>NC_000005.10:10000-1260000 GCF_000001405.40 Homo sapiens
TAACCCTAACCCTAACCCTAACCCTAACCCTAACCCTAACCCTAACCCTAACCCTAACCCTAACCCTAACCCTAACCCTAACCCTAACCCTAACCCTAACCCTAACCCTAACCCTAACCCTAACCCTAACCCTAACCCTAACCCTAACCCTAACCCTAACCCTAACCCTAACCCTAACCCTAACCCTAACCCTAACCCTAACCCTAACCCTAACCCTAACCCTAACCCTAACCCTAACCCTAACCCTAACCCTAACCCTAACCCTAACCCTAACCCTAACCCTAACCCTAACCCTAACCCTAACCCTAACCCTAACCCTAACCCTAACCCTAACCCTAACCCTAACCCTAACCCTAACCCTAACCCTAACCCTAACCCTAACCCTAACCCTAACCCTAACCCTAACCCTAACCCTAACCCTAACCCTAACCCTAACCCTAACCCTAACCCTAACCCTAACCCTAACCCTAACCCTAATCCTAACCCTAACCCTAACCCTAACCCTAACCCTAACCCTAACCCTAACCCTAACCCTAACCCTAACCCTAACCCTAACCCTAACCCTAACCCTAACCCTAACCCTAACCCTAACCCTAACCCTAACCCTAACCCTAACCCTAACCCTAACCCTAACCCTAACCCTAACCCTAACCCTAACCCTAACCCTAACCCTAACCCTAACCCTAACCCTAACCCTAACCCTAACCCTAACCCTAACCCTAACCCTAACCCTAACCCTAACCCTAACCCTAACCCTAACCCTAACCCTAACCCTAACCCTAACCCTAACCCTAACCCTAACCCTAACCCTAACCCTAACCCTAACCCTAACCCTAACCCTAACCCTAACCCTAACCCTAACCCTAACCCTAACCCTAACCCTAACCCTAACCCTAACCCTAACCCTAACCCTAACCCTAACCCTAACCCTAACCCTAACCCTAACCCTAACCCTAACCCTAACCCTAACCCTAACCCTAACCCTAACCCTAACCCTAACCCTAACCCTAACCCTAACCCTAACCCTAACCCTAACCCTAACCCTAACCCTAACCCTAACCCTAACCCTAACCCTAACCCTAACCCTAACCCTAACCCTAACCCTAACCCTAACCCTAACCCTAACCCTAACCCTAACCCTAACCCTAACCCTAACCCTAACCCTAACCCTAACCCTAACCCTAACCCTAACCCTAACCCTAACCCTAACCCTAACCCTAACCCTAACCCTAACCCTAACCCTAACCCTAACCCTAACCCTAACCCTAACCCTAACCCTAACCCTAACCCTAACCCTAACCCTAACCCTAACCCTAACCCTAACCCTAACCCTAACCCTAACCCTAACCCTAACCCTAACCCTAACCCTAACCCTAACCCTAACCCTAACCCTAACCCTAACCCTAACCCTAACCCTAACCCTAACCCTAACCCTAACCCTAACCCTAACCCTAACCCTAACCCTAACCCTAACCCTAACCCTAACCCTAACCCTAACCCTAACCCTAACCCTAACCCTAACCCTAACCCTAACCCTAACCCTAACCCTAACCCTAACCCTAACCCTAACCCTAACCCTAAACCCTAACCCTAACCCTAACCCTAACCCTAACCCTAACCCTAACCCTAACCCTAACCCTAACCCTAACCCTAACCCTAACCCTAACCCTAACCCTAACCCTAACCCTAACCCTAACCCTAACCCTAACCCTAACCCTAACCCTAACCCTAACCCTAACCCTAACCCTAACCCTAACCCTAACCCTAACCCTAACCCTAACCCCTAACCCCTAACCCTAACCCTAAACCCTAACCCTGAACCCGAACCCTGACCCCTGACCCCTGACCCCGACCCCGACCCCGACCCCGACCCTGACCCTATGCCTATCTTATATTAACAATTTTGTATTGAGGGAGTGCATTAGCATACAGGTGCTTGTTACATGAGCAATGTGGATATCATATTTTGGGTGTTACGTGTGCATTAGGAAGGCTGCATTTGTGTTCCGAGCCTGCAGTTGGACCTTGCAATGCAGCCCCAAGCCTTCCTTGGGAGCATCTCGGTGTACAGGATTCACAGGGGCTTTTGCTTTTCCGTTTTCCACACTGAACCCTTCTAACTGCTCTCTGACCTTGATTATTCAGGGGTGCAACCGGGAAAAATTTTCTTCACTGTCGTTGCGGCCTCGAGTTGTCCCAAAGCGAGGCACTGCCCCCAACATCTGTGGTGAAGAGAATGCTGCTCCGCCTTTATGGTGTCCCCTAGGTCTCTGCTGAGCAGAACGCAGCTCCGCCCTCGCGGTGCCCTGGGCCCGCCCGCCCGGGTCTGTGCTGAGGAGTACTCTGCTCCACCTTCGCAGTACCCCCGAAGTCTGTGCAGAGGAGAACGCAGCTCCGCCCTCGCGATGCTCTCCGGGTCTGTTAGGGTCTGTGCTACAGAGAACGCATCTCCGCTCTCGCAAAGGCGCCGCGCCGGCGCAGGCGCAGAGAGGCGCGCCGCGCCGGCGCAGGCGCAGAGAGGCGCGCCGCGCCGGCGCAGGCGCAGAGAGGCGCGCCGCGCCGGCGCAGGCGCAGAGAGGCGCGCCGCGCCGGCGCAGGCGCAGAGAGGCGCGCCGCGCCGGCGCAGGCGCAGAGAGGCGCGCCGCGCCGGCGCAGGCGCAGAGAGGCGCGCCGCGCCGGCGCAGGCGCAGAGAGGCGCGCCGCGCCGGCGCAGGCGCAGAGAGGCGCGCCGCGCCGGCGCAGGCGCAGAGAGGCGCGCCGCGCCGGCGCAGGCGCAGAGAGGCGCGCCGCGCCGGCGCAGGCGCAGAGAGGCGCGCCGCGCCGGCGCAGGCGCAGAGAGGCGCGCCGGCGCAGGCGCAGAGAGGCGCGCCGGCGCAGGCGCAGAGAGGCGCGCCGGCGCAGGCGCAGAGAGGCGCGCCGGCGCAGGCGCAGAGAGGCGCGCCGCGGTTAGGGAGACGCGGTGCAGGGCATAGACGCACGCCGGCGCGTCCCCGGCGGGGGCGGGGTGGCTTGTCGGGCGGGGCGGGAGGTGCGGTGCAGGCGCAGACACGCACGTCGCTGGGCTGAGGGTGGCGGGGCGTGTTGCAGGTGCACAGTCGCACAACGCCGGGCTGGGAGCGCTGGGGTGGCGCGGTCCAGGCGCAGAGACACACGTCCCCAGCGGCGCGGCGTAGAGGAGGGTGGAACCTCAGCAATCTGAAAAGCCCGTTTCGGGCGCCCCGTGCTTGGAGCCGGGAACTACAGGACCCGCTTGTCTACGATGCTGTGCCAGTTTGCCCCCTGCTGGCGACTAGTGCAACTGCAGGGCCCTGTTACTTACAGTGTTGTCCAGCGCTTTCCTCTTCCTTGTTGTTCTATTTGGCCTCTCAGCCAATTGGATGGTGCCTGTATTCATCCATTTTTATACAGCTATGAGGAAATACCTGAGTCTGAGCAATTTATAAAGAACAAAGAGGTTTAATGGGCTGACAGTTCCACATGGCTGCAGGGGCCTCACAATCATGGCAGAAGGGGAAGCAAAGACGTCCTTCTTCACATGGCCGCAACAAGAAGAAGTGCTGAGCCAAAGGGGAAATAAAAATAATGGAATAACTAGAAACAACCCTATGCGAAGCATGCAAGGAAAGTAGGGCATGTTTCGCAAGGAAAGTAGGATGCAATTTTTATAAGGAAAACCATACATAAGATACAAATAAAAAGAGATACCTAACCTTCCTTGTGTTATAATTGTATGGGTAAAATGTTATGTTTTCAGAAATGATATAAAATTCCTGGAAATTTGTTAATGTCCTCCTTATCCGTGCTATGTGCCAGTATAGAGTAATGAGTCATAATTGCAATTATTATTTTAAATAATCCTGGCTAACCCCGTGAATCTCCGTCTCCACTAAAAATATAAAAAATTAGCCGGCTGTGGTGGCAGGCGCCTGTAGTCCCAGCACTTTGGGCGGCCACAGAAAAAATCGAATACCCTTGTCAGTTGTGGTATAATGAACTCTCATCAGATCTTTCATCACAGCCATTTCATACTCTTTGTCATTTAGATATTATTTCCCCGATGCTTTCCTGAAAGCTCCTGCAATCAGCTACAGGTCAAAATGTTCATCTCCAACACAGGACTCCCTCTGAGACTCACAGGTACTCTGGTTATAGGCTTCTGATGATATTGCTTAAATAACTTTAAGACCATACACTTGACTCAGTGAAGATCTCCAGAAGTCTGGTTGAGAAATTGATGGGTTCATGACACTGCTAACTCAAGATCCACAAGACTGGAATTGATTACATGGCACTGAATGAACTGATGAAAATTGATTATAATTTTATAGCTTTTTAGAGCATTGCTGGTTGTTTAATGTTCTAGTTTCTGGATTTAAGAAATCTCTTTCCCTTAATCTAACTGTAACAACAATTTAGTAGATTATACTTTTATAAACAGAAATGAGGCATTTATCTTTTTTCTCTGCCTGATTTCTCCAGAATTTTGAAATTCTAACTGAATACTCTTTATTTTCATGATGATATAGTTGTTATCACAAGTCTAATAAGAACCTTATAACGGGACATAATTGGAAATTTTGTTTATATTATCAAGGTTTTTACAGGAATATCATATTTATGAAATGTACCTCAGATCAGTTATGACCAGCAATTTTAAGGAAGTAAGGTTGACTTTTATGGAGACAATGCTTACAAAGTACTGTGAGAAATGGGAAAGTTCTTCAAAGATTATAAAAAGTCACAATTTCTTACTATATGATTGCTATCCACGATTTATATATATACGTGAGTGTGTGTGTGTGTATTCCAAATCAGTTATCCTAGCTTGCTCCAGCATGCCTGGGCAGAACTAGACAAGCCCCAGCCCATAGTGCATGCCATTCCTTATTTGGAGATGCTTCCTTAACTATCCCTGGCCAACTTCCATTTCTTTCTTTGTTCTATTCCCCTAACCTAATTAAGAAAGTTTTAAACTAATAGCCAATTGGGTAAAGTGTAAAATGTGAGGTCCTATTTCAGCCAATGGAAAATGGACACAGCACTAGGGTAGACACATCAGGTTATAAGTAACTCTGTCTCCTTTGGTGTGCTCTTGTGGCTGGACAACTATTGAGTAGCACCCCTTATGCAGAAAGCAAAGCTCGCCTCACTAAGAGATCATTTGTTCCCACGTTAATTCTTTTTTTTTTTTGGGAACACCAAAATCTTCATTCCCAACAGCACTCTGAGAAAAGCCAGCCTGATACCTAGATTACAGGGTTCACAGCCTTAAAGGTTAGTAGAGGTTTACCACACAGGAGGTAGAGGTTGCAGTGAGCTGAGATTGCACCTTTGCACTCCAGCCTGGGCGACAGAGCCAGACCCTGTCTCAAAAAAAAATTTTTTTAAAGGAAAACTATAGCTATTGTGGATTATCAGATTCTAGTCTTGTTTCTTGTTTTTGGGCTATTTTTACCACTTTGTAAACTGGATCCTGCCATCTGATGAATTTTGTCCAACAATGATACTTGTGGAATAAGAAGCCAGGTATTGTCTCTCCCACTAATATATCTATTGTCAGTTAATTTCAAGGTCTCCAACCCTGGAACAAAGTTAGAAGAGGAAAGTTTTGCTCCCCATAATGCATAACCAAATTGTGGTACATTCATGCAATGGAATACTATTTAGCCATAGAAAGGAACAAGCTATCAACTCACACAAAGACATGAGTGAATCTTGCATGCACATTGCTAAGTGGAAGAGGACAGTCTGAGGAGGATACATACAGTGTGATCTCATTTAATAAGACACTGGAGAAGGCAAACTACACAGATGGGAAGCCATTGGCTCCATGGGGTGGGGGTTTGAAGCCTTCCATATGATACTTTAATAGTGGGATATCTGCCACAATGCATTTGTCAAAATACACAGAATTTTATGGCCAAATGGGTAAATCAAACTCTATTCAAATTAAATAAAATTACTCAGCACGTGGAGTATCCCAGGACAGAATACATCATGTGAAAAATAATTTAACTATGCTACAAATTACTATGGTTTGGATGTGGTTTGTCCCCGCAAAAACTCAGGTTGAAATTTGACCCCCAATGTGGCAGTGTGGGGCGGTGGGGCCTAGTGGAAGGTGTTTGGGTCATGGGGATGGATCTCTCATGAATAGATTAATGTCCTCCATGGGGGTGAGTGAGTTCTGCTCTCACAGGAATGGATTAATTCCTGCAGGAGTAGCTAGTTAAAAAGAGTCTGGCTTCCTTGGCTTCCCTATTGCTTTCACTTTTGCTATGTGATCTCTGGTGCACCTCTTGCTCCCCTTCCACTTTCCACCATGAGGTGAAAAAGACTGAGGCCCCACCGGATGCAACTGCCCAATCTCAGACATTCCAGCCACCAGTATTGTGAGCCAAATGAACCTTTATTACTTATAAATTACCCAGCCTCAGGTATTCTGTTACAGAAGCACAAAATGGACTAAGACGCAAATGTAGGTAAAAACTCACTGAAGGTGTAGGGAAAATGGTGTTGACAAAAGTCACTTTGAAAATGAATAGAATCTGTAAGCTGAAGGCAAATGAACTATACTTCATCATTGTATTCCATTTTATAAAGTTCTTTCCAACAGAAGCAATTGTGAACAATTGTAAAACCACAGTGTCTGTATCTGGAATAAAACAATGACTTACATAAGTCGCAGATGGTGGGAACCAGGTTTCTCACTGTTGAAGTGGGAGGTTACAAATTAGCAAGGCGAGAAGGCTAGAATGATTCAAGTGATAGTAGATCAGAGGTGGGGACATGAACGTAAACTTATGTTTAGTTTAATATAGATACACACAGTTCTGCATAGAAAACTTTATAATTAGGTGTGTATAGGTAGGTTAGACACACACATATACCTCCTAGCATTGCTAATGAGGGACAAGATACAATGTGCTCATTCAGCAGCCAGATGTAAGTTTTCCTACCATTCTGAAAGGAATCAGGCTCCTTGAAGAAATGTCTGATACTAGAACTGGGAGAGTAAATATAGGAGCCAGGATAATCTGGAAGTATCAGTAAGTAAGTAAGTACTAAAAAAATTAAAATATATCAAAGAAAAATAAGAGCCAATAAAAACAGCTACCGATGGCCAACACAGGAATGAATTGTGCAACATAAGGCTGCAGTGTTGAATAATAGCTAAAGCTTAAAGTAATTATCTAGGTGTCTGTATTTGTATGCATAGGTGAATAAGCAAATGGAGTTGCATAGAAATCTCCTTTGCAAAAGAATTCCAAATACTTGATGTAGACACTCAGCTGTCAAGAAGGCGGAGCCAACTCCTCACTCCGTAAGGAGTGAGGCTCTGCATAGTGGCTTGCTCCAAAAGAACACATGTAGTATGGACAAGGAGGAAAAATAACTTCACAGTGGAGAAACCTGACAAACAGTAGCTCTGCCAAATGATCCAAGTGAACAACAAAGGTAACAGTTCACCTTGAGAACATGAAGTGACAATGAGGGACATTCTACAAAATGCCTGACCAATCCTCCTCAGTACTATCAAGGTCACCTGAGATGGAAAGCCTGACACACTGTCACAGCCAGGAAGAGCCCACATGATGACTACATGTCATGCGGGATCCTGGATGGGATCCTGGATCAGAGTAAGACAGATCTAAGGGAATCCAAATGAAATATGAACTTTAGTCTATCAGTATTGGTTCATTAACTGTGACAAATTGTGTAAGATATTAATAAGCCATGTGAAGGAACACACTGATAAAAGATGTTAATAAGAGAGGAAACTAGGTTGCGGCTACATGGGAAATATCTGCTTTTTTTTGACAATTTCTGTGTAAGTAAAGATGTAAAATAAAACTTTATTTGAAACACTGTTTTTTTGAACACTTCCTTGTTTAATTATTTATACCATGAATTACTAGTAATTGACACTGTTAACTAGTCCTGTTTTTTTAAATAAGAGCATTTATGACACAAAAAATTAAACAGTGCAGACTGATATATAAATCAAAACAAATGTTCTTTACATGTTTTCTGTTACAGTAGTAACAATATGTGTAAACTTAATTATCATATTTTTTTCTTGTGTTGTGGTTGTGTCCTGGGTTCATTCTCTAAAATGCTGTTCACCTTAGACCAGGAAAAATATTAACCTTACAGACTCTGTTTCAATTCATAGCTAAATATTTTCAAAAGAGTGACTTTGTAAAAATATGTTCCAATGGCAAATTGATTCATTGTGATGGGATCACTTATCCCGAAGACTTCTTGTCTTTATTTTGTTCCCATGCCTACCTTTTAGCCATAATACAGCAGAATCAAATATTGGTCACTGGGAAAAAATATTCAAAGAAAGAAGGAATGTGGACAGAACTTATGACCATGATGATTCAATGTTTTACCACAATGCTTTCTAAAACAGAAGAGTGTAAAAGGATATTCAAAGTCAATTTCCTCAGCGAGGCTTTGCAGAAAATGAGGAAACTAGAGAAACAAAAATGGCAGGACATTCTACGGGTGATTTTAAATGTTGCTATGTTTTATGGGAAAAAATACTTTACCTTTTAAAGAATCACAAAGAATTGTTGGAAACCCAAACTCTGGAATGTTTGCAAATTTAGTTGAGCTTCTATGTAATTATGTCTATATAGGTAGCCACGATGTTGATGATTTCTTAAAAATCTGTGCCTTATTTGTGTGATAAAATACACAATGAATAATTAATGCTCATAGGAAAACCTTATAAAGGGAAAATAAATCTTGGGGACCCAAAATCACTAAGCTAAAGGGAAAAGTCAAGCTGGGAACTGCTTAGGGCAAACCCGCCTCCCATTGTATCCAAAGTCACCCATCTGCTCACCTAGATAAATGCATACCTGATTGCCTCATTTGGAGAGGGTAATCAGCAATGCAAAAGAATGAAATCATTTGTCTCTTACCTACCTATGACCTGGAAGCCCCCTGTCTGGCCTTGTCACCTTTCTGGACTGAACCAATGCACATCTTACACATATTGGTTGATGTCTCATGTCTCCCTAAAGTGTGTAAAACCAAGCTGTGCCCCGACCACCTTGGGCCAATGTTGTCAGGACCTCCTGAGGATGCATCACGGGCGCACATCCTCAAGCTTGGCAAAATAAACTTTCTAAAAAAATCTGAGAGCCGTCTCAGATTTTCAGGGTTCACACATGTAATGTAGGATGTCAATGTTTATAAAACAGACATTATTCTATCTACTATTAGAAATATGCTGCCAATTAACCTTAAACTTTCTCAACAAAATAAAAAATGTTGAGGTACAAATAATACATCTAAGCTTAAGTGGTGTTGCAAGTTTTAATATGCCTACTTTTCAATTTTTCAATACTATTTTTACTAATTTAACACTGTAAGAAAAATGAGTAATTAAAACAAGAATAAAAGTGTTTACAGGGGGTGCACATGTTTCCTCCAGCCTCTGCCCAACCCCAGCTTTCATCCCAACTGTCCTGATGGTGGCTCTATGCATTTCTCCTTTCTCTATACCAAGATCTCTCCCCAGAAACAAACCCAAATCATGGAGGCCCGTTTTCTCCATGATTTAGCAGGAATGCGCTACCTTTCCGTGAGGAGACACTGCCCACAGAAACCAAGGCCATTCTTTGAAGACAAACATGTTTTAATAGCCTTTACATTATGTAATAGTGTACTATAAATAATAATTTATTAATAATAATGTAAAATTATTTACATTATTATGTTACAACTTTTGTACAGAGCTTTACACCTAGATATTCTGAAGTTGGTGGTCTGTGAGTGGCATCGAGTGATGACCGACACACTCTGACCTGGGGTAGAACAACACGTGTCCCTGCAGTTTGCTGAAGTTCAGGGCAACACCACCTCTTTTCAAGAGTGTGTTTTCCTATCCTCCCGAGTTTTGCCCACTTAAGAAATGGTTTTGCTGTAATAAAGAATTACACTATTTATCAAAATATTACTTTGGAGATTACTGGTTCACGTAGTTCATTTTCAAGTTTTCTTAAACTATCAGGCCCATAGCTAATGCCAGTGGCTCTAAGGATGAGAAAGTAAAAAGCCGGGTTTTTTTTTGTTTTTTTGTTTTTGGCCAAGACCAAAAAACACCACATTTCAAACTTTACTGTCTCATGCTAGTCCCTGGAAAATTAGAAGTTAACACACTCCCCTCACAGCCCAATCACAGCTAATGAATAACCAAGATCTCCTGCAGGTGCCTTTGCCTTGGGCTTGTGAGCCTGGAGTTGCTGGTTGGCACTGGGCAGCAGGCAGCAGAGCTAGTCCCATTTCTCCATGCTTTCCCCACTCTGTGCGGGACAAAGGCACATTGAACAACCTGGGTCCTGGCCTGGCGCTGGCTGGGAAGCTATTTGATGTCAGGCTTGATGTGGACTTCTGAGTTGAAAAGAGAGTATGGGTCACCCAGCCCCACTTACTCATTTTACCAAGAATGAAAATGGGGATCTATTCCAGACATGAGAGTACACATTGTAAGGCTGTGCAAGCTTGCTGCGCTTGCATCCGCTCAGCACACACTTTCTGAGTGCCGAGTGTCTCCAGCATGAGAAGGGCTGTAGTTCCCAGGGTCCCACCCTCCACAAAGGACAGCAGCACCTCGAGGGACAGAGGTGCAAAGAGCAAGGTGGGGGCCCTTCTGCTGGAGAGGCGGCTGGGGAGGTCCTTAGAGGAAGTGACAGCTGAGCTCTGCTCTGAAGGGTGAAGCTGAATTACTTGAAGCTTAGGGTGAAGGGGTGTCCAGGGAAGTGGAGCCTGTGAGCCAAAAGCATAATGACTTGTCCAGAGAAGTGTAACAATTTCATATTGTTTCAGTGCCAAATCTGCACAGGAGTCACCAAAGGAAAGAGCAGGATCCTGGAGCCAGGGCCTGCGATTTCACCCGCTGGCAATGGGACTGTTCACTGGGAATTTTGGGGGGCAAAACCTGAAAATGTTTCCTCTTAGCTCCAATTCTCTGTCTCTCCGTCTCTTTCTGTCCTCTCTCTCCCTTATCTTTAATTTTTGTATTATCATAAAAAACACAGATGTCCCAGATGTGGGGATTAGCAGCCTGCCTCTTTCTGGATGACTTCAGGGGAGCACTTTGGCCTCTGTGAGCTTATTTACAACAATTCACGAATCTTGCAAAAAAAAAGTCATGGTAGCAGAGGTTAGAAAATCTCCTAGTATTTCTTGTGATACTTTGAATTTGTGATTAATATGTTTAATCTTCATCTTCTGAAAAGTCACCAGTTACACAGTGAGGACCATAAAGGGAGTCTGTTTCTGTGGTTTTTGGCTTCAACAGTCAGCGGTTTTGCAGCAATAGCATTGCATGTGGGTTTTAGGCTGATGATGCTCAACAGTGGACAATTCTCTTCACCTGCCTGGGCCCCACTGCCCGCCCTTCCATACAGTGCAGGGTCACAGCTGAGCTCTCTGGGACACCTCGCAGGATCTCGGCTTCTGAACTATCAAGTGTCTTCTAGGTGAGGTCTTGGTCTCATAGTCTTTGTAGCTTCCTCCAGGTAACACTTGGTTTTTTGACCTAACCTTGGTATGTGTGTGACACACATGTGAATGTGCTCCCTGTGGCAGCGCTGAGGAAGGACTCAGTCATCACAGATGCCGAAAGGCAAATGCAGTGTGCTTTTTTCCAACATCTCCAGTCTTGCATTATTTTTACCCATCAGCCCATTTGAAAAAGAAAAAAAAAGCCTCCTGTTAGAATTAAATCCCCTCTGAAGAGATAATGAGTATTTTTTTAATCTTTCATGTTTTTTATAGTCACATTTGCTCCCAGTTCCTGCCAGGATCCACTAGAGGGCAAAGACACCCATGTGTCTTTGTGTGGCACTTGCTGAGTGGTAATAAAAACAGACACCCTGCCCTCCCAGAGCCAACTTCCAGTGCCGGGGCCAGCGGCAGCAAGTAAGAAAACCGTGGTTTCTGTATCTGCATCAGCTACACGGTGCTCACACACAGGAGGCATCAGCCAGTTTTCTCAGTTAAGAGACAGAAAAAAAATGTGTCCTCACTACTTTTTGAATTTACCATGTTATCTAATGTTTTAACTTAATTGAATGAATAAACTCCCTATGCATCTGGACACATGCATGGAAAATTCAAAAACATTTCTAAGCAAAGCAGAGTATTTTGCCAAAAGAAAACTATTTCTTAGATATGTGAATTTCACTTTTTTCTATATTTTCGTGATTTTAATGTAATGAAATTGAGTACTCTGTGCTTCTAAAAGACTTTTTAAGGAGCATGGTATTTTTCCATTTTGAAAAAAAATTGGCAAAATATCTTCTACTATAGATATAAGTTAATTGGCTGAGGGTAATAAACAGAAGATTAAAAAACAACCTTTATCCCCTGATATTCTGTCAAGGGCTACAGTGAATTACACACCCTGGCATGGGTTTGCACGCCACGTGCTGGGAGCCAGCAGTCATGCAGGCCATGCCCTCCCACACTTAGAAAAGAAGCCCATGATTTGCAGATGACATGATTGTATGTATATTTAGAAAACCCCATCATCTCAGCCCAAATTCTCCTTAAGCTGATAAGCAACTTCAGCAAAGTCTCAGGATACAAAATCAATGTGCAAAAATCACAAGCATTCTTATACACCAATAACAAACAGAGAGCCAAATCATGAGTGAACTCCCCTTCACAATTGCTTCAAAGAGAATAAAATACCTAGGAATACAACTTACAAGGGATGTGAAGGACCTCTTCAAGGAGAACTACAAACCACTGCTCAATGAAATAAAAGAGGATACAAACAAATGGAAGAACATTCCATGCTCACGGGTAGGAAGAATCAATATTGTGAAAATGGCCATACTGCCCAAGGTAATTTATAGATTTGATGCCATCCCCATCAAGCTACCAATGACTTTCTTCACAGAATTGGAAAAAAACTACTTTAAAGTTCATATGGAACCAAAAAAGAGCGCACATTGCCAAGACAATCCTAAGCCAAACAAAGCTGGAAGCATCACAGGACCTGACTTCAAACTATACTACAAGGCTACAGTAACCAAAACAGAATGGTACTGGTACCAAAACAGAGATATAAACCAACGGAACAGAACAGACCCCTCAGAAATAATACCACACATCTACAACAATCTGATCTTTGACAAACCTGACAACAACAAACAATGGGGAAAGGATTCCCTATTTAATAAATGCTGTTTGGAAAACTGGCTAGCCATATGTAGAAAGCTGAAACTGGATCCCTTCCTTACACCTTTTACAAAAATTAATTCAAGATGGATTAAAGACTTACATGTTAGACCTAAAACCATAAAAACCCTAGAAGAAAACCTGGGCAATACCATTCAGGACATAAGCATGGGCAAGGATTTCATGTCTAAAACACCAAAAGCAATGGCAACAAAAGACAAAATTGACAAATGGGATCTAATTAAACTAAAGAGCTTCTGCACAGCAAAAGAAACTACCATCAGAGTGAACAGGCAACCTACAGAATGGGAGAAAATTTTTGCAATCTACTCATCTGACAAAGGGCTAATACCCAGAATCTATAAAGAACTCAAACAAATTTACAAGAAAAAAACAAACAACCCCATCAAAAAGTGGATGAAGGACATGAACAGACACTTCTCAAAAGAAGACATTTATGCAGCCAACAGACACATGAAAAAATGCTCATCGTCACTGGTCATCAGAGAAATGCAAATCAAAACCACAATGAGATACCATCTCACACCAGTTAGAATGGCAATCATTAAAAAGTCAGGAAACAACACGTGCTGGAGAGGATGTGGAGAAACAGGAATGCTTTTACACTGTTGGTGGGACTGTAAACTAGTTTAGCCATTGTGGAAGACAGTGTGGCGATTCCTCAAGGATCTAGGACTAGAAATACCACTTGACCCAGCCATCCCATTACTGGGTATATACCCAAAGGATTATAAATCATGCTGCTATAAAGACACATGCACACGTATGTTTATTGCAGCACTATTCACAATAGCAAAGACTTGGAACCAACCCAAATGTCCAACAATGATAGACTGGATTAAGAAAATGTGGCACACATATACATCATGGAATACTATGTAGCCATAAAAAAGGATGAGTTCGTGTCGCTTGTAGGGACATGGATGAAGCTGGAAACCATCATTCTCAGCAAACTATCGCAAGAACAAAACACCAAACACCGCATGTTCTCTCTCATAGGTGGGAATTGAACAACGAGAACAGCTGGACACAGGAAGGGGAACATCATACAGCAGGACCTGTTGTTGGGTGGGGGGAGGGGGGAGGGAAAGCATTAGGAGACATACCTAATGTAAATGTTGAGGTAATGGGTGCAGCACACCAACATGGCACATGTATACATATGTAACAAACCTGCACGTTGTGCACATGCACCCTAGAACTTAAAGTATAATAATAATAAAAAAAAAAAGAGTGGAAAAAAAAAGAAAAGAAGCCCATGGGAAAGAGCTCCATGAAGTTCATGCAGAATGACCTCCAGCAAGGCCTGGAAAATGCTCAGTTACACAGAATACCTGTGTCCAAATACTTTGAGCGCACAGCTCTGGCATCAGGTTCCTGTAAGGACAGACCCTGAGATGGATTTCGGGATGGAGGCTGCTGCCAGAGGAGACAATGTCACTGCAGATGGCTCACACTGCTCCCACACTGCAGGGGCCAGTGTCTTGGGGCTCCCTCCCGCCGTCCTGTTGGGGAACTGCAGAGATTCACCCCAGTTGCGTGGACTCCGCTGTGTCTCCTGTCAAGAAGCTCCTCAGCTTACCTTGGTTTTTCCTTTTTAAAAACTCTCTGGTGTTTTCCTCTCCAGTGGGGGCTGCATCTCACCTTAGAAGAAAAGATTTTCCAACTAGGGGCTGTCTTGGTAGCTGGTCCAGAAGAAGGTCTCCTCTCTCTGGAGTGATGTCCAGCCAAGTAACTCCAGCCAGAACTCTCACTGAGTGTGGCTGGGTCTGCCCTGCTCTCCTCCCATCCTCGTGTGGACTGTGGAAACCCATCCATGCCCTATGCAAAGTCCCGCATCTCAGACTGTAAAATGGCAGAAGCTGAATTTAATGATTATATTGACTCTAAGAGGAAAACAAAGTTCTGAGGTAGACAATTGGTAAGCAAGCAATTATGTGTAACTTGTTAGAACACTAGGGTGTTTTTTATTTGTCTCACTTATTTTTTCTGTTTAACAGGCTGGCTAGGAGCCAGAGGGAGAGAAGGCTGGCTGGGAATTGAGAGGCATGAGGTCACCTCAGTCCCAACATTTCCATGTAAATGATGATGTGAGATGAGCTGGTGGCAGGAGTCCCTGGAAATCCTCACGATCTCAGCTTTTAACTTCTGTAAAATATTATGTCATTTAGGATCTCTTTAACAAATAACGTTTTTTCTAATTACAAAAGTGTATATTCTCTGTGGAGGAGCTTTGGTAAATACAAAATGAGTTATAAGACAAAGAAAAATCATTCATAATTTTATCACTCAAATTTTGATAATTATATTCTTGCATTTTTAATGAAATGTAGACATTTTAGATTATACTGTATATAAAATGTTGTTTCTGTTTTTTCATCCAATATTAGATCATAAACGTTTTACATGGCATAAACTATATATGTAAATCAGCTATTTCCACACCTGGGTGCTTGATTTAACCCTCCTTATACTGTTAGCCATTTAAATGATTTCTCCTTTATCCTATGAATAACACTTCCACCAGTTATTATTCTTATATATAGCTCATTCAATCACTCATAATCTCATTGAGCATTTATTTATAATTTAGTTGCATATTACCTGAGTGGATTGTGGTTATATGTTTATATGCTTATTCCAAATACAGTGCTAAGATTAGCATTAGAGACAGGAAAATACTCACAGGTTTTCAAACTAGAAGGAGCCAAACAAATCCATGATCCAGCTCTGCATACTCTCACCCAGCCTTAGTTTTCTTACACAGAAAGTGAAGACAATGCTATTTGCCTTGTGGCATCGTTGTGAAGTTAAAGAAGACACCGATTCTGCACGCAGCAGTTCACAGACAGCGGGAAGCTGGGCCCCCACCAACTCTAAGGACAATCACCATCGGATGCCCCACGATCCTACTCTCAGGGTGTTCGTATGCCATATGCCATGTTCACAAATCTGTAAAAAAAAAAAAAGTTACAATTATGAAATTAAAAGTTAACTAAAGGAGGATGTTTTCATTATCTTTGAAATTTAACCCCCCAAATCCAGATTATAAAGCAAGGAGATGTCTTATGGCCCAACACTTGCCATTGATACTTTTTCGATGTTAGTGGGCAGGGGAGGGTAGTGAAAGTAAAGCAATCAGAGCTCCGATGGGTGCACATTGTCTTCCCTACAAATCCATTTCTTGTCCAGCCTTCCTTCCTCATTGGGGCTGCTCTATCTTTTTCTGCGCATTTGAACTGCTCCCCTGTGGGCCATTCTCATTTGCTTTACTTCCTTGTCTGAATTCCATGGGACCTGCATTTAAGAGGAGAGAGGAACCACTTTGGGACTGGAGGAAGTTCACCTTATGCCATATGCCTGCCTCCTTCCTCTACAGTGAACAGTCTCTGGTGTCCCTGGGTGTTCAGTTTCTTTCCACTCATGTATTACTGACTGTTCAGGTGGCAAATGGCCCGTGACCTTTATGGTATTAAAAAGAAAAAATAAAAAGCTGTGTTGCTTTTTTTTTAACTTTTATTTTAGGTTTGGGGGTACATGGGAGGGTTTGTTATATAGGTAAACGCGTGTCACAGGAGTCTGTTGTACATGTTATTTCATCATCCAGGTATTAAGCCCAGTGCCCGATAGTTATGTCTTCTGCTCCCCTCCCTCCTCCCACCCTCCCCCCTCAAGTAGACCCCCCAGTGTCTGTTGTTTCCTTCCTTGTGTTCACAAGGTCTTCTCATTTAGCTCCCACTTATAAGTGAGAACATGCCGTATTTGGTTTTCTGTTCCTGCATTAGTTTGCTAAGGATAATACCCTTCCGCTTCATTCATACTAATGAAAAAGACATAATCTTGTTATTTTTTATGGCCACATGGTATTCCATGGTGTATATGTAACACATTTTTTTTATCCAATCCGTGATTGATGGGCATTTGGGTTGATTCTATGTCTTTGCTATTGTGAATAGCACTGCAATGAACATTTGCATGCATGTATCTTCATGGTAGAATGATTTATAGTCATCTGGGTATATACCCAGTAATGGGATTGCGAGGTCAAATGTTTTAGTTCTGCTTTTAGCTCTTTGAGGAATCACCATATGTTGTGGGAAGTCAGGGACCCCAAACGGAGGGACCGGCTGAAGCCATGACAGAAGAATGTGGATTGTGAAGATTTTATGGACATTTATTACTTCCCCAAATTAATACTTTCATAATTTCTTATGCCTGTCTTTACTGCAATCTCTAAACATAAATTGTAAAGATTTCATGGACACTTATCACTTCCCCAGTCAATACCCTTGTGAGTTCCTATGCCTGTCTTTAATCTCTTAATCCTATCAACCGAGGAGGATGTATGTCGCCTCAGGACTATGTGATAATTGGATTAACTGCACAAATTGTACAGCATGTGTGTTTGTGCAATATGAAATCTGAGCACCTTGAAAAAACAGCAATTGTTCAAGGAATAAGAGATAACCTTAAACTCTGACCACCAGTGAGCCGGGCAGAACAGAGCCATATTTCTCTTCTTTCAAAAGCAAATGGGAGAAATATCACTGAATTCTTTTTCTCAGCATGGAACGTCCCTGAGAAAGAGAATGTGCACCTAGGGGTAGGTCTCTGAACTGGCCCCCCCGGGGTGTACCTGTCTCTTATGGTCGAGATTGCAGAGGTGAGATAGACTTCAGTCTCCCATAGCACTCCCAGGCTTATTAGGAAGAGGAAATTCCCGCCTAATAAATTTTGCTCAGACCAGTTGATCTCAAAACCCTGTCTCCTGATAAGATGTTATCAATGACAATGGTGCCCGAAACTTCATTAGCAATTTAATTTCACCTCGGTCCTGTGGTCCTGTGGTCTCACCCTGCCTCCACTTGCCTTGTGATATTCTATTACCATGTTATGTACTTGATGTCTGTCACCCACACCTATTCACACACTCCCTCCCCTCTTGAAAATCCCTAATAAAACCTTACTGGTTTTTGTGGTTTGTGGGGCATCACGGATCCTACTAATGTGTGATGTCTCCCCTGGATGCCCAGCTTTAAAATTTCTCTCTTTTGTACTCTGTCCCTTTATTTCTCAAGCCAGCCAATGCTTAGGAAAATAGAAAAGAACCTACGTGATTTTGGGGGCAGGTCCCCTGAAAACCATACTGTTTTCCACCATGGTTGAACTAACTTACACTCCCACCAACAGTATATAAGTGTTCACTTTTCTCTGTAACCTTGCAACATCTGTTAGTCTTTTACTTTTTAGTAATAGCCATTCTGACTAGTGTGAGATGCTGCTTCACTGTGGTTTTGATGAGCATTTCTCTAGTGATCAATGATCTAGAGCTTTTTTTCCATAGGCTTGTTTGCCACATTTGTCTTTTTTTTTTTTTTTTTTTTGTGAGACAGAGTCTTGCTTTGTCATCCAGGCTGGAGTGCAGCAGCACGATCTCCACTCACTGCAAGCTCTGCCTCCCGGGTTCACGCCATTCTTCTGCCTTAGCCTCCCAAGTAGCTGGAACTACAGGCACTCACCACCACACCTCGCTAATTTTTTGTATTTTTAGTAGAGATTGGGTTTCACTGTGTGAGCCAGGATGGTCTCGATCTCCTGTCCTCGTGATCCACCTGCCTTGGCCTCCCAAAGTGCTTGGATTACAGGCGTGAACCACCATGCGTGGCCCACATGTTTGTCTTCTTTTGAGAAGTGTCTTTTCATGTCCTTGGCCCACTTTTTCGTGGTGTTGTTTTTCTCTTGTAAATTTGTTTAAGTTCCCTATAGATGCTGGTTATTAGACCTTTGTCAGATGCATAGTTTGTAAATATTTCCTCCCATTCCGTAAGTTGCCTGCTTACTTTGTTTACAGTTTCTTTTGCTGTGCAGAAGCTCTTTAGTTTAATTTGATCCCACTTGTCAATATTTGCTTTCGTTGTTTTGCTTTTCATTGTTATTGTGTATCTTTGTCACGAAATCTTTGTGTGTTCCTATGTCCAGGATGGTATTGCCTAGCTTGTCTTCCAGGGTTTTTATATTTTTGGGTTTTACATTTAAGTCTTTAATCCATCCTGAGTTCATTTTTGTGTATGGTGTACGAAAGGGGTCCAGCCTCAATCTTCAGCACATGGCTAACCAGCTATCCCAGCACCATTTATTGAATAGGGAATCTTTTCCCCATTGCTTGTCAGAAAAGCTATGTTTCTAAGCCTTCACCCAACATACCTTTAACTTTTGACCACATCTCTCCCCCAGTCAATAGGCTCCAGGAAATGGGACAGGATTCTTGGAAATAAAGAGCTGACCCTGAGACAACGCAGGTAAACACAGACTATCTGCTGCATCATAAGTAAACAAAATGTGTGTCTTTCATTCAATATTAGACAATGATAGACTGAGTATGTAAGCATGTTACCATCACAGGTATGGAAGTGCCTAACTATGACTTAAATTGTAGAGCCTCAGATTTTAGATCTGGAAGAGCCATGGGTTTTAATCCATGCTGGGAGAGGCTCAAGGTTACTCTGGAGAAACACACAGTTTGGGGAGGCTGGAGACTGAGGGGTGGGCTCCCATTCCCCAGCTCCTTCAATGAGTCTGACCTATTTTATAAATCAGTTATTAGAAAATGATTCAAACAACTCAACCCAATTCCCTATTATTTGGTCAAAGCCATCAGTCCTCATGCTTCTTGCTGCTGCAGCTGTGGGCTCCCACTCTCCACCTGCTCTCCTGCCCAGGTTGGGGTGGCCAAAGACCTTCTCTTGCTGAGGAGAGAGGTTAGGGAGGGACCATTTTTTGATTATTTGAGGGTGTGGTTCAGTTGTAAACAGTGTAAGTTTTAGAATTTGTGTTATTGTGATGGCGATGACCAACTGCAACATATTTCCCATTTGCCTTGCAATAATAAGAGCATGTATTTTACGCAACTGAAGTTTTTGGATCCTCCTTATTTACTTTACTTTATTAAGAATAATGACATTTGAGCAGAGAACAGTTCTAATTTTGCATCAGAGTCAAAAGTGAAAATGAAAGGAACTGACCCATGAAGGAACAGGTGTGAGTTGTTTACTTCATTCCTGCCTGTCCTGGTTGATGTTCAGCTCTGGCCCTTCATCCCACTTTCAAGTGTGGTGGATGCCTCATCTAGGAAAGGCCCTCACCACGCTGACTCCTTCTACTCACTCAACTGTACTTACTTCTCTTATTCCTCTATGAACACTGTTTTCTAGGTTGGGTGTGTTTTCTGTAATAAAAAGGTATTGTTGCACCACTTATTGACGACTTTTTTGGATGCCATGCTAAGCATTTCATAGTCACGAGTGCATTGTACAAACTACCCTTTATAACACTCCTATGAATTTATATTCCCATATGAATTGGCCTGAGGAAGTGGCGTGCTGGAGAGATTAAGCAATTAAATGACAGTATACAGTTAATTACTGAGGGGATTTGGGCTTGGACCTGGATCTGTGATTCAAACACTCATGTCTATAACCACAGGTGCTGCCACATCATTTGCATCAGGATTTAGAATCTCTGCTGGCAGGCCTGGGAAGATGCATTGTAACCAATAAGAGGTAATTGCCACATTTACCGAGTTGTGAGAACAACTGTACGGCCTCTCAGAGAATGCCAGGCGCCCCTGTGTTTGTCTCAGTGTCTCCAGCTTGAATTGCTTCACCCCTGGCTCTCGGCAGTGCTGCTCCTCTCTCCTGCATGGATCACCTGCTCCCGAAATTCATTCTCCCATTTCTTAGGTTGCCACTTTACCGTAGCTTCCTGATCTAAGGTAAAGCTTTGATGCTGTGCATGTCCCAAAATGCCTGAGCACTATTTTCACACTGGGTTGATGGTTTAGTTGGGTTTAAAATATATATATTTCTCTCAGAATGTGAAGGCCAAATTTCATTTTCTTATTATATCTAGAATTTCAATGGAAAACTTCAGTGCCATTTTGGTTCTTGATTCTTTGTAGGTGATCTTTTTCTTTCACCTCTCTGGAAGCT
Organism: Homo sapiens; assembly: GCF_000001405.40. NCBI lineage: Eukaryota > Metazoa > Chordata > Mammalia > Primates > Hominidae > Homo > Homo sapiens. Next base: position 31,219 of record NC_000005.10, read on the forward strand.
TTTCAGCTCTTTATCTCTGATGTTATCAAATTTCACAATAATGTGCTTCAGTGTAGAAGAACTTTGAAATTCAATTTGAGGGGAACTCAATAGATCTTTTAAATCTGGAAATTCCTAAACTTTATTTCTGGAAAATGTTCTTGATTTTTAAGTTGAGATATAATTCACATACTATAATTTATTCATTTAAAGTGTACAATTTAGTACTTTCTAGAAGTAGCACAGACTTCACCACTATTTAATTCTAAAACGTTTTCAGCACCCCAGAAAGGAACACTGTATTTCCCATTTTTTCCCTCCTCCAACCTCTGGCAACCATTCCTTTTTGAGGCTGAATAATATTCCATTGTGTGGAAATACTTCATGTTATTAATCCGCTCATCAGTTGGTGGACATTTGGGTTGTTTCTTCTTTTTGGCTACTATGGATAATGCTGCTGTACAAGTTTGTGTGTGGACATATGTTTTTAATTCTCCTCAGTATGAAGACTTGAGTAGAACTGATGGGTCAAAGAGTAATTCTATGTCTTACTTTTTGAGAAACTGCCAGACTGTTTTCCAAAGCACCTGTACCATTTCAATCCCACTGATATCTTTTCTGACATTTTTATTCCTTCCGTCTGCTTCTTTTTTTTCTTTTTGTGAAATTCTATTTTAAACTTTGAAGATGAATCAGGAAAATCAAAGCAGCTTCTTCAAAAACTAAATTACCAGAAAATGATATATAGGAGATACAGGGGAAATGTATAAATTATATAGACTTAAAAACACATCAGCTAATCACAATGTATGAATTTTGTTTGGGAATATAGACAGAACAGAATTGTCCATGTGTTTCTGGTTGCTCTGAAGGGTTATAGATATATAGGGGTTTGTTATATTCATTGTTTATTTACATATATGTTTTTAAATCTCCATATAAAGGTTTTAAAAATTCCGTTGGAAGACTTATGTTTTAAAATGTACTCAGAATTTGTTTTAATCGGGGATGTTAAGACCTGCAGACATGGAAGTGACTGTCCTGTGGAAATATGTTCATACTCACAGATCCCTAGAAATAGGAGGCACAGGGAAGCCCCAGGCACAGGCAGGAGAGGGGAAGGCATGGGCAGGAGCCTCTGCTGTGATCTCCGTGGGACAGCAAGGCCAGGCAGGGCAGGCAGGCTTAGGCTGGCCAGCCTGAATAGCTTCAGCAGGCTCTGGGGCATAGGGGCCATCTCTAATTGCCTAGTACCTGGCCCTGGGGTGATTAGGGAAGGGCGGTATTGTCTCTTACAGTATCAGAGCCAGATAAAGTAGGTGGTTAAGAGTGCGGGTTTTGGATTGATAGTTTAATTGGCTGGCCCTGGGAAAGGCAATCTTTTCCCAGTAAACACCAGATGCTAGAGCATCAGGAAAATAGAAAATAAAAAAAATAATTAATGCATTCTGTACGCACAGATGGAGAATTCCTTTGCTTCCCCAAAGGAAGAGTGCACAGGAGCCTGGCACTCCTGGACCTGAGGAAACCCTGAAAATGTTGGTAGCTGCAAATCTCCAAAAAGAGGTCGCCAGTCTCCTAAGACTGCAAGACTGACCCAGCATTCTGGGAGCCAAGAGGCAGAAAGAGTCTGCGGATCTCCCTGCTCAGTAAATTGGCTTTCACTAAATACTCTCTTTGCATAAGCAGCGTTACCCAGTGTCCTGGAGCTTAGAAAAGTCCTGTTTCAATGTCTGAAGAAAATAAATTGTTTCTTTTTCCAGTGTCAGGGAGGAGTATTTGACTGCCAGTGTGGACTGAGGGGTCTTGGGATCACACTCTTCCCAATGTGCTTTGAACCGACCCTCTGTGCCTGCCTCACCATCTCCTCTGCTTACCTAGACATGTGGAAACCCTAACACAAGCCCTTCTAGGAGTCTGTGGTGTGGCTCAGCTGCCTCTGTAGTCATCTCTCTTCCCAATATGCTTTGAACTGGCCCTTCTGTGTCTGCCTCACCATCTCCTCTCCTTACCTAGACACTTGAGAACCCTAACACAAACCCTTCTAGGAGTCTGTGGTGTGGCTCAGCTGCCTCTGTAGGCATCTCTTGGGGTTAAACATTTTCCACTCTCCTAAGGCAGTGCCATCTATTCTTCTGCTTCATCTTCAGAAGACACTGAGCCCTTCCCCACCCTCCCTTCCCCACCCCCCACACCAGGTCCATGGCGCCCTTGAGGCCACAGGGTTGCTGCCATAAGATTTTTGTACTGACTGCTCTCTCCAAGCAACTGTGAGAGATTTCTATGGGCAAGGCCTCCAGGTTCCTGTCAAATCAAATTGTAGTTGAATGTTGGATACTATTCAAGGAGCATCCCCTTTTCTCCTTCCTAACAGAGCCCTGAGTTATTCAGTCACATGGTTTGAAATATGGGGTGGGTGCTGGTTGACTTAACCTAACCAGCACTGTCTCACCCTATGTCACAGTTATTGGTTCCAAGGTGGGTGCGCAACTGAGGCTCATGCCAGGTGCCACACAGCACTCCCTTGGTCCCCCTAATGGACTTGGGGATGGGCAAGGGCCTGAGTTGTTCCAATTAGAGTCAAATACAAGTTGTACTAAGAGAGTGCTTGTTCATGCTCCCTCTTTGATGAAGAATGCAGCCTCAGAAATTATTCCTGGAGATTTTGCCATGCTAAGACTGATTCTGACTTCACTGAAGGCAGAGCAGAAAATTGGGAAGAGACTGAGTCCTGGGTAGCATCCATGAACTTCTGTGCTCAGATTCACCCTGAAGCCTGGCCTGCTTCTGAACTACCCATCTGAGTCAATAAATTGCCTTCTTATTAAAGTCAAATTGAGCTGGATTTTTAGTTACCTGCATCTGCAGTTGTTCTGTGAAGCTAATACTATGAGTTTGTATCTGAGAATATTTACAGTGCTTCTCTCATGGTTGAGTCAATCATTTCAAGGGTGCTTTAAGGGTAAAAAGAATGATCAATTGTGAAGCAGTGAATTATGCTGCCAGGCACAATTCATTGGGCAATATAAAACTTCATTTCCTGGGCAGTAGAAAGTTTCATTGTACATAAATTACATATCTTGTTTCTGCCTCAACCTCCTATTTATTCATAGGCAAAGGAGATAAGGAAGTCCACATAAGTCCAGCAGCTAATATGCCTCTCGGGCATCATCCAAAACAGATTTGAATTATGCAAGCCTTGTTAAAATTCATCATCATCATTCATATTTCTGAATATTTAAATTAGAAATTCTGAAAAAGTAGTTTGATTCAGAGGTAGTTTGTATATATGTAGGCATTTTTTCAGGATCAAAAGCTTATTTTTTATTGTCTAATTGAGTTTAATTTACATATAATAAAATTTAGTAATTTTAAGTGAAGAAATCAATGCATTTTGACTAATATATATAGTCATGTACACAACACTACCATTTCACTTCTCTTGGTTGAAAACATACGAGGAATTATTATTTTTTAACTTATGGATTTTTAAATGATTGTCAGTTACTTTAAAAAATGTAAATTCTTAATTTTAAAGGTTTAGGATGTCTGACAAATCTGACAAAAACAAGCGATGGGGAAAGGATTCCCTATTTAATAAATGGTGTTGGGAAAACTGGCTAGCCATATGCAGAAAACTGAAACTGGACTCCTTTCTTACACCTTATACAAAAATTAACTCAAGATGGATTAAAGACTTAAATGTAAGACCTAAAACCACAAAAACCCTTGAAGAAAACCCAGGCAATACCATTCAGGACACGGGCATGGGCAAAGACTTTATGACTAAAACACCAAAAGCAACGAAGCCAAAATAGACAAATGGGATCTAATTAAACTAAAGAGCTTCTGCACAGCAAAAGAAACTCTCATCAGAGTGAACAGACAACCTAAAGAATGGGAGAAAATTTTTGCAATCTATCCATCTGACAAGGGTCCAACATCCAGAATCTACAAGGAACTTAAACAAATTTACAAAAAAAAACAAAAAACAAAAAAGACCCCATCAAGAAGTGGGCAAAGGATATGAACAGACACTTCGCAAAAGAAGACATTTACGTGGCCAATAAACATATGAACAAAAGCTCACCATCACTGGTCATTAGAGAAATGCAAATCAAAACCACAATGAGAAACCAACTCATGCCAGTTAGAATGGTGATCATTAAAAAGTAGGAAACAACTGATGCTGGAGAGGATGTGGAGAAATAGGAACACTTTAACACTGTTGGTTAGAGTGTAAATTAGTTCAACCATTGTGGAAGACCATGTGGCAATTCCTCAAGGATCTAGAACCAGAAATACCATTTGACCCATCAATCCCATTACTGGGTATATACCCAAAGGATTATAAATCATTCTACTATAAAGACACCTGCACATGTATGTTCATTGCAGCACTATTCACAATAGCAAAGACTTGGAACCAACCCAAATGTCCATCAATGATAGACTGAATTAAGAAAATGTGGCACATATACACCATGGAATACTATGCAGCCATAAAAAAGGATGAGTTCATGTCCTTTGCAGGGACATGGATGAAGCTGGAAACCATCATTCTCTGCAAACTAACACAGGAACAGAAAACCTCACTTCCATGTTCTCACTCATAAGTGGGAGCTGAACAATGAGAACACATGGACACAGGGAGGGGAACATCACACACCAGGGCCTGTTGCAGGGTGAGGGTCTAGGGGAGGGTTAGGGTTAGGAGAAATACCTAATGTAGATGACAGGTTGATGGGTGCAGCAAACCACCATGGCATGTGTATACCTGTGTAACAAGCCTGCAGGTTCTGCTCCTGTATCCCAGAATTTAAAGTATTAAAAAAAATATAAAAGTCACAGGATGTTTGTGATAGTATCTGTTACGCTGATGCTGCCATCACATGGTTGACTATGTGGAGACTCCAAGTGAAATTTCTTGCAGTTCTCGGTGGCAGGAAAATCTGTATTTCTGGATAAAACTAAAAAAGTTTAGAAAAACATTCAAGTTTCATAGTCTAGAGCTCTAACACTGGAATCTTTTCCAAATTTCAGGTTTAATGATTTACCTAAATCTAAAAATAGTAGGTTGCAGATGTATTTAAACAGTGTGCCTAGGTAGTATGTTTATATATTAGGATTAAAATGGCCTTCTAAAGTTTACTAATTCTAATATAGCCTTTATTGTTTCATGTAGACATATCTTTCCGATTCCCAGGATAATTTAAACAATTAATTCAAAGCAACTATTGACTTAGTTCTAGATTGGGATATCTATTTATGCATTTGAAGCTTTAGATATGTATTTCAAATTAGAAATGTGTGCTGGTCGGCCGGGGGCGGTGGCTCATGCCTGTAATCCCAGCACTTTGGGAGGCTCAGGCAGGCAGATCACCTGAGGCCAGGAGTTCAAGACCAGCCTGACCCACATGGAGAAAGCCCTGTCTCTACTAAAAATACAAAATAAGCCAGGCATGGTGGTGCATGCCTGTAATCCCAGCTACTCGGGAGGCTGAGGCAGGAGAATCGCTTGAACCCAGGAGGTGGAAGTTGCGGTAAGCCGAGATCGCACCATTGCACTCCAGCCTGGGGAACAAAAGCCAAACTCCGTCTCAAAAAAAAAAAAAAATATATGTGTGGTGGTCATGGAAAGTTGTGACTTAGAGTCTCAGGTAAGTTTTGTTTCCATGTGAACACACTGCTTCCAATTGATGTTATGCCCAGAGCAATTAATAAATATCCTTTGAACTGAATTAGTGATTAACTGCAAATATCACAATACATCTTCTTAGTGGGCATGATAATTGGACATATTTAGTCCTTGCTGTGACCTGAGAAAGGAATTATTTTCATTAAATGTTTAATGTTTCACCCTGTTCATGCAGCTGGAGTTACTGATTCAGTTTGATGTGAATTCAGTCTTATAAAAGACCCATCATTATAACCTGCACTTATGCTTCCTATAGCATCGGAACTTCCAACTTGTAGGCAAAATAGATAAGATTTATATTCTTAAAAACCACAAGAAATCTCCCTTTATTCACAATAAACATAGAATTAGCTATTCTATTAACCTGAACAATAGAACTCACTGGGAGTGACCACATACCCAATATCACGCATTGCCCGAGTGTCTGAAAAGGTCAGTGGGCCATTTTGCTCCATGCTGTGCCACGGGCCAACCACGAGGGCTGTCAGTGACTCACTGCGTGGGCCACCCAGGGCATGTGGTGCTGAGGCTGTCGAAGAGCAAGACGAGGCTGTATTTAAACTCAGGCCTCTGCTAAGTGTCAGAACTTGGGTAAGATGCCAAACACTTTAGAGCCAGTTTCCTTTTCTATGACTGGGTTATAACACTCACCCTGTCAGGTTCTCGTGTGCGTTGACAAGGCCGGCACGTGACACACCAGGGGCAGAGTTGGATGTGAACCTTCTTCCTCAGACATCAGGGTCCTCATGAGCATCAACAAAATAAGGAGAGCTGTGTCAGGACTGCAGCAGGGACTCAGCAACAATCAGTCTCTTTCTCTTGTCTCATCGAAATCATATATTTTTTAAAAAGGTGCAGTTATCATGGATGTTTATATTGATTCCTGGGATCAGACAAATATACCTTTCCTTGTCATGCTGTTTTCTCTTCCTAGGTGGTTTGAAGAGCTTTGTTTTGGACTTGATACTCCTGGAGCGCACATGAGAAATGAGCTTTGTTTCGGACTTGATATTCCTGGAGTGCATTTTTTTTTCTAATTAGTCCAGTCTTGACCCTGAGCCATCACCCCTCCAGAATAGCAGGACATTCCACTCCACTGTAGTTGGGGTGCCACAATTTCACTACTAATCAAAGGCTCCTTGGTTTCTGAAAAGTGGGAGAAGTACCTCTAATAATCAGTCTAGATTGTCACTGCTCACTTTCTCGTTTTCCAATTCCACAGGAGCCCCCAAAAGCCCAGAAGGTTTCATTTCTTAGCATCTTATAGACCATGGGAACCAGGAAACACTGGAACCCCAGGGCCTGCACCCACCTCATTTGCACCCTGTCTCTGTTTCTATCACCCTGTAGGCATTGCTACAGAGCAGTGTTGGGACCCACTGGTGATCTGACTGCTTCCAGCCTGGGAAACTGCCTTCTTCTCTCCACTGATATCATGATATTTCTGCTTTCCACCCCACAGAAATCCTTGAATGAAGCACAGAAGGGATTGGTAGTTACCTGGTGTGAAGCAGAGCTGAGGCTATGGGAGGAAGCAATATTGCAATGGACTCTGTCATTGATGTCACTAGTGTGTAAATCTGTTACCACTATGGTCAAATTTTTATATTTTTTAAGATTATAACTCATTCTGCTCATTGTATTCAATGCAACATCTACCCTAAAAGATACCCAGGCATTAATTTATGCTTTTCTGTTTACAAATGAGAATTTATAAGCAAATTGAGGTAGCAATTAGATATTTTTTAATTGAAGGCAAAACAGAAGACACATACACATACATCAGTGAAACAGAACAGAGAGCCCAGAAACAGACTGAAATACAGCCAACTGATCTCTGACAAAGGAGCAAAGGCAATTCAATGGACAAATGGTGCTGGAACAACTGGACATCCACGCAGAAAAAAAAATGAATCTATAAACGGACCTTACACCTTTTACAAAAGTTAATGCAAAGTAGATATTAGATCAATATATGAAACGCAAAATTTTCAAACTCCTAGAAGATAACATAAGGAAAAACTCTAGATAACCTCGGATTTGGTGATTTTTTTTAGATACAACATCAAAGCATGATCCACGAAGAAAAAAATTGGGAAGTTGAACTTTAACATAAAAAAACTTTTGTTTTGTGAAAGATACTGTTAAGAGAATAAAAAGACAAACCACAGACAGTGAGAATATATTTGCAAAATACATCTAAGGATTCATATATGAAATATTCAAAGAACTCTTAAAACTCAACAATAAGAAAACAAATGACCCAATTAAAAATGGGCAAAAGCTGAACAGATATGCAGATGGAAATTAAGTATATGAAAAGATGCTCTGTATAATATGTTATTAGGAATTGCCAATTAAGACAAGAGTCAGATACCACTACACACCTATTAGAATGGCCAAAATCCACAAGACCAAAAACACCAAATGCTGGTCAGGATGTGGAGCAACAGGAACTCGCATTCATTGCTGTGGGCATTATGTGACATTTTGGAAAAGGGAAAATAACATAGATAGTAAAATATCTATGTAATTACGTGACATTCTGGAAAAGGGAAAATTACATACATAGTAAAATAATCAGTGGTTGACAGGGATTGGGGAGAGGAAAGGATGGATGGGCAGAGAGCCCTGGACGTTTAGGGCAGTGAGACCACCGTGTGTGATTTCACCACAACGGTAGACCCACGACAGTGTGCAGATGCCAACACCCATTGAATGCAGACCACGAAACGGTATTAATTACATAAACTATAAACTTTCTTAATGAAATAAATCCTGTTTTAAAAAAGTAGACAGTTTTGTTCAGTTACTGCCTACTTTCTGAAATGGAGATGGTGGAGTGCTTCCAAGGTTGTGAGGATAAAAATAGCTTAGAGAATATAATAACTAAAATAGGTGTGTAAACATTGTTAGACTATTTTATTCTCATTAAAAACATGCCTTAAAAAAATTTGCTATTTTTTACGACTGGGCAAGTAGTGCAAACACATTATTATAATTCTCCTCTAGCTCCACTCAGAAGTCAGGACTGCAGGGCTTCGGTGCAGGACTGCACAGCTCCACATGCACTTGCCAAACGCAACAACCTCTTTCAGCGTCACTAAAATATATCAATAGGAGGATTGAGTTTAGACCCAACCTGTGTTTTCTCCCCTGGAAAACAAAGGTTTTCATGTAACAAAGAAGGTCTTTACCGCCCTCATCTGAAACGCTGAGGCATCTCTGATGTCTGCTGTAAGTGCCGCCAGGCTCTCTGAAATCTCGCAATGGGAAAATGGACTGCAGATTCTGCTTTTAGAAAGGCGGGAATCAGAACTCATGTCGAAATGCCATGTCCTCATTCATACACATCTTCTTTTACAAATCCAACATGTTTAGTTACTTTGGGATTAACATGGGCCTATTTTAAAGTGCATTTATTAATGTAGCATGTGTTGTCCAAATGCATTCTGGATCCTGAGCCGACATCCAGCAATGCTGAGTGTGCGCCTGTGTGAGTCACCAGCACTGATGAGCCTCAGGTTATTGTGTTCGTAAAATGAAGGGGCTTAGGCTTGCTCCGATTTTTTAAAAACGATTTTTAATAGCAAACGCTTTTTTTCTTGCTACATAAAAATGCACAAGAAAAACTCAAACATTACCAATGATAAATTATAATTTCATTAATATAAATATTTTTGTGAACTCAATTTATATGACTTAGTTATTATAAAAGAAATAAGCAATATGAGGTGGCCATTACCATCCTTTCCTGTTTTATTTTGTTCATATGCTATTGATAAATCTTGATGTACACAGAAAAGTAGTTTTAAAGAATACTTTTAAAAAAACTTGACTTTAATTTCAAGAGACTTTTAAAAAATTCCTGCAATTGCTTTTTAAAGATTCTAGAACAGTTTTCTGTATCTTAAAGCTAAATAACTAGAAAGAGCTCACTCTTCTCACATTCTGTATTATAAATATGTAAATCAGAAAAGGAACAGACAAAATCATAAAAACACATGCATGAACAAATGGGCCTTGGTTTACATTGAATTGGATCTAGAATGCACATAGGTTATAGTAGTATTTTTGTGTGCAATTTTACATGAGTGGACTGCTGTCAAAATAAAAATTGTCTACAAGCTCTATTCAGTGGTATATTTGCACAAATGGTAAACATATACATAGAGATCATGGGAGAAATTTATTTCATGGCTTACAAGAAGACAGGTTAAGTTGGGACATTTAATTGTTTCATTAATGCTACATTTTATAATGCACTTGTATGGGCATGGTATTTAAATGTATTATCACAACTTTTAAATGCTCATTGTTACAGATGGAATTATTAGAGAAAGTACTAACTTATATCTTCTTTGTGTGTGCTTTGGAAGCACCAGGAAATAATAAAGCAGCCCTTTTCCCTTTTCCCATCTATTTCCTGAAGACCAAGCTGTGTTTTTGCAGATTAGGCCTTTCTGTTAACACACACACACACACACACACACACACACACACACACGCATGCATGCACACTCACGCACGCACGCATGCACACACACACACACGCAATATAGCCTTTAGGAGTTTAAAGGAGGGAAAGAGAATATGCCTGGATAACTCTCACCTAGGTATTTTCTGGGGAGATCTAGAATCATCTAAGGGGGTAAGCTGGACTAGCCAATGGGAAATCAAAACGAAGATACTGAAGAGATGTTCCCAGAAGAGGAGCATTCCTAATGGGCTAGGCCCTAGTCACATGCAATTCCCCAGATGTGGTTGGTGTGGCCAAGGTTCCAGCATTTGACAGCTGCCTTCTTGGCACTTCGTGTGCTGTGAGGAGCATCCCTCCCCAGTGCCAGGGGCAGTGGTCCTCTCACCCCCTTCAGAGTAAAGGGCCAGCAATTGGCAGTCACAAGAAAAGTAGTAAGATAGGAAGGTGAGGAGCATGAAGTCCCACCATACCAGCCTCCTGTGTCTGGCACAGAATATGATGAGGAACCTCTGTGAACTGGAATCTTCCATATCTTGATACATGGGAATTTCTGCTAGATATAATTTGACTTATAAAAAGAAAGAAATATGACCTTCTTGCATCTAAATATTGTAGAAGAGTTAATGACTGTAACATGGATGTTTTACATTCTGAGATGCTATTAAATCAATACCTGTCACAAAAGTATTCATAATTTTTTAGAAGAACAGAAGCAATCTCATCATATTAAATGCAGTGGATCAATTGTAAGATACATGCTAACGCCACAAAAAGTAAAGCATGGGAAAAAACATCTGTCTTAGAATGGAAAAATACAGTAGTTAAACTATTTTTAACTAGAATTTAAATGCAACATTTTAGGATATGAAACCCTCAACTCATTTTGAAAACTACTGGCTCAGATGAAACCTCTAAAAGATCATGAAACTAATCAGATAATTTTCTGTGCCTTTGCCTGAGAGTCTATCTGAAAGTGGTGCAATTTTTACAGAAGAGGAATAACGTGTCCCGAACTGGGAACCCTTCACGGGCCACCATTCTGGGTGGCGCTTCAGTGTAGAGTTTTGGTCAGCAGAGGGCTCCAGGGGACTGCTGGGGAAGGCCAGGACATGGAAGAGGGCCTAGAGCCAGGATTACCTGGGAGAGGGTGGACCAATTTTGTCAAGCGCCTGAGGACCATGCCATACAGGATTCTCTCAAAACCACTCACACACTAGGTGGGAATAAATGATAAGAGAAATTAATGTGTGCTTAGCATGTGAGAGCCGACACTCATTCTCTCTCAAAGACAAAAAGTGATTTGATGGCCTCGACTCCACGAGAAGGAGCATCATCTGTGGTCCTTCCTGGGGGTGAGGGGCGGAGAAGTGAGGCAGGCGTCAGAAAACAGGAGGGTTGATTAAAATCTGTACATTGACAGTCAACCCTCATTATCCTCCCTCACCGATGCCTGCACCCCACCCCTCGGGTAACCAGTGAGTAGAACACCAACAACCAACAAGCAAGCACCTGCCTTCCAGAGAGGAGAGGAGAAGGTTTTCTCCAGAGAAAGGAAACCATCCAGACCAAAGGCATCACTTACTAACATGCGGAAACCCCATCAACTCCCTGAAGTAAAACCTCTAGATGAGCCTTTCACTAATGATAACACAGACTCATTCTCCTTCTTCATGTGCCACTATTAAATGTGAACAGTGAAGAATCACCTCCAGACGAGCCTTTCACTAATGATAACACAGACTCATTCTCCTTCTTCATGTGTCACTATTAAATGTGAACGGTGAAGAATCACCATCTAGATGAGCCTTTCACTAATGATAACACAGACTCATTCTCCTTCTTCATGTGTCACTATTAAATGTGAACAGTGAAGAATCACCTCCAGACGAGCCTTTCACTAATGATAACACAGACTCATTCTCCTTCTTCATGTGTCACTATTAAATGTGAACAGTGAAGAATCACCTCCAGACGAGCCTTTCACTAATGATAACACAGACTCATTCTCCTTCTTCATGTGTCACTATTAAATGTGAACGGTGAAGAATCACCATCTAGATGAGCCTTTCACTAATGATAACACAGACTCATTCTCCTTCTTCATGTGTCACTATTAAATGTGAACAGTGAAGAATCACCTCCAGACGAGCCTTTCACTAATGATAACACAGACTCATTCTCCTTCTTCATGTGTCACTATTAAATGTGAACAGTGAAGAATCACCTCCAGACGAGCCTTTCACTAATGATAACACAGACTCATTCTCCTTCTTCATGTGTCACTATTAAATGTGAATGGTGAAGAATCACCATCTAGATGAGCCTTTCACTAATGATAACACAGACTCATTCTCCTTCTTCATGTGTCACTATTAAATGTGAACAGTGAAGAATCACCATCTAGATGAGCCTTTCACTAATAACACACTCATTCTCCTTCTTCATGTGTCACTATTAAATGTGAACGGTGAAGAATCACCTCCAGACGAGCCTTTCACTAATGATAACACAGACTCATTCTCCTTCTTCATGTGTCACTATTAAATGTGAACGGTGAAGAATCACCATCTAGACGACCCTTTCACTAATGATAACACAGACTCATTCTCCTTCTTCATGTGTCACTATTAAATGTGAACAGTGAAGAATCACCATCTAGACGACCCTTTCACTAATGATAACACAGACTCATTCTCCTTCTTCATGTGTCACTATTAAATGTGAACAACGAAGAATCACCAGACATTGAAGGGAAACCAATCTTAATGGGAAAAAACACCAAGGTAAACTGGCAGGCGGAATGATTGTTAAGAACCTAACATCGTAGCAAAATAAGAAATAAGAGTTTTATATCATCATTCACTTAGTGGCACTGTCTGGCGTTTCAGTACACAACTTGGATGTACTTTTGGGTTTTTTTTGTTTCATTTTGTTTTGTTTTGTTTTGTTTTTTTTTTTTTTTTTTTTTGGCACAGTCTCGCTCTGTTGCCCAGACTGGAGTAGAGTGGTGCAGTCTCGGCTCACTGCAACCTCCGTCTCCCAGGTTCAAGTGGTTCTCCTACCAATTTTTGTATTTTAAGTAGAGACAGGGTTTCGCCATGTTGGCCAGGCTGGTCTCAAACTCCTGACCTCAGATGGTCTGCCCACCTTGACCTCCCAAAGTGCTGGGATTATAGGCATGAGCCACCGTGCCCAGCCTGATAGAATTTTAACTATTAGAAGAAATCATAGGAAGCTACCATTCGAATAGATCAAACATCAGCAATATATTAAAATATCAGCAATTTCACATGATCAAGATTATTTTTAAAAAATAAAAAGAGAACAGAATTGATTCAATTTCTAGGCCAGCAACCAAGGAAAAAGCAAAGAATGAAAGATTTTATAATCGCATCATAATAGCAAGATCTTATATTTCTATTGAGCTTTAAAGATTACAGGCCAGGTGCGGTGGCTCACGCCTGTAATCCCAGCACTTTGGGAGGCCGAGTCGGGCGGATCACAAGGTCGGGAGTTCAAGACCAGCCTGGTCAATATGGTGAAACCCTGTCTCTACTAAAAATACAAAAATTAGCTGGGCATGGTGGCAGGCACCTGTAGTCCCAGCTACTCGGGAGGCTGAGGCGGGAGAATCGCTTGAACCCGGGAGACGGAGGTTGCAGTGAGCCAAGATCGTGCCACTGAACTACAGCCTGGGTGACAGAGCAAGACTCCGTCTGAAACAAACAAACAACAACAACAACAAATTACAAAACACAACAATATACATTGTCTTGTTTGATCTTTAAACAATCCTATAATTGTAATTAATATATCTAAAAATTGTAACTCTTGAGAAATCCAGGATGACATAAATAAGGCCTAAACACAGCTTTAATTTGCCAAGTAATGGGAAGAGAAGGGATCGGAAGCCCGGCTGACTGACCCCACAACCTCTACTTCCAGTACTTAAAAGAAGTCAGCCAGGACGAAACCTTGGGAAGGACCTGAGATAAAGGCAGTGGGAAAAGAGCAGAGTCAAGGATGATCTATGAACAGGTAAAAAAAGGAATGCCTTAAATACAAAAACATATGTCCACAGAGCTGGGAGTTGTACGAAGCCGTGTAATTAGAGAACATCATGTTGACAGCAGACTCTTGACCTAGGGGGAAAATGTTCATGACACTGACTCCCAGAAGGATAAACCTCAAGGATTCCAGATATGAGGCAGTCAAACCCTCAATTGGAAGCACTGTACAAATGTTCATGGCAAGAACTGAAATGAATTTATACCCACATAAAACTACATGTAGGGAAATGCTGACTTTGTAAGATGTTTCTGGACACTACATTAGCAGCTGTGCCACACACACACAACACAAACTCAGGCAAGCCTGTCACCTGCACAGCTGGAGGGTTAGCTTGGACAGGGCGATTACAGTCTCCCCCAAAACCCTTCCTTCTCGTCCATGCCTGAATCCTATTCACATGCTACAAGGACCACATGCTTGTGGAATCCAACTCAGCTCACTTTAGAACCAAAGGATGCCTCTGTGACACATGCAGAAATGACTTCCTTTTCATTTTCATTCAGTCTGTAGGAAGAGAACAGCTGCAAGAGAGAGAAAGAAAATGTACACACTGGCTAGGTGGAGACGGCACCTGAAGAGTGACTTTCATGTTTAGCCCCAACGGTTTATAAACATTCATGTGGAGATTAAAGATATTCCCCAAAACCAGAAAACACAACTGAGTCAGCTTCTGTTAGTAAGCATCGCGCTGCAACCCGGAGGCCAGATGTCCTTGGAAAAGATCAGAGACATAAAACATCACCGCCTCTGTTTATGCAGCTTACTGAAGTTTACACGGAATCCTCATGCCTTCCCTGCGTTTAAGCCTTCTATGCAAATGATAGAGACTCTAAGTAGAGAAGGAGCAGCAGATTCTTGTCCAGTTCCGTGAGTCAACACCTGCATTGTCTCACTCCCCATGTTGACGGCTGTAGAGGACTTTCCATTCTCTGCCCCTACTGCCTCCAAAAACATTGGTTTTACATTGCCATAGCTAACATTAATACCTCCTAGAATAAAGGGGGAATCACCACCGAGTGTCAGTTCTGGTTCAGATGCTGGAGTGAGGGTGTTATTCTTCTTACATATAATGCAGTAACTCCACATTGCACCAGTGGTTTGGTCAAAAGAGACTAAATTTCTAGGGAATTAGTGTTGATTATTTTTAGATATCATAACCTTGGCTTTACTGACACCTTATATTAAACAGATCTTACTTGCCAAATGCCACAAGATGCAGGCTGACAGATGGGCTCCCAGGGCTCTTGTGAGCCAGAACTGTCATATATGCAAAACGACGAGACAGAGAACACTGCCCACATCCAACACAGCACAGCCACCCTGAAAGCCTCAGCATGTAAACTTTCGTGGCACCACCCTTTCTTTTAGAAATGTGTTTAGATTTTATAGACTTTTGCTAGATTTTGTTATATAAGCTTTATGTACTGAAAGGTCTTACAGATTTTTAAATATTGAGTAAAATGTTCACCAGTATATTTTATATATATATATAATTTTTTTTCTTTAAAAACAAGGCCCTGGCTGGGCAGGTGGCTCACGTCTGTAATCCCAGCACTTTGGGAGGTTGAGGCAGGCAAATCACAAGGCCAGGAGTTCGAGACCAGCCTGGCCAACATGGTGAAACCCCGTCTCTACTAAAAATACAAAAAATTAGCTGGGCATAGTGGCGAGCACCTGTAATTTCAGCTACTTGGGAGGCTGAGGCCCGAGAATCACTTGAACTTGGGAAGTGGAGGTTGCAGTGAGCCGAGATCACCCCAATGCACTCCAGCCTAAGCGACAGAGTGACACTCCATCTCAAAACAAAAAACAAAAAACAAGGCCCTTATACAAATCACCCTTCAAACTTTTATTTAGAATTTAAGGTCATTTGGGGCTGTCATGTAAACAAAATTCTCCCAATTGCTAGGGTCCTCTTGGGGTGCTGCATTCCTGCAAGCCATGATCATGCCAGGCTTTGTCAGTGATTGGAAAAACAGATCCTTCTCCATCTGGGAGCTCAAATGCCTAGGGTGATGCCAGATCAACTTTTCATTACTGAGTCATACATTCCTAAATTCAGCGTATCACAGACAAACAGACATACCTTTAACAGTTTAACCTGACAAAGGTCTGAAATATTTCCATTGCAATAAAAGTTGTGAAAAGGCTATCTTGCTAGAGATCTCTGACTCAGAGAAGAAAGTGAAGGCTGGGCATGGTGGCTCACGCCTGTAATCCCAGCACTTTGGGAGTTCGAGGCAGGTGGATCACTTGACATCAGGAGTTCGAGAGCAGCCTGGGAAACACAGTGAAAGCCTGTCTCTACCAAAAATACAAAAATTAGCTGGGCATGGTGGTGTGTGGCTGCAGTACCAGCTACTTGGGAGGCTGCGGCAGAAGAATTGCTTGAACCTGGGAGATGGAGGTTACAGTGAGCCAAGATAGAGCCACTGCACTGCCTACAAAATAAAAAAATAAAAGTAAGAGACAGTAAGAAAGTGAAGAATCTCAGTGACTGCAGTGTTTAGGAACAGAATTTCTTTCAGGGAGGAATAGGGCTCTGAGTGTACAGAGCAGCAGTGGAAAGAATCACACAAACCCCTTTTTCCATGCACTAGATCTCGGGGTATAACTTTTATGAACTTTAATTTCCTTCTAGTTAAATAAAAATAACAATATCTACTTGATGTGTTGCCTTGTACGTTGTGTATGAAGAGCCTAGAATGACGATCGACCCAAAAATGGAGTCAGTACTTTGATCCATTCACTCTTGGGTGCTGGGCTCCTCAGGGCATAGGCAGGAGGCACAGCTGAAAAGCCACCTGTGGGTCCACAGGTGCTGCTGGGGAGCAGAGTGAAGGAGGAAATAGGACAGGTGTTAAGGAGAACACAGGTGCAGCTGGAGAGCAGAGTGCAGGAGGGAATAGGCCAGGTGCTAAGGAACATGCAGGTGCAGCTGGAGAGCAGAATGAAGGCGGGAACTAGAACAGGTGTTAAGAAACATGCAGGTGCGGCTGGAGAGCAGGGTGCAGGAGGGAACTGGGACAGGTGCTAGGGAGAACACAGGGCAGCTGAGGGACAGAGTGAAGGAGGGAATAGGACAGGGGCTAAGGAGAACACAGGTGCAGCTGGAGAGCAGAGTCCAGGAGGGAATACAACAGGTGCTAATGAAAACACAAGGGAACCTGGGGCACAGAGTGAAGGAGGGAATAGGACAGGTGCTAAGCTTAAGGCAGGTGCAGCTAGAAAGCAGAGCGCACGAGGAAACTAGAAGAGATGCTAGAGGAACACACTGAGATAGGTCCTGAGGGCTCCACTGAACCATACTTACCACTGCATTTCAGAGTTATTTCCTCTCATGCATCTATTTAAAAGGTGATCATTTGTGCACACTTTCTATCCTGCACTGCAGCTATTTTAAGTATTCCTTAAAATATTTTAAGTATTGTAAAATTCACAATTACAAAAATATGGAACCAGCCTAAATGCCCATCAACCAATGAGTGGATAAATCAAATATTATATATATACACACACCATCAAACTCTACTCAGCCATAAAAGGTTAAAAAATAATGGCATTCACAGCAACCTGGAAGGAGTTGGAGACCATTATTCTAAGTGAAGTAACTCAGAAATGGAAAAACAAATACTGTATGTTCTCACTTATCAGTGGGACCTAAGCTATGAGAATTCAAAGGCATAAGAATGACAAAATGGACTTTGGGGACTTAGGGGAAAGGTGAGAGGGAGGTGAGGGATAAAACACTACACATTGGGTACAGCGTACACTGCTTGGGTTATGGGTGAATCAAAATCTCAGAAACCATCACTAAAGAACTTACACATGTAACCGAAAACCACCTGTTCCCCAAAACTATTGAAATAAAATAAAATAAAATAAAAATAGCAGATATCTTATTCCTTTGGTAGTCCCCAGGGCCTACCTAGCTCAAGAATTTACTAAATGCTTGTAAAATATAAGAATAAATGGAACTGGGTAAAAGCAGCTCGTACAGAGACGTCCAGCCATTTCAGAAGTGTGAAGGTTCAGAGCAGCCGGCCCTGAGCAGAACCTGGGGCACAGCACTTCCGGGTTAGGGTCAGGGTCAGGGTCAGGGTTAGGGTCAGGGTCAGGGTCAGGGTACAGCACTTCCGGGTTAGGGTCAGGGTTAGGGTCAGGGTACAGCACTTCCGGGTTAGGGTCAGGGTTAGGGTCAGGGTCAGGGTACAGCACTTCCGGGTTAGGGTCAGGGTCAGGGTCAGGGTTAGGGTCAGGGTCAGGGTCAGGGTACAGCACTTCTGGGTCAGGGTCAGGGTCAGGGTCAGGGTCAGGGTTAGGGTCAGGGTCAGGGTCAGGGTACAGCATTTCCAGCGCTGCCAGCGGCCTCCTTGCTTATGGTGCATGTTCTAACCCTCACAAACCACAAGCTTGTCTTTAAAAACATCAAGTTGAAATAAACCACATATTAATTGAGGTAAAATAAGTGGCCAGAGAACCCACATAATTTAGTTGCAGTAAACTTCTGCTGCATATTTAAAGGAAAATAAACGAAATAATAGTTTTCAAAACATAAAAATTATTCCACTCTTTCTGAAAACACACTGCTAATCTAAGCCTAACCAAAAAGCTAACCCTAACCCTACCACTAACCCTAATGCTACCACTAGCCTCTAACCCTACTGCTAACTCTAACACCTAACCCTAATCCCAAACCCCTAAACCAAACCCTAGTCCTGAACCCTAACCCTAACCCCAACCCAAACCCCAATACCGACACTACACTAATCATAACCCAACCCTAACTCTAACCGCAAAACCCTAACCCCTGACCCTAAACCCAACCCCAACCCAAAACCTAACTCTAACCCCTGAACCAAACCCTAAAACCCCACAAACCCCAAAAATATTCCAAACCGAACCTCACCCTAACCATAAATCCCAACCCTAACCCTAACCCTAAAATCTATCCCCTAACCCCAACTTTAACCCTAACCCTAATCCATAAACCTAACCCTTAACCCCGACCCCGCCCAAACCACAACCCCAGCCCCAAGCCTAGCGCCAGCCATCACCCTAACCCCTAACCCGAACCCCTACCCTAACCCCTTCCCTAACTCTAACTTTAACCCTAACCCCATACCCCTACCCCTAAACCCTAACCCCAATTCCAACCCCAACCCTAACTGTAACCCTAACACTTACCCGTGACCCTAACTTCAACCCTAACCCTGACTTTAACGCTAAGCTCAAACCCTCACTCGCCCGGGTGCTCATTTCCACACCCACTCCGGTGCCGGGTCTCGCCTCTATCCACCTTGTCCCTCGTCCGTGCCCCCGCTCACTCCGGCGCCCGGCTGCTGCCCCACCCGCTTCGGTGCTTGTGCCCTCACCTACCCTGGCGCCAGGACCGCCTCTGCTGACTGCGCGCTGAGACTCATGCTGTCTCCGGGTCCCCGGAACTCCGCGGAGTCCGGTTAACTCCAACGCCTAATCCTAATTCCAAACCTGGGGATGCCCGGGGCCCGGCGTCTTCATCCCGCTGGGCACTGGGCCGGGGAAGCTGACCCGGCGACCTCAGCTGCCCGGTTCCCGGGGACCTGCCCGATCCAGGGCCCCCGCGGCGAGAGATGGGCGGTGGCGGCGCGGCGCTGCAGGACGCAGTCTCCCCCGGCCTCGCCCTCTCCGTCCCGGCGGGGCCGTAGTATCCCCGCGGAGGCTCGGAGGGGCCGGCCTGGGTGGGGCATCTCCCTGGTCTGCAGTTCTGGTTGTTTTTTTGTGGCTCCATGGTAAGCACCCCACTGATCTTATATCTTCCCCCCTTTTCCTGAAAGTCTGTTTTTTCATCCTTCCTTCCTTTTCATCATCTCCCGTTTTCAAAACGGCTCTTAAACCATGCGCAATGCGTTAACGTTAAGTCGTCATTTCCATCTACTCAATGACAACGTTTTATCACGTGTTGTTCTGACTTCCATTTTTGTTGTGTATTTGGTTCCTTGTTCTTTTTCTTTTCTTCCTGGGCTGGTTCCTCGTTCACTCTTTCTAGGTATGAGTGAACGGTTCCTTCCGGCTTGTCTAAATCTTCCATCTTTCGGGGTGGGTGGTGCTGAGCGGGCTCCAGGTGTGCGCCCTGCTCCTGCGAGGCGTGTGAGCGCTTATCGCACCCATGGCCCCTGCGCGCCTCTGTCCTGCCGGGTTCCCGCAGAGGCGCCTGGTCCACACGCTGTTTCTCCCTCTTCGCCTCCTCTCTAGCCCAGACTCCGGAGCAGGTCCCGGCTGCGTCTCCCACGTCTGGGTGTAGACCCGCGGTGTGGGCAGCCCTTCCTTTCGCTGCAGCCGAGTCTCCGCTATTACCGTTCAAGTTGTCCCTGGGTGGATTCTGAAAGGACAAGGGGGAAACGGCCCGCTCTACTCCATGGCGGGTCACTGACCTTCTGTTACATTTTATTTTACGTTGCCTTTGGCAGTTTTGAAACTGACCAATCCTTTTTGGAAATAAGAGAAGGTATAAAACCAAAAATGTTTTTTCAGTTCCTTTCTGAAAATGTGCTCGTTTTGGAGCCACTTGTGAGGACAAAGAGTTTGGAAAATTTAAGTGTCTCTACTTCTTCACTGTGTTTTGCTAACAAGAATGAAAAAAAAAGCATTAAAAATGGCCTTAATAAACGTCTTTCAACCTCAAACAGGACTATGTTATCAGGTAAACTATGTTATTTTCAACAAATCTTAAGTTCCTACCGCAATGGAGAGACTTTAGGTCCGTAAAGAGCAGTTGAGGCCGGGCACGGTGGCTCACACCTGTAATCCCAGCACTTTGGGAGGCCGAGGTGGGCGGATCACCTGAGGTCAGGAATTCAAGACCAGCCCGACCAACATAGTGAAACCCCGTCTCTACTAAGAATACAAAAATTAGCTGGACTTGGTGGCACACGCCTGTAATCCCAGTTACTCAGGAGGCTGAGGCAGGAGCATCGCTTGAACCAGGAGGCACAGGTTGCAGTGAGTGGAGACGGCGCCACCGCACTCCAGCCTGGGCAACAGAATGAGACTCAGTCTCAAAAAAAAAAAAAAAAAAAAAAAAAAAAAAAAAAAGCAGGCAGTTGAAACGCTTCCTCGGCAAGAAATAGACCTTTATGCGTGGCGGGGGACAGTCAGGGCGACAGGGGCTTCCCGAAGCTCACTGCCCAGAGGAGCAGAGTTTCAAGTTTGTTCTCCTTTCTTTTTTAGAGACAGGGTCTCGCCCTGTCGCCCAGGCTGGAGGGCAGTGGCGCGATCTCGGCTCACTGCAGCCTCCGCCTCCCGGGCTCAAGCAATCCTCCCGCCTCAGCCTCCGGAGTAGCTGGGACCACAGGTGCGCCAGGCTAATTTTATTTTTACTTTTTGTAGAGAAGGGGGTCTCACTACGTTGCCCAGGCTGGAAGTTTATTTTTAAGGAAATGGCGTTTACCTAAACACCAGGAAGCCTGGCCCTAGCACTACTGCGCCTCCACCTCAGCCCCCACTCCACCCGCACAGGTGAGGGTGCTCCGGAAAGGCTCCTGGGGCCCGGCTTCTTCATCTCCAGCCTCCGCACCTGGCGGAGGGAAGGGCTCGCCCCTAACCTGAGGTCAGAACTTGTTCGGGACCGCCGGGTGGAGACAAGGACGCGGGAACAAAACGTATGTGTGTGTTGGGGGGTGTTGCTGCGAGAGCGGGCAAGGGCGGGGACGCCGCGCTGACCCGGTCCTGGATCCCACCCGCGCTGGGCTCAGGGCCGCGGGTTCGGGTCCTGCCGGGCGTCCCACGCACCGGGGACGGGCACGAAACCGTCCACCTGCCTCAGACCTCGGCTGACCTCTGGGCCGCGGGAGGGCCCGAGGGTCTTTTCCGCCTCTGCTCGCTGTTGTGTCTCCAAGGTCAGAATCCCTGCGGCCGGGGCTGCGCAAAACGCCCCCCACCCCCGCCTCACTGCCGCCCCCGAGTCCCCTTCTCAGGCAGGCTGTGGGGGTTGGGGTTGGGCTTCGCGAGCCCAAGCGGACGCCGCAAAGAGAATGAGAACCTCGGAGCGCTCGGGGCGGGCGGGCCCAGCCCAGGCTCTTCCTACCCCTGCGGGGGTCCGAGGGCCAGCGGCATCGGCGGCGGGAGGAGGGGGCGGGGGCGGGGAATTAGGGGGAGGCGGGTGTTAAAGAGGAGAAGGGCGGGGGCGGAGGGGGAGGAGGAGACGGGGCGGGGAGGACCCCCAGGTTTCCGAGTCTCCGCCCGGGCTTTCGTTCCCGGCTGTGTGGCCCCGCGCGGTTCCCGAGCAGCTCCAGGAACTGAAACGTGAAGGGGACCTCGGTGCCCGGAGCTGCTGCCCAGGTAACCGCGCTGCGCCCGGCGAGCAGATGGGGGGTAGTCGCCCCAGTCCTGGACTCCGCGAGGGGGCGCGGGGAGTCCACGCTGCGGCCGCGCAGACGGGCGGGGCGGTTCGTTCCTGCGAGCGCCGGAACCGGGGAGGAGGCTGGGGAAGAGAAAGGGGCAGAGGGGCGGGCCCGGGGGCCGGGGCCGAGGGGGCGGAGCGCGAAGTTTCCAGAGGGAGGATTTGAGCTGCTGAGACCGGGGGCGGCGCCTGGGGACGCCGGAGATCCGCTGCTCCCCGGGACACTCACCTGCTGCCCGGCGCTGCGGGAGGAGAGCGCGGAACCGGGAGCCCTGGAACCCTGGCCCGACTGCTGAGCGCCCCGTGGGTCCTACGCTCCCGCGCCTTCTAGGGAAGCCCCTAAAGTTGGTGAGTCCCCTAGAAAGCAGTTCCTCTGTGGCTACGTCCAGGACGAACAACCAAAAACCGCCCCAGCCCCCCAAACCCCAATTGCCTTATTCTGTTTCCACTTGCTTTAGCCCCCACGCTCCTGTGTGCGAGAGGGGCCTGGTCAGACTGCAGACCCCACCCAGGAGGAGGAAGAGGAAGGGGCCGCCGTGGCCCGGGCACCCCCAGGGTAATGGAAGTCAGGTCCATATGAATATTGCAGAACGTGAAGGGCCAGGCAGCGCCCCCCACCGCCGGGCCCACGGGCAGCCCCTCATCTGCAACCCCTCATATTCATAGGCAGCCCCTCGTGTTCACAGGCACGCCCCTCATATGCAGTCCTTCATGGCCTGACATCTGTGGGGAAGTCTCTGCCCACACCTAACACCTAAGCCTCTCAGGTAGGAGGGGCAACTTGTGCGGGGGTCGCTGGGAGGTGGGGGGCATCAACTCTGGAAGAGACCACAGCTCTGGCCAGGACCAGGGTCGCCTCCCGGCCACTTCCGGCTTCTGGGAGATTTCCTTTTCCTTGCAACTGGGGTGGGAGTGGACAGATGACCGTCCCTAGGCCTGTGCTTCAAACCCGAAGCCATGCTTCTGTGCAAATGAGGCTCCTGGGCCACATGAACTCCTGTGCAAAGGCCTGGAAAATTAACACTTTGAACAAAGTCAGACATGTTTGAGCATTTGTGGCGAGTTTCAGTTGCCAGGGGCCCCAGGGAAGGCTGGACTGCGGCTTGTCTGGCCTCCCCCGCCTCCCTATGGCTTCTGTAGGCGATGTGACTGAATCACAAAACGTAGGCATCTTGCAGTGCCGTGTAAGGAAATGTAAGTACCGTGAACAGTTTCCAGCATGTAATGCGCGAAAAGCCGGGCGTCCACGCCGGTGTTACCGGGGAAGGGTCAGTCACTGCAACCCCGGCATTGCGCCCGCTGTTCCCAGGACGGCCATGTCAGCCCGAGGACCTGCGTCTGCACTGGCTGTTGGTTGGGGCTGTGAGGGGCCTAAGGTTGCCTGGGGATTGGAAACGCAAGGGCGTTTTGGAGGCTTGGCACACTGGGGGCCTGGAGTCGGGGCAGAGGCTCTCCAGGAGCTCCCTGTGGCTCCGGAGCAGCAAGTGGCCTGGTCTTCTGCCAGGCACAGTTGGGCATTCCCAGCCCGCCCACGTGGACTCAATCTTTCTTCTTGTATTTGCTTTCTTCTGAGCTGTGTATCCTGAGTTTTTGTTGTTTGTTTTTGCTTTACCTGCATTCGTTTTCTGTTCTTTCTAATTCTGCATGCTTTTTGCACACTGGTGCTTTCTGCAGAAGGGGATGGGGGTGAGAGGTTTTGTGTGGATTGCGTCTGAGGCAAGGTGCCCACAGAGCATGCACATCAGGACAGATCTGTGAGGAGGGACAGGGTCAGAGCGTGGGGTGTGGAGCTCTTGACCCTGGGGACTGCCAGTGTTTGTGTGGGTTGTGTGAGTGTGCTTGTGGGGCAGTGTATCTTATGGGGTGTGTTGCAGTGTGAGGTGAGTGAGGTCAGAGGGGGTTGGGGGTGACGCTTTTGAATCTTGAGACCTTCTCTCAACCCAGAGCTAACAATTTTATCACCGAAAGATAATCTCCTGATGACACTGTGTATTTGTGAGTGATGTCACATGGGGGAAATGGCACCTGCCGCTCTGCGCCCTGTCTCTCTCCGGAAACGGCGCGTCAGGGGTGTCATTTCCATGACAGTAAATGTAGATATACGTTGTTGTTTTTCATGTTTACATAGACGAATTTGGGTATTTACTAAAAATGATTAACACCTACTTCCCTCTGTTGGTGGAATTTTAGGGTGTTTTATTTTACATTCAATGGAATTTCTAAGGAATATTAGTATATCTTATAAAGAAAAGATATAAATAATTTTAGGACAAGTGATAACAGGCAGTCCAAAAGCCAACAGGATGACAGATTGTCTCTGGTTCAGTTAGTTCCTCTATGTAAGTGTTAGAAGCAAAGACTGTGCATTTCACCCTTAATTCTAAATATGATAAAAGGAGAGAATTTGCAGTGATTTGATTATTACAATAAAATGTACTGAAGTGACAGTTGACAAGCAAAAGGGGACCAACCACTCTGTATTGCCCAGACAAATTCCAGTTAGATTCGACACACATACACAGAGACACGCACACTTCCCCATGGAAAACAGGTCCCTTAGAAACAATAAACTACAAGAGGGCCTGGGACTTCCAGGATGACTGAGTGAGGAACTTGGCAAATTCTCTTCCCCAAAAGCAACCACAAAGCTGAACAGAATTTTCAAAAACAGTCATTTCAGAATTCTGGAAATGGACTAAAGGCTTGCAAGAAACTGAGAGGCATTGAAACCCTTGGCAAGAACAGTGGGAGCCTCTGGCATTTCAGCGGGGACTGCTCCTGTCTCCCCAGGTCCATGGCATGGTAGCACTAGAGGGGAAGACAAGCCACCAGGAGAGCTGACTTGATTTGGGGGAGAGTGTGGAAAAGTCCATGGCCAGCTGTTGTCAGTAACAGGAGAGTATCGGTGGCAGACCGCCAAGGAAGGTCAGCGTCAAGGCTGCTTGAGGTCATGCTGCTCTTTCGGGCAAGCAACAGACCAGTAGATCAGGTAGAAATTCAAAGCAGCAGCAACCCTGTTCTCCAGTGGTTCTGGGAAGCTGGGAAAAAGCACAAGGCTTCATGCAGCCTCAGGGGAAAGCGATATTTTGTTATGGTGGCCCTAGATAACTAACATCATGTTTCAGCACGACCTCTGACTCACCACTGGCATGGGCAGATTCAGAAGAAGACTCAGACTGAATAGGGCTTCCCCTAGACTGTAAGCAGAACAGAGGTGGGGGCTGGGTCTGAGCTGTTTCTCTCTGTATACGCAACACCCTCACAGAATCCAGCACACAGAAGCTGTCCTGTAAATATCAGATGGACAGATAAACAGGTGAGGCACGGACTAGCTGGAGGATCTGCCCACATCAGGACCTTGGAGAGCTCCAGTCCTCAAGATGGGAACTCTCTCTGCTCAGGACTCCAGTGGCTTAAAGGTCTTTCTCAGATCAGCTTTGCCCTCTTTTTTGACTGAGCCTGAAATTCGATACTTTTACCTAAGGTAGAGGTCACAAGGAGCTTAGTTTCAGGAGTCGTGAAAAGATGGTAGGCCCAGAACGTGTAAGTATATGGCAGGACTTTGGGATCCCCATGGATAATCTCAATGCCTCAGACTCCAATAGGGTTTGATATTTATGGCATCCATATTGATATTTCTCCCATGTAGGAGCCCTCAAGCTGTTTCAAAACAGATGGATAGATGCAACATTTGTGCATGTAAGGGCATCATGAGAAACTAAATTATGACATGGTTTGAATTAGGTAGGAAATGGACAATTTTGTGAATAACTTATTAAAAATAAAATGATGATTCCAATACCATTGGATAAGAATCTCTAAAACATAACTAAGTTATATAAACTGCTAGCCAGATGGTGGAGCCAGGAGGGGCAAGCGCCGGCACCTTCATGTCTTTTGAACAAGGAAGGTGGTGCCTGCCAGGTAGGAGAGCCCTGCCTCCTCCCAGAAACCCCCACAGCCTTCATCCCACTTGGTCCTACTGTTCTTACCTGTTGCCCTCTCCATATCTCTTCTTGTTCAGCTTGGTCCATCTCTCTCTGGACTTGCTCCCCATCTCTGTCTCCCTAGTAACTCTTTCCTGTCCATGTCTGAGAGTCCCTTGGAGAGAAGGCAGCTCCACCTTCTACAAGTGGTCCCTGAAATGCCCTCATCCCTACCTGCCCCAGTTCCCTTGTCGGTATATAAAAATATCTTTACAGTAAAGAACAGAGCACACTCAGCCCCCTGGTTGTTTGATGTCCTGCACAGCCTCAGGACTTTGCAGGGAGTCTCCACCAAGAAGAAGGCCCTCACCAGATTTGGTCTCTCAACGTTGGACTTCTCAGCCTCCACAACTAATTGTACTAATCATCAGTTTATTCATGAAGCATGACTTGGATTGAACAAGATAAGCTGGGTCAAGCATTTGAAGACGCTTTTGAGGTACTGAGGCAACATCCAACTTTAGATCCTCAGAACTCCCCTGATGACAAAAATTACCTGTCTTTCATTAACTGTTGTCTTCATATCAGAGGAAATTCCAGCTGCTATGAGTGTTGCCTACGGAGGAACCTGTCTACAATTGGAGAACTGTAATAGCAGGACTGTGGACTTCTATTTTGAAGGAAATATTCATCAACCTCTGCAGAGCATAACTGAAAACCAGCTGGTACAACCTGCTCTTCTCCAGCAAGAGGAAGAAAAGGCAGGAAGAGGCTCTGGCTATTGAATACCTTCACAAATCCCTGTGTACTGAGATGGCATCTTGTATTCACTGGGAAGATAAAACCAAAGACACCTTTCAGTTTGTAACAAAAAACCAGGAAACTTCTGAACTTTGGGGGAAGAGAAAAAGCAACCAGAGTACCATGACTTTCCAGAAATGGCCAGGGCACTGAGGAGCTGTGGAAGAACTGGGGAAATCACCGAAACCCAGTACCATTTCAGTGAGGCCATTCTCCAAAAACTCTCTCCATCTTATTTCTTGGGGAAAGAGTTCTTCTACTTACAATATGATCAACCTGATTAAGAATATATTGGTTTCTATAACTGTGATGCAGATTATAACTATACAAATGCCAATTACCAGAAGCTAAGCCACCCTGATTCCAAAATATAGTCTCACATTTCATGGTTTCCTGGTATCAGAAATCCCTATGAGCCTGAGATTTTTTCCCTTAAAGCAAATACTGAAGATAAGAAACCAATTAATTTCATTGTTGCTATCTTGTATCCAATGGCATAAAATCTATACTAACTTGATTAGAAATTCTGCCAATGAACAACTTTATTGTTTTGAGTGATGAAGCCCCATTTGAGAATATAGGCTCAATGGCCTTGCTCTTAACTGTTCTCTATGCAGTCACTTTCTTCTGCACTAAAGTGCCAATACAGATACTGAATACATTGATTTAAATACATAGATATATAAATAGATATTTAAATATGCAATATATATGGATACTTTATATATTGATTTAAACATTTTCCTCTCATAGATGAAAAATCACTCTAACATGTATTGATGGCTTCACAAGAAATCATTTACAGAAAATAATTGCATATGATACAGTGTTTGTGCCAAAATGTATTCATGGCTTTAAAAACTTCAGTGGAAATGTCTATTCAGATCCCTAGCCCATTGTTAAATTGGTTTCTGTTTTCTTGCTAAGTTTGAGCTGCTTATAGATGATGGATATTGACCCCTTATAGATGTTGGATATTGACCCCTTGTGGATGTATGGCCGGTGCTTTTCCCAGTATTTAGGTCATCTCTGCACACTGTTGATTGTTTCCTTTGCTGGGTAGAAGTTTTTTGGTTTGATGTAATCCTATTTGTTTAGTTTTACTTTTGTTGCTTGCACTTTTGGTGTTAAGTCCAAAAGAAAATTGCAAACACCAATGTCGTGTAATTTTTACTCTCTGTTTTCTTCTGGTAGTTTTAGAGCAAGTTTATCCAACCTGTGGTCTGTGGGCTGCATGCAGCCCAGGACAGCTTTGAATGTGGCTCAACACAAATATGTAAACTTTCTTAAACATTATGAGATTTTTTTGGTGATTTTTTTTTAGCTTATCAGCTATTAGTGTGTGTGTGTGTGTGTGTGTGTGTGTGTGTGTGTGTGTGTGTATTTTTTTTTTTTTTTGAGACAGATCCTTGGTCTGTTGCCCAGGCTGGAGTGCAGTGGTGTGATCTTGGCTCACTGCAACCTCTGCCTCCCGGTTCCAGCGATTCTCCTGTCTCAGCCTCCCAAGTAGCTGGGATTACAGGCCCGTGCCACCACACATGGCTAATTTTTGTATTTTTAGTAGAGAAGGGGCTTTTTTTTAATATACTTTAAATTCTAGGGTACATCTGCACAATGTGCACGTTTGTTACATATGTATGCATGTGCCATGTTGGTTTGCTGCACCCATTAACTCATCATTTACATTAGGTATTTCTCTTAATACCATCCTTCCCCCAGCTACAGGCCCCAGTGTGTGATGTTCCCTGCTGTGTGCCCAAGTGTTCTCATTGTTCAACTCCCACCTATGAGTGAGAACATGTGGTTGGTTTTGTGTCCTTCTGATAGTTTGCTGAGAATGATGGTTTCCAGCTTCATCCATGTCCCTGCAAAGGACATGAACTCATCCTTTTTTATGGCTGCATAGTACTCCATGGTGTGTATGTGCCACATTTTCTTAATCCAGTCTATCATTGATGGACATTTGGGTTGATTCCAAGTCTTTGCTATTGTGAATAGTGCCACAGTAAACATACATGTGCATGTGTCTTTTATAGTAGCATGATTTATAATCCTTTGGGTATATACCCAGTAATGGGATGGCTGGGTCAAACGGTATTTCTAGTTCCAAATCCTTGAGGAACTGCCACACTGTCTTCCACAATGGTTAAACTAGATTACACTCCCACCAACAGTGTAAAAGCATTCCTATTTCTCCACATCCTCTCCAGCACCTGTTGTTTCCTGACTTTTTAATGATCGCCATTCTAACTGGTGTGAGATGGTATCTCATTGTGGTTTTGATTTGCATTTCTCTGATGGCCAGTGATGATGAGCATCTTTTCATGTGTCTGTTGGCTGCATAAATGTCTTCTTTTGAGAAGTGTCTGTTCATATCTTTCACCCACTTTTTGATGGGGTTGTTTGACTTTTTCTTATAAATTTAAGTTCTTTGTAGATTCTTGATATTAGCCCTTTGTAAGATGGGTAGATTGCAAAAATTTTCTCCCATCCTGTAGGTTGCCTGTTCACTCTGATGATAGTTTCTTTTGCTGTGCAGAAGCTCTTTAGTTTAATTAGATCCCATTTGTCAATTTTGGCTTTTGTTGCCATTGCTTTTGGTGTTTTAGTTATGAAGTCCTTGCCCATGCATATGTCCTGAATGGTATTGCCCAGGTTTTCTTCTAGGGTTTTTATGGTTTTAGATCTAACATTTAAGACTTTAATCCATCTTGAGTTAATTTTTGTATAAGGTGTAAGGAAGGGATCCAGTTTCAGCTTTCTACATATGGCTGGCCAGTTTTCCCAGCACCGTTTATTAAATAGGGAATCCTTTCCCCATTGTTTGTTGTTGTCAGGTTTGTCAAAGATCAGATGGTTGTAGATGTGTGGTATTATTTCTGAGGGCTCTGATCTGTTCCATTCGTCTATATCTCTGTGTTGGTACCAGTACCATGCTGTTTTGGTTACTGTAGCCTTGTAGTATAGTTTGAAGTCAGGTAGTGTGATGCCTCCAGCTTTGTTCTTTTTGCTTAGGATTGTCTTGGCAATGTGGGCTCTTCTTTGGTTCCATATGAACTTTAAAGTAGTTTTTTCCAATTCTGTGAAGAAAGTCATTGGTAGCTTGATGGGGATGGCATTGAATCTATAAATTACCTTCGGCAGTATGGCCATTTTCATGATATTGATTCTTCCTATCCATGAGCATGGAATGTTCTTCCATTTGTTTGTATCCTCTTTTATTTCATTGAGCAGTGGTTTGTAGTTCTCCTTGAAGAGGTCCTTCACATCCCTTGTAAGTTGGATTCCTAGGTATTTTATTCTCTTTGAAGCAGTTGTGAATGGGAGTTCACTCATGATTTGGCTCTCTGTCTGTTATTGGTGTATAAGAATGCTTGTGATTTTTGCACATTGATTTTGTATCCTGAGACTTTGCTGAAGTTGCTTATCAGCTTAAGGAGATTTTGGGCTGAGACGATGGGGTTTTCTAAATATACAATCATGTCATCTGCAAACAGGGACAGTTTGACTTCCTCTTTTCCTAATTGAATACCCTTTATTTCTTTCTCCTGCCTGATTGCCCTGGCCAGAACTTCCAATACTATGTTGAATAGGAGTGGTGAGAGAGGGCATCCCTGTCTTGTGCCAGTTTTTAAAGGGAATGCTTCCAGTTTTTGCCCATTCATTATGATATTAGCTGTGGGTTTGTCATGAATTGCTCTTATTATTTTGAGATACATCCCATCAATACCTAGTTTATTGAGAGTTTTTAGCACGAAGAGCTATTGAATTTTGTCTAAGGCCTTTTCTGCATCTATTGAGATAATCATGTGGTTTTTGTCTTTGGTTCTGTTTATATGATGGATTACATTTATTGATTTGTGTATGTTGAATCAGCCTTGCATCCCAGGGATGAAGCCAGCTTGATCGTGGTGGATAAGCTTTTTGATATGCTGCTGGATTCGGTTTGCCAGTATTTTATTGAGGATTTTTACTTCGATGTTCATCAGGGATATTGGTCTAAAATTCTTTTTTTTTGTTGTGTCTCTGCCAGGCTTTGGTATCAGGATGATGCTGGCCTCATAAAATGAGTTATGAAAGATTCCCTCTTTTTCTGTTGATTGGAATAGTTTCAGAAGGAATGATACTAGCTCTTCTTTATACCTCTGGTAGAATTCAGCTGTGAATCTGTCTGGTCCTGGACTTTTTTTTGTTGGTAGGCTATTAATTATTGCCTCAATTTCAGAGCCTGTTATTGGTCTATTGAGGGATTCAACTTCTTCCTGGTTTAGTCTTAGGAGAGTGTATGTGTCCAGGAATTTATCCATTTCTTCTAGATTTTCTAGTTTATTTGCATAGAGGTGTTTATAGCATTCTCTGATGGTAGTTTATATTTCTGTGGGATTGATGATGATATCCCCTTTATCATTTTTATTGCTTCTATTTGATTCTTCTCTCTTTTGTTTATTAGTCTTGCTAGCAGTCTACCAAGTTTGTTAATGTTTTCACAAAACCAGCTTCTGGATTCATTTATTTTTTGAAGGGTTTTTGTGTCTCTATCTCCTTCAGTTCTGCTCTGATCTTAGTTATTTCTTGCCTCCTACTAGCTTTTGACTGTGTTTGCTCTTGCTTCTCTAGTTCTTTTAATTG
This sequence comes from Homo sapiens, assembly GCF_000001405.40. NCBI lineage: Eukaryota > Metazoa > Chordata > Mammalia > Primates > Hominidae > Homo > Homo sapiens. The sequence continues at coordinate 63,183 of NC_000005.10, forward strand.
TGATGTTAGGGTGTCGATTTTAGATCTTTCCTGGTTTCTCTTGTGGGCATGTAGTGCTATAAATTTCCCTCTACACACTGCTTTAAATGTGTCCTAAATCTCTAGGTATGTGTCTTTGTTCTCATTGGTCTCAAAGAACACCTTTATTTCTGCCTTCATTTTGTTATTTACCCAGTAGTCATTCAGGAGCAGGTTGTTCAGTTTCCATATAGTTGTGCGGTTTTGAGTGAGTTTCTTAATCCTGAGTTCTAATTTGATTGCACTGTGGTCTGAGAGACAGTTTGTTATAATTTCTGTTCTTTTACATTGCTGAGGAGTGCTTTACTTGCAACTATGTGGTCAATTTTGGAATAAATGCGATGTGGTGCTGAGGAGAATGTATATTCTGTTGATTTGGGATGGAGAGTTCTGTAGATGTCTATTAGGTCCACTTGGTGCAGAGCTGAGTTCTAGTCCTGGATATCCTTGTTAACTTTCTGTCTCATTGATCTGTCTAATGTTGACAGTGGGGTGTTAAAGTCTCCCATTATTATTGTGTGGGAGTCTAAGTTTCTTTTTAGGTGTCTAAGGACTTTCTTTATGAATCTGGGTGCTCCTGTATTGGGTGCATATATATTTAGGAGAGTTAGCTCTTCTTGTTGAATTGATCCCTTTACCATTATGTAATGGCCTTCTTTGTCTCTTTTGATCTTTGTTGGTTTAAAGTCTGTTTTATCAGAGATTAGGATTGCAACCCCTGCTTGTTTTTGTTTTCCATTTGCTTGGTAGATCTTTCTCCATCCCTTTATTTTGAGCCTATGTGTGCCTCTGCACATGAGATGGGTCTCCTGAATACAACACACTGATGGGTCTTGACTCTTTATCCAATTTGCCAGTCTGTGTCTTTTAATTGGGGCATTTAGCCCATTTACATGTAAGGTTAATATTGTTATGTGTGAATTTGATCCTGTCATTATGATGTTAGCTGGTTATTTTGCTCATTAGTTGAAGCAGTTGCTTGATGCAGTTTCTTCCTAGCATTGATGGTCTTTACAATTTGGCATGTTTTTGCAGTGGCTGGTACTGGTTGTTCTTTTCCATGTTTAGTGCTTCCTTCAGGAGCTCTTGTAAGGCAGGCCTGGTGGTGACAAAATCTCTCAGCATTTGCTTGTCTGTAAAGGATTGTATTTCTCCTTCACTTATGAAGCTTAGTTTGGCTGGATATGAAATTCTGGGTTGAAAATTCTTTCCTTTAAGAATGTTGAATATTGGCCCCTACTCTCTTCTGGCTTGTAGAGTTTCTGCTGAGAGATCAGCTGTTAGTCTGATGGGCTTCCCTTTGTGGGTAACCCGACCTTTCTCTCTGGCTGCCCTTAACGTTTTTTCCTTCATTTCAACCTTGGTAAATCTGACTTATGTGTCTTGGGGTTGCTCTTCTCGAGGAGTATCTTTGTGGCGTTCTCTGTATTTCCTGAATTTGAATGTTGGCCTGCCTTGCCAGGTTGGGGAAGTTCTCCTGGATAATATCCTGAAAAGTATTTTCCAACTTGGTTCCATTCTCCCCATCACTTTCAGGTACACCAATCAGATGTAAATTTGGTCTTTTCACATAGTCCCATATTTCTTGGAGACTTTGTTCATTTCTTTTTACTCTTTTTTTCTCTAAACTTCTCTTCTTGCGTCATTTCATTCATTTGATCTTCAATCACTGATACCCTTTCTTCCACTTGATCGAATTGGCTACTGAAGCTTGTGCACGCGTCACATAGTTCTTGTGCCATGGCTTTCAGCTCCATCAGGTCATTTAAGGTCTTCTCTACACTGTTTATTCTAATTAGCCATTCGTCTAATCTTTTTTCAAGGTTTTTAGATTCTTTGTGATAGGTTCGAACATCCTCCTTTAGCTTGGAGAAGTTTGTTATTACTGATCTTCTGAAGCCTACTTCTGTCAACTCGTCAAAGTCATTCTCTGTCCACCTTTGTTCTATTGCTGGTGAGGAGCTGCGTTCCTTTGGAGGAGAAGAGGTGCTCTGATTTTAGAATTTTCAGCTTTTCTGCTCTGGTTTCTCCCCATCTTTGTGGTTTTATCTACCTTTGGTCTTTGATGATGGTGACCTACAGATGAGGCTTTGGTGTGGATGTCCTTTTTGTTGATGTGGATGCTATTCCTTTCTAATTGTTAGTTTTCCTTGTAACAGTCAGAACCCTCAGCTGCAGGTCTGTTGGAGTTTGCTGGAGGTCCACTGCAGACCCTGTTTGTGTCACCAGCAGAGGCTGCAGAACAGCAAATATTGCAGAACAGAAAATGTTGCTGCCTGATCCTTCCTCTGGAAGCTTCGTCTCAGAGGGGCACCTGGCTGTATGAGGTGTCAGTCGGCCCCTACTAGGAGATGTCTCCCAGTTAGGCTACTCAGGGGTGAGGGACCCACTTGAGGAGGCAGTTCTGTCCGTTCTCAGATCTCAAACTCCATGCTGGGAGAACCACTCCTCTCTTCAAAGCTGTCAGACAGGGACATTTAAGTCTGCAGAAGTTTCTGCTGCCTTTTGTTCGGCTATGCCCTGCCCCCAGAGGTGGAGTCTACAGAGGCAGGCAGGCCTCCTTGAGCTGTGGTGAGCTCCACCCAGTTCGAGCTTCCCAGCCACTTTGTTTACCTACTCAAGCCTCAGCAATGGCAGGTGCCCCTCCCCCAGCCTCGCTGCTGCCTTGCAGTTTGATCTCAGACTGCTGTGCTAGCAGTGAGCAAGGCTCCGTGGGCGTGGGACCCTCCCGGCCAGGGGCGGGATATAATCTCCTGGTGTGCCATTTGCTAAGACCATTGGAAAAGCACAGTATTAGGGTGGGAGTGTCCCGATTTTCCAGGTACCATCTGTCATGGCTTCCCTTGGCTAGGAAAGGGAATTCCCCGACCCCTTGCACTTCTCAGGTGAGACAATGCCCCACCCTGCTTCGGCTCACACTCCATGGCTGCACCCACTGTCCAACAAGTCCCAGTGAGATGAACCCAGTACCTCAGTTGGAAATGCAGAAATCATCCATCTTCTGCGTTGTTCATGCTGGGAGCCATGGACTGGAGCTGTTCCTATTCGGTCGTCTTGGATCTCTGCCTCGAGAAGGGGTTTCATTATGTTGGCCAGACTGGTCTTGAACTCCTGACCTCATGATCTGCCTGCCTTGGCCTCCCAAAATGCTGGGATTACAGGCATGAGCCACTGTGCTCAGCCTGTTAGTATATTTTATGTGTGGCCCAAGACAATTCTTCTTCCAATGTGGCTCAGAGAAGCCAAACAAGTGGACACCCGTTTTAGAGTTTCTAGTGTTATGTTACAGTCTTTGGTCCATTTTAAGTTGATTTTTGAATACAGTGTGAGATAGGGGTCCACTTTCATTCTTCTGCATGTTTTCCCAGCATCATTTATTGAAGAGACTGTCCTTGTCTTCTTGGCACCGTTGTTGAAATCAGTTAACTGTACATGCATGAGTTCATTTCTAGGCTCTCTGTTCAGTTCCACTGGTTAACGTGTCTGTTTTTTCTTCTTTTTTTTTTTGGTCAATTTTATGCTATTTTAATTACTATGGCTTTGGAGTGTACTTTGAGGTCAGGTGGTGTGATACTTAACAGCTTTGTTCTTATTGCTCTTGGTTGTCCTGGCTATTCATGGTTTTATGAGGTTCTATATGAATTTTTTGATTACTATTTTTTATTTCTATGAAACAGACATTGGGATCTTGTTAAGGATTACATTGAAACTGTTGGTTGCTTTGGGTACTATGGACTTCTTAACCATATTAATTATCCAATCCATGAATATGGGATATCTTTCTATTTATTTGTGTCATCTTCAATTTATTTCCCCAATGTTTTATAGTTTTCATTGGCAGGTCTTTCACATCCTGGGTTAAATTTATTCCTAGGTAATTTGTTAAAGCTATTATGAGTGGGATTGTTCTCTTGATTTCTTTTTCAGATAGTTCATTGTCAGTATATAGAGAGACTACTGATTTTTGTGTGTTGATTTTGAGTCCTTCAGCTTTACTGTACTTGTTTATAAGTTCTGAGAGTGTTTTTGTGATGATATAGTGTGGCTATGTCCCCACCCAAATCTCATCTTGAATTATAGTTCCCATAATCCTCATGTGTCTTGGGAGGGACCTGCTGGGAGGTAATTTAATCATGGGGGTGATTACCCTCATGCTGTTCTCGAGATAGTAAGTTCTCATGAGATCTGATGTTTGTTTGTTTGTTTGTTTGTTTTTGAGACAGAGTCTTGCTCTGTCACCCAGGCTGGAGTGCAGTGGTGCAGTCTCGGCTCACTGCAACCTCCGCCTCATGGGTTCAAGCGATTCTCCTGCCTCAGCCTCCCCAGTAGCTGGGATTATATTGCCTTGGCCTCCCAAAGTGCTGTGATTACAGGCATGAGCCAGCACACTCGGCCTTGAGATCTGATGGTTTTATAAGGAGCTTTTCCCCCTTTTGCTCTGCACTTCTCCTTGCTGCTGCCATGTCAAGAAGGATGTGTTTACTTCCCCTTCCAACTGATTGTAAGCTTCCTGAGGCCTCCCCAGCCATGCTGAACTGTGAGTCAATTAAATCTCTTTCCTTTATAAATTACCCAGTCTCAGGTATATCTTTATTAGCAGGGTGAGAATGGACTAATACAGTAAGTTGGTACCACAGAGAGTGGGGCACTGCTGTAAAGATACCCAAAAATGTGGAAGCAACTTTGGAACTGGGTAACAGGCAGAGATTGGAACTGTTTGGAGAACTCAGAAGAGGACAGGAAAGTGTGGGCAAGTTAGGAACTTCCTAGAGACTTGTTGAATGGCTTTGACCAAAATGCTGACAGCGATATGGACAATGAAGTCCAGGCTGAGGTGGTCTTAGATGGAGATGAGGAGCTTTTTGGGAACTGCAGTAAAGGTCACTCTTGCTATGCAAAGAGGCTGGTGGCATTTTTCCCCTGCCCTAGAGATCTGTGAAACTTGGAACTTGAGAGAGATGATTTAGGGTATCTGGCAGAAGAAATTTCTAAATTGCAAAGCATTCAAGAGGAAGCAGAATATAAAAGTTTAGAAAATTTGCAACCGGAAGATGTGATAGAAAAGAAAACCCCATTTTCTGGGGAGAAATTCAAGCCAGCTCCGGACGTTTGCATAAGTAACAAGGAGCCAAAATTTAATCACCAAAACAATGGGGAAAATGTCTCTAAGGCATGTCAGAGACTTTCACAGCAACTCCTCCCATCACAGTCATGGAGGCCTAGGAGGGAAAAATGGTTTCACTGGCTGGGCCCAAGGCCCCCCTGCTATGTGCAGCCTAGGGACTTGGTGCTTTGTGTCCCAGTCACTCCAGCCGTGGCTAAAAGGGACCAAGGTACAGCTTCAGAGGGTGCAAGACCCAAGCCAAGAATTGAAGTTTGGGAACCTCTGCCTAGATTTCAGAGGATGTATGGAAACACCTGGGTGTCCAAGCAGAAGCTTGCTGCAGGGGCAGAGCCCTCATGGAGAACCTTTGCTAGGGCCATGTGGAAGAGAAATGTGGGGTTGGAAGCCCCATACAGAGTCCCCACTGGGGCACTGCTTGGTGGAACTGTGAGAAGAGGGTCACCATCCTCCAGACCCCAGAATGGTAGATCCCTGACAGCTTGCACCATGCACCTGGAAAAGCTGCAGACATTCAATGCCAGCCCATGAAAACAGCCAGAAGGGGGGCTGTACCCTGCAAAGACACAGGGGTGGAGCTGCCCAAGGCCATGGGAGCCCACCTCTTGCATCAGCATGCCCTGGATGTGAGAAATGGAGTCAAAGGAGATAATTTTGGAACTTTAAGGTTTAATGACTGCCCTATTGGATTTTGGACTTGCATGGGGCCTGTAGCCCCTTGGTTTTGGCCAATTTCTACCATTTGGAATGGGTGTATTTAGCCAATGCCTGTACCCCCATTGTATCTAGGAACTAACTAACTTGCTTTTGATATTACAGGCTCACAGGCAGAAGGGACTTGCCTTGTCTCAGATGAGACTTTGGACTTGGACTTTTGAGTTAATGCTGGAATGAGCTAAGACTTTGGAGGACTGTTGGAAGGGCATGATTGTGTTTTGAAATGTGAGGACATGAGATTTGAGAGGGGCCAGGGGTGGAATGTGTCCCCACCCAAATCTCATCTGGAATTGTAGTTCCCATAATCCCCACGTGTCTTGGGAGGGACCCAGTGGGAGGTAATTTAATTGTGGGGGCAGTTACCCTTATGCTGTTCTCATGATAATGAGTCAGTTCTCATGAGATCTGATGGTTTTATAAGGGGCTTTTCCCCCTTTTGCTCTGCACTTCTCCTTGCTGCCACCAAGTGAAGAAAGACGCGTTTGCTTCCCCTTCCACCATGATTATAAGCTTCCTGAGGCCTCCCCAACCATGCTGAACTGTAAGTCAGTTAAACCACTGTCTTTTACAAATTACCCAGTCTCGGGTATGTCTTTATTAGCAGTATGAGAACAGACTAATACAGGTGGAGTCTGAGTTTTCCACATATAGGATCACTTTGTCAGTAAACAATGGCAGTTTCACTCACTCTTTTCTTATGTGGATGTCTTTTGGTTTTTTCCATGCCTGATTACCCCAGCAAGGACTTCCATTTATATTAATATATTGCATGGATGTAGCAAGAGTGGGCATCCTTGTCTTGTTTCAGATCCTTGAGGAAAGGCTTTCAGTTTTTCAACACTGAATATAATGTTGGCTCTGGACTTCTTATAAATGGTCTTTATTGTGTTGAGGTACATTCTTTCTATTTTTAATTTGGTGAGTTTTTAAAAGGAGGGAATGTTCAGCTTTATCAAATGCCTTTTCTGTGTCTGATGGGGTAATCATATGATTTTTGTTTTTCATTCTATTGGTGTAATATATCATATTTGCTGATTTGCATATGTTGAACCATCCTTGCATCCCAAGGATAAAGACATTTCTCAAAAGAAGACATAAAAATGGCCAACATATATAAGAAGAAAATGCTTGACACGACTGTCATTAGAAAATGCAAATTCAGACAACAATGAGATATCATATCTCACCTGTCAGAATGCCTTTTATCAAGAAGATGAAAGACAAGTGTTGGCAAGGATGTGGAGAAAAGGGAACTCTTACACATTTGGTGGAAATATAACTTAGTACAGCCATTATGGAAAATAGTATGGAGGTTCCTCAAAAGCTAAAAATAAGCCATTGCACTCCAGCCTGGGCAACAGAGAGAGACCTCGTCTCAACAACAACAAAACCTAAAAACAGAATTACCCTATGATCCAGCAGTCCCACTTCTGGTTATTTACCCAAAAGATGTGAAATCAGTTTGTCAAACAGATGTCTGCACTCCAGTGTTTACTGAAGCACTATTCAAAATAGCCAAGTCATAGAATCAAAAATAGCAGCAGATGAAATGGATAATGAAAATGTGCATATACATCATTGAAGACTTTTCTCCCTTAAAAAAGAAGAAAATTCTTACATTTATGATGACACGGATGTAACTGGAGAACATTATGTCAAATGAAATGAGCCAGGAATGGAAAGAGAAATACCACATGTTCTCACTTACATGTGGAATCTGAAACAATTGGACTTATAGAGGCAAAGAGCAGACTGATGGTTACAACAGTTTAGGGGATGGGAAGATGATTGTCAAAGTACAAAATCTCAGAAAGAATACATATGTTTTTCTTTTTTGATTTAGATTGCATAGTGTGGTGAATCTAGTTAATAACAGAGTATTACACATTTAAAAATTGCTAAGAAAGTAAATTTCAAGTGTGCTTAACACAAAAAATGTTAAGTATTTGAGGTGCTGGATATGTTAACCAGCTTGATTTAATTATGTCACATTGTATTCATAAATTACAACATCATTTTACACCTCATACATTTACACCGTTTTTTAAATTAAAAAAATAACAAAAGGACAAAGATCACAGTTGCAAAGAGGTAAAAAGGCATAAAACCAAGTCACAAAAGTAGTAGAAACATCCAGCAATTATATGAATTGAGTGTTCCGAGGACTTCAGATAGGCAGCTTTTTCTTTCCTTCCCAGGGCCTGGCTCCTTTCAGAGTTCCAGCCTCTCGAGTGATTTCTCCAGAGCCCACTCAGTGACACCTCTTATTTGACGCATGCCTCTGCCTGTATATTCTGTGACCAAACAGGGTTTTACTTGTGTTTGGTTTATTTCAGATGCAAAAGAGAGCTTGGCATATATGCCTGGGAAGTGGAAATGTTGGAAATTCTGGGCCTCTGAAATAAGGATTGCTCAGAAAGTCGGTATTTTTTCCCACAACCAGAGGAACCACAGCTAACTGGCCCTTCTCTATCCAGACAGGACTGGTCCTATGTGGATTTTAGTGGCTGTTTTGGACCCCTCTGAGTCAAGGGCAGGAGGCCCTTCCCCCGGTCACATTGGCCTTTCCAGGCCCTTCTCCTGCCCTGTGTCCTGTGGTGTGACAGTGATGACCATGTCCCTTTTGGAGCAAGTGTTGTGAGCTCAGGGATGGATTCAGGCTCAGCTTTGAGATACTCAGCACAGGCTTTTAAAACCCACTCTGTCCTGGTAACATCACTTATGTATTCGGGCCTGGAGGAGCCTCAAGATTGCAGAGGTGAAATGTTTTGTATTTTTTGTGTAATTTGTGCCATAAAGAACCACCAGGGTCTGAACGTCATAGCAAGAGGCAGAGTTCCTGATTCTCTGGGAATGTTGTTCTTAGGATGGTTTACAGAAACACTTGCTGGAGGCAAGTAATTTCATCTGGCTATTTCAACGTGGTGAAGGACACAGCATTATTTTTAGACAACACCAGGTGCCATTAGCAAACTGTATTTGCGTTAATCTTTTCCGCAGTGGGTGGGGATGGCCAGATGCACCCGGCTTCTGACTTACTCTTATGTCAGACTCACTTGGGGGGCTCTGATGCTTGGGAACAGAGATGGACCTGGGACATAGGAGCCACTCCTTGTCCAGAATATTAAGTTCCCACCTTCAAGGGACTTTCTGAATTGGTAAATATGAAGCACCATGAAAAAAACGAATAGAAACATTTTCACATCTACTTAAGCTATAACTGGGAGCCACAGTGATGTGCTGCTGAGGCGAATCACCCCTTTGATTGCAGTGCAGCCGTCTTTACAGCAGCCGACCGTGTCCGGACACCCAGTGTCTCTGTGCTCCGAGGCTGGGGAAAATAGGGTGCACCCAGCAAGTCCAAGTGGAGTCCACCTTTGCCTCTCCACCAGGCATTGCAGAAAACCTGCCGTGAGGCTGCTGCGCTGCCTGCCTGCATGGCCTAGTTCTCCCCCAGACTAAGCAGATTCCTTCAGTGCCATGTGCAGCAGAGAGGGAAGGTGGTGAGACGCGGGCTATGAAGCTGCTCAGTGCAGCTCTCGAGTCTCGTCCCACCCCACAGCTGCTGTCTGGTGGTGCGGCTCCAGCATGAGGGGCTGGTGTGAATCCCATGTCTCCATCAAGTTGAGTCCCAACCCCCATTCCCCAGGAGGCCCTGAAACATAAGCGGCCGGGTCTCACTCACTGTCCACTCCCCGGAGGCCCTGGGACACAGCAGGCCGGGTCCCACTCACTGTCCACTCCCCGGAGGCCCTGGAACACAGGAGGCCGGGTCCCACTCACTGTCCTCTCCCCGGAGGCCCTGGAACACAGGAGGCCGGGTCCCACTCACTGTCCACTCCCCAGAGGCCCTGGAACACAGGAGGCCGGGTCTCACTCACTGTCCTCTCCCCGGAGGCCCTGGGACACAGCAGGCCGGGTCCCACTCACTGTCCTCTCCCCGGAGGCCCTGGGACACAGCAAGCCGGGTCCCACTCACTGTCCACTCCCCAGAGGCCCTGGAACACAGGAGGCCGGGTCCCACTCACTATCCACTCCCCGGAGGCCCTGGAACACAGCAGGCCGGGTCTCACTCACTGTCCACTCCCCGGAGGCCCTTGAACACAGCAGGCCGGGTCCCACTCACTGTCCTCTCCCCGGAGGCCCTGGGACACAGCAGGCCGGGTCCCACTCACTGTCCACTCCCCAGAGGCCCTGGGACACAGCAGGCCGGGTCCCACTCACTGTCCACTCCCCGGAGGCCCTGGGACACAGCAGGCCGGGTCCCACTCACTGTCCTCTCCCCGGAGGCCCTGGAACACAGCAGGCCGGGTCCCACTCACTGTCCACTCCCCAGAGGCCCTGGAACACAGGAGGCCGGGTCCCACTCACTGTCCTCTCCCCGGAGGCCCTGGGACACAGGAGGCCGGGTCCCACTCACTGTCCACTCCCCAGAGGCCCTGGAACACAGCAGGCCGGGTCCCACTCACTGTCCTCTCCCCGGAGGCCCTGGGACACAGGAGGCCGGGTCCCACTCACTGTCCACTCCCCAGAGGCCCTGGAACACAGCAGGCCGGGTCCCACTCACTGTCCACTCCCCAGAGGCCCTGGAACACAGGAGGCCGGGTCCCACTCACTATCCACTCCCCGGAGGCCCTGGAACACAGGAGGCCGGGTCCCACTCACTATCCACTCCCCGGAGGCCCTGGAACACAGGAGGCGGGTCCCACTCACTGTCCTCTCCCCGGAGGCCCTGGAACACAGCAGGCCGGGTCCCACTCAGTATACACTCCCCGGAGGCCCTGGGACACAGCAGGCCGGGTCTCAACTCCCTCGATCCTCTGCTTTCAGGGCCAGAGCCCGGAGTGAGGCCTCACCTCACCCACAGATCAACCTGCCTGGCCCTGCCCCAGGAGACCTGCAGGGTCAGGGCCCCAGCCTCCCCATCCCTTCCTAAATGGCTTGTCACGGACTCCTTACCTTCCCTGGGTCTTCCCCGGGCCAGAGGCCCTTTAGGCTTGTCCTTTTATGGTCCAGTGTGTCTGGGTAGTGCCAAGGGCTGCTGAGATTGGACCTGAGGCAGCTCGGCATTTCAGAAGGAGTGTGACACGTGGAGTGGGGGACACCGGGGCTCCCTCCACACACGGACAGATGACCGTGAGGCATTCTCATAGTGGGGCCTCAGTGTCCTCATCTCTCAGAAGAGGGATTGATGACAAAGTCTCTAGGTCATTCCAGCCCCAATCTCCCTCAGTGCTTTCCCAGGCCAGGGTCTTTGCTGGGGAACTGGGGAGCTGTGGGAAGGTGAGGAGCTGTGAAGAGAGGAGGCTGGGCTGGGGAGAGCTGCTGCAGGGAGAGGCTGAGCACAGGCCCCAGGAACAGCTTGGCCTGACCTGATCCCAGCTCCACCACCCGCTCCGTCTTGGGCCTCACCTGTGTAACGTGCGGTGCTGAGAGTCAGTTCTCTTGAGTGCTGTTGTGAGAGTTAACTGAGGCGATGCGGGAGAGGAGCTCAACATAGGACCTCCATGGGGGAGCCCTTGATAACGTTATGGCTGTCATCAGGGAAAATCCATGTTTCCACTGCGGGGAGCAGAAAAGACGCCTCCAGGACACAAGGTGAGAAGAGATGCAAAGCAGGGGCCCCGGGATGTGCATCCAGAGGTCGGGAGGGTGATTTGTGGAGTCTGCCCCCCACGTTCCAAGCCACCCCAGGCAGAAGGCAGAGTGTGTGTGTACACGCGTGTTTGTGTCTTGCTTGTGTGCACAGGTGTTGTGTTTGTGGGTGTGTGCACACACTGTCTGTGGGGGCAGGGCAGGCCTGGGGAGTCGGGAAACGGATCCAGTTCCCATCCCACCTGTCCCACTGCACGGCTGCAGCCTCAGCCCTCAAACTGCAGAAAGTCTCCTGGCAGGTGTTTGTTCTTCTTTCTTTTTCCTTTGGCCCCATTTTTTTCCTTCTTTTTTGCTTTTCTTATCTTCTTCCCCATCATTTTAACGATTTAGTCTCTCTCATATTTGTCTCCTTTTATAGTAAGAATACCTATTTGTAAAATACCACATAGGTTTTCCGAGGATGGCCCTGCCCAGTGTTCCAGTTCCCAAGACAAGAGTTCTTTTTCCTCTACCCTCGCCCCCGTGCCCTCTTCCTTCATGGCAACACTAGCACCACCATATTGGTAGTAAAAACTTCCACAAGTGCTTCCTCATTTGATCTTCCCAAAATCTGGGGACAGGACTGGTAGACAGTGGTGGTCACACCATCCTGCTGCACTGGGGGGTCCTGGGCCCATCTGTCCCCTCCTTCAGACCTGCACAGGGCCTCCTCCTCTTCCACCTCATCCTCAGGTGCACTGGAGTCTGCAGAAAACCCTGGCTGCAGAGGGCGAGGCGGGAGGCGGCAGAGGGCGAGGCGGGAGGCGGCAGAGGGCGAGGCGGGAGGCGGCAGAGCGTGGGGTGAGGGGCGGCTGAGTGGCGGCAGAGGGCGAGGCGGGAGGCGGCAGAGGGTGAAGGCATCTTCCTGATGCTGAGCCTTCTCTGTGGCTTCTTAGCCTGCATTCCGCCCTCCCGGGAGAGAGACAAACCTCACAGGGTTTGCTGTGAAAACACCGGGTGGATGGTGGCCAGACCTCACACGGAGATAAAGGGCCCCAGAAAAGGAGCACATTTTGGGCAAGGGAGAACTCTAGTGCTTGCAAACGACTGAAACCCTGGCATGGCAAAGTGTTCTCTGGGCAGTGGACGGCGGCGTGGTGGCCATTTAAGCTGGTGTCAGCCTGAAACCTGGATCAGTTTCACTGTTAGGACATCTGTTACGTGGCACGCAGGCACCTCTAGGAGCCCAGAGAGGGCACTTGGAACATCCTGCTTCCAACTCATGATTATCCATAGAAGGGCTTTCTGCAGCGTAGGCGAATCTTGATTTTCTCATTTCCAGACTTTGCTTGCTCCTCTGTCATTGAAGCTTGATTTTCTCATTTCCAACCTTTGCTTGCTCCTCTGTCATTGAAGCTTGATTTTCTCATTTCCAACCTTTGCTTGCTCCTCTGTCTTTGTAACCCAGTGTGGCCTCATTTGGCACCACGGGGATGTATAATGAGTATTCAGCCCACAGGAACATTGACAACATACCCACGCTCTCTGCTGCTCTTGTGGCTTTCATTCAAACAAGAACCAGTGGAGAAACCCTGAGGTAAGTGGTGGCCTCCCATAATTACAGGTGTGTTTCACGCTGCGGCATGTGGACCTTAAGTATTAACAGAAGTTGAAGATAAAGCCTGAAAGCCAACTCTGCTGAGAGGTAGAGGTCAGGGGCGGGTCTGGGTGTGAGCCCACCCGCTCACCTCCCTCACGCTCATCTGCAGTCTCCAGGCTTCATTCTCTGCCATGCCGCCTTCAACAGTATTTTTAAGAGTTTTCATTCTCATCAAAGGGGTGGAGATTAAATGGTGTCCTCACCCCAAAAGGTGCCCTGCCCTTACTGTTTGACCACAGAGGGCTGCTGGGAGTAAGGAGGTCTGGCGTCGGCCATGGCAGTGAGTCAGAAGACACGGGGTCCCCGCTGGCTTTCCGAGTATCGGCTGCGACCCACTGAACTCAGCCATTGAGCAGCTCCTCTGTCCTGGGTGCAGGCATCGCACCCAGTGCTGCTGTGGAAACCTCTGTGCTAGGGACAGAAATAGGAGGAGGAGGAAGAGATGGGGGCTGGCTGGGAGACTCCATGGGAGAGGAGGCCTAGGAGGGACAGGGGTCAGGAGGTCTCCTCAGCAGAGCCTGCTGGCAGCGGGGGAATTAGCCTACACCAGAAGTGGCAGGGCGCCACACGGACAGGTGGCGGATGGAGGATGCACTGGGCAATGTCTTAAAGCCCCAGTTAACTGGGGGTGTAGCGAGGAGCTGTGGAGGGTTGCCCCAGATGCAGAGTCGACACCGTCCTTCTGTATCTGTTCCCCTGTGCTTAGCGTCCTGTGTGACCCGGAGTGGATGCCCCATGTGCATGACGATGCTGGGTAGGTCAGCCTCATGTGCTACAGGGTGAGTTGACTGGCAGAGCCTCCCGCAGGTGCCTGGGCAAGAGGGGACAGGGCTGATCTAATTAGGGCCAGGACCATTCATCACTGTCCCAGCATACCGTAGCCCCTGGGGATGCAGAGGGGAGGAAGAGGGCAGGAGAGAGGGTCAGAGGCTGTTGGTGTTACGGACAGAAGTGTGTGGCCCCAGCAGGTTGGGTCTGGCTCAGGGGAGCAGTAACAGCTGGAAAGAATAACAGCCCCTTTGAAACTGCCATCTGCAGACCTCCCTGGCTGGCTTGGGATGAGGCTGTGCAGGCAGGAAAGATGAGAGTCCGAGGAGGACTTTTCCTTTTTGTCCAGTGGGGACAGACACTGAGGGAACTTCTTGTTCATAAGGAAGCGGCCGCAATCCAGTGACCAACTTTAAGGAGGATGCACACAGACAGGTGTCAGCATAACTTGCTTTACTCTGAAGGGTGGAAGTTCATTAGAGTGACTTGTGGTGGATTCAGCAGCATTAAAATGCCAATGAATTAAGGTAATAGCATGACACAGTTATTCATTTCTTGTTCACACAGTCGTGGCAGGTGTGCGGCCTGCAGGTGGCTCTTTCCTGTGGGCCATTTAGAGACCCAGGTCTCTTCCCGCCTGTGGCTCTGCCTTCCCCAGAGCCATGGCTTCTGTGTCCAGGTGAAAAGGGGAAGAGGGCATGGAGGAGGCACACCTGGGCCTCCCACAGGAGAGACCTGCGTCCCACAGCCGCATGACAGCAGGGGAGGCCGCAGGCCTGGCTGGACAACTCGCCGTTGCTGCCCAGCTGCCTTGCCGTGAAGTTCCCAAATCTGAAAGCCGTTCATCAAAAGTGCAGAATAATGTTCTGTACTTAAATGTGACTTTAGTTAATAATCTTTGCTTGTCTACTATTTAACTATCAGTAGACCAGAAAGATGTTTTTGGTCAAAAGTAGAAATCTAACCTGGTGTTTTGCATTACACATTAGCGTTCCTGTCTCATTTGTGTTGCTGTGGGGTGCTGGGATCTGCGTCACTGTGTCTCTGTGTCTGGGGGCGTGGAGACTGCTGGCCCCAGGACTTCTTTCCATTGCTCTATTAAAAATGCCTGACATTCCCAGAACACCACAGGGGTTTCTCACCCCTGTCATGGGTTTTCTAAAGGCTGATTCCAGGCTGGGTCCAGGCACTTTTGTCCAGAGGCAAAGAGGCGGAAACTGCCAAGCCTCCCATGGCCCCATGGAGGCAGGAGGCCCCTCCCCGGGAGGCTCCAAGTGCCTCCCTGCCACCACCACCATTATGCAGCCTGAAGTGGGGACAGAGTCCCTGGTGTCGTCGGCCAGGCCCCCCAACTCTGGGCGCCTCAGAGAAGCCCCTCCAACCTAAGGGAGGAAGAAGGAGAACATCTGTGCGTCTCTGGTCTCTTGGCAGAGTCTTGCTTGTGTAAGACGCATCAGATCGGGAAACTCCAGGCACATCTTCCACGGCAGCTCGGGTGGCCTGGGAGCCTCCTCTGCCAACCCATTTCCTCTTGTCCTGTTGGCTGCCCTCAGGTTCTGTGAGTGGGCCCACCTCACCTGTGCCGGGAATTGGCATCCTGTCCCTCTGCATCTAGGGCTGCCTCGAGGTGGCTCTGTTCACCCTGGAGGAGGCCAATGCTTGGGGCTTTGTGTGAAGCCAGCAGCCTTGGGTGCTGCCCACTAGGGGGTGCGTGGGGGCTGAAAAGATGCCATCTCCAGGCTGCCTTGCGCTGACTGCTTTACCCCTAGCTGCCCTCCTTAGGCTGCCCTCCTTGACCCTCCTCTGCTGATCACCATTTCTTACAGGGCAAAAGGTGGCAAAGCTGTGATGCCAGTCCCAGCAGGTTCCTGTTAGGAATCAGGGTTCCCAACTCAAACGCCAGTGTGGAGGCCCTGCCTCACGTCTGCCTGCTCAGCACCTCTCTTCTCCTCCATGACTTGCATTAATTAGGGATTGAATTTATATTCTAAAGCAGTTCTAAAGTTTTGGGTGCAATTTTTCCTAGTATATCTGGAATAGGTTACAGGGGGTTGCAGTTAGGTGTTGAATACATGCCATTTTTTAAAAGATGACAGTGTAGGAGATGCCTAATGTATCAAAAGATTGGTCCATCCAAATAATGAAGATGAGATGGTTTATGGCAGAGAGGAGAGTGTGGATTAGGTGTGAAAAGAGTGAGGGTAAACCTGGATGGACTGGCCTCGGGTTAGTAAAGAAAGAAGGAAATGCAGCAGCCTATGACCAAGACCAGCAGCAAACCCGGGGTCCTGCCACCCCAACAAGAGAACAGCAGGCCCTTGTAGTCTCAGGTGTGCCCACAGGGGTGGGCAGGGAGCCGTGCTGAGCAGGATTAAGGGGAGGGAGAGCCCTGGTTTCCGGGTGACCATCTCTCCCGTAATGCTGTGCACCGTGTGTGTTCTTTGCCCAGTGTCTAGATCCTTCTGAGGGCCCCTCTGTGGCTCCTGCCTTCTGGGCTGAAGGCAGTGGACGAGCTGTCAGCCTGCAGCATCTAGGATGAGTCTGCTGAGCAGTGTGGCCGCTCTATGGTGAGATGTACCGGGAGTGTAATGGACAGACAACGCTTCCAAGATCAGCATGAAAGTGCAAAATAGCTCAATAATTTATGTATCGATCAGGTGTTGATATGACAGTATTTTCGTTATGTTGGGTTACATAAAATATATTTTTCAAGTTAATTTAACCGATTTATGTTTGCCTCTGTTTATCTTTTTAAGATGAGGCTGATAGAAACTTTCAGTGAGGTGCTTTGGATTCTCTATCTAGACCCACACTCTTGGGGGAACGGGCTGCCCTGGCCAATCAGTCCAGATTGTGTACTTGGAGCTAGGTTGATTCCAGTGGTGACTTGGATGCTTTGTGCACACAGGACAGGTGTACTGCTCCTTATACAAAGCTGGAGACATCCGCGGGGGCGGCCCAGGAAGAACCCTACAGGATGTGACCTGGGGGTGCCATCCTGGCCCTAACACCCATGACCCACCACAGCCTGGACCCCTGCAGCAGAAAATAAGTGAACACTGGGCTCCCCCACCCCATCCTGTAATAGTGAACACTGGGCCACCACGTCCTGTAGTAGAGGATATGGGGGGCACTAGGCTTTCACCCCATTCTCTAAGAGGATATGGGGGGCACTGGGCTTTCACCCCGTTCTCTAAGAGGATATGGGGGACACTGGGCTATCACCTCATTCTCTAAGAGGATATGGGGGGGCACTGGGCTTTTACCCCGTTCTCTAATAGGATATGGGGGGCACTGGGCTTTCACCCCTTCCTGCAGTGCGTATGAGGGGACATTCGCTGGATTCAGTGGACCTTCCTTACCTCCTGCATCCCAGTGGCTCTATTCCTGGAGGGTTTTTTTCAACTTGATAAATAATTCACATTTGTCCATACAACAAAATGACACCGTGGCTGTGTTGTGGGATGGCATACCTGGGTCCTGTGGATCTCCTCATGCTCCATTGAGCTTCTTTCTGTGGTGACAGCTGCCAGGTCAATGTGCAAGTCAATTCCAATATGTCTGCCTTTCTTCTCCATCCAGCCCCTTGTCCCCATTCCTCATCCATCTTTCCTCCCCATCATTTGCCTCATTTTGCTTCCTCCATTTTTCGCCTCCCACCACCTTTGCCCACTAGGGAACCTCTGTAGAGGCATCCCAAATCCACTAACAACCGTTTTGTTCTTGTGGAAGAACATACAGGACGCTTTACTTTCTATTCCTTTCCTGGGTTCTCAGCTCATGGGTCCCAAGGAGGGCCCCTGTGTCCTGTGTATCCGACTCCCATCTCCAGTGTGTTGCAGTGAAGTTTCTGTCACTGTGTGAAGGCAGCTGCAGGTTCCCAGTATTCTCCAGGGACCTTGTTTTATGTCATGTCCAATCTTTCCCTGTCACATGCTCCCACTGATATGTGTGCCCAGGGAGGAGGGGCACTGTGTCCTGTGTATCCGACTCCCATCTCCAGTGTGTTGCAGTGAAGTTTCTGTCACTGTGTGAAGGCAGCTGCAGGTTCCCAGTATTCTCCAGGGACCTTGTTTTATGTCATGTCCAATCTTTCCCTGTCACATGCTCCCACTGATATGTGTGCCCAGGGAGGAGGGGCACTGGGTCTTGGTGAGTGCTGAAGACCCCACAGATCCTTGGTGTTGGCATGCTCTTCCCCCGGAGACCTACACATCCACTCTGTTTTCTTTCAGGACTTAGCACCTCCCGCCTCCAGCCTCCCTTTCTTGCATCCCACTTCTCAGATGCCTTCCTATCCCCCCTTTCTGCTCTTGGCCAAGCCCATCTTCCTGGAAAAACCTGGTCATGCCCAGCTGCACAGATGCGAGAACAAATGTGGCAGGTGCCCAGGCCTGCATCCGCGGCCGCACCAGGGTAACACGTAGGGCAGCCCCTACCCCTCATTCTGGGCTTCGTGGGCCACTGCTGACCACAGCTGGCTGTCCACCTGGGACGTGGCACTGCAGCTTTCCCAACCAGGGCCTCCTTTTACCTCGTTAACCCCCAGCCGGTCCCTTGGACCATGGCTCGCTCTCTCAGAAGATGGTCAACTGGCTTCCCCGCTGAGCGCAGCTGCACACTGTGTTGGTCATGGGTCACCGTGAAGCAGCTCTGTTTGCACCTCCACTGACTGCACTGTCAGCACTGCGGACACAGCAGCGTCCTGCCCTCCGGAGCTTAAGCCCTAGTGGAGAAGCCAGATGCTACCCAGACAACCACAGTATTCACATGCACTTACACCGTGACAAGTGCTCCCCACCCACAGCCTGTTGCAGCAGGTGCCTGGTCACAGAGCCCAGGGGAGGCTTCCTGGGGAAGGCTCTGGCTGAGTTCTGCAGGGAGCCGGAGCTGGATGGGGCAAGAGGGAACAGCCAGTGCCCAGGGTGAGGCTGGTCTCCCAGTTCCTTGACCTGCAGAACGGGGAGCATGGCCCTTCATTCATGTCCATCCAGTGCGTCTTTCCCTTGCACTCCACTGAAGGCAGGGCTGGTGGCTTGGACTTTAGGATGGCGAGGAAACGTGTGTGGAAGTGAGAGATGGCTTACGGGGCCTCTTTCTGGTTTTTGAGTCTTTCAGGTGTGTTGAAGCCCAAACCACACAGCATCTGCCAGGCTGAGTGCAGGGTTGTTGTGCGCTGCAGTGTCTGACCCTCCCCGTCTGTCACTGGCCGGCTTGATGTGTGGAGCCGCAGAGAGGCTGCCCCGAAATAACTCACATTCCAGGGCAGGGTGGAATGTTTGCCTCCCTGTGCGGGTCTGCGTCTTGCTTTGTGCTGGGCTGCAACCCTGTGCATAATGAAATGAATATGAGCAGACTGTGCCCCAGGCTCCCACTGAGCTCCCTGGAGGGGTGATGGGTCTGCAGGATAAGAACAGGTAGATTTTTGCTGGCACTGTCTAGTTTTAACTGTTTTTGCCTGAGGAAAAATCTTCAATTCACGTGCTTCATGATTATGGGGCTAGTGATCAAGGGGTTTGTTCCTACGTGTATCTCAGAAGAGGTGGGAAATTCACCTTAGAAACTTTTATTTTAACATGTTTAATTTTTTTTTATCTTAGTGCTCTTGCAGTTTTCATGTTTGTTTAAATTGGAAATGCCAATGGTTTGAGGAAAAACATGTTAAGCCTGGAAGCAGAACTTCAGCAGATGCGGCTCTTTTCCTGTCTGTCTTTAGTGAGGCTTTGAGCTGCCTCGCACAAGCCGGTCAGTGATCCGGTCCTCGCCCAGGTTAAGGAGGGTCCTTGTGCGTTGCATGTGAGTTCCCCTCTCCGGTGTTGCTGGAGGGGATTTGCCGAATACTAAGTGTCATTCTTAAGCGTTACATGAATTATTTAGTAATGCACAGTGTCTCTCAGTAACCGTGTGCAACTAATACTGTATGAATTCATGAGTATTTCTGGAACCAGGAGACTTTTTAAGATCATATATTCATTCATTCAACAAATCTTTATTGGGTGTCCATTGTGTGCTGGGCACCATTCTAGGGGCTAATATTCCAGTGGGAGAGAGAGATGCTAAACATGAAACTATAAACTGGGTATCAGCATAAGTGATTCACAGGGTATGTTACTGGGAAGCCTCGTTGAGAGGCCGGGTGGTCAGGGAAGCCTCGATCAGAGGGAGGGTGGTCAGGGAAGCCTTGATGAGAGGCCAGGTAGTCAGGGAAGCCTTGATGAGAGGGAGGGTGGTCAGGGAAGCCTCCATGAGAGGCCAGGTGGTTGGGGAAGCCTCGATGAGAGGCCGGGTGGTCGGGGAAGCCTCGATGAGAGGCCGGGTGGTCGGGGAAGGCTCGATGAGAGGCAGGGTGGTCGGGGAAGCTTCGATGAAAGGCTGGGTGGTCGGGGAAGGCTCGATGAGAGGCCGGGTGGTCAGGGAAGGCTCGATGAGAGGCCGGGTGGTCAGGGAAGCCTCGATGAGAGGCCGGGTGGTCGGGGAAGCCTCGATGAGAGGCCGGGTGGTCGGGGAAGCCTCGATGGGAGGCCGGGTGGTCGGGGAAGGCTCGATGGGAGGCAGGGTGGTCGGGGAAGGCTCGATGAGAGGCCGGGTGGTCGGGGAAGCCTCGATGAGAGGCCGGGTGGTCGGGGAAGCCTTGATGAGAGGCCGGGTGGTCAGGGAAGGCTCGATGAGAGGCCGGGTGGTCGGGGAAGCCTCGATGGGAGGCCGGGTGGTCGGGGAAGCCTTGATGAGAGGCCGGGTGGTCAGGGAAGGCTCGATGAGAGGCCGGGTGGTCGGGGAAGCCTCGATGAGAGGCCGGGTGGTCGGGGAAGCCTCGATGGGAGGCAGGGTGGTCGGGGAAGCCTCGATGGGAGGCCGGGTGGTCGGGGAAGCCTCGATGAGAGGCCGGGTGGTCAGGGAAGGCTCGATGGGAGGCAGGGTGGTCGGGGAAGCCTCGATGGGAGGCCGGGTGGTCGGGGAAGCCTCGATGAGAGGCCGGGTGGTCAGGGAAGCCTCGATGGGAGGCCGGGTGGTCGGGGAAGCCTCGATGGGAGGCAGGGTGGTCGGGGAAGCCTCGATGGGAGGCAGGGTGGTCGGGGAAGCCTCGATGGGAGGCAGGGTGGTCGGGGAAGCCTCGATGGGAGGCAGGGTGGTCAGGGAAGGCTCGATGAGAGGCCGGGTGGTCGGGGAAGCCTTGATGGGAGGCCGGGTGGTCGGGGAAGCCTCGATGAGAGGCCGGGTGGTCGGGGAAGCCTTGATGAGAGGCCGGGTGGTCGGGGAAGGCTCGATGAGAGGCCGGGTGGTCGGGGAAGCCTCGATGGGAGGCCGGGTGGTCGGGGAAGCCTCGATGGGAGGCAGGGTGGTCGGGGAAGCCTCGATGGGAGGCCGGGTGGTCGGGGAAGCCTCGATGAGAGGCCGGGTGGTCAGGGAAGCCTCGATGAGAGGCCGGGTGGTCGGGGAAGCCTCGATGAGAGGCCGGGTGGTCAGGGAAGGCTCGATGAGAGGCAGGGTGGTCGGGGAAGCCTCGATGGGAGGCAGGGTGGTCGGGGAAGCCTCGATGGGAGGCCGGGTGGTCGGGGAAGGCTCGATGAGAGGCCGGGTGGTCGGGGAAGCCTCGATGAGAGGCCGGGTGGTCGGGGAAGCCTCGATGAGAGGCCGGGTGGTCAGGGAAGGCTCGATGAGAGGCAGGGTGGTCGGGGAAGCCTCGATGGGAGGCAGGGTGGTCGGGGAAGCCTCGATGGGAGGCAGGGTGGTCGGGGAAGCCTCGATGGGAGGCAGGGTGGTCGGGGAAGCCTCGATGGGAGGCAGGGTGGTCAGGGAAGGCTCGATGAGAGGCCGGGTGGTCGGGGAAGCCTTGATGGGAGGCCGGGTGGTCGGGGAAGCCTCGATGAGAGGCCGGGTGGTCGGGGAAGCCTTGATGAGAGGCCGGGTGGTCGGGGAAGGCTCGATGAGAGGCCGGGTGGTCGGGGAAGCCTCGATGGGAGGCAGGGTGGTCGGGGAAGCCTCGATGGGAGGCAGGGTGGTCAGGGAAGGCTCGATGAGAGGCCGGGTGGTCGGGGAAGCCTCGATGGGAGGCCGGGTGGTCGGGGAAGCCTCGATGGGAGGCAGGGTGGTCGGGGAAGCCTCGATGGGAGGCAGGGTGGTCAGGGAAGGCTCGATGAGAGGCCGGGTGGTCGGGGAAGCCTTGATGGGAGGCCGGGTGGTCGGGGAAGCCTCGATGAGAGGCCGGGTGGTCGGGGAAGCCTCGATGAGAGGCCGGGTGGTCGGGGAAGCCTCGATGAGAGGCCGGGTGGTCGGGGAAGCCTTGATGAGAGGCCGGGTGGTCAGGGAAGGCTCGATGAGAGGCCGGGTGGTCGGGGAAGCCTCGATGGGAGGCAGGGTGGTCGGGGAAGCCTCGATGGGAGGCAGGGTGGTCAGGGAAGGCTCGATGAGAGGCCGGGTGGTCAGGGAAGCCTCGATGAGAGGCAGCGAGCAGACATACGCAGGAGGGAGGGGTCGGGCCAGGCAGAGATCGGGGAGTGTGTGTGGGGCAGAGGGAACTGTGGGTGAAGTTCTGTGTCTGAGGTGTGCCTGGCATGTGGGGAGGCCTGTGGCTGGAGGAGAGGCATTGGGGCCTGGCCCCGCCTCTCACACTCACACACACCTCCTGCTCCAACCACCGTCCCTGGGTTATGGATGCAGTGGCATTCAAGACACTGCAGTGTCCACACCCTGGGGCCCTGGTTCTGTTTGTCCCCAGAGAAAAACAGGCTGGCCCTGAAACACTCCTTTTTCTTCCACGGCTGATGCTGGCGAGCACACCTGCAGTGTCTGTGAGGGTGCTGCCATCTGTCACTGAGGGCCAGGCCGGGACAGGTGCCACACGTGCAATGTGAGGGCTCAACACACAGCCATTTCCAAGGCTGTGCTGACTCCACGGGAGCGTGGAGGTCTCTGAGCTCAGGCATCCTGTGGATGGCCACAGCATCCTGGGATGGACCAGTGCTGCAAGAGCCGGTCTGCCAGAATGTTTATGCAAACTCAGAAAGACGTTTTTGCTCTTTTTCATGAAATTAAAAATTTTAAAAGATCTAGTCCACACATATTCAAGAAAAGTATAACTAACAATTCCTCAGTATAGGACAAACAGACTTTCCACCCCTGATGGCTCAAGAAGGGGGCGTTTGATACCCCCACTTCCTTCTCCAGATGTTGCAACGTTTACTCCCTTTGTAGAAAATCTCTTCCTGTCTTTCTCTGTCTGCCCGTCTCCCCACTTGCCTCCCCCTCCCCCTCTCGCCCCCCTCCCATGATCCCCCCTCTCTCCCCCACACTCTCTCCCCCTCGCTCTCCCCTCCCTGCTCCTCCCCCCCCTCCATCCCCTTCTCGCCTCACCTTTCTGATTGACTCTGTCCCCTTCACATTGAGCCGCTGTCCCCACCACTCTGTGGATGCTGCTCTGAGGTCACCAGTGATCTATCTGTTGCTAAATCTAATGATCAGTTCTCAGTTCCCATCTTGATGGACCAATAGCATTTAGCCAAGATTTGTCATTTTCCCCCTTTTAAAACACTTTCTTCCTTGGACCTGGGACATGAAACCCTTCTTCCTACCTCACTGGCTGCTCCTTTGCAACAGCCTTTGTTGGTTCATCCATATTTTGGACTTTTGCAACCAAAAGTTTTTATCTAGAAATCTGTCATAACACATTATTTTTTATAATCAGTTATAATTCATGATTGAGTGGTTATAGTACTGCTATTATTTTGTATTGTGGTAGAGTATATGCAATAATTACAATTCTAACCATTTGTTGAGTGTAGCTTCTAGTGGCATTTAAATATGTTCACAATTTGTATAACTATCGTCACTATCTATACCCAACACTTTCCCTATCCCAGACATCAACTCTGTACCCGGGTGAGAACTCCCCATTTCTCTCTTGCCCAGGCTGTGGTAATGTCTACATTTTCTCCTTATGAATCTGCCTGTTCAAGTTCCCTTATAGAAGTGGGATCATACAGTATCGGTCCTTTCATGTCTGCATGGACACTTGGTTTGTTTCTATCTTTTGGCGGTAGTGATTAATGCCATGAATGTTGGTGTACAGATATCTGTTCAAGTCCCTACTTTCAGTTCTTTTGGATCTGCCAACTAGGAGTGGAATGCCTGGGTCCTATGGTACATCTATGTTTCACTCTTTGAGGCACCACCAGACTTTTCTGCAGTGGCTACACAATCTTACATTCCCCCTAACCTGTGGGTACCAACTTCTCCACATCCTAGCCAACACTCACTTAGCATGAAAAAAGTATATTACTAGAGCCATTCTAGCAGGCATGAAGTAGTATCATTATGGTTTTGATTTGTAGTTCTGTAATAACTAATGTTGAGCATCATTTCATGTGCTTATTTGTCTATCTTCTTTGCAGAAATGTCTATTCAACTTACTTGCCCATTTTTAAATTGGGTTGTTTTGTTGTTGAGTTTTAGTTCTTCATATATTCTGGAAATTAGGCCCTTATCAGATATGTGATTTGCAGATATTTTCTCCACTTGGCAGATTGTCTTTTTGCTTTCTTGAGAGTGTGCTTCAATGTAAAAAAAGGTCTTATTTTGATGAAACTCATTATCTAACTTCATTTCCAATGCTTTTGCTTTAATATCCATGAAATTGTTGCCAAATCCAATGCCATGAAGATTTACTTCAGTGTTTTCCTTGAGAGTTTTATAGTTTTAGCTCTTAAGTTTAGGTCTTTGATTCATTTTGAGTTAATTTTTTACAGGTGTAAGGTGAGCTTTAACTTCATTCTTCTGCATATGGATATCCAGTTTTCCCAGTGCCATTTGATGAAAAGACTGTCCTTTACACAGTGAATGTTCTTGGCACCCTTGCCAAAAATCATTTGACTGTCTATGTTAAGCATTTATTTCCAGGCTCTCTTTTCTATTCTGTTGGTCTGTCCTGATGGTAGTACTGTACTGTTTTAATTACTGTAGCTTTGGGGTACATTTCAAATTCAGGAAGTATGTATGAGTCTTCTAATTTTGTTATTCTTTTTCCAAGATTGTTTTTGCTATTTGGGGCCCCTTGCAATTCCACGTGAATTTGGGGACCTGCTTTTTCATTTCTGCAAAAAAAAAAGCCATTGCAATGTTGACAGAGATTGCATTGAATCTGTAGATCATTTTGATGAGTATTTACGTCCTAGCAATGTTGTCTTTCTATCTATGAACATGACATTGGCTTTCCATATATTTGTTTCTTGAACTTCTTCCTCAATATTTTGTAGTTTTTAGCATACAAATCTTTCACTTCCTTGGTTAAACTTATTTCTAGGTATTTAATTCTTTTGGATGCTATTGTAAATAGAATTGCTTTCTTAATTTCCTTTTCATATTGTTCATTGCTGTTGTATAGAAATACAAATACCGATTTTCACATGTTAATCTTGTACCCTGTAACTGTTGAATTTTTGTATTAGCTCTAGTAGCTTTTTGTGTATTCTTTGGAATTTTCTCTATATAGGAACATGTTACCTGTGAATAGAGTTTTACCTCATCCTTTTCAATTTGAAAGTCTTTCATTTATTTATTTTTTGTTGGTTGTCTCTGTTGCTGTCGCTGGAACTTGCAGCAGAGTGTTGACTAGACATGGCAGCAGTGGGCACTTGTCTTCTTCCTGATCTTGGGGAAAATGTTCAGTCTTGCCATTGAGTATGATGTTAGCTGTGGGTTTTTCATAAATACTTTGTATTACTTGAGGAATTTTCTCCCATCCTTGTTTTCCAAGAACTTTTTTTCTGAAAGGGTATTGCATTTTCAGAAGCCCTTTCTGCATCGATTGAGATGATCGTGTGGGTTTTCTCCCTTCGTGCTGCTACTGCAGTGCACGACATTGACTGATTTTCTTATATTGAACCACCCCTGTGTTCTTGGGATAAATCCCACTCGGTCATGGTGAATAGTCCTTTTAACATACTATTCCCTGACTTTCTTTTGAGGCTTTTTGCATCTGTAGTCATAAGGGATATTGGTGTGTAGTTTTTCTTTACTCACAATGTCTTCATCTGGCTTTGGTATCTGAGAAGGGCTGGCCTCCTACCATATGTTAGGAAGCGGTCCCTCCATTCCAGTTTTTAAAAAGAGTTTGTGAAAGAGATCTATCTACTCTTGTGACTTCTAAGCATGGACACATTTCCTGGCCCAGTCCTGGTTCCTCCTCCCCTCTGTCCACACACTTAGTTCCACCTGTCTAGACACAACTGTGTGGTAGATGGTTCTAGAACCACATCTCTAACCCAACCGCTACTCCAAGCACCAAACTCATACAGCAGTCAGTCCACTCAGTATGTTCAATAGGCATCTCAATCTTAATATGGCATTTCCCCCCAGACATGCTTCTCCAGTCTCTCCCATCTCAGTCAGTGGAAACACCTTCCACCTGCTGGTCAGGCCCCAAATCCTTGAATTGCTGTGTTGGTGCTGACTCGTGACTGCAGACAGCAGAATCCGCTATAGCTAATTTAAGCAGTGAGGATATGTGTGAAGCCATTGGGTAGATCATAGCATCCATGGGAGAGTCAGGAAACCAGAACAGCGAGAAACAACCACAACCCTGGAGAAACACCCAGCCACGCTGTAGGACTGTGTTAGGGAAACCCCCCTCCCCGTCCCCTGCTGCTCAGCACCAACAATGCCAGGGACGGGACCCAGAAGAACCAAACACCTCAACATCCATCTGCTGTGTCCAGCCCGATTCCTGTGTTCCTTCCACATCTCATGTGGTGCATCTCCTGGCAAAACCGGGCACATCTGCACACCAGCTGCAAGGGATCCCGGAGCGTGGCATTATGGCCTCCAGCTTCTGCACACTGGAGGGCACACCCCGGGGGGGGGGGGCGGTGGCAGGGTCACTAATTCAGTGTCTGCCTCTGTGCTCTTTGGGTTCTGTCTCCGCAGCCAGCTTTTCAGCAGTCCTGCCCCCTCTGCCTTTACAGGTCCTGCTTTGACCATTTCCCATGACCTCTGTCACTCCCCTGGAACCCAACCTCATCACTTTCACCAAGATCAGGCATCCACTTCCTGATCTCCTGCCTCCGCCTGCTGAGCTCTCTGAAATGTAAGTCGGAACAGGTCGCTTCCTTTCTAACTCCATCCCCTCTGAGTGTCCCCACTTTCGCTGTGTTTGTGAGCTCACCAGATCTGCCCCCCCCCCACCCCATAGGGCCTTTGCACAGGTGGCTCCTTTGCCTTCAAGTCCCAGGTAGCTTCCTCTCAGTGTCTGCTCAGCCTGCCCCATCAGAGAGGCCTTCCTTGACCGGATTTGTGTTCTGTCCACTGGTTTATTTCCCTCCACTGGAATGTCAGCTTCCCAGAGATGGGGGCTGTGCTGTGACTACCAGTAGTAGTTGATCAGTAAGTACTTTTTGAATAAACCAAGCTATGTTAATAGTCCATGTTTTGGAAAAACTCCCTAGAAAACATCCCTAATTCCATGGATCCATGGCAAAGAAAGAACCAGATCTGTAGAAACGGGCTGGAGAAGCTCACAAAGGACTCCTGGGCTGAGAAAGCCCCACACGGTCCCACTTTCTTTCTGTATAGTGGAGGTGTGGCAGGGGTGAGCTCCTACCACGGGCCCCAAAGTCTCCAGTAAGAGTGAGATTCCGGGCTGCACCCTGACCAGGCGCCACTGGGTCACTGCTGACCGTCCTGGAGGTGCTGAACAGGGATGAAGCCGTTTATTCTGGAGGCATGCCAGCATTCTTGGGTCCTGCTCTGGCAGGAGCTGTGGGGCCACACAGGCTTAGAAAGGTGGCTCCCATCCTGGACAGCACCGTGGGCAGTACTGTCACGAGGACGGGCTGGGAGGAGGGTGTGGCAGGGGTGTTGGGGGCCTCAGGTAGGGGCCAGCACAGAGGGACACCCAGATACCCAGCACAGAGGGCAGGAACAGGTCAGCTCCCTGCCTGGGCTCAGGGATGGGGCTGGAGGTTCTAGGAAGCAGAGCAAGTAAGCAGGACAGGGAACAGTGAGAACACAGGTGTAGATGGAGAATCAAGGCGGGGCGCAGCCAGGGATTCCAGGGAGGAGTAGACAGAAACTCAAGGGAGGGAGGCCTCGAGGGGATCCCAGGGAGGTGTGGACAGGGATTCTAGGAAGGAGTAGACAGAGACTCAAGGAGGCCTCGACGGAGATCCCAGGGAGACTGACTGCCTGCTGCATAGGAGGGAGGCTCCCAGCTGTGTCCCTGAGCTGCATAGGAGGGAGGCTCCCAGCTGTGTCCCTGAGCTTCATCCACTCTGTAACCTGTGACAAAACGGAGCATTATCTGTCAATGAGCACATCTGTGCCGCAGTTTTTGGGATGGTGCCAGGGTAGGGGTGAGGGACAAGTTGAGGGGACAGGTTGAGGTGGGGTCCCTGTGAGGCCCTCCTGGACGGAGTGGACCTTATGAGACACTCCCTAGCTGAATTCCCAGCAGGAAGCTGGTGCCCAGAGCACCCTGGACTAACGGGCGGGAGAGGGACTTTGTTTTGGGAGGCTCTTTGTAGATCAAGGCATTAAAATTGCACCTTTGGGGAAAGCATGTTCCAGAGCACCAGACACCCCGAGGCACCCTGAGTTGTGGGGGGGGAGGGTGATGGAATTTGGGGCCCTCGCTGAAGCCCTTCATTATCCAAGCCAGGCGCGGGGTGGCACGTAGTTCCCACAGCGGCCCCTGGACGGAGGAGAGGGCCTGGGCCGTCCACACCTGCAGAAATCTGGAGCTGGTCCGCCTAGACCAGGGGAAATCGGGGTCCCGTCCGGGTACACTGGCAGAACTCAGGGGTCAGATCCTCTGCCCTGGAGCATTCAGATTTGTGCCTCTACGTTATGGAAACCAGGGGCCCGTCCGGGTGCAACGTGGCATCCACAAAATGGCAGGTCCCCGAGCTCCGGGCTCCGAGAGAACAAAAGCAGAAGCCACTGCCGCCCGCGCTCGGGGAGGAGCCGCCCAGGTGGGCGCGTCCGGGGCTAGGCGGGAGCTGCGCAGCCGGGTCCAGGGGAGACGCCCCGCCCCGGCCGGACCCTCGGAGCCTCCTAGGGGAGACCCCGGCCCCGCCCCTCTCTCGCCCGGATCGGGCGGGGCCCCGGGAACGCGCGCGGCGAAGGCGGCCTCGGCCCAGTGCACAGCGGGACCAGGCAGAGTTCGGGGAAAGCGTCGGAGTTCGGGAGACCAGGGTCCAGCATGGGTTTCAGCACAGCAGACGGCGGGGGCGGCCCAGGCGCCCGGGTAAGAGGGGGCACGGGGACTGCGGCGGGTGGGGGCGCGAGCGGACGCGGGAGTAGGGGCGGGTGGGGGCGCGGGGGTAGGGGCGGGGTGGGGGGGGGCGCCGGAGTAGGGGCGGGTGGGGGCGCGGGGGTAGGGGTGGGGTGGGGGCGCGAGCGGACGCGGGAGTAGGGGCGGGTGGGGGCGCCGGGGTAGGGGCGGGTGGGGGCGCGGGGGTAGGGGCGGGGTGAAGGCGCGAGCATCAAGGCGGGCGGGCGCGGGGACTGGGGTGGGAGGGGGCGCGGGTACCCAGACGTGCTGGGGGTCCTGGCGTGGGTCCTGGGACCTGCCGGCGGCTGCTGCGGGAACGGGAGGGAGCTTCTTCAGGCACCCTTTTCCTTGTAACCTCGTGAATACTCGGGAGAAGAAATAACGCTTTCTGGACAGATTTGCCCTCTCGGTGCCTGAAGGGGAGCCAGGGGAGGGGAGTCTGAAATCTCATCGCCAAAACTGAGAGTTGCTAAGTTACTCTTCAGCTCAAACCGGTGGGACAGAACAGTGATCTGTGGTGGCCCGGAACAAAGAGAATTTTTACTTAAAAATACCAAGATTGACTTTTGTGTTGGAGTGCTAGTTGATTTGAGTAAGAAACATTTGCTAGTAAAACAAGACAGTTATTTCAGCTTTGGTGAAAGAGTGATAAAGCTGTTTTCAGGTTTTTCATGTGAGTTGCAAAAAGTATATTGGGTTTGCCTTTCCCTGTTTCGTGTGAAACTAAAGAGTGGTTGAGGTGAGGTAATTACACTCTACTCCTGTTACCCAACAGCACTTTTGCCTAAAAAGTTTAGTTGGTACGTCTAGGTGTCTAATTAAGAATTGAAACATATAATTTAAAAATTAAGTTAAATGTCATTGAAACGGTGCATAATTGATACTTTTGACTGAGCCTTAGGCAGCTGGGTGGGTCCTGAATCAAGATTCCTGGGAAGGTAGGTTTCTCAGCTTCCCGAAGAGATTTAATGTAAATCTTCATGTAATGTGGACAAAGGTGAGTTTTAGCTTTCAATTTCCCTGAGCCTGCCTCGAATTCACAAAATTCCAGGCTCTCTGGGTCAGAAGGAACTTCGGAGATCTTGAGGAGGCCGCCGTCTCCGAGATTCTGTGATATATTCAGCATTTCCATTCCCTATGGGATCACAACCCACTGGGAAGCAGTGTTTGGTGACCCCCCCACCGAGAAGTGGGTTCATATTCCTGCTTCTGAGGAGATACCAGGTTTTTATTTCACTGTGCGGCATCCGGTGTGCAAATGCAGATGTGGCCTGGGCTGGGAGCACACAGGCTTGACCCCGCAGGCAGCCGGTAGGCCAGGGTGTCAGGTCCCCTGTGTTAGCCGGAGCCTTCTCATCTTTTATCCTGGTAGAGGGGCGCTGCTGGCCTTTCTGGGGGGTGGGTCTAGTCTGAAATCACCTTTGTGGGATCTGTGGCACTGGCTAGCTCTCAAGCTGGCCGGTGGTCTCAAAGGAATTCTTCGTTACTTGTAAAGTAGCCCAGAAATGCTGGGCTGAGGAAGTAATTTGCCCCAAGGCTCCCTGAGACCTGTATTCACAGGTTGTATCATCCAGCCAAACACAGGAGGCCCCAGATCCCCAGATCTCAGAGATTTTTGTGGGAAATCATCTGAGTCTAGCTCAGACACCACTGCCTCCCTCCTTCCAAACAGAATGAGTTTGTCCTCTCTTTGCGTTTGAACAAAAGTCAGGCCATCTAGAGCCTCCTAACTCTCACCTCAGACCTCCAAGGTGGGGCTACTCATTCTATAGATAGTGGAAATTGAGGCTTCAACACCTGCCCAGCATCTCACTGCCAAGAAGCAGCAAAGCTAGGTTTGAGCCAAACTCAAGGTCCTGGTTCTCCTTCTCCCCTCAAGGGCCCTGAAATTTTGGTGCCTCTCCTGGCTGATACAGCATCAGTGCTTCTGTGCCCTGCGGCAGCGGTTCTGTTCCCCACCTGGGTCGCCCCACACCTGGCAGGGCAGGTGCTCCCTGTGGACAGGCCAGTGCTGTTGGGTCCAGCCAAGACCTCAGGTGCCACGTGTGTGGTGAGGGGCTCCCTTCTTCCACCATGCTGTTGAAGACAGAGCCTCAGACTTTGTCTGACCCGAGACCCCAACGTGCTTCTGAGCAGGGGGAGAGTGAAGAGGGGTAGGCTGGGATGAGTGGGTGGCGGGGCTGGAGGGGGTTGAGAGGTGGCAGGTTCCATCCTGAAAGTGTTGGTTCTGGGCCTGGGAATCTGGGCAGGGGGAGAGTGAAGAGGGGTAGGCTGGGATGAGTGGCTGGCGGGGCTGGAGGGGGTTGAGAGGTGGCAGGTTCCATCCTGAAGGTGTTGGTCCTGGGCCTGGGAATCTGGACTCTGGTAAGCAGAAGGCACCCAACATTTCCCTTTACCTTATGGGGGGCTCTCGGGGAGGTGTCTGTGAAGTGGGTAACAGGCTCCAGACCCCGATCTTTTGTCCAAAGAACAGGCCTGGAATCTTGGAAACCAGCACATCCACCCTCCATGAGCTGTTGTCCTTCGGGCCAGTAGCTCAGCCTCTCTGAGCTTCAGTCTGTTCATTGTTTACAGGAATCATCTGTGCCTCACCTACCTCTCCGAGTACCCTAGAGTCAAACTTGAAAAGAGATGTACACAAGCTTTTAACAAGGAAACACAGTTGCATTCTTCACTTATGTTACTGTCCTTTAACAGAATGTTCCTAAATTGAAAGCTGCCTATGTCGTTGTGATATCTGGGACACTTTTCTGGGCCGCAGTTCACACCTGGGCCCAGGTTCTCAAAGACAAAGCTTTTGAATTCTTTTTGATTGATCTTACAAAATTTCCCCTGACAGAAAATCACATTGTGCAAAAGAGATACTTTGTGGTGAATTTGAATTTCTTTTACATGTTAAAACTGCTTACCTTTCTGAGGCTGACACAGCCTGGACGTGGGTTCTGCACTGGAGTCGTTACGTCAGCCAGGTAACAAGAATATGCCTCCCCTGGAGAAGCTGAGCCTGCCCACATCCACCCTGTGCCCGCCCACATCCACCCTGTGCCCCTCAACTCTGGTACGCCTCACCTAGAGAGGGCTTTCTGGGTCACCCTGCCTTCATCATCAGCCCAAAGCCTCTCCGGCCCTGGGGAGGGTCTGCATACGATGGTCAGAGCCGACTTCGCCATGCCCTGTCTCTTGCCAGATCTCGTTTACCCGGGCAGCACTGCCAGTTGCTTCATTCCCCGGCTTCTGTAGTGCTCAGCAATCTGTCCTTCCTCTCTGGTAAAGCCCAGATTCCCTCCCTTCCCAGCCTTATTCTAAGACAAATTTGCCTTTGGTGGCTATGCAGATGGGCAGAGCCTGCCCTGTGGGACTCTCCTTCCGGGCTTGCCACCTGAACATCATTCCTGAGATTGTCAAGAATAAAAATGACCCTCCCCTCCAGTGTCTAGTGGAGGGAATGACCCACCTCTAGTGTCCAATGGAGGGGACTACCAACCCTTCTAGTGTCTAGTGGAGGGGACCACCAACCCCTCTGGTGTCTGCTGGAGGGGGATGACCCACCTCTCTAGTGTCCATTGGAGGAGACCACCCACCTCTTCAGTGTCTGCTGGTGGTGATGACCCCACTCCTCAAGGTCTAGTGCAGGAGGTATAGTTTGGTGGAAACTTTTGCCTGAAGTTCTCACTTGCCTTCAGGTAGTGACATACTTCCCTGCATTCACTGGGACATCGGGGGATTGGAATGAGTTTCTGAAAGCTCTTGATCCCTAACTTTTGGTATAATAGACTGAGACAAAGGACATTTGGTGTGGGTGGTGGTGTTACAGTGGTTTGGGATTCAGGCTGTGCACACACTGGCCCAGGTCAACTTTTGGTTTTCCCAGTGAGAGGGAGGGGAAGGCCCTGGTCCTCACCTTAATCACCTTTAGTCTTGAGTGATAATAGCTTTGCAGTGTACTTTGCAGTGTGTGGAGCACAGGAACTGCTCAATAAATGTTAGCTATCATTCTATGATTCTGAAATGAGAGAGATGGAGATTTTTCTAGAAGTAAGGAAAAAAGAATGAGTTCCAATTTTTTGTCAAATTTCTTAGGGAAAAATATTCAATGAAATTATTTTCAAGTTGTTTATACTCAAAGATATCACCAAGAAATAGGAATTACAACTGTAATATGTAGGATTTTAGCAAAACAATCATGTAATATTTTAAAGAAGTGTTTTGTAGAAGTGCCCAAATTATTAGGCAGTGAACCCTTCTGAGTTCAAGGGTTCCTGAGTTTTCTTTATGGATTGTTGAGAAAGATTAAAGAAGACCTCACTGGAACAAGCATTTAGTCAGTCTGTAGGACCACATTGGGCATAGGAGTGAATATTCATGTGTCTGGAGGCTGGAGCATTCCATGGCAGCAACCCAGAGAATCACAGTGACCACTCATGCCTCCAAGACAAAGATACCTTCTCCCCAAAAGACAGTATTTAAAAAGAAAAGCATAGGGAAGGGGGTTGTTTGGGAAAGTTTACAGCTAGGGTGGGAGTAATAAATACAAGGAGAGCAACAGTTCCAACAAATGAGAAAAAAAAATTAGCACAATTTCCACAAGGTACTAGGACTAACTTTCTGAAAAGAATTTAGCAAAGTGAAATTTACATAACGTAAAATCAACCATTTTAAAGTAAACAGTTCAGTGGCGGTCAGTACATTCACAATGTTAGGCAACCACCACCTCTTTCTAGCTCCAGACCA
The DNA here is from genome assembly GCF_000001405.40 of Homo sapiens. Classification (NCBI taxonomy): domain Eukaryota; kingdom Metazoa; phylum Chordata; class Mammalia; order Primates; family Hominidae; genus Homo; species Homo sapiens. Next base: position 97,035 of record NC_000005.10, read on the forward strand.
TTTTCCTTATTCCAAAGTCAAACCCCTTACCTGTCATTCAGGCTCCAGATGATTTTCCTCATTCCAAAGTCAAAACCCCTTACCTGTCATTCAGGCTTCAGATCGTTTTCCTCATTCCAAAGTCAAAACCCCTTACCTGCCATTCAGGCTCCAGATCGTTTTCCTCATTCCAAAGTCCAAACCCCTTACCTGCCATTCAGGCTCCAGATGATTTTCCTCATTCCGAAGTCAAAACCCCTTACCTGTCATTCAGGCTCCAGATCGTTTTCCTCATTCCAAAGTCAAAACCCCTTACCTGTCATTCAGGCTCCAGATCGTTTTCCTCATTCCGAAGTCAAAACCCCTTACCTGTCATTCAGGCTCCAGATCGTTTTCCTCATTCCAAAGTCAAAACCCCTTACCTATCAAGCTGTTTGTCCACATTCCGTCCTCCCCAGCCCCAGGCAACTCATCTGCTTTCTGTCTCTATGGATTTATCTATTCCGGACATTTCATATCAACGGAATCGCACAATATATAGGGTTGTGTGTCTGGTTTCTTTCACTTAGCACGACGTTTGTGAACCTCATCTGTTGCACCATGTGTCGGTATTTCGTATCTTTTCATGGCTGTATAACTCTCCGCTGTGTGGATAGACCACAGTTGTCCATTCATCTGTTGATGGACATTTGGACTTTTTCTTTTGGCTTTTGTGGATAGTGCTGCTGTGAACATGTGTTTACAAGTTTTGTGTGTGTATGTATATTTGCATTTCTCTTGCAGATATACCTCAGAATGGAATTTCAAGATTCTGTCACAGTTCTGTGTAACTTTTTGACAGACCACCAGACTCGCTCCATAGCAGCTGCACCATTTCCATTCCCACCAGCAAGTGCACAGGTGCAATTTCCCCACATCCGCACCAACACTTGTTCTTTTATATTTTTTACATTATTATTATGGCCATCCTGGTAGGTCTGAACCATTATCTCAGTGTAGTTTTAATTTTCATTATATCTATATATCTTTTGATCCATTATCTATTATTATTCAGTTTATCTATATTTTCTTTTGTTGCTCATGCTTTCAGTGACATATTTAAGAATCCATTGCCACATGCAAAGGCATGAAGGTTTACCCCAATGTTTTCTTCTAAGAATTTTATGGTTTTAGGTCTTGTGTTTAGGTTGCTGATCCATTTTTAGTTAACTTTTGTATGTGGTGTGGGGTAGGGGTCTAACTTCATTCTTCTGTATGTGGTTATTCAGTTGTGTCAGCATTCATTCGTTGAATGAATTATTTTTTCCCCATTTTCAGCCAGGGTCTTTGAACCCTGGGTTTGTTTCCAGACCTCAATTCTATACCCTCAATGTCAATTCTTCTTTTGTCAGTACCACATTGTTTACTGTAGCTTTTTTTTTTTTTTTTTTTTTTTTTTTTGAGATGGAGTCTCACTCTGTCGCCAGGCTGGAGTGCAGTGGCACGATCTTGGCTCACTGCAAATTCTGCCTCCCAGGTTCAAGCGATTCTCCTGGCTCAGCCTCCCAAGTAGCTGGGACTACAGGCATGTGCCACCATGCCTGGCTAATTTGTGTGTGTGTGTGTGTGTGTGTGTGTGTGTGTGTGTGTGTGTTAGTTTTAGTAGAGAAGGGGTTTCACCGTGTTAGCCAGGATGGTCTTGATCTCCTGACCCTCATGATCCACCCGCCTCAGCCTCCCAAAGTGCTGGGATTACAGGCGTGAGCCACCCCGCCCGGCCGATTACTGTAGCTTTGTAATAAGTTTTGAAATCAGGAAGTCTGAGTATTCCAACTTGAATTTTCCTTTTTTTTTTTTTTTTTTTCAAAAAAAATTTTTTGGGGACCGGGTGTGGTGTCTCATGCTTGTAATCCCAGCACTTTGGGAGGCTGAGGCGGGTGGATCATGAGGTCAGGAGTTTGAGACCAGCCTGGCCAACAGAGTGAAACCCCGTCTCTACTAAAAATACAAAAAATTAGCTGGGTGTGGTGCTGTGCACCTGTAATCCCAGCTACTCGGGAGGCTGAGGCAGGAGAATTGCATGAATCTGGGAGGCGGAGGTTGCAGTGAGCCGAGATCGCGCCATTGCACTCTAGCCCAGGTGACAGTGCGAGAGTCTGTCTCAAAAAAAAAAAAGTGTATATATATATATATATATATATATATATATATATATATATATTTTGCGATTTTGGGGCCCTTGCAATTCTATGCGAATTTGAGGATCATCTTTTTCATTTCTGCAAGAAAGACCGTTGCAGTTTTGATAGGGATTGCACTGAATTTATAGATCACTTTAGGTAGTGTGGACGTCTTACATGTTAAGCCTCCCAATTCATGAACACACAATGTCTTCCATTTACTTGTGTTTTCTTTAATTTCTTCAGCAATGTTTTGTAGTTTTCAGCAAGCAAGTCTTTTACCTTTACGTTTAAATTTATTCCTAGGTATTTAATTCTTTTAGATGCTATTGTGAATGGAATCATTTTCTTAATTTCCTTTTCAAAGTATTCATTGCTGGTGTATAGAAACATAACTAATTTTTGTGTGTTGTTCTTGTACCCTGCAACTTGGCAGAATTTATTTATTAGCCATCTAGCTTTTTGTGGATGTTTTATATTGAGGATTGTGTCATCTGAACACAGAAATGGTTTTCCTTCTTCCTTTCCAATTTGGATGCCTTTTATTTCTTTTTCTTGTTTGGTTACTCAGACTAAAACTTTCAGGACAATGTTGAATAGAGGTGTAGAAAGCAGGCATCCCTATTTTGTTCTTAATCTTGGGGAAAACTTTGAGTTTTTCACCATTGAGTATATTAGCTGTGTGTTTTTCATAAATACCTTTTATCATATGGAGGAAGTTTCTTTCTATTCTTGGTTTTCTGGGTCTGTTATCATGAAAGGGTGTTGGAGTTTGTCAGATGCCTGTTCTGTGTCACTTGAGATGATCATGTGAGCTTTTTCCTTTGTTCTGTTAATGTGGTGTATTACATTGATTGGTTTTCTTACGTTGAAGAACGCTTGCATTCCAGGAATAATTACCACTTGGTCACAGTGAATAATCCTTTTAATATGCTGTTAGATTTGGTTTACTAGTGTTTTGTGGAAGATTTAGAACTAATTTTTTGACTCTGCTCTTAAATCTCATTACGTTATATGAAAATATATCTTAAAAATGTAAATTTTGAAATAAGAAATGACCTCTTTGAGAAACAAGTTTGTGCCAAAGGCCAAAATATAAAATTACTAGAAAGTCTGCAGAAGTTAGTAAAACTAATGCATAAGACTTCAAAATGTAGGTAACTGGAAAAAGGTCTGTAGGGGAAAGACTGTTGTGAGGTTAATCCATATAAAGCCCTGGAAAAAGCCTGTAGGGGAGAGACTGTTGTGAGGTAAATCCATATAAAGCCCTGGAAAAAGCCTGTAGGGGAGAGACTGTTGTGAGGTAAATCCATATAAAGCCCTGGAAAAAGCCTGTAGGGGAGAGACTGTTGTGAGGTAAATCCATATAAAGCCCTGGAAAAAGCCTGTAGGGGAGAGACTGTTGTGAGGTTAATCCATATAAAGCCCTGGAAAAAGCCTGTAGGGGAGAGACTGTTGTGAGGTTAATCCATATAAAGCCCTGGAAAAAGCCTGTAGGGGAGAGACTGTTGTGAGGTTAATCCATATAAAGCCCTGGAAAAAGCCTGTAGGGGAGAGACTGTTGTGAGGTTAATCCATATAAAGCCCTGGAAAAAGCCTGTAGGGGAGAGACTGTTGTGAGGTTAATCCATATAAAGCCCTGGGAAAAGTCTGTAGGGGAGAGACTGTTGTGAGGTAAATCCATATAAAGCCCTGGAAAAAGTCTGTAGGGGAGAGACTGTTGTGAGGTTAATCCATATAAAGCCCTGGAAAAAGTCTGTAGGGGAGAGACTGTTGTGAGGTAAATCCATATAAAGCCCTGGAAAAAGTCTGTAGGGGAGAGACTGTTGTGAGGTAAATCCATATAAAGCCCTGGAAAAAGTCTGTAGGGGAGAGACTGTTGTGAGGTTAATCCATATAAAGCCCTGGAAAAAGTCTGTAGGGGAGAGACTGTTGTGAGGTTAATCCATATAAAGCCCTGGAAAAAGTCTATAGGGGAGAGATTGTTGTGAGGTTAATCCATATAAAGCTCTGGAAAAAGTCTGTAGGGGAGAGACTGTTGTGAGGTTAATCCATATAAAGCCCTGGAAAAAGTCTGTAGGGGAGACTGTTGTGAGGTAAATCCATATAAAGCCCTGGGAAAAGCCTGTAGGGGAGAGACTGTTGTGAGGTTAATCCATATAAAGCCCTGGAAAAAGCCTGTAGGGGAGAGACTGTTGTGAGGTTAATCCATATAAAGCCCTGGAAAAAGCCTGTAGGGGAGAGACTGTTGTGAGGTAAATCCATATAAAGCCCGGGGAAAAGCCTGTAGGGGAGAGACTGTTGTGAGGTAAATCCATATAAAGCCCTGGGAAAAGCCTGTAGGGGAGAGACTGTTGTGAGGTTAATCCATATAAAGCTCTGGAAAAAGTCTGTAGGGGAGAGACTGTTGTGAGGTAAATCCATATAAAGCCCTGGGAAAAGTCTGTAGGGGAGAGACTGTTGTGAGGTTAATCCATATAAAGCTCTGGAAAAAGCCTGTAGGGGAGAGACTGTTGTGAGGTAAATCCATATAAAGCCCTGGAAAAAGCCTGTAGGGGAGAGACTGTTGTGAGGTTAATCCATATAAAGCCCTGGAAAAAGCCTGTAGGGGAGAGACTGTTGTGAGGTTAATCCATATAAAGCCCTGGAGAAAGTCTATAGGGGAGAGACTGTTGTGAGGTTAATCCATATAAAGCCCTGGAAAAAGTCTGTAGGGGAGAGACTGTTGTGAGGTAAATCCATATAAAGCCCTGGAAAAAGTCTATAGGGGAGAGACTGTTGTGAGGTTAATCCATATAAAGCCCTGGAGAAAGTCTATAGGGGAGAGACTGTTGTGAGGTTAATCCATATAAAGCCCTGGAAAAAGTCTGTAGGGGAGAGACTGTTGTGAGGTAAATCCATATAAAGCCCTGGAAAAAGTCTATAGGGGAGAGACTGTTGTGAGGTTAATCCATATAAAGCCCTGGAAAAAGCCTGTAGGGGAGAGACTGCTGTGAGGTTAATCCATATAAATCCCTGGAAGAAGTAGTAGGGAAAGACTGTTGTGAGATTAATCCATATAAAACCCTCTAGTAGTGCCTGACATATACTAGAACTCACATCAGTTTCTGTCATTTTATTATTGTTATGAGTATAATTAAGCTTTTTTTTTTAGGATTTGACTATATTTTGTAAATGGAAGTACTGCTACCAAAACCAGAATGCTATAAATAGAATGATGTCTTTTGTTTCCAAAGTTGACCTACTAGAGCAATGTAAATAAAAATAATAATAAAAGCAAGATATTTTGGTGGGAAAGTTATCTCAGGGTAAACACTGCAACCGCCAGTGCTGTGGGTGAGTATTCTCAGGGCAAATGGGTTAAAAGTGTGTGGCACCTGCCCCGTCTCTGCCCGTGCTTCCGCCTGTAAGACACGAGTTCCCCTTTGCCTTCTTCCATGAGTCAAAGCTCCCTGAAGCCTCCCCAGAGGCAGAGGCTGCCGTGCTTCCTGTATGGCCTGCAGAACGCTGAGCCAATTAAGCATCTTTTCTTTATAAATTATCTAGTCTCGAGTATCTCTTTATAGCAGTGTGAGAACAGACTAATACAGACAGCACCAACACTAACACTAGCACTAACACTCCACCAATGGCTTGGGCCCCCTTGGAACTCCTAGGGTGCTCACGGATTTGGGGCCCTGCCTGGGCGACATCTGTGTGACACGTGGCTTTTTTCTGCTGAGTCTGATGCTGGCTGTGTCTGACCCTCGGGTCTTGGAGCCGGTGGTTATGGTAAGCAAATCTGTTAGAGGCTTCTTGCTAGCACATCTGGCTGAGGCTCCGGGTGAGGCATCAGGAAGTTTGCACCCCTCCATTGCAGAGTTACCGCTCTGTTCCCTCCCTGGGCCCGATCCTTCCCTGGCCCAGGACAGGAGCCTTGCCCTGGGATGGCTGCAGTGTTGTCTGTCTTCAACCTTGTGAACTTGCAGCCAGTGCATGGGGTGGGGACAGACAACACTTGCTGTGTGTGAAGTCAGATGTTCCCACCCAGGTCCCATCGCTCCCACCAGGTGCATCCTGTGAAGTTCAGTGCTGTTGTGAGTGGGTTTTCCCGGGTGCTTTATTCTCATTTTTCCTTTCCCATCTTTGTTCCTGGGCTGACACAGTTTTCAGGGCTCATTTTATTTTTTCTGCTTGGATTCAAACACTGAGAAATTGAGGAGGGGGTATAGTGACCCCCACTCTGGGAGAAGAGGAGATTCAACCCTGCAATGATCAGAGAATGCACCGCACGCAGCGGTTTCCCCAGTTTTCCCTGCATTTGTCTTTACACAGCTGTGTACATTGCCCCACCCTCGACTCTGGATATACTGCCATTTTCTGGATATACTGCCACTTTGCAGAATTCCTGCCAGATCCTTTTCTATTCCTTCTTAAAAATTGATGTGTGATAGTTGTACATATTTTGGGGTACATGTGATATTTTGATACATCTATACAAAGTGCTGTGATCAGATCAGGGTAGTTGGGATATTCATCACCTCAAACATTTTTCTTTTGTGTTGGGAACATAATGATTCTCTTCTAGCTATATACAGTAATCTATACAACAAATTATTAACTGTAATTTGCCTACTGTGTTGTAGACTACTAGAACTTATTCCTTCTATCTGACTGTATTTTTGTACCTCTTAACTAACTTCTTTCCTGTCTTCCTTTCCTTCCCCAGCCTCTGGTAACCACTAGTCTACTCTCTACCTTCATGAGATCCACTTTTTAGCTCCCACGTGTGAGTGAAAACTTAGAAGTTTGTGTTTCTGTGCCTGGCTTATTTCACCAAACCACAGCCCAGTCCCAGCACCGATATTCCTAAACAACCTCAGCCCAGTCCCAGCACCGATTCCTAAACAACCTCAGCCAGTCCCAGCACCGATTCCTAAACAACCACAGCCAGTCCCAGCACCGATTCCTAAACAACCTCAGCCAGTCCCAGCACCGATTCCTAAACAACCACAGCCAGTCCCAGCACCGATTCCTAAACAACCTCAGCCAGTCCCAGCACCGATTCCTAAACAACCTCAGCCCAGTCCCAGCACCGATTCCTAAACAACCTCAGCCCAGTCCCAGCACCGATTCCTAGACAACCTCAGCCCAGTCCCAGCACTGACTCACTCACAGATGTGCATGTGCCAGTAACTTAATTGCCAGAAAAAACTCAACACTCTTAAGACGACAAAATCCAGCTCTTAACATGCAGTATCCACCGTATCCAGCATATAATAAACATTTTTCTAAAATACGGATCCTTCAAGGAAGAAAATTATTATAAAGGGGTATAAATGTTCCAATATTAATTAAGTTGACAACCAGTAACCCAATTTAAAGTGGTATTAAAATAATTTTCTTCATCGCAATAGATAATAAAGCTGATTTTTTTTACACAATTTTGAAAAGAGGAAGAGGGCTGTATTAATCACCGTACAGTATACAAGGTAATTTTGATAATCATTTTTCTGGTGAACAAGGCCCCATGGCGGCCTTGCCTGGCCTCAGGCAGAGTCTCTGATAAGTTGTTTGACATCCTTTGAGCTGCATTTCAACCACCATTGCCGCTCAACTCAGATTAAAAGCTGAAAGATGCTTTAGGAAAAGCACAACAATCATGCGTAATTTAAATCATATCTGTGGTTTTTCACTAACACCATAAATTACAACCTTCCTGCTGTAAGACTTCAAATCAGAACAAGGTGCCAGCTCCCTCCATGGTGGAGAAACACTGCACAGGGGGTGAGGGCTGTTCCAGTTCTGGTGTTCCCGTCCTGAAGGTGGAGAAACACTCCACAGTGGGTGAGGGCTGTTCTGGTTCTGGTGTTCCCATCCTGAAGGTGGAAAAACAGTGCACAGTGGGTGAGGGCTGTTCTGGTTCTGGTGTTCCCGTCCTGAAGGTGGAGAAACACTCCACAGTGGGTGAGGGCTGTTCTGGTTTTGGTGTTCCCGTCCTGAAGGTGGAGAAACACTCCGCAGTGGGTGAGGGCTGTTCTGGGTTCTCATGCTCCTGTCTTGAAGACTTCTCCATGAGGCTGATTCCCGTCATGGCTGTGGATTCACAGCTGTGGCTGGGGGCCCTGCTCAGAAGCTGCTTTGGAAGGGTGTTAGGTGAAATTTCAAATCCAGTTATGCAAATACACAGTATAGCTCCACTTACCACTTTTGTACCTACTCCTATTTATATTGTTAAATGGAATCTGAAGGTGTTTGAAAGAAACCATATTGATGATTTACGTGGAATCTGCTGTCAGATCTACAATTTAGAAAAATTAGTTTCAATCATCTTGTCAATGGTATCATCCAGAATTAGTTATTTCTCTTTGGAAACATGCATGGCAGTGGTTTGGGGAGGCCAGGTGTACTGTTTAAAACAGGATCCCAGACAGACCTGGCAAAGCAGCTGGCCTCAGACAAAAGGGAATTCGCTTTTCGTTTGAAGTTGGTTTATTCTGGTTTCATTCAGCCGTGCTGCTAGCAGCAAAGCCAGCAGACCCTTGGAGGAACAAGAATGCATTTTTCCCTTTGAGACCTGAGAAGCTGTACATCTAATTAAGCCGACACATTTTGAGGACTTTTTTTTTCTACCTAATGGTTTTCAAGACGACGTAAGCAGGAAAGAATGGTTGTTATCAACTGCTCTCCTGCAGAACTGTAACATACGGCAGCTGTAGAAGCTGGGGGGGCCCATGAGCCGAGCACGCACCCGCCGCCTCTCTGTCCTGCTCTGTCGTGGGACCAGGTATTGATGGAAGGCAGCAATTTCCCTAATTGGACGCAATGGTAGAAAAGTTAGATTTGGTATAATTAAGACTATAGGAAATTTTCTTTTAGATTGGTGTAATCTTTTCTGCCTAGCCATAGTTTGGAATGAACAAACCCTTACTTCCAGCTAAGGTCATATTCAGCATAAAGAACCCAGCTCAGGACTGATTGTGGTTAACATCAGTCTTGCACACTTTTTGTTGAGGGCCTTCACCACTGTAAAAATTCTGAGGACCCTTGTTTTGAGTGTGAAAGAACTGGGCATAGCATATTGTGGTTCTCCTCCTAGTTATTTTCAGTTCCTTGAGGAAAGCACGAGTACTGCTGCTCCAGGAAAGGCATCTGGGCAGGTTGGAGTCTGTCTCCGGGGGCCTGACAGCTCCCCCATCCAGCCCTTTGTTTTGCAGAAGAAGGTTCCAGTCCTCAGATTAAAATTTTACTGTTTAGATTTCATGATAGAAATTACCTTCCTAAATGCAGAGTTATATTAAAATACTTGCATATTTATTTATTTCAAGGTATTTTGTTCTTAGTTTGGCAGAAAAATCTGCCAACAGTACTTGGTGGCCGATTTAACGAACATGTAGAACTGCACTTTGTAATTGTCCACAGCGTGCTCACATTTCAAAACCTGAAACAAATTTCAGTTAGAGGTTTTTGTCAGGACCCCACTCTGCAAGCTCCATGCATTGCTGAATTTACGAGTGGCTCCCCCTGCAGCAGGGTGAGGGCTGAGAGCAGACGTAGGTGTTGACGTGAGAGCCGGAGCCCAGGGTGGCTGCACAGGCAGGGACAGGAGGAGTGTAGCTGCAGTTTCTGAGTTCTGTGTGCACGTGTGTGCCCACAGGGATATTGAGGTGCCACGTGCAGCTTCTGTGTGTGTGTGTGCACGTGTGTGTGGTGAGAGATGAGGTGCAGGGCGCAGTTCTCGTGTATGTACGTGTGTGTGCACGCACGCAGGTGTCTAGGTACTGTATGTGTGCCCACATGTGGAGACTCATATGCAGGATGCAGTTCTTATCCGATTCTTTTCCCGGCAAGGCCTGCTCAGTGCAGACATGGGAAGAGGCTGGAATCTGCAGCTTCAGGGGCTGCCCCAGCAGGACTTGTGGATGTAGACCCACCTCTCTCGGGCTTTAGGGTTAGGCATAATGGCTCATTATTAATGCTCAGCCAACTGTAAAGCTGCTCCAGGTCCTGCCCATCTCTGCCTGCTGGAGGAGGTGCCAGCCCTGCTGAGGCGGCCACATGTACCCATCAGTCACAGCCCCTGGGGCTCACTGGACAGGGCCTACTTGATGTTTGCTGTCAGGGACCCTGGACCCCAGAGACCCCATGCTTGGCCCTTCTGGGATCCACTGCTCTCCTCTGCTCTGGGCCCCATCCTGGGCACCCAGGCCCTGGCTCCACCCTGTCCTGCCATTGTAAGTTGCACGACGTTGCCCCTGAGGCCTCCAGCAAGCCTGGACAGCCCTGGCCTTCCTAGGAGGAAGAAGGGGCTGCTAGGCCTGAAGGTTCACCTGGGAGAGTCTTGGGTGCTCCCTTACCCATCTGCTCATGCAGCGAGACCTTCTTACCCTCAGGTGCTGCTCAGATGCCTCTTCTTCCGGGAAGCTGGCCTAGACTCAGGGCGCTGCTGAGGGCTCACTCTGGTATCCCACCTGCCCATCCCCGCCCTGGGTCTGGCCTCACCCTGAACTGTGAGTCCCTGGAGGACGGGGGTTGCCCTGGGCTGGGGCTTGGTAGGCATGTGTCAGTGAGGAGGGGAACTGAGCCAAGGCTTTCTCTGCACTTGCCCTGGTGTGGCCAGGAGCTCTGGCTGGACCTCGGTGGGGCTCATCAGAGAGCAGCTAGCATCACCACCTGGCCCACTAGCTCCCAATGCAGTGATCCGGGTGGGGCTGGGGCACCAGCTTGGGTCCAGGTGTGCCAGGTTTGTATACCTGGGCTTCAGGGATATAGGAATTAGAGTGTGGTGGAGTGGAGCAGCACCTTTCTGGCACAGTAACCACATAGGCTCAGGGAATTAGAAGAGAGGAGGCCTCGAAACAGAGACTACCAGCTTGACCCCAGACTCTGGAGCACCCAGCCATCCCCTGCCACCAGGTCCTGCGTCTCCAGTGGGCTTCCCTTGTGGATTGGGTTGGTTATGGGAATCGGAAAACCATTTCAGGGGAGTAAGACATTTGCTGGGTGAAGCTTTTCACCAGGACCTGGGAATCTCTCTAAATCTACTCAGGTGATAAAGTCAGTGCATTAGGAACCAGGGATGATGTGGCTTTTGGTGATTGCTGAACTCTTCAAAGAACGTAGAACAGAAACCCAGAGAGGCAAGGCACACTCCCTTCCTTCCCCCTTGCCGTCCTTCCTTCCTGGCACCCTGTTGTACCAACTTCGGGCCAACGGAACTTTTAGCCTTAGAAGCGTCTTCAGCATCTCCAGCGGAGAGGGTCAAGAATCCAAAATACACAGAAGCCTGAGTGGAAAGCAGGGCTGGTGTAGACAGACTGGGTGCAGATGGCTGGTGTAGACAGACGGTGCAGATGGCTGGTGTAGACAGACTGGGTGCAGATGGCTGGTGTAGACAGACTGGGTGCAGATGGCTGGGTGTAGACAGACTGGGTGCAGATGGCTGGTGTAGACAGACTGGGTGCAGATGGCTGGTGTAGACAGACTGGGTGCAGATGGCTGGGTGTAGACAGACTGGGTGCAGATGGCTGGTGTAGACTGAGTGCAGATGGCTGGTGTAGACAGACTGGGTGCAGATGGCTGGGTGTAGACAGACTGGGTGCAGATGGCTGGTGTAGACAGACTGGGTGCAGATGGCTGGTGTAGACAGACCGACCTGCACACCAAGCCCTGTTTGGGACGAGGCTTCCTAGACAGGTTTTGATTCAATGGTGGTTTCTGACTGCACAGACAGGAAACCAGAGATGGGCACGGGTACCTGGGCCAGACGCCAGGAGCCATCACTGGGTCCTGATGGGCCTGAATGGCTGTGACCAGGTGGCAGCCCAGAGCGAGCCTCCTGGGGGTGTGGGTTTCACACCTGGCTTTCTCATTCACCACCCTGCTGTGCTAAGAAAGTGGCCATTGATGGGAACTGGGGCAGAGCAGGGACAGTGTGGGTCCCCCGCTGTCCCCAGGGCCCTGCTTGAAGGAGCCACGGGTGTCTGCTGCCCACGGATGTCTTGCTTTTTGCAGGGAAATCAGGAGGTCAGAGTTTGAGACCAGCCTGGCCAACATGGTGAAACCCCATCTCTACTGAAAATAGCAAAATTAGCCAGGCGCGGTTAGTGGTGGTACACACCTGTAGTCCCAGCTACTCGGAAGGCTGAGAGAGGAGAATCACTTGAACCCGGGAGGTGGAGGTTGCAGTGAGCCTAGATCACACCACTGCACTCCAGCCTGGGTGACAGGGCAAGACTCTGTCTCCAAAAAAAAAAAAAAAAAAAAAAAATCCAGCCAGAGGCAAAGGCCACAGCAGTGAATTAAAAGTACCTCCCATACCCACCCCCAGGTGCCACACCCTGGGCTACAGCATTGTGGGTATCACCATGTGTTGGTGCCAGAGGGACACGCTAACCCACGGGTGACACAGAAGCTGGGCTGGGCTGGGCTGTGTCCCCTGTGGGCGTGGAGCTGCGAGCCAGGGAGTGCAGATAGGGTGAGAAACAAGCATCTTAACTTTAAAATGTTACCCTCGTTTCAATAAAATTTTAAAGTTAATTGGGAAAATAAATCCTTCATTGAAGAGTGAAGCTTTAAAATGGGTTTTCGGACACCGTCTTCCATTCCTGCTCTACCGCCACCGCCCCATTGGCTAAGTGATTGCACAGAGTTCAGGGCAAAGCTCAGCGAAGTGCCAAGGGACTGGCGGGCACCGGAACTGTACCAGCTGCTCTGCAGCACACGTGCACACACTGGTTGCTCTGCAACACACATGCACACATCCACACAATCAGCAACACACGTGCACACACCCACACAATCTGCAACACGTGCACACACCGGTTGCTCTGCAACACACATGCATACACCCACAAAATCTGTAACACACGTGCACACACCCACACAATCTGCAAGACACGTGCACACACCCACACAATCTGCAACACACATGCACACACCTGTACAATCTGCAACACACGTGCACGCACCCACACAGTCTGCAACACACGTGCACACATCCAGTCTGCAACACGTGCACACACCGGCCACTCTGCAACGCACATGCACACATCCATACAATCTGCAACACATGCACACACCGGCCACTCTGCAACACACATGCACACATCCACACAATCTGCAACACACATGCATACACCCACACAATCTGCAACACACGTGCACGCACCCACACAGTCTGCAACACGTGCACACACCGGCCACTCTGCAACACACATGCACACATCCACACAATCTGCAACACACGTGCACACACCCACACAATCTGCAACACACGTGCACACACCCACACAATCTGCAACACACGTGCACACATCCACACAATCTGCAACACGTGTGCACACTGGCCACTCTGCAACACACATGCACACATCCACACAATCTGCAACACACGTGCACACACCCACGCAATCTGCAACACACGCGCACACATCCACACAATCTGCAACACGTGTGCACACACCGGCCACTCTGCAACACACGTGCACACATCCACACAATCTGCAACACACGTGCACGCACCCACACAATCTGCAGCACACGTGCACACATACAAAATGCAACACGTGTGCACACACCAGCCACTCTGCAACAAACGTGCACACATCCACACAATCTGCAACACGTGCACACACCCGCACCGTCTGTCCCTCAGTGAGGCTCATGATCTCGTAAACTGGAAGGCCCTCGGGTTTGAAGTCAGCACACGTTTGTACATTTGGCAGAAACAAGAATCCTGAGTTCTACAAAGACAAGAAATTGGGCTGAGCTGGTGGACCTGTGCTTGCAGGTCCCCTGCCCTGTGTCTGCTCTCTCTCCTGGCCCCGAGGCCTGGACACAGCTGGCAGGGGTTCCTCTGTCCGTACACTGCACCTGGCCAGGCTTACACTCCTTCGGAGTCCTGCACACACACTGCAGCTCCCTCATCATGAGCAGTCATCTAGTGGCACCCCCAAAGGTGCTCCCCAGAATCGGGATGCTGCAGACACATCAGGCCAGGAGACAGCACACACTCCGCCCTCAAAGGACACAGGACTCAGGAGCATTCGAAGGCTGCTATGAATAAACCTGGTTCATGGCTCACTTGGGTTACTCAGCACCTCAACCTACCCAATTCTCAGTCTGCAGGCAGCTTCCCTGGGGCAGCTCTGGCCTGGCCCAGGCCCTGAGTGGCCCCAGTGGGAGTCATCCTGGGGAGGTGGTGCAGGTGGGACCCACTGAGTGGAGCATGGGGCCTGCCCCAGTCACCATGGAATCAGGCAGAGGTAGGGTCAGGGCTTGACAGCGCAGTGCACCAGCCATCTCCTTCCTTATGTCGGGCGGTTGAGACGGTGGCCCTGGAGAAGGTGGCCCTGGACAGAGCTCTGGGCTGCTGACCACATCTGGACTTGAGGGTGGGGGAGGAATGGGCCTGGATTTGGGAATCAGAGAAGTAGGAGGACGTCTCTTCCGGGGATGGCCCAGTGTCGGCATTTCAGCTCCTGCAGAATACGTCTCTCCCGGGGATGGCCCAGTGTCGGCATTTCATCTCCTGCAGAACAGGCCTCTTCCGGAGATGGCCCAGTGTCGACATTTCAGCTCGTGCAGAACAGGCCATTCGAGATGCCTCTCCTAGATCATGTTCCTCTTCCTTCCTGCCCATTTCTCCTGTGTCAATTGAGCATTTGCCCCAAATCCTAAAGCACAGCCATCCTGGTGCCCGATGTGGGTGATTCTGTCCCCGGCCTGAGACAGGCCCACTCATTCTCATGGACTGTGTGACCCTGGCCTGAGACGGGCCCACTCATTCTCATGGACTGTGTGACCCTGGCCTGAGACGGGCCCACTCATTCTCATGGACTATGTGTTTGCTGTGTGGCTCAGGTGTGATTTGAGTTTTTGGAAATTAGATCACATAGCATTTCTGCATGAACTCAGACTGTATTTAGATCATTCCTGTCAACAAGTGAGTGGCCCTGTCGGGTGAGTGAGAACGAGCCAGTGTGTGCAGGGAAGGGAGCTGACCCATGGGGTGGCAGGGCCGGCAGGAGGCTCTACTGTGGGACACAGGACTCAGGAACCCAGCCCTGAGCTTCCCTGAGTCACGCAGTTTCCAGAAGCTGAGCTCTGCTGCAGGTACCTCCAGTCACAGGCCCAGCTGACAAGACAGACCCTTCTCCCACTGCAGGCCAGAGGAGTCCCTGTTTTATTTTCAATTTCCTTAGGAAATTATCTGTGTGATTAGCTATTCAGAGGTGTTTCTCATGTAACTGTCGTGCCATTATAAAAACTGACTTCACAATTTTTAGCTTCTTTGGCTTTCACTGCCTTGCAGTTCTTTTCTACAGACATGAGCCTTGTGGTATTTCCTCAGGGATTGTTACTCTAAAAACAGCATTACAAATTTTTAAACAAGAATCATTGCCTCTTCATAAAAGCATGTTGCACCAAAATGCCAAGCGGAAGTCAGTGGCCAATGATCCTGTTTTTAGGGTGCCAAATGGGCACAATTCAGCAGCCTTGAGGAGGGCACCCTAAGGTTTTCACCATCAGTACTGTTTAAATGAAAACAAAATCATCGACACAATTAAAATGTATTTGCTGTGGGATGAGCTTGTTTTCTGAGAACAAAGTGGCGCGTGGGCCAGCTTTGTCCTCCCCACAAGTGGTTGTCCCCTCCTCCCTGTACAAACCCAGGAGAGCCGGGAGGAGCAGCTCCCGCAGGACTCACAGCCCCACCCCAAAGACCTTATGCTGTTCAGGTGCAGGGGATGAAACTTACCCTAAATCTAGGCTTGGTTGTGCCTCAGTGTGAGTGTTATAGGAATGGCAGCCCACATTTATAGAGGTGGTATATAGAGCCCCTGCCCCAGGACAGGGCCACGGGTCTGCCTAATGCACCTGCCCCTCTGCTGTGTGACAGCACAAGGAGAACCACCAGGAGCTCGCCCTGCACCATGGATTCGCCTGCACATTTTGTCTTTCTCAGTTAACTCACATCATGCCAGACACAGGACAAGGGACTTCCGTGTGGATCCTTCAGTGCCAGCCTTGGACTGTGGTGTGCACCTGTCTTGAGTTATGTCCCTAAAGTTTCTGAATTCTCTCTTTCATTTCAGGATCTGGAATCTCTTGATGCCTGTATCCAGAGGACGCTCTCTGCCTTGTACCCACCGTTTGAAGCCACGGCAGCCACGGTGCTCTGGCAGCTGTTCAGCGTGGCCGAGAGGTGCCACGGTGGGGACGGGCTGCACTGCCTCACCAGCTTCCTCCTCCCAGCCAAGAGGGCCCTGCAGCACCTGCAGCAGGAAGCCTGTGTGAGTACCTCCCTTGTAGCTCTGAGACCGTGGCCAACCTGGAGGAACCTGCCCTTTCCCTGGGCAGGGCAGGAATTGGGCCCATCAGGGCACTGGCTCAGTTCTTTCCTCTGGCTTCTGGCTCCTCCCACCCTCATCCCAAATGAAGGGTCAAACAAGGCTGCATGTCCCAGCAACAAGGGTTTCTCAGGCTTCCCAGGAGTGTGGAGCCCTCTTTGTCCCCCACCCCCAATAAACTTGCACTGCATTCTTTGAAGGAAGTAAATAAGTCATTCTTCAGAGCAGGTATCTCAGAACTAAGTTACTACAGCAGTCACAATGCCGGCCCACCTGGAAGGGACTGTACTGAGCACTTCAGAGCTAAGTTACTGCAGCAGTAACAATGAAGGCCCACCTGGAAGGGATAGTAGTGAGAACCTCAGAGCTAAGTCAGTGCAGCAGTCACTGTGCAGGCCCACCTGGAAGGGATTGTGGTCTCAGTTCCAGACCAGCAAAGTAAGGCAGATACCACGCTAATGCCAGACACACAAAGTTTTTGGTTTCCCAGCGCATATACAAGTTACGTTTACACTATAGTCTAAGTGTGCAGTAGCATTAGGTCTAAAAACAGCATACATACCTTAATTTTAAAATATTGATCAAAAATGCTAATGATTATCTGAGCCTTTGGTGAGTCATAATCTCTTTATTGGTGGAAGGTCTTGCCTTAATGTTGATGGCTGCTGACTGATCATGGAAGTGGTTGCGGAAGGCTGGGGTGGCTGTGGCAGCTTCTTAAAATGAGACCACAATGAAGTTTTCCACATTGACTCTTCCTTTTATGAACGATTACTCCGACAGGCAATACTGTTTGACAGCATTTTACCCACCATAGAACTTCGTTCAGAATTGGAGTCGATCCTCTCACATCCTTCTGTTTATCAACTAAGTTTATGGAGTACTCTAAATCCTTTGTTGTCATTTCAACAGTGTTCACAGCATCTTCATCAGGAGCAGATTCCATATTTTGGTGTTTGTTTGTTTTTTTGAGATGGAGTCTTGCTCTGTCACCCAGGCTGGAGTACAGTGGTGCAATCTCAGCTCACTGCGACCTCCGCCACCCAGGTTCAAGCAATTCTCCTGCCTCAGCCTCCTGAGTAGCTGGGATTACAGGCACCCACCACCATGCCTGGCTGATTTTTGTGTTTTTAGTAGAGGTGGGTTTCACCATGTTGGCCAGGCTGGTCTTAAACTCCTGACCTCAGGTGATCCACCCGCCCCAGCCTCCCAACAGATTCCATCTTAATAAACCATGTTCTTTGCTCATCCATAAGAAGCAATTCCTCATCCATTCAAGATTTATCCTGAGATTGCAGCAGTTCAGTTACATCTTCAGGCTCCACTTCTAATCCTAGTTCTCTTGGTATTTTCCCCACATCTGCAGTTCCTTCCTCCATGGGAGGCTTGAACCCCTCAGTGTCATCCATGAGGGTTGGAATCAACCTCTTCTAAACTCCCCTTCATGTTGATATTCTGACCTCCTCTCATGAATCTTAAATATTCATAATAGCATCCAGAATGGTGAATCCTTTCCAGAGGTTTACAATGTGCTTTGCTGAGATCCATCAGAGGAATCACTCTCTATGGCAGCTATAGTCTTACAAAATGTATTTCTTAAAAAGACTTGAAAGTCAAAATTACTCTTGAGCCATAGGCTGCAGAATGGATTTTGTGTTACCACAGATGGAAACATTTATCTGCTTGTACATCTTCATCAGAGCTCTTGGGTGACCACATGTACTGTTGGTGAGCAGTAATATTTTGAAAGGAATCTTTTTTTCTGAGCAGTGGGTCTCAACAGTGGGCTTAAAATATCGAGTAAACCATGCTGTAAACAGACGTGCTGTCATCCAGGCTTTGTTGTTCTATTTATAGAGCAAGGCCAAGTAGACTGAGCATGATTCTTAGGGGCCCTGGGAGGTTCAGAATGGTCCATAAGCATCAGCTTCAACTGAAAGTCCCCAGCTGCACCAGCTCCTAACAAGAGAGTCAGCTTGTCCTTTGAAGCTTTGAAGGCAGGCATTGACTTTGCCTCTCTAGCTAGGAAAGTCCCAGACAGCATCTTCTTCCAATAGAAGGCTGTTTTGTCTACGTTGAAAATCTGTTGTTAAGCACAGCCACCTTCATCAATGGTCTTAGCCAGATCTTCTGGATTACTTGCTGCAGCTTCTCCATCAGTACCTGCTGCTTCACCTTGCATTTTTACGTTAAGGAGATGGCTTCTTTCCTTAAACCTCATGAACTCACCTCTGTTAGCTTCAAGCTTTTCTTCTGCAGCTTCCTCACCTCTCTCAGCCTTCATAGAACTGAAGAAAGTTAGGGGCTTCATCTGGGTTAGGCTTTGGCTTAAGGGAATGTTGTATCTAGGGTTTGCTCTTCTATCCAGACCACAAAGACTTTCTCCATGTCAGCAATAAGGCTGTTTCTCTTTCATATCATTTGTGTGTTCCTTAGAGTGGACTTTTAATTTCCTTCGGTAGCTTTTCTTTAGTGTTTACAGCTTAGCTGACTTCTAGGTGCAGGAGGCCTAGCTTTTGGCCTGGCTGGGGCATTCAGCATGCCTTTCTCACAAAGCTTAATCATTTTTAGCTTTTGATTTAACATGAGAGATGTCCAACTCTTCCTTTGACTTGAACGCTTAGATGCCATTGCAGGGTTGTTACTTAGCCTAATTTCAATATTATTGTGTCTTAGGGAATAGGGAGGCCCAAGGAAAGGGAGAGAGATGGAGGAATGGCCAAGTCAGTGGAGCAGACTTCGGAACACACACAATGTTTATTGATTAAGTTTGCTGTCTTATATTGGCATGGTTCATGGCACACCAAAACAATTACAATAGTAACATCAAAGGACTCTGATTATAGATCATCATAACAGATATAATAATAATGAAGGAGTTTGAAATATTGTGAGAATTACCAAAATGTGACACAGAGACACAGGGTTGCCACAAATCTTCAGTACGTGAAAAATGCATTATCTGCAGAGCTCAATCAGCTGGAACACAGTAAAACAAGATATGTCTGTACATACAGATAAGTCCCACTTAATGAATTTATTGTATGTTTAGTCTGTTTCTTGGGATATTTATGCTGTAGTTGTTCTTGAGGCCGGGGTAAAACTGTAGTGATAGCCGGGTTGTGGGTGTGTTGCAGCGAGCTGCTGGAAGGCACCTGGCTAGGTCCTAAAAAGCACAGCCTTTCTTAACAGCACAACTTAGCACTCCACTGAAATTGAATTAGGGCGTTGTTTTGAAACTACCACTGGGCCACTTTGGTTTATTAGACTCGTTGAGTGTCTTTTGGTTAGAATGACAGGGCTAGGGGAGGGGCCAGGCACAACCTAGATTTGATTCCTTATGTGAGGTGGTCTGTTCAGAAGACGTTTTCCTTTGTGAGGATGTACCTTTTGCATATTGCAAGGATGTTGACTGATGTGGGGAAGAAACAGAGAGGTGCCTGCTGGAGCCCCACTGCTTTCGCTGCGTCTGAAAACGCGTGGCTGCTTTCAAAGGCCTGCCTGTTTCACCTTCTTTCTGTGAAGTTTCTTTTTCCTCTCATTTTAATCAAAAACCATCCCTCTCCCAACCTACAAAATTGCTTGTCTTCTGGAAACGTCATGTGAATTATGGTACTTTAATATGGATGCATATTTACTAGTACTTAATAAGCACAACACAAAACTTAGGGACAGTCTACTTGATTTTATATTAATTTTTGCTTTTGAATGATAAAAATAAAATTTGTTCATCTCTATAACAGGAGAAAAATGCATTTACCTTAACTGCTATGAATAGATGAATATAAACAGTTGATATAAGTTCAATTCTGTTTTTATTCATTTATCCACTGTTGTCAAAATATGTGGTTGGGAAATCATTATTAATAATATTAATATTGAGATAAATGGTCATGTGAAGCTAAGACTTGAGTGATTACTGTTGCCTGTCTCCCAACCCTCAGCCAATAAATGACATGCTTAATCACTTATCAAGTTATTTGTCACTTTGTTTCATCACAATTTGAGAAATGTGATGGAGAAGACACATATCCAGAAATGTGTCTGGAGAAGTTTAGAGAAAAGGGCCCGGTGCGGTGGCTCACACCTGTAATCCCAGCACTTTGGGAGGCCGAGGAGGGTGGATCACCTGAGGTCAGGAATTCGAGACCAGCCTGGCCAACATGGCAAAACCCCATCTCTACTAAAAACACAAAAGTTAGCCGGGCGTGGTGGCAGGTGCCTGTAGTCCCAGCTACTCAGGAGGCTGAGGCAGGAGAATCTCTTGAACCCAGGAGATAGAAGTTGCAGTGAGCTAGGATTGTGCCACTACACTCCATCCTGGGCAACAGAGTGAGACTGTCTCAAAAAGAACAAAAAACGTTTAGGGAAAAGTAATCAGAAAAATATAGAAACAGGATATTTCCATAAAAGAGAGACAGAAGTGAGCTGGGAATTAGAATAAAATAAATGAAATCAATCAAATAGAAATCAGAAAAGGAGGAGGGAGTTAACAGAATAAAGCCATGGGAAGTAAAAAGCACAATGTCTGTGACACGAGTCTAAAAAATAATAGACCAGCAACATTCAAAGGATTACTGGTGTGGCAATGTTCATAACAAACTAAATATCATAAAAGGCAAAGTGCATCATTGTTGGGTCTAAAGAAGATCATTCAATAATAATACTAGTAACAAAAAGCCAGGAAGACATGATCTGTGAACCCCTAACAACATAGTCCAAAAATGTGTGAAATATAAATGGACAGAATTGCCAGGAGAAATCCAGAATTACCGTAGGAGATTTCACCTCTCTCAAAAGCAGACGGGGTAAGCAGACCACACACTGCTTGGGATATACATTAAACACACTGACTCTCTTCCATTATGGGGCATACGTAGAGTGCTGAGCCCAGCAACTTTAGAATCCTTCCCAAGTACACATGGATCACTTTCCAAAGTTAACCAAAATCTGATAAAATTCTTGTCCATTTAGAAACATTTATCTCAAGGGTGTATGATCTCTTTGTGTTATTTTTGCTCTCAAGATTACAATATGCATCTTTAACTCACTACAGCCTAACTTCAATTAATATTTTAAAGTTCATGAGGGTTGGAATCAACCTCTTCTAAACTCCCCTTCATGTTGGTATTTTGACTTCCTCTCATGAATCTTAAATGTTCATAATAGCATCCAGAATGGTGAATCCTTTCCAGAGGTTTACAATGTACTTTGCCCAGATCTAGGGTAATAATACCTCTCAGTAGTATAATTTCATTTGCTCCCCAACACTTTGTCTTTTGTTGTCATATATTATATATATATATGATTAGAGGATATTGGAGAGCCCACATTCTTCTCCTCCTCCTTCTTTTTTTTTTTTTGAGACAGGGTCTCACTCTGTCACCCAGGCTGGAGTGCAGTGGTGCGATCATGGCTCACTACAGCCTTGACCTCCTGGGCTCAAGCGATCCTCCCACCTCAGCTTCCAAACTAGCTAGGACTACAGGCGTGTGCCACCACACCTGGCTAATTATTTTATTTTTAAAATTTTTTGTAGAGATGGGCTTTCAGTATGTTTCCCAGGCTGGTCTCAAACTCCTGGGCTTAAGTGATCCTCCTGCCTCAGCCTCCCAAACCACTGGGATTACAGGTGTGCGCCACCATGCCCAGCCTTCTTAAGTGTACATGTAGCTTACTAGGATTGACCATTGTCCGTAAAGTGTCAACAAATACCAAAGAATTTATATCTAAAGGCCACAGTGCAATAAAACTAGAAATCAACAACAAGAAACCCTTACATTTGGAAAATGTTTTTACCCATTTATGTTTAATGTTCCATTATTGGAACACTAAGCTTGTGGGAGTTATTTATATCCTACTGCTGAATGTCATCGCCAAGGTCTGATTTTTCACACACAAAAAATTTGCAACCTCCAGCATAAATGGGTTAATGTACTGCTAAATAAAGGATGACAAAACCACCAAGGAAATTGTCAAAATATTTAGAGCCAAAGAACAGATGTGTCCAGTTACAATGTGGAGGAACATGAAGACCTTTACCACCAAAACAATAAGAAACCCCTAGAGGAGCCTACACAATTGCATCGTCCTTCAAAGCCACCCAAGAGGTATGGATATGGAAGACACCTAAAAGGACCAAACTGTGGAGAGACAGTGCCGTCCTAAATGAGTAAATAACAGAAGCCACTGTCATGCCTGGGGCCAGTCACTGAGGCTGGAGGAGGATGGAGAGGGGAGCAAGCCCACTAGAGAAGGACCTTCTTTGCTGAGACAAGGAGAAATCAGCAAAATTTAGGAAACCTCTGGGCTGACAGATTAGAATCTGAAGGAGCCTTGAATGCACGTGGATCTTCTCTACCAAGTAATTCTCTTATAGGGAATTTTGCTGAGTAAGTGGAAATGGAAGGAGGGACTAGAAAGCAAAAAGAAATCTCAGAATCTCATAGTCACATGGGCTGGGTGCACTGGCATTATCACGCCTGTAATCCCAGCACTTTGCAAGGCTGTGGGGGAGAATCGCTTGAGCCCAGGAGTTCAGTAGCATCCTGGGCAACATGTGAGAGCACAGCTCTACAAGAATTTTTCTAAAACTTAACCAGTCATGGTGGGTGGTGCATGCCTGTGGTCCCAGCTACTTGGGAGGCAGAGGTAAGAGGATTACTTGAGCCTGGGAGATGGAAGCTGCAGTGAG
Source organism: Homo sapiens (assembly GCF_000001405.40). Taxonomy (NCBI): domain Eukaryota; kingdom Metazoa; phylum Chordata; class Mammalia; order Primates; family Hominidae; genus Homo; species Homo sapiens. The sequence goes on from NC_000005.10 coordinate 120,200, forward strand.
CTCTGATAGTACCACTGCACTTGGCCTGGGCAACACAGCAAGACCCTGCTTCAAAAGCTAAATTATAGTCATACAGTTCCAAAGAGTTGTGATCTCCAACTCTTACAGTCTCATGGTCTCAAAATCTCATCGTCTAACAGTCTTAAAATTTCAGTCCCACGGTTTCAACATCTCTCAGTTCTTATTCCAGACTCCCCCTGGAGAGAGAGAGATGGACTCACCATCAAAGGATTTGAAACTAGAGATAGGCTGAAATTAATCAACCTTAAAACCAAACTCCACCCAATTAAAATCTGATAAGAAGGTCCTGGTGGCCAGTGAAGTCTGAGGCTGGGCTGAAAGGTGGAGAGAGATCTCATTGCACTCCTGTAGCTTTAATTCCAAGGCTTTCATAGAGGAATTAAAGCCACAACCCTGCCCCAAATTGGCTCTGTTTCCAAATGCATTACACTGATAAGCCCCTCACCTAACTGCCTAACAGAAGAAAGAACATTTCCTCTTGAAAGGAAACATGCCTGCATTAGACAAAATCTCTGAGATAAAATTTAAGAATTGGTGATTTGCAAAGGTACCAGATTTTATCAGTTCATAAATAACAGCAAAATTCTCAATAGAAACAGACCACCCAGGTGTTGGAATTATCAGACAGAGACTTCTTAAAAACTATAATAAATATATTAAATAACCTATAAGTAATATGGCAGATGAAGTAGATGAAGAGGTGGAGAGTTTCAGATTTCGAAAGTATTTTAAAAGAAGAAAATGGGCCAGGTGTGGTGGCTCACGCCTGTAATCCCAGCACTTTGGGAGGCTGAGGCAGGCGGATCACGAGGTCAGGAGATCGAGACCATCCTGGCTAACACGGTGAAACTCCATCTCTACTAAAAATACAAAAAAATTAGCCAGTCATGGTGGCGGGTGCCTGTAGTCCCAGCTACTCGGGAGGCTGAGGCAGGAGAATGGCGTGAACCCGGGAGGTGGAGCTTGCAGTGAGCCGAGATCGTGCCACTGCACTCCAGCCTGGGTGACAGAGTGAGACTCCGTCTAAAAAAAAAAAGAAAAAGAAAATGGAAATCTCCAAACTAAAAAATACAAGATCTGTAATTAAAATGCTTAGTGAATGGGATTAATGCAGATTGGACACAACAAAGAAAGGATACATGAATTTGAAGACTTGCCAAAGAAAGTCATCCAAATGGAAGCACAGAGAGAAAGGAGAATGAGGAAACAATGAACAAAACCTCAGTAACTGGTGTCATTATCAAGCAGTCGAAATGTGTATAGTTGCATTCACAGAAGGGGAGGAAAGTGAGAAAAGGGCAGGACAAATAAAGAAGTATTGTTAGATTTTTTTCAATTTGTTTAAAACCGGAAACACCTGAATCCAGGAAGCTCGTCATCACCTGACAGAGGAAGGAGGCAAACTGCATGCATCAGGGAACAGTAAGAATGACCGATGACTTCCTCAGAAGCACTGGGCTTCAGAAGACAATGGAAAAACATCTTTTAAGTGTTGAAAGAAAAAAATTCTATATCCAGCAAAAATAAATGTCTACATCCAGCAAAAATATCTTTCAAACATGAAGGCAAAATAATGACACTTTTAGGTTAATAAAAGAGTAGACCAGCAGAGGTGAATAAAAGAAATGCCAAAGGGTGGTCTTTAGGTTGAAGGGAAATGATACTAGATAGGTGAAGGGTACAAGAAAGGCTAAATACGTGAGTAAATATGAATGTCTTTAAAAGATTATTAACTACTTAGATCAGTGTATCATGGGGTTTTTAATCAATGTAAAAGTAAAATATATGACAACAAAAGCACAAAATGTTGGGGAAAGTAAATGAAATTATACTACTGAAAGGTTATTACATTGTTTCGAATTTTAAAATATTAATTGAAGTTAGGCTGTAGTGAGTTAAAGATGCATATTGTAATCTTGAGAGCAAAAATAACACAAAGAGATACAACTAAATATTCAAGAGATAAAATGGAATCCAAAAAATAGAGGATGAAAGGAAGAACAAAAGAACAAAGAATAGATTGAACAAATAGAAATTATATAACAAGATGATAGATTTGATTCAACCATATCAATAATTATTTTAAATGTAAACCAAACACTCCATGTAAAAGGCAGAAATGGACAGACTCAAAAAAAGGCAAGAGCAACTGAACGTTCGTTGTATAAAATGCCCTTTATTTTTATTTATTTATTTATTTATTTATTTATTTATTTTTAGATGGAGTCTTGCACTGTCTCCTGGGCTGGAGTACGGTGGTGCGATCTTAGCTCCCTGCAACCTCTGCCTCCCAGGTTCAAGCAGTTCTCCTGCCTCAGCCTCCCGAATAGCTGGGATTACAGGCATCCACCACCACGCCCAGCTAATTTTTTGTATTTTTAGTAGAGATGGGGTTTCACCATGTTGGCCAGGCTGGTCAGATCTCCTGACATCAGGTGATCCACCTGCCTCGGCCTCCCAAAGTGCTGGGATTACAGACATGAGCCACCGCACCTGGCCAAAATGCCCTTTAAATATAAAGACACACAAAAATGGAACCTAAAAAAATGGGAAAATACCACTAAGTGTAAGAAAGTATGTGGTGGATTAATATCAGATAAGTAAGATTTCAAGACAATGAGTATTACCAGAGACAGATAGGGACAATTTGTGGCAACAAAAGGCTCAATTTATCAACACAGTACCTAATAATAGAGTTTCAAAATACATAAAACCAAACAATTGTCAGCAGTAAATGTCGATTTTTTACCCTCTCCTCTCAGCAATTCATAGAACAATTGGAAAAAAAATCGTTAAGAATATCAAAAACCTGAACAACGTTAATAATAAACTTGACCTATTTGACATTTATAGAACATTGCACACAACAAATGCAGAATACACATTCTTTTGAAGGTCACATTGAACCACTTCACAAAATAAACTACATACTGTAGATGATTTTTTTCAAAGTATCAATAATTTTCTAAGGACAGAGATCAGAGTTTTTTTTTTCTGACTACAGTGTTATTAAACCAAAGCTCAATAACATAAAAGAGATAACTAGAAACTCACAAAATACTTGGAAATTATGTATTTCTAAATAATCCATGGGTAGAAAAGATTACAATGTCCATAAGGGATATTAGTCTATATTTTTCTTTTGTCTGATATCTTGGTAATGCTTCTTAGAATGAGTTAGGAAGTATTCCCTCCTCTTTAATTTTTTGGAAAAATTAGAGAAGGGGTGGTATTCTTCTTTAAATGTTTGGTAAAATTCACCAATGCAACCATGAGTTCCAGGCTTTTCTTTGTTAAAAGATTTTTAAATTACTGATTCAATCTACTTAGCAGTCATAGGTATATGCACATTTTAAATTTCTTCCTGATTTAATCTTGGTAGGCTTTGTGTCTCTAGGAATTAATCTAGATTATCCAATTTATTGATGTACAGCTAATAATAATTTTTCATAATCCTTTTTATTTCTGTAGAATCAGTAGTAAGTAATATCCCCTCTTTAATCTGATTTTAGTAACATGAATCTTCTTTTTTCAGTCCACTTGGCTAAAGGTTTGTCAACTTTTTTTATCTTTCCAAAGAACCAATTGTTGGTTTCATCCATTTTGTCTCACGTTTTTCTATTCTTTCATGTATCTCTGTTCTAATCTTTATTGTTTCCTTTCATCTGCTAGCTTTGGGTTTAGTTTTTTTCTTCTTTTTCTAGTTCCTTAAGTTGTAAAGTTAGGTTGTTGATTTGCGATCTTTACTTTTTAAAAATGTAAGCATTTATAGCTATAAATTTCCCCCTTAATGCTGCTTTTGCTGCCTCCCGTAAGTTGTAATATGTTGTGTTTTTGTTTTCATTTCACTTCAAACATTTTCTCATTTTTCTTGTGATTTCCTTTTTGATCCATTGTTGATTAATTTCCACAATTTTGTGAATTTTTCAGTCTTATTTCTGTTATTGACTTCCAACTTCATCCCTTTGTGATCGGCGAAGATAATTTGTATGATATCTATCTTTTTAAGTTTACCGAGACTTAATTTGTGGCCTAACATATGTTCTACCCTGGAAGTTGTCTCATGTGTGCACTTGAGAAGCATGTGTATGTCCAGCAAAAATACCTTTCAAACATGAAGGCAGAATAATGACACTGCTGGCTAGAGTGTTCTGCATATGTCTGTTAGATGGAGTTGATTTATGGTGTTGTTAAAGTCCTCCATTTTTAAAAATACATCTTCTGTCTGGTTCTTCTGTCCATTGACAGTGAAACAGTGAGGTATTGAAGTCTCCAACAATTATTGTAGAGCTGTCTGTGTCTGTCTTCAGTTCTGTTAGTTTTTGCTGCATACATTTTGATGGTCTGTCATTTGGTCTGTAAATGTCTATAATTGTTATATCTTCTTGCTGTATTTAACCTTTTCTTAATATATAAGGTTCTTCATGGTATCTGGTAACATTTTATGATTTAATGTCTATTTTATCTGACATTAGTATAGTCATTCCTGCTGTCTCTTGGTTACTATTTGTGTGGATATATTTTTCCGTCTTTTCAGTTTGGATCTGTTTATGTCTTTGAATCTCAAGTGAGTCTTTTGTGGACACCATATAGTTGGATCATGTGGGATTTTTTCAAAAATCCATTTTGCAGGCTGGGTGTGGTGGCTCACACCTGTAATCCCAGCAGTTTGGGAGGCCAAGGTGGGTGGATCACCTGAGGTCAGGAGTTTGAGACAGCCTGGCCAACATGGTGAAACCCCGTCTCTACTAAAAATACAAAAATTAGCTGGGTGTGGAGGCGTGCGACTGTAATCCCAGCTACTTGGGAGGCTGAGGCACGAGAATCCCTTGAACCCAGGAGGCAGAGGTTGCAGTGAGCTGAGATCACACCACTCAACTCCAGCCTGAGTGACAGAGTGAGACTTAAAAAAAAATCAATTTTGCCAGTTTCTGTCTCTTGATTGGGTAACACATTTATGTTTAAAGTAGTTACTGATAAACAGGGGCTCCTGTCATTTGTCCATTTGTTTTCTATGTATGTGCTGTATAGCTTTTTTGTCCATTTCCTGCATTACTGTCTTCTTCAGTGTTTAGTTGATTTTTTGTAGTAAAAGTCTTAAATTCTTTCCTTGTTTCCTTTTGTGTACATTCTATAGCTATTTTCCTTTTGATTACCATGGGGATTACACTTATTATCCTAAAGTTATAACACTAATTTGAATTTATACAAGTTTAACATTAATAACATAAAAAAATTCTGTTCCTTTACAGCTCTGTCTCACCCCTTTTGGTTGCTGATGTCAGAAAATTACATCTTTATACTTTATTAGTATGAAGTATTACTAATTATTACTAGTAGTATGAAGTATTAAACATAATCTAATAATTCTTATAAATATATTAGTGTCTTAAATCATGTAGAAAACAAAAAGGCAGTTACAAGCCATTGTTACAATAATACTAGCTTTCATAATTTGCATATATTTACCTGTATTGAAATCTTTATTTCTTCATAGTCCTTCAAGTTACTGTCTAATGTTCTTTGAGTTCACCTTGCTGGACTCCGTTGTTTCTGCAGGGTGGGTCTAGTGGTAACAAATCCCCCCAGCTTTTGTTTATCTGGGAATGTCTTAATTTCACTCTCACTTTTGAAGCATAGTTTTGCTAGATATGAGTCCTTGTCAACAGGATTTTTTTCTTTTATCATTTTGAATGTTTTGTCCCACTGCCTTCTGGACTTGAAAGATTCTGATGCAAAATATGCCGACAATCTTATTAAGGTTGTTGCATGTGATGAGTCACTTCTATCTTGCTGCTTTCAGGATTCTTTGTCTTTGTCATTCAAAAGCTGGATTATAATGTGTTTTGGTGTGGGTCTCTTTGACTTCCTCTTACTTGGAGCTTATCAGGCTTCTTGGATGTTTGTATTCATGTCTTTCCTCAAATTTGGGAAGTTTTCACACATTATTTCTTCAAATATTCTATGCCTTTTTACTCTCCTTCTGGAACTCCCATTTTACATATGCTGGCTGCTCGATGGTATCCCACAGGTCTTTTAGGCTTTGTTCACTTTTCTTTCTTCTGCCTGCTCAAATCCACCTTTGAACCCCTTTAGTGAATTTTTCATTTCAGTTATTATACTTTTCAGCTCCAGAATTTGTTTGGCTTCTTTTTAGGATTTTTAATATCTTTGTTGATATTTTCACTTTTTCATACATCACTTTATTTTCTTCACATCTTTCTTTAGTTTTTTGAGCATCTTTAAGACTGTTGTTTTAAAGTCTTTTCCTAGTAGGTCTACTATCAAGTCTTTTCCAGGGACAGTTTCTAATTATTTTTTCCATTGAATGGAACATACTTTCCTGTTTGTTTGAAGGCCTCATGACATTTTGTTGAAAATTGGACATTTGAATCTAATTATGTGACACCTCTGCAAAGCAGACTTTCCCCCTCCCTTGGGGTTTGCTTTTTATGTTGTTGAAGCGGCACTGTTTTCTGGGGTAAATACCCGGGGTTCATCATCTCACACCAAGAAGATTAAGGACATGGACGCACATGAGGAGTGAGTTTAGGAGTGGAGGTTTAATAGGCAAAAGAAAGAGAAAGGAGAAGAACTCTTACTCTCAAGACAGAGAGGGGTGCCCAAAAGGGAAATCTGGCCTGCGGCAGAGAGCACCAGATTTTATAGGCAGGCTTGAGGAGGTGGTATTCCATTTACATGGGGCCCACAGATTGGTTGGACCAGGTGTGACATTTACATAGTGTGCGGGTCGGGGAAGCTGGCCACCCCACCCTAATCTTATGCAAATGTTCTTTCCACTTGGCCAGCGCCATCTTGCCTGCTCCTTACTATACATGTGGCTGGCAAAAGAAGGGAAGACGGAGCTGCCATTTTGAACATGCCTAGTCCCAGGTAGCCTTTTCTTATTGGCGCAACTGCCAGCATTCACCTGTATGAGCTTCCAGCTTGCTTGTCTATGTCTGCAGCTCGATTTTAAAGGCTGCTCTTTGTTAGAAAAGAAAATGATTTGGGGGCTGATTTTCATTAAAAGGAAACGTTACTACAGACTTTCTTTCCCTCACTATCTGCCTAATTTCTTCTTAACTCCTATATCATTGTTTCTGCTTATTGTTGGTTTTTATTATTATTATTATTATTATTATTATTATTATTATTATAGGCTGCCTCTGTGCCAAGGCCCAGCCTGAGGTGTAACCGTAAGGTCATTTCAGTTCCTTCTGAGCCTGGTCCTTTCTTTGAGCATACATGGTCATTTTCTAATTTTCCTTGTATACATTTTTTTAAAATGTCCTAGTGTTTAATGTCTGGCTCACAAAAGGGGAAAAGACAAAAAAATGAAAGGGGTGGCAAAAGGGCATCACCTCTTTAAATCCCCTGGAAGTCACTTCAGTGGCAGTGGTAGGTGGCGGCCGAACAGTGAGAAAGGTGCAACAATATTGAACTTGCACCTCTTTGTCTGCACCTCTGTGGTCACCAGCCACAGTGATTAGAGCACTGTTAATGAAAAGAGTCAAACTCTGTAAAATGTTTGAAGGGATTTATTCTGAGCCAAACATGAGTGACTATGGCCCCTGATACAGCCCTCAGGAGGTCCTGAGAACATGTGCCTGAGGTGGTCAGGGTACAGCTTGGTTTTATACATTTTAGGGATATTGAGACATCAATCAAATAAATTTAAGAAATACATTGGTTTGGTCCAGAAAGGCAGGACAACTAGGGGATTTGGTGAATTTAAACATTTTCTGGCTGACAATTGGTTGAGTTCTTCTAAAGACCTGGGGTCAATAGAAAGGGAGTGTTCAGGTAAAGATAAAAGATTGTGGAGACAAAGTTTCTTTTGAATCTTATGGTGGCTGCCCTTAGGGACAATAGATGACAAATGTGTCCTATTCAGACCTTTAAAAGGTACTAGATTTTAGTTAATCTCTTCAGGACTGGGAGGGCCCGGAAGAAAAAGATCTAGCTATGTTAATAGAGAGTCTTTACAGATACAAATTTTCCCCCACCAAGGACAGCTTTGCAGGGCCATTTCAAAATATGGCAAAGAAACGTATTTTGCAGTAAAATATTTTAACTTTCTTCTTTGTCACATGATGTTATGCCAGAGTCAGATTGGAAAGTCACAATCTGTATGGCTAAATAAAAACCACATGATGAGAATTTATGGTTTGTAGGGCATGAACTCCCCAGACCCCTCAGATAGGCATTTAGGCAAGATTAAAAAAATCAGAGCTTAGTCCTCAGCACTGATCCACTGTATTTGGATGACAGGGGTTTTCTTTTTTGTTTCTTGGGGTTTTTTGGCCACTTTGGCTCTTGCAAGCCGCTCCAGGAACACAGGCACAGCTGCCTGCGGGGCTGGAGGTGGGGCTGCCAGTGGGGCCAAGAGCTGAAATTGACCACAATCAACCACAATTTGCCCTTCATGCTTTTGGTAGACTCCAGAGTTCCAAAATAGTTATGGCAGACAGATTCTGCCAGTGCAGGTGTTGTCCAGATGGGGAGACAGACTGCTGGTGCCTCCTACTCCACCATCTTCCCAGAATCCTCCTCACAACTGGGATAACCATAAAGGGTGTAAACCAGAAATGAAATTCTAAGTCCCCCACCAACTGAACAGACCCCCTCTCCCTTGGCCAAGGAGATCCCAAAGAAACTGGAAGAACGAGTTCAGGCCGTGACAGGGAGGGGTCGGACAGGCCTTTGGAGTTTAGGCACAACTGACCAGCATTAGTATTAAAATAGAGACCAAAAGACTGACGAAACAGATTCCGTAGCAATAAGATACCAAATCTGAACCTGTGGCGTCACATGACAACAGGCCCTGAGGAAATGAAATTATTTGACTCCAAAATAGATTTCTTTGCCATATTCTGAAGCAGCCTTGCAAAATTGTCTCTTGTGGAGGACATTTGCATTCTGTAGAGAATCTCCTTCCCTTTCTAGGTCTTCTCCTGACCCAGGAGAGGGGTTTAACCAAGAGTCTGACACCTTTTAAGGTACAAAAGGAGACATTTGCCATCATTCTCACTGAAGCCTGCTACTTAGAAGCTTCATCTACAGAACAAGAACCTTGGCTTTATCCCCCTTTATCTTAACTGGAGTGTTTCTTTCTGCTGACGTCAGTTCTTTAGGCAGAGCTTACCTCTTCCAACCAACTGCCAATCAGAAAAATTCTGAGTCCATCACCCCTGCCCTCCAAACTTGAGATGTCCTGCCTTTCTGGGCGAATCCAGTATATACCTTACATGTATTGATGTATGTCTTTGCCTGTAACTTCAGTCTCCCTAAAATGTATAAAACCAAACTGTAACTAGACCAACTCAGGCACACATTCTCAGGATCTCTTGAGGGTGTACCCCAGGTGATGGTCACTTACATTTTGCTCAGAGTAAGCCTCTTTAAATATTTCATAGAGCTTGGCTTTCTTCATCAACAAGGGTCAATGAGAGCTACGAAGTATTCCCTAGGACTGAGGGAGAGCTCCCAAAGAGGAAATAAGCCTTCCCTAGCCCCCATCAAGATAGTGGTGGGTGAATGTGCATTAATGTATTTAAAGCTAAAATAAAATATTTAGGGTATGTATGACCTTTTTTTTTTGTCATTGCCTGCCTTAGCAAACTAATTGCCAGTCCTGACCACTCACAGCTGGAGGCATCAAAGGAATGTACAACTTAGAATGTTGCAAAGTAGGCAGTAAAATCAGTGGGCAAGAGGACAGGCTTCACCCAGAATGTGCTTAAGAGTCACACATGCTCATAGGTCACTCAGGAAAATGTCTGTATAGGTTTTCCCACCCAAGACCACATTAAATCCAGATGAGTCAGAGTGAATATGAAGAGAGAGTGAGAGAGAGAGAGAGAAAGGAACATGCTTTCTCATCAGAAAAAGACAGACTTACTTGGCTGAAGCAAAGAGTGACACCACAAAGAGAAGGAAATTGATGGCAGAAACATCTAGAAAATTTACAATTCAAAAACATCAGCAGAAAAAACACACAAAACAAAAGCTATTCTTTACATTGTCTTTGCTGAGGGCTTATAAAAATAAGTGAAACACTAAGAGCCAATAGAAAAATTGGCAGACTTGAAGAGATAATTTACAGAAGAGATGTTACAATTTAGCATTTAAAAAATACATAAGGAAATGTTAATAACTAATATTAAACCAAAAAAGGAGTGTAAATTGGTTTCATACCACAGTAGAGGGAAGCTCATCCCTTAACGCCCCCCCATGCCCTGGGAGGTTACCTGTCCCATTGCCCAGAATGAAGCTGAACTTTTAGGAATATTGACATTCATGGCGTGATATGCCTTTGTTATGATCAAAACCTGTTAATTGTCTCAGGAATTTCAGGCTCCTGGACAGCTTTGTGAAAGCTCATTATAAAGCGGGACTCTGCTTATTTTTAGCAGCTGAGCTGCAGCACTTAAACAGTGAAGTCGAGTGCCCTCATTTTAAATAAGAAAACTCTGGTTCTGACACTCTCCTTGACACTGTGTTGAAACAACTTGAGTGCACCGCTTAGAGAAGACATCAAAATGAGAGAAAGATTTACCCTGTGTGATCTGCAGCTTTCTCAGGACTGGAACTATTCAGAACATGACTACAAGATTTATAGCATCTGGTCTAATTTGGTAGCAATCCCAGGGTAGCCAAAAGATTTACAATCTAAACCATGGCTAGTTTGGCCAAGGAGAATCACAGAATTGTGAATTGTATTGAGGCAAAGAAGAATGGTGTTCTTTCTCTATTTGTTTCTTTTTCAAAGCCTTGATGTACATTCCACTTGGAATAGTCTTGTCATAGTTCAGCTATTCATGTCATGTACATTATTATGAAATCACAGCTGATGCCCCACGCCTCTGCAAGTTCCCCTTGAAGAAGCTGCTTCCTTTTTTTTTTACTTTAAATTCTAGGGTACATGTGCACAACGTGCAGGTTTGTTGCATAGGTATACATGTGCCATGTTAGTTTGCTGCACCCATCAACTCGTCATTTACATTAAGTATTTCTCCTAATGCTATCCCTCCCCTAGAACCCCAGCCCCCAACAGGCCCTGGTGTGTGATATTCTCCGCCCTGTGTCCAAGTGTTCTCATTGTTCAATTCCCACCTATGACAGGGAACATGCAGTGTTTGGTTTTCTGTCTTTGTGATAGTTTGCTGAAAATGATGGTTTCCAGCTTCATCCATATCCCTGCAAAGGACATGAACTCATGCTTTTTTTTTATGGCTACATAGTATTCCATGGTGTATATGTGCCACATTTTCTTAATCAAGTCTGTCATTGACAGACATTTGGGTTGGTTCCAAGTATTTGCTGTTGTGAATAGTGCCGCAGTAAACATACGTGTGCATGTGTCTTTATAGTAGCATGATTTATAATCCTTTGGGTATATACCCAGTAATGGGATCACTGGGTCAAATGGTATTTGTAGTTCTAGATCCTTGAGGAATTGCCACACTGTCTTCCACAATGGTTGAACTAATTTACACTCCCACCAACAGTGTAAAAGTGTTCCTATTTCTCCACATCTTCTCCAGCACCTGTTGTTTCCTGACTTTTTAATGATTGCCATTCTAACTGGTGTGAGATGGTATCTCATTGTGGTTTTGATTAGCATTTCTCTGATGACCAGTGATGATGAGCATAGTTTCATGTGTCTGTTGGCTGCATAAATGGAAGAAGCTTCTTCTGATCATCTCAATTGATGCAGAAAAAAGCATTTGACAAAATTAACACTCTTTCATGATAAAAACAAAATACCCTAGGAATAAAAGGAAACTATCTCAACATAATAAAAGCCATATATGTAAAACCCACAAACAGTATTGTCCTCGGTGGGAGACTGAAAGCTTTTCCTCTGATACCAGGAACAAGACAAGGATGCGCACTTTCACCACTTCTATTCAACATGGTATTTGAAGTTCTTCCTAGAGGAGTTACGCAAGGAAAAAAAAAAGTGAAAGGCATCCAAACTGGAAATTAAGAAGCAAAATTATCCGTTTGTAGATGACATGATCTTGTATTTGGAAAACCCTAAAGATTTTATAAAAACTTTAGCTGTTAGTCCTTTGTTGGATGTATAGATTGCAAAGATTTTCTCCCACTCTGTGGGTCATCCGTTTGCTGATTATTTCTTTTGTTGTGCAGAAGCTTTTTACTTTAATAAAGTCCCATCTATTTATCTTTGTTTTTGTTGCATTTGCTTTTGGGTTCTTGGTCATGAAGTTTTTGCCTAAGCCAATGTCTAAAAGGGTTTTTTCTGATATTATCTTTTAGAATGTTTATGGTTTCTGGTCTTAGATTTAAGTCTGTAATCCATCTTGAGTTGATTTTTGTATAAGGTGAGAGATGAGGATCCGGTTTTGTTCTTCTACATGTGGCTAGCCGATTATCCCAGCACTATCTGTTGAATAGGGTGTCCTTTCCCCACTTTATGTTTTTGTTTGCTTTGAGGAAGATCAGTTGGCTGTAAATATTTGGGTGTATTTCCGGGTTCTCTATTCTGTTCCATTGGTTTATACACCTATTTTTATACCAGCACCATGCTGTTTTAGTGACTCTGGCCTTATAGTATAGTTTGAAGTCGGGTGATGTGATGCCTCCAGATTTGTTCTTTTTGCTTAGTCTTGCTTTGGCTGTGTGGGGTCTTTTTTGGTTCCATATGAATGTAGGATTGTTTTTTCTACTTCTGTCAGTAATGATGGTGGTATTTTGATGGGAATTGCATTGAATTTGTAAATTGCTTTTGGCAGTTTGGTCATTTCACAGTATTGATTCTACCCATTCGTGAACATGGGATGTGTTTCCATTTGTTTGTGTCATCTATGATTTCTTTCAGCGGTGTTTTCTAGTTTTCCTTGTAGAGGTCTTTCACCTCCTTGGTTAGGTATATTCCTAATTATTTTAATTTTTTGCAGCTATTATAAAAGGGGTTGAGTTCTTAATTCAATTCTCAGCTTTGTCATTGTTAGTGTGTAGTAGAGCTACTGATTTGTGTACATTAATTTTGTGTCCTGAAACTTTGCTGAATTCATTTGCCAGTTCATGGAGCTTTTTGGAGGAATCTTCAGAGTTTTCTAGGTATATGACCATATCATCAACCAAAAACGACAGTTCGACTTCCTCTGTACTGATTTGGATGCCCTTTATTTTTTTCTCATCTGACTAATATCCAGAATCTACAAGAAACTCAAACAAATCAGCAAGAAAAAAAAACAGTCCCATCAAAAAGTGGGCTAAGGACATGAATAGACAATTCTCAAAAGAAGATATACAGATGACCAACAAATATATGAAAAATGTTCAACATCACTAATTATCAGGGAAATGCACATCAGAACCACAATGTGATACCACCTTATCATGCAGGAATGGCCATAATGAAAAAATAAAAAAATAATAGATGTTGGCATGGATGTGGTAAAGAGGGAACACTTTTACAGTTGGTGGGAATGTAAACTAATACAACCACCATGGAAAACAGCGTGGAGATTCCTTAAAGAACTAAAAGTAGATCTACCACTTAATCCAGCAAATCCCACTCTTGGGTATCTACCCAGAGTAAAAGAAGTCATTATACAAAAAAGACACTTGCACACACGTTTATAGCAGTACAATTTGCAACTGCAAAAATATGAACCCAGCTCAAATGCCCACCAATCGAGTGGATAAAGAAAATGTGACACACACGCACACACACACACACACACATATATATATGGTGGAATATATATATATGAGATGGACTATATATGATGGAATATATATATATGAGATGGACTACATATATGATGGAATATATATAGATAGAATATATATATGATAGAATATATATATATGATAGAATATATATATATATATATATATATATATATATATATATATATATATGTGATGGAATACTACTCAGCCATAAAAAAGAACAAAATAATGGCATTTGCAGCAACCTGGATGGAAGTAGAGACCATTATTTTAAGTGAAATAACCAAGAATGGAAAATCAGACATTGTATGTTCTCATTCATAAGTGGCAGCTAAGCTATGAGAATGCAAAGGCATAAGAATAATACAATAGACTTTGGGGATTCATGGGAAAGGGTGGGAGGCAGGTGAGCGATAAAAGACTACACATTGGGTGCACCCTCCACTGTGATGGGTGCGCCAAAATCTCAGAAATCACCACTAAAGAAATTATTCATGTAACTAAACACCACCTGTTCTCCGAAACACCTATTGAAATTAAAAAAAATGAAGTCCAGGCATGGTGGGTCATGCCTGTGATCCCAGCATTTTGGGAGGCTGAGGCAGGTGGATCACTTGAGGTCAGGAGTTCAAGACCAGCCTAGCCGATGTAGTGAAACCTTCTCTCTACTAAAAATACAAAAATTAGCCAGGTATGGTGGCGTGTGCCTGTAATCCGAGCTACTCGGATGGCTGAGACACGAGAATCACTCGAACCTGGGAGGTGGAGGTTGCAGTCAGCTGAGATCGTGCCACTGCACTCCAGCCTGGGCAACAGAGTGAGACTCTGTCTCAAAAAAAAAAAAAAAAGAAAAGAAAAGTAAAACCTGTTAGAAATAATAATTCATCAAAGTTGGAGGATACAAAATCAACACAAATCAGTTGTGTTTCTATACACTAACAATGAGCAACCCAAAGATTAAGATAACAATTTGTGGCCGGGCACGGTGGCTCATGCCTATAATCCCAGCACTTTGGGAGGCCAAGGCAGGCGGATCACCAGGTCAGGAGATCGAGACCATCCTGGCTAACTTGGTGAAACCCTATCTCTACTAAAAATACAAAAACTTAGCTGGGCATGGTGGCGGGCGCCTGTAGTCCCAGCTACTGGGAGGCTGAGGCAGGAGAATGGCGTGAACCCAGGAGGTGGAGCTTGCAGTGAGCCGAGATCACACCACTGCACTCCAGCCTGGGTGACAGAACGAGACTCCAGCTCAAAAAAAAAAAAAAAAAAAAAAGTTTGATTTATAATAGTATTAAAAAGAATGCAATACCTAGGAATAAATTTAACTAAAAAGGTAAAAGACTTGTTCACTGAAAATACAAAGCATTGCTGAAAGAAATTAAAGAAGATGTAAATAATTGTAAACACATCTCATGTTCATGGATTGGAAGACTTAATATTGTAAAATGGGCCGGGTGTGGTGGCTCACGCTTGCAATGCCAGTACTTTGGGAGGCCGAGGTGGCGGATCATGAGGTCAGCAGATCGAGACCATCCTGGCTAACACAGTGAAACCCTGTCTCTACTGAAAATCCAAAAAAATTAGCCTGGCATGGTGGCAGGTACCTGTAGGCCCAGCTACTGGGGAGGCTGAGGCAGGAGAATGGCATGAACCCTGGAGGCAGAGCTTGCAGTGAGCCGAGATTATGTCACTGCACTCCAGCCTGGGCGACAAAGCAAGACTCCATCTCAAAAAAAAAAAAAAAAAATATATATATATATATATATATATATATATATATATATATATATATGTATGTCAGTACTACCCAAAGTGATCTACAGATTCAGTGCAATCCTATTAAAGTCTCAATGGTGTTTTTTGCAGAAATAGAAAAGCCCATCTTAAAACTCAAGTGGAATCTCAGGAGACCCCCAAATAGCCAAAACAATCTTGAAGAAGAGCTAAAAAGTTGGAGGACTCACACTTCCTGATTTTAAAACTTAGTACAAAACTACAGTAATCAAAGCAGTGTGACACTGGCATAAAAACAGACACACAGACCAGTGGAGTGGAATAGAGAGCCCAGTAATGAACCCTCACGTATATGGCTAAGTGATGTTCTACAGGGGTGCCAAGACTATTCACTGGGGAAAAGACAGTCTTTTCAATCAATGGTGCTTAGAAAACTGGATATCCACATGCAAAAGAATGAAGTAGGACCCTTACCTAAACCCCATTTACAAAAACTCACTCAAAATGGATCAAAGACCTAAATGTCAAAACTAAAATTATAAAACTCTTAGAATAAAACATAGACGAAAAGCTTCATGACATCCAATTTGGCAAAGATTTTTTAGATATGACACCAAAAGCACAACCATCAAAAGTGAAAAATAGGCTTCATCCAATGTTTTAAAAGGGTACTATTGCATAAAAAGGGCCTTATTGATACAGTATAAAAGCAGCCTTCAAAATGAGGGAAATATTTGCACATTGTGTATCTCATAAGGGATTAATATCCAGAATGAATGAAAAACTCCAAAAGCTCAACAACAAAAATAACGCAAATCAAAAATGGATAGAAGACTGAACAGGTATTTCTCCAAAGAAAACATACAAGTGTCCAATAAGCACATGAAGAGATGCTCAACATCATTAATCAGGAGGGAAACACAAATCAAAACCTCAATTAGATACCACCTCCCACCCATTGTGATAGCTTTTAAAGGAAAAACACCATTAAAGGAAAACACCATTAATAGGAAAACACTATTAAAGGAAAAACACCACTGGGAAACAAGTGCTTGGAACGATGTGGAGAAATTGGGGTCCTCGTGCGTGGTTGGTGATGACGTAAAATGGTGCAGCTGCTGTGGAAACAGTTCTTCAAAAGAGTGAACACAGAATCACCCTATGATCCAGCAGTTCCACTTCTGGGCACCTACCCAAAAGAATTGAAATCAGGGATTTAAATAGATATTTGTATACCCGTGTTGATAGCAGCATTATTCACAGCAGACAAAAGGTGGAAACAACCCCAGTGTTCATGGATGGATGAACAAAATGTAGTCTATACACATAATGGAATATTATGCAACCCTGTGGATGGATGAATGGATAGCAAAATATAGTATGTACACGCAATGGAAGATTATGCAACCCTCAGAAGGAGTGCAGTTCCAACACGTGCCACATGTGGCATGGATAGACCTTGAGGATACTGTGCCAATGGATAGGAGCCAGTACTGGAAGGACAAATGTTGGATGATTCCACTTGTATGAAGTAGTCAAACTCGTCAAGACAGGAAGTGGAATGGTGGGTGCCAGGGGCTCAGGGGCAGGGGAATGGTGAGCTGGTGTTTAATGGGTTCACCGTTTCAGTTTGGGAAGATGGAAAGTTCTGGAGATGGTGGTGATGGTTACATAACCGTGTGAATGTACTTAATGCCACTGAACTGTACCCCGTAAACATAGTTATGCTGGTGAACTTCACATTATATCTGTTTACACACACACACACCCTCCTCCCCACAGTCTCTGACTTCCCTCCTGCTCTGGGCTGTGCCACTGCCTTAACCCGGACCAGTTCCCTTCTACAGTGAAGAAACCCTATGCATATTGGAAATAGGGTTTGGAAATAGGTTTTGTCTCATCAAATATTTGATATGTAGAGACCTGTAGACCCCTGTGGGAGGGCAAAAGGCATGAAAGGCTCCAACACCCTCCCATTTCTGTTTTCTGGAAAAAGTCTAGTGGTGCGATTACAAGGACAAGTCACAACGATTTTTTCAACAGTCACTTGTGCATTTTACGTCAAATCACCACTTCACAGGAACATGCCCTGGGCACCAATATGGCTGTGCTGGGCAATAGGATCGGGGACGGACTCTGGGGGCCAGGCTCGGGGAGGCCCTTATGGACCGGCAGGTACCTGTCTCTTCTGGGGTGAAACCTGTGGAGGGGATGGAGGTGGCCCCACCAGGCATCCAGCCCAGGACACAGCTCCTCAGGCCGCCTCGCAGCGTCTGGGGAGGGTGTCAAGGAGCCGCTTCTTGAACGGCTTGCTCACCGGTGTGAGGAACACGCGCAGACGTTTCTGAAAACTGGGTGGGCCAATGTCTGTATGGACTGTGGGTCTGGAGTGGAGCAGCTCCAGGGCCCACCCTGACGTCAGACGATTAAATGACCACTTGGATTTGCCAGTGGCCCACAGAAGACCCTGGGACCCGCCCCCCACCGGCAGCTAATTGCTTCCCTCTGAAATAGATGAATATTTTCTAGTTTTCTGCATTACATTACTTTCATCTGTTCAGGTTATTTTCTGAAATGAGGGTGTAACTTTACATTCTTTAAGTCAAATTTGCCATATCAATGATAGTTCCGTTTTATGCCTCCTGTTCAGTATATTCTCCCCTTGCGTGAAGTTTGAGCTTAAATTCTGGTAAAAGTTGAGGAACTTGTTTTCACTTCCCTCAGCCACCTAGGGATGCTCATACTCGATTTTACATTCCGAGAGTTGAAGCCCAGTAAGATGAAAATGATTAGAAAAAGGCTTTTGAGAATAACCTTTCCCCATCTGCATGTGTGTCTCTTTCAGTGGCAAATGCCCTTTTAAGTTTTTAGCGCATTTTTATTGCCATTCTGGAAAGCTGGGGTTGTGACTTCCATCTGAGTCCCTGAGGCCAGCATAGTAAAGCTGAGCTGAGAATGGGCCTCGTGCTTGAGAAAAGGCACCAACACCTAAGGCATGTTTGTTACCAGTGCAAAACATGATTGGTGGGTGGGTTGAACTTGAACTTGGTGTAAGATTCTGCAGAAGCAACTGAAACCCAGGCGGGGCTCTAGGCCCCAAGATGTTTACTGTATTTTAGTTTGTCAGAGCAACATTTGGGGAAAATAAACACTCAACAGTTAAGTGATCTGTGTGCAGTTTCTAATAGCACAGGAAATGCTAATGAAATCACATTGGGTGAAAATAGTTAAAGTACACAATTGTAAATGGAGTGGGATCTCAGCTATTTAAAGGGAACAGAGAAAATACTGAAGTGAAATTCACCAGCATCCTGGCACCCGCACCCCTCGCTAAGGAGGCCGAGGTAGCGCCTGCAGCAGCCGGGAGCCACAGGGAGCACCGGGAGTGCAGAGGAGGGAGCCCCCCATAGGGTGGCCCTGACCAGGGCTGGCAGGGGCAAGTGTGGACGCCCGGCCCCTTGCCCAGGCTGGGACCACTCTGAGGGACAACTCATCCTTCGGAGCGCCTGGTGGGCTGTGGCTGTGGCCCTCGAGTGGCCTCCTCTCCCCTGTCCTGCCCACCTACCCCCAGCCTCCAGGAAGAGCTATACAATTGCTTTTTTAACTGACCCCTGAACCAAAGAGCAGCCCGTGTTTTCTAGTCCTAATGACCTGCTTTATGTTCCAAGGAACAGGACACCCCAGCCCCCGTGAGACCCCTTCCTTGTGGGAGCTCAGTCACTGACCTTCCCCTGAGGGGTGGAGACCCAGGGCATGGAAGGGCTCAGGACATGGCCGTGCCCACCACTAACCTCCCTCCTCTCTTGTCTCAGGCCAGGTACAGGGGTCTGGTCTTCCTGCACCCAGGCTGGCCGCTGTGCGCCCATGAGAAGGTGGTGGTGCAGCTGGCGTCCCTGCACGGAGTCAGGCTCCAGCCCGGGGACTTCTACCTGCAGGTCACGTCGGCGGGGAAGCAGTCAGCTAGACTGGTCTTGAAATGCCTGTCCCGGCTGGGAAGAGGCACAGAGGAAGTCACCGTCCCTGAGGCCATGTATGGCTGTGTCTTCACGGGGGCGTTCCTGGAGTGGGTGAACCGGGAGCGGCGCCATGTCCCCCTGCAAACCTGCTTGCTGACCTCAGGCTTGGCCGTCCACCGAGCCCCGTGGAGCGACGTCACTGACCCTGTCTTTGTCCCCAGCCCTGGAGCCATCCTGCAGAGCTACTCCAGCTGCACAGGTCCTGAGCGGCTGCCCAGCAGCCCCTCAGAGGCCCCAGTCCCCACCCAAGCCACAGCAGGCCCCCATTTCCAGGGAAGCGCCTCTTGCCCCGACACCCTGACCTCACCCTGCCGCCGAGGGCATACGGGCAGCGACCAGCTCAGGCACCTTCCTTATCCAGAAAGAGCCGAGCTGGGAAGCCCCAGGACCCTGTCTGGAAGCTCAGACAGGGACTTCGAAAAGGTCAGCCCCTCAGAGCAGGGCCCACGGATGCCCCCTGAGAACTGTGGGGGGTCGGGGGAGAGGCCGGACCCCATGGACCAGGAGGACAGACCCAAGGCCCTCACCTTCCACACAGACCTGGGCATCCCGAGCAGCAGGAGGCGGCCGCCGGGGGACCCCACTTGTGTGCAGCCTAGACGCTGGTTCAGGGAGTCGTACATGGAAGCCTTGCGGAACCCCATGCCCCTGGGCAGCTCTGAGGAGGCCCTCGGGGACCTGGCCTGCAGCTCCCTGACTGGAGCCAGCAGGGACCTGGGGACTGGGGCAGTAGCCAGTGGGACCCAGGAGGAAACCTCTGGCCCCCGGGGAGACCCCCAACAGACCCCAAGTCTAGAGAAGGAGAGGCACACACCCAGCCGGACAGGTCCAGGAGCTGCAGGGCGGACTCTTCCCAGGAGATCTCGGTCCTGGGAAAGGGCACCCAGAAGCTCCAGAGGGGCCCAGGCTGCAGCCTGCCACACCTCCCACCACTCAGCAGGCTCCAGGCCTGGGGGCCACCTAGGAGGACAAGCTGTGGGGACCCCAAACTGTGTCCCAGTAGAGGGTCCCGGCTGCACCAAAGAGGAAGGTAAATGCTCCCCACGCCCTCCCCTGCGCACCCCCACAACCTCCCCTACACATCCCACAATCTCCCCCTGCACACCCCACCCCCTTCCCTACAAACCCCCACAACCTCCCCCTGCACACCACCACAACCTCCCCTGCACACCCCCACCCTCTCCCCTGCACACCCCCACCCCTTCCGCTGCACACCAACCCACTCCCCTGCACACCCCACCCCCTCCCCTGCACACCCCACAACCTCCCCTGCACACCCCACCCCTTCCGCTGCACACCCCCGCCCTCTCCCCTGCACACCCCCACCCTCTACCCTGCACACCCCACCCCCTCCCCTGCACACCCCACAACCTCCCCCTGCACACCCCACAACCTCCCCCTGCACACCCCACAACCTCCCCCTGCACACCCCCACCCCCTCCCCGCACACCCCCACCCCCTCCCCTGCACACCCCACAACCTCCCCTGCACACCCCCACCCCCTCCCCGCACACCCCCACCCCCTCCCCTGCACACCCCACAACCTCCCCCTGCACTGTCCCCCTCCCACCCTGTCACAGTTTTGTTTGGTCACTTGATCCACAAGAAGCCTGTCTCCATGTTCATATTGGCGCTCACGTTCTGGAGACCACAAGTCCAACATCAAGCTGTGGGCAGAGTGTGTTCCCCTCCGAGGACCGGGGGCACCCATCCCGCCTCTTCCAGCTTCTGGGGCTCCAGGTGTCCCGGGCTGTGGCTGCAGCCCTCTGACCGTCCTCCGTGGCCTCCTCCCCAGTGCTTCTCTGACTCGAATCTCCCTCTCCTTGCTCTTGGGCACCCATCGCTGGATTCGGGGCCCCTCTAAACCCAGGACGACCTCACATCCAGATCCGTAGACTCAGTTTCCAACTGGAGGCCACATTCACAGTTTCCAAGGGTTAGGAGAGAAAATGTGATGATTTAAAAGACTAAGTTTGCAGGACATAAAGTAAGAAAATAATGACAACATATTTCTTAAATATTTCATTTTTTTTTTTTTTTTTTTTTGAGTAAAGAAATATCCTGTGAGTAACACAACCAGTGATTTTGGAAAGAAGGAAAAAATGTGAACATACTGATGTAGGCTCCAGCAAGTAGGGCCACCCAACCTCGGGAAAGTGACAGGCTGAGCCCTCCTTTCCGTGGGCTCCCCCCGCGGTGCCTGGAGACAGCCACGCCTGCCCTGCCAACCCCTCCTACCTGCCTGGCCTGACCAGGGGCTCGGAGGCAATGGCACCACAGCCCTTGGAAACAGAAGTGTGGCCCAGCCCATTCCAGCCACCTCACGAGAGCCTTTCGCCTTCAAAGTTAGGCTGCTGTGCCTGGAACTTCTGACAGGTCCCGGAGAGTGCCGCACACACACGGGACCTACCGCAGAAAGAGCTTTGTAACAGAAGTACTCACTTGGGGGCAACACTACCTGAGAGTATTCTGTCGCCTCACTGCAATTCAGCTAAAGTGAAAAGAAGTCCTAACCCCTCCCCGTGGTTTCCAGCCCCTCACCTTTCCTTTGTATTGATTTTCTTCCCTGTTGTACTGGGCAGAAAAGACACACACAATCTTGCAGCACCCCTCGCAGTCACACACACGCCATAACAACCACACACAGTCACATGCCTCACATGATCACATGCTCGAGTTCCACATACGACACGCACACAGAATCACACAACACACACAGTCACATGCCTCACACGATACACGCGCGCACAGTCACCAGTCACATGCTTCACACAATCACATGCTCCAGAGTTACACATATCACACACGCAGTCACACCACACGCAGACACATGCCTCCAACGATCACACTCCAGAGTTCCAAATACCACACACACAGTCACACACCACACGCAGTCACATGCCTCACACAATCACACTCCAGAGTTCCACATACCACACACACAATCACACAAACACAGTAACACACCAGTCACATGCCTCACACAATCACACGTGCCAGAGTTACACATACCACACATGCACGCGCAGTCACACACCACATGCAGTCACGCATGCTGCACTTTGAGCAGATGAGTAGGGATGAGATGACCTGTTCCTCCTGAGGCGTCTGCAGGTAGTGAGCATGTCTGTGAGCTGGAGACTCCGTCTCCGTGATGACGCCGCGTGTCCGTGATGACGCCGCATGCCCTGTGCAGTGGGACATGCTTTCACTTCCCGTGTGAACTGGGACAAGTTTTCTCGGAACCCCCTACTTTCATGCGTGTTTTTGTCCCATGGTTCATAGCAAGCTGAGCATAGCAGCTGCTTTCAACGCGCAGGAAAACCTTCATCTTTGACACGGCCTCTTTCCTTTGTCCAGACGTTCTTGCATCCTCAGCCTGTGTCAGCACAGACGGCGGCAGCCTCCATTGCCACAACCCCAGCGGGCCTTCCGATGTGCCTGCCCGGCAGCCACACCCCGAGCAAGAAGGGTGGCCACCCGGCACAGGAGACTTCCCCAGCCAGGTGCCCAAGCAGGTGCTGGACGTCAGTCAGGAGCTGCTGCAGTCCGGGGTCGTCACCCTCCCAGGTGAGAGCACATGCCAGGCTCTCCTGTCAGGGCGGATCTGACATCTAAGCCGACAGCACAGACCCAGCTCACCACCTTGTAGGAGTGAAGCCCTTGGCAGCTGCCCTGTCTCTGTCTCCGCAGGGACCCGAGACCGTCATGGCAGAGCAGTGGTGCAGGTCCGCACCAGGAGCCTGCTCTGGACCAGGGAACACTCGTCCTGTGCTGAGCTGACCCGCCTGCTGCTGTACTTCCATAGCATCCCCAGGTGGGACGGGGGGCAAGGCCGCACCCTGCAGACCCATGGGACCCCAGCTGCATGTGTGTGGCAAAGTGGGGGGCACGGGGAGGTGCCAGCTTCCATGGCCAGACTCTGCCTCTCCTAACCTCATCTTTCAGAGCAGTCAGCACCCATGTGCTTCCAGCCTTGATTTCTACACACCATTTCTTGCCTTCTCTACACATCCTTCCCAGTGACACCCACAATTAAACACACCTGGCTACGGGGCAGACAGGGCACACTCACTCTTTGGACCAGGATTCAGCCATCCGTGTGATGTGCAGCTTCTGCCGGCTTTGAGTCAGGGTTCTCTTATGTCCTTGGCTCACAAGAGTGCTGTAAGATCAGTGTCCAGACACACAACTTAATTAGAATGTCAGTTAATCCTGGAGTTAGAGCTAAAGAAGTTTCTCAAAGAACAAACACACACACAAATTTTTTTTTTTGAGACAGGGTCTTGCTCTGTCGCCCAGGCTAGAG
Organism: Homo sapiens; assembly: GCF_000001405.40. Lineage (NCBI taxonomy): Eukaryota > Metazoa > Chordata > Mammalia > Primates > Hominidae > Homo > Homo sapiens. Next base: position 143,996 of record NC_000005.10, read on the forward strand.
CACAGTGGTGCAATCACAGCTCACTGTAGCCTCAATCTCCTGGGCTAAAGCGATCCTCCTCCCGCCTCAGCCTCGCCAGGCTAAATATTTTTTAAGACTAGTCAAGTGTAGTAGTGAGAAGGGGGAAAGAATAGAATAAGGTGTTTGATCTGTAATGTGTGTGAACAATCAAATGAGATAACTCACTACCTTCAGACCAGCTGAACACTAAAATTTTGTAAAATGAATATATCAACTCACCCCACCTACCATTCTCTCCTATTAAATTTTGAACTGAAGTTTCTAATCACAATCACAGAGACAAAGCTTTTAAATTGGAGTTTTCAAAACCACATGATGGTATTTTTAGTTTTAAAAGATGTTCTAACAGTCTTAGCTTGGCTCTGGATAAGTAAGGACCCTCCTGACTGATCTCAAGCTTCCATCTTGGGAACAGGCCATCCACATCCCATCAGAATCACCTTCTGTGCTTACGTTAAAGCCCAAATAAATGAGGGCAAGAAGGCCCTGAAGTCCTTGCTCCCTTGATGGAGCACGGCCCATTTCGTCCATCCAGGAGCATTGGTGGGTGTTTAGGGGAAAGTAGCCCCAGCCCCATGTGCCCAGAGACACTGTCTGACATCAGTAGCAGGTTCCACGAGAGGAACAACGTCAGTGCCTCCAGCCGATGGGCCTGCACCTTCGGGAAGTGGAAGGTTGATGTGTATAGAGAACCCCTAACTTCTAGAGCTGAAAGGAAACCAGTAACAACTAGCCTCAGAGGTGGAGAAACTCGTTCTTGTAAGAGATTTAACCTTCAGTGGTTAAGATGGGCTGTCTTTCCCTCCCCAGGAAAGAGGTCCGGGACCTGGGGCTGGTTGTCCTGGTGGATGCACGCAGGAGTCCAGCTGCCCCTGCCGTCTCCCAGGCCCTCTCAGGATTGCAGGTACGGCAAGGTTGTCATATCCCTTGGGTGTGCAGAGCATCGTAGGGCCGTGTGTTGCTGGGGCTGCCCACATCGTGGTTCTGGAGTAGCCAGTCCACAGGCTTAGTGTGAAGATTCGAGATGGGGGCCCCTGTGCAGAGCCACCTCCTTCTTGGGGTCTTCCCAGTGAGTCCAGCTCTTGCTCTCTGGGGCCAGGCACAGACACTGGGGAAGGTGGGCTTGGCCCATCCGCTGGGGACTTGGGGAAGCTTCATGCTCAGGGCAACTGCAAACCTAAAATGCAAAGCCAGCCAGGCCCGGGTGGTGGGCACCTGTCCCAGGAGGGCAGCGCAGCCCCATCCCTGCCCAGTGCAGCTGCCCCCGCTATGCCCCTCTGTCAGGATGGAGAGCACAGCATCACCCTTCAGACAAAGGACAGAGGCAGGAAGGGGCAGCCATAGTTCACTGCAAGGATGAACCAGGGTGGGGACGAACCTGGCAGCCCCAGACAGGGTCAATGCCATTGCCACAGGTCCCTGCAGCCTCGAATTCCCAGGCTCAAGCCATGCTACTGCCTCAGCCTCCAGAGTAGCTAGGACTACAGGCGCATGCCACCATGCCCGGCTAATTTTTTGTATGTTTACTAGAGATGGGGTTTCGCCACATTGCCTAGGCTGGTCTTGAACTCCTGGACTCAAGCGCACCCACCTCAGCCTCCCAGAGTGCTGGGCTCACAGGCATGAGCCACTGTGTGTGGCCTAGGGGCCCTGCACTGAACCATAAGCAACATCCAGAGATGGGAAGCACCGGGGATGGGAAGATGCTGCTGCCTGAGCAGGGGCAGATGGAAGCTCAGAGATGGGGAGAGACCAGGGACAGGGGGGTCCAGGGACAGGGACAGGGAGGGGACGGGGACAGAACCAGGGTGCCCTCTCCCATGCCCCACCTGCACTCCACGAAGCTAAACCCATTTCGCCCTTGCTGTCCCTGCTGAAGACGGAGGCAGAGGCTCCTATACTCACTGAGGAATCTCAAGTTTAGGGACACCAGGTGGCAGGTTGTGCCAGGAAAGACATCAGTCAGGGACAGCACTGGCAGAGCTCACCACACCATGGAGTCCTCCTTCCACTCCCCTTCCATGGTCCTCCCTCCTCTCCCCCTCCATGGTCCTCACTCCTCTCCCCACTTGGAGTCCTCCCTCCTCTCCCTACTTGCAGTCCTCCCTCCTCTCTCCCAACCTGTGGTCCTCCCTCCTCTCCCCCATTCTGCAGCCCTCCCTCCTCTTCCTTTCCATGGTACTTCTTTTTCTCCCCCTCCACTGTCCTCCCTCCTTTCCACCCCCACAGTCGTTCCACTTCTCCCACCCTGCCCCCCTCCCTCCTTTCCCACACCCTGTGACCCTCCCTCCTCCCCACCATAGTCCTCCATCCTCTCCTCCTCCATGGTCCTCCCTCCTCTCCACCCCCACAGTGGTTCCTCCTCTCTCACAAGCTGTAGCCCTCCATCCTCTCCCCACTATGGTCCTCCCTCCTCTTCCCTAACCCTGCAGCCATCTCTCCTCTTCACCCCTGCAATCCTCTCTCCTCCCCTCCACACAGTCCTCCCTCCTGTCCCCACTGTGGCCCTCCTTCCTCTTCCCCAACCTAAAGTCCTCCCTCCTCTTTCCCCTAAGGTCCTCCCTCCTCTCCTCCCCCAGAGTCCTCCCTCCTCTCCCCCAACCCTGCAGTTCTCCTTCCTCTTCCCTAACTCTGGAGTCCTCCCTCATCTCCCCCCTCCTCTCCTCCCCCACAGTCCTCCCTTCTCTCCCCTGACCCTGCGGCCCTCCCTTCCTCTCCCCTGGCCCTACAGTCCTCCCTCCTCTCTCTCCACCCTGCTGCCACCACTTCTCTCCCCCACACTTTCCCCCTTGCATCGAGCCTGCCTCCCCTTGCCTTAGAGTGAACCTGCCTCTTGTCCCCCTCCTCACTGTCAGTCCCGCCTGTGGTTTCTTCTTACTTTCGCAGTACGTGGCTCTTCTTAGAAAATGTCAGTGTCCTACCTGAGACTTGGAGGAGACAGGCTCAGTCATGACCCCCCTTACAGAGTGGGATCCACTCACATTGAGCCCTGCAGTGGCATCCTCCAGAACTCCCTGACAGGGTGGCTGGGCCAGCAGAAATTGGCTGGCCTGGGAGCAAGTGACAGGGACCTTGGGCTGGACAAGGGGCTGAGGTGACTCCCTGAGGTCAGGAAGGAGTCACTGGGAGGAGAGAGCACAGGCCGAGGTCCAGACAAGAAGTGCCATGAGTTGGGTTGCACCAGCTAGGCTAGACAGGAGTCCTCAGTGCACAGACACTGTCAGGAAAGCCTCAGGGAGGCCTGGAGCCAGGGGAGGCACTGATCAGAGAGGTTCTGAGAGATTCTCAAGGCCTCCAAGAAAGGAACATGAGGCCCTGCACCACAGCATGAGCATGAGCTGTCCCTGGTTGGGCACCTGGGCAGTGGTCTGTGCTTCACCTAGACAAAGAAATGACAGTCAAGGAACAGATGCTAGGGGAGGAAACAGAGCTGACCAGAGGTTACCTGGGCACAAGAGGAATCTGGAAGAGCGCACACCTGCTGAGCAAACCTAAGGCAGTGACATCAGGGTGGAAAAAAGAATACATATGCTTATTGTTAGTGTTCACCAAAAAAGGTTCACAGTGCGTTGCTCTAAAGCTCAGTTAGCTTCTCTAACACAAGGTAGATACAGTGTGAAGTGCCAAAACTCAGTTTCCATAAAACTTTTTACAAGCATGTAAGTTCCTTATTGACTTTTTCAAAAGAAATTCATGTAGGAAATGCATCCTAACTCATTCTATGATGCCAGCATTACCCTGATACTAAAGCCAGCCAAAGACACTAAAAGTAAAGAAAACTGTAGAGCAATATCCCTTATGAAGGTTGATGCCAAAATCATCAACAAAATACTAGCAAATCAAATTCAGTAGCAGGCTGAAAGGATTATACACCCTGACCAAGTACAGTTTGTTCCTGGAATGCAAGGATGGTTCGACACATGAAAACTGATCAGTGTAAACAGAATGAAGGGGGAAAAACACATGATCATCTCAATTGATGCCAAAAAAAAAGCATTTGACAAAATTCAACATCTTTCATGATGAAAGCACTCAATATACTAGAAATAGAAGGAAACTACCTCAACATAATAAAAGTTATATGAAAAATCTACAGCAAATATCATACTCAATGGCAAAAAAACTGAAATCTTCTCATCTAAAATCAGGAACAAGGCAATAATGCCCACTTCTATTCAACATATTACTGGAAGTTCTAGCTAGAGCAATTGGACAAGAAAAAGTGGGGGGTGGGGGAGAAGAGGCATCCAAACTGGAAAGGAAGAAGTAAAATTATCTCTATTCCCAGATGATGTGATCTTATATGCAGAAAACCCTAACAGTTCCACAAAAAAAAAAAAATAAATAAAAATAAGTTAATTCAGCAAAGTAGCAGGATGCAAAGTCAACACACAAATATCAGTCACACTTCTCTATGCTAACAGTGAGCAATCTGAAAAGGAAATTAAGAAAACAGTTCATTTACAATAGCATCAAAAAGAATAAAGTACTTAGGAATTAACCAAAGAAGTGAAAGACTTTTTCACTGAAAACTACAAGACAGCTGAAAGAAATTAAAGAAGACATAAATAGAAAGATATCTCATGTTCAAGGATTGGAAGACTTAATATTGTATTGAAATATCAATACTACACAAAGTGATGTATAGATTCAGTGCAATCCCTATCAAAATTAAGCTGTTGTTTCTTGCCGAAATAGGAAAACCTATCCTGAAATTCATAGGGAATCTCAAAGGACTCCAAATAGCCAAAACAATTGTAAAAAATAAAAACAAAGCTGGAGGACTCACAGTTCCTGATTTCAAAACTTAACAAAGCAACAGTAATCAAAAAAGTTTGGCACTGGCATTAAAACAGACGTATAGAACAATGGAATAGAGTAGAAAGCCATGAAACTAACAATCATATACATAAATGATTTTTGAAAAGGGTACCAAGACCATTCAATGGAGAAAGGACAGTCTTTTTTAACAAATGGTGCTTAAAAAACTAGATATTCACATGCAAAAGAATGAACTTAGATTCTTACCTAAACACCATATAAAAAATTAACTCAAATGGATCAAAAACCTAATTGTAAGACCTAAAACTATAAAACGTTTAGAAGACAACATAGGGCAAAAGTTTTCTAACATTGGATTTGGCAATGATTTATTAGATATAATATCAGAGGCACCAGCAACAAAAGAAAAAATGGACAAATCAGACTTTTCAAAAATTAAAAAATGTGCATCAAAAGACTACCAGACAGATGTGGTAGCTCATTCCTGTAATCCCAGCACTTTGGGAGGCTGAGGCAGGAGGATTGCTTGAGCCCAGGAGTTCAGGACCAGCCTGGGCAATATAGTAAGACTCTGTCTCTATGAAAAAAAAAAATTAGCTGAGCATGGTGGTGCATGTTTGTAGTCCTAGCTACTTAAGGGTCTGAGGTGGGAGGATCGCTTGAGCCCAGGAGGTCAAGGCTGCAGTGAGCCATGGTCATGCCACTGCACTCCAGTATGGATGACAGAGAGAGACCCCGTCTCAAAAAAAGTAAATAAGAAGACGCTATCAACAGAGTAAAAAGGCAGCCCACAGAATGGGGGGAAATTTTGGCAAATTATGTATCTGATAGGAGGTTAATATCCAGAATATATAGAGAACTCCTAAAATTCAACAACAACAAAAACCAAACTGCCCAATTCAAAAATGAACAAAAGACTTGAATAGACATTTCTCCAAAGAAGATATATATGTGGCTAATGAGCACATGAAAAGATGTTCAATGTCATTAATGATTAGAGAAATTCAAATCAAAACCTCAATTAAATACCACTTCCCCATCCATTAGGGTGGCTATTGTAAAAAAACAACAAGTGTTGGCAAAGATACGGAGAAACTGGAACCCTTGTGCACGGTTGATGGGAACAGTAAATAGTGACTCATTGTGGAAAACAATTTGGCAGTTCCTCAAAAAAGTAAATATAGGATTACCATATGATCCAACAATACTGTGTCTGGGTATATACCCAAGAAATTGAAAGCAGAGTTTCAGAGATTTATACAGCTGTGTTCATAGCAGCATTATCCATAACAGCTAAAACACAGAAGCAACCTTAGTGCCCATCAACAGATGAATGGATAAGCAAAATGTGGCCTATCTTTACGATGGAATATTATCCAGCCTTAAAAAGGAAGGAAATTCTGACATATGCCACAGCATGTATGAATCTTGAGAACATGCTGAGTGAAATAAGCCAATCACAAAAAGACAAACATTCCACTTCTATGAGTACTCAGAGTAGCCCAGATCCCAGAGACAGAAAGTTGAATTATGGTTGCCTGGTGCCAGGAGCAGGGGGTAATGGAGAGTTTTTCTTTTACGGGTGCAGGGTTTTGCTCTTACAAGATGAAAAGAGTTATGGAGACGAATGGTGGTGGTGGTTGCACTACGTTATGAATGTACCTAAGACTGCTGAACAGTACACTGAAAAATGATGATGATAGTGTTTCACCACAATGAAACAATTGAAAATGCACATCTGATAAAGGGCTTGTATATAGAATATATACGGTCTCAAAACTCAGTAATAAGAAAACAACCCAATAAAATATGGGAAAGGATTTGAGTACTCTTCACTGAAGATGATACACAGATGGCAAATAAGCACATAAAAATATGCCTAACGTCATTAATCACTGGGGAAATGCAACTGAAAACCAAAATGAAACACACAAAAACAGTAACAAAGCTTGACAGTAACAAATGCTTGGTATTGCTGATGGAAATGCAAAATGGTACAGCCACTCTGGAAAATACTTACTTATCACATGAGCCAGAAATCCCACTCCTAGATATTTATCCAAGAGAAATGAAAACTTGTGTTCACACAATATTTATAGTGACTTTACCCATGATTGCCAAAAACTGGAAACAACCCAGTTATCCTTCAGCTGGTGAATGGATGAACAGATTGTGGTGAGGCATACCGTGGAATACTGCTCAGCAAAACAGAGGAACAAACCGTTGATCTCCACAACAGGGATGAGTTCCCAATGCACAATGCTAAGTGAGAGAGGCCACTCCTGCCTGAGTCTATTTATGTCTAGAAAAGGCAAGTCGGTGGAGACGAAAGCAGGTCAGTGGTTGCCAGGGGCTGGGCATAGGAGAGGGCTTGGCTACGAAGAGGCACAAGAGAATTTTGGGGTTGCTTAACAGTTCTTTGTCTTGATGGTGGTGATGGTTACATGACTATGCTTTCATCAAAACTTATAGAACTATTCACTAAAAAGGGTGAATTTTATTGTATGTAAATTATACCTCGATAAACCTGATTACATTAAAAATTCATAAGGGCAAATAATTTACATTTCAGGGCAAAGTCAGCCATGTTTTATGCACTGTAGGCACTCTGGGAAACTATGACAGAAGTAGTACCACTCAAAATTGGGCAATTCTATTAATGAAGTTAAAAATTAGAAAGCTAATCAGTAATATTTATTTCTTATTTATTTCAGAACAACACATCTCCTATAATTCATAGTATCTTGCTGTTGGTAGATAAAGAATCTGCATTTAGGCCTGACAAGGATGCAATAATTCAGGTAATGGTTTAGACTGTGGGATCCTGAGTGATGGATAAAATTAAACATTAAGGCACCTAGATGAGATGAAACACATGAAGGAATTTAGATAAGTTCTAATTGCATCCATGTGGGAGCCTGGAAACCTACTTCCTACCCCGTAAGTTCTTGCAGGAGTCCTGCAGAGTATGCCATGAAAAACTTAAAAATGTGACCTTTCTTCTCCACCTCATATGGTTTCTTTCCTTCTCTTTCTTTGTATCTTCCTCTTTTATCTGAAAACATCTTCTTCATTTGGCCTCATTCTGAAAGGGTATTTTTGTTACATCTAGAATTCTGGTTTGAGAGGAGTTCTCCTTTTCCCCTCAGCACTTTAAAGATACTGCTCTGTTGCCTTCTGGCCTCCATAATTTTAGAAGAAAAGTTCATCATAATTCAGATCATTGTTCATCTCTATGAAGTGTGTTAATTTTCCTTTGGCTGTTTCCAAGGTACTTCCTTTCTTTTGAGCAAATCGCAATGCGAGCGGGCTTGGTTTTCTTCATTATCCAGTTTAGGCTTGAACGTTAAATTTGTGAATTCATGTCTATCACCACCTTTAGGACCTTTTTAGCCATTCTTTCTGTCTTTTTTTTTTTTTTTCCTTTCCTGAGACAGCATCTAGCTCTGTCACCCAGGTTGGAGTGTGGTTGTGCAATCAGAGCTTACTGTAATCTCAAACTCCTGGGCTCAAGAGATTCTCCCACCTCAGCCTCCTGAGTAACTGGGACTGAAGGTGTGCACCCCCATGCCAAGCTACTTTTTTTTTTTTTTTAAGAGACAGGTTCTTGCTATGTTGCCTAGGCTGGAATCGAAGTCCCGGCCTTAGGCAGTCCTCCCACCTTGGCCTCCCAAAGCTCTGGGATTGTAGGCCTGAGCCACAGTACCTGGCCTAGTTCTTAAAAACTTTTTTCCTGCTTTATTCTCTCTCTCTTTCTAGTACTTCAATTGCGTATACCAGTATTGTCCCGCAGATCTCTAAGAATCTGTCTTTTTTAACTTTTTTCCTCTCTAGTCTTCATATCAGGTTGTTCCCATTGATCCTGTCCTTAGGGTCACTGGCTCCTTACTCTGTCATCTCTTCAGCTGTTAAACTCACTAATGTGGCTTGGCTCTGTGTCCCCACACAAATCTCCTCTCAAATTTTAATCCCCACGTGTGGAGGGAGAGACCTGGTGGGAGGTGACTAGATCATGGGGGCAGATGCTGTTCTTCTGATAGTGAGTGAGTTCTCATGAGAGCTGATGGTTTTAAAGTGTGGCCCTTCCTTACTCTGTCTCTTGCCTGTACCATGTAAGATGTGTCTTGCTTCTCCTTTGCCTTCTGCCATGATTGTAAGTTTCCTAAGGCCTCCCCAGCCATGCAAAACTGTGAGTCAATTAAACCTCTTTCCTTTATAAATTACCCAGTCTCAGGTAGTATCTTTACAGCAGTGTGAAAACAGACTAATACATTTACCCAGTGAATGTTTTAGTTCAAATATTGTATTTTTCAGCTATAAGATTTCCAATGGATTTTAAAATATATTTTCTACATCTCTCCTGAGTTTTCCTCTCCTTTCATAAATTGCAAGCATTTTTCCTTTACCTCATTGAGCACAGTTTTAATGGCTGCTTTGAAGTCCTTGTCTAATAATTCCAACATCTGGGTCATCTCTGGGTTGGCCTCTGCTGATTGTCTTTCCCTGGAGAATAGGTCCCATTTTCTGATTCATGATGTGTCACATAATCCTGGACATTGTGAATATTCTGCTGGGGAGACTGGATTCTGGTATAGACTCACAGTGTTGTTCTAGTGTGCACGTAACGTGGTTAGACTCCAACCGGCAGCTCTGTGTCACCCACAGTGGGTTCAGTTTAATTCTGAGTCTTCCCCCATGTATGCACGGTTCAGGGTCAGCCAGAGACCTGGGCAGAGTTTACACACATACCGCGGGGCTTCTTCCACAGCTGCCGCCTTCTGGGAATCCACTTTCACTTTCCAGTGGTGTGGCCACCCCACCCCGTCCTCTGTTTCTTCTTTCTTCAGGCAAGAAAGATGCCCATTTTCTTATTGTTTTTATATTTTATTTATGTTTTTATTTTTTGAGACAAGATCAAGCTGTATTGCTGAGACTGGAGTGCAGTGGTGTGATCACGGCTGCTTGCAGCCTTGACCTCCCCAGGCTTAGGTGATCCTCCCACCTCAGCCTCCTCAGTAGCTGGATCTACAGGTATGCACTAGCACGCTCCACTAATTTTTGTATTTTGTTTTGTACAGATGGGGGTTTTGTCCTATTGCACAGGCTGGTCTTGAACTCTTGGGCTCAAGTGATCCACCTGCCTTGGCCTCCCAAAGTGCTGGGATCACAGGTGTCAGCCACCACACCGGCCAGATGCCCCTCTCGTTTCCTTTATTTTTTTTTTGAGACAGAGTCTCGTTCTATGTCGCCAGGCTGGAGTGCAGTGGCATGATCTCGGCCCACAGCAACCTCCACCTCCTGGGTTCAAGCAATTCTCCTGCCTCAGCCTCCTGAGTAGCTGGGACCACAGGTGCACACCACCATGCCCAGCTAATTTTTGCATTTTTAGTAGAGACGGGGTTTTACCGTGTTGGCCAGGATATCCTCGATCTCCTGACCTCATTATCCGCCTGCCTCGGCCTCCCAAAGTGCTTGGATTACAGGCATGAGCCACCGTGCCCAGCCCCTTCCCTTTCTTTTTCTTTTTCTTTTTTTTACAAAGCCACCTGCTGTCAAAAGGATGCCTGTTTTCTGTTGGAGCTCAGCCACTCCCACACGCGGGCAGCGGCCCTGAGGACGGAGCCACTGTGGGAACTCGCCCCTGCTGGCCCCGCATGCATCAGGTGCCCCAACAATGAGCCTGACTTGGCTCGGCTGCCAGGGCTTTCAGGAAACTCTCCTTATATTTTGTCCAGAGTTTGTGGGTTTTATCTGAGAAGGGCCACCTCTGCCACACCAGAAGGAGAAGAGCCTTGACTCATTCTTTCCCTTTTCCTTCCTCCCTTTTTTTTTTTTTTTTTTTTGGTTTTTCTTCACTGAGGCCTTTCCTTCACTTGTCTTAGCTCCCTTCTTTCCCGTCTTCTCGCTTTCATTACTGCACCCAGACCCGTGCTATTATCAGTGCTTCCAGCAAAGCAGGGGCGATACTCCTTGAGCCAGCCTCTCCATCCTCTGAACCCAGGAATGAGCCATTTACAGTGTTTGCCCCCAAGAGATGCATCTGGAGCCATGACCAACGAGTGCCTCTTCTTGGCAGTGTGAGGTCGTGAGCTCCCTGAAGGCCGTGCACAAATTTGTTGACAGCTGCCAGCTGACCGCAGACCTCGACGGCTCCTTTCCCTACAGCCATGGTGACTGGATCTGCTTCCGTCAGGTAGGTTCAGCCTGCAGCTGCTGCACATGCGACAGTCTCTGGGGACTTTCTGTTATGTGGTTGTTTTTACTAGAATTTGAAAAGGGCATCACCGTCCCTGATCTGATGCTTGTTACAGTCGCCGTTCAGGTCTTCGTGTCTACACAACCACGCCGTGGTGCATCTGAGAATGCCGAGCCCGGGTGGGAAGGGCACTGCCGCCCCGGAAGTGTCTGTAGATCTCAGGGATCTTCACATATGGAAGCTTCCCAACCCGAGATCGGTCTAAATGCAGAAACTGGAACTCACAGCTGCTTACTTTAGCATTTAACAGACTGTGTTCTTATAATCTCCTCCCTCTCAACTCACAACAGAGGCTGGAACACTTCGCTGCAAACTGTGAAGAAGCCATCATTTTCCTACAGAATTCATTCTGCTCCCTGAACACCCACAGAACCCCAAGAACAGCCCAGGTGAGTCCTCAGACTTGCAGGTAAGTTCATTTCATGTGACAGGTAGGTGGGGGCATAAAGGTTAGCCAAACTTGAAAATAAATATTTGGTTCACTATCATCTGTAGCAGAGACCTTCAAATCCTTTTTCATTTGTAGATCCCTCTTAATTCAGAAAAGGCCATTTCCTCCCCTTTGTCACCAAAAACATCCCACCCGACCCAGAAGGAAAACCGTGCCACAGCATTTGATGATATGCAACAGGTGTGAGCGGCAACCGCTGCTCGGAACGAGCCATTCCAACAAGACACAGAGGCGAACTGGCCACAGGGCTCTTGACAGCCCAGCCGCCAGGTCTAGGGGCCCAGAGTCTGTGAGTGAGGTCTGCATGTCTGTCCCTGGTCTAAATGGCAGGTTCACCTCCTACAGCTGAGCTTTGAGCCCCCTTCTTCTCCCTCCCAGGGATCTTATCCTGGGGCCCACCCTCCCTGGGACAGTCCGGACCATCAGCTTGAGGAGTGGGCACTGTCATGCCGCCAGGCCTGCAGCTTGATTTATGGAAACAGGACATTCCTGCCACTGTCACACTTGGGAGGACCTGCCCCTTGGAGGAGGGAGTTAAAGGCTTATTCCTCCCCATCCCGTGCAGGAAGTCGCCGAGTTAATTGACCAGCATGAGACGATGATGAAGCTTGTCCTGGAAGACCCACTGCTTGTGTCTCTCAGGCTGGAGGGGGGCACCGTCCTGGCGCGGCTGAGGAGAGAAGAGCTTGGCACAGAAGACAGCCGGTGAGCGCTCACAGGGGTCATGCTGGGCCCTGGCCCATCGAGGGAGCTGCTCGGGGGAGTTTGCACCAGGAGGCGTAGCGCTCTGCTCCAAGGAGAGCCCCCTCTGTGCTTGGTCCAGACCTCCATTCTGACAGCCACGCTTTGCCTGGGTCAGAGCTTTTCCACATTTACAGGCTCCAAAGATCAAGGAGCCAGCTTCTGGGGATGCTCGGCAGGAGGTGGTCAGAGTGCATCAGAATGAGCTCATTCTTGACCAGTGCTGCCTGGGGAGCTGTGCCCACCCCCAGCAGTCCCTGTCCATCTCAGCTGCACACAGCCAGTCCCGCCTAAGCTGCCCCACCTGGGTCCCCTCCAGGCACCTGCAACCCAGGCCGGCCAGGATGTTGGCAGAACGCATGGAGCACATCTGTGCCCCGCCTCGGTTGTGGGCCTCCTCCTGGGGCTCCCGTTGCCTTGTGGCATGAGGGAATGGAAAGAGCAGGGTTTTTATATGGGGTTGTCACCAAGAGCAGATTCCTCAAGGGGCCGCCTGGAAGCCTGAGGACTGCCTTCTCTTCCTCAGGGACACCCTGGAGGCCGCCACAAGCCTGTACGACCGAGTGGATGAGGAGGTGCACAGGCTGGTCCTCACCTCGAACAATCGTCTCCAGCAGCTGGAGCACCTCCGGGAGCTGGCGTCACTCCTGGAAGGGAATGACCAGGTCAGAGCTGCAGGAGGAAGGCGGCCCGGTCAGCATCCCCTCCAGGCCAGGCTGGCCAAGGCAACCCTCTCACCTTCACACTGTGTCTTTAGGGCCTTGATCTGATTTCCATTTGGAATGAAATTATGTCAGGATAGGGCATGCCTTGCTGCTTGTGTAAAAAGAAATAAATTTTATTTTTTACGTGAGAGATACTGGATCAGTGGAGAAAAAAAATTTGTTTAATCCAGAGGAGGCCAGGGAGAAAAATAATTTCACACTGTGCCTTCTGATGCTACCAGTGTGAATAGCTGGGTGTATCTTCCGGACGCTTTCTCCATGTGCATGCGTACACAGTGACTGAGAAGCCGAGGTGAAACCGACACAGGTAGAGAGAGTCTGGGCCAAGGTTGAGGACGGCAGCCTGGGAAACACCTCCAGATGACCTCAAGAAGTGGCTCTGGAGGCCAGGGAGAGGCTCAAGGTTTTAAAGAAAAGAGGACAAATCGGGAGGGGGTGATGACGGAAGTGGCTTTTCATGAATTCTCTGGGTCACAGAAATGGCATTGGTGGGGGTTGGCCACACGCTGCTGGACTACAGGGTGTGAGTTGTGCACAGTGTGTGGCGTGGCTGGGGTTATTGATGGCCCTTGGTGGACACACTGCAGAATCTGGGGTCCATATAGCAGTGGCTCTGAAATGATTGCTTAGCTCGGGGGGCACCAGCGAAATGATTGCTTAGCTCAGGGGTGCAGATGATGCTGCTGCCTCATTTTGATGCCCCTCTGGGCCTGACAGTTTAAGGGGTGCACACTCAGATAAAAAGTTTCTTTCTTTTCTCACATATAAACTCTTCAAAACTTGCACATTTTTATATAAATCCTTATTATTTTATCAACAACTATTGCTGCGATGAATGTGCGGGTGAAAGAGCCAGCAGCATGGAGAGGCAGCAGTGGGGTGGAGGCATCCCCAGCCCTCCTGTCTGCTGGCAAAGCTCCCCCGGCCTTCAGGTCCATGCGCGTGCCCTCACGGGGGCCTCCAGACAAAGACGTGCAGCAGGGACGCGAGGCACTGTGCATGCTCCTGGCCTCCCCACGACTGACCCCAGCTCCCAAATATTGGCCAGGGGCCCAGCTGGTCCAATCCCTGGGGCAGGAACAGGAACCCCACACCAGGCAAGTGGAGTCCAGGCCAAGCTGCAGCCACCAGCCAGTCCGGGCTGTCTCCAGTCTGTGCCCTCTGTCCTGGGGGTCTCCTCCATCTCCCCTCCTCCCTCTGCTCTATCCTGGCTCCATCTCCCCTCCTCCCCCTGCCCATCCTGGGGGTCTCCCCCATCTTCCCCTCCTCCCCCTGCCCATCCTGGGGGTCTCCTCCATCTCCTCTCCTCCCTCTGCCCATCCTGGGGGTCTCCTCCATCTCCTCTCCTCCCTCTGCCCATCCTGGGGGTCTCCTCCATCTCCTGTCCTCCCTCTGCCCATCCTGGGGGTCTCCTCCATCTCCTCTCCTCTCTCTGCCCATCCTGGGGGTCTCCTCCTTCTCCTCTCCTCCCTCTGCCCGTCCTGGGAGTCTCCCCCATCTCTCCTCCCACTGCCTATTCTGGGGGTCTCCCCTATCTCCCCTCCTCCCTCTGCCCATCCCAGGGGGTCTCCCCCATCTCCCCCTCCTCCCTCTGCCCGTCCTGGGAGTCTCCTTCATCTTCCCCTCCTCGTTCTACTCCGTCCTTGGGGGGGTCTCCCCCATCTCCCCTCCTCCCTCTGCCCATCCTGGGGGATCTCCCCCATCTCCCCTTCCTCCCTCTGCCTGTCCTGGGGGGTCTCCTTCGTCTTCCCTTCCTCGTTCTACTCCTTCCTGGGGTGTCTCCCCCATCTCCCCTCCTCCCTCTGCTCTTCCTGGGGTCTCCTCCATCTCCCTCCCCACTCTGCCCCATCCTGTGGTCTCCTATTTCCTGTATCCAAGTCTTCCTCTTTTTTCATTTACTTTGGCGTTTTATGCAGAATAACTTCCAGGACTTCCCAGAGAAAGGGATCTTGGGGTGAGCATTTTTGAGGCCGTGGTATCTAAAAGCATCTCTACTCCACCTTCATGGCCAGCAGTCACTTTAGTTTCCCTTCGCCAGCTGGAAGGCCCTGCGCCTGTGCTTAGCTTCCATCCCACTCCCAGCCTTCTGCCTGTGCCCTGCTTCTCGGTGGAAGCCACAGACTTTCCTGTCGTCCTCGGGGCTCTGGAATCTGAGGGTTGCCCAGGTGCGCTGAGGGCAGGTGTGCCCGAGGGTCACCCAGGTGCACTGAGAGCAGGTGTGCCTGAGGGTGGCCCAGGTGTGCCTGAGGGTCGCCCAGGTGCACTGAGGGCAGGTGTGCCTGAGGGTCGCCCAGGTGCACTGAGGGCAGGTGTGCCTGAGGGTCGCCCAGGTGCACCGAGGGCAGGTGTGCTCTTTGTGTCTGCACTGCGCCCCTCTGTTCTGGGAATTCTGTGACATCCTTCGTGGCGCTCGCATTTCCCACAGCTCCACACTTCCATCTGGTTCTGGAGTTTTCTGTCCTGTTGCCTTAATTTTCCCCACCCCTGGCTGTGTGCTGTCCTTGTAAGGTAGATTTTTCTCAGCTTTACCCTCTAACTCTATTATTGAGTTTTTTGTTTCTGCTCTTGCTTTTTAACTCCATGGGCTTATTTTCTGAACAGTCCCCTCTCCATACTAATCATGATGAGTCTGCACAGTCTGTGGCTTCTGTGGGTTTGTTCTGGCGCCAGAGGCTTTCCTGGCGACCCCTGGCTAGGAAGCCTGTGGCCCACGCATCTTTAGCATTTTCTCCCTGGCGGTCTGATTCTTTTCCTCTAATCCCGGCCTGAAAGGAGAGCCTGGCCGTAGCTCAGTGTTCACCTGCCAGGGAACAGACCCTGGGCCCTGTGGAGCAGGGTGCCCAGCTCCTTCCCTCCGACACTCCCTCACCCTGTCCTGTGGAGTCTCGGGACTTGGCCTCTGCTCTCCTCAGGCCCTGCCACTCCCGCTTCCTTCCCGGCCTCCAGGTTTGTGCCCTGGCTGCTCTCTGCCCACCGTGCTGAGTGTTACGCCTTGGAAGATGCTTGCAGGGCTTTAGTGGTGTCTCAAGAGGACACGTCTCACTCTGCAGTCTTCACCCAGAAACTCCACGTTGTGACCGGACAGGCGATCCTGCTATGTATAGGTGCACGTCTGTCTCTATATATTTAACCTAAAAAGTGCATGCACACTGTGGGAAAATTAGAAACAAATAGATTTTTACACACGGGATGCCGCATGTGGCGGCCTCGGCACCCTGTGTGTGGGCATGCGCTGCAAGCTCAGTCCCCGAGCCATGTTCACACGGCTCCCACACTGAAGGCCCTGGGCTCCTCCCCTCTCTGCTGTTAGAAACTCCCCATGTTGAACATCTCTGTGTCTCTGCTTCCTTCACAGCCTGTGGGTGTTGACTCTGGATACATTCCTAGGCTCGGATGGCTGCGGTCAGACCATTTGTTTTTGGAGGTTTCCACGCATAAGCCGTGGCACTCCAGCCGCACCTGCCTCCCGCCGGCTGCCCCGTGGGGAAATGGAGCCCCTAAACAGTGTGCCCTCAGATTTTCTATGCGACAGCTGGACATTCTCTTCACACGTTTATTATTTTTATTTCTGTAGTGAATTACTTGTTCATGCTTTAGACAGTTTTTCTAGGGTTGATCATCACTTCTGTCTATGTTATATGGATCCTTCATGTTCTGCTTGTTTTCCTAGTTTGTCATTTGCCCTCTAGCTTTGCTTATCTTTTAAACAGCCCTTTCTACCTTAAGTTATAGAATTATTAGTGTATTTCATCATAGAACCTTTATGACTTGAATTTTTGTATTTAAATCTTGAAACCAATGACAGCCGATTTTTCCACAAAGTTGGAGGCCAGGCTCCAGCTCTGCGCCACCCCCACTCTGCTCTGCCGAAGCCGCACCTGCCCCTTGCCTGGCAGTTGCAAGACTCTGCCCGTGCTCCTAAGAATCAAGATGCTGTGATTTTCTTCTTGACTCTGGCTCTGTTTACAGACAGCGTATGTGCTGGTCTGTCTCTCCTCTGCTGCATGTCTGGGGTCATTCGGTACCTTCTGATGGTCATGGATCCAGGCAGCTGTTCTCTTCTTCACAACAGGCCTCTCATCTCTGGGCATCTGACCCCTAGTCGCCCCTGGTGTTGCTGTTTAACGACAACATGAAGGGCTTACCTCTGACATTTCCACTGAATCCAGCAGTAAATGCCTCCAAAATAAGAACCTTGGTCTTGTCACCAGGGCGCGTAGCCACAGGCGCTCCGTCCAGCAGGGCTCAGCCAGGGGCTCCCCCATCTTTCCCAGGCAGCCTCAAGGGGCCAAGCAGCCACTGGCCTGAAGAATATTTCTGGAATATGCTTACCATATTAACCAGTTTCAAAATGGAAAGTCCTGGATCTATTGTTCAATGATTTTAATGTCCTTTTCCAAACAATGAAAATAGTTTGGAGCTTGAGCCTCAGAGGCCCGTGCCACCTCTCATCAGTCGTGTTCATTCACGGGTGGTTACGCAGCCAGGCTGTCAGCCCTGTGCAGCGTGTACTCAGGACATGACCAAGACGCATCCCTCCCTCGGTCCTGCTAAATCCTAGAGTGTGACTTCTTCGCATGTTTAAATATAAAATGTTCTTCCCCTGTGTAGATCAAATCATAGTTTGGAAAAGAACTAGAGAAATGCCTCGGTCCTTTGGTGCCTGCTCTCGAGAATGAGAGGCAGCAGCAGGCAGCACTGTGGGCCGTCCGAGCCTTGGTGCCAGTGGCTACACGCAGACCCAGCCCACACCTGGAGACATGAACGTGGAAGCACCGGGCTTGTACTGATGCTTTGTTCCTTGGGTACAGCAATCCTGCCAGAAAGGACTACAGCTGGCGAAGGAGAACCCGCAACGTACAGAGGAAATGGTCCAGGATTTCAGAAGGGGCCTGAGCGCCGTGGTCAGCCAGGCTGAGTGCAGGGAGGGAGAGCTGGCCAGGTGGACCCGCTCGTCCGAGTTGTGCGAGACGGTAAGAGACCCAGTGGGCGTGCGTCCCAGGGATCCCGGCTCCTTAGGCTGTGGACATCTAGCAAGTGCCTCCCCTCACAAGCTGGAGTGGGCCAGGCTGTGGGACAGAGGCCGGGCACCTGCGATGGAGCCCCCCTGGCCACTGCGCCCACGGCTCTCTGGAGAAGGCTCTGAGCCGACCTGTGAAGCATTTGATATTGTACCAAACAGACCAGCCAAACGAACACACACATTTCTCTGTGTGTTTACTGGCTCAGTTAGAAAATTCCACTGATTGCCCAAAACCCTAAACAAGTGCTACAGCAGACTGCTCGCCTGCGAGCTCCCACGCGCCCCAGACCGCACGCCTGCGAGCTCCCCCGCGCCGGGGACTGCCTGCCATTAGGAGCCCGGGCCAGAGGCCACGGAGCTCACCTGTCAGGACAGCATTTGAGGGGTCATGGGGTGGCCAGAGCAGGGTAGAGCCGTCTGCCCCGTCACGCCTCTCTCAGCTCACAGGATGTGGCATAACTGATCTACACAATGTCTTCACGTGGTCCTAGGACATCCCCCACGGTGCCCTCTGGCATGGCGAACAGACCCCATGGGGTCAGACACAGCCCACCTGCCCTTCCGCTGAACCCGGCCACAGCCCCCACTGGGTGGCGGGACTGCCTCTCGCTCTGCTTTCTGGCCCCCTGGTCCCTGAATAGGCTGACCTGGGGAACAGCAGGGCCTGAGCTGGCTCCAGGGCAGCCCCTCCTCCACTGCACTGAGCAGAGCCCTCCTTGTCCCACAGGTGAGCAGCTGGATGGGGCCCCTGGACCCGGAGGCTTGTCCCTCCTCACCCGTGGCTGAGTGTTTGAGGAGCTGTCACCAGGAGGCTACCTCGGTGGCTGCAGAGGCCTTCCCCGGGGCAGGTGTGGCAGTGCTGAAGCCTCATGCCCTGGGGAAACCGTGGGCATCACAGCAAGACCTGTGGCTGCAGTACCCCCAGACCCGGCTCCGTCTGGAAGAGGCCCTTTCTGAGGCTGCCCCAGACCCCAGCTTACCGCCCCTTGCCCAGAGCCCCCCAAAGCATGAGCGTGCCCAGGAGGCCATGAGGAGGCACCAGAAGCCACCCTCATTCCCCAGCACGGACAGTGGGGGTGGTGCCTGGGAACCTGCGCAACCACTGTCCGGCCTCCCTGGACGAGCGCTTCTGTGTGGACAGGACGGGGAGACCCTGCGCCCAGGGCTGTGTGCTCTGTGGGACCCACTGTCCCTCCTCAGGGGCCTTCCAGGGGCAGGGGCCACCACGGCCCACCTGGAGGACAGCTCTGCCTGTTCCTCTGAGCCCACCCAGACCCTGGCCAGCCGCCCCAGGAAACATCCCCAGAAGAAAATGATAAAGAAAACGCAAAGTTTCGAGATACCTCAGCCCGACAGTGGCCCCAGGGACTCCTGCCAGCCAGACCATACTAGTGTCTTCAGCAAGGGCCTGGAGGTAACCAGCACTGTAGCCACAGAGAAGAAGCTCCCGCTGTGGCAGCATGCCAGGAGCCCCCCGGTCACTCAGAGCCGGAGTCTGTCCTCCCCCTCGGGGCTCCACCCTGCTGAGGAGGATGGGAGGCAGCAGGTGGGCAGGTGAGGTGGACGTCCCCCTCCTCTCGTCCTAGCAGTCCTTGGGGATCTAGAAACCCAAAGCCATTTAGGCAGTAAACTCTCTTCTGCAAAGTAGAAAGTAAATCCGCAGACATCCCTCTGGGTCCACCTGTCCGGTCTAAGAAGAAACACAATTTTAAACTAGATATGAGTTACCTGCCCCCATGTCCGGAAGGGACCACTGAAAACTGCCTGGATGGTGTGTGGTAACCTGCACACACTCACTCTGACGGTTAAGTAACTGTGCGACCAACTCTAGTTATTTTCAGCCCACTTACAGAAAATTACAAGCAGCAAATCAACCCCGACACCAAGAAGAGTTACCTTAAAAATAACTTTTAAAAAGTCTCTTAAGTGTTAGGGGTTAGAAGGCGCACCCATGCGCCCATTGCCCCACTGAAGAGGCCCCTTCTCACTTGTCGAGCCTGCAAAGGACGCGTCCACTCATTGGTAAGGGTGGGCGCACTCGGCCCCTGCCTAGGCCGGATGCCGTCTGAACCTCCATCTTCCACCCATGTGGTACTGGTCGTGAGGGCTAGAGGTGGAGAATTTCGTGAGATGCTTTGCTCATTTGGTTGGCTTCTGTGTCTTGGGCCAGCAATCCCCATCCTTTTTGCCACCAGGGACAGGATTCATGGAAGACAATTTTTCCACAGACCGCAGGGGTTGGGGTATGGTTTTGGGATGAAACTGCTCCACTTCAGCTCACCAGGCATTAGTTAGATTCTCATAAGGAGCACGAAACCTAGATCCCTCACATGTGCAGTAGTGTTCGTGCTTCTCCGAGACTCTAATGCTGCCACTGATCTGACAGGAGGCGGAGCTCACACAGTAATGATGTGACTGGGGGCGGAGTTCACCCAGTAATGCTGTGACAGGGGGCGGGGCTCACAGTAATGTTGTGACGGAGCAGAGCTCACACTAATGCTCTGACAGGGGGCGGAGCTCACACAGTAATGCTGTGACAGGGGGCGGAGCTCACACAGTAATGCTCTGACAGGGGGCGGAGCTCACACAGTAATGCTGTGACGGAGCGGAGCTCACAGTAATGCTGTGACGGAGCGGAGCTCACACTAATGCTCTGACGGGCGGAGCTCACACTAATACTCTGACAGGGGGCGGAGCTCACACTAATGCTCTGACGGGGCGGAGCTCACACTAATACTCTGACGGGGCGGGGCTCACAGTAATCCTCTGACGGGGCGGAGCTCACACTAATGCTCTGACGGGGCGGAGCTCACACACTAATGCTGTGACGGAGCGGAGCTCACACTAATGCTGTGACAGGGGGCGGGGCTCACAGTAATGCTCTGACGGGGCGGAGCTCACACAGTAATGCTGTGACGGGGCGGAGCTCACACTAATGCTGTGACGGGGCGGGGCTTACACACTAATGCTCTGACGGGGCGGAGCTCACACTAATGCTCTGACGGGGCAGGGCTCACAGTAATGCTCTGACAGGGCGGAGCTCACACTAATGCTCTGACGGGGCGGAGCTCACACTAATGCTCTGACGGGGCGGGGCTCACACTAATGCTGTGACGGGGCGGAGCTCACACAGTAATGCTGTGACGGGGCGGAGCTCACACTAATGCTCTGACGGGGCGGGGCTCACAGTACTCCTCTGACGGGGCGGAGCTCACACTAATGCTCTGACGGGGCGGAGCTCACACTAATGCTCTGACGGGGCGGGGCTCACTAATGCTCTGACGGGGCGGGGCTCACACTAACGCTCTGACGGGGCGGGGCTCACAGTAATCCTCTGACGGGGCGGAGCTCACACTAATGCTCTGACGGGGCGGGGCTCACAGTAATCCTCTGACGGGGCGGAGCTCACACTAATGCTCTGACGGGGCGGGGCTCACACTAATGCTCTGATGGGGCGGGGCTCACACTAATGCTCTGACGGGGCGGAGCTCACACTAATGCTCTGACGGGGCGGGGCTCACACTAATGCTCTGACGGGGCGGGGCTCACACTAATGCTCTGACGGGGCGGGGCTCACAGTAATCCTCTGACGGGGCGGGGCTCACACTAATGCTCTGACGGGGCGGAGCTCACACTAATGCTCTGATGTGGCGGAGCTCACACTAATGCTCTGACGGGGCGGGGCTCACACTAATGCTCTGACGGGGCGGAGCTCACACTAATGCTCTGACGGGGCGGGGCTCACACTAATGCTCTGACGGGGCGGGGCTCACAGTAATCCTCTGACGGGGCGGAGCTCACACTAATGCTCTGATGGGACGGGGCTCACACTAATGCTCTGACGGGGCGGGGCTCACAGTAATCCTCTGACGGGGCGGAGCTCACACTAATGCTCTGACGGGGCGGAGCTCACACTAATGCTCTGACGGGGCGGGGCTCACAGTAATCCTCTGACGGGGCGGAGCTCACACTAATGCTCTGACGGGGCGGGGCTCACAGTAATCCTCTGACGGGGCGGGGCTCACACTAATGCTCTGACGGGGCAGGGCTCACACTAATGCTCTGACGGGGCGGGGCTCACAGTAATCCTCTGACGGGGCGGAGCTCACACTAATGCTCTGACGGGACGGGGCTCACACTAATGCTCTGACGGGGCGGGGCTCACAGTAATCCTCTGACGGGGCGGAGCTCACACTAATGCTCTGACGGGGCGGGGCTCACAGTAATCCTCTGACGGGGCGGGGCTCACACTAATGCTCTGACGGGGCGGGGCTCACACTAATGCTCTGACGGGGCGGGGCTCACAGTAATCCTCTGACGGGGCGGAGCTCACACTAATGCTCTGACGGGGCGGGGCTCACACTAATGCTCTGACGGGGCGGGGCTCACAGTAATCCTCTGACGGGGCGGAGCTCACACTAATGCTCTGACGGGGCGGAGCTCACACTAATGCTCTGACGGGGCGGAGCTCACACTAATGCTCTGACGGGGCGGGGCTCACAGTAATCTTCTGACGGGGCGGAGCTCACACTAATGCTCTGACGGGGCGGGGCTCACACTAATGCTCTGACGGGGCGGGGCTCACACTAATGCTCTGGCAGGAGGCGGAGCTCAGGTGGCAACACTCCCTCGCCTGCCACTCACCTCCTGCTGGGCGGCCTGGTTCCTAATAGGCCACAGATGGGTACCAGTCGGTGGCCCTGGGGGTTGGAGGCCTCTGCCTTAAGGTCCATAGAAGGGGTTTCCTCCTCACACCCTGATCATAGGTTTAATCTGAACGGAGAAGGCCCAAGAACACTCTTCTGAAACACACCTTTAGGTTGCCAGACTCAGTGTTTACCTTGTTAAAGGCAAAGCTCCAAGTAGAACATTAAGTTCTGGTTTTTACCATTGGTGTGAGTGATCCAGGGTGTATCTGCCGGCTGAGCCCTTCCGAATCCGTAAGAGGAACGCCAAGCGCTGTCCCTGAGTCTCAGCAAGTGGCTGCACTGACGTTTCTGTCTCCACTGAGCCCATGTTTCAGGTTTGGGGGGCAGCAGAACACAGGAAGGGGGGACTCCTGCCGACCCCCGTGTGATTTCCAGCCTTTGCTTCCTAGTGAGTACATTGTCCATTTACTTTGATCAAGACCCAATTAAGACTGTCCTCATTCTGATTTTGTTTCTGGATATTTACTGAGGAGGCTTTTGTGTGGGTCGTGACACTGGGCCTCGGCCTTCCCGCCAGTGCTGTGAGGGCCAGTTCCTGACCAGCCAGGAGGTGCTGTGTTCTCAGAAACAGTGAGAATCTGTCAAATCTGTTATGCAGGAGTGAAGGGGACAAGTTCTGCAGCTCTGCTGTGAATGGGATGTGCGTTCAGCAGCATTTCTGCCCACAGCTGTGCTTCCCATCATTAGCTGCTTTTTAGTTTTTCCAACTTAAAAAACAAGTAAATACAAATAATGGTAGAAAAAAAATCTGCCAACTCCCATTGGTATCATCAGGATCGAGTTATTTAAGGAGGTTGGGGGTAAGATGCCATCAAGTAGAGGAGAAAAGCAACGCACCTCACTGTTCATTAGGGCAGGGCCCCCGGCTCACCATGGCCCTGGGAAATCTCCTTTGAAAGTGCAGTGGATGGTGCTGTCTGAGGTGCAGAGCTGTGGGACACGCCCAGATCCCACCCCAGCAGAACCCAGAGAACCTTCTCCTGGAGAGTCCCGCCGCCCAGGCCAGGCTTTGGCATTCATGCTGCCGGAGTGTGGGCCCTGCCCTCCAGGCTCACATGCTGGCCACTGCTCAGTTGCTGAGAGTGACCAGGTGGCCCCACTCCAGCCAGCTCATGAAACAGAGCCACCAGCCTAAGCGTCCTGCATTTGTTTATGGTGTAAAAGTACTTTTGGATGCTTAGCATGTTTTTTAGTGGTAATAAAAAAATTAAAAAATACCACCTGATTTGGGAAGCCCAGTTTGGGCCTCTATGATCACAGCACTGCAGTTTTGCACGGGAGGTACCGTCTGGCCAAGCTGACCACACTGGCCAGCCCACCTCTCCACTCTCTCAGGGCAACACGAGTGGATCCTCTGGGTCCTGCCCTGCCCTGGGGATACGGAGGTAGTGAGACTTCGGGCAGCCACAGAGGAGCCCACATCTCCTGCAGATGTGTGTGTTGTCAGGAAGGGCTCTTCAAAGACTCAGAAGTGCTTCAGAGGCTCACCCCTCACGGGAACAGTGCTCCTACAAACCCTGCTTGGCAGCCCCTCCTCAGGACGCTCATTCAAGGCAGGGAGACCCCAGCCAAGGGTGGGGCTGAGGGTTCCGTGGAGGGCCATCCCTGGGGCCTAGCCTGCTGTTGTCCACCTCTGGGCCGTCCTGCGCCCCCGGCCTTGCTCTCCGGCCACTGCAGCCCCCGAGTACCCCTGAAGCTGCTCCTTAAGGTGCTGAGCCCCTTGGGTCAGGAGTAACTACCATGGAAGCTGACCCTCGAGAAAACCTCCTGGTCAGTCAGCAGTGGGCAAGGATCCAAAAGCCGTTTTCTCACGAAATTTCCACCACAGCCTTCCTTAGCAGAAGCGTCACTGCTGGAAGTGTTTGAGTCATCTCACCGCTAGAATGAAACCAGCTGGGAACGAGAAACCTTATGTTCAGAGTTTCAGTTAGGAAGCCTGGGAATCTGTCTGTCTTGGTTTCCAAAGGGATCTTTCCTCTGAAAAGGCCATGATCAATAATGTGGAAATGTTTCACCTGACAAGTTTCTTTTTGAAATATAGTCCTTATCTTTTCAAGTTACTGTGTATCAAGAGAGCAGCTCCAGGTAACAGGGAGAGAATGAGTGGAGGTGCAGGTGAGTCGCTCCTTGCTGAGGATGTGCAGTAGACTGGAAGATTATTCTTTTTTTTTTTTTTTTTTTTTGAGACAGAGTCTCACTCTGTCACCAGGCTGGAGTGCAGGAGTGCAGTGGCGTGATCTCGCCTCACTGCAGCATCCGCCTCCCAGGTTCAAGTGATTCTCCTGCCTCAGCTTCCCAAGTGGCTGGGACTATAGGTGCCTGCCACTACCCCCAGCTAATTTTTGTATTTTGAGTAGAGACGAGGTTTCACCATGTTGGCCAGGCTGGTCTCGATCTCTTGACCTCGTGATCTACCCGCCTCAGCCTCCCAAAGTCCTGGGATTACAGGCACGAGCCCCCACGCCTGGCCGGAAGCTTTTTTATCGTGCATCCCACATGTGCCCATGTGCCTCCAGTCCACATGTGACCCTGCTCATCCCTCCGGGTTTTCATGTGTTTCTGTCTCAGGCATGAATTGCTTTTAATAAAGTGTCCGTGGGGGGCCGTGTGCCCCCCGGGATCTCTGTGTCTTCCAGCAGCCGACTGAGGCACATCATGGCCGAGATGATCGCCACAGAGAGGGAGTACATTCGGTGCTTAGGATACGTCATTGACAACTATTTTCCAGAAATGGAAAGAATGGACTTGCCCCAGGGCCTTCGAGGGAAGCACCACGTTATTTTCGGCAACTTGGAGAAGCTCCACGACTTCCACCAGCAGCACTTCCTCCGGGAGCTGGAGCGCTGCCAGCACTGCCCCTTGGCCGTGGGCCGCAGTTTCCTGAGACACGTAAGTGCAGGCCATGGCGTGGGTGCCGGGCAACGTGGTGGGTGAAGCCGGTGTCAGAGAGGCGGGGCCTACAGGGCCCACGTGTCAGGCGGTTGGAATAGCTTCAGTCCAGGTCTAGGAGCTGGTCCTGACAGGATGTTAAGACCAGCCGAAAAACAGATGCCCCACACGGATAACCTGTGGGTCTCCAGTGCTCGGTGCTTTGCGCGTGGTGTGACCGACTGTGTCCCTGCTGCCCCTGGAGGCGGAGGCTCACAGACACCATCACACCCATTCTGCCAGCAGCCCTTCTCCTTTACCACTTCCAGCTGATAGGCCAGAAGCAGTTCCCAGAATCACCTTCCGGGGAGAGGCCAGGCCTCACCTCTTCACACGCCCCCTGCCCCTGGATGCCCCATTACCTGCCAGAGGGACCAGCCTGTCCCGTTCTGAGAATTCCCTGTGAGGCTTTCAACTGGAAGCACGTTGAATGTACAGACCCAGTGGTCTCTCCTCGTAAGTTGCTTCTCAGTGATGAATGTGGAATCTCTCTGTTTGAGAGTCTTTAATAAAGTTTTTAATTTACTCTGGAAAGAAACTGACAGGCTTTCAACAGGCATTCACTGAGTGCTGTGGGCAGATGGGATGTATGTCCCAGACCACTGAGCACAGATTATCACAACGAAAACAGCCGTGGACAAAAGAAGCGCATGTTACATCTTTTCAGTGTTTCCTTTTTTTTTTTCTTTGAGATGAAGTCTCGCTCTGTTGCCCAGACTGGAGTGCAGTGGCACAATCACAGCTCACAGCAGACTCCGCCTCCCGAGTTCAAGTGATTCTCCTGCCTCAGCCTCTTGAGTAGCTGGGACTACAGGCGCCGCCACCACGCCCGGCTAATTTTTGTATTTTTAGTAGAGATGGAGTTTCACCATGCTGGCGAGGCTGGTCTTGAACTCCCAACCTCCTGATCCACCCGCTTCAGCCTCCCAAAGTGCTGGGATTACAGGTGTGAGCCACTGTGCCCAGCCTCAGCATTTTCTTAAAAGGTGCTTTTAGACATAAAGTGCAGATTCATATTGACCGTGATTGTGGCAATTTTAAATGTCTTGACAGCTTTAGCTCTTGGCCATGGACCAAATCATTCCAATGCCCCCCACGCCCTCCCAGGCCCACTGCCAGCTGCATCCTCTTCCCCCCTCAACCCCCTGGAGTCTGTGTTTTAAAGACAAATTACAGAATTCTCAGCATTGAGGCTTCAGCTGGTAAACTGGTCACCCCTGGAGCCCTGGTGTTGGGGATACTCTGATAGTCTTTAATGAAGGGCCGAGTCTCCCTTTCACCTGATCATGGTACAAACTGCACCTGGGGGGTCTTGGGACGGGAGCAGTTCCAAGTCTGACCCGGGCTGCGGGAGCCTGCTGTCTCTGGGCCTGTCACTCCCACAGCCAAGCAGTCGCCTCTGCTTTTCCAGGAAGAGCAGTTTGGGATGTACGTGATCTACAGCAAAAACAAGCCGCAGTCGGATGCCCTGCTCAGCAGCCATGGCAACGCCTTCTTCAAGGTCATCCCCCTCGGCCCGCCCCCCACAGCCTGCCCGGCCCTCAGCCAGGCCGGAGCTGACCCTCTCACCCGGCCCTTGCAGGACAAGCAGCGGGAGCTAGGTGACAAAATGGACCTGGCCTCCTACCTGCTGCGGCCCGTGCAGCGTGTGGCCAAGTACGCGCTGCTACTCCAGGACCTGCTCAAGGAGGCCAGCTGTGGCCTGGCCCAGGGGCAGGAGCTGGGCGAGCTCCGAGCCGCCGAGGTCGTGGTCTGCTTCCAGCTGCGTCACGGCAATGACCTGCTGGCCATGGACGCCATCCGCGGCTGTGACGTAAGTGCCTCAGACGCTGGCAGCTCAGGCAAGCTGGGGGAATTTGAGGCTGCTGGTGAGAAAGTCTTGGCCCCAGCAGCACACTTTTCTTGGTGATGTGCTGGCAGATTTGCCCCGGAGAAGTCCCTCAAAGCACAGCCTTCTGAAGGCCGCAGCGGGGGCCACCTGGAGGAGGGTCTTACCTGTCTGGGCAATGTCAGGGAGCAGCCAGGCTCGAGGCCCCTGGAGCCCCAGGGTTTGACAATGGCTGGCAGATGTTGGCTGCCGTTCTACAGGACATGCAAAGCAGGCTGGCTCTGAATAACTGGAAGTCTGCTTACCTGGGCTGTATTTAAAACAGGTGGACGTGAGCGCTGCACCCCAGCCCTCTGTGAGAAGGCACTAGGGCCAGGGCGTGGGGCTGACCTTGGCTCGTTCATACGGGCCCGCGGCAGCTCACCCATATGCTGCTGCCCGCGACCGGCTGCATGGGTCTCATCAGGCCCCTCTGCGGGGGTTGTGCAGCTCAGTGTAGTGAAGGCTGCCCTGGCTGCCCCAAACCCCAGATGCCCAAAAGGCCACGGGTGAGCTGAGAAATGGCCGGTGCGTGGGGGCGCTGGCTCCACTCTGGCCTGGGATGGGTGACACCCCAATGGCAGAGCAGGGCCGTGGAGGGTGGGACCCCACATGAGCTGGAAAAGGCAGGCCCATCTCGGGCCCCCAACACCGACGGAATCGGGGCTGCTTCTAGGAAGTGGTATAGTCAGTCTTCCTGGTCACTTGTGTGGAGGCGCCTCAGGCTGTCCCAGCATCCTCAGCCAAGGAGCCCTAGGGGCGTCCATGGGATGGAGGTCATGGGAGAGGCTCTGCCAACCGTGCCCGTCATGCGGGTAAATTCCACTAGGGGAGGGACAGCCTGGTGGGCACGGCGGCTCCATCTCTGGGGGCTGCTGTCTCCTCTGACCCAGCTTGAAGGGATTTCTGTGGGGACGAGGGAGGAGCTGTCGGATTCCCAGGGGCTATTTAGTGAGGGGGACTCTAGCACCACCTCAGCAGGGAGTTCCATCAAAATGGACGCGAGGGCTTTGAAGAAGAAAGTTCCATAAATCGCAACAAGGTTTACCTTGTGATCTCTGCACGTATGACCCGGGAACGGGGGCCGGGGTGGGGGTGTGGGACGCTCACCCCCTGAGCAGGGCTCCTCCCCTGTGTGTGGGCCCAGAGGGTCAAACGGGAGGGTTGGGGGGAACTGGGTGAGTTCCTGAGCTTTTAGATGTGATGCTGCAGTTTCTATCCTGATGCTCTTTGAAACCTTTAACAGCTAACATTAAGGCGGATTTGCCAGATTTTATGGCAGTTTGGCTGCTGTTCCGTCTTGTCACGAAGCTAACACATTTAGACGGAGACAGTGACCTGTGCCACCACAGACGCCGGATTTTCTTGGATGAAATCCACCTGTGTGTTCCTCTGCAGGTGAATTTGAAGGAACAGGGGCAGCTGAGATGCCGGGATGAGTTTATCGTTTGCTGCGGGAGGAAGAAGTATCTGAGGCATGTGTTCCTCTTTGAAGACCTCATCCTGTTTAGCAAGACCCAGAAGGTGGAGGGCAGCCACGACGTCTACCTGTACAAGCAGTCCTTCAAGGTAGCACCCGCCCGGTCCGATTGGGTGCAGGCCGAGCCAGGCCCTCCAAGGGGGTCTCGGACCCTTGTCTCACCTAAGGCCAGCAGAGGAACTGGGAGGGAGTGAAGCGGGGAGGAGCCGCACTGCGATGTTTGTTTTCTGCGGTTCTTGGGTAAATTCTTGAAAACGTTAGCCTTCCAAAAGCTGCAAGGAGAAGTGTGTCTTCTCCAGTCCCATGTCCAGTCCAGGGGCTGAGAAACAAGTGCCTACTCAGTCAGTAACTGCATTTTGGATCCTGTGCAGAGGTGAACACAGGGACAGGCCTTCCCCTGGCTCTCGGAGGTGCACAGGGAGGGCTTTGCTGATGCACCACGTTGGGCAGGTTCCCACTTGTGACTCGGCTGTGCTGAGGGAGGGGAGGTCCCTCCCTTCTTGACAGAGTCCATGAGGGTGCATGGGCTCACACACAAGCAGCCTCACAGACTCATGCATAGCCTTGCACACTCATGGACAGCTGTCCTTCACATTCAAGCACTCTCCCTTGCACACTGTTAAGCAGCCTCACACACCCATGAGCAGCATTGCACACAGGGACAGTCCTGTACAGTCTCCTTTGCACGCTCACAAGCAGTCACTCACGAGCAGCCTCACACACACGGACAGCTATCCTGCACACAGGCACTCTCCCTGGCACGGTCACAAGCAGCCTCACACACTCGTGAGCAGTGTGGTCTCGCTCACCCTGACCCATCCCACACATTTGTCATTTGGTGTCTGGGTGAAGTGACCTCCAGCACTGAGGAATTTGGGTAGCCAGTTGTTCAGAGACCATGTTCCTGATGGTGCTGCAATGGGTGTTTGCTGACTGCAGACGGCCGAGATCGGGATGACAGAGAACGTCGGGGACAGTGGCTTGAGGTTTGAGATTTGGTTTCGCAGGCGGCGGAAATCTCAGGACACCTACATTCTCCAAGCAAGCTCGGCAGAGGTCAAGAGTGCATGGACCGATGTCATAGGGAGGATCCTGTGGCGGCAGGCACTAAAGAGCAGAGGTGGGAAGATGGGGGCCGCAGGGCCTGCCAGGCTCAGGGGCACAGCTAGGGGCAGGGGTCGGGGCTGGGACTGGGGTGAGAGCCAGGGGCTGAGTCCAGGGGCCAGGGGGCTGGGGGCCAGGGCTAGAGCTGGGGCTGGAGCTGTGGTCGGGGACTGAGTCCAGGGGCTGGGGAATGGGGGCTGGGGCTGGGGTGGGGGCTGGAGACTGAATCCAGGGGCCAGGGGGCCAGCAGGGCCGGGGTGGGGGCTGGAGACTGAGTCCAGGGGTCGGGGGCTAAGGCTAGGAGTGGGGCTGGGGTGGGGACTGGAGACTGAGTCCAGGGGCCGGGGGCCAAGGCTAGGAGTGGGGCTGGGGTGGAGGCATGGGTTGGGAGCTGGGCTATCAACCTTAATGCTGAGATTCAGGCGGTATGATTAAATATTGAGTTCACTTGAGCACAAAGTCTGAGGATGGCCAACTGGGAGGATACAGACTTCAAAGGGATGGGGTCATTGCCCCGAAGTGGGGAGGTTTAAGGGCCATTTGTATAGGCACGGTCTGGGGAAACAACAGGATCACATCATTTTCTATACAGGGTTGGTGCACAGTTATAGCAGTTTGGTTGGCTGCAGTCAGCGTTTCTTTTTTGGTAAGGGTGAGGGGTATATTTCGCATTCCACGTTAGGGACAGAATAGCCAAGGGTCTTCTGTCTCAGGGCTCTCTGGTCTGAGCCAGGAACAGGGAGGCAAGGAAATCTCTAACAAAAGGTCAGAAATGAAGGGGCTGAGCTCCGTGACTCGATCTCCAAAGTCAGTCTCTCTAAGGGCCTAATCACTCTGAGGAGCCTCCAGTAGCCGCACTGTCCATTTTCTTCCCCATGGGCACCCAAGAGGCCCACCCGGTCTGGGGCACCTGGGGGCTCCTCGGTCAGCACTTGACAAGAAAGCTCTTGGATTGGCCCCGACAGCACTCACACACGTGTCTCTCGTGTCCACAAGCGAACATAAGGCACTGCGGCAACCCGAGAGAGTCCCCCGCAGGTCTGGTTCCATGTTTAACCCTCTGGTTGACTTCCTGCCCCTGCCCTGCTGGTCTGGCCCCCGTGGCCCTGGGAGGCTGAGCTCATGGTCAGCCCTCAGTCTTCCTGCAGGTGAGAGGGCCCTCCCCAGAGCACTCATTCCCCACCCTAGGATCCCTTCCCCAGGCCTCCTCCCTCAATGTCCACCCTCGTTTGCTCCCCCCACCGACTTCTTCACTGAGGGTGACTCTCTGTGCTTATTCCTCCAGCCTGGCGGCTGCGAACACCACCTTCACAGCAACCACCCCCCACCCCAGACCTTCTCCCACACTGAGCTCCAACTCCAGGTCCTGCCCCAGCACCTCACGAGTAGCCAAAGCCACTGTAAACCCAGCTGTCCCTCTCTACCCTACAAGCCCACCCTGGCAGCTCTGGCCTCTCAGACCTAAAACCCAGGCACCCAAGCTACAGACACGACCAGGGCTCCTGCACGGCTGCACCCCGCCTGAGCCCTGACCCCTCCAGGCAGACACGACCAGGGCTCCTGCACGGCTGCACCCCGCCTGAGCCCTGACCCCCTCCAGGCAGACACGACCAGGGCTCCTGCACGGCTGCACCCCGCCTGAGCCCTGACCCCCTCCAGGCAGACACGACCAGGGCTCCTGCACGGCTGCACCCCGCCTGAGCCCTGACCCCCTCCAGGCAGACACGACCAGGGCTCCTGCACGGCTGCACCCCGCCTGAGCCCTGACCCCCTCCAGGCAGACACGACCAGGGCTCCTGCACGGCTGCACCCCGCCTGAGCCCTGACCCCTCCAGGCAGACACGACCAGGGCTCCTGCACGGCTGCACCCCGCCTGAGCCCTGACCCCTCCAGGCAGACACGACCAGGGCTCCTGCACGGCTGCACCCCGCCTGAGCCCTGACCCCCTCCAGGTGAAGCCACCACCTCCCCACCGGCCCCTGAAACACTCCGGAGCCAGCTCTGTCAGACACAGGGGGCCCCATGGCGTCGCCACAGGCTCCCCCTCTGGCCCCCAGCCTCCTGGCTACTCCACACCCCCGTGGGCTTCACCCCTGTGCAGCCCCCAACAGCAGTTACTTGGCCAGAGGCCTCACCTCCGAGATGCCACCATCCTGAAGAGCCTTCCTGGCCTTTTTCCTTCCTTTGTAACCCACGGTCCTGCTTCCTGTTTGGGGTCTGCCTGACTGTAGTGCACAAAGTCTCCCTGGGGTCGATCTGTCCATTTCAACCCCTCTGGTGTTCCAAGCACCTGGAGCCTGCAGGAAGTAGGCCCTGCCAGCCTTGAATAATCAGATTCAGAAAATAGAACTAAGTTGATTCAAGCGCAAAGCATGAGAATGGCCGCCCCAGAATGCAGCCTCCAAAGGGACGGGGTCCGTGCTCGCAAGTGGGGAAGCTGAGGCTTCACTTACAGAGACAGAAACGGTTGCAGCCAACTTGACAGCAACTTGATTACTACAGGTTGCTGCATTCCAAGGAAGATTGCTTTAACATTCTGTGAGGAGGCGGAGGCTTGTTCTGAGAGATTCTTATCTCTGGTGCTTCCCGGTCATCCCTGACCATTTACCAGAAAAAGCAGAAGGTGCAGCTGATGCTCAGAGACTCGGCATTGCTGGGTTCCTCTCAGGGTTCAGAATAACTTACAGTTCCCACAGCGTTGAGTTCAAATTATTTAGTTTCACAGCCTTCCTCAAACAGGGTCAGGTGGGCAGCTGAGCACAGGGTACGCACACAGGACTCTGCCTGGGCCTGGGGCTGTGGGGCCTGGGCCACAGAGCTGACCAACCTCTGCAGGTACAGCTGGGTCACCTGGAAAGTGGAGCCTAATGCTTTTCAGGTGTGTCTAGGACCTGGCACCCCCTCCCCATTGCGTCATTGGTCACTTAAGGCCTCTTGACTTCTCCAGTTTTGCCAGGGATTTGCCAAATTAGTCTTCTCAGAAAACAGAATTTTGGTTTAATTGATTATCTACACACTTACTTTCTATTTAATTAATTTCTACTCTTTGTTATTTTCTTGTGTCTAACTTTTTCAGTGTTTCATTTGCTTTTCCTTTCTACCTAATTTCTTGAGGTGGATGCTTATATCATTGATTTGAGCCTTTGTTTTGTTCTAGTTTTTGTGCCGTATTTAGGACTACAGGCTTTCCCCTAAGCCTGGCTTTAGCTGCATCCCAGAAGTTTGTATATGTCATGTGTCTATTCACAGTCAGTTCAGTATATTTTCTAACTTCCACTTTAATTTATTCTCGGACTCATCATAGGTTATTTAGAAATGTATTACCTAATTTCCAAGATTTTCTAGTTAACTTTGTGATACCAGTTTTGAGTTTAAGACCACTTTGGTCAAATAATATACACTAGAGTTTGTTGTCTGTGGAAGGTATCCGAGTGACCGGCGGCAAATCTGTACAGGTCTGCAGCAACCTCAGTTCTTACCTCCTCCGAAGAAAGAATTTGACTGAGGGATGTAAGGCAGAAAAAGAGACCCAGGCAAGTTTCAGAGCAGGAGTGGAAGTTTATTTAAAAAGGCTTTTAGAGCGGGAAAGAAATGAAAGCACACTTGGAAGAGACCCAAGCGGGCACCGAGATCGAGTGCCCCATTTATCCTTGATCCTAAGACTTTCTGGGCCAGCCCCTTTCCCATGATTCTCCCCTTAGGCTGGGCTGCCCGTGTGCACAGTGCGCACCTTTCCCTTGGGATGTGAGGATGCGCCGTGTGCTTAGGAAGTTGTACGCATCCCCATCTGAGACTTTCGTCCCTTTTCTGTTGGGGGAACGTGAGGATGCCCTGTGTGCTTAGGAAATTGTATGCATCCCCATCTGAGGCTTCCCTTTTCTGTTGGGGGAACGTGAGGATGCACCGTGTGCCTAGGAAGTTGTAGGCATCCCCATCTGAGGCTTTCGTCCCTTTTCTGTTGGGGGAACGTGAGGATGCCCTGTGTGCTTAGGAAATTGTATGCATCCCCATCTGAGGCTTTCTTCCCTTTTCTGGTGGGGTCCCCCTAAAGGTCACATTCTACCATTTTGTCTCTTAATGCACAAAGTTGCTTCTCCTGGCACCTGCCTTCAATTAACACTTTAGTGCAGCAGGTGTGGACCATCAGGAAACGCCCTCTCCCTGGCACTGGCTCCCAAGGTGCCACTTTTAGAGAGACAGTGCAAATATGCCGAGCCATCACCCGACATTCCCAATGGGTGGGGGAGCCTCTCCTGCCCTGCTCATGCCTGTCTAACTACCTGTAACAGCTTCGATTATTTGAAATGTTGTATATCCTAGCATTTTGGTAAATTTTCCATGTGCACGTGAAGAGAAAGTGTGCTTTGTAGTTGTTATTGCAGAGTTCTGATCATGTTTTGAAAATTGTGTTTTTCAGATTTTTTATATCCTTATTGGCTTTTTGGCTGCTTATCACTTACTAGGAAAATTATGTGAAAATCTCCCATGATGATGTAAATTTGAATTTGTCTATTTTTCTTTTTGTTCTGTCAATTTTTGCTTCCTATGTTTTGAAGCTAAATTAGTAGGTGCATAGTAATATAGAATTGCTATATCTTCCTAGAAACAGAGCCTCTTTGATCATAATGAAATGCATCTCTTTATTTTTAGCAGTGCCTTTTGCCTTAGATCTACAGTTGTCCCTCTATGTCCATGGGGATGCGGTCCAGGACTCCCCCACGGATACCCAAATCTGCAGTTGTTCAAGTCGCTGATATAAAATGGAACAGTAGTTGCATAGAACCTACACACATGCTCCTATATACTTTAAATCATCTGTAGATTACTTATAATCCATAGTACAATGAAAATGCTTATAAATAGCTGTTATATTGGTTTTTTATTTGTATTTTTAACTTTTATTGTTAATTGCTTTTTGTTCAAATATTTTTGATCCTTGGTGGAACCTGTGGATATGGAACCCACTGATACAGAAGGCCAACTGTGCTTCCTATTAATATAGCTATTCCAGTTTCCTTTTGCAAAGTTAGTGTTTACACGACACATACTTCTCCATCTTCTTACTTGGAACTTTTGGTGTTCTTATATTTGAGATACGTCTCTTGTAAAAGGCATATGTTTGATTTCACTTTTATCTTTTTATCTAGTTTGACTAACCTTGTCTTTAAATTGGAGTAGTGTGTTTACATTTAATGTAATTTGGGTATAAATTGAGTATCTTACTCTTTGTTTTCTACCTATTTGGTGAGAACAGGGGAGTGAGAGAGGAGGGGAAGGCCATGGAGGGTGATTGATGGGCAGGTCCTTGCACACACCCTCTGGAAGACAGGCACACTGAGGCACTGTCCCACATGCTGAGGGACCCCCACATACTGAAGGACCTGGGTGTTTTTCTGCCAACTCCTGTCCCTCATTGTTGAGGCTCCTCCTGGTGTGTGAACCACCTGATGCTTCTGTCCCATCCACAGGAAGGCGGGGAACACCCCCCAGGCAGAGAGACCTGGGCAGCCACCGCCATGAATGAGAGCTCTCTGGCTGTCCCCAGGCCAGCTATGCTCTGACGGCCAAGCGTGGTGGTCCTTGCCTGTGTCCGAGCGTGGGGTTAGTTCTGGAACATTTGATCACTTCTCCTGCTCCACTCTCTGCACTCCACCTGGAACTCCCGATTACACGTATGACCCTTTTACATGTTCCTATGTTTCTCGTGTGATTTCTATGTTTCGATCACGTCTTCCCTGCTTCTGTGTGTTTTCCACTCATCTTAAAGTTCATTGATCTGCTTTGCTATTAAACTCACTTATTTCATTATTGGTTTATTTTTGATATGTAGGTTTGTGTTTGATTCCTTTTATTTGATGGATTTCGGTTTCCTTTTGAGACTCTCTATCCTGTGATCTACTTCCTGCCACATTAATCCTGGTTACCTCCACGGCCTGTCTGAGACGTCCAAACCTTTATCTCGTGGATGTTTAATTATCTGGGGTTTTCCTCAGCCTTTCCTCATTTTGTCCTTTCTCTGGGTGTGCCTGATAATTTTTTTATTAAGTAGTAGATATGATGTAGGAAATGTGTAAGGATCATTTGAGGCCCGGGCTGGTGTCTTCACCTCCAGAGGATTTATTTTTGTTGGAAGAGCAGGGGTGGTTCATCTGAATGCACTCCGGGGAGGGACTGCATGAAGTCCGCCTCAGACCTTTGGGCAGCTGATCCAGCTTCCGTTTGTCCCACTCCTGGCAAAGTCCATGCTCCCTTTTCAGGTCCCCACTGAATGTCTGGGAGTTTCCCAGGCCCTTCCTCCCAGTGGTCCTTGAATTCCAGATTTTATCTCCCCACCCTGTGCGTTTTCAGAAGCTCTCAGCCTCCAAGCTCCAAGATGAGCTCTCTGCTCATCGGCCACCAGCAGTGCCCTGAGGGGTAGAAAGGTGTCAAGTTTCCAGTGGCCTGTGAACGCCACATCTGCCCAGGACATTGGCCCTTTGAGGCTAGATTGCCTTGTCACCTCCAGAAAACCTTCAAAAAGTGTGTCCAGCTTTTCTGGTTGTTCTTGGCCGTGGGCTTGGATGTAAGGTACACGAGCAAACCCACTGCAGCCAGAGCAGGAAGCTGTCCCGCGTCCACGTGCACAGCTCTAACCCTAAAATAGCCTTCGGAGTTAGGGGAAGAGCAATGTCCTGTTCACTGCCCAACTCCAAGCCCTGTGTCCCGGGCAGCCACACTCAGCCCTTTCCCTGCAAGAGGGGACACTCGCTCTTGATAAACCAGCTTTGCACATTACCTATTGGTGAAGATGATCAGTAACTCTGTGACTGTAGCACACACACACCGCACTTCTTCCCGTTCTCCCAAGACCTCTGGAAAACAATTCTTACTATAATATTCTTCAGCATAGGCATTAGGACTACATACATGCAATTATGTTTTCTGTCCTCATACATTTTCCTTACAATTAATATCATCTTTTTTCTTTGCTTAATTTGACCAAGAATAAGTTCATTCCCAAACTCTCACCTTATGCTTAGCTCTCCTCTCAATATTCAAACTCCTAGAAACCTGTTGTTTTGTCTTTCCCATGGACACGGCTCCCAGGCCTCTGACCCCTGCTCTAATTGGGACCTGCTGTGTGGCCCTCCCTTGCTTACCAGCTGACAGGAACCCTTCCTCACCCCCAGGTTGGACACGCCGTTTCCAAGGCCTCATGGCTTCCTTTTTCTTGGTTACTGCCTCGGGCTCCCTGGGAGAGATCTCTTTGGTGCCGAAAACCGGAATGGGAAGCCTCAGCACCCTGGCCCCCCATGCCCCTCGTGGGGCAGGGTGGGTATACCCTGTACACCCTCCTGGTTTGGGCTGAGGGCATTAGGGGTACCGGGCGTCTTTGGGGTGGCATTAGCCCCCGAGTTGCTTTGGAAACTGTCATACTTTCTTCTGTCTTAGAACTCAGAATCCAAGAAATGGCATCCATGGGTATAGGCAACCAGCCATTCATGGATGTCAAGCCCAGAGACCGGACCCCTGACTGTGCAGTGATAAGCGACCGGGCTCCCAAATGTGCAGTGATGAGCGACCGAGTCCCCGACAGCATCGTCAAGGGCACAGGTACGGTGGCTCGGTCCCGCCCTCACTCACCCTGCAGAGGGCACTGGGCCTGTCATCAAGGGCATGGGTACGGTGGCATCGGCCCCACCCTCACTCGCCCACAGAGTGCACCAGGCCTGTCGTCAAGGACACGGGTACGGTGGCCTCGGCCCCGCCCTCACTCATCCTGCAGAGGGCACTGGGCCAGTGGCCGACATGGTGGGTTGGATGGGCATGACTGCAGTGGCAAAGCCTGGTCGGCCTTTCAGACGGCTCTGATCCCATTCCCGAACCTGGGCTGCACTTCTGGAGCGGAAGCCAGCCTGACGTGCTTTCTGTCCCTTTCCAGAGTCACAAATGAGAGGGTCCACAGCGGTGTCCTCCTCTGACCACGCCGCCCCCTTCAAGCGACCACACTCCACCATCTCAGACAGCAGCACCTCCTCTTCTAGCAGCCAGTCCTCCTCCATCCTGGGGTCGCTGGGCCTGCTTGTGTCCTCCAGCCCAGCCCACCCGGGCCTATGGAGCCCTGCCCACAGCCCCTGGTCATCTGATATCAGAGCCTGCGTCGAGGAAGATGAGCCAGAGCCAGAACTAGAGACGGGCACCCAGGCTGCAGTGTGTGAGGGGGCTCCTGCTGTGCTGCTGAGCCGCACACGCCAGGCCTGATGACTGTCAGGGTGGCAGTGCCCATCATGTGGCTAGAACAATACAGAGGGAGCAGCACGCCAGGCCTGATGACTCTGGGGGTGGCGGTGCCCATCGCGTGGCTGGAACGATCCAGAGGGAATAGCACAGCAGGTGTCCAGGTATTTCCCAGGATTTTAGACATTCCCTAACATTTTCAAACAAATTTATAATTTTGTCTTATTTAAAAAACAAACCTTCCACTTCCACCCAAGACAACAGCATAGGAAACAGACCTAAAACAAGACAAAAAAAGACTAAACATGAAACAAAAGATGTCAAGACACAAGACATTTGGCAACAAAGGACCGCGATCCCTGAGAGACAGGAAAACGGGAGGTGAGCCCGGTGATGGCCTCAGACCTCCCTCCGCCTTGAGAGTTTGCAGGCCTCAGTGCAGGGAGGGGCCCAGGAAGAGCCCAGCAGCCTCCGTGAGTTGAAGAGACCAAGTCAGCAGGAGTTGGCAGGTCAGAGTGCCAGAGAGAGATGCCTGCATGGGGAAAGACTCACCAGATCAGCCCCTCCAGCACCTAGTGGGTTGCTACCCATTCGCACACTCAAACAGGGAGGCTACCAAGGCTGGGAGCAACCTTTGAAAAGACCAAAGATCAATTCCTGGTACTCATGTGGGCTGGGGACAGGACCCGTTCCCACCAGCCAGACTAGGGAAACTCTCAATAGATCAATTCCTGATACTCATGTGGGCTGGGGACAGGACCCACTCCCACCAGCCAGACTAGGAAAACTCCCAATCTGTGAGCATTAGGTGGAGTTCTCAGAAAATCTTGCCTCAGGAATGGGGATAATTAGCCCTAGACTGAGCCCTGCTCCTGACTCGCCTACAAAATCATAAAAGCAAGACCTAAAATGATCAAACCATTCCCAGATAATTCACTTTATCCCAGAACAAAGCTCCAGATGATCTAGGGGTTACCAAAGTGTCCACACCCTGCAAGGTAAACTCACAGTGCCTGACCTCGGAGTGCCAGGCGTGCAGAGGAGCAGCCAAGGGCAAACACTCCAAGGAGAGTCGCCTGGCAAAGCCAACCACCCAGAGCCAGCGTCTGTGCTAGAATCACAGAATTCAAACTGTGGCTGAAATCGCAGCCCAGGCGTCCAGAAAGTTAAAGTTAAGAACCTATAATCCCAGCACTTTGGGAGGCCGAGGCAGGCGGATCACGAGGTCAGGAGATCAAGACCATCCTGGCTAACATGGTGAAACCCCGCCTACTAAAAATACAAAAAATTAGCCGGGCATGGTGTTGGCCGCCTGTAGTCCCAGCTACTTGGGAGGCTGAGGCAGGAGAATGGCATGAACCCGGGAGGCGGAGTTTGCAGTGAGCTGAGATCACGCCACTGCACTCCAGCCTGGGCGACAGAGCAAGACTCTGTCTCACAAAAAAGGTTAAGAAATGACTTAATGGAAGAGATTCAGAAGACCCAGACCGACCTTACAGGGATGAGAAACTACAATATTGACAGTGGAAACTATCCTGGATGGGGTAACAGATTGGATTTCACAGAAGAGACCATGAGGCACCTTGAAGACACATCAGTGGAAACTATTTGCATTTGTTGGGCCTCCAGAGAGACAGAACCAATAGGAGATAGCTAGATATATATACAGACAGATAGATAGATAGATAGATCGATAGATAGATAGATAGATAGATAGATAGATAGATAGACTGACAGACAGATGAGAGGGGCCTTAGGGGCATTGGCTGACACAATTTTGGCAGGTCAAGAGCCCCACAATAGGCCATCCACAAGCTGGAGACCCAAGGAAGCTGCTAGTGTGCCCAGTCCGAGTCCTAAAGCCTCAGAGCCAGGGAAGCCAGTGGTGTAATTCTCAGAGGCCAAAGGCCTGAGAACCTGGGGGCCACTGGTATAAGTCTGAGTCCATAGACCCAGTGAACTCCAAACACAAGAGATACGAGTGCACATCATAATCAAATTGCATATAACCAGTGATAAACAGAAAATCCTAAAACCAGTCAGAGGACAAGGGCATGTTCTGTTGGGAGGCACAAAGCTGATGAGGATGGCTGACTCCTCAGGAGCAGCATGGGTGAGAGGCAGTGGAATGTACTAAGGAGAAAACTGCCAAATTCACATTCTGTACCTGACAAAATCTTTCCGAAGCGATGGTGACATAAAGACATTTTCATACACACAGAAACTAAGAGTTTCATCCCCAGCAGACCTGCACTACAAGAAATGTTAAATGATGTGCTTCAGGGAAAAGAAAAATGAAGAGCATGTGCACCATCCAGGATTTTCCTCGTTATTTAAATCCCTTTAGCCCATCTCCCATTTGCCCCAAGGAATGAGTGCTGGCAGTGAGCTGCACTTTTTTTTTCTCTAAACGGGAAATGGGTTAAAAGATGAGTGGCTTGGCCGGGTGCGGTGGCTCATGTCTCTAATCCCAGCACTTTGGGAGGCTGAGGCCAGAGGATCACTTGACTTGAGCCCAGGAACTGGGGGGTCATGCTGGGAAACATGGCAAGACCGCATCTCTATTAAAAATAAATAAAAGTTAACTGACTGTTTAAACAAAAGTATTAACGTATCTGCGGTTTGTACTATACGCACAGGTAAACTGTGTGACCACAGCAGCGTGATGGCTGGGAGACGCTGGATGTGATACGTGAAGTGAGGGGTATCACTTGAAGGTAGATTGTGGTAAGCTAAAGATGTACTGATAAACCCTTGAAACACCCACTAACAAAGAATTACAGCTAATAGACCAACAGAGGAGATAAAATGGAATTTTTAAAAATCCAGTCCAAAAATACGTAGAGAAAGAGGGAAAGGGAAGAATGGACTTGGGGGCGACACAGAAGACAAGTGGAGAGAGACTGAAGCAGCCACTGGCCATCACAGCAAACACAAGCAGGGCGCAGGACGCCGGCAAGCCACAGACAGGCCTGCTCTCTGAATTGGTGACCACATGAGTAACTTCACGGGTCTGTTCTATGTCCAGAGTTGTCAAACTGCATGCTTTAAAGATGTGCAGTGGATCGTATGTCGCTTAAATCCCAACAAAGCAGTATTTTTTTAAAGTACAATCATGCACACAGCACTTCCCCTGGGAGGCAGGGGCTGTGCCCACAGAAGTCGTTACCTCTGCGTCCTGAGTATGGACAGCCACCATCACACAGCCCCAGAGGCCGCCCAGGCTCTAGCCACACTCTGGCACTGCCTGGGACAGGTGCCCTCAGGAACCCAAATGCCACTGCCCCCGTGAAAGCCACTTCAAGCGTGTTGCTTCAAATCAGAAGGCATCTACGCCTGTGGAAGAGGAGGCTGCTGGGGGCCCAGGTGTGCAGGGGGCAGGGCCAGGTGCAGGGGCACAGCTTATGCCTGTGGCCAACCCACTGGGGAGCAAGGCTGGGGATATGCCCAGGCCAGCAGGGCCAGCAGGAGTGACTGCGCCATCCTGAACACGTCCTTGGGCCTCCCAGGACCTTGGTGCCTCCCATCTGGGCTGGCACAAGCCTCCAGTCAAAAGATGGGTCTCTCTCTCCTGATAGCATGGAGCCTGGATGTGGGAATGGAGCCACACCAGCCCCACGGGAGCCCCACGACCCATCGGGCTGTGGGATGCATCCCCACGGCCGGGACCCCTCAGCCTGTGACTTGGTCTGGGCAGATGCAAAGGCCACCCTGCAGGGCTGAGGTGTCTGTGGGGAAGGAGGTGCCCAGCCCTGGGAGGCCATCTTGCTCCTGCTTTTTATTTAACCCATGGGGCTCTTTGGCCTCATTTTCTGTTTTTTGAGTTTCTCGTGCACTCCAAACTGTCCTGGAGCCAGCCCTGGTGTGAAACAGAGGCTTCCTGCTGGCAGAAGAGGCCCACCGAGTTACGTCCACACCAGCTGGCCCTGGGCACCTCTCTCTCTGGCCTTCTGTCCACACTGGGATTTGGCTCTGATTTCCAGAAGGCAGGGTTAGGAAACACCTGTTTCCAGGCAGAGTAATGCTTCTGTCTGAATCAGGCCTCATGGGCTTCACCAGCAGACACGAAGGTTTCATTTAGATGGCGAACACGTGTTCTCATTTCTCCAGGGTTCTGGACCCGTGAGCTGAAGCAGGTGCTGAGAAGTGGGAGAGGCGGCCACTGGGTCCCTCAGGGTCACTCACCCCGCCACGTGAGGCCACTTCCGCCCAGCACTGGGGGCGCTGGGAGCTGAGGGGCCCACAGGGGACGTGGGAGACAGCCCCGATGCGTCCCCATCCGCAGTGACGCTAGCGCGGAGTCGTCGCCAAGCACGTGGAGGGACAGCCCTGGAGCCCTGGCCTGGCCCAGCATCTCCCAGAGTCACTTCCTGATGCCTCCCCAGCCCTGCCCAGGAAGGGTTTGTGGCCACAGCCCCACAGCGGCCCCCTCGCCTCGACCACCAGTGCCTCCTTCCAAGCTGCCTGAGCAATCCTGGGTGGTGAGCTCCACCACTCCCACCCACGCCTCAGCACTGGGACCCCCCAGGGATGGTGTGGGGATTCCTGCCCCCCGTCCATGCCTCAGCACTGGGAGCTGGGAAGGTGTGTGATTTCCTCCCCCACCTCAGTACTGGGACCCCCAGGAAGGGTGTGTGGCCCCACCATCCTGAATGCTCAGGGCTGGTGGTCAGCGAGGTGGTTTCTAAACCAAGCCCTGGGAGGAGCCATCCTGGGACTGTGCTTGGACAAGGTTGGGGCTCCCGCAGTGAGCTCTAGCCCTCCCCAGGACCCTCCCACGGCCCCAGGGTGCCGGCCTTCAGATTGACCCCATTCGTGGATGAGTCTACAAGGCTCCCCAGTGCCCAGCAAGAGTGTTTTTACATTCAGAGGTGAGGAAGGGGTGCCGGCATCTGCCCCAGACACAACCGGGCAGGTACAGATGTCATCCCCTTGAGGACAGCAGGGAGGCGACTCAGGAGAGGCTGATCAGACGGGAGCCGCATCCCCATCACCTTCCAGAGAGACCTCTTCTTTTGCCAGGTGTCGTGAGGGCTGTGGCTTAGCTGGGCCTGCGTCCATCCCCGGTTCTGGGGAGATGCCCGGGCCCCTCCTGGATGGCAGCAGCAGTGGAGGTTTGGGTTTTGAGGGAGCCCTAAGAACCTGAGAGACTTAGATGGAGCATGGCACGCCCTGGAGAGTCCACGTCCCCAGACCCCTCATGCCAACACCATTCCACCCAGCAGTTTCTTCCCTGTGGTCAGAACAAAACCCCCAAGCCTCAGGCCTCAGGCTGGTTTTCTGACAGGCAAAATGCTCCTTACATAAGGAAAGACCTTTCCTTGGCTGACCCTAAAGTAGCCAAGGGGAGCTCACATCGCCTGGCCTGCCGCCACCACCAGGCTGCCTGACCAGCTCACCGCCTTGTTCTAGATGCTTCTGAAGCAACAGCTCGCCTGGCCCCACCCCCATCAAGCATCTGCTGGGCAGCCTCCCTCCCCGGCCCGCCTGTAGCTCCCAAAGGTCTCAAGCCTCAACATCCTGGTAACCAAGTGCACCCAGAGGGCTGGCAGGGTCACATGGAGGCAGGGGACCCTTGGCCCCAGGGTGGTCGTCTTCCCAGGAGGTCCGCCTGTCAGGTCAGAGGGCAGCAGGAGGCCACCCCACCTCCCCGGGTTCCCTCGAGCATTCCTTTGTCAGGAGCAGCTCCCCCAGGATCCAGGCATCCCTGGCCCCCCTTTGCCCCCGCCCTGCTCTCAGGAGCCCCCTGCCAGGTGCTCTGACCACAGGAAACAGGAGCCCTCAGGGCCACTGCCAGAGGACGGATTCTGCTGCCAACCAGAGGTCCTGGGGCTGGCGGCGCTGGTGTGCCTGCCCTGGGCCTTCAGCAGCCCCCATAAGGAGAAAGCTCCAGCCTCCCGTTCAGAGAAGGCTCCATCCTGGGGACACGCCTCTCCCAAGGTCACCCACGTGGGGGCTTTGTTACTCATGCTTCCCAGACTGCGTGC
Organism: Homo sapiens; assembly: GCF_000001405.40. Taxonomy (NCBI): domain Eukaryota; kingdom Metazoa; phylum Chordata; class Mammalia; order Primates; family Hominidae; genus Homo; species Homo sapiens. Next base: position 188,287 of record NC_000005.10, read on the forward strand.
TGTGTCAGAGTTTTCACACCTGCCTGATGTCCTGGGGGGGCTCACAGAGGACCGACCCTGCAGGGAGATGCTGACCCACCCTGAGACCCAGGAGAAGAAAACGGCCAGGGTCCAGGCTGCTCCCACCATCCCTGGGGGATTAGCACCTTGGCTGAGCCCGAACTGACCACCTGGGGCGTAGGTCCAAGATTTAATTACAAAACGATAGGTGAATGTGGGTTCTGTGTGCCTGTGACATAGAGAATGTTTTCCACACCGCGTGTGAAATGACGAGAGCTTTTGTGTCACACATGTAGCTGCTACGAGACAGACGCTCTTGTTCCGGATCAGAGCAGCAGACAGAACCGGCACTTTTAGGGTCCAAACCCTGTTGCCCACAGAACGCCCATGACACCAGCTGGGTGGAGCTGCCGCCGAGTCCACGCCCCGTCTGGCTGGGACCTGGAGCTCCCCTCAAGCTGCAGATCCACTCTGCACCACAAGGTGGCCTCGCAGAGGAGCCTCCCGAGCTTTGGAACCAGAGGCAGGCTCAGCGATGCTCTCCATCCGGCCTGGCCCCACCGTGTGTATCAGGTGTCAGAGGCCTTGCTGGGTGCCAGGCCACGTCTGTGCTGTCACAGCTTTGAGGGGCCAGCGGGTCCTAGGGAGAGGCCCGTGCGACGTGAGTAACAGCAGTTTTTCTTCTGACAGCTGGGATGGAGGTGGGTCCTCCAGGGAGTGCCCCAGTCCTCGAGAGCCAGACTTGTGCACGGGCCTGGAAATGAAGGTCTCAGGCAGGGGCTGCGCACACCGATGGTCAGCATTGCCGTTCGGGGCCTGCAGTCGCCCATAATGGGCCCTGCCCCCTAGGCCTGGCCTCTTTTGCTTTCCTCCTGGATGGTTCCTCTACCCCTGGTCCAGCAGGGACTCAGCAGTGCCTGCCAGCTGCAGACCCCCATGCTCCTGCAGCCTGGAACCCTCCTGCCCTCCAAAGGTCATGGGGTGACCCAGGGTGGGAACACCAGACCCCCTCACCCCGTGTCCACCGCCCATGGCCGGGCTCACAGTGTCTCAGAGCCGTGGTGAGCCATCCTAGGACCAGTGTACCTCACAACCTTTCAGACCAGTGAAGGCCAGTGGGCTGGGTGGTCCAGGCATGTCCCCAACGCAGGTCCAGCCATCTCTGCACAGAACTGGAATCTCGGTTCATTTCGGTTTCAGCAGGTCCCATGTAGTTAGCAGGACAGCACTTGAGTTAGGTCTGAGAAAGAACGCCTGTTTGTCATGGCATTTCCTGTAAGGAGCCCAGAGCCGTGGCCCCAGGTTGGGACGGCGGCGCCAGAGCTGGGCCTGAGTCTGACCCAACCTGTGCTGAGTGGTCCTGCTGGAATGGGAACCCCAAGAGGACCACCCCTCTCTAAAAGAAGGGAAAACAGTAAGCGAGAGGGAGGCTGCAGGGGCCCAGACCTTGGCTGACCTTCCTAGCCATGGTCTCCACCCTCCGAGACCCAGGGGCCCCGCAGTGACAGCAGGGTGTTGGGCCACACAGAGCCCGAGTAGGTAAAGGAAGGTTCTGGAAACCACTTTTCAGAACCCAAAAGGTGTCTGGGAAATGGCGTTACCTGCCACTGTTGTTAAGTGTTTACTTTGTATCAATACTGAATTGTTAAAAATTTTAATCATAAAAACCAATGGAACATGTTTTTCTACTGTGTCCTTCGAGATTCTCTTATCTGGTCCTGGAAAGGGGCCGTGTGTCTGGGGAAACCTCTTGTGCACCTCATGAGGGGAGCCCGGGGGCCCACATCGGCTGGCCGAGGGCGGCCACCCCTGAAGGGTGGGGTCAGGGCCCACCCACCTCTTCACACACACCTCCGCCTGCTGGACAGTGCCTGGGCCCCACAACGGAGCACAGTCCCTTCTGCATGGGTCGCCTCCCGGGGAGAGGCATTGCTCAGGCTCAGGGAACAAACTGGGGAGGGTCAGACAGGGAGGCTGGTGGGGCACCCATGACCAGCACCCTCCAAGCTTGCTCAGCAGCCTTCCCCCTCCCACTGCTGTTTCTCTTTCTGTCTCCCCGTCTGTCTGTCTTTCTCAGTCTCTGTCTCTGCCTACCAGTCTCTCTCTCTCTCTCTTAGTCTCTGTCTCTCCCTTTCTGTCTCTCTCTCAGTCTGTCTCTTTCTGTTTCCCTTTCTCTCTCCCTCAGTCTCTGTCTCTCTCCCTCTTAGTTTCTGTCCCTCTGTCTCTGTCTCAGTCTCCGTCACTCACTTCTCTCAGTCTCCCTCAGCCTCTGTCTCATGGCCGTGACCCTCCAAAGCCCATGGACACGTGGTGCCCTGTAGTGATGTGTGCAGTGATGTGTGCAGCGATGTGTGCTGACCCTGCCCTGAGTGGCAGTGTCACGGGGAGAGGTGAGTGCAGCACCCATCAGCTGTCCAACACGGTCAGTGCTGGGAGTGAACCATCAGGCACCGCCCCCCAACACAGGTGTATCCCATTCCCTGCAGCTTTCCCTGCCGCACAGGCGGCAGGGTTGCAGACAGGACACTGCAGCTCAGAGAGAGCTGGGGGCTCATCCGAGGCCATCAGGGAGGCTCCACCTCTCCCAGCCACTCTCTCCCATGGAAAGTAGGGAAGCCACCCCCGCCGGGTCCTTGGGGAGAAGGAAAGGCACAGGGAAGGGGCAAAACAGCAGCTCCATTCCTGGCCACTCGTCTCACCCCAGATGCGAGGCGAAGTGTGGGAGCGGCCCCAGAGGCCACTGTGGAAAGGGAACTGGTTACCGAGTGAGGCGCAGGGGCCTGGCCTGTTCTCTGCCCCGTTGACTGGTGGGGGAGGTGCCCAGAGCTGGGCAGTAGCCCCGCTTGGATGGTAAACAGGACCTGCCCGCTGGCCTCACCGGCCGCCAGCACGAACGCCTGCCAAGACTGGCTTTCTGCAGCATGGAGCACAGGCTTCTCTGCCCAGCCCTGCCATGGGCACGGGCTGCCTTTCTGTGTCGGCTGGGTGCCTGAGCCAAGCAGCTCCCAACGGCTGGGTGCCTGAGCCAAGCAGCTCCCAACGGCTGGGTGCCTGAGCCAAGCAGCTCCCAACGGCTGCGTGCCCCGAGGCCGGGCAGACGCAGGTGTCCCAGGACCAAAATAGCAGTCAGATGATCATAAGGCCCCGTGGCAGGGCCCCCAGGGCAGGCTGCTCACAGCTGCTGCAGCTAAAGATAGGCGTGAAGGGCACACGCCTTGGGGAAAGTCGTGGGGAGCGGTCCTGTCTCGGGCCATGGACACAATGAGGTCACTCCGCTTCATTTCTGCAGAAGCTCTGGTGTCCCACCCCCAGGTGGCCCGGCAGAGCCTGGACAGCGTGGCCCACAACCTCTACCCACTCCTGTTCAAAGCCAGCTACCTGCTGGAGCAGGCGGAGGTGACGCGCGCGGTGCTGGGGCGCTGGCCCCTGGAGGAGTTCCGGCTGGGAGCGCTGCTGGGTCCTGGTGCCGACCACCCCCAGGACCTGCGCGACAGAACCTGCAGGGCCTGCCTGGAGGCGCTGGTGCGCGGCCTCGCGGACCACGTGCTGCAGGACCGGAGCCGCCGGCGGCTGCGGGTGGCTGACCTCACGGGCATCCGAGATGTGCAGGTGCAGCGGTGCCCGTGCGGGAGGGCGCTGGGCAGGTGGGGCCGCACCCAGCTGCTGGCCAGGACCTGCTGTGAGCTGCAGGCAGAGCCCCTCGCAGCCGGGCGCCCCGTCGAGGTCCTCGCCGACCTCTTCGTCACTGAGGGCAACTTCGAGGCGGTGGTGCAGGCTCTGAGGCCAGCGGGCCCGGCCCCTCTGCGGGTGCACTGCCCCTCGTTCCGGGCGGACAGCCTGAGCCCCAGCCAGCTCCTGCACGTGCTGCGTCTGGCTGGCCCGGGTGCCCTGCGCAAGCTGGAGGTGGTGCACAACGTGCGGCTGCATGCGGGCCACGTGCAGCAGCTTCTGGCCCAGGTGGGCTTCCCCCGGCTGGCCTCGCTCACCCTGCCCACCAAGGCCTTTGATGCACCCCCCACCTACGCCTCCACTCCCGACGGCGAGGACCCCCTCCTCGCCTCCATCGCCCGGGAGCTCAGCAAGATGGCGCAGCTCACTGAGCTCAGTGTGGCCTTCTCCACGCTGACCGGGAAGATCCCGACGCTGCTTGGGTGAGTCTTGGGGAGGGGACTGAGGGCGGGCTGGTGGCTGCAGAGGCAAGGAGAGATCGTCCAGGGGCCTGCTCATGTCCAAGGCCATGAGGCTACACGGCCTCCAGCCTCTCACTCCGGGTGTGGCCACAGCCACAGGACAGCGGCCCCGCCAAGGGGCAAGAGCACCGAAAGTCAGAGCCACCAGGAAAGAAGCGGGCTGCCATGTGTGACTTAGGGATGTGGAGAGAATGCCAGTTAAAAAAAGAGAATACGGAAATTACCAAACAGACGAAACAGAAGTGCCTACGTGGTGTGAGGAGTTGTCTATTGTTGATGAACGACTCACCCCAACACTTGGGGGCTTCAAACAGCAAACACGATTTCAGCTCAGAAATCTGAGCCTGTCGGTGCCTTTGGCTCAGGGCTGCTGTTGGCCAAGGGTGCCATCTCATCCGAAGGCCTGACAGGGCGGGATCCTCCCAGTCTCCCTCGAGGGAGGCCTGGGCTCCATGCTGCATGGACCTCCCCATGGTGGGACAGGAGGCTTATGCAGGATCCTCTCAGCAGATCTGCGTGAAGGAGGCAGAGAGGGCAGCAGCTAGGAAGGGGCCAGGCCAAGGCAGCCTCAGGCAGTGGTGAGGGGGATGCCCGGCGGTGGGTCCAAGGGGGGTGCCCAGCAGTGGATCCTGGAGGGGGAGTGCCTAGCGGTGGGTCCAAGGGGGGTGCCCAGTGATGGGTCCTGGGGAACGGGGTGCCTGGCAATGGGTGCTGGGAGGGAGCCTGGTGGTGGGTCCTGAAGGAGGGGCAGCTGGCGGTGGGTATTGGGGTCACCGGGTGATGGGTCCTGGTGGGGCAACCTAGCGGTGGGTCCGGGGGGCACCCAGTTTTGGGTCCTGGGGGTGGGACCTGGCAGTGGGTCTAGGGGGAAGGGGTGCCTGGTAGGTACTGGGGAAGCACCTAGAGGTGGGTCCTCAGGTGCTGGGGGGTGCCTGGCGGTGGGTTCTGGGGGCTGGGGGCACATGGCAGTGGGTCCTGGTGGGGCGTTTGGCAGTGGGTTTTGGGGAGAAGTGCCTGGCGGTGGTAGGGGTGCCTGGTGGTGGGTCCTGAAGTGGGGGCACCTGGTGGTGAGTCCTGGGGTGGGGGGTGGCTGGCTGTGGGTCCTGGGGTGGCACCAGGCAGTAGATCCTGGTGGGGGATGCCTGGCGGTGGGTCCTGAAGGATGGGGGTGCCCTGCGGTGGGTCCTGAGGGATAGAGGTGCCCTGCGGTGGGACCTTGGGCAGGGGGCATGCCTGGCGTGGTTTCTCAGGTGGGACAGGGGCACCTGGCAGTGGTCCCAGTCCTGGGTGGGGAGGGACATGTCCTGGGCGGGACATGCAGGTGGGTGCAGGTGCAGGTGGGTGAAGAGTGAGGCAGCCTCCTAAGGAGAGGGTTGGGATGGGGCAGACCCCAGCTGTGTCCCCCGGCTCAGCGAGGACAGTGAGGCCATGTCCCGATGCAGTTCTGCTCTGGAGATCTCCCTTAGCTCAGAACCAGAGTAGGTCTCACTCCAACTGCCCCTGTATTAGAGCTAGGCTGCCCTACACCAACCAAGTCAGAATATGGGATGTGGGGCAAGTTGGGGGGTCTTTAGGGTTCCCAGGTGAGTCAAAGGCTGTACTGGAAGCCTCCATGGCCCTTCCCAGCTCTGAAACCATGCGGGATTCATCTTTGTCAGAGTGGAGCGGCACTGTCCTGTGGTCTCACTGCCCCCCGCCGTCTGCTTTCTGAGCAGACATTCTGTCCTGTGGTCTCACTGCCCCCCGCCGTCTGCTTTCTGAGCTGACATTCTGTCCTGTGGTCTCACTGCCCCACCCCGTCCACTTTCTGAGTGGACGTTCTCGTGGTCACATGCATCACTTTTCTCAGACAACACAAAAGCAGCTGTTGACAAAACAAACTTACCATTTAGGTGCTGAGGACAAAAGCCAGACCTCTGGGTATAGCTGACTTCACCACGTGGCGGCCGGCAGTCATGGCCAACACTAAGCGAATGCACGTGGTTGTGCTCTGGTAAAATGTTATTTATGGACACCGAGTTTGAATATCATGTAACTTTTCACGTTTCACAAACTATTATATAAATATAACAACCACTCCTAGCTCATAGGCTGTATGAAATTAGGCGGTGGTTGGACGTGACTGTGTGTTGACCCCATGATGGACAAATGGGTTGTTCCCATTCGCCTGAGCCCTCGGCTCCTTCCTGGGACCCTCCTCTCACCTGTGCTCTTTCCCCCGTGTCCTGCAGCCCCCTACAGACCCCGCTGCGAGTACTGGACCTGGCCAACTGTGCCCTGAACCACACGGACATGGCCTTCTTGGCAGACTGTGCCCACGCTGCCCACCTGGAGGTGCTGGACCTCAGTGGACACAACCTGGTCAGCCTGTACCCCTCGACCTTCTTCAGGCTGCTCAGCCAGGCTTCCCGGACGCTGAGGATCCTGACACTGGAGGAGTGTGGCATCGTAGACAGCCACGTTGGCATGCTGATCCTGGGCCTGAGCCCCTGCCACCGGCTGCGCCAGCTCAAGTTCCTCGGGAACCCGCTGTCGGCCCGCGCCCTCCGGCGCCTCTTCACCGCACTCTGTGAGCTCCCCGAGCTGCGCTGCATTGAGTTCCCGGTGCCCAAGGACTGCTACCCCGAGGGTGCCGCCTACCCACAGGACGAGCTGGCCATGTCCAAGTTCAACCAGCAGAAATACGACGAGATCGCCGAGGAGCTGCGTGCCGTGCTGCTGCGGGCTGACCGAGAGGACATCCAAGTCTCCACACCTCTCTTTGGAAGTTTTGACCCAGACATTCAAGAAACAAGCAATGAGCTTGGTGCTTTCTTGCTGCAAGCTTTCAAAACTGCTCTAGAAAACTTCTCCAGAGCACTCAAACAAATAGAGTAGTTCCTCCACTCGCACCAGTGACAGGTCTTGCATTTCAGCCTGCAGGTGCCCCGGGCTTTAGTCCTGGATCTGAGGCTTGGGCCCGGCATTCATCCCCACCACCACCACCACCAAAAGCAGTTCTTAGTGAAAATTGTAGGCGAGCCTGTTAAGCGTTGTAGAAGAGGAAGCCTTCCAGGAGAGGTGCCATGCGGTGCCCTTTAGTGGCAGCACGGCAAGGTTCTGGAGGCGGGGGAAGCCACCAAGAGACAGTGACAGGGTCAGCGGGGGCAGACGCCACATGGCAAAGAGCAGAGAAGCCCGGGAGGTGTGAGGAGTGGCCGACCTGGCCTCAGCGCATCTGGGCACTGGGCGCAAGATGAAGCTTCAGGGGGCAGATGTGACTGGGCTCCACAGCAGGGAGGGGGAGGGGAAGAGAGAACACATCACAGAAACTGCACAAAATAAGCAGCCCATGAAAAACAACCGAGAAAAAGAGGCGAAAAATGAACAGCAAACCGGACCCTGCTTCCTCCAGCAGGAGGCTCCCACCCACTGCTGGTCACAACCCGCTGTCTGGACCTGCCGCTTACGGGATGAGGTGGGCCTGCAGGGAACGCGGGGCTTCTGGTTGCTGTTAGTGGTGGCTTTTCTTCTCACTTTGTGTAGCCCCCAGAACCGTGAGGGGCATCCGAGTGGGTGAGCACAGGCGTCCGCTGAAGAGCCGCCTGGACCAGGGCGGTCAGCGCTGCGGGGAGGCCTTTGCCCGACCGCGCCACTGTTTCTCACCAACATTCACTGTGTCCTGCGGGGCTTGAGGCTTAGACTGACGGGAGCTATTCCGGGTGTTTAATTGAAGGTCTAGCACTTGACCAGCCCCTGGAGGAGCTGACAACCACCTAAGACACATTTGGACTTGGTGTCCACCAAGAGTGACTTTGTGCAAAGAAATGGCTGAGCACTAGAATAACTAAATGCAAATAAAATGCGTCTTTCAGTGCAGTTCAGACAGGTCAGTGCTTGGTGTGGTTAAGTCGTTCTCAGACCCAAAACCAGGGATCTGAGTCACTGTGTGTCCATGGCTCCGCTCAAAAGTCACACCTCATGACAGCGCCCACCACGGGTGTGTCCCCACCCCAGGGGCCCCATGTCATCCCCTCCTCAGGTGTCACCCCCTCCCCGAGTGTGTCCCCAACCCGGGGGCCCCCATGTCACCCCGAGTGTGTCCCCACCCCAGGGGGCCCCGTGTCACCCCCTCCCCAGGTGTGCCCCCACCCCTGCTGCCCTGTGTCACCCCCTCCCGGAGTGTGTCCTCACCCCAATGGCCCCTGTGTCACCCCCCCCCGAGTGTGTCCCCACCCCAGGGGCCCCCATGTCACCCCACTCCAGGTGTGTCCCCACCCCAGGGGCCCCCATGTCACCCCACTCCAGGTGTGTCCCCACCCCCGCTGTGAAGGGGTGGCCTGCCCCTCCACACCTGTGGGTATTTCTAGTTGGGTGGGACGAGAGACTGAGAAAAGAAGTAAGACACAAAGTATAGAGAAACAACAGTGGGCCCAGGGGACCGGCGCTCAGCATACCAAGGACCTGCACTGGCACCGGCCTCTGAGTTCCCTCAGTTTTTATTATTATTTTCATTATTTCAGCAAAAAGGAATGTAGTAGGAGAGCAGGGTGATAATAAGGAGGAGGTCAGCAAAAACGTGTGAGCAAAAGAATCTATGTCGTAATTAAGTTCAAGGGAAGGTACTATGCCTGGACGTGCACGTAGGCCAGATTTATGTTTCTCTCCACCCAAACATCTCAGCAGAGTAAAGAATAACAAGGCAGCATTGCCGCAAACATGTCTCGCCTCCCGCCACAAGGCGGCTTTTCTCCTGTCTCAGAGTTGAACAAATGTACAATCGGGTTTTACACCGCGACATTCAGTTCCCAGCGGCGAGCAGGAGACAGTGGACTTCTCTCTCTCAACTGCAAGAGGCTTTCGTCTTTTACTAACCCATGTCAGCACAGACCCTTTACGGGTGTCGGGCTGGGGGACGGTCAGGTCTTTCTCATTCCACGAGGCCATATTTCAGACTATCACATGGGGAGAAACCGTGGACAATACCCGGCTTTCAAGGGCAGAGGTCCCTGCGGCTTTCCGCAGTGCATTGTGCCTCTGGTTTATTGAGACTAGAGAATAGCGATGACTTTTACCAAGCATACTGCTTGTAAACATTTTGTTAACAAGGCACGTCCTGCACAGCCCTAGATCCCTTAAACCTTGATTTCATACAACACATGTTTTTGTGAGCTCCAGGTTGGGGCAAAGTGGCTGGGGCAAAGCTACACATTAACATCATCTCAGCAAAGCAATTATTTAAAGTACAGGTCTTTTTCAAAACGGAGTCTCATGTCTTCCCTTTCTACATAGACACAGTGACAGTCTGATCTCTCTTTTCCCTACACCGCTGCCCCGTATCACCCCCTCCCGGAGTGTGTCCCCACCCCAGTGGTCCCTGTGTCACCCCCTCCCCGAGTGTGTCCCCACCCCAGGGGCCCCCATGTCACCCCACTCCAGGTGTGCCCCCACCCCTGCTGCCCCGTGTCTCCCCCTCCCGGAGTGTGTCCCCACCCCAATGGTCCCCGTGTCACCCCACCCCAGCTGCCCCCAGGTCACCCCCACCCAGGTTTGTCTCCATCCCCTTTCTCCTTCTGCCCCTGGTGTGTCCAGGCCCTTCTCTGCCCAGGGTAGGGGTTTGCCTGGGTTGTAGGGGTTGGGTACCCAGCATGAGTGCCGTACAGGAGCCTGCCTCCCGGGGGCGTCTCAGGAATGGACGGCCTCCTGCCGAGTGGGCAGATATGGTGACTTCCACTCCCCACATTCGTCTCTGCCTGCTCTGCAACCACCTAAGTGCTCTCTGCACACTGCAGGCAGTGCCTTACTGGAGCCTTGTCCAGGGACATGAATTTGATATTGCGGCCAGCTTTTGGAAACAGGCAGGGAAGGTGCTGGGCCAACATTTTTAATGACTTACTTCTAACTCTAAAGCACAGAGTGGCTGCCACTGCTTTGTGTCTGAATTTTTATTGTAAGACTCAGCCGCTGGGCGGCATGATGACCAACCTTAAGGCCTGTGGCAGTGGAGAAGGGCCCAGGGTGCTGGGTGTCCTGAGGCCTGGGATTGGGCAGGGCACACAGGAGCCCACTGGTGTCAGTGGGCGGTGCTGAGGGCACAAGCTCCCAACATCTCCAGCTCCACAGACACCCAGGGGCTTCCCAAGAACAGCCCATTCTGATAAGGCCAGCAGAGGCTGGGGACCAACGCCTCCCTCGCCCGTCCTGTGCAGGTCTCGCACTTGCTCCTACTGAACTGATCGGCCCCATCCTGCATGGCCGTTCACCATTCGCTGGGTCTTTGTCCTCGCCCAATCTTGTGACTCCAGTCCTGGGTCGCATGGCGTCTGTGGCCACACATCCGGCGTCTGCAGGGCCCAGGAGCACGCCTGCTGGGTTTTTATGGAGAGCACTTCTCTACCGCAGAAAACACGGCCTCCCACACAAGACAAGCTAGTGGGAATCAGGCAAAACCATTCAGCAGGTGAGAGTGCTGATCCAACCCAGCAAACATCCATGGTGGCTGTAGCTGGGGCTGCTCCTGGCGGAGCCTCAGGGTTCACCTGCCCAGGCCCACCCCGGCTTTCCAGGGCCAGTGGGTGATGTGAGCAGGGTCCCAATGGGGGCCGCCATCTGGAGCCACCGTCTTTGCCTCCCTTGGGTCTTCCACAGCAGCATGGGCTGGTGCAGCTCCTTCAGAACATGGCACTGCTTCCTGTCCACCATCCTGGCAAGGAGTGGGGGCCGTTTTAGGGGCTCCAACTCAAGTCCTTCCTGGCTTAATGACTTGTTCCACAGGTCAGGAAATGATGATACCCTCGCAGGCCAAGGAGATATACGCAGGCCCAGTGGCCCCTGTGTGGTGGACGTGGCCCCTCTGTGTGGTGGACGTGGCCCCTCTGTGTGGACGTGGCCCCTCTGTGTGGTGGACGTGGCCAAGGGCCCTGGAACATCAGGGTTGCTCTCATCCACCAGCGCTCTCCTGCTCTTCCTCTTCTGAGTTGAGCAAGGCTCCATCATCTGCTGCATGCTGGAGTCCCACTATCCATCAGCCCCACACGGCCCCATGGGTGGGGGCACCGTGCTTGTCCCCCCCCATCTTGATGCCTGCCAGTCACCCCCCGCCCCACCTCTGCCAGCCCAGAGCCCCTCAGCCCAGATCCCATTTTCTGGCACCACCAGCCCTGGCCCATGGGGAGCAGCCACCTCGGAGCTATGGCACAGTGCTGTCAAGAGCAGGGCCCCAGCACCCCTACCTCCCGAGGAGGCCCCAGCACCCCACTCCCTGCCTGTCAGCCACCAACCAGCTTCGAGAAGCTCTCCCAGCAGGGATGGGCTCGGTCTCAGTGTCCCTGCTGGAATATTAAACAGAGCCACTTGAGTGCCCCAATGTGGCACTTTCTGCCCATCTGCCTTTCTTCGTTACTCCTCCCTCCTCACCCCACTCTCGGCACCCAGGCCAGGCCCTGCACCTGCTCCTGGAGCAGGACTTGACTCCTCTACCTGGACCAGGCAGGTCATGAAAGATGGGGCACTGCCTGAGGTCTCTGCCAGATTCCCAGGTGAGGGAGATCTGCTTTCCCCATGGGGTTGGGGCGGCCATGCTGGCACAAAGGGCTCCCGTGAATCTGGAGCTCACCCAGCAAACATCCAGGCGGCGGCAGCAGCTCTCAAGGTACACTTGTCCTGTGAGCCGCAGAGCCACATTCAGGCTCATCTGGTCCCGCTACCCGACAGCAAGACCCTCAGCCTGTCAGGGGGTCTGCAGCAGATGAGAGACCTGCGAAGCTGCCACAGAAGCCCTCCGCCTTCCACCGCATGCCTGCTGTCCATGGGTGGCTTACTGAAGCCCTTCGTTTTCTCTTTTCAAGATTTCCCATGAAGCTAGCAAAGGCCACAGGCTCTGCAACCCTGATCTTCATTGTTCCCACTCCTTTAGAACACCGCGGTATGGTGGAGCCCAGCGCTTCCCTAACTCGGCCGCCCGCTGGAGCAGGCCAGGCAGGGGGCAGGCTCAGGAGCTGTGGGAACCGCCCTGTCCCACCGTGTGGCCAGAGAAGCTGGTTTGGGGATTGGCGCGGCTATGCAGAGATATGACACAGAGTGACAAGTACTCCGAGGCCCCTGAGAGTCCCTTATTTGTCTTTCTGGTTCTTCTCTGACATCTAACCTGTGTTCTCCATTCTTGACCTGAAGTTTCACGAGACAGCCTTAAATCCCTCTTTAACTTTCTAGGCTAGCACAAATCCATCTCTGCTGCTTGCAAACAGAATCCTAAATTAATAGAGAAATACAGCAACTGTTTCGTCAAACCCAGCATAGAAAGAGGAGCCTTTTCAGCCTCAACCTATAAAACCCAGCGCAGTTACTCACACAAGTCAAGGCAGACGGAGCAAGCCCAGCACTTTCTACACAGCAGGCTGCCCCCATCACAGCCAGCCAGCGTCTACACAGCAGGCTGCCCCCATCACAGCTAGCCAGCGTCTACACAGCAGGCTGCCCCCATCACAGCCAGCCAGCGTCTACACAGCAGGCTGCCCCCATCACAGCCAGCGTCTACACAGCAGGCTGCCCCCATCACAGCCAGCCAGTGTCTACACAGCAGGCTGCCCCCCATCACAGCCAGCCAGTGTCTACACAGCAGGCTGCCCCCCATCACAGCCAGCCAGTGTCTAGGGCAGCTGCCCCCCCAAACACCCTGGCTCCTCCCAACATCGCACGGGCTGTCCTCATGCTGGAACAAGACACCTCGAGGAGGAAGCAGCTGCCACTCATGGCTGCACACACTGCAGTTTGGTCTCTGCAATGTCACAGGTGTAGTCTTCAGACTTGCTTTTATGTAGCAAACCTAATATGTGAAAGTAACTAGAAAGCTGTTTTCTCCCTTCTGCTTAAAGAGATGATCTTAGTACACTATGAAGCAATCACTTTTTAAACAATCCAACACAGAAATAGTCCGTTACACATTTTAATTAGACATAACTTCTCTTTGAAAGAACACACAGATCATTTGGTGAAGTTTTTCCGTTGAAACACCCCATAATTGGTGCAAGGTTTGCAGAACAATTTTGTCCTTATGAAATCAACACCTGCCAGTTCACACATACACACACATATGCACGCATATGAAATATATATGCAAATTATATATCCTTATGGATGAATAAGCGCAAAGGAGGAAAAAGCGCATCTACCAAATGAGCTGACTGGACTACGGAAGAGAAATGCTGCCTCTTCAGTTTTGTTTTTGGAATGTCCAGGTCAATTGTGATGCCTTCGAACTTCATTCCAAAGTCAAGTCTGAAGCAAGCGAAATTAGAAAGTACAATCTCAACCCCTCCCCGCAAAAGTCCTTCCTTTTTAAGCCACTGCAACCTCATATACAATGTTCACTCCAGACAAGGATTACAGTGGCTGCCCCTCCTCCGCCCTGCAGCGAGCCCTCCCCTCCCCAAGGAAACTGGACCTGCTTCCGAAACCTAGGATCTCCCAGAGCTCCACTCCTTACCCCAAAGGGTCCTCTCTGCCTTGCTGGCTCACGGTTTTATAGTTACTGTGACCTCCAAGAAAGCAGCAGGACAAATAATGCTTGACTCTGATGTCGCTACAAATTCAGCACACACACCAACCAGCACAATTACCCTTTTCTGCAACTTTAAACCACTTTGGTTGAGGAGCGTTCCACTGTGGGCTCACCTTTCGGTACATGTGTGGAGTTACCAAATGGCACAGCACCGTGTAACTATTCCAAACCGACCACAATCCATTTCAAAAGAGGGTGGCCTCACATCAACACTCAAACTTGCTGATGGAAGGCAGCCACGCCACACAAACACGAACTAATATCAACCCTGTGGAAAGAGCATCTTCCGGCCAGGCACGGTGGCTCACGCCCCTAATCCCAGCACTTTGGGAGGCTGAGGCAGGTGGATCACCTGAGATCAGAAGTTTGAGGCCATCCTGGCCAACATGGTGAAACCCTGTCTCTACTAAACATACAAAAATTAGCCAGGCATGGTGGCAGGCACCTGTAGTCCCAGCTACTCGGGAGGCTGAGGCAGGCAAACTACTCGAACCCGGGAGGCAGAGCTTGCAGTGAGGCGAGATTGTGCCACTGCACTCCCGCCTGGCAACAGAACGAGACTGTCTCAAAAAAAAAATGCTCGTCTTCCTAACTCTGCAGGACCGGGTCAGCGGGTCAGTGTCCACACCAGCTTGAAGGCTCTGAACATATCTATCTCACTATAGAAGGAAGCTAGGCTGACAGCACACTGGACATTAGAAACAGGATGAGGATTAACAATTTGCCTCGAAAATCATTCACCTACAAAGCAGCTGACTGTGTTTTCTTCATTTAAAGACAAACGTGGAGTGGTTCACACAGGGACACCCAGCAGACCGGATTGCCGCAGGAATGGAGCCTGCACCGCTCTTTAGGCAAGGGTCTTGATGCATCAGGAAGTACAAACAACAACAGGAAGAGTTTTGTCCAGATTTACCGAAAAAATGACTTTTTAGGGGCCGGGTGCCGTGGCCCACACCTGTAATCCCAGTGCTGTGGGAGGCCGAGGTGGGGGCGGTGGATCACCTGAGGTCAGCAGTTCGAGACCAGCCTGGCCAACATGGTGAAACCCCGTCTCTACTAACAAAACAAAAATTAGCTGGGTGTGGTAGCGCACGCCTGTAATCCCAGCTACCCAGGAGGCTGAGGCAGGAGAATCGCTTGAACCCAGGAGGCGGAGGCTGTAGTGAGCTGAGATCACACCACTGCACTCCTGCCTGGGTGACAGAGATTCCCTCTCAAAAAAAATAAAAAATGAAAATAAAAGTGACTTTTTCTCAGATAAAGCGATGGTGGTAGAGCAGAGAGGCACGCTAGCAGCCACTGAAGAAGAGAAGCATCTGAGCACCCTTAGCCATCACACCACTGCACTCCTGCCTGGGTGAAGCATCTGAGCACCCTTAGCAGGGCGTGGGTGCCGAGAGCAGAGCATGGCAGGGGGCCCGTGTCTGTTGCAGGCAGCGCATGTTGGCTCTGAGCCCGCCTCCGCCGCGCTCAAGGGGTTCCACGGATTTCAAACAACGCATGCGTGTAAAGCGTGTACAGCTCAGGGTGGAACATGCACTCCATGAATAGTGGCTCTCATACTGCCACGTGGGCTCTATGAGCTTAGGATTTTTAACAGTTGCTCCTACTCCCGTACAGACGGGCAGGAGGGGAGAACATGGCCCTTGAAAGCAGATGGACAACCTGCTCCCGCTCCTGCCTGGCCACACACTATCAAATCACTGCACACAGGTTACTCGCGGTTCTGGAGAAAAGGTGCCCGGGCTCAGACTGGCTCCAACACTACTACCTGCGTGACCTCAGGCAGGTTAGCTCTTCCACATCTCCGTAAAGTGAGGTGCGTGGTGACGAATTCACACAGCAGGCCCAAGGCTGTGTCCTACCAGGGCCTGTGTGCAAGGCTGGCCCTTGACTGACATCTGGGAACTCGGATTCTGGGAGACTTCCCAGCACCATTAACTCCTACGCGTGGCTCTGTGACCACAGTACTTGTGCTCACGGCACAGACCACACCAAACCCACCCTCCTTCTGGACAAGTGGGGAATTCCCACACAGGCCAGGCAGGGGGTACCACATGACCAGCCCTTAGCAAAAGCCCCAGGTGCTGAGTCTCCAGTGAGCTTATTCTTAATAGTTAGGTGTGTCCTGTATGACTCCAGGGAGTGGATCCTGGGGTGTCCACACGTGGCTCCTCTGAGCGCCACCCACACACCCTCTCCCTTTGCTGATTCTGCTCTGTGCTGAGTCCAACCCTGTGCTGAGTCCTGTGAGATCTCCCAGCAGGTCACGCACCTGGGGGCTGGCCTTGGGGCACCTCCGCAAAGCGTAATAGTAATACTCACTTCACAGGATTCGACTGAGGATTCCATGAGTGAACAGGTATACAGGCTCAATTCCCAGTAGCTATGTGTGACATGGGGTGATAAGTGCCTGTCTACCTTGTTGGCTGTGGTAAACAATGAGATAATACATATAAAAATATTTTGTAAAGAGTGAAGAATTACACAAAAAGTGGCATTATTACTCATAAATGGCAAGTATTTTGAGTATATATCATTGCTAATAAGTATCTGCTTGCTGAATACAGACACAAGCCAAATTCCAAACACACATTAGGTAACAACTGGATACAACACACACACATTAGGTAACAACTGCATACAACACACACACATTAGGTAACAACTGCATACAACAAACACACATTAGGTAACAACTGCATACAACAAACACACATTAAGTAACAACTGGATACAAGAAACACTTGGTATTTCCCCTTTATGGAGTGAGAGAGATCTTTAAAATATAAACCCTTGATAATATAATATTACTACTTCCTATTACCTGTTATGCAGTTCTACACATTATCTGACAAATTCTTAATGTAATCTGGTGACAGAGAAAAATAATTTGAGGAGAAAGTATTTAGGGAGTGATGAAACAGACAGAAAATTACTTGTGGTAAGGACCAGTATTGTATTTGACTTTTTAAAAAACCATTTTTACCCTGGAGCTAAAATACGAGGTTATACTGTTCTGCTTAATACAATACTGGCAGCCTAAAAATGCTTCAAGAAACCATATCCCCAACAGCGGCAGAGCATCGGGAGGAGACCCTCTGTCTCTGAGGCTTCGGTGCACTTCTGCTCAGACGGTGGCGGGAGTGGAGGTCGCTGCTGAAGGGTGACGGTGTGGCCATGACACGGGCAGCACGGGAACGGAAGACGCCGGAGACCCAGAAGGCGCATGACTGCCTGGCCTCGAGTCACTAAAAGCAGTTTGATTTCACTCTTGTCTTACTTTTCTAGTATGGCTTCCTCTACTCTCTTAAACTTCTTCAGTTCGACAACGAGTTCCCAGTATTTGAGATAGAGCCACATGAGTCTGCCATTCTGGCGTTTGTTGGTGTTCCAGACATCACCACAGTATGTATCATGCTGAAATATGTCGGTGAGACCGGCTGCCATCTCTAGGTCAGCGGCGACGGGGTCGACGGACGCTCGCACCAGTAAGCTCTTCTCTATCTCCAGCCGCTTGCTGCGAGGAAGAAACAGACTGCAGTAGATATTCTGTCTTTCTGTGAGAACAGCTTCAAATTCTTTCAGCAAAAGCCTGGCTCTCCTTTGCCAGTTTTCTTCCCTTTGCAGGCAGCTCAAATACGCACTTCTCAAAGGCTGCACCTGTCTTTTTTCTTGCATCACCTGGGCCCGTTCCTGTTCCAGAAGCTTCTTTTCTTCTACCAACTTGCGTCCCTGAGAGATAAGGGCTTCTCGGTAACTAGCAGTTCTGTTTTGTTCCTTTTCGAGTTCCAAGGACAACTGAGCGACAGCACGCCGATTTTCTGAGATCATGGCGTGGTACTTGGCTTCCAGATCCTGTTGAAAAGCAGCAGTTCTCCGACGGTAGGCTTCTCTCTCTTTTTCTACTTCTTTCTGGGACTCCCTAGACCAAATCCAACCTGACATGAATGAAGAAAAATACACATAATGAAAAAGTTAGGGCTGAAGTTCTATAATCCTCACTTAAATCATAAGGCAGCTAAGGATAGTGTTTCAGTAAAAGCTTAAGACCTCGGCTGTACCAAGAAGATCACTTCTACGTGAAAATGTGTAACAGGCCAAGTTCTTATCTGAAAACCAGGTAAGGGCTGGGTGACCAAAAGACCCTAACCCTAGCCCTTTCCGTCTTCTAACTGTTTGTTGCTAAGAAGATCTACCACCATTTGCCTGCTCCGGCTCTAGTACAATTGGCAAAGTTTAAAATGTTTGGGTCGACTTCAACTACCGTTGGCCAGGTTCTTATAAAAGTTGTATTTAGCTTTGCCCGGTGGCGACTAGTAAACGGCCTGAGTTTGAGACACTGCTTATGTTCTGATAAGGACACATAAAAATAAAGTGGGTTAAGAAGTTCAGCCTCAAGACACAGTGGGCCTCTTTCCTCAAACTGGAGACTGCTGGAATCTCACGAAAACGGGACGAAGATTGCTGGGAGGCTGGAGGGGGCACTGCCCGGCTCTGCCCCCTACACCAAGGAGCAGCAGGGCTGGCCTGCACTGCAGAGAAATCCAGCGCCTCTAAGACCGGATGACTCACACAGCCTGCTGGCCAGCAGGCACCTGGCTCCGTATAGAGCCACCAACCCTTTGTCCATCCCACAAGTAAGAGTTGGATGTGTTTCAACAATAAAAAAAGACCGTGTGATAACAGTTCCATCCACATTCCGAACTGATGCTGCTCAATAATTTCATGCATGTTGGAGCAACTGCATGCTAAGTCTTAGTTTTCCAAACAGCGACGTGTTCTGCTTGTACATTCTAAAAGCAGCACGGAGTTGAGTCTTCTGGAAAACAGAACTGTTTGGCAAATTTTCAAAGCCCAAGGCCCCAAAAGCCACTGAGAGCAGCAGTCTGGGTTCCCTCGTGTGCTTCTATCCTGTAACCCCTCCCCTACTAACTGTGGGACTCCCTCGTCTGCAGCCCCTTCTAGAACCACTGGAGTTTCTATCAACTTTAATGGTTCTCTTCCTCCTCCTGCTGCCTCCCCCAACCCAGGTGGTGTCCTTGACATTCAATTATTTTCTCCCGGGTCATTAATGGTCACCTTTTTCTTCCAGGTCATTAATGGTCACCTTTGCTTTTCTCCCGGGTCATGAATGACCTTTGTGGGAGCAATTCCATAACAGCAAGATTTCCATTAGCCTGAAAGCCAGTCCCCCTTGGATATGCTGTTGACACTTCACTGAGTAAGCACAAAACCAAACTCATCCTTCCTCAACCAAAAATAGCTGCTAGTCCTACTTCAGATGACAACTCAAACTCACGTCACCTTTATCTCCTCCCTTTGACGAGAGCTCACAGGCAGGGGCCTGACCAGGAAAGAAGCTGTTACAACGTCACTTGATAAGCACTGAGGGGTTTGCAAAGGTATGTGAGGAGAGAGAAGGGAAGGCTCGTCTGGTTTTGGTGAAGTCAAGAACGGCTTCCTAAAAAGGTGAATGAACAAAGTCTAGAAGGCTGAAGGCTGAGCAGAAGCTGCAAGGAAAAGTCACCCGAAATTAAACGAGCAAGGCAGGCGAGAGCATCGGAGAGTGAGAGCTTCCAGGAGCCGGATGTGCCTGGGGACGGGGCTTATGTCAAGGACAAGCTGGAGCTGCCTCTGGAAAGTCACAGGTGCCAAATGAGAGGGGCCCCCAGGAGACCCGGACAAGGAGCACGGGATATGTTCTGCAGCCACGAGGAGTCAAAGGAATTAACGTGACTTAAGAGCATCCAGGAGGTGTGGAGGGGTGGAGGTGGGGCTGCGAGGGGTGGCGCCGAATCAAGAGGAGACAGGGAGCTGCTCCCTGATACAATCTGGGGACGATCTCAGTCGAGTCACATCATTGACACACCAAACCACTGGAAAACTAACACAGACAATGACGCACACGGTTAAACGTCAGACCCCACCATACAGGCTGTGGTTACTGGTAAGTTTTTGGCTGGACAGGGAGCCAGGCAGGGGAGGCTACAGGCAGCTTTGCAGAGGAAAGTGTGGCAGGACAGGCTGGATGTCAGGAAAACCTGAATTCCGAGTCTGACCTGACAGACTTTGGGCACACGCAACTTTTCAAAGCCTCAGTTTCCGGTGAGACTCCTGCTTCTGGGAAGACGGAGTAGACATCCTCCCTATTCTTCTTCTAAGTAAACTAAAAATCCTGGACATCATCTGTAAAACAAGATGACTCTGAAAGATGGAGAGAAGGCAGACTGGCTTGGGTCCTTGGGACCCCAGGAACAACACGGGGGCAAGTCCTCTAGATTTTCATTTTGCCTCATAGATCCCATACTTGGAGCTGAAGACACAGTCAATTGGAAATCTCAACGGGTGCAGACAAAAAAAGAAACTCCAACAAAGCCTGCTGTCTCTGCCCAAAGGACCACGATAGAGGCCTGGCAAGAGAGAAAATGTTCCGACAGTAATCACTCTACATCAGCCAAATAACACAGAAAAAACTACGGCCCCACCTCCACCCACATGGGCAAAGGCTGGATGGAGCTGAGGCTCCCACTCCCACCCAGCAGCAAACACAGGGTGGGGTCGGGGGGAGCCATGTGGGGAGCAGTGCTGAGGCCTTCCCAGCCGGGGGGCACCAGTAGAGGCCGGGGGGCTGGAACTCCCATCCTTTCCTCGGGGGCCCATGGGGGCCAGAGGCTGAGTGGGGAGCCTGGACTTCCATCCTCACCTGGCAGTAAGGAGGCTGCGTGGCCCTTCCCCTGCCAGGGCGCCATTCAAGAAAGCCAGCTAAGACCGAAGGTTTAAATAAAAACCAGTGTTTCAGCACGTAATGCCCCAAATGCGCAGGTTCAAACAGAAAATCACTCCTAGTACCAAGGGCCAGGACGGGTCACACTAAATGAACAAAGATGATCAACAGAT
Source organism: Homo sapiens (assembly GCF_000001405.40). Lineage (NCBI taxonomy): Eukaryota > Metazoa > Chordata > Mammalia > Primates > Hominidae > Homo > Homo sapiens. The sequence continues at coordinate 208,918 of NC_000005.10, forward strand.
GCCAAGACCTGGATGAGAGATGGCAGTATCATCTGACAAGGACTTCAGAGCAGCTGCCATGACAGAGAGCCTAAGAAAATAAACACAAGACGTAAAGAAGAACCAAATGAAAATTCTGGAACTGAAAAACAGAACAACTCGAAGAAAAACTGGAATGACGGAATCAGGACTCCCCCACAAACACAGAAACAACCCTTCGCAGCCTGGCCACACACATCATTCCACAACACATAGGACTCCCCCACAAACACAGAAACAACCCTTCGCAGCCTGGCCACACACATCATTCCACAACACATAGGACTCCCCCACAAACACAGAAACAACCCTTCGCAGCCTGGCCACACACATCATTCCACAACACATAGGACTCCCCCACAAACACAGAAACAACCCTTCGCAGCCTGGCCACACACATCATTCCACAACACATAGGACTCCCCCACAAACACAGAAACAACCCTTCGCAGCCTGGCCACACACATCATTCCACAACACATAGGACTCCCCCACAAACACAGAAACAACCCTTCGCAGCCTGGCCACACACATCATTCCACAACACATAGGACTCCCCCACAAACACAGAAACAACCCTTCGCAGCCTGGCCACACACATCATTCCACAACACATAGGACTCCCCCACAAACACAGAAACAACCCTTCGCAGCCTGGCCACACACATCATTCCACAACACATAGGACTCCCCCACAAACACAGAAACAACCCTTCGCAGCCTGGCCACACACATCATTCCACAACACATAGGACTCCCCCACAAACACAGAAACAATCCTTTGCAGCCTGGTCACAAACATCATTCCATAATACATAAAACTAATTCTACAGCACGGCCACGTGGGGATTGCTCCAGAGACAAAAGACGGGTTCAATATTCAAAAATCAATGCAATCTAACACATTACTAAGCTGATGAAGAAAAATCACGATTCCATCAATTGAAACCAAAAAAAAACGGACCAAATTCAACACCTATTCATGAAAAACAGGAATACAGGGGAGCTTCCTTGACTTGATAAACAGCATCTACGGAAAACCTGCAGCTGACACTGTACTTAGCTGGGAGAGGCTGAGTGTGTTCTCTCTCAGGTCAGGGACCGTCCAACAGAGTCCCAGAAGCTCCAGCTAGTGCCGGAAGGCAAGACAAGAAATCAAAGGCAAACAGGCTGGAAAGAAGAAATACAACTAAAGTCTTACTCCTTATTAACAAAATTAACTCAAATGGGTAAGGGCTTAAATGTAAAATGTAAAACTAAAACTTTAGGAAGAAAAAACCTTCAGGATCTAGAGCTAGGCAGAATTCTTAGACTTTCCACAAAAAGCATGGTTCATAAAAGGAAACGATGATAAGCTGCCCTTCATCAAAATTACAACTTTTACACTGCAAATGCCCCTATGAAGAGAATGAAAAGACAGGCTACAGACTGGGAGAGGATACTTGCAAGCCACATATGCAACTAAGGACTAGAATCTAAGACATATTAACAACTCTCAAAACTCAACATTAAAAAACAAACAGTCCTATTAGGAAACGGCTGAAAGGCAAGAATACTCATTTCATCAGGAGGATACGCTGATGGCAATGAGCACGTGAAGAGGTGCTCGACATCACACCCTGGAGCCACGATGAGAAAAGATGCTCAACACTGCACAGTAGAGCCACGATGAGACAGCACCACACACCCATCAGGATGGGGCAGACGGGACAGCAGTGTGAGCACGCTGATGCTCGACATCGCACACTGCAGCCACGATGAGACAGCACCACACACCCATCAGGATGGGGCAGACGGGACAGCAATGTGAGCACGCTGAGATGCTCGACATTGCACACTGCAGCCACGACGAGACAGCACCACACACCCATCAGGATGGGGCAGACGGGACAGCAGTGTGAGCACACTGATGCTCGACATCGCACACTGCAGCCACGACGAGACAGCACCACACACCCATCAGGATGGGGCAGACGGGACAGCACTGTGAGCACGCTGATGCTCGACATCGCACACTGCAGCCACGATGAGACAGCACCACACACCCATCAGGATGGGGCAGACGGGACAGCAGTGTGAGCACGCTGATGCTCGACATCACACACTGCAGCCACGATGAGACAGCACCACACACCCATCACGATGGGGCAGACGGGACAGCAGTGTGAGCACGCTGATGCTCGACATCGAATACTGCAGCCACGATGAGACAGCACCACACACCCATCACGATGGGGCAGACGGGACAGCAGTGTGAGCACGCTGATGCTCGACATCGCACACTGCAGCCATGACGAGACAGCACCACACACCCATCATGATGGGGCAGACTGGACAGCAGTGTGAGCACACTGATGCTCGACATCGCACACTGCAGCCACGACGAGACAGCACCACACACCCATCAGGATGGGGCAGACGGGACAGCAGTGTGAGCACGCTGATGCTCGACATCGCACACTGCAGCCACAATGAGACAGCACCACACACCCATCAGGATGGGGCAGACGGGACAGCAATGTGAGCACGCTGAGATGCTCGACATTGCACACTGCAGCCACGACGAGACAGCACCACACACCCATCAGGATGGGGCAGACGGGACAGCAGTGTGAGCACACTGATGCTCGACATCGCACACTGCAGCCACGACGAGACAGCACCACACACCCATCAGGATGGGGCAGACGGGACAGCAGTGTGAGCACACTGATGCTCGACATCGCACACTGCAGCCACGACGAGACAGCACCACACACCCATCAGGATGGGGCAGACGGGACAGCAGTGTGAGCACGCTGATGCTCGACATCGCACACTGCAGCCACGATGAGACAGCACCACACACCCATCAGGATGGGGCAGACGGGACAGCAATGTGAGCACGCTGAGATGCTCGACATCGCACACTGCAGCCACGACGAGACAGCACCACACACCCATCAGGATGGGGCAGACGGGACAGCAGTGTGAGCACACTGATGCTCGACATCGCACACTGCAGCCACGACGAGACAGCACCACACACCCATCAGGATGGGGCAGACGGGACAGCAGTGTGAGCACACTGATGCTCGACATCGCACACTGCAGCCACGACGAGACAGCACCACACACCCATCAGGATGGGGCAGACGGGACAGCAATGTGAGCACGCTGATGCTCGACATCGCACACTGCAGCCACGATGAGACAGCACCACACACCCATCAGGATGGGGCAGACGGGACAGCAGTGTGAGCACGCTGATGCTCGACATCACACACTGCAGCCACGATGAGACAGCACCACACACCCATCACGATGGGGCAGACGGGACAGCAGTGTGAGCACGCTGATGCTCGACATCGAATACTGCAGCCACGATGAGACAGCACCACACACCCATCACGATGGGGCAGACGGGACAGCAATGTGAGCACGCTGATGCTCGACATCGCACACTGCAGCCATGACGAGACAGCACCACACACCCATCATGATGGGGCAGACTGGACAGCAATGTGAGCACGCTGAGATGCTCGACATTGCACACTGCAGCCACGATGAGACAGCACCACACACCCATCAGGATGGGGCAGACGGGACAGCAATGTGAGCACGCTGAGATGCTCGACATTGCACACTGCAGCCACGACGAGACAGCACCACACACCCATCAGGATGGGGCAGACGGGACAGCAGTGTGAGCACGCTGATGCTTGACATCGCACACTGCAGCCACGATGAGACAGCACCACACACCCATCAGGATGGGGCAGACGGGACAGCAGTGTGAGCACGCTGATGCTCGACATCGCACACTGCAGCCACGATGAGACAGCACCACACACCCATCAGGATGGGGCAGACGGGACAGCAATGTGAGCATGCTGAGATGCTCGACATTGCACACTGCAGCCACGATGAGACAGCACCACACACCCATCAGGATGGGGCAGACGGGACAGCAATGTGAGCACGCTGAGATGCTCGACATTGCACACTGCAGCCACGACGAGACAGCACCACACACCCATCAGGATGGGGCAGACGGGACAGCAGTGTGAGCACGCTGATGCTTGACATCGCACACTGCAGCCACGATGAGACAGCACCACACACCCATCAGGATGGGGCAGACGGGACAGCAGTGTGAGCACGCTGATGCTCGACATCGCACACTGCAGCCACGATGAGACAGCACCACACACCCATCACGATGGGGCAGACGGGACAGCAGTGTGAGCACACTGATGCTCGACATCGAATACTGCAGCCACGACGAGACAGCACCACACACCCATCAGGATGGGGCAGACGGGACAGCAGTGTGAGCACACTGATGCTCGACATCGCACACTGCAGCCACGACGAGACAGCACCACACACCCATCACGATGGGGCAGACGGGACAGCAGTGTGAGCACGCTGATGCTCGACATCGCACACTGCAGCCATGACGAGACAGCACCACACACCCATCATGATGGGGCAGACTGGACAGCAGTGTGAGCACACTGATGCTTGACATCGCACACTGCAGCCACGACGAGACAGCACCACACACCCATCAGGATGGGGCAGACGGGACAGCAGTGTGAGCACGCTGATGCTCGACATCGCACACTGCAGCCACGACGAGACAGCACCACACACCCATCAGGATGGGGCAGACGGGACAGCAGTGTGAGCACGCTGATGCTCGACATTGCACGCTGCAGCCACGATGAGACAGCACCACACACCCATCAGGATGGGGCAGACGGGACAGCAGTGAAACACCAAATACTGACCAGGTGGAGAAACCGATCAGCTCTGCATTGCTGGTGAGAACCTAAAACGGTGCAGCAACTCGGGAAACATTTCAGCCCTTCTTAAAAAACTAAACGTGCAACCTCCATAAAACCCAGTAATTTCACTTCTGGCCCTTTATCCGAGAGAAATGAAAACTTACATCGACACAAAAACCTACACAAGAATGTTTATAAGAGCTTTATTCATAACAGCTGAAAACTGGAAAGGACCCAGATGTCTTTCAGTGGTTAAACACACTGTGGTACGTCCATGTCATAAAACACGACTCAGCAATGAAACTATCTATGAACTACTGATACAGCAACAATCTGCATGGACCTCAGGGGGTTATGCTGAATGAAAAAAGTCAACCCGAAAGGTTATATACTGTTTGATTCCATTTACATAACATTCTTGAAATGACAAAGTTCTGGAGATGAAGAACAGATCAGTAGCTGCCGGGGGCTATGGAGGGAGGGGCGGTACACAGGGCAGCACGTGAGGCCCCAGGGATTGGGGTATCTTGACCGCATCCTGGCAGATGTCTTGGCTGTGACACTGCACTATCGTTTTGCAGATGCTTCCACTGGGGAAAGCTGGGTAGAGGGTACACGGGCTCTCTGCATTACTGATGACAACTGCATGTGATTTACATGACCCCAAAATAAAATATTTAATTAAAAGAAACTGAGTTGGGCCCAGTGAACTCAACCAGTCCCTTTCAGCTCTAAAACTATGTTTTCTGGGTCAGGGGAGGAAACAGGAGGTACAGGAACACTAGAGGGGAGAAAGCACGGAGAGATGGGAAAAGCACGGAGAGAGAGATGGGGAAAGGGCAATCAAGAAGACTGAGAGAAAAGGGGGGAAGCAGAATGACAGAGGAGGTGTGAAGAGAGAGAAGCCCTCTGGAGTGCTGAAATACTGAATATTCTCCCCTGGGAGCTACTCAGGGTAAGAATTTCTCCAGGGACTGCTCTTTCGGGCAAGCACAATTACACACATTTCTATGTTATGTTAAGTAAAAATCTAGTAAATGGGCTGGGCACGGTGGCTCACACCTGTAACCCCAGCACTTTGGGAGGCCGAGGCGGGCAGATCATGAGGTCAGGAGATCGAGACCATCCTGGCCAATGTGGTGAAACCCCGTCTCTACTAAAAATACAAAAATTAGCTGGACGTGGTGAGGGGCGCCTGTAATCCCAGCTACTCGGGAGGCTGAGGCAGGAGAATCACTAGAACCAGGGAGTCAGAGGTTGCAGCAAGCCGAGATCGCGCCACTGCACTCCAGCCTGGCGACAGGGCAAGACTCCGTCTCGAAAAAAAAAAAAAATTCTAGTAAATGAAGCGAGTGATCAGGACAAAACTAGCCTCTCATCAATAAATCAACCAATAGCGCTTATCAAGTATTCATATGTCTGCCTCTTCTTCTAGACTACACTAGGGGCTGGTTAACGCTCCTATGTGCAACAGAACCTCAAACACATCGTAACACACCTTTGGAGAATCCTTACAAGAACACCAACTTAACAGTTCTCTCTGACCACACTACCTCAGCAAAAAACCAGGAAGAAAAAAATATTCTTCAACCCTTTTCAGGGACAGAAAGCATCATTTCAAAAGTCCAAGAAGGGAAGGTAAGAATTTCAAAAGTGAAAGTTATCATGAAAGGCTATAAAAGCTGGAGATGAGTCTGAAAAACAAATGGAAAATGAGTCACTTCAGGGCCTCTCCCAGCCTCAAAGCCAATTAATTATTACATTAGTCAGAGTAATTTTAAGCCTTCCAATCCACTCACCCTAGCCACAGGCAACAGTAGCCTCTCCAAGTGTTAAGGGTTTTTTTTCCCAAGCCTGCAGGCGGATGAGCTTTTTACATGGCAGCCCCTTAGGATTGGATGTGGACCTGCCCTGTCTTTCACCAAGAAGCAAGCACTGCGCAGATCACTGAATCATAAAAACCACCTGCTCTTACCAGCCTCCTCTTCCTCTACAGCAAAACTTCTGACCTGAGACATGGAAGCAGATAAAAAGCCACTACACAAAATGTATCGCTACAACTAGAGGGCAGTTTTGCCTTTCTTCCATTCAATTATTCAGTTTCTCATGTTCCTAAGTGCCAGCCCAGAACCATGGAATGTGAAGAAACACAAAACTCACTCCTCTGCATCAGTGAATTGATTGTGTGGTGGGGATGTAAGTCTGCATATGACCGGCAGGTCCCCAAAGTGGTGCCAAGTCAATCTAAACTAGAGAGAATTTTTCTGGCCAGGCCAAGCAGAGATTTCATGGATGAAGTCTCCCAAAGACTGATTTCCTAAACATTAAACATCACTGGTTTTCCAAAACTGGTTTTCTTTTTTTTTTTTTTTAACCCTGTTGCTCGGGCTGGAGGGCAAGTGGTGCCATCTCCACTCACTGCAGCCTCGACCTCCCAGGCTCCACTGATCTTCCCACCTCAGCCTCCTGAGTAGCTGGGACTACAGGTGTGCACCGTCACGACTTGCTAATTTTTGTATTTTTTTGTAGAGACGGGGTTTTGCTGTGTTGCTCAGGCTGGTCACTCGATCTGCCCACCTGGGCCTCGCAGAGTGCTGGGGTTACAGGTATGAGCCACCACGCCCAGCCCACTGGTTTCCTTTACACCCGTTTTGTTCCCCAGCAGTCCTTATGAGGGCACCTGAAATAAGGAACCTCCTCCCCGACTTGAGAGCAGCAAAGCCTTCAGAGGGAACTAAGTTATTAAAACCCACCCCACACAAAATGCTTCTAAACGCCTTGGCTGACTTAATCCTTGCAGTGTGCTGAGGTTAAGTATGATTATCCATCTCCTGTGAACAGGAAGACTGAGGCTCAGAGCTTAAGTGATTTGCCCACGGTTCACTGCAGGGGATAAAACTCGGCTGTCCCTGGCAGGTCCCAAAGTCACGGCCTTCAGGCTCCCACACCATGCTGCCTCCCTCACCGGGGCTCCACACTCTCAGCCTGGAAAACACGAATTTTAAGAAAACCATGACTTACGAAAAGCAGCCAATCCCAGCATTGGAACCAACAGGGCATAATTCCACCTGCTTCCATCACCACCATCCGCCCTGGAATTAGGCCGGATATTCCAATTTGGGGGATCATTTAGGTTATTCATGGAGATATACCTTGAAGTAAAGAATAAAAACGTTAACTACTTTTATTCAAGAAATTTTTCTTCAGTTTTAACTATGTGCTTGCTGCACAGCACTGAGGCCCTACGGGATTCAAAGAAGAAAAAAACTAGACCAGAGCCGGGCATGGTGGCGGGCACCTGTAGTCCCAGCTACTCGGGAGGCTGAGGCAGGAGAATCGCTTGAACCTGGGAGGTGGAGGTTGCAGTGAGTCGAGGTCGCGCCACTGCACTCCAGCCTGGTGACAGAACGAGACTCCGTCCCCCCCAAAAAAAAAGAAAAAGAAAAAGGAAAAAAAAAACAAGAACTTAAGATGAAAGCGACTCACAATCTGGTTGGGGAAAGTGGAGAAAACAGACATGTCTTAAGCATCTGAAGTGCAGGTAGAATCAGGTAAGTTCTCTGGTACAAATATGTTTAAATGTATGGCTGCTGCGATGGTTAATTTTGTTTGTCAACTTGACGGCATCATGAGGTGCTCAGATACATGGTTAAGCATTATTTCTGGGCGTGTCTGTAAGGGTGTTTTTGGATGAGATTAGCAATTGAACCTTTAAACCAATTCCTCACGTCTCCCTTCTATTTGTTGTGTCTCTGGAGAACCCTCATACAGTTGTATCAAAGATACAGAATCAACTCGATAAAAGTGGGCTCACACCGGACACTTTCATATGAGCTAGGGTTTGAAGAGTGAGCAGCATTTTGACAGGCAGAGAAAGAAGGAAAGGGTCTTCTGATCAGAAGGAAGACTGTGAGGAAGGCAGGGAGGGGTGATGTGGGGAAGGTGCAAACAGTGCTAGAAGCTTCTGAGGCCTCCTCGTGGTGGTGATGAATGCAGAGATTACAGAGTTCTCTGCTTCGGGCTCAGCATGCACCCTCCATAGCTAGGCTGGGGGCTAACGTTAGTAAGAATTTACTGATTTACTGAGTACCTACACGAAGTTTCACATTTTCACAAAGTAGAGTCACTTTAAGTTTGTTTACATGTGACCTCCACAAACACACACAATTACAAAATAGTTTAGTTAATCAAGGGATGTATAATAAACAAGAGGTCGGAGGCCCCGGGCCGCTCCCGCCCACCTCCGCGGACGAGCGCCCCCCTCCGACCCCATTCCCTGCGGTCTGGGCGTTCAGGCCCTTCGGTCTGGGCGATCCCGGAGAACCACCCACGGGGCTTTAAAAATGTTGGTGCCCACCACCTCCCCGGAACAGGGCCCGCTCTACCTCGGTCGGGGAGCGCGGGACCTCAGCGTTCCCTTAACGCCACCGTCCGCGGGTCCGCTTTGCGCAGGCGCGGCGCCCCCACTCAGTACCCGCTCCGGGCGTGGCATGGTGCGCAGGCGCGATGTCCCCCACTGCAGCCCCGCTCGACTCCGGCGTGGTGCGCAGGCGCGGTATCCCCCCTCCCCCGCCAGCTCGACCCCGGTGTGGTGCGCAGGCGCAGTCTGCGCAGGGACTGGCGGGACTGCGCGGCGGCAACAGCAGACATGTCGGGGGTCCGGGGCCTGTCGCGGCTGCTGAGCGCTCGGCGCCTGGCGCTGGCCAAGGCGGTGAGTCCGTGCCGCGGACCGGGGCGGGGCAGGCGGGGGCCGAGGCGGCGGTAGGAGCGGGACGGTCCCCAGCGGGTCCGAGCGGAGCGGGCGCCGGGTCCCTGCGCCCTCTGTCCCGGGATCGGGAAGGGGCTGAGAGAGCCCTGGGCCGGTGCGAGGGGAAGCCGCGGGGCGGACTCGGGGACCCGGGGAGCTCGGTCCTTAGTAGATAGTCCGCGTCCGGGTGAAGGTCACAACCCCGCGGGCTTGCTGGGCGTCCCCTCCGCCGCCTTGGTCCGGGCCTGGGGTCCTGGGACCCCGCGGGCTGAGGTAGCCCCTCGCCTCAGTGCCTGGCAGGTGGACTCGGGGAGGAGTCGTGTCTGCCCAAGGTCACCCGGGCGGATAGCGGCCGGTGGCCGCCCTGGCTGGGCTGGGCCTCTGCCGCCCTCTGTGCGGGTTGTCCTGAGGAGCAGCCCGCAGCCCGTGGGTGGGGCCGGCGGGGCGGGTGAGACCGCCCGGGTGGGTGCGAGGAGTGGCCGGGCTCGGCCCGGTGGGCGTCCGGTGGGAAGCGTGGCGCGCCCGAGCTTAGGCTTGCAGTTCGCCTTTCCAGAAAGCGCAAATCTGTCCATGTCCACTTCGAGACCTTGTAAGTTAAGGGCTTCTACTTTGGGTCGTGTTTGGTGGTCCTTATGCCACCAAAAATGTGCCAGTGTTTAAAAGCAGCTGTGCCAGTTTTTAAAACTCAGGCGGAGAGCTCAGCGCACTGACCGGGCGAGGACGCCGGGACCTGTGCTTGCCTGTGCGCTGAGTGCCTCTAGGGCCGGGCTCGGCTTAGTCCAGGATGGTGGTCAGGGTTATACTTCCCTGAGCCCTTGCTCTCTGAGTGTCTGAATGTGCCCTCTACGATTGCATCTTAAGAATCGGCCTTCTAGGGTTTTATTTAATCAAGCTAAATTGGATAGGTTTAGTTGTTTGGTTCTTTTAAATGAACTTACCCACCCACCTCCTTAATTACAAAGTAATTTTAAATTGCAGAATAAAAATCTCAATAGGAACCAAGGCATTCAGCAATATTGATTTGAATTATGCCTGTAATTGTGCAATTTTCTCCTTTTTGAAATACTTATTAAAAATCTCGTTGAGTTAAATGTGAGGATTAGTCATACAGCCATCCTGCCAACATCAGAAAGCGTGTAAACCGTTCTAGTGTGTTGCTGTGGTTGGTACTGACTGAGCAGAGACCCCTGCCGCATCTTGGGCTTTTAAGAGCTGCTAGGAGGGCGTCCACAAGCAGGAAGGAAAGCCCATGGTCAGTGGGGCTTTTTAGGGGAAATGGTAGCTTGTGATTGGAGAAAAGCTAGAGCTAGTGCCTTTGTCCTCAACCCAGATGGTGCCCGGTGTTCCTTCTGCAGACTAAGACCCTGCCAGCGGCGGAGGCACCTCAGACGGGATGGCAAGATAGCAAAATTGAACCAAAATTTAGTCTTGGGTTTTGTAAAAGTCTTTTTATCTTGATGAAGTTAGCTTTTCCTACAGAAATTCTGCCTGCAAGCAGCATATTTATCGGCATTTCAGATAGGCTTTTTTTCCTGAAGAATTGGAGTTTACGAAGGAACAGCATAATCAAAAAATTAGCAGAAAAAAGAAAGAAATTCGTGATAGCCAACTGAGAAATGTGTTTGGAAAATAGATGCTGAGGATAATTTCAGTAAAGTCCAGAGAGAATTTTTTAACCTCATTTTGGCCAGTTCTGTGGTGTTTTGATCATTCTGTATTTACAACTGCTTTCAAGTGACGAACTTATCAGACTTATTTTGCTTTTGGTTTCTTTTTATGGCCCAGTGCACTGACACAGCTTGCAAACTGTTCGAAAGCAGTTTAATCAGAGGAAAAAGAAAACCAAGAAACTTCAATAGTTACTGGTTAACTGCTTACTTCAGGTGAAGTTTTTCAAATCCCTTAACATGAACATCCAATATATTGTTCTAGGACAAATTGATTTCTTTTCTTTGAATGGATTGTTCTGAATATGTTTAATGGTGTTCTAGAAATACATTATTTAGGCCATTATAGTAGTAAACCTTTGCTTTGCTTCTTGGGATAATTGTAACAACAATGGCATTCCATTCTGCATTCCTCATGATGTTTTTCCTGATTTATTTGAAAAATTGTGACTTGTTTTTTGATATGAAACCTGGATATTAATATTAGTTGGGAGTCTCAGAGATTTTTCCCAAGGGTCTTTAGATAGGGGGGCAAGTCCAGGATCCAGAGCCAGGCCGGCCGACTTGAATCCTCTCTGAGCTCCGTCTTTCCGTGGGGTTAGTGAGGATTCTGTGGGTAATGTTTGAAACCTTTGGTGATGCTCTTGAGAACCAGGGCTCACAGCCTATGCACAGTAACCATGTGTGAACTGAATTTTTTTTTTTTTTTGAGACAGAGTCTCACTCTGTCACCCAGGCTGGAGTGCAGTGGCGCAATCTCGGCTCACTGCAAGCTCTGCCTCCCGAGTTCACGCCATTCTCCTGCCTCAGCCTCCTGAGTAGCTGGGACTACAGGCACCTGCCATCATGCCCGGCTAATTTTTTTGTGTTTTTAGTAGAGACGGGGTTTCACCATGTTAGCCAGAATGGTCTCCATCTCCTGACCTCGTGATCCGCCCGCCTCGGTCTCCCAAAGGGCTGGGATTACAGGTGTGAGCCACCACGCCCGGCCGAACTGTATTTTAAGTATCCCTGTTTTTAAAATAATAAACACTAAAATTCTAGTGAGAATAATTACACGCAGTTGTAAAAGAATCAATGAGTATACCCTCCCTCACCCAGTTCATTTTCCATGAAAGCAATTCCTGTTTCTGATACTGACTCCTGGCATTTGTAATACCTCTGTTTCTTTAGCGGATATGCAGGTGCATTTTTATCAGTTTTAGACTTCTTGCCTAGAGAGGGGATTTAGTTCACTTAAACTACCCTGCTTCCGCTTCTTCCTGATACAGTCGTGCGTTTTTAGGTTCTTCGTTGGCTGCTTTTGTGATTGTGTAGGTTGTACATGCAGATTAGTTTCTTGCTCGTGATTTATAGGTGCGTTGTATTAGATGAGGACCCCTTACTTTGCTAGATTTCGGATATGAATGTCTCTGCACTTCTTACTTTTCCCCTCCACCTCCTAATTCAGTCATCTGAAATTCTGTATTGTTAAGCAAGGTCTAAGTATTCCTTTTAGTTATATGTTCCCCATTTTTTTTCTTGAGGAAATGTTTGATAGTTTCTCCTAAAAAAATTAACAATTGGCACAAAAGACTAGTTTTGTGTCAAAACTAGTTTTGAGTTTTATCTAAAGACTGAAATTGGCTTAAAGTTGGGCTTTCCAAATTCAAAAATCTGCCCCAGATTAGATTTAGATTGAGAGGGTTAGTGTCCTTTTCGCCAGGGGGATGGCGTGATAATTTGTTCAAGATTGTGTTATAGTAGCTGCCCCTTTTAAGCCAGCTCTGTGTGTGTGTGGTGGGGGGTGGGCAGTGGGTCTTCCACATCAACATCCTAGAAAGAACGAATAAACATTGAGTGATCTCACTGTTTCTACTTACATTTGGTATAATATACTGTTCTTACTGGTGCTATTACTATGTTAATAGGGCACTTTACAACATTTTCAAGAACATTTGTATTAAAATTATTTCAAAGACTTCTTTCTTAAAATATGATTTTACCATGCAAAAATTTTACTAAGGTAGAAGAATATTTGTTCTTTCTCATTCATTTTCTGAAAAAAGAAAAAAGCTGAATTAGCTTATACCAATAAAAACAGAGACTAGAAATTGGAGAAATGAAGAATAATTTTTTATCCCACATAATAAGTAATTTCTGAATTGCAAGTATTTCTAAATACTTGAAGACATTCCTCACATCCCCTCTTCTGATTGCATTTATTTCCTAAAGCTTTTTTTTCTTTTCTTTTTTTTTTTTTTGGAGACGTTGTCTCTCTCTGTTGCCGAGGCCGGAGTGCAGTGGCACAGTCTAGGCTCACTGCAGCCTCTGCCTTCTGGGTTCAAGCGATTCTCCTGCCTCAGCCTCCCAAGTAGCTGGGATTACAGGTGCCCGCCACGACGCCCAGCTAATTGTTAGTAGAGATGGGGTTTTGCCATGTTGGCCAGACTGGTCTTGAACTCCTGACTTCAGGTGATCCACCCACCTTGGCCTCCCCAAATGCTGGGATTACAGGCATGAGCCACCGTGCCCAGCCCCTAAAACTATTCTTGATGATATTTCTGAGACTATTCAGTGGTCTTCTCAAATGTAGCCAGCAGAATGGAAAACGTATCCCCTAAATGGCTGGCCAACCTTAGCATATGGACAGTGTCACCTCTCTCACACAGAGCCACTAAAAACTAAACACCAAAACCAGTTTTCTTGGGTAAAGTTTTCTAAGATGGAAAATTTAAGCAGCAAGATGTGTCAAGTTGTAGATGTTGGCCAGGAAAAAGCCAGCAGCAGCCAGGCAGGGGAGAGTGTGCATCCGACATCCTCCTGTGTGATGAAGGGATGACACCTCGTCCCTCTAGGCTGTCAGCTTTTACTGTTCCAGGATACAGATCTCCTGATTCAATGTTGAGTGCCTTTTGAACTGACCACAAGCCCTCCTGGACGATTGGAACTGTAATGTGGAAAGGGCTATGATGGAGCCAGTTAAAATGCTTCATTACTTGCAAAATACCACATACAGTAATACAATATACACGTCTTTCCCCTTCTCCACTAAGTAGCATACATTAAGACTTCACAGAGGAAGTGTGCCTTTTTCATTTCGTATCTGAGTCAGTGAGTATCCTGTTTGGAAACAAGCTTCATCCTGGTTTTCTAGAGTGCCAAGTCAGGGTGGAAACGAGGACCTGGGGGCTCAGTCCTTCCTTGCCCCTTGGGCTGCCTTCAGGGTTAAGTAGAGGGTCCCAGCTGAGCTCTCTGGATGCACAGGAGCACCTGGGTACATAAGAAGGTGAACAGTTTGCAAGGGGAAATTACTATCCCCCACAGCATTTGTTCCTTCAGGACACTAACCCTCTGGATCTGTGTCTTCTGTGTCTCCAGTGGCCAACAGTGTTGCAAACAGGAACCCGAGGTTTTCACTTCACTGTTGATGGGAACAAGAGGGCATCTGCTAAAGTTTCAGATTCCGTAAGTTCATGCTTTTTGTTCCATTATAAATGATTTTTTTGGCTTAGGGGGTAAGGATCTATACCAGTTTGTTTTCATATGAGTCATAGACATAAGGGAAAAATTTCTCATAGGTATCCAATGCATGCTGAAATTATTTTCAGTGTAATAATACTTAATTGCAAGTACAAATATAAACATAGATGTTTACATTTTTACTTGTATCTGTTATGTATCTATAAACTAGATTTAAATTTAGATCAAGTAAAGCAATAAATTAAAATAAAATGAACAGTGTCTGCTGTGATAGATGATAAAATTCCTACTGAAAATAGGACGGTGGGGCCAGTGAACAGTATCTGCTGTGATAGATGATAAAATCCTACTGAAAATAGGATGGTGGGGCCCCTCGGGTGTGGGTTGCTTTGTATTTAGTGAGCCTATCTCTGTTGAAAAACTGAAACTTGCTGAGAAGTTGTTTTCTTATAAGCCCACAATAGCGACTGAATACTCCTTGGCACCTTCTCAGGCATAAGCATAGGCACGGCCCTGAAGTAGAGTTGTGGTCCTCAGTCTGACCCCATGGGATAGACCCTCTACCATTCGTAGAATCTGATTGTCAGTCCCTTCTCCAGGTGCGAATGTGCCCACCTCTCCCCGAACTGTTCAGGGCTCAGCCCCAGGACAGGATGGAGGCCCTGTGTGCCCAGCAGTTGCTCCTTTTATCTTTGTCAAGCTCTTTCACTGTCACAAGATTCTTCATGTTTGGCATAGTGGAACATGTGATTGACAGGTGAATTTTTCTTTTCCAGATTTCTGCTCAGTATCCAGTAGTGGATCATGAATTTGATGCAGTGGTGGTAGGCGCTGGAGGGGCAGGCTTGCGAGCTGCATTTGGCCTTTCTGAGGCAGGGTTTAATACAGCATGTGTTACCAAGCTGTTTCCTACCAGGTCACACACTGTTGCAGCACAGGTAAGAGAAAGGTGCCCCACTGTGCTCCCACTCCGTGCAGGTCCCGCGCAGCCTCGCACTTTCTACCTGGGCAGCCCCCTGCCTCCTCCCCCTGCTCCAGCCACATGGCCTCTTGCTGTGCCTTACTCAGCTCACCCTCTCAGGGGTCTCTCCCTGGAGCCTCTTCCCTGGGGACTTTGAAGGGCGGGAGACTTGTTGTCACTCCTAATTCAGACTCCAGTCACACTTGGGTTTTCTCTGACCATCTTGCCTACTACCTTCCCCACCTACCCCCGCCACCCCAACACCTTAAGAAAAGGAGATCACCTAAAGAGGAGGAATCAGAATTTAGGTTGGGGAAGAAAAGGGCAAGGGTTTCATTTGTCCCTGTGCTTCTGTCTTCTGGGACTCTCTGAGGGGTAAGACAGTGGTGGGCACACACAGCCAAAGGAAGCTGGGGTACAGGGGAGTGCGACTCTGAGTGTGGAGTTTATTACTTGGCAGGAAGCACTTCTAGTCTTTAACACATGCCCGTAAATGCCATTGGGAAGATTTGTTAATAAAATTATCTGGAAAGATTTGTTGAGTACCTTTTCTGTGCCAGATAGGTTAGGTTATAAGCATATTACAGGTAGCCTTTCACTCACTGCTCCAGTCAGCCCTTCCTGGAGTTCCCTGTGTCTCCACCACGCAGATGAGGAGACTGAGGCTAAGGATGGAATCACTGGGCGAGTCGGGGAGGGGTTGTGATCTGGAATCTGTCGGGTCTCGCTGCTCCTCTGCTGAGGTCAGCCCTCACTGGGAGTCACTGTGTGAGTAGTTGGCTTTCTCTGAATCCCCCCAGCGGGTGGATTTGGGCCTGGAAGACAAAGTTGGCGCTCCTGTTTGTGGCTTGTAAGGAGTGGTTGGTGTTTCCAGGGAGGAATCAATGCTGCTCTGGGGAACATGGAGGAGGACAACTGGAGGTGGCATTTCTACGACACCGTGAAGGGCTCCGACTGGCTGGGGGACCAGGATGCCATCCACTACATGACGGAGCAGGCCCCCGCCGCCGTGGTCGAGGTGATGGGCGGGAGGCTCTGGGTGTTCTCGTGGTCTGTTTCTAGTACAAAAGAATCCTGGAAAAAAATGTAAGCAATTGAGGCGGATGTGGCAGCCAAAAGAATGGTGATGAGCAAAGTTCACAAGAAGAGTCTTTTTCCGTTATGAACTATGCATTATATGTAACAAGAAAACTTCTCTTTGATGAAGTGTTGACATTTTCATAAAATAGGTTACTTTGGGTTTGCAGATTTGTGTTAAACTTGTTTAGTGTAGATTAGCTGCGAATATCTTGACTCCTTTAAGGTGTTAAGGTTTTTGTTTGTTTTTATCTTTCACAGCTAGAAAATTATGGCATGCCGTTTAGCAGAACTGAAGATGGGAAGATTTATCAGCGTGCATTTGGTGGACAGAGCCTCAAGTTTGGAAAGGGCGGGCAGGCCCATCGGTGCTGCTGTGTGGCTGATCGGACTGGCCACTCGCTATTGCACACCTTATATGGAAGGGTAAGGCCGCCCCCGTCCACCTGAGACAGGACACGTAGTGCTGGGGCTTATGGTGACAGTGGGGAATGGGTTAGCGTGCCCAGTGAGTCAGCCAGAGATTACGTAAAAAGCAACAGAGAACAGCAGCGTGGGGCGCATGCAGCGACTGTGGATGTGACAGGACCAGACGTGTGCCTTGAGGAGCTGTCCCTAAGGCAGTGTGTGACTTCTTGCATCTATGTCAGAAAGTTGAATCGATAATCTTACATACCAGGTTTTAACTTGGGATATGTGACACTCAACATACAAGAGCAGAGCAAGCAGGCCAGGCACAGTGGCTCAGGTCTGTAATCCCAGCACTTTAGGAGGCCAAGGCAGGAGGATCACTTGAGACCAGAAGTTTGAGACCAGCCTGGACAACATAGCAAGACCCTGTCTCTACAAAAAGTTTAAAAATTAGCTGGGCATGGTGGTACATGCTTGTAATCCCAGTTACTCAGGAGGCTGAGGCTCCTGGATCACTTGAGACCAGGAGGTTGAGGCTACAGTGAGCCATGTTCGTACCACTGCACTCCAGCCTGGGCAACAGGAGACCCTGTCTCAAAAAAAGAGAAAGAACAGGCTGGGTGCGGTGGCTCACGCCTGTAATCCCAGCACTTTGTGAGGCCTAGGCGGGCAGATCACAAGGTCAGGAGTTTGAGGCCATCTTGCCTAACACTGTGAAACCCCGTCTCTACTAAAAATACAAAAAAATTAGCCAGGCATGGTGGCAGGCACCTGTAGTCCCAGCTGCTTGGGAGGCTGAGGCAGGAGAATGGCGTGAACCCAGGAGGCGGAACTTGCAGTGAGCCGAGATCGCACCCCTGCACTCCAGCCTGGGCAACAGAATGAGACTCCATCTCAAAAAAAAAAAAAAAAAAAGAACAAGTATTTTAAGTCTCTTTTACCACCTCTGAGTTCCTGAATGGATTGGTTTTGTTTGTTTTGTTTTGTTTTGTTTTTGAGACGGAGTCTCACTCTGTCACCCAGGCTGGAGTGCAGTAGCACAATCTCAGCTCACTGCTACTTCCACCTCCTGGATTCAAGTGATTCTCCTGCCTCAGCCTCCCGAGTAGCTGGGACTACAGGCGCACGCCACCATGCCTGGCTAATTTTTTGTATTTTAGTAGAGACAGGGTTTCCCATGTTGCCCAGGCTGGTCCCGAACTCCTGAGCTCAGGCAGTCCACCTGCCTTGGCCTCCGAAAGTGCTGGGATTGCAGGCGTGAGCCACCGCACCCGGCCATGGATTGTTTTAATATTAACTGTTAACACTGAAGAAAGACTTGAGGTGACAATAGTTACTGGGTAATCAGAGTCAACTTTGGCATGGCCAAATAATATTCTGAACGGTATTGATTCAGAGTAATCAATATTCTGAACTTTGTTGTTTTCTGATGCATGGGGACGGATCGTTAATTTGCAGGTTGTTAGAACACCAGTGACTTCTCTGTGGCTGAGTGCATCGACAAGTGTGTGGTGGGAGGAGACCGCGGCTCCATCTGGAGCAGGAGCTGTCATGTGGGGAGCTGGCCCAGGCTTACAAGAGCGACTTGTGCTGGCTGAGGGAACGGCAGGTCCAGGCGGGCAGCGCTGTCCGGCGCCTACCTTTCTGCGGTGCCGGAATCTGCTCGTCTGCAACCGTCCGCTTTGGTAGCTGCCAGCCACATGGGGCTGTTGCTAATGTGGCAGGTGTAGCTGAAGAGCTGAATGTTTTGACTTATTTTAATTAATTAAGTGGTTATGTGTTGCCAGTAGCTCCCATCTGGGCTGTGACTGCATGGTCTGCGGACCTCACTCTGGCACCAGACTCCGAGTGGAGCTGCATGCGGCCACCGGACAGTGTGGAGTGCCTCTTCGGGTTGTGTAGAAGTAGGAAATGTGTCACCAAAATAGGAGCTGTTGCTGCTGCGTTCTCTAGCACACCTGCCTTGTCTGTACTGCTCGGCGTGGAATGCCTCTCGGGCTCTGACAGTGTCACTGACACTGTTGCTGATCTCCTTGGATTTACCTGGTCCATTTGGATCAAGTTCTTTCACCTATTCACATGAGCAGATACCACCTTAAAACCTTAAAGTTTGGCTTAACACTTCTTGCCCTTTTTTTTTCCTTTCTTTTAGTCTCTGCGATATGATACCAGCTATTTTGTGGAGTATTTTGCCTTGGATCTCCTGATGGAGAATGGGGAGTGCCGTGGTGTCATCGCACTGTGCATAGAGGACGGGTCCATCCATCGCATAAGAGCAAAGAACACTGTTGTTGCCACAGGGTAGGAATCTCATTTCTACTTTATTTTGTTTATAAAAATGAATAAATTTCATTTAGAGTTTCTTTATTTTAATGAAAATAGAGGCATTGTAGAATAACGGTTTAGACACAGGCCTTGATATAACCATGTGAGGGTGATGGCCTTTCCCAGCCGTGGTTCCTCACCTGTAAAGGGTGAGGACAGGAGCACCTGCCTCAGGGTGAGAAAGCATGGTCCTCAGTAGATGGTAGTGGTTGCCCTCAGGTTCACAGCTTACCTCTCCCAATTTAGATGAGGGAACTGTGGCCCAAAGAGTCAACATGGGGTTTTCTGGCAAAATCTCTCTTGTTTTAGTGGGTACTGTATTGATACTGATTCCTCGGGTGGGTAAGTCCTTCTTCTCCACATGATGAAAATAAGTAACTTTAATTTTATACACTGTCAGTTACTTTAACCATTTTAAAAGTTAAAAAGTGTCAGTACAGCCAAACAAAAAATCAGCAAAACTACAGGTTGGGAAGAAATATTTTCCAAACCATATGTGTAATAATATCTTACTATCTAAAATAGCAAAAAAAAAACCCTACTAAAAACAACCTACTAAACCCTACTAAAAAACAACCCTACTAAAAATGGGCAAAGGACTTGAATAGATATTTTTCTAGAGAAGACATACAAATGGCCAATTGATGTATGAAAAAATGCTCAACGTCACTAAGCACCAGAGAAATGCAAATTAAAACCCCAATGAGATATCATCTCATCTCGCTCCAGTTAGAATGACTGTTACCAAGAGGACAAAAGAGCAAGTGTTGGTGAGGATGTGGAGAAAAGGGAACCCTGTGTGCTGTTGGTGGGAATGTAAATTAGTACAACTATTACGGAAAACTCTGGAGGTTCCTCAAAATTCATAGGACTACTATGTGCTCCAGCAACCCCATTTCTGGGTGTATATCCAAAGGGCATGAAATCAGAAGCTCAAAGAGACACCTGGACCCTATGTTCATTGCAGCATTATTCACAATACCCGAGATATGGAAACAACCTAAATATGTGTTGGTGTTTAATGACAATGTGGTGTGTATACACAACTGAATATTATTCGGCTATGAAAATGAAGGAAATCCTGTCATGTGTGACAACGTGGATGAACCCAAAGTCATTATGTTAAGTGAAACGAGCCAGGCACAGAAAGACAGATACTGCATGTCACTCATGTGGAATCTAAAACAGTCACAACTCACAGAAACAGAGTAGGACAGTGGTTGCCAGGGGCTGGGGGAATGCAGACTGTGGCGATGCTGATTAAAGGTGTAACTTCCCGTTACAAGGTGAAGTTCTGAAGGTCTAATATACAACATGGTGGCTATAGTTAACATTATACAGCATGGTGGCCAGAGTTAACATTATACAGCATGGTGGCTATAGTTAACATTATACAGCATGGTGGTTAGAGTTAACATTATACAGCATGGTGGCTAGAGTTAACATTATACAGCATGGTGGCTAGAGTTAACATTATACAGCATGCTGGCTATCGTTAACATTATACAGCATGGTGGCCAGAGTTAACATTATACAGCATGGTGGCCAGAGTTAACATTATACAGCACGGTGGCTAGAGTTAATATACAGCATGGTGGCTATCGTTAATATTATACAGCATGGTGGCTAGAGTTAACATTATACAGCATGGTGGCTAGAGTTAATATTATACAGCATGGTGGCTATCGTTAATATTATAACTTGAAATTTGCGAAGATAGTAGACGTTAGGCGTCTGTATCTCCAAAAAAAGGATAATTGTATGAGGTGATAGATGTGTATTAACTTGATTGTGTCATCATTTCACAAAATAAATCATCACGCTGTACACCATAAATATATAGTTTTTTTTTTAAATTCATCAATCATACCTCAGTAAATCTGGGGGAGAAAAAAATCCATAAAAATTTTAAAATTTTCATTATAAAAGTAGTATATGCTTATTGGGGAAACCTTTTGAACAGCACAAAGCTAAAATACAAATAGGGCCAGGTGTGCAGTGGCTCACGCCTGTAATCCCGGCACTTTGGGAGGCCAAAGTGGGAGGATCACTTGAGGTCAGGAGTTCGAGACCAGCCTGGCCAACATGGTGAAACCCCATCTCTACTAAAAATACAAAAATTAACTGGGCGTGGTGGTGCACACTGTAATCCCAGCTACTCGGGAGGCTGAGGCGGAAGAATCACTTGAACCTGGGAGCCGGAGGTTGCTGTGAGCCGAGATCGCACCACTCTACTCCAGCCTGGTCAACAGAGTTAGATCCTATCTCAAAATAAATAAATAAAATACAAATGGAAGTCCTTTCTTTGATCCCAGGCTTCTATCCTACCTGTGCAGGGTAGCAGCACCAGTGGCGCGGCCCCTAGTGATATGTGTGGGGTGTGCGTGAGTAGGGGGTTGTGTGTGCACAGCACTGAGAAGACGGTGCTGGGGGCTGCCGTGTCCATTCTGTGATCTCACCAGATAGGAGGTCCAGATGTGGGCCGCTGTGTGCAGTCACTGCTCTCTATTGTTTCCAGAGGCTACGGGCGCACCTACTTCAGCTGCACGTCTGCCCACACCAGCACTGGCGACGGCACGGCCATGATCACCAGGGCAGGCCTTCCTTGCCAGGACCTAGAGTTTGTTCAGTTCCACCCTACAGGTAGGGCAGGACGCCTTGCCCGGCAGGTGTTTGGCTTGTGTGTGTCTTGTAAGCATGTGATGCCTACTCATTGCTCTTCCATAGTTTTATGTAATAACATGGTTTTGAAGATCAGCTTCCTCAGCTCTCAGGTCCTAACTTCAACGTCATTTACCTAAGGAGACTTTTCCCACACTCCCCTTCCCCTAAGGCAGTTTGGGCCACCGTCTTATGTATTTCTCAAGAGCGCTAAACCCTGCCTTGGTGATACTTAAGCCAGCAGTAAAGCAGGGATTGAGGCCGAGCACAGTGGCTCACTCCTGTAGTCCCAGCACTTTAGGAGGCCAAGGCGGGCGGATCACCTGAGGTCAGGAGTTCGAGACCAGCCTGACCAACATGGTGACACCTCGTCTCTACTAAAAATACAAAAATCAGCTGGGCGTGATGGCGTGTACCTGTAATCCCAGGTACTTGGGAGGCTGAGGTGGGAGGAATGCTTGAACCTGGGAGGCAGAGGTTGCAGTGAGCCGAGATCGCGCCACTGCACTCCAGCCTGGGCAACAGAGTAAGACTCCGTCTCAAAAAAAAAAAAAAAAAAAGTAAAGCAGGGATTGTTCAGTGTCCCTCTTCGCAACGAGGTCGTCAGCTCCTCGGGCAGGCAGGTCTTCTCGTTAGCTGTGGTGCTCCATGCCCAGCACATGGTAGGGTCTCCACCGGGGTTTACTGAGTGAACATTCTGAGAGCTGGGAGAATGCCATGGAACCGAGAAGCAGCACAGGCAGACTTCAGCTTTGTAGGAGAACACGGAGCTTCTGTGACAATGGGATGTAAAGTTAGGACGCAGCCGTGACAGAACCCCATGTGACATTGGGCGCTGGGCTCAGCCCACGTGACCACTGAGAGAGCTTGTCGTGGGGAAGATGAGCTCGTCTTGGGGACGTCTGACGGTTGAGGTTACGAATGTGCAATTCGGAGACATTAACTCAGAAATGACAGTTGAAGTCTTGAGTTTGGAGGAGGTTCTTCAGAATGAGTCAGAGACAGACACACACCTGCCTCTTGTTTGAGGTGACTTGTCCTATACTTTTCTGGGTTGCTTTTCTGACCTGTGGACGATGGAGACCTCTGAAGTGGTGCCAAAGAACCAGACCTGTGTCTTCTCTTTCTCTGTCAGTGTCAGCTTTCTGATCCCTGGAAGGGATGAAAATAAGAAATGAATTTGTTGTAGTGTTTTTTTTTTATTTGTTTCGAGATGGGGTCTTGCTCTGTTGCTCAGGCTGGAGTGCAGTGGAGCAATCTTGACTCACTGCAGCCTTTGTCTCCCAGGCTCAAACGATCCTTCCACCTCAGCCTCCCAAACAGCTGGGACTACAGGCATGTGTTACCATGCCCAGCTAATTTTCGAGGGTTTTTTCGTTTTTGGTAGAGACGGGATGTCACCGTTTTGCCCAGGCTGGTCTCAAACTCCAGGGCTTAGGCCATCCTCCTGCCTCGGCCCCTCAGGGTCCTGGGATTATAGCCATGAGCCACTGCACCCGGCCTGTTGTATTTTTTATTACTGTTTTTAATGAATAAAATGTCACTGAGCCCCTGAATTCCCTCTGTAATTTGCTTAGAGCTCCACTGCTCATGCTTTGTCTTCAGTATGTGAGAAGTAACCACAGAAAAAAGAGCATTGAAACTTAGAAAATCAAAAGACAGACAAGAATCACATTCGTTTTTTAAAAGCAAGATTGCCCTTTTTGTATACTAATAAAAATTGTAGCTTTCGAAATACATTTAGTTTAGGGTTTTTGATCTCCTTTGTTAAAATTCGAGAGCTTGGCATGCCCTGTTTCTCATCGCACTGAGGAGTCACAGAGCCGCTGTTTGGAGCACAGACCGCCGGACTACCCAGGTTTGGGTTTGAGCTCTGTCCTCAGCTGCATGACTGGATGTTACCAAGTGTTAATTTGCTTGTCACTGAGAAAGGGGGTCGTACTACCCAGAGTTGTTGTAAGACTTAAACGAGTTAATATGTGGAAAGCAGCTAGAACTGCCCATAGCAAGTGCAGTGTAAATATTATCTAAAATAATCATTATTACTGTCCTTGTCACTGTTTGGATAATTTAGATATGAATACTTCAAGCTAGTATTCTTAACTAGTCACCACAGTATCATAGTGCAAAAGAATGTTCAAAAATTAAAACAAAATTTGAGGCATCCAACGTACACTGGGCTGTAATCAGAGTATTGGCCAGAGGTCTGTGGGCCGGCCTTTCTCCTCTCTGGGGACACCGCTCTGCCCCAGCCTCTGCTGCAGCTGTCAGCCTTGTCAGTGCTTTTTGTTATCCAGACTTTCTACTGTATCTTAACTGTCTTGCTGTGCAGTTTTGCACATAATGCCTTCTGCTTATCTTTTTCCTCTTTCCCCCAAAAAATGTCTTGAAAAAAATAATGCATTTGAAATAGAGATCTAGCAATTGTTAGGTAATAAATATGTGTGGTTTTTTGCAGGCATATATGGTGCTGGTTGTCTCATTACGGAAGGATGTCGTGGAGAGGGAGGCATTCTCATTAACAGTCAAGGCGAAAGGTTTATGGAGCGATACGCCCCTGTCGCGAAGGACCTGGCGTCTAGAGATGTGGTGTCTCGGTCCATGACTCTGGAGATCCGAGAAGGAAGGTGCGTGTGATTTACCACCAGCACTGTCTGAGCGGGCACACGGGCCGGGGTTGCTTCTGTGAGTTTCAGCACCGCTCGCCCTCACCTTCGTGTGCAGGCGCATGTGCACAGCCACCTCTCTTAGCTGCTGGCAGGCGTCTGTTAGTCTGCGATATTTTCCTAAAGACCTACATTTTGAAAATTTTAGCCAGTTTCTTTCTCAAATCTGTGGAACAGAGTTTCTCTTAGTGTGTGTGAGTATGTGACGGAGTATGGGAGAGAGAGACACACACCCAACCTGAAGTCGGCATGTGAGCCTTGGGTGTTGTGTCTGATACCCACAGATGTTTTTTGGCAGCTTTCAAAGTGTGTGGGTTATTTGGCTTTCAGTAAAACAGTTTGCAGCTCTTTCATTGCCTGACCCTGTTCTTTAATGTAATGACATTTGCTAAATATCTGCTGGTATGGCCTTTAGAGGTTTTACATTTTTATATTAAAAAAACAGAGAAGTCAGGTGGGGCGCAGTGGCTCACGCCTGTAATCCCAGCACTTTGGGAGGCTGAAGCGGGCAGATCAGGAGGTCAGGAGATCGAGACCATCCTGGCTAACACGGTGAAACCCCGTCTCTACTAAAAATACAAAAAATTAGCCGGGCGTGATGGCAGGTGCCTGTAGTCCCAGCTACTCGGGAGGCTGAGGCAGGAGAATGGCGTGAACCTGGGAGGCGGAGCTTGCAGTGAGCTGAGATCACACCACTGCACTCCAGCCTGGGCGACAGAGCAACACTCTGTCTCAAAAAAAAAAAAAAAAAAAAAAAAAACAGAGAAGTCAAATGGTTTTTTGGAATATGGTGGCCCTCCGTACCCATTGGTTCCACATGTGTGGTTTCAGCCAACTATGTATTGAAAATAAAATTGCATCCTTACAAATATGCAGACTTTTTTTCCTTGTCATTGTTCCCTTAACAATACAGTGTAACAGCTATTTACGTAGCATTTACATTGTATTAGGTACTATGAGTCATCCTGGAGTTGCTGTAAAACTTAAACGTAAAACTTGAAATGAGGATGATTTAAAGTATAGAGGAGGATGTGCATAGGTTATATGCAAATACTCTCCCATTTTATATTAGGGACTTGAGCATCCACGGATTTTGGTATCCGTGGGGGTCCTGGACCCAACCTGCCACGGATACGCAGGGACGACTGTATTTGGCATAGAGGCCTTTCTAATGCACTTACCAAGGACACCTGCAGCAGGCTGTGATCCCTGAGACGAGCGTGAGTTTAGTGAGGGCAGAGTTTTTGTTCTGGTTCTCAGCTGTGTCCCAGCACCTGGGATTGTCCCTGGCACACAGTAGCTGCTTAGAAAAGATTTGATGAGAGGGTGACCATACATGAGGGGAAATTTTCCTCAGTATCAAAACATGTTGAAACTCACACACTTCCAAGATGACGTATTCTCAGGTCTCCTGCCGTTGCCGTTCTCTGCCGTATGTGATGGTGTTCTGTCTTACCAGAGGCTGTGGCCCTGAGAAAGATCACGTCTACCTGCAGCTGCACCACCTACCTCCAGAGCAGCTGGCCACGCGCCTGCCTGGCATTTCAGAGACAGCCATGATCTTCGCTGGCGTGGACGTCACGAAGGAGCCGATCCCTGTCCTCCCCACCGTGCATTATAACATGGGCGGCATTCCCACCAACTACAAGGGGCAGGTGATGGTGCTGGCTCCTCCCCCACAGCTGGAAAGAAGGCTGGGACGACGGGGCCCACCTCGCAGTTGTCTCTTTAGATCTTACAGGAAAAGATAGATGTTTCCTTCAAGAAAGTACTGTATTGTTTTCTAGATTGCACTTTAAATTTCTATTACCGGAGGATGGAGGGGGCTTAATAATTTATTCCTCCTTAGTAAATTGTCAGAGATACATCATTTGCAGCTTTTTCCATTTTGTAATTACTTTCCTATATGATCTTGTGTTATTTCTAATGATCTTACACATCAAGGGATCTTTATAATTCATTCCTTTGAGTGGTTTGTGGTTCACACAGAGCTTGTCAGTCACTTAGGCTCCTTGTTGGGCGAGGTGGGTGGAAGCTGTTGCTCTCCCTGCGTAGACGAAGAGGTGAACGGGGTAGAACAGTCTGGAACATCAGTCTCCCCTGCTGATGTTCCTCCACCTGCCGTGCTCCTGGGTCTGAGCCGGAGCACAGGTGGTGAGGGCCCCGGGAACATGGGACACGGGGGACAGTCGCAGATGCTGACATTGGAGGTCCTCTGACCTGCTTGTAACAGCAGGTGCTCAGGGGCAGAGGGGAAACTGGGGGATACCTTCGGAAGCTTCCCTCTGAAGAAGAGTAGCTATGGTCCTTACTTCCCTCTTAGATACGGTCTTTACTTCCCTCTCTTTTTTTTTCTTGGAGATGCAGTCTCACTCTGTTGCTTCGGCTGGAGAGCAGTGGTGCGATCTCAGCTCACTGCAACCTCTGCCTCCCAGGTTCAAGTGATTTTTCCGCCTCAGCCTCCCTAGTAGCTGGGATTACAGGCACCCGCCATTATGCCCCGCTAATTTTTGTATTTTTAGTAGAGATGGGGTTTCACCGTGTTAGCCAGACAGGTCTTGAACCCCTGACCTCAGGTGATCACCCACCTCAGCCTCCCAAAGTGCTGAGATTACAGGCGTGAGCCACCACGCCTGGCCTACTTCCCTCTCTCTGACCTGCAGCACAGACACCCTGTTGGGGAAGGTGGGCTGGTGGAGGCATGGGCACCTTGACATTTCACCTGAAATCTTCCTTTCCACAGGTCCTGAGGCACGTGAATGGCCAGGATCAGATTGTGCCCGGCCTGTACGCCTGTGGGGAGGCCGCCTGTGCCTCGGTACATGGTGCCAACCGCCTCGGGGCAAACTCGCTCTTGGACCTGGTTGTCTTTGGTCGGGCATGTGCCCTGAGCATCGAAGAGTCATGCAGGCCTGGTAAGTGTTTTCTTCAGGAGCCAGACTATTTGAGAAGGCGCAGGACGTTAGAAAGTCTTTTTTCTTTTTTTTGAGAAAGGGTCAGCCCAGGCTGGAGTGCAGTGGCACAGTCATAGCAGCCTCAACCTCCCGGGCTCAAGCAGTCTTCAACACCTCAACCTTCAGAGTCCCAAGTAGCTGGGACTACAGATGTGCACCACCACACCTGGCTAATTTTTAAAAAAATTTATTTTGTAGAGACAGGGTCTCACAATATTGCCCAGGCTGGTCTTGAACTCCTAGACTCAAACAGTCCTGCCTCAGCTTCCCAAAGTATCGGGATTACAGGCATGAGCCACTGCACCCAGCCAGGTTACAAAGCCTTGATTTCTTACTGGAAATTTGCTTAGTGATCATATAGAGGTAGTCTGGGTTTTTCCCCCAGAAGTGATTAAACTGAGAAATCCAGAAATTATATGGTGGTAATGTTGAGACTAGATAGAGGCTGGTTGGGGATCTTAACAGTTAAGGTGACATTTTTGGGGTTACATTTTTTTTTAATTATTTTGCAGTCATTATGTTCTGTTTAGAAAAAGCACTATTAGAAAGTTGTTATTTTTAGGGGAATCATTACATATTACTTGCCTGATAAAAATCACTTATTTGCAATGAAATATTTTAAGTAGTTGGCATGAATGAATATGTAACTTCTTGGTACTTAGAAAAGTAATTTAGGCCATTCTAGAAACAAAGTACAGCTAGCCTCTATTAGAGGAGAAGGGATGACTTACAGTGAACAGGATTCCCACCCTTTACGGACAGATTGGATTTCACTTGCTGGTTTTCTTTTCATGATAGCATCAAATAATGTGCAGTAAAGGAAATACCATGTGTGGGAGTGTGAGTCTTACGTGCACTAAGAACGGGGCAGTTAGCATCTCTCCCACCTCCAGACATCCTCACGGTGGTTATCCAGCCTCGTGTGCTCAGAACAGTGTGAGGTGGATGAGGCACTGGTGGATGTTTGCGTGGCAAGGATGGTGGGACCCCAGGCCCATGTTCTTCCCGTTACCTTTCTCTGGTGTTAACTGTTAGCATCATTTCTGCTGTTTTTATACAACAGGTGCTTTTTGTATGGATTCAAGTGAAATAAAAACTAGCACGGCTGTAACTTATAAACGTGCCCCCTTTTGTATCTGTAGTTAGAAAGGTGCAGATAGTATTAAAAGGGTAGCTTACTTCAGACACTCTGTCTCTGGATCTGACCACCGCTCGGGAGGCCAGCACACGCAGAGCTGGCGTCTCATCCCCAGCCATTGGTGATCATCGGCGAAGGCGGAGTTCAGGTCCATCGTTCCTGACGCCGCAGGTAGTGCTTGTCTCACTCCATAGCCCTGCACTTTGTCGCAGTGAGGACTGATACCACTTCTCTCAGAGCAATGTAGAAATTTTGAGCTGCTCTTTCTTTGAAAATGCAAAAAAGAACATTTTGTAAGAATACCCTATACTTTACATCTGAGAAACCGCCCACGCATGCAGCATCTCACGCAGAATGCTGTGGAGTCAGACTCAAAAGGCTGCATGCCTGTGGTTCTGTTGATACGACATTCTGGAAAAGGCACATCTAGGGAAGACAAGGGATTGGTGGTTGCCAGAGGCTGCTTCCTGATTGTGCTGAGACTTACAGACACAACTCTGTGTGTGTCAAAATTTGAAAAACCCTACACTAAAAATGATGAGTTTATTTTACTGTATCTTTATGCTTTAATTTTCAAAAATGAAAAGGAAAGAAAAAATGCTTGTAGCATCACTATTCTCCCCCAAAACCCCCTGCAAAAAAAAATACATATATATACACATATATATGTATTTTTTTTTTTTAAGAGATAGTCTCCCTCTGTCGCCCAGGCTGTAGTGCAGTGGTACGATCAGGTGCACACCACCACACCTGGCTAATTTTTAAAAATGTTTTGTAGGGACAGGGTCTCCCTGTGTTGCCCAGGATGGGCTTGAACTCCTGGCCTCAAGTGTTCCTCCTGTCTCAGCCTCCCGAAGTGGTTACATGCGCCTATACATGTGTTAAAATTGGTAGAACTGAGGCTGGGTGCAGTGGCTCACGCCTATAATCCCACCGCTTTGGGAGG
Organism: Homo sapiens; assembly: GCF_000001405.40. Taxonomy (NCBI): domain Eukaryota; kingdom Metazoa; phylum Chordata; class Mammalia; order Primates; family Hominidae; genus Homo; species Homo sapiens. The sequence goes on from NC_000005.10 coordinate 238,723, forward strand.
CCGAGGCAGGCAGATTGCTTGAGCTCAGGAGTTCGAGACCAGCTTGGGCAACGTGGTGAAACCCCGTCTCTACCAAAAATACAAAAATTAGCTGGGCATGGTGGCTCACACCTATGTAGTCCCAGCTACTTGGGAGGCTGAGGTTGGAGGATTGCTGGAGCCTGGAAGGCAGAGGTTGCAGTGAGCCAAGATCACACCACTGTACTCCAGCCTGGGCAAGAGAGGGAGGAGACACTGTCTCAAAAAAAAGAAAAAGTAAATTGTAGAACTGTCCACCTAAAGAAAAAAGTCAATTTTACTGAATGATCAATTTTTAAAGCATTATTATCAAAAGGAAGAGAAACACCAGCGAGCCTAGAAGCATTTGAGCAGACCCTCAAGAGACCCATAGCCTGGTCCTGTGGAGAGGTGGTGGGCGGGGTGGGGCCTGTTTGACTCCTGCATTTCATACATCCTACCTCCTGCATGTATTACCTGTTGAAGAAAATATATATAACGTTATAAAAAAAACTTAAAAACTTTTTTCAAGACATCGTAGAAACACAAGAGTTGCAAATCTTGGCTGTGCGCAGTGGCTCACACGTGATCCCAGCACTTTGGGAAGCCAAGGCAGGTGGCTCACCTGAGGTCAGGAGTTCTAGACTGGCCAACATGGTGAAACCCATTTCTACTGAAAATACAAAAAATTAGCCAGGTATGGTGGCATATTCCTGTAGTCCCAGCTACTCTGGAGGCTGAGGCAGGAGGCTTGCTTGAACCCGGAGATGGAGGTTGCAGTGAGCCGAGATGGTGCCACTGACTGCACTCCAACCTGGGCTACAGAACAAAATTCCATCTCAAAAAAAAAAAAATTGCTAATCTTGAAGTATAGTTGAGAGCACATAAGAGTCCAAATCAACAGGTGACTTTCAAGCACACAGCAGCCACCTTCCCCCCGCTGATGTGAAGGGTGGCCGGCCCCTTGGGACCACCATCTGGAAGGTGTCTCTTTTTTCCCTTAGTGGAGTGACATTTATATACACTTAATATATATAAATTTGTATACATTTAATTTTTTTTTTTTTTAAGACAGGGTCTCGCTCTGTTGCCCAGGCTGGAGTGCAGTGGCGCGATCTCGGCTCACTGCAACCTCCACCTTTAGGGTTCAAGCAGTTCTCATGCCTCAGCCTCCCGAGTAGCTGGGATTATAGACGCGTGCCACCATACCCAGATAATTTTTGTGTTTTTAGTGAAACGAGGTTTTGCCATGTTGGCCAGGCTGCTCTTGAATTCCTGACCTCAAGTGATCCACCTACCTTGGCCTCGTAAAGTGCTGGGATTACAGGCGTGAGCCACCGCACCCGGCCTACATTTAATTTTTTAATTTTAGAGATGATTTCTAGTTTATTCACTCTAAGATCACTTAATGGATATCTACTGTGTGCCAACAATTTTGCCTTTATGTTCTTTAAAATTGGCCCCAACTCAACAGATGGCCTCAGCTGTAGGGTGGGCTGGCAGTGTGTTAGCTCAGGAGACTTACAGAGTTTCCAAGCTCCTTGAGTGGCTGTGCTACATGTTTGTGTGTCATTCTAAATCCATTTGGTTTTTTAAAACGGTTTTCAAAAGTTAAATTCTAGCTTTTTTTTGTTTTAGGAGATAAAGTCCCTCCAATTAAACCAAACGCTGGGGAAGAATCTGTCATGAATCTTGACAAATTGAGATTTGCTGATGGAAGCATAAGAACATCGGAACTGCGACTCAGCATGCAGAAGGTAAGAGCCTGGACTCGCTCTGGAGTGAGCAGGAGGGCTGCATACCTGGCCCTGCACTGGTTTTGTTTTTTAAAAACTAGATCTAGGGGGATGCAGGTGCAGTTTTGTGTGGATGTACTGGGAGGTGGTGGAGTCTGGGCTTTTCATGTACCCGTCACACAAGTCGTGTGTGTTGTACCCAGTAGGTAATTGTTCAACCCCACCCCTCCCGCTTTTTGGAGCTCCCAGTCTCTGCTACTCCACTCCATGTGTCCATGTGTACTCACCATTCAGCTTCCACTTCCAAGTGAGAATGTGTGACACTTGACCTTCTGAGTCACTTCACTTAGGATAGTGACCTCCTGTTCCATCCGTGTGGCTGCAGAAGACATGATTGCGTTCTTTTTTTATGGCCGAGTAGTATTTCATGGTATATATGTACCACATTTTCTTCATCTGGTCATCCGTTGATGGGCACTTAGGTTGATTCCATGACTTTGCTGTTGTGACTAGTGCTGCGATAAATACATAAGGCTGCACCAGTATCTGGAGGTAAACAGCGGTAGGACGTACTCCTCACCGTATCAAGAATATGAAAGAGACCAGGAGGCCTGAACTATACAGAAGTGCACTTCTTTTCCACATAGAAGGTCGGCAGACTAGGGCAGAATTAGTGACTGCTTGGCATCCAGGACAGCCTTCTGTGGTTCACTCGTGTGTGCTTGGGTGTGACCTCCGTGACCTGACCATTGCTGGCTGTCATGGATGAGTCACAGCGTGGAGGAGAGGGAACTGCAGGACCGCTGGAGAAGCTCAGTCCCCAGCAGGGCAGCTTTCTCTTAGAGGTTTCCTGGAGTTCAACACAACACTGGTGCTTACATCTCAGGCCCGGATATCGATCATGTCATCATGCCTGGCTTCCAGCAGCTCGGAAATGTCTTTAAGCTGGACTTGTTGCTGCCTCTAAATATACTCGGAAGAGAGGGAGAGTGGGCGGCAGGTGGAAACTGATCTGTGGCCTGTGCTGCTGGGAGTCGGTCCAGTAGGACCATCTGTGATGATGGAAATGTTCCGAGTGTTTGCCATCCAGTATGGCAGCCATTAGCCATGGGGCCGTGGAGAACCTGATACATGGTCAGTCTAAGAAACTGAATTCCTCTAATAACAAGGATTCTTGTCCATGAATGAGATCTCTTGCCTACTATTTGCAAGAATTTCTGTGTATTTTCTAAAAAGTCCATTGCTTTAGTCCTATTCTGAAATAGGTGTCTAACACCTATGTGGTGTTAGACACAGGAGAACAGGTTCCCTGCTGACATTTTCAGAGGCCTGTGCCCTTCAGTCTTCAAGTGAAGCTGGGCTTCAGGGAGGCTTTGTGGAATGGTGAGAAGAACAGTGTGACTAAGGCACAGAAGGCTGAGTGATGCCCTGCAGTACTATTGTAGGGTTGGAGGCCAGCTGGGAAAGAAAGAACCATTGCATTAGAGAATGGGAACATGCCTTCGGATATAGAAATGGCAAATCCATGAGATAGTTTAAAGTGAGAATACTAGAAGCATTCCCACCAAACATGGTGTGTCTTGGTGCCTGCTGTATCCCAGGCTCCACGAGATGCTGGAGTCAGCACTGAACAAACAGAGTTTCCTCTGCTCGTGGAAATGCGTTCCGTTGGGGAAGGGATTTTTCTGCTGAGTCTGGCTATTCATAGTAAGAAGCAAAAAAAAGAAATGAGGTAAATTTTTGGGAACAGGCCCCCAAATGTGGCCCAAAACTGACCATAAACAAAATCTCTGCAGCACTGTGACATGCTCTTGATGGCCATGACGCCCACGCTAGAAGGCTGTTGGTTTACCAGAATGAGGGCAAGGGACACCTGGCCCACCCAGGGTGGAAAACCGCTTAAGGCATTCTTAAACCACAAACAATAGCATGAGCGATCTGTGCCTTAAGGACATGTTCCTGCTGCAGATAACTAGCCAGAGCCCATACCTTTGTTTCCCGTAAGGAATACTTTTAGTAAATCTTATGACTGGCTTGCTCTCAATAAATATGTGGGTAAATCTCTGTTCAAGGCTCTCAACTCTGAAGGCTGTGAGACCCCTGATTTCCCACTCCACACACTATATTTCTGTGTGTGTGTCTTTAATTCCTCTAGCGCCGCTGGGTTAGGGTCTCCATGACCGAGCTGGTCTCGGCAAATGGCGCCCATATATGGGGGCTCGAATCTAGGTCGAAGGGTCACCGGAGCGATGGAGAACATGGAACTAAGCTGGAGGACACCTGAGTACTCTTACGCAGTCCCTGTGGTGAGTAAGACGGGTAGCTCAGAAGCATCAGGGTAACAATGGGACACGTGTGGGCTCTGGTTCGTTCCACCTTGGAACCTTTTCATGCTAATAATAAGGGGGAAGGAGAGTATAACGAAGTAACAGAAGAAATTACAGAGCAGGTTTGTTTGCCAACTAAAGCTAAAGCGGCAAAGGAGGGAGAGGTTCATCCCTACCCTTCTGCACCCCCTCCTTATTTTGAAGAAAAAGAGTGGCCTGACCCTCCAGATCTTTCTTTTCCAGAGGACAGTGGGCGAAAAGTAGTTGCTCCAGTGACTGTCCGAGCAGCACCTTGAGCGACCCCTCTCAGTTCTATTCAGGCAGGAATTCAGCAAGCTAGATGAGAGGGTGATTTAGAGGCTTGGCAGTTCCCTGTTAGAATACACCCTGCAGATCAACAGGGAAATATTACAGCTACATTTGAGCCTTTTCCCTTTAAATTACTTAAGGAGTTTAAACACGCTATCAATCAGTATGGACCAGGTTCTCCTTTTGTAACAGGACTGTTAAAGAATGTTGTTGTTTCCAGTCGGATGATTCCTACTGACTTGGACGCTCTTACTTGAGCTTGTCTAACTCCTGCTCAGTTCTTACAATTTAAAACTTGGTGGGCAGTTGTAGCTTCCATTCAGCCTACTTGCAGCGCCCAGGCCCAACCTCAAATTAATATAACTGCAGACCAGCTTTTGGGGGTCGGCAGCTGGGCTGGTTTAGATGCACAAGTGGTCGTGCAGGATGATGCCGTAGAACAGCTTAGAGGAGTGTGCATTAGAGCTTGGGAAAAAATCACTTCAGGTAGAGAACAATACCCTTCCTTTAGTGCAGTAAAACAGGGACCAAAAGAACCGTACGCTGATTTTATAGCTCGGTTACAGGAGTCTCTTAAAAAGGTGATCGCAGATTCGGCTGCTCAGGATATAGTGCTGCAGTTATCAGCTTTCGACAATGCTAATCCCGATTGCCAGGCTGCTCTGTGACCTATCAGAGGGAAAGCACACTTAGTTGATTATATCAAGGCCTGTGATGGTATCAGAGGTACTCTGCATAAAGCGACTTTGTTGGCACAAGCTATGGCAGGACTGAAAGTGAGTAAAGGAAATACTCCGTTTCCTGGAGGTTGTTTTAACTGTGGGAAGCATGGTCATACTAAAAAAGAATGTAGAAAAAAATCAGTGAGTGAGGGTGCCAGATGGGGGAAGAAAGAAAACTGCTAAGCCTGAAATATGTCCAAAATGTAAAAAAGGAAAACTTTGGGCTAATCAGTGTCACTCTAAGTTTGATAAAGATGGGAACCCCATTTTGGGAAATGCCATGAGGGGCCCGTCCTGGGTCCCGTTCCAAACCGGGGCATTTCCGGCTCAGGCCACTCCCTCACCCCTGTACAATGTCTGTTCCCCGCCACAGCCGGTAGTGCCACAGTAGATTTATGCTGCACAGTAGCTGTGAGTCTTCTGCTTGGGGAACCCCCACCAAAGGTCCCAGCAGGAGTCTGTGGACCCTTGCAAGCAGGGACGATAGGATTACTCCTAGGCAGGTCTAGTTTAAGTTTAAAAGGGTACAAATACATAGAGGAGTCATTGATTCAGATTACAATGAGGAAATTCAAATTGTTACATCTACTTCTGTTCCCTGGAAAGCAGAGCCAGGAGAGTGCATAGCACAGCTCCTGATTGTGCCATATGTGGAAATGGGGAAAAGTGAAATTAAATGAACAAAAGGATATGGAAGCACAGATAAACAAGGCAAAGCAGCCTATTGGGTGAATCAAATTACTGATAAACGTCCTACCTGTGAAATAACTATTCAGGGAAAGAAATTTAAAGGTTTGGTAGATGCAGGAGCGGACATTTCAATCATTTCTCTACAGCACTGGCCGTCTGTGTGGCCAATTCAACCTGCTCAATTTAACATAGTTGGAGTTGGTAAAGCCCCTGAAGTATATCAAAGTAGTTATATTTCCATTGTGAAGGGCCCAATGGACAACCTGGGACTATTCAATGATAACTTCTGTACCTATAAATTTATGGGGAAGAGATTTATTACAACGATGGGGAGCACAAGTTCTAATTCCAGAGCAATTATATAGCCCTCAAAGTCAACATATGCATGAAATGGGGTATGTCCCTGGTATGGGACTAGGAAAAAATTTGCAGGGTTTGAAAGAAGTGCTTCAAGTGGAAAGACAAAAGTTCCTGCCAAGGTTTAGGATATTATTTTTGATGGCGGCCATTGTTAAGCTTCCAGAACCTATACCTTTAAAATGGTTAACATATAAGCCAATTTGGATAGAACAATGGCCACTGAGTAAAGAGAAACTGGAGGCTTTAGAGGACTTAGTTAATGAACAATTAGAAAAGGGACACATAGCTCCAACATTTTCCCCTTGTAATTCTTTGGTTTTCTTAATTAAGAAAAAATCAGGTAAATGGAGAATGTTAACTGACTTAAGAGCCATTAATTCAGTTATACAACCTACGGGGACATTACAGCCAGGATTGCCTTCTCCTGCTATGATTCCAAAAAATTGGCCTTTAATAGTCATAGATTTAAAAGACTGTTTCTTTACTATCCCCTTAGCTGAGCAAGACTGTGAACGGTTTGCATTTACAATTCGTGCAGTAAACAACCTGCAGCCTGCTAAGCGTTTTCATTGGAAAGTGTTGCGACAAGGCATGTTAAACAGTCCAACGATTTGCCAGACTTGTGTAGGGCAAGCAATTGAACCTACTCATAAAACATTTTCACAGTGTTACATTATTCATTATATGGATGATATACTTTGTGCTGCCCCTACTCGAGAAATATTACTCCAATGTTATGATCATTTGCAAAATTCAATTTCTGGTGCTGGTTTAATTATAGCTCCTAACAAAATCCAGATTACTACTCTTTACTCCTACTTGGGAACCTTAGTAAATGACATTACCATTGTGCTACAGAAAGTAGCCATACGTAGGGATCAATTGAAAACATTAAATGAGACTTTCAAAAATTACTGGGGACATTAACTGGATACACCCTGCTCTAGGCATTCCTACCTATGCCATGAGTAATCTATTTTCTATCCTTAGAGGAGATCCTAGTCTCACTAGCCCTCGGCTTCCTACCTATGCCATGAGTAATCTATTTTCTATCCTTAGAGGAGATCCTAGTCTCACTAGCCCTCGGCTATGCCATGAGTAATCTATTTTCTATCCTTAGAGGAGATCCTGGTCTCACTAGCCCTCAGCAATTAACAAAAGAAACTAAGGGAGTGCCTCAGCTGATCGAAAAGCAAGTCCATAAAGCCCAAATAAATAGAACAGATCCAGAGAAGACTCGAGCTGCAGCTGATCGAAAAGCAAGGCCATAAAGCCCAAATAAATGGAACAGATCCAGAAAAGACTCAAGCTGCAGCCGATCGAAAAGCAAGGCCATAAAGCCCAAATAAATAGAATCAATGCAGAGAAGACTCAAGCTGCAGCTGATCGAAAAGCAAGGCCATAAAGCCCAAGTAAATAGAATCGATCCAGAGAAGACTCGAGCTGCAGCTGATCGAAAAGCAAGGCCATAAAGCCCAAGTAAATAGAATCGATCCAGAGAAGACTTGAGCTGCAGCTGATCGAAACGCAAGGCCGTAAAGCCCAAATCAATAGAATCGATCCAGAGAAGACTCGAGCTGCGGCTGATCAAAAAGCAAGGCCGTAAAGCTCAAATCAATAGAATAGATCCAGAGAAGACTTGAGCTGCAGCTGATCGAAAAGCAAGGCCATAAAGCCCAAGTAAATAGAATAGTTCCAGAGAAGGCTCTAGATTTGCTAATTTTTCCAACTCCACATTCACCTACTGGTGTTATTGTTCAAGAGCAAGATTTTGTAGAATGGCTTTTTCTTCCACATACTAATTCATGGACTCTAGAGAAGGCTCTAGATTTGCTAATTTTTCCAACTCCACATTCAGCTACTGGTGTTATTGTTCAAGAGCAAGATCTTGTAGAATGGCTTTTTCTTCCACATACTAATTCATGGACTCTAACTCCTTATTTGGATCAAATTGCTACTATGATAGGAAATGGGAGAACTTGGATTGTTAAATTACATGGATATGATCCTGAAAAAATTGTCCCTCTCACGAAGGCACAAATACAGCAAGATTTTTTAAATAGTCTTACTTGGCAAACCCATTTAGCTGACTTTGTGGGTATTCTTGATATTTTCCTAAAATGAAACTGTTTCAATTTTTGAAATTAACTAATTGGATTCTCCCTAAAATAACTAAATTTAAACCAAATGAAGATGCAGAGAATGTTTTTACAGATGGGTCTAGTAATGGTAAAGCTTCTTACTCTGGCTCGAAAGGTAAAGTTTTCTAGACACCCTATGCTTCAGCTCAAAAAGTGGAGCTTGTAGCTGTAATTGAGGTATTGACTGCTTTTAATATGCTTATTAATGTGATTTCTGGTTCTTCATACATGGTTCATTCCACACAATTAATTGAAAATGCTGAGTTACGATTTCATACAGATGAACAACTGATGACTTTATTTATGCAATTGCAAACAGCAGTTAGGAGTAGAATGCACCCTTTTTACATCACTCACATTAGGGCTCATACACCTCTTCCAGGACCTTTGACTGCAGGGAATCAAATGGCTGATCGCCTAGTTGCTACTGCAATATCTAATGCTAGACACTTTCACAATTTAACCCGTGTTAATGCCTCTGGTCTCAAACGCAGATACAGCAGTACCCGGAAAGAAGCTAAAGCTATTATCCAGCGATGCCCAACTTGCCAAATGGTACATTCCTCATCTTTTACAGGAGGAGTTAATCCTCGAAGATTGGAACCTAATTCTCTTTGGGAAATGGATGTCACACATGTTCCCTCGTTTGGGAGACTAGCTTATGTACATGCATGTGTGGACACCTTTTCACTTTGGGCTGCATGCCAATCAGGAGAGTCTTCTGCCTACGTTAAACGTCACCTTTTGCAGTGTTTTGTGGTAATTGGCATTCTAGCTTCTATTAAAACAGATAACGCCCCAGGCTATACTAGCCAAGCTCTAGCTACATTTTTCTCTATACGGAATATTAAACACATTACTGGTATCCCTTATAATTCTCAAGGACAAGCCATAGTGGAAAGAATGAATCTTTCCCTGAAACAGCAGCTGCAAAAGTAAAAGGGGGAAAACAGGGACTACGGGACACCCCATATGCAATTGAATCGCATTATTTAAATTTTTTGAGCCTGCCTAAAGGCCAGATCTTATCAGCAGCTGAACAGCATCTACAGAAACCAGCTGCAAAGACAGAAGCAGAACAACTGGTTTGGTGGAGAGACCTGATAATAAAAAGTTGGGAAATAGGTAAAATAATAACTTGGGGTAGAGGTTATGCTTATGTTTCTCCAGGACGGAACCATCAAGACACCTGAAACCTTATGAGCTGACACTGAGGAAGAGATTCTGGGAGGATCCCGAGGACCCCTCGGTTGCAGCCATGTCAAGACTGATGCTGAGGAGGACCCCAACTGTCATGAGCAACACCCGTCGAACACAGCCACCCACCTGAGGTCAGATCAAGAAGCTGTCACAGATGGCAGAAGAAAACCTGAGGAAAGCGGGACAACCAGTCACAATGAGTAATTTAATGGTAGCTGTGATAGCAGTGATCACCATTGCCATGAGTATTCCTTCAACAAGGGCTGACACAGAGAACAATTATACTTATTGGGCATATTTATCAATCTTGGCTGGCAAGAATGCCTGGATGTAATCACTCTATGATGCAGTTACACATGCTTTCTGATCTCAGTATTTACCATGATAAATCTGCTTCTATAATTGAGGCATACCGCCCTCAAAAACCTATCTGTAAACAGGATTGGACCCAGTCAGAGAAAATGAACGTACATGTTTGGGAAGATTGCATTGCAGAACAGGCAGGGGTGCTGGCAACGATTCCTATGGAATCATTATTGATTGATCTCCTAAGGGGATGTTTAGCTTGAATTGCACCTCTCTGTCTGCGTGCCACGGCCACACTATGTTCAGCTGGTCTGAACAAAATTGTCAGATGGTAGAAATGATAAGAAATACGGCAAGGGTTCCTATTATCTGGAACCATGGCGGTGTAGTGGCACCTCAACCTCAAATGGTATGGCCCTTTGTAGGAGCTAAACATAAGGATTTGTGGAAACTGTTAATAGCTCTTAATAAGATCAAAATTTGGGAAAGAATAAAAAAGCATCTAGAAGGACACCGTACAAACTTGTCTTTGGATATTGCAAAATTGAAAGAACAGATATTTGAAGCATCCCAGCACACCTGACCTTAATGCCAGGAACTGGAGTGCTTGAAGGAGCTGCAGACAGATTAGCAGCTGGTAATCCATTAAAATGGATAAAAACACTTGGAAGCTCTGTGATTTCAATGAAGATTGTGCTTTTAATCTGTGTTATTTGTATAGTCTGCAGATGTGGATCCTGACTCTGCAAGAAGTAGCTCACCGTAACAAAGCTGCCTTTGCTTTTATCACTTTGCAAAACAAATAAAGGGGACACGTTGGGAACAGGCCCCCCAATGTGGCCATAAACTGTCCCCAAAACTGGCCATAAACAAAATCTCTGCAGCACTCTGACATGCTCTTGATGGCCATGATGCCCACGCTGGAAGGTTGTCGGTTTACTGGAATGAGGGCAAGGGACACCTGGCCCACCCAGGGTGGAAAACCGTTTAAGGCATTCTTAAACCACAAACAATAGCATGAGCGATCTGTGCCTTAAGGACATTTTCCTGCTGCAGATAACTAGCCAGAGCCCATCCTTTTGTTTCCCGTAAGGAATACTTTTAGTAAATCTTATCACTGGCTTGCTGTCAATAAATATGTGGGTAAATCTCTGTTCAAGGCTCTCAGCTCTGAAGGCTGTAAGACCCCTGATTTCCCACTTCACATGCTGTATTTCTGTGTGTGTGTCTTTAATTCCTCCAGCACCGCTGGGTTAGGGTCTCCACAACCGAGCTGGTCTCAGCAGTAAATATTGAAAAGGAATAGATACAATTGTCATTATTTACAGATAGAATTTCCAAACAATTCCCAGGGAATAAACTGAAAAACTAACAGAAACAAAACAAGAATGTAGTAAGGTGTCTGGATAAGAGATTTGTATCTAAAAATCAGTAGCTTTACAATGTGCCAGCAGTAGTCTGCTCAGACATCAGTAAATATCTCATTCACATTTCAAAAAAAATTGAAAATGCCCTGAAATAATGTAACCAGAAATACGAAAAAAAGGATATGAAAACATGTGGCTGCTAATGGACATGAAAGAATGTAATACTAGATTCTGAGATGCAATGTTTTTCATTTGTTCTTCCTGAAAAACCATTAGGTTGATGTGCATTACAGTGTTACGATTATGTATGAGTCTAAGGAAAATCAGATGAAATGTCCAAATTAAACCATGAAGGTGCATTGGTAGAGGAAGAGAAAATTAGGGTCAGTGGAGCAAAGCACAGTTAGAGGGAGAAGCAAGGAGGAGGAGGGATCACTGAGGTGGTGCCTGTCCCACAGGAAGCAAAAGCTGACGCCTAGTTCCCAGCATACCTACAGTAAACTTCAGGTCCACTGCATAGCACGTCTCTCATCACAGTAAAACTATGAAGGAACTCAGTGTACAAGGAGCTTCTACAAGATAGGCAGAAGACAGTAGCCAGATGGGCCAAGGGCCCCAGCCACCCACGCCCCTCCCTCTCCTTGAAGACGTGCAGCTCCAACACCACCATCACCAGGGCTCTGCTCAGCTCCTCCTAGTGTGTATCACCACAGGGCTGCTGGCTTGTGTCACGTTCACCACCAGACCCCGCGTCAGGAGTCCCGCCAGGGGTGTGGAGAGGCAGCGCTGCCTGGTTGGCCGTGGAGCTGTATGGAACATGGTGCCTCACAGGCAGTCTGCTTGGAGTCCTGGACCCTGGCTGTATCCTGCTGGAAAGGATGTGTGTGGGTCTAAGATGTGTATGTAATAGAAACATTTATTTATTCAGAAGCTTTAGTCAAAACTTCATTTTTAAGTTTGGAGTAATAAACTCATAGTCTGAATTTCCTAATTTTTCTGTTTAATTTATGTAACTTTTAAGTGAAATGCAAAACAACAGGTCTAAAAGTTAAGCAGTTCTTGGTATGGCTGCTTCTATGGATTAAAAGTTTACAAATAATATTTTGTGCCACAGTCAATGCAAAATCATGCTGCCGTGTTCCGTGTGGGAAGCGTGTTGCAAGAAGGTTGTGGGAAAATCAGCAAGCTCTATGGAGACCTAAAGCACCTGAAGACGTTCGACCGGGGTGAGCAGACAGTGGGCTCTGTGCACACTGTTGGGCCCTTCCTTCTGCAGGGTGGGCTGGTGTCTGTCCCGTCAGTGCTGACTTAGTTCCGTGCTTGCTGTCTGGATGGGTCCTGGCCCACAGCTATAAAGCCACAACCAGTGACTCCATGGACTAGCAGGCCCAGGCTGACAGCTCGGAGGGCCCATGTGACTGGGTCCCGCCTGCCCCTGATGGAACTTTTTGTGTCCCCAGGAATGGTCTGGAACACGGACCTGGTGGAGACCCTGGAGCTGCAGAACCTGATGCTGTGTGCGCTGCAGACCATCTACGGAGCAGAGGCACGGAAGGAGTCACGGGGCGCGCATGCCAGGGAAGACTACAAGGTGGGCCTTCTCACCACGCCCACCTGCACCTGCCTTTTCCTGCCACCTGGTGGGACTCAGCCCCACCCCTGCATTTTCTCTGCATTTTCTTTCGTTGCCCCAAAAGTAAATCCAAAAAATGCCTTTTTCCCCCCTGGTAACTTTGATCCCTGGGTTCTCGCCATCTTCTGGATCACTGTGACCTTTTCCTTGCTTTGGGTCGGCATCCACTGATGCCAGCAGTGGCATCTCCAAGCCAATGTGCTTTGCTGTTAGAAGGCCAAGGTTAGAAGTGCAGCTAGAGTGGCAAGACCAGGAAATAAATGCCAGTTTATTAAATAACGAGTAAGCCATCATTTCAAGCCTGCCCTGTGGAGGAAATGCCAGTTTATTAAATAACGAGTAAGCCACCGTTTCAAACCTGCCCTGTGGAGGAAATGCCAGTTTATTAAATAACGAGTAAGCCACCGTTTCAAACCTGCCCTGTGGAGGAAATGCCAGTTTATTAAATAACGAGTAAGCCACCGTTTCAAGCCTGCCCTGTGGAGGAAATGCCAGTTTATTAAATAACGAGTAAGCCACCGTTTCAGACCTGCCCTGTGGTGGAAATGCCAGTTTATTAAATAACGAGTAAGCCACTGTTTCAAACCTGCCCTGTGGAGGAAATGCCAGTTTATTAACGAGTAAGTCACTGTTTCAAACCTGTCCTGTGGAGGAAATGCCAGTTTATTAACGAATAAGCCACCGTTTCAAACCTGCCCTGTGAAGGAAATGCCAGTTTATTAAATAAGGAGTAAGCCACCGTTTCAAGCCTGCCCTGTGGAGGAAATGCCCGTTTATTAAATAACGAGTAAGCCACCGTTTCAAGCCTGCCCTGTGGAGGAAATGCCCGTTTATTAAATAAGGAGTAAGCCACCATTTCAAGCCTGCCCTGTGGAGGAAATGCCAGTTTATTAAATAACGAGTAAGCCACCGTTTCAAGCCTGCCCTGTGGAGGAAATGCCAGTTTATTAAATAACGAGTAAGCCACCATTTCAAACCTGCCCTGTGGAGGAAATGCCAGTTTATTAACGAGTAAGTCACCGTTTCAAACCTGCCCTGTGGAGGAAATGCCAGTTTAGTAACGAGTAAGTCACCGTTTTAAGCCTGTCCTGTGGAGGAAATGCCAGTTTATTAACGAGTAAGCCACCGTTTCAAACCTGCCCTGTGGAGGAAGTGCCAGTTTATTAAATAATGAGTAAGTCACCGTTTCAAGCCTGCCCTGTGGAGGAAATGCCAGTTTATTAAATAACGAGTAAGTCACCGTTTCATACCTGCCCTGTGGAGGAAATGCCAGTTTATTAACGAGTAAGCCACCGTTTCAGACCTGCCCTGTGGAGGAAAATGCCAGTTTATTAACAAGTAAGTCACTGTTTCAGACCTGCCCTGTGGATGAAATGCCAGTTTATTAATGAGTAAGTCACCATTTCAGACCTGCGCTGTGGAGGAAATGCCAGTTTATTAAATAAGGAGTAAGCCACCATTTCAGACCTGTCCTGTGGTTTGGAAAAGGTATTATAGAGCCTGCCCTGTGGTCACTTGTTCTTCAGATGAACTGATTTTTGTGCAGAGCGCACGTGTTGGATTCTGCCTGGTAAGAGTTTTTCCCATATGATAGCAAAAAACGACGGAAAGGGAAGCTTGGGATGCAAATGCAAGTTCAGGATAAACCACATCAGCAAAAGGACAAAGGCTCCACAAGGCAGGCGCACAGGCTGGTTCAGGACCGTGTGTAGGCGGCTGGTGGCAGCCTTTCCAGTCAGCTGAACATGGTGAATGGGAAAATCATTTTTATTCACCATGAAATTTTACTGATTTACCCTCCACTAGAATATGCTGATGGCTGTGATCACTGCTCAGAACTTGCTCTTGTCTCCTTGTATGTATTAAGAGTTTCCTGCAAAGTATATGAATCCGTGTTTGCCAGAATACAGAATAATAGTAAATTTATTATTTTTATTTTTATTTTTTTGAGAAGGAATCTCACTGTCCCCCAGGCTGGAGTGCAGTGGCGTGATCTCAGCTCACTGCAACCTCTGCCTCCCGGGTTCAAGTGATTCTCCTGCCTCAGCCTCCCAAGCAGCTGGGATTACAGACACACTGCCACCATGCCTAATTTTGTATTTTCAGTAGAGATGGGGTTTCACCATATTGGCCGGGCTGGTCTCGAACTCCTGACCTCAAGTGAACCACCCACCTCGGCCTCCCAAAGTGCTAGGGTTACAGGCATGAGCCACTGTGCCTGGCCAGTGCATAAATTTAGTTGGTCACAGTCAGTTTTAATTAGAATAGAAGCCAGGTGCAGTGCCTCACACCTGTAATCCCAGCATTTGGGAGGCTGAGGCAGGCCAATGACTTGAGCCCCAGAGTTGTAGACCAGCCTGGGCAACATGGCGAAACGTGTCTCTACAAAAACATAAAAAATGAGCCAGGTGTGGTGGTAGCACAGGAGGCTGAGGCAGGAGGATTGATTGAGCCTGGGAAGTCAAGGCTCCGGCAAGCTGTGATCACACCACTGCACTCCAGCCCAGGTGACATAGCCAGACCCTGTCTCAAAAAAAAAATTTTTTTTTAATAAAAACAGGCTGAAAGAAAAGATTGAGGTAGTCTCCCAGCACATGGAGCAAAAAGACAAAGTATTTGATAAACTCTTAGGTACATAAAGGATGCTTAAGGGAACATGCGGACATGGATTACTGTGGACTCACTGCTGGCTGCACACCCCCTGGCCAGCCATGCGGCCTCCGTGGGTTCTGAACATGTTGATGGTGCCAACCTCCTGGGCTGAAGTGGAAATGGAATGAGTTCTAGGGCATCTGTCTCTTAGATCATGTTAATGTCTGCTGTGTTTTTTCTGTATTGCTCTGTTAGAGTAATAAGAAACGTGATGGTGTTTCTGGCCTCAGGTGCGGATTGATGAGTACGATTACTCCAAGCCCATCCAGGGGCAACAGAAGAAGCCCTTTGAGGAGCACTGGAGGAAGCACACCCTGTCCTATGTGGACGTTGGCACTGGGAAGGTCAGTGTGGAGCTCGTTCTCACCACAGCCCAGCACCCACACGGCCCCGCCCAGGCCTGCGGGCTGGCCTTGCTGATGGTGAACGGGGAAGAGCAGGCCAGATTTAAATCAACTCCCGACAGATTCGAGGCACCGCTGAAAAAGGCACTCCGACAGCAGTCGGGCTTCGGGCTGGAAACAGAATCCAGTTCCTGCAGGTGGTTCAGAGGAGCCTTAAGGAAGGGTTGCTCCGTGGTGTGCGCCAGATGGACGTCACTGGGCAGGAGCAAGTGTCCAAGGCCTGGTGGTAGGGGAGGAGATGATGATTGTGGACCTAGCGAGAAAGCATCTGTGGGGTGGGGACACACAGCCATTACCAGAAACCAGTCCCACGTTAAGGGAGCCCAGAAGAGACACCTCCCCTCTCCTCCCACGGGCTGGGCCAACTGGAAGCGTCTGCAGGGGAGCTGAGGGGATGTGGTGCAGCCTTTAGCATCCCCTGGGCACTGAGCAAGCAGAGAAGGGCAGAAATGGAGGTGGGGTTGGGGTGAGCAGTGTCCTGGGAACAGCCAGCCGAGGGTGTGGTAGGGGGTCGCAGCCTTTTTCCACACACGGTGAGCAGCGTCCTGGGAACAGCCAGCCGAGGGTGTGGTAGGGGGGTCGCAGCCTTGTTCCACACAAGCACAGTTCACCTGTGTGGCATTTCCGCTGGGCATTAAGATTCAGAAATAATGAAGATAGAAAGCTTTTACCCTTAAACTTTTCATAGCTTGTAAGAGTCGTATAATCACTTAGCTGTGTCTGTGGAAGTTACCTTTGGACTCTCACTATCATCTAGTGTGTCTGTGATTCAGGCAGTAGGTCATTTTCAGGACTTCTCATGAAGGCCATTTCTTGATAGTGTATAGAAATCACACTTCACTCGCTTAGCACAAGTCTATTTTTAATGTTTCCGGGTTCGGGTTTTTTGGTTTTTTTTTGTTTTTCTGAGATAGAGTCTCATCTCTGTTGCCCAGGCTGATATGTGTTGGCTTGATCTCGTCTCACTGCAGCCTCAACCTCCCCCAGGCTCAGGTGATCCTCCCACCTCAGCTTCCTGGGCACATGGCACCATGCCTGGCTAATTTTTATATGTTTTGTAGAGATGGGGTTTCTCCACGTTGCCCAGGCTAGTCTTGAACTCCTGCGCTCAAGTGATCCACCTGTCTTGGCCTCCCAACAGGCATGAACCAACACCCCCAGCCAGTTTTAGTGATTTTTCAAGAAATACATACTCATTTTAGAAAGTACAAAGAGATTGAAATAAGAGCTCACTAACCAGAGACGACCCATTATGGTTTAAATTTCTTTGTATATGTGCCTACCTTTTCCTGTGTGTGCATATTTAATACACAGCTTGAGTATTCCTTCTCTGAAATCCTTGGGACCAGAAGCGTTGTGGATTTCAGGCTTGTTCAGACTTTGGAATATTTGCATTATACTTACTGTCTGAGCATCCCTAATCGGAAGATCTGACTCCATAGCACATTTCTTTTGAATGTCATGCTGGTGCTCAGAAAGTTTCAGATTTTAGAGAATTTCAGATTTTTGGATTAGGGATGTTCAACCTATATAAATATTTACTTTGAAGTAGAAAAACTGGAAGTAGATGGTTTAAACATAAAGTGTCTTGGTATAGACAAGGGTTCTCCCACTTTACATGATGGGAGCATTTTTGTAAAGCACTGAGAATCTTAAAGTTCACATGCCATAAATCTACTTTTATAGTTAAAATTTTTCAAAAGGAACACAAGAGATGGCTTTTTGTACATTTTTGTGCTTAACTTACCACTGACTCTTCTTTTCAAGGTCACTCTGGAATATAGACCCGTGATCGACAAAACTTTGAACGAGGCTGACTGTGCCACCGTCCCGCCAGCCATTCGCTCCTACTGATGAGACAAGATGTGGTGATGACAGAATCAGCTTTTGTAATTATGTATAATAGCTCATGCATGTGTCCATGTCATAACTGTCTTCATACGCTTCTGCACTCTGGGGAAGAAGGAGTACATTGAAGGGAGATTGGCACCTAGTGGCTGGGAGCTTGCCAGGAACCCAGTGGCCAGGGAGCGTGGCACTTACCTTTGTCCCTTGCTTCATTCTTGTGAGATGATAAAACTGGGCACAGCTCTTAAATAAAATATAAATGAACAAACTTTCTTTTATTTCCAAATCCATTTGAAATATTTTACTGTTGTGACTTTAGTCATATTTGTTGACCTAAAAATCAAATGTAATCTTTGTATTGTGTTACATCAAAATCCAGATATTTTGTATAGTTTCTTTTTTCTTTTTCTTTTCTTTTTTTTTTTTGAGACAGGATCGGTGCAGTAGTACAATCACAGCTCACTGCAGCCTCAAACTCCTGGGCAGCTCAGGTGATCTTCCTGACTCAGCCTTCTGAGTAGTTGGGGCTACAGGTGTGCACCACCATGCCCAGCTCATTTATTTTGTAATTGTAGGGACAGGGTCTCACTGTGTTGCCTAGGCTGGTCTCAAGTGATCCTCCCTCCTTGGCCTCCCAAGGTGCTGGAATTATAGGTGTGAACAAACCACCATGCCTGGCCTTGTAGTTTATTTCTAAGTTCAAATTAATGTTGGTGCCTGAGAACGAATGGAGAAAACTAACATTTCCTCCTTTTTCTTGGCAGACGGTTTACTAGGTGAGTGTGTCCTTGATTATTCAAATCAGGGGTCCCCAATCCCCAGGCCACAGATTGTTACCAGTCCATGGCCTGTTAGGAACCAGGCCGCACAGTAGGAGGTGAGCAGTGGGCCGGTGAGCTACTGTGTGAGCTCCACCCCCTGCCAGAGCATTACTGTGAACTCCGCCACCTGTCAGAGCATTACTGTGTGAGCTCCGCCCCCTGCCAGAGCATTACTCTGTGAACACCACCTGTCAGAGCATTACCGTGTGAGCTCCGCCTGCTGCCAGAGCATTACTCTGTGAGCTCCGCCTCCTGTCAGAGCGTTACCGTGAGCTCCGCCCCCTGTTGGAGCATTACTGTGTGAGCTCCGCGCCCTGCCAGAGCATTACTGTGTGAGCTCCGCCCCTGCCAGAGCATTACCTTGTGAGCTCCACCCCCTGCCAGAGCATTACTGGGTGAGCTCCACCCCCTGCCAGAGCATTACTGGGTGAGCTCCACCCCCTGCCAGAGCATTACTGTGAGCTCCGCCTCCCGACAGCATTACCGTGTGAGCTCCGCGCCCTGCCAGAGCATTACTGTGTGAGCTCCGCCCCTGCCAGAGCATTACCTTGTGAGCTCCACCCCCTGCCAGAGCATTACTGGGTGAGCTCCACCCCCTGCCAGAGCATTACTGTGTGAGCTCCGCCTCCTGCCATAGCATTACTGTGAGCTCCGCCTCCCGACAGCATTACCGTGTGAGCTCCGCCCCCGTTAGAGCATTACTGTGTGAGCTCCACCCCCTGCCAGAGCATTACTGGGTGAGCTCCGCCCCTGCCAGAGCATTACCTTGTGAGCTCCACCCCCTGCCAGAGCATTACTGGGTGAGCTCCACCCCCTGCCAGAGCATTACTGTGTGAGCTCCGCCTCCTGCCATAGCATTACTGTGAGCTCCGCCTCCCGACAGCATTACCGTGTGAGCTCCGCCCCCGTTAGAGCATTACTGTGTGAGCTCCACCCCCTGCCAGAGCATTACTGGGTGAGCTCCACCCCCTGCCAGAGCATTACCGTGAGCTCCGCCCCCTGTCAGAGCATTACTGTGAGCTCCGCCCCATGTTAGAGCATTACTATGTGAGCTCCGCCCCCTGCCAGAGCATTACTGTGAGCTCCGCCCCCCTGTCAGAGCATTAGTGTGTGAGCTCCTCCTCCTGTCAGAGCCTTACCGTGAGCTCCGCCCCCTGCCAGAGCATTACCGTTTGAGCTCCGCCTCCTGTCAGAGCATTACTGTGAGCTCCATCTCTTGTCAGAGCATTACCGTGTGAGCTCCACCCCCTGCCAGAGCATTACCGTGTGAGCTCCGCCCCCTGCCAGAGCATTACTGTGAGCTCCTTCTCCTCTCAGAGCCTTGCCGTGAGCTCCGCCCCCCGCCAGAGCATTACCGTGTGAGCTCCGCCTCCTGCCAGAGCATTACCGTGTGAGCTCCGCCTCCCGCCAGAGCATTACCGTGTGAGCTCCGCCTCCTGTCACAGCATTACCGTGTGAGCTCCGCCTCCCGCCAGAGCATTACCGTGTGAGCTCCGCCTCCCGTCCGAGCATTACCGTGTGAGCTCCGCCCCCCGCCACAGCATTACCGTGTGAGCTCCGCCTCCCGTCACAGCATTACCGTGTGAGCTCCGCCCCCTGCCAGAGCATTACTGTGAGCTCCTTCTCCTCTCAGAGCCTTGCCGTGAGCTCCGCCCTCCGCCAGAGCATTACCGTGTGAGCTCCGCCTCCCGTCCGAGCATTACCGTGTGAGCTCCGCCTCCCGTCCGAGCATTACCGTGTGAGCTCCGCCTCCCGTCACAGCATTACCGTGTGAGCTCCGCCTCCCGCCAGAGCATTACCGTGTGAGCTCCGCCTCCCGCCACAGCATTACCGTGTGAGCTCCGCCTCCCGTCAGAGCATTACCGTGTGAGCTCCGCCTCCCGTCCGAGCATTACCGTGTGAGCTCCGCCTCCCGTCACAGCATTACCGTGTGAGCTCCGCCTCCCGTCAGAGCATTACCGTGTGAGCTCCGCCTCCCGTCCGAGCATTACCGTGTGAGCTCCGCCTCCCGTCACAGCATTACCGTGTGAGCTCCGCCTCCCGCCAGAGCATTACCGTGTGAGCTCCGCCCCCCGCCAGAGCATTACCGTGTGAGCTCCGCCCCCCGCCAGAGCATTACCGTGTGAGCTCCGCCCCCCGCCACAGCATTACCGTGTGAGCTCCGCCTCCCGTCACAGCATTACCGTGTGAGCTCCGCCTCCCGACAGAGCATTACCGTGTGAGCTCCGCCTCCTGCCAGAGCATTACCGTGTGAGCTCCGCCTCCTGTCACAGCATTACCGTGTGAGCTCCGCCTCCCGCCAGAGCATTACCGTGTGAGCTCCGCCTCCCGTCACAGCATTACCGTGTGAGCTCCGCCTCCCGCCAGAGCATTACCGTGTGAGCTCCGCCTCCCGTCCGAGCATTACCGTGTGAGCTCCGCCTCCCGCCAGAGCATTACCGTGTGAGCTCCGCCCCCCGCCACAGCATTACCGTGTGAGCTCCGCCTCCCGTCCGAGCATTACCGTGTGAGCTCCGCCTCCCGTCCGAGCATTACCGTGTGAGCTCCGCCTCCCGCCAGAGCATTACCGTGTGAGCTCCGCCTCCCGTCCGAGCATTACCGTGTGAGCTCCGCCTCCCGTCACAGCATTACCGTGTGAGCTCCGCCTCCCGTCACAGCATTACCGTGTGAGCTCCGCCTCCCGTCAGAGCATTACCGTGTGAGCTCCGCCTCCCGCCAGAGCATTACCGTGTGAGCTCCGCCTCCCGCCAGAGCATTACCGTGTGAGCTCCGCCTCCCCACAGAGCATTACCGTGTGAGCTCCGCCTCCCGGCAGAGCATTACCGTGTGAGCTCCGCCTCCCGTCAGAGCATTACCGTGTGAGCTCCGCCTCCCGTCAGAGCATTACCGTGTGAGCTCCGCCTCCCGTCAGAGCATTACCGTGTGAGCTCCGCCTCCCGTCAGAGCATTACCGTGTGAGCTCCGCCTCCGTCAGAGCATTACCGTGTGAGCTCCGCCTCCCGCCAGAGCATTACCGTGTGAGCTCCGCCTCCCGTCACAGCATTACCGTGTGAGCTCCGCCTCCCGCCAGAGCATTACCGTGTGAGCTCCGCCTCCCGTCAGAGCATTACCGTGTGAGCTCCGCCTCCCGCCAGAGCATTACCGTGTGAGCTCCGCCTCCCGACAGAGCATTACCGTGTGAGCTCCGCCTCCCGCCAGAGCATTACCGTGTGAGCTCCGCCTCCCGTCACAGCATTACCGTGTGAGCTCCGCCTCCCGTCACAGCATTACCGTGTGAGCTCCGCCTCCCGTCACAGCATTACCGTGTGAGCTCCGCCTCCCGTCACAGCATTACCGTGTGAGCTCCGCCTCCCGTCACAGCATTACCGTGTGAGCTCCGCCTCCCGTCAGAGCATTACCGTGTGAGCTCCGCCTCCCGTCAGAGCATTACCGTGTGAGCTCCGCCTCCCGCCAGAGCATTACCGTGTGAGCTCCGCCTCCCGACAGAGCATTACCGTGTGAGCTCCGCCTCCCGTCACAGCATTACCGTGTGAGCTCCGCCTCCCGACAGAGCATTACCGTGTGAGCTCCGCCTCCTGCCAGAGCATTACCGTGTGAGCTCCGCCTCCCGCCAGAGCATTACCGTGTGAGCTCCGCCTCCCGTCCGAGCATTACCGTGTGAGCTCCGCCTCCCGCCAGAGCATTACCGTGTGAGCTCCGCCCCCCGCCACAGCATTACCGTGTGAGCTCCGCCTCCCGTCCGAGCATTACCGTGTGAGCTCCGCCTCCCGTCAGAGCATTACCGTGTGAGCTCCGCCTCCCGCCAGAGCATTACCGTGTGAGCTCCGCCTCCCGTCCGAGCATTACCGTGTGAGCTCCGCCTCCCGTCACAGCATTACCGTGTGAGCTCCGCCTCCCGTCACAGCATTACCGTGTGAGCTCCGCCTCCCGTCACAGCATTACCGTGTGAGCTCCGCCTCCCGTCAGAGCATTACCGTGTGAGCTCCGCCTCCCGTCACAGCATTACCGTGTGAGCTCCGCCTCCCGTCACAGCATTACCGTGTGAGCTCCGCCTCCCCGCAGAGCATTACCGTGTGAGCTCCGCCTCCCGGCAGAGCATTACCGTGTGAGCTCCGCCTCCCGGCAGAGCATTACCGTGTGAGCTCCGCCTCCCGGCAGAGCATTACCGTGTGAGCTCCGCCTCCCGTCAGAGCATTACCGTGTGAGCTCCGCCTCCCGGCAGAGCATTACCGTGTGAGCTCCGCCTCCCGCCAGAGCATTACCGTGTGAGCTCCGCCTCCCGTCACAGCATTACCGTGTGAGCTCCGCCTCCCGTCAGAGCATTACCGTGTGAGCTCCGCCTCCCGCCAGAGCATTACCGTGTGAGCTCCGCCTCCCGTCACAGCATTACCGTGTGAGCTCCGCCTCCCCACAGAGCATTACCGTGTGAGCTCCGCCTCCCGTCACAGCATTACCGTGTGAGCTCCGCCTCCCGGCAGAGCATTACCGTGTGAGCTCCGCCTCCCGGCAGAGCATTACCGTGTGAGCTCCGCCCCCCGCCAGAGCATTACCGTGTGAGCTCCGCCCCCCGACAGAGCATTACCGTGTGAGCTCCGCCCTCCCGTCAGAGCATTACCGTGTGAGCTCCGCCTCCCGTCAGAGCATTACCGTGTGAGCTCCGCCTCCCGTCACAGCATTACCGTGTGAGCTCCGCCTCCCGTCACAGCATTACCGTGTGAGCTCCGCCTCCCGTCACAGCATTACCGTGTGAGCTCCGCCTCCCGTCACAGCATTACCGTGTGAGCTCCGCCTCCCGTCACAGCATTACCGTGTGAGCTCCGCCTCCCGTCACAGCATTACCGTGTGAGCTCCGCCTCCCGTCACAGCATTACCGTGTGAGCTCCGCCTCCCGGCAGAGCATTACCGTGTGAGCTCCGCCTCCCGTCAGAGCATTACCGTGTGAGCTCCGCCTCCCGCCAGAGCATTACCGTGTGAGCTCCGCCTCCCGACAGAGCATTACCGTGTGAGCTCCGCCTCCCGTCACAGCATTACCGTGTGAGCTCCGCCTCCCGACAGAGCATTACCGTGTGAGCTCCGCCTCCCGTCAGAGCATTACCGTGTGAGCTCCGCCTCCCGGCAGAGCATTACCGTGTGAGCTCCGCCTCCTGTCCAAGCATTACTGTGTGAGATCCGCCCCCTGTCATATCATTACTGGGCGAGCTCCGCCTCCTGCCAGATCAGTGGTGGCATTAGATTCTCATAGGAGTGGAACCCTGTTGTGAACTGCACATGCGAAGGATCTAGGTTATGCGCCGCTTATGAAAATCTAATGCTGATGATCTGAGATGGAACCGTTTCATCTCCAAACCATCCCCACCATCCCCACACTTGTCCGTGGAAAAAGTGTCTTCCATGAAACCAGTCCCTGGTGCCAACAAGGTTAGGGACCACCAGTTTAAATAACCAAATACTAAAAGAACTGGCATAGAAGTAAATGGGCTGCTGCTTTATTTTTAGGCTGTTCTTTTTAGAGAACAATGACAATTATTTCCAAGTTTGTCATTAGAAAGTAATATTAGGTTGGTGCAAAAGTAATTGCAGTTTTTGCCATTACTTTCAATGGTAAAAGCCACGATTACTTTTGCACCAACTTAATATGATAAATTTGTTCCTTAAAGTGTATTTTTGGTAAGAAAAACCTTTTGTTTTTCCTTATATTAATTTTTTGTTTTTTTTCTTGGTAGAGACAGAGTCTTGCCATGCTGCCCAGGCTGGAGTGCAGTGCTGTGATCTCGGCTCACTGCAACCTCCACCTCCGGGGCTCCAGCAATCCTCCCACCTCAGCCTCCCAAGGAGCTGAGACTACAGGTGTGAGCCACCATGCCTGGCTAATTTTTATATTTTTTACAGAGACAGGGTTTCACCATCTTGCCCAGGCTGGTCTCAAACTCCTGGGCTCAAGCAGTCCTCCTGCCTCAGCCTCCCAGAGTATTGGGATTATAGGTGTGAGCCACTGCCAGAAAAACTTTTCCTAAGACAAGGCAGGTTTTACATTATATTTAGATTTTTTTTTTAATGATGTCTTTTTTGGCAGTGCACAGCCAGAGAACAACACATCACACACAGGAAACAGTTGTGCTCATGTGATGGGGGCCTCAGCACTAGGAAGGAGCGGACTATTGGTGCACGCAGCAGCTTGAATAAATCTGAAAGTCACTATGCTGTGTAAGAGAAGCCAAATTTTAAAAGTGCATACTGTGTACAGAGGGTGTCGAGAATGCCTCCTACGTGACGGAAAGCAGATCCGTGGTTCCCTGCAGACTGGCAGGAGCAGATTCCAAAGGCACAGGAAGAAGCTTGTGGGTAGAGTGTGTTCATTATCTTCTGTGCATTACACCATAAAAAAGCTGGTCATAAAAATGCGAACCAAAAACAAAGGTGAAACTAGGATAAAATTTCTCACCTGTGTGATTGGTAAATGTGCAGGTTTGACATCATGCTTTGTTTATGAAGCTGTGGGATACAAGGACTCTCATACGTCACTGTGGAATGCAGAACATTGCAACCTCATGGAAGAGGATTTGGCAGCATCTAACAAAAGTATGTGGCATTTGCCCTTTGACTCAGCAATTCTAGACTGCCTCAAAAAAAACTCTGGCAAAAAAATGAAAGGACTTTACTCACAGAGTTCTTTTCACGCCTAAATATGTTTGCAACCAAGTTCTTCACTGTGGCATTTGTAAAACTGGAAACAATCAAAATGTCCATCAGTAGGGGATTAGGAACATTAATTCGTACAGTGGGGAACTCAGTACCAGAAGGAGGGATGAGGAAGACCTATTGATAAGGGGCAGAGTACATATCATATAATGCAAATATATATTTGCTTTTTCTTAAAACAGTACAAAGATAAAAAACTAAAGTGGTTGCTGTGGAGGACAGGGGTCAATGGTGGAAGTGAGACTGAAATAGACTCTGAAGTAATATCTGGACTTTGAAATTATAAGTGTTTTACATATTACCAAACTAAGTTTTAAGATAGTCCCTAAAATTGAAAGAATAGTATCTGAAATGAATGAATCTAAATTCCTTGGATTGTCTTCTGCAGGTGCCAACCCTGAGACCAAAATTTGGAAGGTGGCCCTGAGCAGCAGCTGAAGGGAAGCGGGAGGTAAGACAGGAAAGAGGTGAGGGCACAGGGTGTCTGGGAGCCGGATCCCACGTGGGCAGCTGGGCCCGTGCTCATTGTGGGAGCTGGTGCATTCCTTCACCAGCCCACGCTCCACAGGGTCAGGATGGTCAATTCCGGGCACCCCGGCCTAATCCAGGACATGCTCCTGCCACCAGAGAAAGCCCCTAGGCAGCATCCCGGGTGCTGGTGGTGTCAGAATCAAGTTTGAGTCTGAGGAGTGACCTGGGGCTGGCTGGGCTAGGCAGCATCACAGGGTTCTGCAGCCCAACTGCACATCAGGCTGGTGACAGTCACACAGCCTATTACTTCGTGTGTCATCAGAGCATCGCCAGAACGCAGCACTTCAAGTATGCAGATTTAGTGAGCCATAGTTTAAAGACAAATAGAGCCACTGAAATCCTAAATTTCAATCAATCATCTCCTTGTTACTTGTCTTATTGGTATTAAGCCTTTGAAATTATCTGGGGTGGGAGTTAAAACTATAACTAATTATGTTAATGCTAAAACTAAGATTTTTCTGGCCAGGTGCGGTGGCTCACACCTGTAATCCCAGCACTTTGGGAGGCCGAGGTGGACAGATCACCTGAGGCCAGGAGTTTAAGACCAGCCTTGCCAACATGGTGAAACCCCATCTCTACTAAAATTCAAAAATTAGCTGGGCATGGTGGCAGGTGCCTGTAATCCCAGCTATTCAGGAGGCTGAGGCAGGAGAATCTCTTGAACCAGGAGGCGGAGGTTGCAGTGAGCCTAGATTGTGCCACTGCACTCTAGCCTGGGCAACAGGAACAAAACTCCATCTCAAAAAATAAAAAAAGATTTTTCTGAGAAAAAGGTGTAAAACCATATACTAAATTTGAAATAGAAATATAAGCATTAACTCTGTTGTTCCTTTCACATAGACACATTTCCTAGCTCTGCCCCAGGAGCAGTAGGCACATGAAGCACCTAGACTTGGTCTCTAATACATGAAAACCATGAATTCATAGTGATGGTTTCAAAGCCAAAACCAACCAACCAAACACATGTAATTGGTCACTCTTGGAGGTACCTAGGGCACTAACTCCTAACACTGGGAGTGGACACTTGAGGGAAGATCAGCGATTATCCCACCTTCTGTCTACAAATTGCAATCAGGGAAACCTTGCTGATTAGGAAAAGTTCTTTACAGAAGAATTCCTGCAAATAAGTGAGTAAAGAATGACAGTTTAAGAATTGTCCCAGCCTGGCCAACATAGTGAAACCCCATCTCTAAAAATACAAAACATTAGCCAGGCATGATGGTGGGTGCATGTAATCCCAGTTACTCAGGAGGCTGAGGCAGGAGAGTTGCTTGAACCCGGGAGGCGGAGGTTGCAGTGAGCCAAGAGTGCGCCATTGCACTCCAGCCTGGGCAACAAGAGCGAGATTCTGTCTCAAAAAAAAAAAAAGAGTTGTCAAATTGCCACCCCAATGCTGTGGTTCTCTAACCTGTGTAACAGGATCACCTGGAGGGACCCTACCCGAGACCTTCCGATTCAGTCCTGGGGGAACCCTACCCCAGATCTTCCGATTCAGTCCTGGGGGGACCCTACCCCAGATCTTCCGATTCAGTCCTGGGGGAACCCCACCCCAGACCTTCCGATTCAGTCCTGGAGGGACCCTACCCCAGATCTTCCGGTTCAGTCCTGGTTCGGCCTGAGAATTTGCATTTCTAACATGTCCAGGGACCACAGTTTGAAAACCTCCACAGCTGACATGTAATGGGATGACTTGGTCCAATAAATGAAGGAAAAGTAACAGGTGGCAACCTCAGGCAGCTTCATCCCAACCAGTAAGAAAGTAAATCCTTTTGTAAACTAAGAGGAAGTATTAATATGGGCGTTTGAGCAAACATTTAAGTGTTAGGACAAAGAATTAAAAACTAGCACAGGCACCCCTGAAGCATGATAGGATGGCAACAGAAGGGCTGATTTAGTTTCCAAGAAATAACTGACAGGCAGTGTTGTGTGTGTGTCTACTGCTTAGGAACCCAAAACAAACCTTCAGACCATTTTCATGAGTACTGAGACCAGGAAAACCACTGGGCAGTGGGTGGTCTGGAAATGTAAATGTTTATAGTACTCCATGGAGTACTATATGAGTCATGGAACGATGTTTCATATTGAAAATGTTTTATAAATGTGGGTTTCAAGGTTTTAAAGTGAACCCATGTGTGTGAGGAGAAAGGACACACCAAAGAAGTAAAATAATTGGGTCAATATAAAAAGAAAGTAGAATATTGCCCAGAGAGGAGATGTGGATAATTCCTAACACGGATCAAAGGTGAGCTGTGTCTAAGACAGTCAGACCTGCACCGTCCCGTGCAGTAGACACCGTGGCCGCTGTGTCTGAGATATTCAGACCCTCGCCGTCCCGTGCAGTAGACACGGTGGCCGCTGTCTGTAAGATATTCAGACCCTCGCCGTCCCGTGCAGTAGACACGGTGGCCGCTGTGTCTAAAATATTCAGTCCCGTGCAGTAGACACGGTGGCCGCTGTGTCTAAGATATTCAGACCTGCACCATCCTGAGCAGTAGCCACAGTGGCAAGTAGCCTCTGCACTGGACAGTGCAGCTACAGAATGATGCTATCACTAGAAAGTTCCATCAGCCAGCACTGATGCAGACCTTTGCAAATGCCCCTCACACTGAATAGCACCTAGCTGATAGATTGTCCACTACTCAGTGAAAAGCCTGTGTTAAAAGCAGTATTTGGTAGAAAAGCAAAAAAGGGGAAAAAATTAAAAGTGGTAAGTCATTGTCTTCCTTACTGAATTCTAGCAGAAGAATGTTGGAAGGAAGATGGGAGTCACGGGAGAAAGTATCATTGTCCCAGGACAGGAGGGGGTGCCAGGCATGGTTGGCTCTGTCCCTGGAATTCTATGGCGGGAATCTGGAAAAAGGAAAAGTGACTGGAGAAGAAAAGATTCTGTGTGCAAATGTCATGATGCAGCCATCAGTCATCCTGAGAAAATAAGCGAACAAAGTGGCTTCAGATGGATGCTGTTGGATACATGTACAGATACAATGTACACTTGCATATGCTTGTTCACACAAAGGACAGGATGGTTATCTGTTCATTTAACAAATACTTGTTGAGGGCCTATATGTGCCAAAGACATCAGATGCATAAGAGGGTGCACTATGGAAAGCCTCAGGAACACAAGTGCCCAGAAACATTTAGAAAAATTCTAATGAAAACAGAAAAGGCATTTTCAAATTAGCTGAGAGAAACGAGACCAAAGGAAAGACTGACCCAGTATTTGGATACATTATGTGATGAACCTTAATGCAGGGAGGAAAGTGTTATCTTTCAGTTAATTTCTCAACTTCTGGAGAGCTTAGAACAGACCTGGCTAGGAGGAAATTGAATCTGAGGCAGATGAGGAGATAGTGGTGCCTTGATGCTTCCAGTGATTGGGTCAGCAGAACCAGGGGTGGGAGATGATCTCTCTTTTTGTTGGCAGATGGTGGTCTCTGCTGTAGCTTTGTCCCCTGGTGACGGGACTCAGGCAGCAACCCCCATCATTGGCAATACCCCCACCTCTGAGAATGTGGAGAGGACTTGTGAAGACAATGTTGTCCCAAGCAGCACAGCCCAGGTACTGACAGGATTCAGAGCTAGAGGTTTCTTAGAGGTCAGGGTTGTAGAAGCAGCAGGGACTGCAGCTGCATAGTTTGTGTATGTAACAGGCTAGTATCTCTTGTTCTAGACTCATCCATTTGTACATTCATATGAGTATGCACGCAGGGTGTTTTTTCTTTCTTTTTTTTTTTTTGAGACGGAGTCTCACTCTGTTGCCCAGGCTGGAGTGCCTGGTGCAATCTCGGCTCACTGCAAGCTCCGCCTCCCGGGTTCACGCCATTCTCCTGCCTCAGCCTCCCAAGTAGCTGGGATTACAGGCACCTGCCACCACGTCTGGCTAATTTTTTGTATTTTTAGTAGAGACGAGGTTTCACCATGTTAGCCAGGATGGTCTTGATCCACCCGCCTCAGCCTCCCAAAGTGCTGGAATTACAGCTGTGAGCCACCGCGCCTGGCCAGGGTGTTTTTTCTTTAAACCTTAATTTCATAGTAATTAACCTCCCTTTCAAGAGTCAGCCTTGCTGCCCCTGAGATGATGCAGAAAAAGCACAAAAGGATCTGGGCTTGAATCTCCTCTTACTGCCTGCTTGGCTTTAGGCAAGTTACCTTCTCTGAACTCTAGTTTTCTCTTCAGTAAAATGTGGATATGGTGCCTTGGCATGGGGAGGATTAAACAAAGCCACATATTTAAATATTATAAGGGTGGATTATATTTAAATATTAAAAGGGTGGATTCTAGCTGGTTGCATTCATTAAGTGTGTCCTCTCTTGAATGAAGGCATTTTCTACCCCTAGAACTAAAGGGAAAGCATGACGGAGCACTCCTGGGTGCCATGGGTGATGATGGCTGTGGTACTCCAGGTTGGAGACTCGGCCAACAGTTGGTAGAGCCCAACTAACTGTTGGGAGTGGAGGCTGAGGCCTGCTGCAGTCACTGAGATGCTCCCCCTTTTAAAAAATTTTAAAATAGCCCAAGCTAGTCTTGAAGTTCTGGCCTCAAGTGATCCTCCCACCTCAGCCTCCCAAAGTACTGGGATTATAGACATGAGCCACTGCGTCTAGCACTGAGCTGTTTCTTGCTGAGGTTTCCCTGTAAGAACTTCCAAATTGGGTCACAAAATCATAGTTGTTAGTATTTTCAGAGTTCTGGAGAACAAAACAGGAGCCAGTGATGGGAGGGAGAATAAAGATGGACTTCAGAAACTACAGCTCAAAGAGCTGTGGAAGATTCTAGAAAGGATTCTTCAACAAGTGATATGAATACTTTGTCAATGAAAAGGCTGAACCTCTGTGAAATACTTGAAGAGATTTATTCTGAGCCAAATAGAGTGGCCACGCCCATGACACAGACCTCAGGAGGTGGCTGGGGTGCAACTTGGTTTTATGCATTTTAGAGGGTCGTGAGACATCAATCAAATCTATTCAAGATATACATTGGTTCAGTCCAGAAAGGCAGGACAACTCAAAGTGGGGGCTTCTGGGTTATAGGTAGATTTAAAAATGTTCTGATTGGCAATTAGTTGAGAGTTATTACCAATAGAAAGGAATGTCTGGGTTATAAGAGGTTGTGGAGACCAAAGTTTTATCAGCAGAAGAAGCCTTGGGGTAGCAGGCTTCAGAGAGAATAGATGGTGTTTCTCATTAGACTTAAGGTCTGTGTTGGCTTTCCCTGAATTCCAAAAGGGAGGAGGGCATAGTCAGCCATGTCCCACCCGCCCCCACTTCATGTCGTGGCCTGAACGGTTTTCAGGTTAATTTGGAGTGCCCTGGCCCAGAGAAGGGGTCCATTCAGATGGGGTGGGGCCTTAGAATTTTACTTTTGGTTTACAACTTTATGAAGAGACCATTAGAAACCACTTGAATTCACATCATGAAAAAAAATCCACACTGTAAAAAAGGTTTGTAGATTAACACATTAGGTGAATGCCAAAGCCACAGAATATCTAAATTTCTCTGAGGAATTTGAAAACTCTCAGGTATATGCCTTGTGGACAAGAGAGACAGAAAAATGGGACAGAGGATGAGATAGTTTGGAGAATGGATAGCTGATCAGATCTGTAGCTGTGCCCAGAGTGCTGAATAATGGATTTGCGTCCACAGGGAAGAAAGTCTCAGGTGCCACTGATAAAAGACCACGTCCTTGGCTCTGGGTCCATTCAACATCTTGGTAGACAACTGAGTGAAAATTCAGAGACAACCCTAGGAAGTATGAGGATGAAAAAAGTTAGCATTCATGGAATGAGGCACTGAAGAAACTGAAAAGCTGAAATAACCCCATGAAATAATGAGAATAATTGTAGTATTCTGAACCGGGGCACAGGACACAGGACCGGGGTGGAAGGCGGCACGAGACTACGCGCGTGGGAAAGACCCAGGGATCACAGTGGCCCAAAGCTGGGCACTTCCCAATTCCGGGATTTGTGCTACAGGCACTCCAGGCTCCACCTTAGAACTGTGTCCAGCACGAAGGCAGTGCTGTCTTGCGGGAGGCAGGGCTGCACCACCACCGGGGTGTGAAGGGGCCCAGCAGGCAGGGGTGTGAAGGGGCCCAGCAGTGTTTCCAGCTGCACGGGGTCAGGGGCCGCGCTGATGCAGAGCACGGGGGCGCAGGTTAAACCTAAAGGAGGGAAGCTTTTGGGGGCGGAACAGACAACCGAGAATGCTGCACACTGCCTTTCCCACCCGAATTGTGTTTTGACTTTTTTTTTTTTTTTTTTTTGAGACAGAGTTTTGCACTTGTTGCCCAGGCCTGGAGTGCAATGGCCCGATCTCGGATCACTGCAACCTCCTCCTCCCGGTTTCAAGCAATTCTCCTGCCTCAGCCTCCCGAGTAGCTGGGATTACAGGTGTGCACCATCACGCCCGGTTAGTTTTGTATTTTTAGTAGATACGGGGTGTCTCCCAATTGGCCAAGGCTGGTCTCGAACTCCCGACTTCAGGTAATCCACTGGCCTTGGCCTCCCAAAGTGCTGGGATTACAGGCGTGAGCCACCGCGCCCGGCCTGCTTTTGCTTTCTTTTTTTTTTTTTTTTTTTTGGCAGAGTCTCGCTGTCCACCCCTGTAGTGCAGTGAGCTCGGCTCCCTGCGGCCTTGACCTCCCGGGCTCAGGCAATCCTCCCGCCTCAGCCCACGGAGTAGATGGGACCACAGGAGCCCACCACGCCCGACTACTTTTTGTAATTTTTGTAGGGATGGGGTCTATCCATGCTGCCCAGGCTGGTCCGAACTGCTGGGCTCAAGAGCTCCGCCCGCCTCCGCCTCCCAAAGGGCAGGGATCACAGGTGTGAGCTACCGCGCCCCGCCCAGAGTTTCCGACTGTTAGCAAATCACATTCACCTCAAAACTATTTATACAAGAACTGAAAGGCAAACTAAGTCCGTGCTCCATCACTTCCTGTCCCAGGTCGCGGGGCCGGACATTTTCTCCAAGCGCTTTCCTGGCACAGCGCGCAGGCGGCCTGCGCCAAAGCTCTGGCTTCCTCCAGGCGCCCAGACCCCGCCCTCCCCGCAGGCGCCAGGGCGTTGCCTGGCAACTTAGCTGCGAGGGGATTGGCTGCGCGGGACCCCGTGACCATCCCGGAGACCACGCATTTCCTGCGCCCCCGGAAGTGGTGATAATGCCAGGCCCTGCCCCCGGCAGAGGCGGAAGCGGAGTCGGCCTGAGAGGTCTCTCGTCGCTGCAGGCGCCTCAGCCCAGCCGCGTGCCTTGGCCCATGGCCGCCTACTCTTACCGCCCCGGCCCTGGGGCCGGCCCTGGGCCTGCTGCAGGCGCGGCGCTGCCGGACCAGAGCTTCCTGTGGAACGTTTTCCAGAGGTGCGGCCTGGCACCGCCCGGGCACCTCCCGCCTCCGCCGCGGCGGCCCCGACCCCTGTCCCGACTCCCCCGACCAACCCCGTTCCCTGCCGGTTCTACTGCGGCCTCCTCCGTCCCCTGTCGGGTCCCCCGCGGCCCCCTCCCGTCCCCTGCCGCCGCCCCCGACCCCTGCCCCAGCCGACGCGGCCGCCCCCGTCCCCTGGCGGGTCCCCCGCGGTCTCCCCCGTCCGCTGCCCGGTCTCCTGGGGCCGCCCCTGCCTCCTGCCCGGTCCCTGTCCTGTGCGTCGGGCCCTTCCCAAGATGCAGAGTGCGCCACTGCAGACCCGAGGTCGCGGCCACCGGCTCCTGGGCTAGGCCCTTTTTCTCGCCTCAAGAGCCGCCAGGTGGAGGGTCTCCAGGGTGCTTGTTTGGGGAAAGCGGAAACAGACTGCCTGGGCGCTGTTAAAATGTCAGCAGCCAAGGAAGAAGCAGCGACCTGGCGTCTGCTCGGGCCAGGTGACCTTTATGGCGGCGCCTTCTGTCCCTGGTCGCTTTTCCACCGAATGTCCGAAACTGTAGTGACTGATGGCCAGGGAATGGCTTAGTTATCTGAGGGAATCTTGTCTTGTCTGTGAAAAAGGGAAACGGGTGCAAATGGGAATTCAGACAGGCCAGGAGAGGAAGGAAGGGAAGGATTGAGGTGAAGATGATTGTCCTCTTAGGGGAAGACCACACTGGACGTCGGCTCCTGGGGCACTTCCTTGATTCCGCTGTACTCCTCAGCGGGACGGGAGAGGCGGAGGTTCCAGGAGGGAGCCTTCCAGAGTCGGTGCAGGGTTGACAGAAGACGTTTGTTTTGCTTTTCCTGAACTTTCGATCGCCAGCTTATTTGGTCTTCTTGATGTTATAGGGTCGATAAAGACAGGAGTGGAGTGATATCAGACACCGAGCTTCAGCAAGCTCTCTCCAACGGTGAGTGGGCCAGTGGGAACTGGGTCTCCGGACCAAGAAGCCGCGAGCCTGCCCTGTTCACAGTGGATAACTTTCTGAAGTTGTTTTTCCAAGGACAAAGGAATCATTAGGACAAATTGTTATTACTGCTTCGTAGTGGAGATGCTTCTGGTTTATTTTGTGGCTACCGCTGTTACTGCTTGGAGTGCCTCACCGAGCCAGCTAACAACTGCGTGCGTGAGCACAGGGAAAGGCTTCTTGAGAAATGAAAACTAGATTGTAGGTTTAGGAGGGGAATAGGAAGCTTAGCTCTGTACAGCCGAAAGCCTTTTGGTAAGTTGGAGGTCCTTGAATTTCCTGGGTGACTGCATCTTGGTGACTTCTCTGAATAGACCTTCGAGGGCACTGGGGGGTGATTGTTGGAGGGCTTGGGGAGCTCAGGCAGCCCTTGTATGGGAATGTGGCTGTTACAGGAACTGCAGAAACTGGGACTGGGTTCCTGGGGAAAGGATTGGGGGTGTTGGAGGCGCTGGCCAGGGGATTATGGGGAGGTGTTCTTATCAGTGTGCGAATACTGGGCGTTCAGGCAGCGGGAAATCCGGGTCCTTGCGTGTTGTGAGCTCCCTGGAATTACGTTCTTGCCAGTTTCAGCTCAGTTGATCCCCCTCCCCTCCGCTATCATTGGACACATTTTACTTCATTGAAACCTGACTGCCACTTTTTCTGTAATCCCTCAGGGGCAGTCATCTTTTCTGATTCTGTGTATAGTTTGCTTTTCCAGATCCGTGCCATTTAAGCTAGAAAAGGGGTCAGTTTTGAGATGTTGTGAAAATGTTGAAAGGCTTCTTGTTATTAGTGGGAAGTATCTGAAGTTGCCAGAGACTGAACTGGGGCGCGGGGAGCACTACGGCTGCTAGACACTGCCTCACTGCGCTGTGGGTGGGGGGGTGCTGGATTCAGCCTTACTGCCTAATGATTTGTGAGGATTTGTGTTTTCAGAGTAACATTTTTACCTTATATTACGACATCAGTTCCTAATATGTGGCGTGTGGGCCACAGATGCTGGTGTATTATTTCACATGCATTTCTATAGATTGTTTTCAGGGAATTCAGAAATGCTGTTATCTCTACACTAGTGATTGTGCTTTCTTGGTTTTTCTCTTTTCATTATTCTTAAATCCTCGTTTTTTTTTTTTTTATTTGCATCTCAGTTCGTTTTTACTCGGGAAGTGCAAGACGTGGCTACTAGAAAGAGATGTCAAGAGAACCCGGAATCCAGTAGGCTACAATTTGGCAAATCTCAGCTTAAAACTTCCTAAATGTTGACCACAGTGGATGCAAATGGCTCTGTGCATCACCTGTTAAATATGGTCAGATGACCATCCAGGTTCAAGTGGTTTGTCACCAGGGTGATACAAGCCACACGGAGTGCCCTCCTCAGAGGCCATGTTTCAGAGACATTTATTTTGAGTGGTTTTCCAATGAGTGATGCAAGATTTATGATCCATTTTAACAGCCTGCTTTTTATGCATTTGCTCTAATTTTTAGATTTTAGGTTTAGTTTTAGGTTTTCTGTTAAACTTGCTCAAATAGGAGTGGTGGTCAAATACTGGACCGCATTAGTATGGTAGCCTGCCCACCTTGGCAGGCTCCACTGGAGTGCTTTGGGGCCTGCCTGGATTCCAGTCCTGGCTCTACCAGTTTTGTGTCCTCGCCGTTACTGGGAGGGAGTATTGAGGAAATGCATGCGAGGTGTTTCCGTGATTCCTGGCACGGAGCAAGTGCTCAGTAATTGTCAGCTGTGAGTATTAGTAGTAGCTAATACACTGGTACTATTCTTGGCTAACAAGCCAGCTCAAAGCTTTGATGGTTTTCCATTACCTGATGATGGTGATGATGGTTTCCACTTACTCAACACTCACACGCTGGGCTAGGCACTTAACCCAAATCCAAGGTCAGCATTATTGTTTGGGGGTGGGGGAGACACCTCCTGCTCTGACTTGTGTGTTTGGGTTCCTGTATTTTCACCAGAGGGAGTTAGTCCTGCCCCAGTTCAGCTGGTCCTCAAAGTGTATATAGCTCTTTAACCATCAGCAAGTGTCTATCAGAACATAATCTTGATTTCAGCTGCTACTAAATATCTACCAGGAGACTGCTTGAGAGAATTGCCTGATGGGTGCTGAGTCCACCATTCCTGAGATACTTTGAAATCAGTGGCTTAACCCAAGCTGTGTATCGGGACCCTCTCACCGTGGTCCCAATGGAGTCACTTTTCTTAGGCGCCCCCCTTTACCTTGGGCTCTGAGCTTCCTCTGCCTTTCATCTCTGTGGGATGAAGCCCCACCGCCCTTCAGGATGCAAAGCCCTCTTCTCTAATGTGAGTGCAGGGCCAGGTGCAGTGGCTCACGCCTGACCTCCCAACACTTTGGGAGGCCGAGGCAGGGGGATCCCTTGAGCCCAGGAGTTTGAGACCAGCCTGGGCGACACTGTGAGACCCTGTTGCCTGAATTGCCCTGGGAGATTTCCTCAGCTTGTGCTGGGGGCATGTGGCCCCATGAAGCCCGTAGTCACTGTTCACCCTGAGAGACGCTGGCTTTCGGGCTCACACACCTGCTGCGGGGCAGCCCCAGGAAATGGCCACCCCATTTCTCCTGGAGCTGCGCGTGTTCTCAGAAACTGTGGTGGCCGTTCTGTTTTGTTTGCATCTTATAAACGTTTACCTGATGACATTTTCCTCTTCAATTTAGCTGCTAGAAAATTTAAAGTCAGGTTGGTGGCTCACCAGTAATGAGAGTTTAGAGTAGAAGTAAACTTTATGACATAGTCTTAGACTCTTCACTTTCTTCTCAACCAATATGATTCACATTTACTTTATTTTGCTGTACCGTGAGTGTCTCTGTGTTTCCTGAATTCCTTCTGGAATAAGGCAGGTTGTTAGTAAGCACAGGTTTCTGGTCCATCTCACAGCCTCAGGCAGTGGGCATTGCTGTCGGTGCTCCCTTTCCGGGTTACCTGTGGTAGCTCTCAAGTTGCAGGGCTGCGATTTGAAGCCTGATTTAGTACACCGTGTTTCTGTTGTGTTCTGTGGTGGTTTGCTCCTCACATGTGAGCATTCACCGTGGCCCTGTGTTTTTCCACCACACCTCTGCCTGGTGGCATCCTACTGGATGTCTCAGCCGAGCCACTCTGTTCTGAAGATGCCCTTGTCCTCCACCCCTTTGCTTTGGGCTCTAAGCTTCTTCTGCCTTTCATCTCTGTAGGATGAAGCCCCACCCGCCCTTCAGGATGCCAGCCTTGGCAACATTGTGAGACCCTGTTTCTACAAAAAGTAAATGAGTGTAGTGGTGCACGCCTGTATTCCCAGCTACTTGGGAGGCTGAGATGGGAAGATCACTTGAGCCTGGGAGGTTGAGGCTGCATTGAGCTGAGATCAAGCCACGGCACTCCAGCCTGGGAGACAGAGCGAAACCCCATCTCAAAAAAACAAAGAAAGTGGATGCGCGCTGCTCCTGCCATTGGATCATCGCAGCATTTTTCTTTTCTCTGATATGCACCTTTTTCCTCATCGTGGGGGCTCACGTTTTCATAGTTCCCTCTCACTACTAGGTTGTGAGCTGCGTGAAGGAAGGTTCATAGTTGTGTTGTATGTACAGGCACACAAAATTTGTCCTTGGATAAACACATATCCTCTTCCTTCTTCTCTCTGAATTTCTTTATTTTAAGAAAAAAATTAGAGATGGAGTCTCACTGTCTTGCTCAGGCTGGTCTCAAACTCCTAGGCTCAAGTGATCCTCCTGCCTCAGCCTATACTAATATGAATTCCTATACTAATATGATTGAAATTAGTTTGATTTCTATAATAATTGTGCTCCCAGATTGGGCTTCTGTTTTGATAGTAGAACTAAATTATTAGGCTATTTCAAGAAATTAATATATTACTGGTAGAAAAACTGAAGCTACAAAATGGCCTGGTTTCTCACTTCAGTTAAATTTGTGCTTCTGAGTGCTTGTATTCTAGGTGAAACCACACTGAGAAGGTATTTGTGGCCCATACACTGATTCCTTCATGAGACTTGTTTGCACAGGAGAGCTGCTAAAAATTACTGCTCTCAGGGAGGTCTGTGGTGAACAGGTATGAAGAAGAAGACTGTTCTCTGCCCTTCTTTTTGCAATAAAATGTTCCAAACTATCTTGAGTTTGATCCCTTTTCGGGTGTTTGGGGTTTTTTTAACATTCACATATTTCTTGGAATTATAAGAAATTAACTTTGTGCTTCTGAAGTAGGTTTGCCTTAATATAACACTGATGTATTTGTAAGGGGCATTTTTAAAGCTGTACTTTAAAAAATAATAATTCTTACATTCGTTTGAAGGTTTTTTTATGTGTGTTTTTGAGACAGAGGCTTGCTCTATCGCCCAGGCTGGAGTGCAGTGGCACGCTCTTGGCTCACTACAACCTCCGCATCTGGGGTTCAAGCGATTCTCCTGCCTCAGCCTCCTGAGTAGCTGGGACTACAGGTGCCCACCACCACGCCCAGCTAATTTTTTGTATTTTTTTTTTTTTTTTTTTTTTGAGGCAGAGTCTCTGTCGCCTAGGCTGGAGTGCGGTGGCACTATCTTGGCTCACTGCAAGCTCCGCCTCCTGGGTTCATGCCATTCTCCTGCCTCAGCCTCCCGAGTAGCTGGGACTACAGGCACCCGCCACCATGCCTGGCTAATTTTTTGTCTTTTTAGTAGAG
This sequence comes from Homo sapiens, assembly GCF_000001405.40. NCBI lineage: Eukaryota > Metazoa > Chordata > Mammalia > Primates > Hominidae > Homo > Homo sapiens. Next base: position 277,490 of record NC_000005.10, read on the forward strand.
ACGGGGTTTCACCGTGTCAGCCAGGATGGTCTCGATCTTATGACCTCATGATCCACCCGCCTCAGCCTCCCAAAGTGCTGGGATTACAGGCGTGAGCCACCACGCCCAGCAATTTTTTGTATTTTTAGTACAGACAGGGTTTCACCATGTTAGCTAGGATGGTCTTGATCTCCTGACCTCTTGATCTGCCCACCTCAGCCTCCCAAAGTGCTGGGATTACGGGCGTGAGCCAGGGGGCCAACATGGTGAAACCCTATCTCTACTAAAAATACAAAATTAGCCGGGAATGGTGGTGCGCGCCTATAATCCCAGCTACTCGGGAGGCTGAGGCGTGAGAATCACTTGAACCTGGGAGGCAGAGGTTGCAGTGAGCTGAGATAGCGCCACTGCACTCCAGCCTGGGGGGCAGTGAGACTCCATCTCAAAAAAAAAAAAAAAAAAGAATAGAATAACCCTTGTTTAGGTGTTAACAAAATCCAGGCCAGACAAATCTAAACTTTAATCTCATACCCAGTTCCTAGATGAGTCCCTTCTCCAGCTCAGGTTCCGCCTAAGCCTCAGGGTTCCTTACTTGGTGGGCACCACCTGCTCCCTTCCCCACCTTTGTCCTCTTTTTCCTCTGCTGGCTCCTCCGGGGTTGGGTGTGTTCAGAGGCAGAGACAGGCTAAAGGTCTTTGGCTTTTAGGTTCTGTTGGTGGGTGAGTTCCAGATATAGCTTTCTCTTGTAGGATATTTCATTTATTTATCTATTAAAAATATTTATTTAGAACACACCATTCATGTGCCAGACCCTGTCCAGGCACTGGGGATAGGGTGATAAATGAGATCAACAAAAATACCTGCCCACATTAAGCTCCTGTTCTAGGGAAGACAGAAAGAAAATACACGTGTCCTTAGTATATTAGAAGATTCCAAGTACTGTAGAGAAAAATAAAGCAGGCTGGACTCGGTGGCTCATGCTTGTAATCCCAGCACTTTGGGAGGCTGAGGTGGGAGGATTACTTGAGCTCAGGAATTTGAGACCAGCCTGGGCAACATGGCAGATCCTGTCTCTCCCAAAAAAAAAAAAAAAATTTAGCTGGGTATGGTGGCGTGCATCTGTAGTCCCAGCCACTGGGGAGGCTGAGGAGGGAGAATTGCTTCAGCCTAGGAGGTGAAGGTTGCAGTAAACCGAGATCGTGCCATTGCACTCCAGCCTGGGTGACAGAGCCAGACCCTGTCTCAAATAAAACAAAAGGAAAGAAAGAAAATGAAAAAAAGAAAGAGATGGGGCAAGCAGGGGAGAGGGCTGGGGACACAGGGGAGGGTGCTGGGGATGCAGGGGAGGGTGCTGGGGACACAGGAGGGTGCTGGGGATGCGGGGGAGGGTGCTGGGGACACGGGAGGGGCTGGGGACATGGGAGGGGCTAGGGATGCAAGCTTTCCTGAGTTCCCACAGTTCTCTGCCCCTCTCCTGTCTCACGGGGTGTGGGCCACCTGTGGCTTGCGGTTGTTTCGCGCCAAGCTAATATCTTGTTCTTCCCAACAGAGAGGCCCGTTGAGGCTTCTCTGTCCTCCATGGGGAACAGCATTGGCCTAAACCTGCAGACACCATTGCAAAGGGAAGTCAGCTCAGGCAAACCCGCTGGTGAAGAAGAATTCCAGTGTGGGGACACAGAGACTGACATTTCTTGCCATGGGTGATTTAATTTTGGGCCTCAGTTTTTCATTCCCCCCTAAGAGTATGACGCAGCCGCATCCTTGCCAGGGCCGGAGGGAGGGTGGATGGACTTATAGGTGTTGCTTGTGGCTGGGTGACTTGCTTCTGCCAACGAGATTTTCACAGACACGGCACAAGCAGAAGCCTGGAATGTGTGGCACTGCCAGGCCTGCCCTCTTAGGCTCTTGATTTTCCCCACGAGATATGCGTGCCCCAGGGAACGGCGGCTCTGGCTGTGGAATGAGAGGCGTGTGGAGCAGGCATGGTTCCCACCCTCAGCCTAGAGTCAAGGCCAGACTAGATCAGCCTAAGCCCAGCCACGCCACGGGTGCAGCAGTGAAGAGCAAATGCCAACTGTCCATGACAGTGACTTTCAAAGGGGCGTGTCATGTGCCTCATCCCAGCAACAGGGAAGGCATTTCTCTATCAGTCAGTTGGTAAATGATTATTGACAATGTGTGGGAAGGTGGAGTTATTTGAGTAGATTTGGCCTCTATTCTCATGGAGCTTCCTTTCTAGAGGGGAAGGCAGATGATGGATGAATAAATATAAATGATTCTAATAGGTTGGTGCAGCAGTCATTAAAAGTAATGGCAAAAAAAAAAAAAAAAAAAAAAACGAGGAGCCGGTGCTGCAGTTCATTAATAGTAATGGCAAAAACTGCGATGACTTGTGCGCCAACCTAACCCAGTAATCACGGGTGTGCAAAATGTGGCGATGGGCAAGTTCCGAGTGCTAGGAGAGCATCTAGCTTCCCGGAGTCAGGAGACGGGGGTTGGCAACCTAACCAAGGTTAAGTCCAAGGGAGGGGGGTGGGCAGGGAGCGATATTTCAGTGGAGACTCCAAGGACGAATGGTATTTAGAGAGTAAACCCCGATAGAGAGGGTTTGTGTCTGGCACAGAGAAGAGCCTGTGCAAAAGCCAGCGGGGCGAGAGGACACCATGTGTTCATCCACCTGAGGGGCGACCAGCAGGCTGGAGCTCAGCGGGTTGAGAGGAGGATGCAGAGCCCGGGAAAGGCACCCTAGGCAGAGGGCACAGCAGGGCAAAGGCCTGGAGTCAGGCCTGAGCCTGTGTGGTTTGAGGAACGGATAGAGGCCTGTCCGGCAGGAAGGGAACAGCACAGGGGAGAGACCTTAGGCCAGAGCAGAGGGCAGGGCTGTGCTGGGCACTGTGGGCTGTGGATGGTGCTGGCATTTAAGAGGGGAGACCATAGACCAGGGCAGAGGGCAGGGCTGTGCCGGGCACTGTGGGCTGTGGATGGTGCTGGAATTTAAGAGGGGAGACCATAGACCGAAGTAGAGGGCAGGGCTGTGCTGGGCACTGTGGGCTGTGGATGGGAGCTGGCATTTAAGAGGGGAGACCATAAGCCAGGGCAGAGGGGTGGGGAGGGCTGGGCCAGGCACCAGAGTGGAGACCACAGGCCAGGGCAGAGGGCAGGGCTGTGAGGGCACTGTAGGCTGTGGATGGGAGCTGGCATTTAAGAGGGGAGTCCATAGACCAGGGCAGAGGGCAGGGCTGTGAGGGCACTGTAGGCTGTGGATGGGAGCTGGCATTTAAGAGGGGAGTCCATAGACCAGGGCAGAGGGCAGGGCCGTGCTGGGCACTTTGGGCTGTGGATGGGAGCTGGCATTTAAGAGGGGAGACCATAGACCAGGGTAGAGGGCAGGGCCGTGCTGGGCACTTTGGGCTGTGGATGGGAGCTGGCATTTATGCTCAAGTGATGGGAATATGTTAAAAGATTTTAAGGAGGGGAGTAACAGTTGGGATTAATGTGTATTCTGGGAATCTCAACAAAGTAAATTCATAGTTCGAATTTTCATAAGACTTCTGCACAGGCAGAGAGAAATAAGATCGCATCTACAGCTGTGTGGTGATTTTCTTTAAAAATACTACTAAGTTTTTAAACGTGATTTCAAATGGTGTGTTTCTGTTTCACATTGGACATAAGTAGATTGCAAGGCTAATGGAAAGTAGAAAAGTTAACTCATGAACATAAAAGAGACATCGATTTGAAAACAAAACATTTATTCATTTACTTCTGCTGCAGTTTTCTTGACTGCTGAATTTCGTAAGAAGGGATTGGTCAGGGAGGGTCTTGGGGCTGAAGACCTGGAGAGGAGCTGGTGCTATCGCTGTTCAAATCTGAAGGTGGTGGAGATGGAGCCTTGGGGAGGAGCCGGTGCTGCCTTTTAAGTCTATGAGAGTCGTTGAGCTGGAGGTCCAGGGAAGAGCTGGTGCTGCCACTGATGTCTTAGGTTGTGGAGCTGAAGACAGTGAAGGAGCTGGTTTGGCTGTTCTGTGAGGGTCGTGGAGCTGGAGATCCAGGTGGGAGAGGTGTTCTAGTTTGAGGGTCATGCAGATGGAGATCTGTGAGGAGCTGATGTTATTTTAATTGGTGGGTCGTAGAGCTGGAGACCAGGGAGGAACTGGTGTGGTTCTAGTTTGAGGGTTGTGGAGCTGGAGACACAGGGAGGAGCTGAGGTTCTAGTTTGATGGTTGTGCAGCTGAAGACTCGGGGAGGGGCTGAGGTTCTAGTTTGAGGGCCCTACAGCTGGAGATCCGGAGAGGAGCTGATGTTTTAGATTGAGGGTCGTGCAGCTGGAGAACCAGACAGGAGCTGATGTTATAGATTGAGCATTGTGCAGCTGAAGACTCGGGGATGAGCTGATGTTGTTCGCTTTGAGGGTCTTTCAGCTGAAGACTCGGGGAGGAGCTGATGTTCTAGATTGAGGGTCATGCAGCTAAAGACTTGGGGAGGAGCTGATCTTCTAGTTTGAGGGTCATGCAGCTGAAGACTCGGGGAGGAGCTGATATTCTAGTTTGAGGGCCCTGCAGCTGGAGATACAGATAGGAGCTGATGTTGTAGTTTGAGGGTCTTGCAGTTGAAGATTCAGGGAGGAACTGCTCATGTAGTTTGAGGGTCATGGAACTGGAAACCCAGAGAGGAGCTGATCTTATAGATTGAGGGTTCTGCAGCTGAAGACTCGGGGAGCAGCTGAGGTTCTAACTTGAGGAACCTACAGCTGGAGACCTGGAGAGGAGCTGATGTTCTAATTTAAGGGTGGTGCAGCGGAAAAATCGGGGGGGGGGGAGCTGATGTTGTTCGCGTTGAGGGTCTTTCAGCTGGAGACTCGGGGAGGAGCTGATGTTCTAGATTGAGGGTCATGGAGTTGGAGGCCTGGAGAGGAGCTGATGTTGTAGTTTGAGCATCTTGCCAGCTGCAAACCCGGAGAGAAGCTGATGTAGTTTGAGGGTCTTGCAGCTGCAGACCCAGAGAGGAACTGATGTTCTAGATTGAGGATCATGCAGCTGAAGACTCTGGGAGGAGCTGATGTTCTAACTTGAGGGTCATGCAGCTGAAGACTCGGGGAGGAGCTGATGTTCTAGTTTGAGGGTCTTGCAGCTGCAGACCTGGAGAGGAGCTGATGTTCTAGATTGAGGGTCGCACAGCTGAAGACTTGGGGAGTAGCTGATGTTGTTTGCATTGAGTCTTTCAGTTGGAGACTCAGGGAGGAGCTGATGTTCTAGATTTAGGGTCATGGAACTGGAGACCTGGAGAGAAGCTGATGTTCTAGTTTGAGGGTCTTGCTGCTGCAGACCCGGAGAGGAGCTGATGTTCTAGTTTGAGGATCTTGCAGCTGCAGACGTGGAGAAGAGCTGATCTTCTAGTTTGAGGGTCGTGCAGCTGAAGTCTCGGGGATGAGCTGAGGTTCTAGTTTGAGGGTCGTGCAGCAGAAGACTCGGGGAGGAGCTGAGGTTCTAGTTTGAGGGTCGTGCACCTGGAGAACTGGACAGGAGCTGATGTTCTAGATTGAGCATCGTACAGCTGAAGACTTGGGGAGGAGCTTATGTTGTTCACTTTGAGGGTCTTTCAGCTGGAGACTCAGGCAGGAGCTGATGTTCTAGTTTGAGGATCTCGTAGCTGCAGAATCAGAGAGGAGCTGATGTTCTAGATTGAGGATCTTGTAGCTACAGACCCATAGAGGAGCTGATGATCTAGATTCAGGGTCATGCAGCTGAAGACTCGGGGAGGAGCTGATGTTGTAGTTTGAGGGTCATGCAGCTGAAGACTTGGTGAGGAGCTTATGTTGTTCACTTTGAGGGTCTTTCAGCTGGAGACTCAGGCAGGAGCTGATGTTCTAGATTGAGGATCATGGAGGTGAAAACCCGGAGAGGAGCTGATGTTCTAGTTTGAATGTCTTGCAGCTGCAGACCCAGAGAGGAGCTGATGTTCTAGTTTGAGGATCTTGTAGCTGCAGACCCAGAGAGGAGCTGATGTTCTAGATTGAGGATCTTGTAGCTACAGACCCGTAGAGGAGCTGATGTTCTAGATTGAGGGTCATGCAGCTGAAGACTCGGGGAGGAGCTGATGTTCTAGTTTGAGGGTCGTGCAGCTGAAGACTCGGGAAGGAGCTGATGTTCTAGATTGAGGGTCATGCAGCTGAAGACTCGGAGAGGAGCTGATGTTCTAGTTTGAGGGTTGTGCAGCTGAAGCCTCAGGGAGGAGCTGATGTTCTAGTTTGAGGGCCCTACAGCTGGAGAACTGGAGAGGAGCTGATGTTCTAGTTTGAGTGTCTTGCAGCTGCAGACCCATAGAAAAGCTAATGTTCAGTTTGAAGGTCTTGCAGCTGCAGACCCGGAGAGGAGCTGATGTTCTAGATTTTGAGGGTCCTGCAGCTGAAGACTCGGGGAGGAGCTGATGTTCTAGTTTGAGGGTCATGCAGCTGAAGAGCCAGGGAGGAGCTGATGTTCTAGCTTGAGGGACCTACAGCTGAAGACTTGGAGAGAAGCTGATGTTCTAGTTTAAGGGTGTTGCAGCTGAAGACTCGGGGTGGAGCTTATGTTGTTTGCATTGAAAGTCTTTCAGCTGGATGTTCAGGGAGGAGCTGATGTTCTAGATTGAGGGTCTTGGAGCTGGAGACCTAGAGAGGAGCTGATGTTCTAATTTGAGTATCTTGCAGCTGCAGGCCTGGAGAGGAGCTGATGTAGTTTGAAGGTCTTGCAGCTGCAGACCGGGAGAGGAGCTGATGTTCTGGATTGAGGATCTTGCAGCTGAAGACTCGGGGAGGAGCTGATGTTCTAAGTTGAGGGTCTTGCAACTGAAGACTTGAGGAGGAGCTGATGTTCTAGCTTGAGGGTCGTTCAGCTGAAGACTCGGGGAGGAGCTGTTCTGGTTTGAGGGTCGCGTAGCTGAATACTCCAGGAGGAGCTGATGTTCCAATTTGAGGGTCATGCAGCTGGAGATCTGGCAGGAGCTGATGTTCCAGTTTGAGGGCCGGGTAGCTGATGTAACAGTTTGAAGGTCATGCAACTGGAGACCTGTGCGGGGGAGAAGATGTTCCAGTTTGAGGGCCATGCAGTTTGAGACCCAGCGGGAAGCTGATGTTCCGGTATGAGGGCCATGAAGCTAGAGACCTGGTTGGGAGGTGATGTTCCAGGTTGAGGACCGTGCAGCTGGAGACCGGGCGGGAGCTGATGTTCCAGTTTGAGGTCCATGCAGCTGGAGACCCAGGAGGGAGCTGATGTTCCAGTTTCAGGGCCGTGCAGCTGGAGACACCGCGGGGAGCTCATGTTCCAGTTTGAGGGCCGGGGAGCTGATGTACCAGTTTGAGGGCCATACAACTGGAGACCCGGGGGGGAGAAGATATTCCAGTTTCAGGGCCGTGCAGCTGGAGACCCCGCGGGAAGCTGATGTTCCAGTCTGAGGGTCTTGCAGCTGGAGACCCGGGGAGGAATATCAAACTCGAACATCTGCTCCCCACAGTGTCTCCAGCTGCACAGCTCTCAAACTGGAACATCGGTTCCCATCCGGGTCTCCAGCTGCACAGCCCTCAAACTGCAACATCGGCTACCCCCGAGTCTCCAGCTGCAAGACCCTCAGACTGGAACATCAGCTCCCCACCAGGTCTCCAGCTGCACAGCCCTTAACCTGGAACAGTTTGAACCTGGTGGGGGAGCTGATGTTGCAATTGGAGGGCCGTGCAGCTGGAGACCCAGAGGGGAGCAGACGTTCTAGTTTTAGGGCCGTGAAGCTGTAGACTCAGGAGGAAGCTGATGTTCCAGTTTGAGAGCTGTGCAGCTGGAGACCCGGGGGGGAACTGATGCTGCAGTTTGAGGGCCATGCAGCTGGATACCCGGCTGGGAGCTGATGTTGCAGTTTGAGGGCTGTGCGCCTGGAGCCCTGGGGCGGAGCTGATATTCCAGTTTGAGGGCCGTGCAGCTGGAGACCTGATGGGAGCCGATGTTCCAGTTTGAGGGCCATGCAGCTGGAGACCCGGCGGGGAGCTCATATTCCAGTTTGCAGGCCGTGCAGCTGGAGACCTGGTGGGGAGCTGATGTTCCAGTTTGAGGGCCGTGCAACTGGAGACCCGGCAGGGAGCTGATGTTCCAGTTTGAGGGCCCTGCAGCTGGAGACCCATGGGGATCTGATGTTCCAGTTTCAGGTTGGTGCAGCTGGCGACCCGGGTGGGAGCTGATGTTCTAGTTTGAGGGCCGTGCAGCTGGCGACCCGGGGGCGGGCTGATGTTCCAGTTTGAAGGCCGTGCATTTGGAAACCCTGGGGTGAGCTGAATTTCCAGTTTGAGAGATGTGCAGATGGAGACCCAGTGGGGGAGCTGATGTTCCAGTTTGAGGGCCCAGAAGCTGATGTTCCAGTTTGAGGGCCCAGGAGCTGATGTTCCAGTTTAAGGCTGTGCAGCTGGAGACCCAGGGGTGAGCTGATGTTCTACTTTGAGGGCTGTGCAGCTTGAGACCCGGCGGGTAGCTGATGTTCCAGTTTGAGGGCCGTGCAGCTGGAGACCCAGGTGGGAGCTGTTGTTCTAGTTTTAGGGCCATGCAGCTGGAGACCCGGGGAGTGGGGGGAGCTGATGGTGCAGTTTGAGGGCCATGCAGCTGAGGACCCAGGGGGGAGCTGATGTTCTCCTTTGAGTGCTGTGCAGCTGGAGACCCGGGGGGAGTTGATGTTCCGTTTGAGGGCCGTGCAGCTGGAGACCCAGGTGGGAGCTGATGTTCCGGTTTGAGGGTGGTGCAGCTGGCGACCTGGGCGGGAGCTGATGTTCTAGTTTGAGGACTGTGCAGCTGGAGACCCAGCGGGGAGCTGATGTTGCAGTTTGAGGGCCATGCAGCTGGAGACCCATGGGGGAGCTGATGTTGTTTTGAGAGCCGTGCAGCTGGAGATCCGGGGGTGAGCTGATGTTCCCGTTTGAGGGCTGTGCAGCTGGAGGCCTAGCGAGGAGCTAATGTTCCTGTTTGAGGTCCTTGCAGCTGGAGACCTGGGGAGGAGCTGATGTTCTTGTTTGAGGGCCTTCCAGCCGGAGACCCGGGGATGTGCTGATGTTCCCATTTGAGAGCTGTGCAGCTGGAGACCCGTGGGGGAGCTGATGTTCCCTTTAGAGGACCGTGCCACTGGAGAGCCTGCGGGGATCTGATGTTCCAGTTTCAGGGCCATGCATCTTGAGACTCGGGGAGGTACTGATGTTCCCGTTGGAGAGCCGTGCAGCTGGAGACCTGGGGAGGAGCTGATGTTCCCGTTTGAGGGCCGTGCAGGTGGAGACCTGGGGAGGAGCTGATGTTGTTCTAGTTTGTGTGTTGTGCAGCTGCAGATCCAGGGATGAGATGGTCCTGCGGTTCAAATATGAGGGTCCCGGAGCTGGAGTCTATGTGAGGAGCCAATGCTGCCTCTGATGTCTTAGGTTGTGGAGCTGGAAACTCGCGGAGGAGTCGGTATTAGTGTTTCTAGTTGAGGGTTGTGGATCTGGAGATACAGTGGGGAGCAGTGTTCTAGTTTGTGGGTCGTGGAGCTGGAGACCCAGGGAGGAGCTGGTGTGTTTCTAGTTGAGGGTCATGGAGCTGGAGACCCACGGAGGAGCTGGTATGTTCTAGTTGAGGGTCGTGGAGCTGGAGATCTGGGGAAGAGCTGGTGCTGCGGTTCAAGTCTGAGGGTCTCAGAGCTGGAGCGCCCGGGAGGAGTAGGTACTGCCACTGATGTCTTAGGTTTTGGAGCTGGAGACCTGTGGACAAGCCAGGCTGGTGTTCTAGTTTGAGGTTCCTGGAGCTGGAATCCTGGTCAGGAGCCAGTGATGCTGTTTAAGTCTGAAGTTCGTGGAGCTAAACACGGAGCCGATGTTAGGGAAGTAGAGAGAGAGAGTTTCAGGACGCCACTTGAAACTGTACATGTAGCTGAATCCCAAGCAAGTTAAGCCTGGGAGCTTCTCAGTCCTCGGGATCAATGCATTCCTTTTTCTCTTACACAGTTTGGATTTGTTTTCTGTCTAATGAGACAGAAAGACCCTGATTAATACCCTCAGGAATTGAAAAGCTTAAAAAAAACTAAATGATATTGGTATAATAATAATAGAAATTAAGCTATGATTATCCTGACAGACAAAATCACACACCACACACAATATACATCTTTTCAATCAGTTAGTCAAATAAAATATAAATTGAAAAATAGACCCATGCAAAGCTATAAAAAGTTACTTTTTTTCTTCATGTTCAAAAATATTTAATTCACTTCAAAATGTCATACAAATTATGGTGGTTTCTATGCACCCCTAAAGCTTCAGTCATTTAGCTCAGGTACATATTAAAGTAATATATTAATTCTTCCAGTACAATGGTGTTTCATACCATTGACACTTGCATACTCTAGAATAATTTGGAAAGACGTGTAATATTCGCAATGTTCAGAAAAGCAAGCAAAAGTTCAAGGAACCTGCTTGGTTCTGAGATGGCCTCATATCAGCTTCATAAACATTCATTCTACAAAATAGTAAGCTAACATTTGAACACAATTTCCAAAAATAAAGAATATTTTCTCATAAATAATGAAGTCTGTTTCTCAGGCACCTCAGAAGTATACAAAAGAATTTGAGTTTGAACAGATCTCTTGGAATGTGTTTAACCTGGTATTTCAACAGACTTAAGATTTCTAGGGTTTCACAAAGGCCAGATTTTATTTCAGTTACTCAGAAGAGAAAGAAAATGTCTTCTGAAAGAGGTGAACTCAATCACTACCAATAGAAAAAGTATCCACTGTATTCATCTCTTATGGAAACAGAAAAATATAACATTTCCCCCCTTAAAATAATATATATATTATATATATATATATATATACACATATGTATATATAACTTAAAGTTCCATTGTACGTAGCCGGACAATAAAATCTGGAAACCAGCATGAAACCCTGTTATTCACATGTTAAAATGTTGAAACTATGACCAAAATGTGAAAACTGCTAGAGCTATCAGAAAGAGACAAGACAAAAACCTTCTTTCATATGTATAAACTAAATGTGATAATCTCAAAAAACTTTTCAAAATTATGATTACCTTCCAGTTTAAAAACTTTAATCCTAAATTAAAAAAAAAAAATCTATACACAAACCACTGATTTGCCCAGACCAAAAGAAAGAAAGAAAGAAAGATCAGCGGTAAGGTAAACAGGACCCAGAGGAGCTGATATTCACAGTTCTTACGTGTACAACTCTTCCAGGAATTATCCATAAAGTACTTTATTGTTTTACAACCTGCTTTTCTTGTAAAACTAAACGTGGACTTTTTTACATAAAAGTTTTATACGGCGTTAAAACCAGAACTGTATGTAAAATACTGCATCTAAATGTTTCTAAATAGTCTTGTTCCATTGGTTCATCGGTGACTTCTGTGGCTTCGTCATCATTTTCCATGGATGATTCTGAAAGAATCTCTCCAGTTTTACTGGAATTAGATCCTACTAATTCTTCTGTTTCACGGCAGTCAGAAGAACCACTACTTTCAGGGCCTTCGTTTTCATTACCTTCGGAATGTAGTAAATCTTTCTCAGCTTGAGACACATCAGATTCCTCCATTTGATTATTTTCCTCAAAAGTCTCTTCATTCACAGTTGAGGCATCATCAGATTATTTTTCTTGATTTTTTCTTTCCGGGATCATTTCTCTTGATGTCATAAAAGACTCTAAAAATAAGCAAATGTTGTTGTACTTAAATTTTATTTTCAGAATACCTCCACAGTTAAGTTTCATGAATTCTGATGTTCTATAATTCAAATCACATTCCCTGAAATTCAGCAACAACTACATACAGGTGGGAGAAAAGCCCAATGTCGGCATTACAAGGAGTTCTATTATGTACAATTCTTTCACGAAAGCAATGAATACAAGAATTTGAGGATCTTCTTACTCCTCCCTTTTACAGATGGTCTCTCAATACCTTCTTCTTCCTCTTCATCCTCTTCTGTACGCGCTGCCGGGTACAACGGCTTTCTTTGTCTTTATCCTGAGATGAAGGTGATGCTTCTGTTTCTTCTACCATAACCGAAGAAATTTCGCTGCAAGTCGCTTGAATGGCTGTTTCTCTGACTTCGCCTTTTTTGTCAAACATGAGTCTTTTTACCTCATGCCCCTCAGCTTCCACAGCATCTTCATCTGGATGTTTATTTTTCAAAGGGCTCACTGAGCAAACTTCTGATTCAGATGTCGAAGAGTCACTGTGATTTTTCTCTTCATTTTGCTGCAAATTTACCTCTTTGCTGTCTGTGCTGTCAGGCGACCCATTTGTTGTCATGGGGGCTGACAAAGAAACCTTTGGTCGATTACGTGGTCTGGGTGTCCCAGGCCCATTTACATTAGACCTCTCAGGATAGCTTGGTGAATTTCCAGGAAACATAACACCATTCATTCGATTTAAACTATTGGAATTGTTTTTCTCTGAAGAAGGATAAACACAGCTAACAACCATCACATCCTTTTCTACTCCTCTGAGAAATTTGTCTGTTCCTGTATAGTTTCTCCTTGGATCTGTTAACAATTCACATAGTCGCTGAATAGTAAAAGGGATACTGTTAAATCCAGTGACAATTCTCAGTATTCTTTCCTTCATTTCATCAAAGGGAATATATTCGACATTAGGGTTGGGAGGACCTCTTGGCTCAGGAGCTGAAGTTCTGAAATCATCCATCACTTTCTCCAGTTTGAAAATAAAATAGCCTTTAAATTGGGACCACTGAATCTGTTTCTCCAGTCTTGGCTATATGACAAAGAAACTGATCCAGGACAGGACAAACTTCCTTTTTCCCCTCTTCTCAAAATCTTTCAGCGCCTCCTGGAGACTCTCAACGTCCATGGCTTCCTGGAGTCCCTCACAGCCTCCGCCTCCCTCCGCAGGTCTCTTGGGGACCGGAATGCCTCCCCCCACCCCCCGACGTCCTCCCACTCCCTCGCACACACTCCCGCATGCAGGCCAAGTTGGGTGGGGGGAACGAAGGGAGCCAGGGGAAGCATGTGAGAGAGTGAGACCAACAGAGCGAGCATCTCCCCAAGCCACTACCACCAACCCTCCAACATGGCGCCTGGCACGTCACCCTAAAAAGTTATTTCTTGGAGAAGCAATGGATGACAGAGATTAATCTGAGAGTTACTATTAGTGGAGAAACTTAGAACTTACCATTTTTCCTGTGAGGTTTCGGCGCTGATACTGCTATTCTGTGAGTTCTGGCAATTGAGTCCGTTCACACAGCCTGGTGATGCAGCAGGTGTCACAGAAGGACCCTGTCCCAGCTGGTCCTGCTCCACTGCTATGATGGTGTGGCCTCTGATCTCTGACCGTGTCTTGAGGGGAGACCAGGCCCTTGATCACAAGCGTATCCATGGTGAGGTTCCGTGGATGGAAGCTCATGAATGTTCCTTCCTGATGTTCATCTGCCACCTTGCTATTGAATGCATCTTGTTTATAACTGCCTTCTAAGTATTGAATAGAAATAAAGCATTTGTACAGGATGGGTAAGGTATAAAGAATATTGACACATTGGACACAGAGGACCTCCACCAAGTTTAGGGAGTAGAATCTCAAGAAACATAACTGTGGATGCTCCCTGGAGGCCCTGCCTGAGTCCCGGGTCCCTTCCCTTCTCCTGCAGAGGGAATCAGTTCCTGCTTTAGTCTTTATTATTCCCACACTTTTCTTCATAGTACGTTTCTTTCACCACGTATCTGCACATCCCTAAAAAATATGCCATTTAGTTTTTGAACTTTCTGTTTTCTTTTTGAGGCAGGGTCTTGCTCTGTTGCCTCGGCTGTAGTTTTGAACTTTGATGTAAGGAAGTTCTCCTGCGTGGCTGCTCCTGCCCTGCATGGCTCTGAGCATCTGCTCTGTCTATTTCTGTCCTCCATTCTCTCCCTGAGACCCACCCACACTGACATGGTTCATTTTCATTGCTGCGTGATCTCCCGTCTCCATTCTCTGCCTGAGACCCACCCACACTGACATGGTTCATTTTCATTGCTGCGTGATCTCCCATCTCCATTCTCTCCCTGAGACCCACCCACACTGACATGGCTCATTTTCATTGCTGCGTGATCTCCCGTCTCCATTCTCTCCCTGAGACCCACCCACACTGACGTGGCTCCTTTTCATTACTGCGTGATCTCCCGTCTCCATTCTCTCCCTGAGACCCACCCACACTGACATGGCTCATTTTCATTGCTGCGTGATCTCCCGTCTCCATTCTCTCCCTGAGACCCACCCACACTGACATGGTTCATTTTCATTGCTGCGTGATCTCCCATCGTCTGAGGGGAGCATGGGAAATGTCTTCCATCTTCCTGTGGATGAGTGTTTGGCCAGGTTGGGGCCCTGAGGACTGTGTTTTGTTGGGAACGTTCTTGGGCGTTTCTTTTGTACACAAGTGCAAGTTGCTTCTGGTCAGTAGCTTTCAAGTTTTAAAATTTCATCCCAGGTAAGAAATGTAACTTTCCTCATAACCCACAACATACTCTTTCATATACAAGCATAACAAAAATAGACTTCACAACCGTTCTTAGCAGGGCGTGGTGTTCCTGCTTCTCTCCATTCTCCCCAACACTGGCATGGATTGGGTTGTTGGTGGTGGGATTTTTGCCCATCTGGTGGGTGTCACGTGATATCTCCCACTGTTAGGCTGAGCCCCTCTTCATGTTTTCATTAGCCATTCCTCCACATTTCCTCTTCTGTGGAGGGCCAGTTCAGCTCTTTTCCCCAGTTTCTGTTAAGTTGTTTGAATTTTTGCACTTTTCTTTTATTATTCCTATTGTTATGTTTTTGAGACAGAGTCTCACTCTGTTGCCCAGGCTGGAATGCAGTGGTGTGATCTCAGCTCACTGCAACCTCCACCTTCTGGGTTCAAGTGATTCTCCTGCCTCAGCCTCCCAAGTAGCTGGGATTACAGGCGCCCGCCACCACCCCTGGCTAATTTTTGTATTTTTACTAGAGATGGGGTTTCACCATGTTGTCCAGACTGGTCTGAAACTCCTGACCTCAGGTGATTCTCCCACCTCAGCCTCCCAAAGTGCTGGGATTACAGGCATGAGCCACCATGCCTGGCCTGCCTTTTTCTTTTTCAAAAGGACTCTTTATACCTGTTCATTCCGGTGACTATCTGTATGGCAAAGATGGGTTTGAATCCACCAGGATAAATGTGCAGGATCTCCTCTCTGGTGGGAGAAGAGACAGAGAGGGATAGAAGGGTATGGAGAACAGAGCCGAGAGGAGGCCGAGTCAGGCAGGGGTGGCAGGCTGCTGTGAGGACTTGGCTCCGTCTCTGAGTCGGGTGGGGATTAGCAGAGGATTTAAACAGAGGAACCATGGGATCTCCCTTATGCATTTCTGCCATGGTTGGCTCAGCTGAACGCACCTCTTGAACAAGACTTGGCCTTGGACACCTAGAGGCCCTTGGTTGAGGGTTTACCTCCTGGCGTGGCCACTGACACATCCACGTTTGGCTCCCACACAGCTGGGCGGCCCCAAGACCTGCTCTGCCTGGGCTTCTCATTGGTGGCATTTCTCAAGTTTGTCCCCTCTCAAGTCTGCACCATCCGGAAAACCAAACACCTCTCTCTCCTACATGGAAACCCCCATCAGCACCTCCCCCTGACTCACAGGGCATCCCGTCAACATCACAGTCCCGACTTTCCCATATGGACAAGCCCACAGGACCCCCTGATGGACCAGGACAGCGCCAGCACTAAGACATGCCCTGAAACTCACAGGAAGACCTGATCAAGAAGACGGGAACAGCACAGGGCACTGGGAGCTGCAAACACCCACGATACTGTCAGAGATGGAGAAAGGTATGACAGGAAGAGCAGATCAAGAAGACGGGAACAGCACGAGGCACTGGGAGCTGCAAACGCCTGCGATAATGTCAGAGATGGAGAAAGGTATGACAGGAAGAGCAGATCAAGAAGACGGGAACAGCACGAGGCACTGGGAGCTGCAAACGCCCGCGATACTGTCAGAGATGGAGAAAGGTATGACAGGAAGAGCAGATCAAGAAGACGGGAACAGCACGAGGCACTGGGAGCTGCAAACGCCCGCGATACTGTCAGAGACGGAGAAAGGTATGACAGGAAGAGCAGATCAAGAAGACGGGAACAGCACGAGGCACTGGGAGCTGCAAACGCCCGCGATACTGTCAGAGACGGAGAAAGGTATGACAGGAAGAGCAGATCAAGAAGACGGGAACAGCACGAGGCACTGGGAGCTGCAAACGCCCGCGATACTGTCAGAGACGGAGAAAGGTATGACAGGAAGAGCAGATCAAGAAGACGGGAACAGCACGAGGCACTGGGAGCTGCAAACGCCCGCGATACTGTCAGAGACGGAGAAAGGTATGACAGGAAGAGCAGATCAAGAAGACGGGAACAGCACGAGGCACTGGGAGCTGCAAACGCCCGCGATACTGTCAGAGACGGAGAAAGGTATGACAGGAAGAGCAGATCAAGAAGACGGGAACAGCACGAGGCACTGGGAGCTGCAAACGCCCGCGATACTGTCAGAGACGGAGAAAGGTATGGCCATGGCTGACACAAAATGTTACTCAACATTTATCACAGGCCTAAATGGAGAACATAACGCTATAAAACCCTTAGATAAAAACACAGGAAAATTTGTATGGCCTGGGGTTGGGCGAAAAGTTCTTAGACATGACACCAAAAGCATGATTCATAAAAGATTGACAAATTAAATTGTCATAAATTTAAAATTATAATGCTATAAAGCAATATAAAAATCTAAAGAGAATGAAACACAAACCATGGTCTAGAAATAAACATTTGTGAATCACACGTCTCACAACGTACTGGCACGCAGGATATGTGAAGAACCATCAAAACTTAACCATAAGAAAGTAAAAGCCCCAGTATTAAAGAGAGGGCAGATATTGGAACAGAGGCCTCATCAAAGAAGGTATAAGGAGGGCATATTGCCCGAGAAAGAGGCTCAACGTCGTAGAGATGCTGGAGAAATGCCAGTCAACAGTACCTCTGCAAATCTATTAAAATGGCTAAAAACAGACAAAAACCACAGGCCGACCCAGGTTCTAGTGATGATGCAGAGGAACTGGGACCCTCATAAGCTGCAGTGGGAATGGGAGGGGTCCCGCCATGCTGGAAAGTGGTCCGGGAGTTTCTTACGAAGTTAAGCACATCCTTACCCTGTCATCCAGCAACCCCGCTCCTGAAACGTCCCCCAAGAGAAAACTTAAACGTGCATGCACAAACCTGCACACAAGTGTTTAGGCCTCATTCCTCATTGCCAATAACTGGAAGAAAACAAAATGTCCATCGGCAGGAGGAGGCGGGAACCAACGCGGATGCTTCCACACAGGGGGCACCAACCAGCAGTGGAAGGATGCACCCAAATGCCCCAGGTCTCCCAGGCCACATGCCCAGTGAAGGAAGCTAGTTTCGGTGCGCACAGGCCGAGGGATGCCGCCACGTGACATCTTGGAGAAGACAGTGCTACCGTGTTGGGGAGCAGGGCAGTGGTTTCGAGGGGCTACGGGTGGAGGGGCGAATGGAGGAGCTCTCTGGGGCGGTGGCGTGAGCACCTGCACCTCACTGTGGGCTGCTGCGGCTGAGGGGCTGTACAGCAAACACTAGCTTCAGTACACGCAGACTGAAGGAGGAAGGCTGCCACAAGTCAAAGACAGAGGGTGTCACCTCCATGAAACAAAAACATATTAAAAAAAACTCTTAAAATAAAAAAACCACAAAAAGTATTTCATAAGCGTATTGGACTTTGAGTTGACATCATCTACCTGGGAGCATGGAACTGAAACCACAGGCTTGGCAATCCCAGAGGGAGAGAGTGGAGGGTTTAGACCTCCATTGAAGGGCTCAGTACCTGGCTATAGGAAATAACATTTAAAAAGCGGCAGGGTGGAAATAATTTCTGCTGATGAGGTTGCATTTCTCCAGATAACCGGCAGAGTAAATTAAAGCAATATAGTAAAACAATGCACATATTGATGGAATCTCAGGATCACAAGGTTGTGGTGAAGGAAATTTGAAGATGTCCAGGAAAGAAAGACAAATGAGATGAATCTTGCAGCTGCCCTTCAAGGGGGCATGGGCCGGGTGGCCATGATTCTCCGTGATGTTGCAGGAATTCTGGCTGGGTCCTCAGGAGCCTTTTTTTTCTTGTCCACATTCACCTTCGGTGGGTGGTCCCTGGTGGTCATGACCGCACTCAGGGCCCGGGGCCTGCTGAGGCTGCTCTCCCTGTTCCCGGAATGCAGGGGTTTGTTCCAGATCCCGCTGCTCTCCACACAGAAAGCCAATCACTAAGACGATAGTTACTGCCAATGAAGAAGGCATGCATCAGAAGCTACAGGCCAGGAGATGGGAGGTCAGCTTCAAATCCATCTTCCTGACTGACTATATAGCAGGGAAGAAGTGTGACTGTGTGTAAGGAAAACAGGAATTAGGGAGAGTGAGGAAGAGGAGTTGGTCAGGAGGAGGCAGGTGGCTGGTCAGGCACTCATGATGGGTGAGGGGTTTGGCGTCTTACTGTCCAGATGGCGTGATCTGGTGAGTCTCTCTTCCTTCACACTACCTGGGAGGCCTGATGGTCAGTTTCCTAAGAAAGGAACTCAAATAAGACAAATGTCACTTTCTCAAGTTTTAAGACCAAAAGGATCCATTTCTATGTTATTCAGAGAAACCATGAACATCAATTCTCTGGGACAATCAGGCCAGTTCAACACCAGATCTGATCGGCCACGACACCTGCTGCTCGACCCTCAGATAAGGCCCAGAATCCAGTGTCCTCTCCCCCACCCCAGCCTGGCCCCACACCCACACCTCCCCACTTCACCCTGGGCCTCTGCTCTCTCGCCACAGAGGGGTCAGGGAGCTGTTCACGCCCCACGTGCACCTGGGCACGTGGCATATTTCAGATGCACCTGGTGTCACTGTTTGCACAGACCTAAGTGGGAAGAGATCCAAATGCTCGTTCACTGCAGGTGGATGAGGACATCCCAGCAAGTCCCTCAGTGGAGTCAGCCAGTGCAAGGCGAGTGAGGGACCCCCAGAGACATGAATGGGTCTCAGATAGTGTGTGAGTGGATGAAGCAGCAAAAACACACGCTGCTAATTAATTGATTTATGTCGAGCTCAAAGTAGTCCACATCAAAAAGACTGTTTGGGGCTGCAGGAATTCAGTGGATAATTGCAGGCAAGGCAAGGGAAGGTGGACCAGAAAGGTGAGGAGGACGCTCCCTTCGAGGGTGGAGAGAGTAAGACTGGCATTGCACATGGGTGGGGGGGCCCGTCGAGGCCCCTCTTTGCTTCTGAGAGTCTGTTTTCATCGACAGTCTTCTACTAAATGTACATAGCAGCTTTTCAGGGCAAGGGTCACCGGGATTCGTCTTTATGCCTCCCCAGCCCGGGAGCCACCACCTCCACCAGACCCATCCACACAGTTGAATCTCATCTCAAGTTCTCTGGTGCCCGACCCCCCACGCACACCGTGCTGGTCTGGGCATCTCACCTGCATCCGCACAAGTGCCTCAGGAGGGTGGAGTGTCTGGTGCTCGGCGCTGGAGGCTCAGCCCACACTGTGCCGGGCAGTCGCAGGCCTCCCAGATGAATGAAGCATGAATGAATCCCGATCCTGTTATCACAGCTTCTCCCCACGCATCCCAGGCAGAATGTTGTGCAAAAACCACACCAGGATTCGTACATGCCAGAGGACTGAACTTCTGCGTGTTGCAGATAATTCATCTTCCTGAATCACTGTGGATCTACCATGTGGTTAACCACGGAATAAACATGGGGGAGAGCGTAAGCGCTGTCCTAGCAGAAACTTATGCTTCTTCCGTTACCCTTAAAAAGTAAAGGGTACGGATTTCATAATTGTGTTTCTCTTGTAAATGAGACTCTCATGGAAAAATCAGCCATGTAGGCGATAGATTTGTATACCTTTAGATTAAAATGTCACTTCGATTATTTCAAGTGTAAAAGTGTTTCAGCTTTTTTGAGGTATAATTGCTACACAAAGAGCTGCACACATTTCATGTGTGCACTTTGGTGAGACTTGACCTGAGCAAACACCCATGAAACCATCACCAAATCAAAGCAATCGAGGAATTCCACACTTGCTGGGGGCTTCCTTGCACCTGTGCCCGTGGTGAGAACACAGCACGAGATCTTCCCTCTCAGCCAATCGCAAACGGCCCACAAGAAAATGACACCAGGCCTCCTGGTGAACACACACCCTGTGATTTAATTGTTGATCTTTTTAACCTGGGGCTCACATTCTTCATTCAGAATATGGCAAAGACTTTAGAAGTCATCCAAAGTATCAGTAATTTGAAGTCCTTTAATACAAAAAGTATAGAATATGACCTTTTGTCACATAGCAATAGGGAAATGAAAAAAGAAAATCGACTTATGTTCTTTAATGGCTAGGAAAATATTCTTAAAAAGAGATCTCAAGCACAGGTGAATCTAACAAATGACAAATTTATTTCTTTACATAGATAAATATAAGGTTAGATCCACGTAAATAAATGAAGCCATTAAGGGTAGAGTCCCACAGACCACAGCGTCCAGCTCTGCTATCGATATCAGGGAGTAATTTCCAGGCACACAGAACTGACCCAGCATCCAGCTCTGCTCATGATTTCAGGGGTAATTCCCAGGCACGGGTCGAGCTGGAGAAGCTGGGGGCCCCCATAGCCCCACTGTCCTTCCTGCCTCATGGGGTCTCTGAGGGGTGCCTGGAACATTTCCTCTTGGGCTTTGAAGATCATTTCACTTAAACACATTTTCCAGGTGCCATGGACCTGAGCCCAGAAACTTCACGGTACCAGGACCACCCGAGACAGTGGCTCCCCAGGAGTGAGCACCAGGCACTGTCAGGGGTTCTCTCCCCAGCACATTTACAAGGACATGATGGGTTCTTCTTCCTGCAGAGCAATCCCAGTGGGAAGAAGGAGGGGACGGGAGGCCTGGCAAACTCTCCTCCCCAGCTCCGTTCCAAGCTCTGTGGGGCTCCGGCAGGCCCCATGTCATGTGCAGATGAGGGATTAGGGTTCCTCCCGGCCTCGCTGCTCTCAGGCCCTCAAGGGCTCCTCTCACCACCCCCGTGCAGCCAGCGGACCCTGCCCCCACCCAGCTGCTCCCCCCAGCTGCTCCCACTCAGCTGCTCCCACTCAGCTGCTCCCACTCAGCTGCTCCCACTCAGCTGCTCCCACCCAGCTGCTCCCACCCAGCTGCTCCCCCCAGCTGCTCACCCCCAACTGCTCCCCCCCAGCTGCTCCCCCCCAGCTGCTCCCCCAGCTGCTCCCCCCTAGCTGCTCCCCCCCAGCTGCTCCCCCGCAGCTGCTCCCCCCAGCTGCTCCCCCAGCTGCTCCCACTCAGCTGTTCTCACCCAGCTGCTCTCACCCAGCTGTTCCCCCCAGCTGCTCCCCCTCAGCTACTCCCACCCAGCTGCTCCCCACTAGCTGCTCCCCCCAGCTACTCCCACCCAGCTGCTCCCCACTAGCTGCTCCTCCCCAGCTGCTCCCCCCCAGCCGCTCCCCCCAGCTGCTCCCCCCAGCTGCTCCCCCCCAGCTGTTCTCACCCAGCTGCTCCCCCCCAGCTGCTCCCCCCCAGCTGCTCCCCCCCAGCTGCTCTCACCCAGCTGCTCCCCCCCAACTGCTCCCCCCAGCTGTTCTCACCCAGTTGCTCCCCACAAGCTGTTCCCCCCAGCTGCTCCCCCCAGCTGTTCCCCCTCCGCTGCTCCCCCCCAGCTGTTCCCCCCCAGCTGTTCTCAGGTTTCTCATCCTTCCTGGATGACGCCCTACCTGGGGCACCCGTTCCTGTGGCATCCCCAGTCCTGCACTGCAGCACTCAAACCCCGTCACCTCCCTGGCGAGACCATGCTGGAACCGTGATCAGCCCATCGGTTTCATCCATTATCCTCCTAGCCCAATTTCTGTGCTGATCTCTCGTTCCCAAAACATCTTGGAATTATAAGAAATTAACTTTTTTCAAGTCTCTGTGCTTCTGAAGCTGTACTTTTAAGAAATAATTCTTACGTTCTTTTGAAGGTTTTTTTTTTTTCTTTAAGACAGAGTCTCACTTTGTCGCCCAGGCTGGAGTCCAGTGGTGCAATCTCAGCTCACTGCAAGCTCCACCTCCCGGGTTCACGCCATTCTCCTGCCTCAGCCCCCCGAGTAGCTGGGACTACAGGCACACGCCGCCATGCCTGGCTAATTTTTTGTATTTTTAGTAGAGATGGGGTTTCACCATATTAGCCAGGATGGTCTCGATCTCCTCACCTGGTGATCCGCCCGCCTTGGCCTCCCAAAGTGCTGGGATTACAGGCGCCAGCCACCGCGCCCAGCTGGTATTTTTTTTTTTATTTTTTTATCAAATACAGTTGAGGCTCTCTTGGAGATCACATATTAAAGAGAACTGAGAAAAATCAGACCTCAGAAGCAGTACAGTGCCCTGTAAAGTACATGTCCAGTCCCATCACTGTCCTTCTCTCACATGGGCCCAGGGATGTGGGTGATGGTATTTATTGCCCCTGGTGATGGAGCAGATTTGATCTGCCTATGTGGGAAGGGGTTAACTCAGCGGGTGTGGATTGCTCAAACCCTGCACGTTCCCAGGAGGGGCCCTTGGCTGGCTCCTGGGAGCTGAGCTCCTGCAGTGTTCTGACTGATGAGAGAGACTTGAGCCATGTTGCACTACTTTGCCTGGGTAGTTGACCAACAAGGTGATGGATGGCAAACACCTGCTTTCGCTGTGGGTGGCTGGAACTTCCCTGACTGACCCCCAGGTTCAGGAGAGCCTCCCTGGTCCGCACCACGGCACTAGCTGTCCCAGCTTCTTGCTGGAGGAATCCGGCGCACCCTGTGTGACTCCGCTGGGAGGGACTCTGGAAGCGCCTGGCTTCCCTGGCAGCCCTTTCCCTTGGCTGGTTTACTCTGTACCCTTTCAAGTTGGAGGGTGGTCTCAGGGACCCCCATGCAGTCTTTCGTGCTTTCACCAGAAACTCACCTTGGCAGGGCTTCAGGGGAAGGCTTGGGATTTGGTGACAAGTGACTCCATGGCCTTGGGCAAAGCACAGCATCTACTTAGGTTTTCAGGCGGTTGCCCAGGTATGTCTAGCACCTAATGTAACCGAGGCGTGAAATGCCTGTGCGCCACGGTGCTTCAGCTCGTTACGGGCCGTTAGGCCTTGTGGTGGTTCTCTCTTGGTTTCTGTGGAGAAGCCAGACCCCGCTGTGGTTGGCAAGGAAGGCGAGTGGAGACATCAGGAGTGTCCATCCCTCAGCGGCCCTTTCTAGTGGGGTGGCTGCCTCTCTCATCCTTGATTAATCCCGGGACAACCTCTGCTCTCCTGGGCAATCCTTAGAATACTCCAGAAGACCCCAGTATGGCCGTCCGGTTCCTCCTGGGCCCCAGCTCTCAGGAATGCACCATCACGGCACACTCCATGCGTGCCCGTCCAGATGGCACCTGAGCCTCCCTGTGCCTGCGCTGCGGCGTTAACATCTCGCTTGTGTTTTAACCTGTGTTGCTTTGGTTTAAAACTTGTTTGACCGTGTTATTTGCTGAGATGGCCCAGAGAAGCTTCTGCTTATGATCAGGACACGTCACAGTGCAGCCTTCACTTGAGGACTTAGGTCTCATCCAGCTCCACACAGTCAATCCAGGGCCACGGACGCAGAAGACAGAGGAGAAGAAGCTCATGGCATGAAGACAGAGGATTGATTGCCCAGGAGGCTTCCAGGGGCTTTGGCTCCTGGGGCTTCTGTCAGCGCTGGGTCAGAGCAGGTCACCCTTGTGTGCAGACACTAGGTTGCCGCACACAGCGGTGAAGAACGGGGGAGACCAGATGGAATTGGGTGAGGCAGGGATGCTCCTTGGTGTTTAGAGTTTTCCTCTTTCTTTGCCTTGTGGGTTTTCTGTAGCCTATCTTTGCTTTTTGTAACACTAGTTTTCAGTAATTCCGACCTTTCTGAATACCTCTATATACATATACCTGTCTACTCTCCTTTCAGATACTTGTAAAGCCTACAGAAAGGTAATCCTGCAGATTATCACTCTATTCAGCTTAACAGATGCTCGTCGAGTGCTGCTGTGTGTGTATGCCTCAGGTTCAGGTGCACCTGCCTTTGTGGGGAGAGCACAGCTTCCCTGCATAACTGCTGGAGGGTGGGTCGTCGAGTGCTGCTGTGTGTGTGGGCCTCAGGTTCAGGTGCACCTGCCTTTGTGGGGAGAGCACAGCTTCCCTGCATAACTGCTGGAGGGTGGGTCGTGGAGTGCTGCTCTGTGTGTATGCCTCGGGTTCAGGTGCACCTGCCTTTGTGGGAAGAGCACAGCTTCTCTGCATAACTGCTGGAGGGTGGGTCGTCCAGTGCTGCTGTGTGTGTATGCCTCAGGTTCAGGTGCACCTGCCTTTGTGGGAAGAGCACAGCTTCCCTGCATAACTGCTGGAGGGCGGGTCATCGAGTGCTGCTGTGTGTGTATGCCTCGGGTTCAGGTGCACCTGCCTTTGTGGGAAGAGCACAGCTTCCCTGCATAACTGCTGGAGGGCGGATCATTGAGTGCTGCTCTGTGTGTGTGTGTGTGTGTGTGTGTGTGTGTGTGTGTGCCTTGGGTTCAGGTGCACCTGCCTTTGTGGGAATAGCACAGCTTCCCTGCATAACTGCTGGAGGGCGGGTCGTGGAGTGCTGCTGTGTGTGTGTGTGTGTGTGTATGCCTCGGGTTCAGGTGCACCTGCCTTTGTGGTAAGAGCACAGCTTCCCTGCATAACTGCTGGAGGGCGGGTCATCGAGTGCTGCTGTGTGTGTGGGCCTCAGGTTCAGGTGCACCTGCCTTTGTGGGAAGGGCACAGCTTCCCTGCATAACTGCTGGAGGGTGGGTCGTGGAGTGCTGCTCTGTGTGTATGCCTCAGGTTCAGGTGCACCTGCCTTTGTGGGGAGAGCACAGCTTCCCTGCATAACTGCTGGAGGGCGGGTCATGGAGTGCTGCTGCTGTGTGTGTGTGTGTGTGTGTGTATGCCTCGGGTTCAGGTGCACCTGCCTTAGTGGGGAGAGCACAGCTTCCCTGCATAACTGCTGGAGGGCGGGTCATCGAGTGCTGCTCTGTGTGTATGCCATGGGTTCAGGTGCACCTGCCTTTGTGGGAAGAGCACAGCTTCCCCGCATAACTGCTGGAGGGTGGGTCATCGAGTGCTGCTGTGTGTGTGGGCCACGGGTTCAGGTGCACCTGCCTTTGTGGGGAGAGCACAGCTTCCCTGCATAACTGCTGGAGGGTGGGTCATCGAGTGCTGTGTGTGTGGGCCACAGGTTCAGGTGCACCTGCCTTTGTGGGGAGAGCACAGCTTCCCTGCATAACTGCTGGAGGGCGGATCATTGAGTGCTGCTCTGTGTGTATGCCTCAGGTTCAGGTGCACCTGCCTTTGTGGGAAGAGCACAGCTTCCCTGCATAACTGCTGGAGGGCGGGATCTTCCCAAGGGGAAGTTGGGAGGTGCTCAGGCGGAGCAAATGGATTTAACTTCTGGGCTGGGAGAATGTGGTACCCCCGTGGAAGTCTCCCTGAGGAAGGAAAGGAAGGAGCTGGAGGGAGGGTGTGTGTGTCTTAGGAGGGGACGCACTTCAGGTGAGAGCGGGCATGGCACTAGGAGGAGCCCCATGAGCCCAGAGTGGTGGCACGTAGAGGCCTAAGGGACCATGCCAGCAGACCCCACCGCCCGTGCTCCACCAGGAGCCTGACATTGTTCTCTGAGATCAGGGGGCTGTCTCTGTGTACTGCCCAGGACTGTGGCATTTTTGTGCATAAAAAAAAAAAAAAACTGTGTGTCTAACACAGACGGGGTATGAGGAGAGCCACTGGTCTCTCCTGACCTTAAAAATATTTTTTTAGTTCATTTTTAGTGAGTATGGAAATTACTGAAGGTACAAATCACTCTGAAGATAGGTTCTTGTGTGCGAAGGTCATCAGTGAATCTTCATTCTCAGAGTTGATAAATGGTTGTGAGCGCTCAAGGGTATCAGATTCAACGATGAGTCTGAGGATAGTACAGCTTTCCTATTCAGTTTCAAGGAAAATCATATAAAGCCCAGACCGTAATTTGTCAGGAATGTTTGAAGTGTGGTGTGATGGATGTCTTCACCGTGCTTTAGGATGATTACTGAGGGAGAACGGAAGGAAGGGGTCTGGTACTTGCACCTTTCAGTAGAATTAGTGTGAATGCCACAGCGACCAAGCTATGTTCAGGTGTCTGCAGGCAGTGGTGGCCTTGATGATGGATTTTCTGAAATGGGAATTCGTGAAGTCCTCTAACAAAACTAAGTGCGAACTTCTCAACTTAGCTGGTGACTGCATCCTTGAAAAATTCTGTGTGTAAAATGATACAGAACCATTTCTTGGTTATCTGTTAAATAAGAGTGCATGTCCAGCCGCGATGACTGTGGACGGCCTTGGAGGTCTGGGAGGCCACGAAGGACTCCCACACACAGCAGGGTGTGAACCCACCAGGCAGTGCTTTGGCCCCCTCCCAGGAGTCATGGCAGCCGACACGTCACCTGGAGTGTCTAGAAAACCACTACCTTAGAGCCCCCACTGCTTTTCCTGGTGCCTCCAGGTATAGATCACAAACTCAGTGTCCCAGAAAGATTTTCCTTTTACTTTAACTCCTGTTGTTGTTTGTTTTCAGGCACGTGGACTCCCTTTAATCCAGTGACTGTCAGGTCGATCATATGTAAGTATCGGCAGACGGACCAACCTGGGCTGCTTTGTATCCGACCCGCTTGGGTACCCGCTTGTGTTTCCTTTGTCTGTGGGTCCGTATCACTTTGCTCCCTTCTGGAATTCCACTTAGATGAGCGTCGGCCCTTTCATCCCTCTCCCTCCGTCTCTGTACCTTTTCACATCTCTCCGTGTATGTTTGCTCTATTCTTGATTCTGTTTATTTTTAATGTACGGTGTAACCTGTCCTTTCAGTTTCTAATTCTAAAGATGACATATATTTAAAATTTCTAAATTATTAGTTACTTTCACATCTTATCTGGGTGTTTTTGATAGACATTGCTTATTTATTTTTGTGATTCCATTCTTTATTCAAATATTTCATATGATAGTCTTCAGTTTTAAGAACATGCTTTTTTGAAAAGCGCTAGATATTTGTGACATGGAGCTCCTTGACTGTGTTTGAAGTCCTTGGGAGGGTGGTCTACAGCCAGATATTTTTCCTGCTCAAGCCCACACAGAGTGACCAACTTCCTTGATGCTTCTGTAATTTTTGTTTGTTTTGTGGGTTCATGTGTAGCCTTAATGTGAGGGTCTGCATCATTTCTTTGGGTCCAGGGTCTCCCCAGCTGTATAGGCAGCTGGGTTTTTGTTTGTTTCTTTTAAGAGACAGGGTGTCCCTGTGCTGCCCAGGCCTGGTCTGGAATTCCTGGGCTCACGCAATCCTCCTGCCTCAGCCTCCCAAAAAGTGGGGATTACAGGTGTGCACCCCCATGCCCAGACGGTAGCCGGGGTGTGAGCTGAGGCTCCAGGCGCAGGCAGGTGTTCAGGAGAGTCGTGCTGTGTCTCCATCCCCCGTAGCCAGGTGGGAGCTGCAGCTCCAGGGGCAGGCAGGCCTGGGAGGCAGGTGTTCAGGAGAGTCATGTTTCCATCCCTACCCGACTTGATTTCTGGAAGGTTCCCTTTGCTGGGAGGTGCAGCCCCCTTCAGACCTCTTTAATATGGAATCCCAGGTTCAGTTCTGCCTCACAGGGACCATGGCATTGTGTCTCGAGGTTTCCCAGAGCGGCCTGGGGCTCATTCCCTCGCCTCCCATCCATGCACGTGTTTTAGTCTTGTGAGGATTCCCTGAGTTCCTTGCGGAGCCTGTGTGTGGTGAGGTGTCTGAGTCCTAGTGTGGGTGTAGCTGGGGGCTTTTCCAGATGACTGTGCCCTGCTGGTCGTGCATATGTTGCTACGTCACACTGATGGAGGGAGAGAAAACTTGGAAGTGTAGTAGTGGCAGGGCTCAGCCTTTAGTGCTAGAAAAGGTGTTGATACATGGGGAGCTACCTCCCCACCGGAGAGGAATGGCCTGGGAGCCACTCCTCTGCGGAGCCCTTACCCTGGGGTGCAGCTCACCCAGCATCCTTCCCTGCTGGTGTGTGGTGCGCAGTGGGTCCTGCACGCAACAGCATCGTCCACACACACTGCACACATCGTGGAATGGTCGTATGAAAAACAGCCCCTGGTCCACACACCACACACGTCGTGGAACGGTGCACGTCGTGGAACGGTTGTGTGAAAAACAGCCACTGGTTGCACACAGGGTTGTGGACTGTTGGGAAGAAACATCGATGCTGTTTCTCACATGATTTTTCATCCTGTGGATTTTCATTTAATTGTAACATATTTCTGATCAAACCAGGAGTAGTCTTATTGCAGTCCTGTATTAACCTCTGTTCTTGAAAAGAGACCACGTGATTTATCATTTTCTCTGCAGCAGTAATTCACACTGAATTTTTCTATGTTTTTTAGCCATATTGCAACTACATATAAAGGTAGTTATAGATTCTTTTGTATTTGGACCTGGAGTTAGACTGAAAGCAAATAGGACATAGGCGAGGGTCTGTTTCTAATTAAAGCAGGTTTTCCTGACAGGGCTGTTCCAAGACTCCACCAGTGCTGTGGGCCCTGGAGAGTCAGAGGGTCAGCTCTGGGAATTAGATTCGCGTTCTAGGCCGAGACCCAGGAGCCAGGGGAGCTGGGGCCACTTACCTTCCCCGTGCCTCGGAAGCTGAGTGTGAAGCTCTGCTCTTCTTTCTGTCGTGGCTGCGGCTGGATTTCCTCACACATCCCATTGCACGGCCTGCCTCACAGCTGCAAGTGCACCTTCTCCTGGGACTTAGGGGGTCAGGGCTGGGGGACAATCCCCCACACCCCCACCCAGGGCGAAGGTGACAAGACTTTAAGGGATTTCACCCCATTCACAGACAGGCATGCATTGCCCAGTCCCTGGTTAGTGGTCAGCAGTGGGGCCCCGCCAGGCTCTGAGGGCTGAGGTCTGGTGGGAAGCCTCAAGTGAGTTTGCTGCAACTGATCTTTTGCTGCTTGACCGTTCCTCTCTGTCTCAGCCATGTTTGACCGTGAGAACAAGGCCGGCGTGAACTTCAGCGAGTTCACGGGTGTGTGGAAGTACATCACGGACTGGCAGAACGTCTTCCGCACGTACGACCGGGACAACTCCGGGATGATCGATAAGAACGAGCTGAAGCAGGCCCTCTCAGGTTTCGGTAACTCACTCACTCTGGCTTGTGTAGCGTGTTTCATTTTGGAACCTTGGAGCCGTTGAAGTTCTTTAAACCTTGTTGGACTTAACTGATTGTCTAACCAGGCTACGTAAAGTTTTTGTTGACGTCATGCAGGTTCATATTTGATATTGCTCATGTCGGAAGGCGATCCTCGACATGGATACGTTTATTCAGGTTTTTATCCAAAATGAGATAAGGGCTATGCAAGCCGTTCATCTTTTCTGAAGTGGAATGATGTCGTGAGCAAAACTGAGAATGTGGCTTTTGAAATCATTTAAAAGTGGATCCATGAAAATACCGTGGGGCAGGGCAGCTTATATTTCATGATAGATCAAAGCACGTTGAAAAGGCAACAGTCACCTAAGAAACAGCTGTCAGTCACCAGGTCCAAACCGTGCGCCTCAGAAGGGGCGTTAGGCAGAACGCGTGCCCATTCTCAGGTGTGCTCGGCGTGTGTGTGCTCGGCGTGTGTGTGCTCGGCGTGTGTGTGCACACGTGTGCCGTGCGCCTCAGAAGGGGCGTTAGGCAGAACGCGTGCCCATTCTCAGGTGTGCTCGGCGTGTGTGTGCTCGGCGTGTGTGTGCACACGTGTGCCGTGCGCCTCAGAAGGGGCGTTAGGCAGAACGCGTGCCCATTCTCAGGTGCGCTCAGCGTGTGTGTGCTTGACGCGTGTGCACACACACATGTGACGGTGTGCCGTGGGTCTAGGAGTGTTCACAGTGCCTGTCCAGAGTGCGTCCATAGGGCCTGTCCACGGGGCTTCCCGTGCTGCTCTCAGGGCTGAGAGGAAGCAGGGGTTTTATTTACAGAGGAACAACGGGCATGTTTGGGGCCAGCCTGAGGCTGTTGGTGGCTGCACCGAGATTCTAATCCATGCGGATCTCATCTGGCCCCTGTTGTGAAGCCGCTTCCGTGATTTGCTTAAAAGGCTCCTTAGAAACAGTGAGGAAAATTCGATTCTACTTGAGTACCTCCGAGATCCCTGGAGTCTCACTTATCTAAGCACGTCGCCTCTCCTCGTGTTTCCTCCCAGCATGCACTTTGTGGCTGCCTTTCTTTCTCTTTTCTTTCTCACCTTACGAGCTTGTCCACAGGGCCGGGGGTGGACACTGGGTCTCCTCAAGAAGCAGTTCTGAGCTGACCAGCTGCGAGCCAGGATTTGGGCTGGATGGCTCTGAATTGGTACTTGGAATGCAGCTGACCTTGCTGTGCCCTTGGGTGGGGGAACTGGAGGGAACGCTGGCCGGCTCCTCTTCCCTGGGGCAGGTACGGAAGGGCTGGGAGGGAAGGATGCCACCCTCCACAGAGAGTGGTCCTGGGGGCCAGGGAGGCCAGTGCTGCCGATTGCGGCCAGGGCCACGTGGACTTCAGGACCGGCCTGAAGTTATTTTTAGATAAGCGACCTCTGGCGCCACGGACATCTTTTCCTAACCTTGTCAGGCCCTGGAGCTCCCTTTGTCCATGCCAGTGACCATCGGTCCTCAGAATGTGCAGTGGAAGTTGCTGTGGACAGTGCTCCCTGGTCTCTGAGGCCCTCTTCGTCCTGGTCTGGCCAAGGACTTCCCAGAAAACTGTGCTTAGCTGTGGCGGGAGGCACGGCCGGTCACGCAGCCTTCCTCCCGCCCTGGAGTGGGCAGGCCTGCTTGTGTTGTGCAGCGGCAGAACCCTTCCTGACTTCCAGGTTTTTCCTGGGGTGCGGCATCCCATCGCAGCATTTTCTCTGGTTACCCTCACGAGTTTCCTCCTGCGTTTGGTTCTTGATCTCCAGGGCCATCTCCCACGTCTTCCTTGGAAAGGGGCATTGTCATCCTTTTTGTATTTTGATGATTTTGAAAGATTTCCCATAGTAACTGTTAGGAAGTTGGCCTCAGAAGCAAAAATTCTTCTTTTGTCTTGGCCCCTGTGAACAAGTGTTCTGCTCTCAGATGAAGCAGGGAGGCTGCACTGGAGCTTGGTGGCCAGCAGGAGGGAATCACCAGGGTGGTGAAGCCTGCGAGATTTCTCCCCGGGTGTCTCTGATGGGGCCACATGGTGGATTTCATAATCCACCGATTCGTTTTTTTAAGCCTTTATTGTTAACATCAACTGTGTGCCATGCTCAGAGACCTGAAGTGAAAAGGTGAGGAAGGCGTGCTCACATTCCAGCACTCACCACCCGGCACCGGGACAGCTGACTCAGCACGTGCCGTTTAGGTTGCTGTAAACAGCCGGTGAGATTCTCCCCTCTGGTGGGCAGTGCGTGTCTGACAAAGGCAGTCGGGCGGAGAACAGTTCCTCCGCTGTGGTCCTTTGCCACTGTACCAGGCCCCCAAGAGCTGGGGGGAGCCCCAGGGAGCCTCAGCCTGTTGAGTGGGGGCAGCTGGTTTGTCCTCCGAGGTGGAAGAGGTGATTTCTGAGGAGGTCATGCTCCGCTTGGCTCGTTCACAGCATTTCAGAGAGTCCGAAAGAGGAGAAAGACCTTGGCAAGGGGTGTGTCAGGGGTGGGCCCAGGGACGCTGGTGGCCTCATGTGGACTGACTTTCATGAACAGAAACTCAGAAACAGTTGCTTCTGGATTTTGGCTTCTCAGATAAACATTCTTTTTGTAGTTCGTTTGTTCATCCCTCATTTTGCTGTCTGACTTTGCCTTTCTTTTCCCTTCACTATTACTGATGACCAAGGAAACTGGAAGTTAATTCCAGAGGCAGTGGGGTTGCTCCTGTTGTCTGTGCAGACTGGAGTTCCTCTGCCTCTGTCAGCATCTCCTCTGTCCTTCCCCAGCCTTGGCAGGAGACCAGTAATGACCTCTGTCCCCGTGCACCCCAGTGATGGCCGCCGTCCCCGTGCACCCCAGTGATGGCCGCCGTCCCCGTGCACACCAGTGAGGGCCGCCGTCCCCGTGCACACCAGTGAGGGCCGCCGTCCCCGTGCACCCCAGTGAGGGCCGCCGTCCCCGTGCACCCCAGTGATGGCCGCCGTCCCCGTGCACCCCAGTGATGGCCGCCGTCCCCGTGCACCCCAGTGATGGCCGCCGTCCCCGTGCACCCCAGTGATGGCCGCCGTCCCCGTGCACCCCAGTGATGGCCGCCGTCCCCGTGCACCCCAGTGATGGCCGCCGTCCCCGTGCACCCCAGTGATGGCCGCCGTCCCCGTGCACCCCAGTGATGGCCGCCGTCCCCGTGCACCCCAGTGATGGCCGCCGTCCCCGTGCACACCAGTGATGGCCGCCGTGCCCGTGCACCCCAGTGATGGCCGCCGTCCCCGTGCACACCAGTGATGGCCTCTGTCCCCCATGCACTCCCAGACAGGCAATGTCCCTGTGGGCCTGTCCCAGGCTCTGTTCTCAGCAGGCTGGGCTCAGCCCTGGTGCAGGGAGTGAGGAGGTGGGAGTAGTAGGGACCAGAAAAAGTGGCAGCTGTTGACAACTCTGCCATCTCTTTCTGAATGTAATGGGAGGTCCTGTCTTTTCAGCTTGCAAGGAAGGAGGGTCCGAGGCAACTCCGCTGTTGCACATTTAGGGACCCCTGAACTTAAATGACAGAATGCCCTGACCACTCTGGAAGGCACTGTGTTCATGTTTGTGTGCTTGACTCTTGATCCGTAAAATGGCTGTTTGTGCAGGTCATTAACTGTGAGATTCAGAGAGTAGGTGCACACGTCCCTGCAGAGATTCCAGCAGGACTGAAAACCAGTAGAAATATATCAGCACCTGGATCTTGCCTCCTGAGTCAGTAAGGATATGCCACAGTCACGAAGGCAGTGGGATTTCGAGGGAGGGAAGGGAAGGCGGCAGGCGGGGCATGCCCTCCGGGGTGCCCGAACACACCTGCTGCATCCACATGTCTTCAGAGCCCTCTCCCTGTGGGAGGCCTTTTTCAGGACAGCCTTGGTGAACTGGAAACGGAATCCCAGCCCTTGGTGGCCCTGCAGTGACTTGGACCTTTCCGAGGTCACCCTGCCACTGCGTGCCCTTCAGTCCCTCCTGGCAGGTGGGGGCACATCCCCCAGCCACTCCCATTTCCTGACATTGTCACTTTGTATAACTGGAAGCCTTCTGTGAAATTTTAGTTTTCAAAGCATTATCTGGTGATGGGCAACCCAGGGCAGCGAATCATTCAGAATTTTCTTATCTAGGCTAATAAACATAATAAAATCAATAAGGACTTTGAAAGTAACTCCACTGGGTTCAGGAAACTGAGTGTGGCCGCCCTGTGGGGTGGTGTTTGGTGAGTGCTTCCCGGAGGTGAGTAGTTAATTCACAGGAGTGACTAATGGCAGCGTCCCACTCACTCCTCCTTCCGGGGTCATGGTCTCAAGGGGTCACTCCATGCACTGGGGATGTCAGCTCATTACAGAATGATATATTCGGGAAGTGTCTCAGTTCTGAGTGCCTTTGAGGGAATTTGCACTTCCGTTCCCACACAGCCTTGCATTGTGTGTGTTAGAGGCTGTGGGCCTTGGGCAGGAGGGGTGAGTGTTGGCACATACCTCCCGTCTCTCCCAGCCTTCTCTGACTCTGACTTTCCCTCTTGAAGGCTACCGGCTCTCTGACCAGTTCCACGACATCCTCATTCGAAAGTTTGACAGGCAGGGACGGGGGCAGATTGCCTTCGACGACTTCATCCAGGGCTGCATCGTCCTGCAGGTGACGGAATGGCTTCACGTGGGTTTGTGGTGGTGGTGGGAGGGGCTTGCTTGCCAGCGTGATGCACCTGACCTTCAATCTAAGGAGCTGGGCATGTGTAGAATTAGTTTTTGGAGCTTATAAAAGTGAGTCTCATCTTTGGAGAAGTAGCCGGTTAGTGAAGTGTGGACAAACATGTTTTCCTCCCCTTGGAAATGGCACAGAGCAGCCCATCTGCAAGACGTGGTTTTTCAGTATCCGGTGGGTTATTTACATGTATGTTCTGGTGTTGTGGTTTTTTTTGTTTTTTGTTTTGTTTTGTTTTGTTTTGAGACCGAGTCTCGCTCTGTCACCCAGACGGGAGTGCAGTGGCACGATCCCGGCTCACTCCCACCTCTGCGTCCCGGGTTTAAGCAATTCTCCTGCCTCAGCCTCCCCAGTAGCTGGGATTACAGGTGACACCCAGCTAATTTTTGTATTTTTAGTAGAGACGGGATTTTGCCATGTTGGCCAGGCTGATCTCAAACTCCTGACCTCAAGTAATCCGCCCACCTTAGCCTCCCAAAGTGCTAGGATTACAGACATGAGCCACCATGCCTGGCCAACTATGGTGTATTTTTACAAAAACTTTTATTCTGAGAAAATGGGCACGTTTTCTGTTGTGGTCATCACTGTGTCCTGCCGTCTGTGTGTGAGGTCAGCTGTGGAGCCTGTGGTCGCTCAGGCCGCCCTCAGTGGGGTCTCCGAGCTCTTCCCGTGCACTCCAGTGTCTGCAGGAGCTGGTAATGCACCCTGACCTGCAAGGCAAGCTCCTTGGTGGTGTCTCTCCTGCTGGGCTCTCTTTGAGACCCACGGGAGATGGAGAGCAGGGCTCAGGGGACCCGCCTGGGAGCTCCACACAGACCTCTGCTGCTGTTTGCAGGTGGTGATCCAGGTCTCTACCCAGGTTCCTCAAGGTCCTGTCTTGTTGGCCTTGGAATTCAGTGAGAGATAGGAACAGCATGGGGTTTTTAGAAATAATGTGGAAATTTGGAAAACGTTCCCAAATTGTTTATTCTGTATAATAATTAAGATGCTAGATCTGTAAAAGTGAGTTTCCTCTGATTTGGCATGGATGCATCAGTCCCTGTTCTTCAGGGATTTGTTGGAGAACCAGGTCTGTGAACATGGAAGCTTCAAAACTCTACGGTTGGGGACCCTTTCCTGCCCCTGCCTCTCGGGGTTCCTGCCAGGTTGGATGACATTTTTACAATGTTCTCTGAACACTTTCAAAAAAGTGTAGGCTGGGCCTGGTGTCGCATGCCTGTAGTCCCAGCTACTCAGGAGGCTGAGGCAGGAGAATCACTTGAACCCGGGAGGTGGAGGTTTCAGTGAGCCGAGATCACACCACTGCACTCCAGCCTGGGTGACAGAGCCAGACCCTGTCTTAAAAAAGAAAGAAAAGAAAAAGGGAAAAGATGCCGTGTAAAATCTCGTTCTGTGTCTGAATTGCCGTAGGGCTCAGATCTTCATTTGAGGTTCTGTGTCTGAATTGCCGTAGGGCTCAGATCTTCATTTGAGGTTATGTTCTATAAGTTAACGTTGATCTTGTGTGAGCTTTCGGTAGCTGGAGTAACACAGGCGGCCTCACAGCGACCTCTCCAGCGCCTTCCAAGGCACATCTGCAGCCAGCGTAGCTCCTCCTGGGAGATGCCTCCTCAAGGCCCTGCTCCAGACCACGTGGGGAGGGCCTGACAGCCAATTCCCAGGCTGTCCCCACCCTTGGAGAGTGACCCTAAACGCTAGACAGATGGGGAATGGGAAAGAAAAGAAAGCTGCAGACCTCAAGTTAAAATTCCCTCAAAAACGTTTTTATTTATCTGCTTTTTCTGAAAGGATAAAGGCTTTTTGAAAATTATTTTCTAACAAATAACATGAACACTTCTAGAAACCCTAGAAAAACACAAAGTATTCAAAATAGAAAGAAAAATTACCCATTACTCTTTAAGCCAGCATTATCCATTGCGGTGCTTTTGGAGTTGGGTGAGGCCGTAGCCTCTGCCAAGTCAAGGAGCCCGGTGGTGGCTGTGGCATTCCTGCAGGGTTGTTTTTTTTTCTTTGAGATGGAGTCTCACTCTTGTCACCCCAGCTGGAATGTGGTGGTGTAAACAGCTCACTGCAGCCTTGACCCTGAGGCTCAAGCGATCCTTCTGCCTTGGCCTCCTGAGTAGCTGGGATCCCAGGCGAGAGTCACCACACCCTGTCCATGTTCCTGCAGGTCTTGATGTGCGAGGACGCTGTGTCTTCCCTGCCACATTTTCTTCTTCTTTCTTGAGACAGACCCTTGCTCCATCACCCAGGCCAGAGTGTGGTGGTGCGAACACGGCTCACTGCAGCCTCGACCCTCAGGCTCAAGCGATCCTCACGCCTCGGACCCCCAAAGTGCTGGGATCACAGGCGAGAGTCACCATGCTGGCCTGAATCTTCAGGGTATTTTACGGTTGAAGTGTCACTTACTTAACCATCCCTGTTTCAGGAGTGTAGGTGGTCACCCTGTCTCTGCCGCTGACCTGGCCTGGACCCTCGGCTGTGAGAGGGAGGGGTGGGCTGGGCTGGAGGAACCTGAAGCCCTCGTGATGTCACAAGCCCATCTGGCTGGGCATCCCCTGCGCTGCACATGCCCCAGGTGGCCCCCACAGCAGAGGCGAGCCACTGGAGGGTGGAGGGCTTCCACGGGACGGTCTTCAGGGGGAGAAGGAAGGGCCCAGGCCCCCAGGAGACTCAGGAGACCAGAGCCTGGGGTCAGGGGCTCAGCCAGGGGCTCAGCCAGGGCTGGATGTCCGGAGCCAGCCCCGCAGCCCTGTGTTCTTCGTTCTTCGCACTCCCACCGTCCGTGTGAACAGCTCCAGCCCCACCTGCGCCTCCCTGTGCTGGGCTCCATCAGGGAGCCCAGAAGACGTGTGTGCTTCTGAAATTGGGTCCCTACATGCCTTTGTCCCAGTGCACCTTGCTCCTTCCATTTACTATCGAGATTTAAATGCCTGTTTTCTCCCCAGAGGTTGACGGATATATTCAGACGTTACGACACGGATCAGGACGGCTGGATTCAGGTGTCGTACGAACAGTACCTGTCCATGGTCTTCAGTATCGTATGACCCTGGCCTCTCGTGAAGAGCAGCACAACATGGAAAGAGCCAAAATGTCACAGTTCCTATCTGTGAGGGAATGGAGCACAGGTGCAGTTAGATGCTGTTCTTCCTTTAGATTTTGTCACGTGGGGACCCAGCTGTACATATGTGGATAAGCTGATTAATGGTTTTGCAACTGTAATAGTAGCTGTATCGTTCTAATGCAGACATTGGATTTGGTGACTGTCTCATTGTGCCATGAGGTAAATGTAATGTTTCAGGCATTCTGCTTGCAAAAAAATCTATCATGTGCTTTTCTAGATGTCTCTGGTTCTATAGTGCAAATGCTTTTATTAGCCAATAGGAATTTTAAAATAACATGGAACTTACACAAAAGGCTTTTCATGTGCCTTACTTTTTTAAAAAGGAGTTTATTGTATTCATTGGAATATGTGACGTAAGCAATAAAGGGAATGTTAGACGTGTGGTCTGCCTTCAGCTTTTCAAATCAAATAGGTCCAAGAACCAGGCCCCGTGCCCTGGTCCTCCAGACAGTCAGTGTCAGATGTTCTGGCTTGCCTGGGACCTCCCAGGGTACCGGGCACCTTCTGGAACATTGTCCAGCCCAGCGTGCACAGCTCTGCTTGTGAAAATCCAGAGGGACTGTCTCACCCTCTGTTCAGGAGGTTAAATTTCATAAGACTGCTCCTTTTGGATGAAGAAATCCAATTTGGTATAGCAGGTTGTGCATTTCCATCATTAATGATTTAGCCATGCTGTGCCCTGCAGTCTCTGCACGTGGCCTGCAGCGTTTGTCCACCCAGCGCATCCTGCTCACCTCGGTCCACTGCCAGCGCTGCCCGGTCCGCCTCCCTGCCTCACTGTGCAGCGCCGGCCCTCCTGGGTTGACACTCCCGAGGCCCAGCCTCATTCTCCAGACGCTTCCCTTCCACAGTGATGCGTCTGGTTTTGGGGCTGCAGCCTCTGGTCTCAGAAAGCCTGCTCCTTCCACCCAGTTGTGCACGACTTTTCTCTGTTCGTTTTGGTCTCTTGGGATCTGTTCAAACCTCTGCTCGGTGTGTTGAGGGGTGAGGGGCAGGGAGCATGGTTTCCTGGAAAAAGCCCCCAGTCTCTTAAGCTGGGCAGGTGTGCTGTGGGGGGTGGGGACTGGGGCTGCTTCTGTGCTCCAGATGAGACCTCCCCCACTGCCCAACTGCACTTGGCCTGGGGCCCTCTGGATACGAATCCCTCTGGAGCAGGCACTCCAGGCTCCCTGGGGATGGGAGGGGGAGGGATGTGGGCTTGGGGGTCTGGCTGCTCCCTCATGACCTCAGTCATGGGGATCCCAGGGCAGTCTCTGAGGATCCCCAGCAATCCACGCCGGGTGCCTCCCTAGACCTTGACACCCCCATGACTCTGCAGCAGATGACCCCAAGTTCTACTCCATGAGGTCAACTTCCTTGTCCAGGCCGCAAGCTCCCAATTCCATGAGGCCTTCCTCACCCAGGCCTCCACGGCCAGGCGCCCAGCGACTTCTCCCTCGCCTCATGGGCACCTGGACTCAGTGTCCAGTAGCTGCACCCACCCCACCCTGGGAGCTGCCCTCACTCCTCCTTCAGCCTTAGGCCTGTGAGGTCTCTGTGCTTGGGGTGAGGGCAGCTGCTGCGGCCACCCTGCAGCCCTCCCAGCCACGTCTCCAGGCCCTTGCCCGTGCTGTCCCCTGTGCAGTGGGCAACCCCCACCCCACACCTGCAGCTTCTCTGGCCTCTGGATTCCTACCTGGGTCAGGGAAGCCTGCTACTCTGGAGGAGCTGTCAGCCCTGGTGAGACACCTGCCCCCAGCACATGTCTCCATGGATGATACGGGCCAACAGTTGATACCAAGGCCGATGTGCTCATCCTGTGGATCAGCTGCCGGGGAAGGAATGTTGTGTGTGGCGGTTAGCTCCATACTCCTAGAAAGCAGGCGAAGGCCAGGTGAGACGGAGACTTTCATAGAGAAAAGGTCAGATTGTGGATGATTTTCCTTCCTTCCTTTTCACAGCAATGAGAGGTTCCTCTGATGGAGATAAAGTGTGTTTCTCAGGTCTCTGGTATGCTCAGGTGTGGCAGGTTCACAGGTGTGAGGTACACTCAGGTGTGTGGTGCAGGTACCCTCAGGTACTCTGCACGTGGCTGCCATGGGGGCTCCTGTTTGCAGGCAGCTCGGGGAGGCTGCCTTGGAGAGGGGCCTCCATGAAGACTCACAAGAACAAAAGCCGCTGAAAATTCCAGAGCAGAAGTTCTTCAGCAGAGGGTGAGGAGGGCGGTGGGGCCGCTGCACCACACGCTTGGAGGACCAGCAGGGGTAGAGCGCTGGACAAACGCATGTCAGGCCGGCCTGCTGGCAAAGGAACCCCTGGATGCAGAGAGCCTGTTGGGCTGGTGGGCTGTGGCTGTTGGGAGGGACATTTCCCCGGGGAGCTCCCAGCCATCAGAAGTCAAGGGAGGGAGGCGGTGAGGAGCCTCTCGAAGCAGAAGGTGTGGAGGGGGGACTCCCCTGCTCTCCTGGCCGGAGTCACTGATACAAAACTGGGGGTCCCTGGAGGGCAGTGAGCTCACGAGTTGTGGTGGATTCCTTGTGGAGGGGGTGCCAACCCGCAGGGAAGCAGGGCTGCCGTGCCCCCTGCCCAGCCACACTGCCAGCACAGACCCCATCCTCAGGCGCCTGCAGGGAGGCCACCCACGCCTTCCTGGGTGAGGGAAGCCCCTGAGCTAAACCTCACTGCACTCTGAGGCCCCAAGGGCCAGGCAGCTGCACACAGCCTGGGCCACGTGGGGGCAGTGCGGCTGCACCACGGAGCTCTCGGGAGCTGCTGACTGACCGGGAGGACCTGCCCGACACAGCCATGGGATTTATAGCCGCAGAGAGAAGACTACAGAGAGACGGGCCTTCGCCCTTTCAGCTCTCCCTTGTCAGGCAGGCTGTGCCCTGTGACCCTTCAGAGCCTGGGTTTGGGGGTGGAGGGGGTGGACAGCTGACCAGGTGCCTGGCGCAGGCCCAGTGTGGTGAGGCTGGGTCGCGGAGGCCAGGCCAGGCCAGCGGCCACGACCACCCACCAGGGACCCTCAGCGTCACGACCCCGGTCCCAAGACCCAAGACAGCAGGACATGGGGGCACAGCCATCTCTGGGGGCCTCTCCTTCCCCCCGCTCTGGGTCCTCAGTCATCAGTGCAGACATGGAGGTGCAGGTGCACGCCGTACACCCTCACCTGGGGCCCCTGGCCCATGCCTCCCCACCCTCCCTACCCTGATCTCCCCCCACAACCCTACACCTCCCCGGACAACCCTGCACCTCCCCCAACAGCCACCCTGCACCTCCCCGCCACAACCCTGCACCTCCCCCAACAACCCTTCAACTCCCCTCTCACCTTGCACCTGCCCCTCACCCTGCACCTCCCCCCATCCTGTACCTCCCCCCTTCACCCTCCACCTACTCCCAACCCTGCATCTCCCCCCAACCCTGCACCTCCCCACATCCTTCACCTCCCTCCTCACCTGGCACCTCCCCCCATCCTTTCCCTCCCCCAATCCTTCACCTCCCCCCTCCCTTCATCTCCCCCCTCACCCTCCACCTCCCCCCCGCACCCTGCACCTCCCACCCTTACCCTGCACCTCTCCCCATCTTTTACCTCCCTCCCACCCTGCATCTCCCCCCAACCCTGCACCTCCCCCCATCCTTTATTTCCCCCCACCCTGCATCTCCCCCCAACCCTGCACCTCCCCCCATCCTTTACCTCCCCCCACCCTGCATCTCCCCCCAACCCTGCACCTCCCCCAATCCTTCACCTCCCCCCTCACCCTCCACCTCCCCCCCTCACCCTGCGGCAAGCAGAGAGCTGACTCCAGCACAGTGAACTTGGAATGATGGAATGCACCCTGGAAGCAGCTCTGACGGGCGCCACCGTGACTGTGCCCAGCAGGGAGCTCCCTTGTGGTTTTTAACAAAAGACAAAATTCCCCAGGTCCTTCTCTGTGCTACAGGAGAAACTGGTGTGGGAGAGGGAACCCAGGCGTGACCAGGGAGAAACTGGTGTGGGAGAGAGAGGGAACCCAGGCGTGACCAGGGCTGCCCAAGCGGCTCCCTGTGAGGCATCAACGCTGGAGACACAGCAGTCATGGGGAACCCGGGGAACCCGGGAAACCCAGCCGCCATCAGAGAGCCAGAGAGCCGCAGGCGCCTGTGCGGGGTCCTGGCCTGGCCCGAGGGGTCAGCACACCCCTGTCTGCCTCTGAGGTCAGGGCCCTGGGGGCTCCTGACCTGGCCTGCCTGTGGGAGGCAAAGGTGTGGCCAGGAGAGGACAGGAGGGGGCAGTCACAGTCACCACTCCTGGAGGCCCATGAAGAGCAGCTTTGCCCCCACACTTCTGTGAAGCCAACTTGGGCCTGTTTGGGAGGGGCCTGGCGCTGCAGCCGGCCGTGGGCACCTGCCATGTGGCGGTCCACTGGAGGCCAAGTCCAGCTCATATGGCTCTGGGGACCCACCGCACCAGACTCCAGTGTGGGGGTACCCGGAGCTGGGG
Organism: Homo sapiens; assembly: GCF_000001405.40. NCBI lineage: Eukaryota > Metazoa > Chordata > Mammalia > Primates > Hominidae > Homo > Homo sapiens. Next base: position 319,052 of record NC_000005.10, read on the forward strand.
GTGGGTCCTCGGAGGCTTCCAGTCCTGCCCCAGCTGCCATCCCTGCCAGGTGTTAGCGCCTCTGGTTCAGAGTCCCGAGAGGACCAGTGGCCCAGGAGAAAGGGGTGTGTCTCCAGCTGCTGGGAGTGTGGGTGGGAGCCAGAGGGTTCAATGACACTGGGGACAGCAAGTCCGGACTGGAGGGAGGAGACCTCCTGAACAGGGTCCCCAGCACAGAGGCAGAAAGGAGACTCTGTGACTGGGGGTGTCAGCTGCATCTGGACCTTCGTGGTGGGGAGGGAGGCACGCCCAATAGCCCGTCTGAACGGGAGGTGGCTCAGGGATCCCCCATTGTGCTGGTGGGGTGCCCAGAGACTCCAGGACTCCACGTGGGGCTCTGCCTGCTAAACCCTGAGACTTTAGGGGCAGTGGCTCCCACGGCAGGGTCATCCTTTTTCTGCACAGTCCCACTGGCTGCCCCAGGTCCTGCAGAGACCTGAGACTTTGGGGACAAGCACAGGGGACAGGTGGGCGTGGATGGCCTGTGCCGGTCAAGGGCAGTGGGAAGGAAGGAGGAGCAGTTTCCTTCTGTACCCAGGAAATAGAGTAACAAAGTGTCTCATTCCAGTTGGTTCTGGTGGGACAGGGTAGGTGGAAGGGAACCCGTGCTTGCCCTGAGACATGGGGGTGCTGTCTTCCCATGCAGGGGGACTGCGGCTCACCACCATCACATTCTACCCACAGGTTCTTATTTTAACAGATCACAAAGGTACTATGTGCTTCTTGCAAAAATTTACAGGAATTGTAGACTTTTCAAAAAGTAAAAAGAAATTAAAGTTCACCTGTTACCTCAGAGTTATCCAGCTACACATTTTCTGTGCATAATTCACTTTACAAAAATTGGATCAAGATAAAACTAATGATTTTTAAAAATACAGCAATATAGTTGCACATTGTTCCATATCAAAAAATAAATGTGTGCACCCAGGGCTCCTGGCTGTCTCAGTGGCATAGTGGCTCATGCCTGTAATCCCAACACTTTGGCAAGCCGAGGTGGGTGGATCACCTGAGGTCAGGAGTTCGAGACCAGCCTGGCCAAGATGGCAAAACCACTATCTACTTAAAAAAAAAAAAAAATTAGCCAGGTGTGGTGGCGCGCGACTGTAATCCCAGCTACTTGGGAGGCTGAGGCACGAGAATCGCTTGAGCCCTGGAGGCAGAGGCTGCAGTGAACTGAGATCGCACCACTGCTCTCAGGCCTGGGTGACAAAGCAAGACTCTGTCCCAAAAAAGCCCATTTACTCAGCTCACATTTTTGAGCCTCTGCTATTCGACAGGAACCAGAGGTGAGCAGAGCCGACTTGGTGACCCCTGGGGACAGAGCGGCAGAACTCAGCAATTCTGGGCTGCCCTGCAGGAGCTACACCCGGGGAGGGGCGGTGGCCACTTGGGGGCAGGGTGGGCTTCTCAGCTGCGCCCACCCCACCTTGGGAGCTGTGTCTGGAAAAGAGACTTTTCCTGAGCCGACAGCAGACAGCGAGTGCAAAGGCCCCAAGGCCCGCACGCCTTATTCAGAGAACAGCAGGAGGCGCGGGGCGGGTTGGGGGCGTCAGGGAGACGGGGTTTGACTGAGAACCTGGGGGCGCCAGTGACAGCCTCGGCCGCGTTGCTGAAAACCGACCTTGCGGGATGAAGAGGGCGCGGTTCCCCCGGCTGGGATGAGGACCGCGGATGCTGAGGAGCGGACTCCAGGGACCACCGACTCCATGGCCGGCCCCAGCGAGGGCGAGAACGGGTGGAAGCCGGCCAGGGTCTGTGGAGACGTCAGGGTGCGAGGCCAGGCTGAGGTGTCCCCAGGGATCCCCTGAGGGTACAGGGAATTCAGCCAGGGCCTGCGCGCCCGGACGGAGGACTAGAGGGGGCCAAGGACCACCGGGAGGGGGAAGGAGAAGGCGCAGCCCGAGGTCGGAGGGGCCGGCGGGCGCGCAGAGGGCGCGGGGTGAGCCCTAAGGACCTGCAGGCAGGACCCTGCTCTCGGCCGCGCGGTCCCGGGTGCCGACCGGCGGGGTGGGCGGGGCAGGGGCACCCAGGGCCGCACACCTGCCGCGTGGGACCCTGAAATGCCCAGGACGAAGAACGTCGCACGGACGACCCTGCCGTGCCTGGCGCGCGTCCGCTTCCTGGGAAGCTCAGGATCCAAAAGCATCTTAATATTCTCTATAATTCGCCAAAAACCATGACTCCTTTTACATTTTCGAAACGACCTCATGGGGCAGGCGAGGGGGCACACGCTCTCCTCACTTTACCTGTTCGGGTCTACACCGCCCGGCTCTAGGGCCGGCAGCTCAGCACAGCCGGCCGCGAGCGCTGGGGAGGGGACGGGGGCGCAGGGAGAACCGGGGGACCCTGGGCGCACACAGACCCCAGGGGGAACGCAGGGCCTGGAGGGGCTCAGCGCGCGACCCCCGCCTCGGGGCACGGAGACTCCGGGGGATCACTGGGACGCGAAGGGCGCAGGGCGGACCCCAGGGGAACCGGATGGCGTCTCCGGTTCGCCAGGGCAGCTGGGGCAGCCGGACCCGAGACAGCCGGACCCGCGGGCGCCCTCTGCCGCCTCCCGGCCCTGGATGCTGCGGGGCGGGGCGGGCGGCTCGCGTGCCGGGGTGGGGCAGTCCCTGGAGCCGCCGCGGGTTCCCGGGATGCGAGCGCCGGCACCCGCCGCCACAGCTCCTGGCCAGGGCGCGCTGCCCCGCGGGTGTGCCTGAGCCTCCGCGCCCCGCAGGCCCTGGGTAAGTGTCCTGGGCGCCCCCGCAGGCCCCCGCCGCGTGCCGCCCGCGGTGGAGACGGGATGCGCTCCCGGGTGTGGGGCTGAGGGACGGGCGCCGGCGTCGGGACCCTCCTCACGCCGCATCCTCGCGTCGCCAGGCCCGGCGGCCCCGGGACGGGGCGGACACTCTGGGGTGCGGCTGGCTGGTCTCACTTAAAACTCGGACCTCGGAGGGAAGCCGCGGCGCGTCCACGGTTCGTGGTCCTCAGCGTCCCCTCGAGAGTGTTCTGAGCCTTCACTCCCCGGGCGTTCCGTGCGGGCCGCGCTCCCTGGGGCTGGGCGGGTGCGGGCGGCGGAGCGGGGCCCCGCTGTCGGGCCGAGGGCGCCAGGTCCGGGGGGCCTCACCCCCGGGAAAGGCCCATGTTCAGGCTTGGTTTCAGTAGCACCCAGTAGCGCTGAAGTCTTATTTTGAGCGGCCAGAATTCCCAGACCGGATGCCCTGAGAGAGCGATGTGGCGCCTGGAGTCCACGCTGGGACCCCTTCTGGGGAGGGGTCGCCATGGGCGCGTGACAGGCAGGGGCCACCCTCTGACCTCTTCTGCGAGGCCGGAGGTCAGAGACCTTGTGCAGAAGCGTCCCACGGGCCTGTCCCACGGGCCTGTCCGGCTGTGGCCTCCGGGATGGCAAGGGCAGGCGGGGAGGGGCTTCCTCCCTGGGCCTCCTGTGCGCGCGCACAGGCTCTCGTCTGCGGGGTTCTTGCAGAAGGGTGGGCGTGTGCGCGCGTTCTCCAAACGCCACCCCCACGGGGCCTCACAGCCGCCCCGGCCTGGCAACCGTCACCCATTTTACGAACGAGGACATCAAGGTAGGTCGCTCATCCAGCCTCTCAGAGCAAGTGACTGGCGGCGTTTGGACTCGGGCCGAGTGTGCCATACCCATCCCGCACAAAGCCGGGGCTCGATGCGGCCCCAGAGTCGCTGAAAAGCCACGAGTAACAAGAACTGGAGAACGTAGGATGCTGACCCGGCGGACGCCGCCGCCTGGGGAGCCGCTTCGACGGGGGGGACGCCACCGCCTGGGGAACGGCTTTTATTTTCGTTTTCTTACTTATCTGTATTCTCTAAAATGAACAGACACGAGTTTTACCACGGGAGAAAGGTTCTTAGAAAAATTCAGATTTCTCAGAGGAGTGCTGTCAGCTCACAGCCTGGTGGGGTTGGGAGGCCCCAGATGGCCCTGGCCGACCCCTCTGTCCCGTGTGGGACCTGCCCGTGAGCAGCACCCAGGAGTCTGTCGAGGCCCCACCCGTGGTCCCCGGCTGAGCCCCTGGCTGCAGTGGGTAGGGTCCTCCCCTGTCCCCCAATTACCTATGAGGCAGCTTCGACCTGTGTCCCAGGCAGAGAAGAACGCTGCCGTCAGGAGGCCGGGGACAGCTGAGTCTTGCCTCACAGGGGCATTTCTGTGGGGAGTTTGGTCCAGTCCAAAGGAGGCTCCATCTGTTGAGGTGAGTTCATGAGTATTTTGTAAAATGGAACAACCTATTGTAATAGCATCCCTCCTCCTGTATTTAGGCTAGGTATGGCAAGAACTGAGACACACTTCCCTGCCACCCCCTCGCATCTCTGCCAGTAGGGCCAGGAAGTTCAGATATGCTCAGGTGACCACCTGAACTCCGCGAGGCTTTTCTCTAAAGTATTATCAGCAACTGTTTCTCAAACTACTTTATCTTGATCCTTGTGCCAAATTATTTATTTCCTGCAACTGTGAGGCCCCTCCTTCATGTGGCCTGGTGTTCCCGGGAGCAGGCCTTGTGATCAGAGGGAGACGGCTTGTGGCTTAACAGGGTCTTCCCACCTCGTTCACCCGTGCTGGGTGCTGAGACGCCGGGGGAGGGGGAGGCAGCTGTGGTTCCAGCCGTCGTCATTTGCAATGCAGTTGGAGAGATGCCGCCGGGTGGCCCTGACCAGTGTTAAGTGGTTAATACGACACAGAAGCGGGAAAGCGCCATGTGGTCTGGGGTGATCAGGCATTGAAGGAGACTCAACGGAGCTCCTTGCGGAGGAGAGTCGGCTCACAGACAGGCAGGAATGAACAGGCCGATCTGCTAGGGGCTGATGACTCGGGTAGGAAAGACTTGGCGGCCCTGAAACACCTTGCCTAGCTCGCTCTTCCTTCCCTCCTTCCTTCCTACCTTCCTTTCTTTTTTTCTCTTTCTTTCTTTCTTTCTCTCTCTCTCTCTGTCTCTCTTTCTCTCTCTCTCTCTTTCTTTCCTTTTCTTTCGAGACAGAGTCTTGTTCTGTCACCCAGGCTGGAGTGCAATGGCGCTTTCTTGGCTCACTGCAACCTCTGCCTCCCAGGTTCAAGCAATTCTCCTGCCTCAGCCTCCCAAGTAGCTGGGACTACAGGTGTGAGCCACCACACTTGGCTAATTTTTGTATTTTTGGTAGAGACAGGGTTTCACTGTCTCTACTAAATGTTGGCCAGGCTGGTCTCGAACTCCTGACGTCATGCTCTCCCCACCTCGGCCTCCCAAAGTGCTGGGATTACAGACATGAGCCACCACGCCCAGCCGCCTAGCTGTTTCAATGCGATGAGTTATAGCCAAAGGTGCTTCCACTTGGAATTTTTTTTTTAATAAAAATATATTCATTTATATAAAAAAATTAAAAAAAAAAAGAACTGAGGCACAAGCAAAACCTGAAACTGGGCCAGGTGTGGTGGCTCACACCTATAATCCCAGCACCTTGGGAGGCTGAGGCGGGTGGATCACCTGAGGTCGGGAGTTCGAGACCAGCCTGACCAACATGGAGAAATCCTGTCTTTACTTAAAAAAATACAAAAATTAGCCGGGTGTGGTGGCCTATGCCTGTAATCCCAGCTACTCGAGAGGCTGAGGCAGGAGAATTGCTTGAACCTGGGAGGTGGAGGTTGTGGTGAGCCAAAGTCACACCATTGCACTCCAGCCTGGGCAACAAGAGTGAAACTCCGTCTCAAAAAAACAAAAACAAAAAACGAAAAACCCAAAACTGGTTATTCAGGGGGCACTGGCTGTGGGGAGGGGGTAGGCAGGCCAGCTCCTTGGATTTCCTCGGGGCCCCTCCCCCACACCGCCCACAGGGAATATTTATCTGCTTCTGGTGATTTTTACCAGAACCCTTGATTTTAGAACCGTTCCACAGCACTGAGCTGGAGACACCTGGGAGAACGTGGCTTTGCCCAGGCGTTGCAGGGCGAGTAGTCACTGGTATGTGAGGCTGAGGAGGGCAACGAGGCTTCCGTCTCAATTCCGGCTACTCGGAAGGGAGTTTGGGATTTTGGGGACAAGAAGGATCTGCACTAGCCCCACCTCTGACAACATCCCCTGCCCCGCTTCATCTTCCCAGCTGTCCCACCACCCCCCGACCCGCTCTTGCCCTGTGGCTCTGCACTCATTTGGGGACGAGGGTTGGTCAGGCTGGTGGTGCCTGGGCTCAGGGTCTTCTGGGGCTGGTGTAGGTCACCCTATCCCCTTTACCTTCCTTGACCTCAAGGGGTGGTCGAGTGGGTTTGCTCTATGCCCGGCCCACCTTGGGGTGCTGGGAACCGTCTCTGGCCTGTTCTCCCCACCAGACTGGGGCCAGGCTTGGGTGCGGCTTGGGAGTTTCCTGTTTGAGTCGAAAGGCCTTGCAGTTCTGATGGGATGTCCTTGCAGGCTGGCCTCCAGCCACCAAGTGCCCAACCTGGTTTCTGGGAGAAGTGCACTGGGCCAGACACGTGACCATGATGGAGACGAGGCTGGGCATCCCACAGCACCTCGGGGGGAGGGCTGGACCCTTCCGAAGCATCCGTCCCACCCTCCGCACCACCTCCACCCACCCACCGGCATCTGTCCCTGCTCCAATCTGCCATTTGCTTTCTTTCTTAACATTCCACATATTTTGCTTATATTTATTTGTAAATTTGTGTCCTATGTGTTACATGGTGTTTGTTTTTTGTTTCTTGTTTTCTTTCTTTTCTTTTTTTGAGATGGAGTCCAGCTCTTGTTGCCCAGGCTGGAGTGCAGTGGCGTGATCTTGGCTTACTTCTACCTCCACCTCCTGGGTTCAAGCGATTCTCCTGCCTTAGCCTCCCGAGTAGCTGGGATTACAGGCACCAGCCACCACGCCTGGCTAATTTTTGTATTTTTAGTAGAGACGGGGTTTCGCCATGTTGGCCAGGCTGGTCTTGAACTCCTGACCTCAGGCGATTCCCCTGCCTCAGCCTCCCTAAGTGCTGGGATTACAGGCGTGAGCCACTGCGGCCGGCCTCTTTGTATTTTCTCGTTGAGGCAAAATGCACATAACATCAAACTAACCATTTAAAAGTGAACAGTTCAGGGGCATTTAGTACATTGACGAAGTTGTGCAGCCACTGCCTCTCTCTAGCTCCAAAACCTCTTCATCGCCTCCGGCAGTGCTCACCCACCAGGCAGTCACTCCCCAGTCCCTGCTCCCAGGTCCTGGCCACCACGAACCTTTTTATCTGAGTTTGCCTACTCAGGATATATCATGCAATGGGGTCAGTGTGTGTCCTTCTGTGTCCAGCTTCTTTCACGCATCACAGCGTTTTTAGGGTCCATCCATGTGGCAGCACGTGCCAGGGCTTCCTTCCTTTTCATGGCTGAATAATATTTCATCTTATGAAGATACCACATTCTGTTTACTGATCCCTCAGCTGATGGACATTTAGGTTGTTTACATTTTTTGGCTACTGTGAATTATGATGGGCATTTGTATGCAGGTTTCTGTTAGAACAAATGCTTTTACTTCTGTTAGGTGTGTACCTAGGAGTGGAGTTACTGGATCATATAGTGATTCTGTGTTTAACTTTTTGAGGAAACACCACACTTTTCCACAGCAGGTGCACCATTTTACATTTTCACCAGCAATGCACCAGAAACAGTTCCAATTTCTCCATAGCCCCACTGACCCTTGTTATGTTCCATTAAAAAAAATGATAGCTGGCCCGGCGCATGGTTCACGCCTGTAATCCCTGCACTTTGGGAGGCTGAGGCAGGCGGATCACTTGAGGTCGGGAGTTCGAGACCAGCCTGACCAATATGGTGAAACCCCATCTCTACCAAAAATACAAAAATTAGCCAGGCGTGGTGGCACGCGCCTGTAGTCCCAGCTACTCAGGAGGCTGAGGCAGGAGAATCTCTTGAACCCAGGAGGTGGAGGTTGCAGTGAGCTGAGATTGAGCCATTGCACTCCAGCCATGGCAACAGAGCGAGACTCTGTCTCAACAACAACGGCAACAGCAACAAGAAGCCATCCTAGTCGTATAAATGGTATTGAATTATGGATTTTTGTTTACTTGCATTTCCCTAATGATTTACAGGGCTGAGCATGTTTTCATGCGTTGAACATTGTGTATCTTCTTTGGAGAAATGTCTCCTCAAGTCCTTTGCCCATTTTTTAAATTGTACACATTTATGGGTTCATGTGTAATTTTGTTACATGCATAGATTGCATAGTGATCAAGTCAAAGTTTTTAGGGCGCCCATTACCCAAATAATGTACATTGTACTCCTTAACTAAAATCTCATCAGCCGGGCCCTTGTCACCCCCTCACCCTTCCAGGTCTCTGTCATCCATCATTCCACTCACTACGTCCGTGTGTATACAAATTCAGCACCTACTTGTGAGTGAGAACACGTGACATTTGACTTTCTGTGCCTGGCTTGTTTCGCTTAATGACCTCCAGTTCCATCCATGTTGCTGCAAAAGACATGATTTCATTCTTTTTTTATGGCTGAATAATATTCAATTGTGTATATATACCACATTTTCTTTTGATTAATCCACTGATGGGAACTTAGGTTTATTCCATCTCTTTGCGATTGTGAATAGTGCTGCAATAAACATATGAGTGCAGGCGTCTTTTTGATATATTGATTTCTTTTCCATTGGGTATAGACCTAGTAGTGGGACTGCTGGATTAAATAGCAGTTCTATTTTATTTTATTTTATTTTATTATTACTATACTTTAAGTTCTAGGGTACATGTGCACAACGTGCAGGTTTGTTACATATGTATACATGTGCCATGTTGGTGTGCTGCACCCATTAACTCGTCATTTAGCATTAGGTATATCTCCTAATGCTATCCCTCCCCGCTCCCCCTACCCTACAACAGTCCCCAGAGTGTGATGTTCCCCTCCCTGTGTCCATGCGTTCTCATTGTTCAATTCCCACCTATGAGTGAGAACATGCGGTGTTTGTTTTTTTGTCCTTGTGATAGTTTGCTGAGAATGATGGTTTCCAGTTTCATCCATGTCCCTACAAAGGACATGAACTCATCATTTTTGATGGCTGTGGCAGTTCTATTTTTGATTCTTTGAGAAATCTCCATGCTGTTTTCCATAGAGGCTGTACTAGTTTACATTCCCGCCAATAGTGTATGAGTTCCCTTTTCTCTGCATCCTCACCAACATCTGATTTTTTTTTTTTTTTTTTTTTTTTTTTTTTGAGACAGAGTCTCCCTCTGTCGCCCAGGCTGGAGTGCAGTGGTGCAATCTCAGCTCACTGCAACCTCTGCCTCCTGGGTTCAAGCAATTCTCCTGCCTCAGCCTCAGAGGCACCCATCACCATGCCAGCTAATTTTTGTATTTCTAGTAGAGATGCAGTTTCACCATGTTGGTCAGGCTGGTCTCCAACCCCTGACCTCAAGTGATCCACCCACCTCGGCCTCCCAAAGTTCTGGGATTACAGGCATGAGCCACTGCACCTGGCCGTCTTTTTAATAATAGCCATTCTGACTGGTGTAAGATGATATCTCATTGTTGTTTTATTTTGCATTTCTCTGATGATTAGTGATGTGGGGTATTTTTTCATATACCTGTTGGCCATTTGTATCTCTTCTTTTAAAAACTGTCTATTCATGTCCTTTGCTTACTTTTTAATGGGATCACTTGGGTTTTTTTGTTGTTGCCATCGTTCAATTGTTTGAGTTCCTCGTATATTCTGGTTACTACTCCCCTGTTGGATGAATAGTTTGCAAATATTTTCTCCCGTTTAACAGGTTATATTGTCACTCTGTTTATTATTTCTTTTGCTGTGCAGAAGGTTTTTAGTTTAAGACCCATACTATAGTCTGTGGTGTAATTTGAAATCATGTAGTGATATGGTTAGGTTTTGTGTCCCCACCCAAATCTCATCCTGAATTATAATCCTCAGGTGTTTAGGGAGAGACCTGGTGGGAAGTGATTGGATTATGGGGGCAGTTTCCTCCATGCTGTTCTCATGACAGTGAGTGAATTCTCATAAGATCTGATGGTTTGATAAATGGTAGTTTTTCCTGCGCTGACACACACACCTCTGTCTTTTTTGGTCCTTATGAATTTTAGGATTATTTTTCTTTTTCTCTTTTCTTCTCCTCCTCCTTCTTCTCTCTTTTTTGCTTCGAGATGGGATCTTGCTTTGTCACCCAGGCTAGAGTGCATTGGCGCATAGCTCACTGCAACCTCGAATTCCTGGGCCCAAGAGATTGTCTGGCCTCTGCCTCCTGAGTAACTGGACTATGGGTGTGTGCCACCATGCCTGACTAATTTTAAATTAAAATATGTTTTTGTAGAGATGAGGTCTCACTGTGTTGTTCAGGCTGGTCTCAAACTCCTGGCCTCAAGCAGTCTTCTTGCTTTGGCCTCCCAAAGTGCTAGGATTACAAGTGTGAGCTACCATGCCCAGCCTGAGATTGTTTTTTCTAATTCTGTGAAAAATTACTTTGGTATTTTGATAGGGATTATACTGAATCTATAGATTGCCTTGGGCAGTGTGGTCATTTTAACAATGTGAATTCTTCTGATCTATGAACATGGATGTTTTCGTGTTTGTGTCATCTACAATTTTCTTTCATCAGTGTTTTGTAATTTTCCTTGTAGAGTTTTATTCTCAGGTATTTTTTAATGGTTATTGTAAATGAGATTGTCTTCTTGATTTCTTTCTCAGCTAGATCATTATTGGTGTAAAGAAATGCTACTGATTTTTATATGTTGCTTTTGTATTCTACAACTTTACTGAATTCACTTATCAAATCTAAGAGTTTTTTTGGTAGAATCTTTAGGTTTTTTTAGATATAAAATCATATTGGCAGATAGGAATAATTTGACTTCCTCTTTTCCAGTCTGAATGCCTTTTATGTACTTTCTCCTGCCTGATCGCTCTGGATAGGACTTTCAGTATTATATTGAATAGGAGTGGTGAAAGTGGGCATTCTTGTCATGTTCCAGTTCTTAGGGGAAATGCTTTCAACTTTTCCTCATTCAGTATGATGTTAGCTGTGGGTCTGTAATAAATAGCCTTTATTATTTTGTGGTATGTTCCTTCTGTGCCTAGTTTTTTGAGGATTTTTATCATTAAGGGATCTGAAATTTATTAAAGGCATTTTCTGCATCTATTGAGTTGATCGTATGGTTTTTGTCCTTGATTCTGTTTATGTGATGTATTACATTTATTAATTTGCATATGTTGAACCATCCTTGTATCCCTGATACAAAGCCTACTTGATTGTGGTATATTATCTTTCTGATGGGCTGTTGGATTCAGTTAGTTAATATTTTGTTGAAGATTTTTTTTGAGACAGGGTCTCACTCTGTCACCCAGGCTGGACTACAGTGGCACCATCTTGGCTCACTGTAACCTCTGCCTCCTAAGTTCAAGCAATTCTCATGCCTCAGCCTCCCGAGTAGCTAGGCTTACAGGTGCACACCACCATGCCCTGATAATTTTTGCATTTTTAGTAGAGACAGCATTTTGCCGTGTTGGGCAGGCTGGCCTCAAATTCCTGGCCTCAAGTGATCCACCTGCCTTGGCCTCCCAAAGTGGGATTACAGTGTGAGCCACTGTGCGCCGCGGAGGATTTTTGAGTCTATGTTCATCAGGGATATTGGTCTGTAGTTTTCTTTTTCTGTTGTGTCTTTGTCTGATTTTGGTATCTGCGTGATATGGGCCTTCTAGAATGAGTTAGGGAGCATTCTCTCCTACTCAATTTTTTGGAACAGTTTCAGGAAGATTGGTCTTAGTTCTTTTTTTGCATGTTTGGTATAATTCAGCATTTTTTTTTTTTTTTTTTTTTTGAGACAGAGTCTCGGTCTGTCACCCAGGCTGGAGTGCAATGGTGTGATCTCGGCTCACTGCAAGCTCCGTCTCCTCCCGGGTTCATGCCGTTCTCCTGCCTCAGCCTCCCGAGTAGCTGGGACTACAGGCGCGTGCCACCATGCCCAGCTAATTTTTGTATTTTTAGTAGAGACGGGCTTTCACCATGTTGGCCAGGATGATCTTGATCTCTTGACCACGTGATCCACCCGCCTCGGCCTCCCAAAGTGCTGGGATTACAGGCGTGAGCCACTGCGCCTGGCCAGTTGTGAGCTTTTCTTTTGGGGGAGGTTTTTAATTACTGATTAAATCCCACTTTTCATTACTTATCTGTTCAGGTTTTCTATTTATTCCTGGTTCAGTCTTGGGAGATTGTATGTTTCCAGGAATTTATCCATTTCCTCTAGGTTTTCTAATCTGTGAGCATATAGTTGTTCATAATAGTCTCTGATGATCTTTTGTATTTCTGTGGTATTAGTGTTTTCCTTTTTCATTTCTGATTTTGTTTATTTGGGTCTTCTCTCTGTTAGTCTAGCAGTCTCTATTTCGTTTAGCACTGCTCTGGTCTTTGTTATTTCTTTTCTTCTGCTAATTTTGGTTTGGTTTGTTCTCGCTTTTCTAGTTCTTTGAGGCACATAATTAGATTGTTAACTTGTAATCTTTCTACTTTTTTGATATAGACATTTAATACTATAAACCAGGGGTCCTCAACCCCCAGGCCTCGGACCGGTACCTGTCCATGGCTCGCTAGGAACCAGGCCAAACAGCAGGAGTGAGTGGTGGACGGGTGAGCATTACCACCTGAGCTCTTCCTCCTGTCAGATCAGCAGCAGCATTAGATTCTCATAGGAGCACAAACCCTATTGTGAACTGTGCTTACGAAGGATCTAGGTTGCACGTTCCTTATGATAATCTAATGCCTAATAATCTGAGATGGAACAGTTTCATCCCAAAACCATCCCTACCGACATCTGCAGTCAGTGGAAAAATTGTCTTCCACAAAACCAGTACATGATGCCAAAAAGGTTGGGGACCACCACTATAAACTTCCCTCTTAGCACTGCTTTTGCTATATCCCATAGGTTTTTAAAGTATGTCGTGTTTAATTTTCATTTGTTTCAGCAATTTTTAAATTTCCATCTTAATCTCTTTGTTGACCCAGGAGCATATTGTTTAATTTCCATGTATGTATAGTTTCCAGAGTTGCTCTTGGTATTTATTTATGATTTTATTCCACTGTGGTTTGAGAAGATACTTAATATAATTTTAATTTTTAAACATTTGTTGAGAGGAAGAGGAGGAGAAGCAGGAGGAAGAAGAGGAAAAAAAGAAGAAAGAAAAATCTGTTAAGACTTTTTTTTTTTTTTTTTTTTTTAAGGCAGAGTCTCACTCTGTTGCCCAGGCTGGAGTGCAGTGGCATGATCTCGGCTCACCACAACCTCCGCCTCCTGGGTTCAAGTGATTCTCCTGCCTCAGCCTCCTGAGTAGCTGGGACTACGGGTGTGCACCACCATGCCCAGCTAATTTTTGTATTTTTAGTAGAGATGGTGTTTCACCATGTTGGCCAGGCTGGTCTCGAACTCCTGACCTCATGATCCACCCGCCTCGGCCTCCCAAAGTGCTGGGATTACAGGTGTGAGCCACTGCACCTGGCCAATACTTGTTTTGTGGCATAATATATGGTCTGTCTTGGAGAATGTCCCATGTGCTGATGAAAAGAACGTATCTTCTGCAGTTGTTGGGGAGAATATTCTATAATGTAAATGTATGTGGAGGCCTAAAGTCCAGTTGAAATCCCATGTTTCTTTGCTGATTTTCCATTTAGCTGATCTGTCTAATGCCATGAGTAGTGTGTTGAAGTCCCCACTATTACTGTATTGCTCTCTCTCTCTCTTTAGTTCTAGGAATATTTGTTTTATAAATCTGGGTGCACCAATGTTGGATGCATATGTATGTAGAATTGTTTTATCCTCTTGCCTAATTGATCCCTTTATCATTATATAATAAATGACCTTTGTCTTTTTTTTTTTTTTTTTTTACTGTTTTTGGCGTAAAGTCTGTTTTATCTGATATGAGTATAGCTACTGCTGTTCGCTTTTGGTTTCCGTCTGTGTGGAATGTATTTCCCCACCCCACCCCCCGCCTTTACTTTCAATCTGTATGTGTCTTTTTAAAAAAATAGAGACAGGATCTCGCTATGTTGCCTAGGCTGGTCTCAAACTCCTGGCCTCAAGCAATCCTCCCATCTTGACCTCCCAAAGTGCTGAGATTACAGGCTTGAGGAACAATGCCCAGCCTATGTGTGCCTTTAGTGGTAAAGTGAGTTTCTTGTATGCAGCATATAGTTGAATCATGCTTTTAAAAATCCATTCTGCCAATCAGTGTCTTTAAAGTGGAACATTTGCCTGGGCATGGTAGCTTACGCCTGTAATCCCAGCACTTTGGGAGGCAGAGGCAGGTGGATCACTTGAGGTCAGGAGTTCAAGATCAGCCTGGCCAACATGGTGAAACCCCATCTCTACTAAAAATACAAAAATTAGCCAGGAGTGGTGGTGGAGGGCTATAGTTCTAGCTACTCAGGAGGCTGGGGCAGGAGAGTCACTTGAACCTGGGAGGCGGAGGTTGCAGTGAACTGAGATTGCACCACTGCACTCCAGCCTGGGTGACAGAGTGAGACTCCATCTCAAAAAAAACAAAACAAAAAACCGGACTGTTAACCTGTTTACCTTCAAGGTTAATATTGGTATGTAAGGTTTGATTCCTGTTGTATTGTTATTTGTTTCCTAGTTGTTTTATAAGTTATTTGTTTCTTTCTTTTCCTCTGGCTGTTTGTCATTGTGGTTTGGCTGAATTCTGTAGCAGTGCCATTTGATTCCTTTCTCTTCGTCTGTGATTGCTTTATGAGTGAGTTTTATATATACTTTTGTGTGTTTCCATAATGGTGAATGTCGTCTTTTCACTTCCAAGTTAGGGCTTCCTTGAGCAGTTCTTGTGGGACTAGTGGTGATGAATTCCCTCAGATCGGCTTTTCTGGGAAAGACTTTATTTCTCCTTCATTTATGAAGGTTAGTCTTGCTGGATATCAAATTGTTGGCCGAAAGTTTTTTTCTTGCAGCAGTTTGAATATGTCACCTTATTCTCTTCTGGCCTGCAAGGTTTTTGCTGAGAACTCCACTCTTAGTCTGATGAAGTTTCCTTTATAGGTGACTAGATGCTTTTCTCTTGATTTTAGAATTTGCTCTTTCACTTTGACTTTGGACTGATTCATGGTGCACTGTGGTAGTGTCTTTTTTGCACGATGTTTTCCTGGGGATTGCTGAGCCTCCTGTGTCTGGATGCTTAGATCTCTTGCTAAACTTGGCAGGTTTTCATATATTCCTTCATTAAATAGGTTTTCTAAGCCTCTCAATATCTCTTCATCCTCAGGAAGACCAATAACTTGTAAATTCAGTCGCTGTATGTAGTCCCAGGTATCTCACAGGCTTTGCTCATTCTTTCTCATTCTTTTTGCTTTGTTTTTGTTTGATTGGATAGTTTCAAAAAGCCTGTCTTTTAAGTTCTGAAATTCTTTCTTCTGCTTGGTCTAGTCTATTGTTGGAGCTTTCAAATGTATTTTGTATTTCTGGTTTTTTTTAAAAAATGTATCTATCTCCTTGGTAAATATCTCATTCATATTCTGAATTAATCTTCTGAGTTCTTTGTATTGATTTTCAGATTCCTCACACATCTCATTGAACTTCTTTAAAATCAATATTTTGAATTCTTTATCTGGGATTTTGAGGATTTCTTTTGGTTGAGATTTATCTACTGCTGGAGAATTGTGTTTCTCTGGGATTGTCATATTACCCTGCTTTTTCATGTTTCTTGTGTCTTTATGTTGCTTTCTGCACATCTGGTGTAATAGTTGCTTTTTCTTGTTTTGGGGTTTACTTTTGTTGTTGGGGGGCACCTTTTACTGGAGATGTGACTGGGATGTTGGTTGGGTAGGGCCCTTTGGATTTACTTCTGAGGCATGCAGCAGTGAAGCCTCTGTATGTTTTATTTGGCTATTAGCAGTGTTAGTGGTATCTGCGGCTTCCTTGGTTAGGGTGCAGTTATTGGTGGCGGCTGTGGTGAAGTTGTGCTGGGGACTGGGATGCTGGGTGGGCCCATCTTCAGGCTTCAGTGGTAGCAGCTGTGGGTTAACCATGTCTATCCTTGTGCCCCAGGGTGGCACACACTGGCACCTGTGTTGGCAGTACCAGGCAGGCTGATTCTTGGGCCTCTGGGTGGCTTTCTCAGAAGCTAGTTGTAGTAGCAGTGTACCATGCGAGTGAGCAGGCTTCCTAGTTTTTGGGCAGCCAGAGTGGTGTGGGCAATGGTGGTGGCAGTGGTGGTGAGATGCACTTTTGGGTCCCAAGCTCTGTGTGCATGTGTTGGCAGTGGTTGCAATCGGCTGTGCTGGCCAGCCTCCAGACCAGCAGCTGGCACTTGCAGGTAGGTGCCAGCTGAGGTGGTAGTGGCAGGGTGTCCCCTGGGAGAAGGGCTCAGTGTCCCAGGTGGTGGACTGTGTTGTGGGTCCTCCAGGTCGCTGGATCCCACACTCTGTCTTGTGGGCAGGCTGGGGAAGGGGGATGCTGGGCAGAGCTGGACCAGGCAAGCTTGCTCTAGCCCCCTGAGTGCATGCACCAACTGTGACAGGTGCCACTGGGTGATTTTCAGGGCCCATGGCAGAATGCCTGGATGAGGGGCAGCTGCCACAGGGAGGGTGGGGCCAGTCCTAGCAGCCAGAGCCTTGGCCATGGATGGAAGACCTGCATCCCTTTCATGCCCCAATCCCCATGTGGCATGCTCCCCCATCCTGGCTGTTGGAGACAAAAGCTGATCCATCAGCCTTGGCAGTTTGTGCCTGGCCCGCAACTCAGCTCCAGGCTGTAGGCCCTGCACAGCTCAAGACCAGGCCCCCATGGCAACTCTCATCTTGCTCAAGTCCTGGGGGTGGTGCCTGCTTCCAGTGCTGGGAGCTGCAGCCCATGCTACACTTGCCTCTTAGTCCTGGTCCACTCTCACACCTCAGTTCCGCAAGCAGCAGTCCAAGTCCAAGTTTCCCTAATGCCTCGGACTGGCACTGCTTGTACCAGGAACATGCACCGTCTGCTAAGAACTAGGATGGAGAATGGTGTCTTGCTCTAGCTGCTTAAATTTCAGAAAGGGTATGAGACCCAGGGCATGTTCCCTCCTGGAGCACTTCCTTCTCAGTCTCCCTAAATCCGATGCAGATTTAGTCTCCTGTGTCAGGGACTGCATGATTCTCCAGTGGGAAAGTGGACTGCGGGAAGACCCACCCTCACCCTCTCATACTGGGGAGTCACTCCCAGTTCCCAGCCACTCTTGGCCACACATCCTGCCTGTTTTCCTTCTTCCTAAGTTTTGCTGTTTCCTGTCACTTTCCTGCTGAACTCCCATGTTGTCTCTTGGAAAATAGATTCAAAGTGTGATCATCGACACATTATTTTGGTTCTTCTAAGTGGATGAGGTGTGCTTGAAATGCTTCTAGTCAACCACCTTTTAAAAAAAGCCTTTGCCCATTTTAAAATTGGGTTGTCTTTTTGTTGTTGAATTGTAAGAGTTCTTTGTCTATGCTGGACACTAGACCCTTATCAGATAACATGATTTGTAAATGTTTATTGCCATTCTGTGGGTTGCCTCTTCACTTTCTTGGTAGTGTCTTGTGACACAAAAATTTTTAGTTTTGATGAAGTCCAATTTATCAATTTTTTTCTCTTATTACCCGTGCTTTTTGTGACAAATCTAAGAATCCATTGCCACATTTAAGGTCATTATCCAATCAAAGCCATTAAAGATGAATTCTTATGTATTCTTCGGAGTGTTATATTTTTAGCTCTTACATTAAAGTCTTTAGTCAATTTTAGGTTAATTTTTTTCATATTGTGTGAGGTAGGGATCCAACCTCATTCTTTGGTGTGTGGCTTTGTTTTTTTTTCCTCTTAGAGACAAGGCCTTGCTTGCTACCTTGCTCAGGCTGGCCAGTTATCTCAACACCATTTGTTGAAGAGATTGTTCTTTCCCTGCTGAACAGCCTTGGTGCCCTTGTGGAAAATCAATTGGTCATTGGTCATAATCAATTAGTATCTCTATTCTTATGCCACAGTTTCTTTCTTTTTAATGTTTTTTTTTAAAGCCAAACATTTTATTATGGCACTTTTGAAATATTTTACAAAAATAGAGAAAATTATACAAAGAGCTCAATTTTTTCATCAGCTAGCATAGGTAATCAACTATCAATATTGGCTGATCCAGTTTCATTTAAAGTCCAGCCTGCCAACCCCAGCCCACTTAGACTCCACTGTCCTCCCCACTTTATAGAGAAGCAAATCCCTAACATGCCATTTATTTCATATGTGTTTTAATGTGTATGTCTAAAACGTGGATTTTAAAAAATCAGCTCTCTGTTTTTCTTTATGTGTATGTATATACACACACATACATACAGGGTCTTGTTCTGTCACCCAGGCTGGAGTGCAGTGGTGTGATCTGGGCTCACTGCAGCCTTGACCTCCCAGGCTCAAGCGATACTCCTGCCTTAGTCTCCTGAGTAGCTGAGACTACAGACATGCGCCACCATGCTTGGCTAATTTTTAAAAATTATTTTCTGTAGAGATGAGGTCTCACTGTGTTGGCGTTTTATATTTTAAATTTTTTTTTATTTGAATTGAGAAACTTTAATGTTAGGAAGTCTAGATAGCAACAGTGATGCAGCTATGGAGGGGAGAGGAGAACTCTGGATGGTGCTCCGGGGCTGCGGGAGGCCCCTAAGGAGTGCGCTTGGAAGGGGGCTCCCTTCCCAAAGCTGGGGCTCGGGCCTCATTGGAGGAGGTGTAGGTTCCGTCCCCTGGAGGGCAGAGAAGTTTGCTGAGTTGCCCTGTCTATGGCAGTGGTGAGCAGGAACACGAAAAAATAGGAAGCACTGGAACCAGGAGAGGCTCCTTCTTCCTGCTGGGCTCCTCTAGGACCGTATTCAGGCCAGTGCAACATCATGCCCTCTATAGGAAGAAATGCTGAAAGACTGCGGCTTATTAATGCAGATCAGGCAGGATGGAGAGTCTGGAGCCTACAGGCAACAAACAGGTAGCTGGCACAGCTTCTGAGTACTGTCACCTCACTTTGCGAATACATGTCTCCCCTCCCGGGTCTGTGTAGCCGCCATATACTTGATGTCCACGTTTGTTGTGAACCCCACAACACACTGTTGTTATTGCTTAGTCACTTATCTTTTAAAGATATCTAAGCAATAAGAACAAATTATGCATATTTCACCCTCTAGTAGTCAGTTCTTGCGCTTTTTGTGCCATGTTGTAGACCCATACTACAATCTGGTATCATTTTCCTTTGGCCTGTAATGTTTCTTATAGTGTGGGTCAGCTAGTGATGATTTCTTTCAGTTTTTGTGCATCTGAAAGCTCTTTATTTCACCTTCACTTGTGAATGATGTTTTCATAAGATGTAGAATTCTAGGTTTCAGGGTTTTTTCTTTCAGCTTTAAAGATGTTGCTCCACTACCTTCTTGTTTCTGATGAGGAATCTGCTGTCATCTTATTTTTGATCCTTTGTACCCAGTGCCTATTTTCTCTGGCTTTTAATATTATTCTAGGCCAGGTACGTGGCTCATACCTGTAATCCCAGCACTCTTGGAGGCCAAGGTGGGTGAATTGCTTGAACCCAGGAGTTCAAGGCCAGACTGGGCAACATGATGAAACCCCATCTCTACAAAAAATACAAAAATAAATATTATTCTACTTATTACTGGTTATGAGCAATTTGATTATGATATGCCTTGGTGTAATTTTCCTGTTTCTTGTGCTTGGAGCTCACTGAGCTTCTTGGGTCTGTAGGTTTACAATTCTCATTACATTTGGAAAAAATTTCTGCTGTTTCTTACATTTTCTCCTAACTCCTTTCCCCTCCTATTCATTAGGGGTCCAGTTACACATATATTAGGTCTCTTGAAATACCTATTTTATTTTTATTGGGGTGCTATTGTAAATGATACTAGTTTTTAAAAATCTGAATTCCAGTTGTTCATTGCTAGTATCTAGAAACACAATTTATTTTTGTATGTTATTATCCTTTTACTGTGTGACCTTGCTGGTCTCAGTAATTAGTTATAGGTAATTGGTTTTAGTAAAATTTTTGGAATTCTCTCTCTCTCTTTTTAAGAGACAGGGTCTTATTCTGTCACTCAGGCTGGAGTGCAGTGGTACAAACACAGCTCACTGTCACCGCAGCCTCAATGTCCTGGGCTCAAGTGATCCTCCAGCCTCAGACTCCTCAGTAGCTGAGACTACAGGTGTGTGCCACCACACTGGCTAATTTTTTTTAAAAGTATGTTTTGTAGAGATAGGGTCTTGCTACATTGCCCAGGCTGGTCTCAAACTCCTGGGCTCAAGTGATTCTCCCACCTTGGCCTCCCAAAGTGCTGGGATTATAGGTGTGAGCCACTTCACTCAGCCTTTTTGGAATTTTCTACATGTACAATCATGTCTGCGAACAGATAGAGTTTTCTTTTATTTTTATTTCCCAGTTTTATGACTTTTATTTATTTCCCAGTTTTGAGACTTTTACTTACTTTACTGACTTATTGCCCTGGCTAGTACACAAATAATTTTAGTGGGAATGGGGGTACACCACAGCTTTGCCTTGTTCATGGTCTTGGGGGGAAGCATTTAGTCTTTCACCATTAGCTGTGATGTTAGCTATAGGCTTTTGTAGATGTTCTTTATCACGTTAATTAAGTTTCCTTCTGTTCCTAGTTTGATGAGAGGTTTTTTTGGAAAAATTGTTATGAATGGATTTGGATTTTGTCAAATGCTTTTCTGAAAGATTGAGATGATGATGTGCATTTTCTTTTTAGTTTATTATTATAGTGAATTACAGTGATTGGTGTTTGGATGTTGAAGCTGCCCTGAATTCCTTGGATAAATCCCACTTAGCTGTGATGTATCATCCTTTTTATATATTGGTAGATTCTATTTGCCAATACCTATATTTAAGTGAGGATTTTTGTGTCTATGTTCATGTGGGATGCTGGTCTTTAGTTTTCTTTTCGTGCAATGCCTTTGGTGTGGCATCAGAGTAATGCTGAATTCGTAAATAAGTCGACAATTTTAAATTTTTTCTTTGATATTTTTTGCCAAGAGAGAATTGGTATTATTTCTTTACATTGGTAGATATACCAGTGAAACCATTTAGACCTGGGTTTTTTGATGTTGTTGGAATAGATATAGAGCTATCCAGATTATCTGTTTTTTCTTGAGTTTTGATAGATTGTGCCTTTCTAGGAATTCCTCTATTTCATCTAAATCGTTGAATTTTTGGGATAGTATTTGTCTTACTCTGCTTGGGCTGCCATAACAAACTACCATAGACTGGATAGCTTAAACAACAGAAATTTATTTCACACTGTTCTGGAGGCTGGGAAGTCCAAGATCAAGGTGCTGGCTGATTTGGTTTCTGGTGAGGCCTCTCTTCCTGCCTTACAGATGGCTGCCTTGTTGCTGCATCCTCACATGGTGGAGAGAGAGAGCTCTGATGTTGCTTCTCTTTTTATAGGGCACCAGTTCTACAGGATTAGGGCTCCAGCCTTATTACCTTAATCACCTATGAGGGTAGGGGCTCTATCTCCAATACAGTCACATGGAGAGTTAGGGCTCAACATAGGAATTTTGGGTGGACGCAATTATGTTCACAGCAATATTATATATATATATATATATATATATTTTTTTTTTTTTTTTTTTTTTTTTGAGTTGGAGTTTTGCTCTTGTTGCTCAGGTTGGAGTGCAATGATGTGATCTTGGCTCACTGCAACCTCTGCCTCCCAGGTTCAAGCAATTCTCCTACCTCAGCCTCCCAAGTAGCTGGGATTACAGGCATGCGCCACCATGCCTGGCTAATTTTTTGTATTTTTAGTAGAGACAGGGTTTCACCATGTTGGCCAGGCTGGTCTTGAACTCCTGACCTCAGGTGATCCTCCTGCCTCAGCCTTCCAAAGTGCTGGGATTATAGGCATGAGCCACTGCACCCAGCTCTATAATTTTTCTTTTTCTTTTCTTTTCTTTTTTTTAGGCCAAATCTCGCTATGTCGCCCAGGCTGGAGTGCAGTGGCATGATCTTGGCTCACTGCAAACTCCGCCTCCCAAGTTCAAATGATTCTCCTGTCTCAGCCTCCCAAGTAGCTGGGACTACAGGTGCACGCCACCATGCCTAGCTAATTTTTGTAATTTTAGTACAGACGGGGTTTCACCATATTGGTCAGGCTGGTCTCGAACTCCTAACCTCAGGTGATCCACCTGCCTCGCCCTCCCAAAGTGCTGGGATTATAGGCCTAAGCCACTGCGCCTGGCCTCAGCTCTATAATTTTTCTTTTAATGTCTGTGGGATCTGCAGTGATGTCCTCTCTTTCATTCCTGATATTGGCAATTTGTGTCTTCTCTGTTTCTTGATCAGTATGGCTAGAAGTTTATCAGTTTTGTTGATTTTTTTCAAAGAACCAACTTTTGGTTTAATCACTTTCCTTCCCCTCCCCTCCCCTCCCCTCCTTTCCTTTCCTTTCCTTTTCCTTCTTTTTTTTTTTTTTGACAGAGCCTCACTCTGTCGCCCAGGCTGGAGTGCAGCGGTGTTGGCTCACTGCAACCTCCATCTTCCAGGCTCAAGCAATTCTCCTGCCTCAGTCTCCAGAGTAGCTGGGATTATAGGCATGAGCCACCACGCCCTGCCAATTTTTCTTTATTTTTATGTTTTATCTCTTATCGACTTATTTTTATTATTTCCATTCTTCTGTTCAATTTGGGTTTATCTTCTCTTCTAGTTACTTGTTAGAAGCTTAGATCTTATTTTAGACCTTTTATTTTCTCAAATATAAGCACTTAATGCTATCAGTTTCCATCAAAGTACTGGTTAGCTGCATCCCACAAAGTCTGATATGTTTGCATTTTCATTTTTGTTTAGTTCAAAATATTTTTAAATTTCTTTGTGAATCAAAGAGGCATCTTTGATCCTTGCTTATTTAAAAGTGGGTTGCTTTCCAAATATTTGGAAAATTTCTAGATATCTTTATAGTTTAATTCCATTATGTCAAATAACATACTTTGATTTCTGTTTTTAAAAAAATTGTTAAGGATAGTTTTAAGTCCCAGAATATGGTCTGTCTTGGCGAATGTTACATGTGTAAAAACCAGATACTCTTCGGTTGTTGGATGGAGTGTTTTATAAATTTCCATTAATTCAAGTCTGTTGTCGTTTGGATATTCTGTATCCTTACTGATTTTATTTACTTGTTCTATTGATCACTGAGATAGGAATGTTAATGTCTCCCATGAATTATCCTTTTTGATTTTATTAGTTTTTGCTTCATGTGTTTTGAAGCTCCATTGCTAGGTACATTTACCTTTAGGATTGTCAGATCTTCTTGGAAAATTGACCTCTTTATTATTAAAGAATATACCTTTTTGTCTCTGGTGATATTCCTTGTTCTGAAGTCTTCTTTGTCTGGGACTCATACAGCTGCTTCATTTGATTAACGTTTGCATGTTGTATCTTTTTCTATCCATTTACTTTATCTACCTAAGTCTTTACAGTCCAAGTGGATCCATGACACATTTCTGACATTTTTATGGCACTTTCCACACAAGGTGGATATTGCGTGAGTCTGCCTCCTCTTCCAGGCTACACTCACTTCAGGTCAGGTGAGGGCTCCTTAACTTCCTCCCCAAGGCTTCTGGCCCAGAGCCTGGCACGGGATGGTTACTGCACACAGGTCTGCAGAACGTTTGTGAGGGCTCAGCTGCACCCATTGCAAGGAAAATCAAGATTCTGTGAGAAGAAGGGTGATGCCCTCTCTGAGGTGGGTGGCAGGCAAGCTGACCAGCCTGGGCACAGATACTGGGCTGCTCCTCAGGGGCCCCGCTGGGAGGCACATGCCTGTGTCCAGCACTGTTGGTGGCAGCTGGTGGGTGTAGTCAGCTGGACTCAGGGCGCTGTGAGCTAGTGACTTAAGTGGAATCCCAGGACTGTAGAGTGGAGTAGAATTTTACATAGAAAAGAGGAAGCCTGTTGGCCCAAAGCACAAGGCTATCAAGGGCAGAGATGAGAAGAGCAAGACCTGCCACAAACCGCACAGGGAGATCACACCACAGAGAGGAGATTATGCTGTTGCCCTGCATGCGCTCTTGGGGGTGATGGGATCATGTGGCCCCGTGTGTCCTCTCGGAGTGACAGGAACATGGGACCTGAGTACCCTCTCAGAGGTGACAGAAACACGGGACCCCACATACCTTCTCGGGGTGACAGGAACACGGGACCCCACATACCTTTTCGGGGTGACGTGAACACAGAACCCCACATACCCTCTCAGGGGTGACAGGAACGTGGGACCCCACGTACCTTCTCGGGGTGATGGGAACACGGGACCCGCGTACCCTCTTGGGGGTGACGGGAACACGGGACCCCACATACCTTCTCGGGGGTGACGGGAACACGGGACCCCGCGTACCTTCTCGGGGGTGACGGGAACACGGGATCCCGCGTGACGAGTGTTTGGAGGCTGCAGGCTGCCCAGGCCTTGGCTGCGCCCCGCCCCGCCCGTTCCTGGCTTCCTCGATGGCTTCCTCCTCAGGACGCCGGTCTCCCGCCACGGCGCCCTGAGCCAGGCTCCAGAGCAGGCGGCTTCTCTGGGGGAGGCCGGGACCCGCCTGACACCGAGGGGAGGCCCAGGCGTGACCCGGCCCCGGTGGCTCCTCGGTGCGGGGTGCTGGAGAGCAGGGGTCCCGGGCCAGGGGGTCCCACGAGGAGGAGCAGGAGGTGGGGGCCTCGCGGGGTCGCGGGTGTGGGGGCGCCAGGACCGCGCTGAGGGGCCCGGGGCATCGCGGCGGGAACAGGGCGCACGTGGCGCGTTCCGGTGACCGGGTGCCCCCTTGTCTTCCAGGCCGAGGACGATGATCCCGCCGGGGGAGTGCACGTACGCGGGCCGGAAGCGGAGGAGGCCCCTGCAGAAACAGTAAAGTATCCCGCCTTCTGCTTGTGTGGGTTGTTGCACCCATGGAAGGGGAGGGTTGGGGTTTGCCTTGAAAACGGAGTTTTAGGAACAGGGCGAGCGAGGAAGGCTTCGGGAGCCGGGCGGGCCGGGGCTGAGCTCCGGCGCGGGCGGCGCAGGAGTCGTCTCCCCGCAGCGCCCCGGTGCCCGGAGCCCCCGGCGAGGCTCGTCCCTGCGCCCTCGGGGCCCTGAGCGGTGGAGCGAGGCGGCGGGCACCGTGAGGCGCTGAGGCCAAGGACGCGGGCGGAGCTCCGGGCGGCAGAGGCGGAGGCGGCGGGGCCACGGCAGCTTCCCAGGCTCCGCAGGCGAGACCGCCACCCGCTGGGACGGAGGGTGTGGCACGGCCGGGTGTGTGCGTGTGTGGCGAGGCTATGCGAGGCTGTGTGTCTGCGGGTGGGGAGGGCTGCGGGGGTGTGTGCGGTATGTGTGAGGCTGTGGGGGGCTGTGTGTGGGGTGTGTGTGTGTGAGGCTGTGTGTGCGCGGGGGGAGCTGTGTGTGTGTGGGTGTGTGTGTGTGAGGCTGTGGGGGGCTGTGTGTGGGGTGTGTGTGTGTGAGGCTGTGTGTGCGCGGGGGGAGCTGTGTGTGTGTGGGTGTGTGTGTGTGAGGCTGTGGGGGGCTGTGTGTGGGGTGTGTGTGTGTGAGGCTGTGTGTGCGCGGGGGGAGCTGTGTGTGTGTGGGTGTGTGTGTGTGAGGCTGTGGGGGGCTGTGTGTGGGGTGTGTGTGTGAGGCTGTGTGTGTGCGGGGGGAGCTGTGTGTGTGTGGGTGTGTGTGTGACTGTGCGGGTGTGCGAGGCTGTGTGAGACTGTGTGTGCGGGTGTGTGTGGGGGACTGTAGGGAGCTGTGTGTGTGGGGTGTGTGAGACTGTGCAGGTGTGCAGGTGTGCGAAGCTGTGTGAGACTGCGTGTGCAGGTGTGTGTGGAGGGCTGTGGGGAGCTGTGTGTGGGGGGGGTGTGTGTGTGAGGTTGGGGGCTGTGTGGGGTGTGTGTGAGGCTGTGTGTGGGGAGTGTGAGGCTGTGTGTGTGCGAGGGGGACTATGTGTGTCGGATGATGTCCCTGGCTGTGTGTGGGGATGTGTGTGTGTGTGTGTGTGTGTGTGTCAGATGATGTCCCTGGCTGTGTGTGGGGATGTGTGTGTGTGTGTGTGTGTGTGTGTCGGATGATGTCCCTGGCTGTGTGTGGGGATGTGTGTGTGTGTGTGTGTGTGTGTGTGTGTGTGTCGGATGATGTCCCTGGCTGTGTGTGGGGATGTGTGTGTGGGGAGAGGGGTGGGTGGGTGTGTGTGTCGGATGATGTCCCTGGCTGTGTGTGGGGATGTGTGTGTGTGTGTGTGTGGGGATGTGTGTGTGTGTGTGTCGGATGATGTCCCTGGCTGTGTGTGGGGATGTGTGTGTGTGTCGGATGATGTCCCTGGCTGTGTGTGTGTGTGGGTGTGCGTGTGTGGGTGTGTGTGTGTGTGTGTCGGATGATGTCCCTGGCTGTGTGTGGGGATGTGTGTATGTGGGGGGGAGGGGGTGTGTGTGTCAGATGATGTCTCTGGCTGTGTGTGGGGATGTGTGTGTGGGGATGTGTGGGTGTGTGTGGGTGTGTGGGGGTGTGTCTGTGTGTGTGGGTGTGTGTGTCGGATGATGTCCCCCGCTGCAGGGGCTGTAGGATTCTGTGTAGATTCACAGCAATGCCACCCTCACTGCCCTAACACCTGCTGTGATAATGAGGTAAGGCCCCTTGGCGCCTGGACGTGTCAAATGCTTGGCCTTAGTGTGTGGCCGTGGTGCCTCCAAGCACTGCGGGGCCCCAGGAGGAGCTGGGGCTGGGAAACAAGGGGAGGTAAGGCCTCCCTTGGGAAGGAAGGATCCTGTTTACTGTTTACATCTTGTTTAGGTGTCTTGTTATGGTAAACAGTAAAGAGATCCCATGTCCCGCAGGGAGACCTTACCTTGTCCCTCAAGGCTGCAGTTTGCGGCCAAGGCCTCGCACTCTCTGTGCATCGAACACCAGCATGCAGTAGGCTCAGTGCCCAGGCTGACGCTGGCCCAGCGGTGAGCACATGCGCAAAACCATGCCTGGGGCCAGGCACACAGCCGAGGCCGGGACCAAGGGCTGCAGAAGAAACAGCACAGCCCTGCGCTGCTTGCGAACAAGCTCTAGCGGGGGACGGCAGTAGATACGGATGCTGCAATTCATATATAAAGGGAGGAAACATAAATACGGTGCATGCACATTTTCTAGTTTATTCGTAAAATGTCTCCCGACGGAATCACAGAAAACTTAAAATCAGCTGCCTCCAGGCAGGGAGCCAGCCTGAAGACACTTTCCTCTGAGTTTTGAAATAGGTGAGCACACTAGCTATTCAAAACACCAATACATAAAACGCAAAGGCCCAGAAACTCCTTTCTCAGGTCTTTGCAGTGGAATAAAAACACAATAAAAGCAGGAAATTTCGTTCTGATTCTTCCCCAGACGGCCCCACCACAGGGACTGCATTTGCAGCTGTGTGACAAAGCTATTTCCTCTCCTTATTTAATGTGACAAATACGTCTGCTACCCAAATCTCTCAAGTGCACAGGCTCAGGAGCACATTCCGTCGCCCACCCCCGGGGGACCCAGCTATGGAAGTGTCTCAACCCTTCCTGGCCCCCTACGTGCACCCGGCTTCATCCTTGGCCCCCAGGGACGGCGGCCCTTCACCTGCAGACCTCAGCCTCACCCTGTATAAAGCTCTGTCTTCCTCTGCTGCTACAAGAACCCACTGCAGATGCAGCATCAGCCAGGATGCTTCCACATCCCCCCGCGGGACCTGGGGACCTGGGTGAATGATGAACACGCGGAAGCTCACGTAGCTTGCTGTGCCGTGAGTAGTAAGCCCTTTGTCTCCGCCTCCGGGGTCTCATGTCTTCTTCCAGGGTCCACGAAACAGGAACGAGTTGTTAGCTTGCAAGAGTTAAAATCAAATCCCCCACACTCGTGTATTGGGAGGATGAAAACCTAGATGTGGAATTGCTCAGCCAAAGCACGGGCGTTTGTAATTTCAATAGTTGTTCCCAAACCTCCCAGCATTAGGGTTAGAGTCCCTCATCAGTTCCTCCTCCCCACGCCCCAGCACATAGTGTATTTCAGATATTGGTGATTTTAATTTGCATTCTTGTATCATAAGTGAGGTTTAAGAGCGATTTGCATTTCCTTTTCTGTGAACCGTGTTTACGCCTTTTGCTCATTTTTCTAGTAGATTGTTTATGTTTTGTGCCTCTTGATTTGTAAGAACTTGGAAACTAGGGAAATTAATTTTTGAATGGGTTTCAAATACTTTACCCCAGTTTTGATTTTACATATAGTGTTCTTTGCCATGCAGAAAAAATTAAATTTGTATGAGTTGAATTTGTCGATCTTTACTTTTGTGGCTAATTTTACATCACGATTAGGAAGATCTCCCTTACTTCAAGTTTATAGGAGAATATTCCCATTAGTTCTTCGAATACATTCCTTAAAATATATGTATTTATGTTTAAAACTTTTAAGCACTTGGGGAAGAAAGAGGAAAAAAGAGGGAAAAAAGAAAACCAGTTGTGATTTGAGGGGCAATGAAAGACAGTGAATGACTTGAATAGTCGTGAAATGTTTTCCAACTCAGACACACACCCCCACTGCACACATACAGTAGGCAAGGTGATGGAGGCTGGTGTGTCCAAGCATGGGCATCTGTGAAGGCTGCCGTGTCTTTCTCCATGGAGGGGCTGCTGGCACGTGCAGGGGTCCTGGGAACCCCTCTAGGGACCCACTCTGGGAAACTGGAGGCCAAAACACTGTTTTGATGTTGAGTCTGGGTGCCCATCCTGCACCCTCTCCTGCGGTGGGGGCCCCCTCCGCTCTGGCCATCCCAGCTGTGGCCCTTGATGCACCTGAGGGCCGTGTCCAGTGCTCTGGTCTGCCCAGCTCCTCTGTGGTGATGGGGGATGGGTCTGTGTGTGCCCTAAATTTTGTCTGGAAGGGGTGGCTGGTAAAGGCTGTGGAGCATGCCATCGGAGGTGGAGTTGGTCTAGAACCTGCCCCTGAGAGGCCCCCACAAGCACTGAGTGCAGGGGGCAGCTGATGTGGGGGAAGCCGGGCGGCCGGCTGGGACAGCCCTCCCCTTGGCAGTGCCCTTGACTCCCACCCAGCCTCGGTATCCTTTGGATGACATGGGTGATCCTGAATCCACAGTGCTCTCCCAGGAGTGAATGCCCTGTGCCACCAGGAGCCTGTTTGATGCTCCTTGTCTTCTGGGATTCCCCGGAGTCCTCAGCAGGGACAGTGCCTTCAGCTCATGACACTGTGGAAGCCACAGGGATTCCCCCCCTCCTTTTTTTTTTTTTTGCATTTTGATGTTTATTGAGTATAATTGAAGTATACGTATTTCAGCTGAACTGCACGTTTAAGGTGTGCAGCGGGTCCATTTTGACATTTGTGTACATCCGTGAAGCTATCACCAAAATCGAGAGGAAGCGTTTCTATCACTCCACGAGCTTCTTTGTGGCCCCTCGTAATTCCTCCCTCTAGCTCTGCCCCAGGCAACCTCCGATCTGTTTCCTGTCACTGCAGATGGTTTGCTTGTCCTGGCATTTTGTGCAAATGGAATCACACAGCATTTTGTCTGTCTGCACTTGGTATAAAAGTTCTGAGATTCATCCATGTTTCTAGCACCAGCCATTTGTTCTCTTTTATTGCTGCGAAATGTTCTGTTGTATGGATAGACCAAGTCTGTTTATTTACCTGTGGATGGAAGTTCAGGTCGTTCTCTGTTTTAGACTGTTACAAATAAAGCTACCATGAACATTTTTGTACAAGTCTGTAGGTTTTTATTTCTGTTGGATAAATACTTAGGCATGCAGTTGCTGGGTGACACAGCAGGTGCACGTTTAACTGTTTCCAAAGCAGTGGTGTCATTTCCCATTCCCAGACACTGTGTGTGAGAATCCCAGTTTCTCTGCATCCCCGCCGGTGCGTGGTGTGCTCAGCCTTCTTGGTTTTGACCATCCTCATGGGTTGGTGGTATCTCATCAGAGTTTTAATGTGCATTTCCCTAGTGACTAATGGTGTTGAGGATAACTTTATGTGCTTCTTCACCATCCATATATCTTGTCTGGTGGTGTCTGTTTAAATAATTGCCCGTGTTCTTATTGTCTTGTTTTCTTACTATTGAGTTGTAAGAGTTCTTTACATATTCTGGATATAAACCCTTGTTGTGAATATTTTCTTCCAACCTAAAGCTTATCTTTTCAATTTTCTTAATATTGACTTTCAAAAGACATTTGAAAACCTTTTGGCTGGGCGCGGTGGCTCACGCCTGTAATCCCAGCACTTTGGGAGGCCGAGGCGGGAGGACCACAAGGTCAGGAGATCGAGACCATCCTGGCTAACACGGTGAAACCCCGTCTCCACTAAAAATACAAAAAAAAATTAGCCGGGCACGGTGGCGGGCGCCTGTAGTCCCAGCTACTCGGGAGGCTGAGGCAGGAGAATGGCGTGAACTCCGGAGGCAGAGCTTGCAGTGAGCCAAGATCACGCCACTGCATTCCAGCCTGGGTGACAGAGTGAGACTCCGTCTCAAAAAAAAAAAAAAGAAGAAAGAAAATTTTAAAAAAAGAAAACCTTTTGATGAAGACCAACTTGTGAGCTTTTTGTCTTTTTGTGTTCTGAGAGTCCTGTAACTACCCCCAAGGTCTGAAGGATTGATTTTTGCACATTTTCTTGTAAAGTTTTACAGTAGTTTAAAGCACCTTGAAGTCTATACTCCTTTTTTGAGTTAATTTTTGGATATTGCATGAGGGTAGAGCTGGTGTCCGTTTGTTTTCTTGGATATACGGTTGATCCAACACAATTTATTGAAAAGATTTTCCTTTCCCTGTTTAATTGCCTTAGTATCTTTGTGAAGTAAATTGTCCAATGAAGACCCAAGGAAAACCAGTGTGTCTATTTCTAGACTCACACCATTCTTTTCTATTCATTTATACTTCTATGTTTTCTCTAATAACCAAATCATCTTTAATATTATAGCTTTAGAGAGGGCTTAAACTCAGTAATGTAGGTCCCCAGCTGTGCCCTTCTCTTTAATTGGCTATTCTAGGTCCTTTGCATTTCCATGTAAATTTTAGAATCAGCTTGTCAATTTCTGTAGAAATTCCTGTTGGGATTTTAATATGATTACATTGAATCTATAGATCAGTTTTGGGGAGAATTGCCATCAACAATATTGAATCATCCAATCAAAGAACATGGTATATCTTCCTGCGTATTTGGTCTTTAAATTTTTCTCAGCTCTGGTTTGAGTGTCTTTTGTTAGGTTTGTTCACAGGCATTGCATATTTTGGGGCGTCTCTTTCCGCCTGAGCTGGCTTGGTGCACCTCCCACACCTGTTTCTGTGCTGATGGGCGTTGATGAATCCTCCTGCGAGTCTCCTCTGCCCTGGAGTGAACTGGAGCTTCTCCTGCACGCCCTCAGGGCTTCTAGGCTTCTCGTATCCTGTCCGTGGCCTGTGTCCTCCTGGCTGTCCTCTCCCCACTGCCTTCGGCCATCTCTCCCATCTCTCTGGCGCCCCCATTCTGTGGCCTCTCCCAGCTGCTGTCTGCCCACTAGGTGCTCCCCTTGTTTTCTGGGGAGGTCTTGGGTGTCCTTCACTGACAGGTGGGCCCCTCCAGCCAGGGGATGCCAGTGCACACGAGAGCAGGTCCAGGTCATCCCCAATTCTCCCGCCTATTTACATCTTGGCTAGCAGCTTCAGTAATTTTTGGTGGGTGCAACATTAAAAAAAAAAAAAAAAGAAGTGGAAAGGTAACCAAAGATAAGACAAAGAATGGGAGAAAATAAATAGAAATCGTGTACTCAATAAGGGCCTGGTATCCAGAGTAGTTAAAGAATCCTCACAACTCAAAAACAAAAAGAAAAACAACCCAATTTAAAACTGGGCAAAAGACTTGAATAGCCATTTCTCCAAAGAAAATATAAAAATGGACAACAAGCATTTGAAAAGATGCTCAACATCATAAGTCATTAGAAAAATGCAAATCAAAACCGTAACAAAATACCACTTCACACACACCAGAATGGCTGTAATCAAAAAAACAGAAAATAATAAGTGTAGGTGAGGATGTGGAGAAACTGGAGGCCTGCTACATTGCCGATGGGAAAGTAAAATAGCGCAGCCACCATGGAAAGCAGTTTGGTGGTGCCCCAGAAAATGAAACAGAATTAACATATGACCCAGCAACTCTACTGCTAAGTACATGCTCAAGAGAATTGAAAGTATATATTCAAACAGAATCTTCTAGATGAGTGTTCACTGCACCGATACTCACGGCAGCCAAACAGAGGAGACAACGCAAACGTCCATCAGCAGATAGACGGATAAAGCAATGTGGCCTCTCCATACACGGGAATATTACTCAGCCCTGAAAAGGAAGGAAGCACAGAGAGCTGCAGCAGTGTGGATGAACCTTGAAAACACGAGGCTGTGAGAAAGAAGCCGGCCACAGAAGGCCACGTCTTGATTCCATTTCTACCACATGCCTTTAGTAGGAGGGTCCATGCTGAGAGCTGACTGAGGGCTGCCAGGGCTAACAGAAGGGGAATCTAGAGAGACGGCTGATGGGTAAGGGTTTCCTTCAAGGTTGGAACTAAATAGAGGTGAGGTTTGCACGGCTTAGCGACGGCCCTAAGTGACATTGAACTGTTCACTTTTAAACAGTTAGTTTCATGTTATGTGGATTATATCTCAACTGAAAACAACTGCTCTGGGTTTGGCGCTGTCAGGCTGCTCTGTGACTGGTTTACGGCCTAGGTTGTTAGACAGTGAGAAATGGAGTTTGTGCCGCAGAGTTCCTGACAGAACAGATTGTTTCAGACTTACAGCTTGCACGTGTCAGCTCACTCATAAATGCAAACACCTTAGAAAAATAAGGAACTTCTTGACAAAAGAGACCCAAACCCCTGGAAACAGCAGGCTCACTCCTGTATGTGCCAAGGTCCCAGGAAGGGTTAGTGTGGAAAGTCAGGTGGCCTCGTTCCTGTGGTCCTGCCAGTAACTGGCCCCTGCTCAGTCTCCCCATGCATTCCCAGTGGACTCCATACTGGCTGCCATCTTTTCTTTCGCATGATTGCATGTGGAAATGATATCTAGAACGAGATGGCAGTTGAAGTGGCTTCAGTGCAGTGATGGTTAAATAGGTCAGCTGTAGGGGACAGTCACTGTGAGGTTAAATGGGTTAGCCGTAGGGGATGGTCACTCTGAGGTTAAATAGGTCAGCTGTAGGGGACGGTCACTGTGAGGTTAAATGGGTCAGCTGTAGGGGATGGTCACTCTGAGGTTAAATGGGTCAGCTGTAGGGGACGGTCACTGTGAGGTTAAATGGGTCAGCTGTAGGGGATGGTCACTCTGAGGTTAAATGGGTCAGCTGTAGGGGATGGTCACTGTGAGGTTAAATGGGTCAGCTGTAGGGGATGGTCACTCTGAGGTTAAATAGGTCAGCTGTAGGGGATGGTCACTGTGAGGTTAAATGGGTCAGCTGTAGGGGATGGTCACTCTGAGGTTAAATAGGTCAGCTGTAGGGGATGGTCACTCTGAGTTTAAATGGGTCAGCTGTAGGGGATGGTCACTCTGAGGTTAAATAGGTCAGCTGTAGGGGACGGTCACTGTGAGGTTAAATGGGTCAGCTGTAGGGGATGGTCACTGTGAGGTTAAATGGGTCAGCTGTAGGGGATGGTCACTGTGAGGTTAAATGGGTCAGCTGTAGGGGATGGTCACTGTGAGGTTAAATGGGTCAGCCGTAGGGGATGGTCACTCTGAGGTTAAATGGGTCAGCCGTAGGGGACGGTCACTGTGAGGTTAAATGGGTCAGCTGTAGGGGATGGTCACTGTGAGGTTAAATGGGTCAGCCGTAGGGGACGGTCACTCTGAGGTTAAATGGGTCAGCTGTAGGGGATGGTCACTCTGAGGTGAGAGGGTCACGCCAAGCTCCTGTCATTTTAAGGTAGGTTGGGTGAGAGGGGTCAGCTCCCTCCCTCTCTGGGCTCTGTGGTGTGGAAGCCCCACAGGTGGCCCCTTTTTGTGGGTAGAGCAGGCCTGCTCTGGCTTATTAGGAGAATTGGGTGATGGCCCTCACTGCCCCTTTGTGGGGCCCCAGAGTGGCAGGCACCTGGTCTCATTTGCCCTGGGTACTCTCCCCTCAGCCCCAGCATGTACAGGAGAAACCAAGCTCGGAGCGGCCTTGGGCACGGCCCGGCTGATGCCAGGAGGACCTTTTCATGTTTCCTGGAATGTGTTAGGTTTTGTTTAGACACCGAGGAGTCCCCTAAGGATGCTGAATGAATGTGGCATTTTCTATGCTCACTCCTGCCCCGCCAGCCTGGGGCCAGGCGTCCTCCTCCCTCCTCAGGGATCCGTAGTGGAGAGGTGGAGAAATGTGCCTGTCCCGCAGCTGGGGGCCGTGCCCTGTCTCCGTGCTCTGAGCTGCGGTTCTCCGGCTGGTTTGCTTCTTCTCTCTACATCCCCTCCAGATACTGAGCTGTGCTTGGCTGTTGTGCGCTGTGGTTTTTAGTGTCTATGTCTTGAGGCATGGGTGAGCTTTAGTCCTCTTCCCGTCTTTTGTCCTGGCAGCAGCGTAGATGCTCCTAGTAAGGTCACTGCAGAGGACGGTTTCCGCCCCAGGGGGCCTGTGGCTTCTGGTGGAGAAGCCCACCTGACCCAGACCATCTCCCCACAGGAGGCCCGCCGTGGGGGCAGAGAAGTCCAACCCCTCCAAGCGACACCGGGACCGCCTCAACGCCGAGTTGGACCACCTGGCCAGCCTGCTGCCGTTCCCGCCTGACATCATCTCCAAGCTGGACAAGCTTTCTGTCCTGCGCCTCAGTGTCAGTTACCTCCGGGTGAAGAGCTTCTTCCAAGGTAGGACTCTCACCTGCTCCCACCTGTTCACTTGAGTCAGGCTGTGTCTCCCCTGAGTCCATCTGGGGCCTTGTGGCCAGGTGAAGTGTGTCTGGTGGGTTGCACCATGTGCACTCCCTTCTTCCCCCACGCTGCCCCCAGAACCTGGAGACTTGGCCCCTGGATGGGAGCTGGCTGGGCTGTGGATTTTCCCTGGGGCCAGGTCTGGCCCTAGCTGTCCTCGACACTCTCAGGGTGGGGGCCTCACCTCAGTTTGCTGGGATGGGCCAGTTTGCGCCTGGGGTCCTGGGTTTGCTGAAGCTGCGCAGCTGCTGAGGGAGGGGCTGGGGCTGTTCCTCCCCGTGCTGGGCCTCACTGGGGCTTCCCCACAGACCCCGGCTCCAGGGAATGAGGGATCGGCTTTGTGGATGAGCAGGGCTGGGCATGGTCAGGAGGCTGAGGCAGCTGACTAGGTGGGACCCGGGGGCTGCCCTGGGGTGCCGGGCGCCTCCCCCTGCCCACGCCAGGCCGTGCCCGGACACAGCTGCTGGGGCTGCCCTCTCGTGGGGAGGGGCTTCTGGGGCTCCTGCATCTCAGGTGGGGCCTCCCCAGGCCTGTGCCCTGTCTGTCCTTGGAAGCATGGCGTTTCCTTAGATTTCAGGTTATTGCTGCCCTGGGAGCTGGGATCGCTCCAGAGAACTCGCAGGTGTAGACCGTGGGGCCTTTGCTGTTGCGGGAGGGTGGGAGAGAAGCTGCTTTCAGCTTCTGTGTTGGGTGACGTGCCTGCACGTGGTTTGATTGCAGCACTTTTAGAATTAAAAACCCCGTGACCAGCAGCATGTGGCAGTTGTGCCCGGTGCCTGCACTCCTGAGTTTGAGTCAGGGTGGGGGCCTCCCCTGGGCGGGGGGCGTCTGTCTCAGGGTGCAAGAGGCTGTCAGTGCCTGGGCCCCTGCAGACCTCTGCGCACCCTCAGACACCCCCAGGGAAGGACGTGGCCCATGGGCTGCGGGAAGGAAAGTCACGGTGATGCCCAGCATCACGCGCCGTGTCCTGCCAGTGCCGGCCCCACACTGAGGGTCTTCCCCGGGTCCCGGCTGGCCGCAGCCTCCATGGAAATCAAATCCCACAAAATGTTAACAGAGCTTATCTGAGTGGTGAGGTCACAGCAAGTTTTAGTTTTACATTCCAGGTTTTCTAATTTTATGTTGAAAACTATTAATTTTATATTTATCTCTGTTCCCAGCCTGGGCCTCCTGGTGCCCAGGGCTGCTGGGTGGTGTTGGACTCAGTTTACCTGAGAGACCTGGGGTTTGCCGTATGTGCAGGATGGCAGCTTTTCCAGGAGGGTTAAGATGTGGTGCAGTTGGTGTGGTCTGGTGTGGTGGAGTGGGCACCACCCTGCATGCACCTGGGCATGGGCACCAGCATGGAATTGAGGGCAGGCTCCCAGGTTTGCCTTCTGGGACACGCCTTTCATGGATGGCGCAGTGCGGCTCAGCAGCGCCAATGGCAGAGGGCAGTCCCCGTGTCTGGACAGCGCAGGAAGGGCTGGGGCAGCCGGCAGGGAGGCTTTGTCCCGAGCTGAAGACCTGTCACATCGGCTTCCTCCCACCGACACCGCACAGCCTCACCCTCTCGCTGGGAGGTTGGAGGAGAGGCCAGGTCATTTCCTCTCCGCACAGGTCCCACTGTGTCCAGCCAGGCCAGGGCTTGACGGCCTCAGAAAGTCTTCGATTCTGGTGTTTCCAGCAAGTTTGGACACCTGGCTCTTCTTAAACTGCCAGCGAGTGAGCTTCCCATCCTGCTGCCTGCCCCAAGCCGGGGCAATGGCACTGGATGGCCATCCTGTGCAGGGGCACCCTGCGTGCCTCCTGCTGCCCTGCTGGGAGGTGCCCACCTCTGCCGCAGCTGCAGTGACTCTCAGGGGCCACCGGCTTACGAGAGTGCTGCAGCTTTCAGGAATAAACTTCCTGATTTTTCTACCAAGGATTGTGAATTTTGTGATCCCCTTCAGGCTGTACATTTTAGAGGAAATTCTAAAAACTTTTCTGAAGTCATTTCCACGTATAATTAGAAACAAGTCAAGCTATAAAAGTTAGATCTTAAACTATGCCTCTTGACTTAGAGATGGGTAAGCTAATTTCATTACGGCTGCCATAAAAAGTTGCCTTTGGGAAGGACATGAACCAGGGTGATGATGGCCTGAGCATTTGCTTGTGATGTTTAATGTTAATGTGACTGTTAAGGTCGGGATTTTCCACTCTTGGTGATTTTACTATTCACACCAGGGGAAGTCAGGCACAAAATAAGAGGGAAGGAGGTGGTGAGGAGGAGACAGTCTGCTGCTGCCTTGAGAGAGCTCTCTGCCCTCCTGCTGCGGGGCATGGAGGGGAGCTGGGCCCCTTCTAGGCTGAACCCTGGTCACAGCCTGGGACGTGGGACCCTAACACTGACCAGGAAGGGTCCAGAAGCCCCGGCTCTGTTGCTGAAGCCCAGTTGTGGGTCAGGCCACCCTCCCAGAACTCCTTGGGGGTGCCTGTGTTTGCCAGGACCCCTGCAGTCAGCGACTGAGGAAGAGCGCCCGCGAGTGGAGGCCCTCAGTCACGGAGTCCACCCGGGCAGTCAGCGACTGAGGAAGAGCGCCCGGGAGTGGAGGCCCTCAGTCACGGAGTCCACCCGGGCAGTCAGCGACTGAGGAAGAGCGCCCGCGAGTGGAGGCCCTCAGACACGGAGTCCACCCGGGCAGTCAGCGACTGAGGAAGAGCGCCCGCGAGTGGAGGCCCTCAGTCACGGAGTCCACCCGGGCAGTCAGCGACTGAGGAAGAGCGCCCGGGAGTGGAGGCCCTCAGTCACGGAGTCCACCCGGGCAGTCAGCGACTGAGGAAGAGCGCCCGGGAGTGGAGGCCCTCAGTCACGGAGTCCACCCGGGCAGTCAGCGACTGAGGAAGAGCGCCCGGGAGTGGAGGCCCTCAGTCACGGAGTCCACCCGGGCAGTCAGCGACTGAGGAAGAGCGCCCGCGAGTGGAGGCCCTCAGTCACGGAGTCCACCCGGGCAGTCAGCGACTGAGGAAGAGCGCCCGGGAGTGGAGGCCCTCAGTCACGGAGTCCACCCGGGCAGTCAGCGACTGAGGAAGAGCGCCCGCGAGTGGAGGCCCTCAGTCACGGAGTCCACCCGGGCAGTCAGCGACTGAGGAAGAGCGCCCGGGAGTGGAGGCCCTCAGTCACGGAGTCCACCCGGGCAGTCAGCGACTGAGGAAGAGCGCCCGCGAGTGGAGGCCCTCAGTCACGGAGTCCACCCGGGCAGTCAGCGACTGAGGAAGAGCGCCCGGGAGTGGAGGCCCTCAGTCACGGAGTCCACCCGGGCAGTCAGCGACTGAGGAAGAGCGCCCGCGAGTGGAGGCCCTCAGTCACGGAGTCCACCCGGGCAGTCAGCGACTGAGGAAGAGCGCCCGCGAGTGGAGGCCCTCAGTCACGGAGTCCACCCGGGCAGTCAGCGACTGAGGAAGAGCGCCCGCGAGTGGAGGCCCTCAGTCACGGAGTCCACCCGGGCAGTCAGCGACTGAGGAAGAGCGCCCGGGAGTGGAGGCCCTCAGTCACGGAGTCCACCCGGGCAGTCAGCGACTGGGGAAGAGCGCCCGCGAGTGGAGGCCCTCAGACACGGAGTCCACCCGGGCAGTCAGCGACTGGGGAAGAGCGCCCGGGAGTGGAGGCCCTCAGTCACGGAGTCCACCCGGGCAGTCAGCGACTGAGGAAGAGCGCCCGCGAGTGGAGGCCCTCAGTCACGGAGTCCACCCGGGCAGTCAGCGACTGGGGAAGAGCGCCCGCGAGTGGAGGCCCTCAGTCACGGAGTCCACCCGGGCAGTCAGCGACTGAGGAAGAGCGCCCGCGAGTGGAGGCCGTCAGTCACGGAGTCCACCCGGGCAGTCAGCGACTGAGGAAGAGCGCCCGCGAGTGGAGGCCCTCAGTCACGGAGTCCACCCGGGCAGTCAGCGACTGAGGAAGAGCGCCCGGGAGTGGAGGCCCTCAGTCACGGAGTCCACCCGGGCAGTCAGCGACTGGGGAAGAGCGCCCGCGAGTGGAGGCCCTCAGACACGGAGTCCACCCGGGCAGTCAGCGACTGGGGAAGAGCGCCCGGGAGTGGAGGCCCTCAGTCACGGAGTCCACCCGGGCAGTCAGCGACTGAGGAAGAGCGCCCGCGAGTGGAGGCCCTCAGTCACGGAGTCCACCCGGGCAGTCAGCGACTGGGGAAGAGCGCCCGCGAGTGGAGGCCCTCAGTCACGGAGTCCACCCGGGCAGTCAGCGACTGAGGAAGAGCGCCCGCGAGTGGAGGCCGTCAGTCACGGAGTCCACCCGGGCAGTCAGCGACTGAGGAAGAGCGCCCGCGAGTGGAGGCCCTCAGTCACGGAGTCCACCCGGGCAGTCAGCGACTGAGGAAGAGCGCCCGGGAGTGGAGGCCCTCAGTCACGGAGTCCACCCGGGCAGTCAGCGACTGGGGAAGAGCGCCCGCGAGTGGAGGCCCTCAGACACGGAGTCCACCCGGGCAGTCAGCGACTGGGGAAGAGCGCCCGGGAGTGGAGGCCCTCAGTCACGGAGTCCACCCGGGCAGTCAGCGACTGAGGAAGAGCGCCCGCGAGTGGAGGCCCTCAGTCACGGAGTCCACCCGGGCAGTCAGCGACTGAGGAAGAGCGCCCGGGAGTGGAGGCCGTCAGTCACGGAGTCCACCCGGGCAGTCAGCGACTGAGGAAGAGCGCCCGCAAGTGGAGGCCCTCAGTCACGGAGTCCACCCGGGCAGTCAGCGACTGAGGAAGAGCGCCCGCGAGTGGAGGCCCTCAGTCACGGAGTCCACCCGGGCAGTCAGCGACTGAGGAAGAGCGCCCGCGAGTGGAGGCCCTCAGTCACGGAGTCCACCCGGGCAGTCAGCGACTGGGGAAGAGCGCCCGGGAGTGGAGGCCCTCAGTCACGGAGTCCACCCGGGCAGTCAGCGACTGGGGAAGAGCGCCCGGGAGTGGAGGCCCTCAGTCACGGAGTCCACCCGGGCAGTCAGCGACTGGGGAAGAGCGCCCGCGAGTGGAGGCCCTCAGTCACGGAGTCCACCCGGGCAGTCAGCGACTGAGGAAGAGCGCCCGCGAGTGGAGGCCGTCAGTCACGGAGTCCACCCGGGCAGTCAGCGACTGAGGAAGAGCGCCCGCGAGTGGAGGCCCTCAGTCACGGAGTCCACCCGGGCAGTCAGCGACTGAGGAAGAGCGCCCGCGAGTGGAGGCCCTCAGTCACGGAGTCCACCCGGGCAGTCAGCGACTGAGGAAGAGCGCCCGGGAGTGGAGGCCCTCAGTCACGGAGTCCACCCGGGCAGTCAGCGACTGAGGAAGAGCGCCCGCGAGTGGAGGCCCTCAGTCACGGAGTCCACCCGGGCAGTCAGCGACTGGGGAAGAGCGCCCGCGAGGGGAGGCCCTCAGTCACGGAGTCCACCCGGGCAGTCAGCGACTGAGGAAGAGCGCCCGCGAGTGGAGGCCGTCAGTCACGGAGTCCACCCAGGCCTGGCATGTGGCTGTGTCCACCTCTATGCGTAGGGCCGGAGTGCTGACGGGGCACAGAGGTGTGTGTTCTTGTTGCTGTGTAGAGAAGTGTGGAGTAGATTAGTACCAAAAACAAAGTAGGGAGGAGAGAAGGTGGCACAGCCTCACTCTGAAAGCCTGGGGATTTTCCTGTCAGGATGATGCTGCTCCCTGCTCCCTTCACTCATCACCCGCAGCAGCATCGGAGTCCTCTTGTTCCTTTGCATCCACCGTGCTCCACTGTGGGGCCTGAACACACACCTGTGTCCATCCTGGAGCCCCTCCTGGGGTCAGTCCTGGCTCTGAAGCCCACCCGGGCTGAACGGGCACATCCGCTTCACCCCACCCTAGGTGGGCAAGAACAGAGGCCCCACAGCGCCACGAGGTGTCCTGGGTTCTTGAACTCTGGAATCCCACACTTGCTAGCAGGTCAAAAGTTCCATGCTCCTTGAGATTACGAGTGATTGTGTAAACCCAGGCCTGAAGTTATACTTTATTAAGGTAAATCATGCTGATTTTCAGCTTTCACTGAAGATTTACCTTTTCCTTGATGATCTTTTTATGGACTGGATGTTTGTCTCATCCCTTCACCTATTCATATAGTGAAACCCTAATTCCCAGTGTGGCCGTATTTGTAGGTGGGTCCGCTTAGGAAGAAATTAAGGTTAAACAACTTCATAAGTGGGGGTGGGGGGTGGCCTGAACTGATAGGACCAGTGTCCTTAAAAAGGAGACCCAAAAGAACCCTCTGTCCCTCTCTGTGCTGAACACCCCCCAAAGAAAGGCTGTGAGAGAACACAGGGGGAAGGCAGCTGTCTGCAGGCTGGAAAGAGAGCCCTCACCAGAGCCAAATCAGCTGCACCCTGATGACGGGCTTTTAGCTCCAGAAATGTGGGAAAGCCCATTCCTGTTGTTTAAGCCCCCGGACGGGGGTGTTTATTATAAGCAGCCCAGGCAGAGAAGTGGGGTGCCCTGCACTACATGCCACATACCTAAGAATGTGGAAGTGACTTGCAGCTGGCTGGTGGGTGGAGGCTGGACGAGTTTTGAGGTGTGTGCTAGAAAGAGCCCTGATGGCTGTGAAGCAGTTGTTGGTAGAACTATGGGTGTTAAAGGTGTTGTTGGTGAGGGCTCAGAGAGGAGAGCATTGTAGGGAGAGCTGTGGTCGTAGAGAACACACGTACCCCATGAACAGAACACTGATAGAAATGTGAGCATTAAGGCAGATTCTGGTGAGGAATGTGCCCGTGGAACGCGAGGAAAGTGATTCTTGTTATAAAGTGGCAAGGACTTGGCTGGACTGAATTCTAGCATTTTGTGGAAAGTGGAACTTGCAAGTGATGAAATGGGGTGTTTTGCTGGTGAGATTTCTAAGCAAAGTGTTGAAACCCTTGCTTCTCCTTACTGCTTATAGTGAAACGTCAGAGGAGAGAGATACATGGAAGGAATTGCCAAAAGAAAAGGAACCAGAACTTGAAGGTTTGGAAAATTCTCAGCCTATCCACATTGCAAAAAATGAGAAGGTGGGCCGGGTACGGTGGCGCACACCTGTAATACCAGCACTTTGGGAGGCTGAGGCGGGTGATCACAAGGTCAGGAGTTCAAGACCAGCCTGGCCAAGATGGTGAAACCCCATCTCTACTAAAAATATAAAAATTAGCCAGGCATGGTGGTGGGCGTCTGTAATCACAGCTACTTGGGAGGCTGAGGCAGAGAATTGCTTGAACCCGAGGTTGCAGTGAGCCGAGATCTTGCCACTGCACTCCAGCCTGGGCGACAGAGCAAGACTCCATCTCAAGAAACAGAGAAAGTGTTCTGGACGGACTTGCACGTGGTGAAACAGCCATTGGATAGGGAGACTGGGTGTGAGCCAGGAGCCCAGCCGGGAAGCCTCCTCAGCAGAGGCCAGGAGTGGGATGGCACCACGCCCGCAGAGACACTATCAGCTTGGCCTAAGGAGAACAGGACGGGAGGTAGTGCTTGCCAGTGGCTGGCATGTTTCATCTTTCCAGAAAGGGGAGAGTGTGCCTGGGGGTGATTCAGAGGTAACCAGGTGCCACTTCCACCACAGGCACAGGGCAGGGCTGTCTCTTCCTGGATTTCGGAGAGTGGGGCCACTGCAGAGCTGGGAAAGAGGCCGGGCCTCTGGGCAGAGCATGGAGTCAAAGAGGATTGTCCTGAGGCCTCCAGGTCTCA
Organism: Homo sapiens; assembly: GCF_000001405.40. Taxonomy (NCBI): domain Eukaryota; kingdom Metazoa; phylum Chordata; class Mammalia; order Primates; family Hominidae; genus Homo; species Homo sapiens. The sequence goes on from NC_000005.10 coordinate 361,640, forward strand.
GGCGCTTTGCCTTGCTAGACGTGTGACTTGCTTGGGACCCGTCTCCCCTCTCTTCCTACTGGGTCCTGCCTTTTGCAATGGGGAGTTCCATCCCATGCCTGTTCACTGTTGTATTTTAGAAGGACGTGGCTTGTCTGGTCTCACAGGTTCTTGGCTGGAGAGCAGGTCTGCTTTAGGAGAAATTGTACCTTGAGTCTTACCCATTTCTGATTTAGATGGTAGTTAAATGAAACTTTGGCTTAGACTTTAGAGTTGATGCTGGAATGGGTTAAGACGTTTGGGGCTGTTGGGATGGAGTTAATGTATTTTGCATGTGAGGACATAAATTTTGGAGGCAAGGATTGAATGTTATAAGCTGAATGTTTGTGTCCCCTAAAACTCATATGTTGAAGCCCTAGCCCCTAGTTTGGCTGTATTTGGAGAAGGGGCCTCTAAGGAAGTTAAGTTTAAGGTTAAATGCGGTCATAAGGGCAGAGCTCTGATCTGATGGGATTAGCACACGTATAAGGAGAGACATCGGAGGGCTCACTCTGTCCACAAGCACAGCAGGAAATTCATGTGAAGATGCAGTGAGAAGGTGGCTGTCCACAAGCCAAGAAGAGAGCCCTCACCAGAAACTGAATTTGGTGGCACCTTGATCATGGGCTTCCAGCTTCCAGAACTGCAAGAAAATAACTTTCTGTTGTTTAAATCATTTTGTTACAGCAGCCCTAGAGGCTAAGGCAAGCCCCCATGGCAGGGCCGCAGGTCTGGGACTCGATTTTTCTCATCCTGCGGTGGGCATGGGCACATGTGGGTCGAGTGCCTTCCAGCTCTCCAGGCTGTGCTCCAACCCTTTCCCTCACCCCCTTCCTCTCTGTCACTGGTGCCTTCTGGAAGATGGCTTCCCCTTGGGGAGCATTTCCTGCAAAGACTCACAAGTTTAAAATAATTTAGGATATTTCTCTGTACTTGAGAGCCAGGATAGGATGAGAGTTGGTCCTGCCCTGATGCTGTAAGGCCACTCCTGTCTCAGACCCTGAGGTCCTCAGGAATGGTTTCCCAAGTACTGTTGTAGTTGTATGGCAAGATCACTCTTGATTATTTTAGGAGCTGATTTTACTTTTCCTACCTCTTTTAACTGCTTCCAAAAGATGAATCTGGCCAAGAAGAGCAGGGGCTCATTCACTCATTTACTCACTCATTCCTGGTGCTTGAGTTTATTCCTGAAGGAAGCTGACCAAGGGTTGAGAGAAAACAACTTTGATTTTTCTCATGTCTGCCCCAGCAAACCTCCTTTGTGGACTGATTCTCCTTCTGTGCCTGGAAGAAACTGGGATAATCCCAGGACTTTTCTGGTCCCTTCTAGGTAATTCAGTGTCTTCCACTAATGTGGCCCCACACAGGCTGGGCTTGTTGATTAGTATAGGTCCAGCAAAACAGTTAAAACTCTACATGTCTTCCGCATGTGAACCTCTTCCCAACCTCACCTGGTGCTGTGGCAGGTGGGAGGCTGGGTGTCAGGCTGGCTGCTGCCCCCTGGGTTCTGCCCAGCTGGTAGCTATGGCTTCCAACCCTCCAGTGGGAGGAACAAGAGGGATAAGAGGTAAGGACAGGAGAGGTTCTGTATGGCTGGCATGGCAGAGAGCTGGCACATGAGGCTGGCAGGAAATCCAGAGGGCTCTGGGGGCATTCTCATGGTCTCCTAAGTGACCACACTACCCTGGGGTGTCTCTGCCACAACTGGCCAACTCAGGAGGTGTATCCTCTCCAGCTGGTCCCTTACACTCACTTCCTTAGCCCTAGGTGGCCGTGGTACCTCTAGCCTCTTGCCAAGGTCTGCCCTCACATCTCCAGGAACCCTTCTGGGCAGGATTTAAGACATCCCAGGCCAGTGTTCAGGCACTATGACCCCACCTGGTCCACAGGAAATGTGCACCTTTGATCCACTGGGTTAGGGTTATTTCCACATGCAGCCTAGTTGCCTACTGGGAGCTCCAGGAGTCAACTTTTGCCCTTTAGATTTCTTGAGTGTAAGAGGGATACCAGGTCTCTGCCCACCACCAGCCTCAGAAGGCACACAGTAGGCACTTGCAGGCCTCGTGAAACCCCTCTTGGAATGAAGTAAGGAGAAAGCTGCCCATCCCTCTCATGGTACAGGTTGGGTGGGGACAGACTGAGAGCACTGCCCCCCTCTCCCAAGGAAGCCCTCCTGTCAAACTTGAGCTTCTCTCATCTTCAACACCTCCTCTACCTAGATCACCCAGAATTTCACATGGGAACAATTGGCACTTCTTGTCTTGGGGCCTCAGCTAAAATTCAGACTGGAAAAGCTCCATATTAACATCCTGTTCTAATGCAAGTAAAAAAAGAGCTGCTATGGTCTTTGCTTCTTGGTATTTAGAGTCTAGTGGGAGAATATTGGCTACTTAATGCAGTCTCTTCCATTTTCAATATGTAACTGAGGCATCCTTCTACTGATAACAGCCAAAACTTCAAGAAAAAATATTTTAAGCCTTTAAAAATACATTTGTGGGCTGGTAGGAAATTAAGGAATAATCAGAGACCAAAAACTAAGTGAAGCTGAGAACCCAGAGATAACTTTATTAAAGGAGAATATTAAACATATACTTCACGCAGAAGGAAGAGAATTCCAGGTGGAAGATTTGAGATGCAAGGGGGAATGAAAAACAAGAAGGTGGTGACTATATGGGTAAATCAAATCAAATCAAACACCTTGTGTAAAATAATAATGGTGATATAAGAATTTTAAAAAGAGAAATAAGTATATAGTCATAATATGATACAAATTTGAAGAGGGTGATGAGTTAAAAAGTTCTAAGATTCTTGTGTTAACTTTGGAGGATGGTTATCTAATTTGTAATAAAATTTTCAGGATAATCATCAACCGTAGAAATGGGGTTGAAATTTCAAACTAATGGAAAGAAAAAAGAATGAGAAAATATAATCAATCAAAAGGAAAAGACTAGAAAGGGAAAGGAAAAAAGAAACACAAAAGAGGTGGAACAAAAGTCCAAATATATCAGTAACTACAATAAACATAAATGGAATAAACATAACAACTAAAAGATAAAGATTATTAAAGTGGATTACTATATGCTGTTTACAGAAAACACATCTACACTCTAAGGGTACAGAAAGGATGAAAGTAAAAGGATGGGAAAGGGTATACTGGGGAAATATAACTGAAGGAAATATGATGAATCTATATTAATGTAAAAAAATTGATTTTGGGGTAAAAAGCATCACTGGAGATAGAGAGAATCACTATGTAATGATTAAACAATTCATTTCATCAAGCAGATAATATAATTTTGAATTTTATTCTTTCCATAACATAATTTCAAAATCTGTAAAGCAAATATTGACAGAACTATAAGGAAGAATATATAAATTCATCATCAGAGAGAAATATTTTAAATACTGTAACTCAGTATTTTATAGAAGAAGTAAATAAAAGCCAGTAAAGGTTATAGAACATTTGAACAATGCAAAGAAAAAAAAAAGGTTAATTTAGTGGACATACATAAAGCAGTATACCCCCAAACTACAGAATTCACGTATTTTCAAAGCCCGCATGGAACTGGTAAATATATGGAAAACTTACTGGCCAATAAAGCAAGTCTCAGTAAATTTCAAAAGATAAAATATTGAAGAATAATGAGGTGGGACCTCAATGCAAATAAACTAGAAATCGATAATAACAAGATAACTTGAAAACCCGTATAGTTGGAAATAAATAAACACACTTGTATATAACGCATAGGTCAAAGAAGAAAAGAAGATGTAATTTAGAAATATTTAAAATGTGTGGGATGTAGCCAAAGAAACACTTAGAAATAAATAATCTTAAGTGTTTATGTATAAAAGAAGGCTAAATATTAATGAGCTAAGCATTTAATTAAGTAGTTCTGATAAAGAACAGTAAAATAAGAGAGTCAAAGAAAATAATAGAAGATATTGATGAAATAGAAAAGAAACATACAACAGAGTTCTTTTAAAATGATAAACTTTACAAAGATCTGGTGAAACTGATCAAGGAGAAAAGAATAAGCAGTATTAGGAATATAAAGAGGAGCTATTATGAACAAATTAATGCCAATAAATTTGAAGTTTGAAAACATAAATGAAAAAATTCCTAGAAAATATAACTTATTAAAACTGACTCAAGAAGAAATAGAAAACCTGAATGTCGTAGGACCATTAAAGAAATTGATTTGTTTAACATCTTCACACAGAGAAAATCTAGGCTCAGATAGCTTCAAAGCAATTTCTACCAAATAGTAAAGAAAAAAATAATTCCATTATATTGAATCCTGGGATGTTGAATTGGAATTGGAGGTATTGGTGTGAGCTCATGGTTTTCAATATATAAAGAGAGACATGAATATGTACGTAAAATGTGTGTACACTCACCTTCCCCCCCCACCCCCTGCCCCACACACACACTGTCCACTGAGAGAGCCTCGGAACAGTGACACCCTAGCAGCAGCAATCACACCTAACATTCAGATGTTGGTTTCTAAATGCTTCCTGCCATTAAAAGGACTAGGGCTTTTGGGGCTCTTTCAAGAGCTGGAGCAGACAAAGTACAAGGTACTTTGTACTTACCTCATGCCAGAAAGCAAGGCAGTGGTCACCAGGGATGAAGACGTGTCACAGGACACAGAAGCCGTCTTGAAGGGGCTCCCGCTGGCCAAGTCTGGGACAATTTCAGCATTAAAATGAATAATGATAGTAATGGGCTATACCCCAGTGAATAAAATATGATTTTATAGGGTCACATTTATATAAATGAATGAATAAGTAAATAAGTTTTTCCTCACAACAGGCTAATTAATGGCTATAAGAAGAGAGATGACTATAGAAAGAAAAGGTGAATTACAAATCAAATTTGGTAACCACTACAGTCATAATTCAGGCAAGAAATATCAATTGGTGCTAAAATTGGTGGTGAAAATGGGATGAGACAGGATTTTTGTAGTCTTGAACAAAATATCTATTAATTATGAAGCCGAAAAGCCCAGCATTCACTGTCCTAAGTGATCGATCTTACCCGCCAATAGTGGAATAAGCCGGCATTGTGCACCCCGCAACAGGATGAGTGGGTGGAGCACAGCATTGCTTTGCTGATACTCGGCTGGAGGTGCATAACTTCGGTCTAATCACGAGGAAACACCAGACAGACCCAAATTGAAGGGCAGTCTGCAAAATAACTCACCTGTAATCTCCAAAAAACCCAGCAGGCCATGAAAGCCAAGGAGTTACTGGAAGGGATGGAGAGGTGGCAGGGACTAAGGCAGTGTGGCGATGGCTGCTGCCGCAGTCCAGCACCACCTTGGCTGAAAGGATGTTATTGGGACACTGGTGAAACTCAGTGGCATCTGTGGACAAGGGGTATCTGGGTGCTTTATATGATTCTTATAGCTTTTCTGTAAGTTTGATATCATCTCAAAGCATAAGCAGGAGGAACAAGGAAAACTAAAATGGAGAAGTTGCAGGGTGTTTATATGAGCTCTAAAGTGAGTCCCTGGGGGGTCGCCGCAGATCCCCAGCTGCTCCCACCCTGGAGGAGCTGGGGGGAAGAGCAAGTGCCCAGGGAGGCAGGGGGAGAACGGGAGTTCGTGGGCACGTGGTGGGCCCTCAGCGTAGCCAGATGTGGGACAGCATCGTGTGCATTTGTATGTTTGTGAGGCAAGTCACGTCTTTTAGGAGCACTTGTCATTTTGGGCAGCTGGGCCTTTTGCAAAGAGAAATATAAGAATAACCAACACCTTCCTCACCGCCCATCATGACCACCCTGCCCCACAGACACGGGTCTGAGCTGCAGTGCGTGGTCAAGGGCACAGAGGAGTGGGCAGCGGTGGCCGTGGGGACCGGATGAGCCAGCCTGGTGGGGCCTGAATATGGCAGCGCCAGGCAGTGATGCCACGTGGGCCTTGCTGGGGGCGGCATCCGAGGCTCAGCACACCTGTAGCTTTTGAAGGCCATGCCCTCCTGCTGGGTCTCTTGTCTTCACCCCTCAGGAGGCCTTCCCCAGCCTCACTTTTAACATCACAGCCTCTGCCCCTCTGCCCTGACACCACCCCCTCTGCTGCTCGTTCTCTCCTAGTGCTTAACTCGTGTGTTGCTGGGTTCTGTCCCCCTCCTTCTCTGTTGTATGCCCAGGACAGGGGTTGGCAGTGGCAGATGCCGAAGATGTGGATGACCACACGGGCGAACGAAGGCCCATGTCGTTCAGGAGGCCCCGAGCATTGGACACCCAGGCCCTGAGACGTACTCAGTTCGGTCTGCATCTGTTGATGGTGAATATTGCAGGACTGATAGCCACTGACCGCCTGTAGTGATGTGTGAGGACAATGAAGGCAATGGTGATTCACAGGCAGGCCAGCCCCATATGGGTGTTAGTTGTAAATTCATGGTTACATAACATAATAAATTTACCTACGAATTCATTATTTATAAACAAATGGAGACTCTGACAGCTGAGCTGGCACTCCTCGTTGATGTGAAAGTTGACAAGCGAGGCAGCATCCATACCTGTGGGTAGAGGGCAGAGGACTCAGTGAGGGCTCGGTGCCCTCTTCCGCAGTAGGAGAGGCCAGTGGGGCTGCTCAGGAAGACTCCCTGGGCGTGCACCGCGCACTGTATCCTGCCTGAGGGTGTGGGCCAGGGCGCTCCCTGGCTGTGGCCGCGTGGGGTTAGTGGCCTGCAGTGTTGACCGCTCACTCATCTGTACACCTGTGCACCGCACGCTGATTCACTGAATATTTGGTTGTTAAACAGCACCAGCACAGTGTTTTGGGTTTTGTTTTACAAAATGTTTCTTGAACCCTTGGCTTGTCCCTGCTGTGCTTTTCTTTGATACGTTGAAATGTAACAAGAATGCCCAAATAGTTTGCTTATACCAGATGTTTCACATCATGAAGAGAATATGGATTTGCAATGTGTGCAAGTATTCTTTTTTTCCCCAAAGAGCTATTTTTGGTTGCATCTTCCACGATAACGTGGGGTTCCAAGGCCAGGGTGTGTTTCCTCTGCAGGACGAGCGTGTGACTCTGGTGACCGCAGAGCCCCCCTGAGGCCCCCGGGTTCTGTGATCTCAGAAAGTGGTTAGAGGCGCATTCTCTTGACCAGAGAAACGCGTGGGCACTGCCAGCTGCAGCCACCCCAGTCTTCGCTGGCTCAGAGGAAGTGCATTTCTTTGCGGTTCATTTTGCACTGTGAGGAAGTGTGAAATCTCTGAAGCTCTCTGGTGCTTTTTGAAAAATCGGGAAATTCTTGCCATAGGAAATTCAGCAACTTGATGCAGTATGTGTCTTGGGGTGCCCCCCGTTTTGTAAATATCGTGTCTGTGAAATGAGTGTGTTTATTTATACTCCTGATGCTTTTTCTAGCTTAGGGGAATTTGGGACTTTGAAGGACATTTTTAAACCCCTCTGCCCCACAAGCTGTAACTAAGGGTTTTGGAAGCACACTCGCCCATCCAGCACCCACTTGCTGGGACCCCCTTCTGACTTGCTGCTTCTCTTTGCCCTCAGTGAGCACCTCGAATGCATTCCCTCACACTCTGTTAATACACCCGCCCATGTGTCAAGAGCAGCACGGCACAGTCATCCGCTTCTCACACTTCCTCACACCCTCCCTCTTCCTGGGCATTCTGTCTTAACCCCCTAACCTGGTACCAGCTGTTTTCTGGGACACCTGAGGGCTCTCCGGGCACAGTCCTGGTCCCCTCCTGCCCACAGCCTGAAGGGGCAGCTTTGTCCCACAGGGTGGACTTGCCTGCTTTGCAAGGCTGAGGCACATGCTCCTTGCAGATGAACAGACCTACAGCTAGGCGAGCATGCAGCACAGCCCGACTCAGGAGCTGAGGCCTCCCGCTGCACGAGCCCGGGCTCCCTCTGTGTCACTTGCTTCGCTCTGAGTCTTTGTCACCTGCCTGAATGCTCCTGATGCCTCCTAGGCCACTGGGGAGAGCTGTGCTTGTCCCACGCTCTGGCACAGAGTGTCTGTCCCGAGTGCTTCCTCTAAACCTTTCCTGTGCAGAAGCTGGGACAAATTCTGTGCATCCTGGTGCAGAACACACCTGTTCAGAAAGTAACTGGGTGGTGAGAAGTTTCCTTTGCAAATACCATTTGTGGCCATCAAGAATCACTAAATGACATTTTCTTCCGGAATGTACATATTACAATTCATCTTCAAAAGGCAAAACGGTTTCTCATCCAGTTCTTGAGAAGGGAAGGAAGGGAGAGTTTGAATGTTCGAAAGCCTTGAGGCTCTGGTCCCCTCATTTGACGTAAAACTTGCAAAGGCATTTGTAGGAATGGTTGGGGTGTGAGAGCAGGGGTCAGAGGTGCCCTCCTGGGAATGTCTTGGCTCTGAGAGCACTGCCCTGCCCTCCCGGGCTCTTGCTGGTGCCCCATCCTCCCGGGCCCTCGCTGGAAGCCCCGTCCTCCCGGGCCCTCGCTGGAAGCCCCGTCCTCCCGGGCCCTCGCTGGTGCCCCGTCCTCCCGGGCCCTCGCTGGAAGCCCCGTCCTCCCGGGCCCTCGCTGGTGCCCCGTCCTCCCGGGCCCTCGCTGGAAGCCCCGTCCTCCCGGGCCCTCGCTGGTGCCCCGACCTCCTGGGCCCTCGCTGGAAGCTCTGCTCATTTACTCCCCGTGTTACGGTTGTGCAGCATTTCCTGGATCCACAGTCAGGTCAGGCAATTCTGGGGCGAGCAGGCGTCGGGGAAGGGTTGGATGGGCGTCCCAGGCTTCTCAGAGCATCCCATCCAACTCCTGGACGGGAGAGGTGTCGTAAGGGTCCCTCAGGAGGGAGCTTGAGCTGGAAGCAGGGGTGAGTGAAATCAGGTTCAAGGGAAATTTTCACCAAGGTCATCCGCCACCCCCAGGACCCTGAGAGTCTCACAGTGGGTGCAGCCCCAGGCAGGTGGTGGTCCATAGGGGACAGCCCCCAGGAAGATGCAGGTGACAGGGGTGGGGTGGACAGCCCATGGGAAGGTGTGGGTGATGGGGGGACAGTCCATGGGAAGGCACAGGTGATGGGGTTGGGGACAGGTCTCGGGAAGGCACAGGTGACAGTGTGGGGTGGAGGGGGGCAGCCCATGGGAAGGTGCAGGTGTTGGTGGGGGGAGGGGGGCACGTTCCCATCATGCTTGTCCGACCTCCCTGGGTGGCTGGAGGAGGAAGTGATCCAGAGGAGGCCTGCCTTGGAGGCACCCAGAGCACAGAGGCTGGGCCTGGTGTGGAGCTCTCGGCCGACCTCGGGCCGGGCTTTACAGGGCATGTCAGTTAGGGCTCTGCAGAAAAACAGAACCGACCGGAGACAGATATGGGGAGGCTTATTATGAGCAGGTGTCTCAGACAGCTGCAAGCTGGAGACCCAGGAGAGCCGAGGTGTAGTTCAGTCCAAGCCCAGAGGCCTGAGGGCCAGGGGCGCTGGGGTAAATTCCCGCCTGTGGCCGGAGAATGGGAGATGAGCTGATCTGGCTCAAGCCATGAGTCAGGAAAAAGGGGTGACTCCTCCTGTCTAGTTCTCTCCAGCCCCCCATGGACTGCCCAGCCACACTGGGGAAGACCACTGGCTTCACCGAGCCCACGGATTCAAATGGGACCGCCATCTGGAAACACCTCCCAACACAGCAGGCACGATGTTTAATCGCAGCACCCAGTGCTGCAGGTGGTTGATGTGTGACATCGGTCAGCACACTAGGCCTGTGTCCTCATTAGTTCGAGGGCCGGCTGTGACTGCCAACAGTAGCTTCCCATCTGAGTCAGGATTTCAGCCCAGCCCTGCTCTAGGCTTTCTGAGTGAGTCTCTGGGGCTCTGAAGTGATGAGCTTGCAGGTGACAGGAATCCTGCGTCCCATTCCCTGGGCAGGTGCAGCAGGGGCTGGCAGGCTGCCTCATGCACGGGTAAGCCCCTGTGTGTCCCATAGTAGGACTGAGCATCTGGGCCCACCTGTCCTAGACCCACCTGTCCTGGGCCCACCTGTCCTGGGCTGACCAGTCCTGGACTCACAAGGTGGCTCTGACTGTCCTTCCAGGCCTGTGGAACCGACTCCCGTGGTCGCTGTTGAAGCCCTCTATGGTGAAATGCTCCCAGGAGCTGCAGACTGCCAGACAGCTTTACTTAGGATGATTCCCTAGAGGGAGTCCTAAACCGAGTCAGCTTGGGGGCCGCCTGCTCCTCTCTCCCTTACGCCCCTGTCTGTGGAGTTCTGTCCCTTCCAACGAGGATGCTTAGGGTCGATGTGCCTGTTAAGGGCTGAGTGAAAACGATGGAGAAGAAAGGGATCCTGGGCCTTCCTCTCATCTGGCTGCTTGCACCACTCAGGCCCCGCCGAGGGCTCTGCAGAGAGGCAGGCAGTCCTGCCAATAGGGACCTTCATGAAGCACCCACATTCCTTACCACCTTCTCCCCTCACAGGAAGGAAGCAGCAGGGTTTCTGCTGGTTGAGCTCCTCCTCCAGGCTTCCTGGATAGGAAGCAGTGGTGCTGCTCAGCACACAGCCCCTCAGTGCCTTCCCTCCTCCCCCAGGGCTGGGGTGGGCTGGCGGGGCCACCCCTGCTGATCCATCCCTTGGCTTCTGGGCCCAGCTCCCCTGACTGCACAGAGGGGACTGTGGAGCTGTGGGCTGGGGCCTCATGGAGGCATGTCCTCCTTCCCAGCCAAGGTGCTGGGATCCTGACTGTCACCTGCCCCAAATCCAGCCTGGGCCCTGTGCACCCTGGGATGGGTCACAGGAGGCCTGAGAACCAGGTCCAGGCTGCGGTTTGGGTGAAGGACAAAGGGACGTCCTCTTCTGCTCGCTTTGCCTGTTCTGCTTCTTCTGTTTCTTCATCTCGCCTTCTTTTCAGCTCCCCCTGGGCCCAGCTCCCTGTCCAGCACTGAAGACCTGAAATGGACCTTACTCAGCCCTGCACAGAGCAGGAAACTTCAGCCGCAGTCGCTGCACAGGGCTGGGGTGCGTGATCTCCAGTGGCAGGGGTGCGTGATCTCCAATGGCAGGGCTGACCTCCCACCCTCCGTCTGCACCGCCTCCCCCGCCCCTACCAGGGAATTGGCTTCAGGGGACTGGGAGCAATGTGGCTTCGTTTCTGGGCATCACGGCATCACCCAGACGCACAGCTGGACCTGCCTTCTGGCTCCTCCTCCACCAGGGACTGTGGGTCAGACCGAGTCACAGGCCCAGGTGCTCGTGGTGGGGGCCAGATGGGGTGGCCTTGGGTTCCCGGTGACACCTTGCTCTGAGTCTCCTCTGTGTGAAGAAACAGAGGGCCCTTAGCAGGACCCCATGGGAAGCCTGAGCCCCCAAGGGAGCCACTCTGCTCCAGCCCTTGCTGTGGGCACAGGGTCGCCCGAGGCCTTGGTGCTGACTTCACATTCTCGCTGTTCCAAATGAGCCCCTTCTTGGTTGCAGTGAACTCTGCAGCCGTGGGCGGACGGCTGGTAATGGCCCTGAGACTCTCCAAGGTGGCTGAGGTTCTGCGCGGTTGGCAGAGTGCTGGCAGGACACAGGGGTTGCCCAGGCTACAGATCCGGGTTCAGGCCCAGCCGTGGGGACTGTTCACCTCTGAGAGGGCAGCCCTGCCCCGCGGCCCTGGCCCTGCCCTGCACCCGGCTGGGTCTCATCTGACACGCAGCCTTCCAGCCTCTCATTGCCCGAGGGGTGGGCCCTGGGAGTGGTCCTGGCAGGGCCCCTCTCTGCAGACCCTGCGGGACCAGCAGGCCGGGCGGTGGCTGGGAGGCAGGGGACAGGTTGGCCTCTGCGGTCTTGGAGGCACAGAGCTCCTCCCGCCCTGGGCCTGTGGCCCCCTCCTGCTGGCCCAGCTGTGCCTTGTAAGGGCCACGGTGATGGCCCACCTTTCTCACCAATGCCCAGGAAGGACACCGCGCTCCCAGCTCCCTTCCTCCCCATCCACTCACCATGGGCAACTGCGGTGGCTGGGCGGAGGGGGGGTCTCTCTCCACATCACAGAGGAGGAGACTGGGGCTGGAGAGGTGGGGGATGGGGGCTCCCTCCCGGGGCGGACCCTCAGGTGGGACCCCCAGGCTCAGGGAGGGCGGGGGGACCTGGGGAGGCCGTGGCCGGGTCCGCCCGCCCCGTGTGCACCCGGAGCGCCCGCGCGGACCCCGAGCCCCATTCCCCGCCACGCGCCTGGCGCTCCCCGCGCTCCTGGGGCTCCTGGCGCCCTGCCCGGGCGGGCGGGGGCGGGAGCGCTGCTCGCACGCGAGGCCTGGCTGGCCCCATCGCGTGACGGCGCCGGCGGCTGCGGGGGAAGTAGGGGGGAAGTGGGCGGGCGCCCGCGGGGGGCACGCGATGCCGGGAGGGGCGCGCCCCTGCCGCCGCACCTACGCGCTTCTCGGGGAAAAGGCCGGGGCTGCCGGGTCCGCGGGGCGCATTGCGGGTGGGACGGGGTCGGCTCCGCTGCGGGAGCGACCCCTGCAATGGGGCTTGGCTGCACCGGCCGCCTGGGTGGTCGGTCTGTGTGCGGGTGACCCAGGCGTGTGCCCCCACCCGCGCTGCCCCAGCCCGCGGACCTCGGCGGGGAGCGCCCAGGGCCAGCACGGGGGTCTCACGGGGCGACCCCAGCAGCGTCTGTGTGGGGCCGCTCCTGCCCGGGTCTCTCCTCGGGCTCGGGGTCAGCTGCTGGGACACCCGGGGCGCCTCTTGCCCTGGCTTCTCCTGGGTCTGCACTTGGGAGAAAGATCTTGATTTTCACTGTTAAAAACCTTCAGCTTTCTGAACACGCGTATTGTGTGAACTGTGGCGTCTCTGGCTGAGCCTGGAGGGCAGGAGGCTAGGATGCTGGGGTTTCCAGGTGGGAAGAGGCCGCCCTTGCCCAAGGGATGCCCCCACCTCGGTGGACTGTTCATGCTTCCTCGGAATAGTCCTGCTTTGTGGCAGAAGAAATGGGGCAGTTTTTGTTACATTTAGTGCAGTGAACAAACATCCAGTTTTTACCAGCTATGGGAGTTGAGGGAGAAATGAGGGCTCAGAGACCAGGGAGGGAGGGGAACAGAGAGGCCGAGTCCCAAGGCCACCCGGTGCCACCGTCTCCGGGCTTCTGGCTGCCTCACCTCCTCACTCGGGCCCTCGCCCCCCACGGACACCTTAGCTCGTCAGCATCCCTGCAGCTGGTACCTCAGATTCTGAATCAATGGCTCCCAGTATGGCCTTTCTGGTGGAGGGTGGGGTGCTAGCCCAGTCCAGCAGCCGGTTCCGGGGTCCTGGCCTGATGGGGAGCAGGTTAACCCAGCGTCCGGACCCCACCTGTGCTCACCACGGCCTGGGGACACCACAGACGCTGGTCCTGTGGGTCTGGGGGCTGCCGGCCCAGGGACTGTGGGGTGAGGAGAGCTCAGAGCAAAGTGTGAACCACTTTGACTAGCAGGTGGATGCCTTCCTGGAAGTCCAGGAGGATTCCTGGGAGCAGGAGCCAGTGACCCACAATGAGGTTCAGGCCACACACATTTCAGAGCACTCTCAGGTGACAGACACAGTGCCCCTGGGGCTGGAGACTGGGAGTCCAGCCCACCCTGAGTGAGACATTATGCTTTTATTCAAGTGGTTATTCTAGTTCTTAAAATATCCAGCAGCCTCACATCATTTTGGGACTGTGATGGGCTACAAATAGACACGTGCGCTTTTCGATGAGGCGGTGCCCCTCAAACTTGATTTTCTGTCTGGGTCGGGCTCTTGCTGAGCAGTGGGGTGGAGGCAGCCAGGAGTCTAAGCTCGGCCCAGTGGGGAGTGAGGGTGGTGGGGGGCTGCTTTGGAAAGGGCTGTGTCTCCCTAACCCGCGGAAGTGGGCAGATCCGGTGAAGCATGGCCGCCTGGGCTGTGCCACGCCGGGACCCCGGCACAGGCTGCCCACCGTGAAGGACGGTGTGCTGGCCTTAAGGTGCCATGCGTGATGACAGTTTTTATGCCATCTCAAGGTCAGAACTGGTGGCAAGGTAGCATCTGCCTGAGCGGACACCACCTGTGACTTCAGCTGAGGATCCGGGAGACGCGGGAGCAGCAGATGCCCCCCCGGCCTTGCTGGGGTGCGCTTTGGTCCACGCACTGGGGCCAGCTGCTTGCTGGGACACCCTTGCCCCTCAGTCCTCTCAGAAGCTGGGGAGGGGTGTCCCTCCCATGTCTCCAGTGCCCATGAGGACACTGAGTGGGCAGTGAGCACCTGTGCTGGGTCCGGAACTCAGCCCTTGGTCAGTCTGGAAGGTGAACGTGTCATCTGTCCCCTTCTGCACCCAAAAATGGAGAATGCACCATCCTCAGGAGTGGGAGTGTCCTTGGGGGCTGTGCGCAGTCACTGGGAAGGGGGTAGCACTGGCGACTGTCCTGGACCTGCCTTTTCCTGCCCTGCGGTGTTCTGTGCGGCCCCTGGGGGCGTGGGGCCTGGCCTGCTTCTCACTAGGGAGGGGGCTGCGTGGGTTCCAGGAGGGAGAGGCGATGCGGGTGTGCAGGGCACAGAAGACCCAGGTGGACGCAGGGGACCTTGGCCCAGCCCTCAAAGGGGTGCAGCCCAACAGTGCCGTGGGTCTCAGGGGAGGGGCCGTAGGGACCTCCTGGGTGGCTTCAGGGGGATCTGGCAGGAAGCCAGACTTTGTCCCAAGACTGGGTGGGGGCCCTGGGGGGTTGGGCAGGAGGGGACAGAGAGCAGTTTCTGCAGAGCAGAGCGGGTGTGGGGGCGTCCTCAGGCCAGGCTCTGCCTCCATGTCCTGGTGTCCCCCTGCCTCTCCTGGCTGATCTGAGGCCTGTGTCTCAGCTCCTCCTGCCCCACCTTGGACTCTCAGGGCTGTGGAATGCTGCGTGGCCTGCAGAGGGGTCAGTGCAGCCCAGGCCAGATGTCAGGTGAGAACCGTGGGGTGAACGCGGGGAAACACAGGAAAGATGTGAATGAAGAAGAGTGGCCAGGCCAAGGGTTGGGGGTGCCTAATGTGTCTTTTCTTCTCTGACAGTCGTGCAGGAGCAGAGCTCACGGCAGCCTGCGGCCGGCGCCCCCTCGCCCGGAGACAGCTGTCCTCTTGCAGGGTCTGCCGTGCTGGAGGGAAGGCTGCTGTTGGAGGTGAGTGCCACCCTTGGTACCTCGAACACTTGACACTTGGTTCTCCGTGTCACGCGTGTTCAGGCTCAGTCATACTCCGTGTCACGCATGTTCAGGCCCTCACCCAGGAGGCCCTTAGGTTGTGAGGTTTATAACTGTCAGGAAGCGTAGGCTCCAAAATCTGTTGAAGAAGGGTGTCCCTGGGTCGGGGTCAGCCTTGGGTGTGAGCCTCGTAGGCTGGGACAGAGAAGGCAGCCCGAGAGCTCTCGGCCTTGTGTGCTACATCAGGAAATCATCCTCATTCTGCACCGTCTGCTTTTGCTTGTCGGTGAGAGAACCTTGTACAAAATTAAGCCTTTTTTCCCCCAAAATGAAGGATTTGGCAAAGTCTACACTGGGCTTCCCTGGTGTGGTTTCAATCTTGGGGTGGCCTGTGTGACACCCTGGAAGCTGTGGGCCTGGGCAGGAAGCTCTGTGGTGAGGGGGCTTTTCACCCCATCTCCCCCATCCCTGCGACTCTGAAGTGCTGAGTTGTCCTGTGCTGTAACGCGGGGCCTGTTACCCCTCTGGGAGAGGAGACTGTGGACCATTTTCCTAAACAAGATAAGATGGTGGCATGGAGCCTCCGGGGTGAATCCATTCGCCATTTTGAAGATGAAGGGGGTTGCTGCCTCCACCAGTGGCTGGAGAGACATGGGCCCTGGGTGGTCCCAGGATGGGGTTGAGTGGGCTTGCAGGGAGGAGGCGGGGACAACATGACATTTCCTGGGTAACAGGGTGGGCTCCAGCCGGAACTCAGGACCCCTGGGTGGGGCAGGAGGGCACCAGCCAACCCGCTCCAGATGAGAGGGTACTGGGGCCCTGGTGGCAGGCTGCCCCACAGCCAGCAGCCACTAGTCTCCCATGGAGCTGTGCACCCCCAGTGCCTGGGAGGGGCTGCTCAACCCCCTGCCCCAGATCCTCCTGTGTGTCTCCAGGTCAGTTCACAACCCCCAGCTCGCTCTACTCTGTCCCCGCTAGTGAATGGGTCCCAGCTCCTGGGGCCTGGGAAGCCTGGAGCCTGCGGGAGGGAGGCCTGGGCCTGGTTCCCTGCTGCTGGACTTCCCACCCTGCTCCCAGCAGCGTGGGATATTTTGGAGCTACCTTCAGGGGGACTCTCCAAGAAGACTTTGGAAGAGGCATGGAGGCTGGGGGTCAGGGTCCGCCCGTCTGCTCCTGACACTGTGGCCCTCCTGCTGCCTGGCCTGACTCCCCTACCTGGCCAGAGTGCTGGTCACACCCACTCTGTTCTGGGGGAGGTTGAGCAGTTCCCGAAGTCTCAGTCCACTGCATCTGGTTCATGTCCTCTGGCCCACGGAAATTTCTGGAAGTTTGCTTAGATTGCATCTGGTAGGTTGTATGGTGAGGGTTCCTCACTGATTGCCAGGGCAGTGAAAGGGGTTATATGCTCTTTTTGAAGCTTAAAAATATTCCAACAGGGCAAAATAAGCAAAGCAAGCAACAACAGCAGCAAATCCCAGCTTTTATTTCTAATCTTCAATCTCTTCACAATAAACTGAAAAAAAGGGGAGGTTTATGGCAGGGCACCCTAAATCCATAAACCGCCTTGAGCCGGCACAGGCTTCAGAGTGCTGTGGCCATGGTCTGTTGATTTAAGGTGAGGAAGTAAGGCTTGGAGCCACCAGGTGCCCTTTGGGGCTGAGCTGGACCCAGCGCTTCTGTTTATTTATTTATTTAAGATGCTCCACACGTTCAGAGAGGCTTTAGTAATGATCTAGAAATGACCCCTGAGAGTGTAGTCTGGACCTGGTGTTTCTTTGTCCTGAGTTCACTGGCTTGTCCTCCAAGCCTCCGGCCTTCCCCAGGGAAGCCAAGACAGATGGGCCACAGCCCGTGGCTTCCCCTGGTGCACATCTTGGTGCAGGTGCTAAGAGTGGGAGGATGGAGGAGTGGGGAGAGGTGGGAGACTGGAGAGGGAAACAAGGAGGAGGGCTCCAAAGACATGTGAGCACACAGAGGAGGCCCTGAGCTCCCTGCACAATACGAGTCAGAGCTTCTAGGTTTTCATTCTGTCTTTTAGGTGGGCTACAGGGCTGTTGGGTTTAGCATGACTCACTGGAGCCACGGATGTGGCCTGTCTCGGGCTAGGATGCTGTCTCACTGACTGCTTAAGTTCAGCTAGAATTCAAGTGTATGGTTACTGCAGGATACATTTTCTAACACTTATTTAAAAATTTACATACACTAAAGTTCATTCTTTTCGGCATTCAGTGGGATGTGACTGCCACCGTCATGAAGATTCAGAGCCATCCCCTCCCCAAACATTTCTCCTCTGCTGCTGTTTGCAGTCACAGCCCCCTGCCCCCAGCCACGGCCGATGTGTGCTCTATCCCTGCAGCCTGTCCCTTGCCTTTCTCTGGATGTCTTCCACACGGAGTCACACGCATGGCCTTTGGAGGCCAGCTTCAGTCAGCACAGTGCTGTTGAGATTTGCTCACGGTGCTGCGGGTCACCAGCTGGTTTCTTGTTGTTGCTGCCGGTTAGGATTTGGGCTCATCCACGGTGCTGCGGGCCGCTGGTTTGTTTCTTGTTATTGATGAGGTATGGACCAACCCCATGTGTCATTCAACTGTTGAGGGATATTTGGGTTGTTTTTAGGTTTTGGTGTTTATGAATGGAGCTGCAGTCAATAGACGTTCACATACAGGTGTTTCTATGAGCGTAGGTCTTCGTTTCATGAATAGTAAGCGTGTTTTTAACTCTTATCCCCCAGCAGTGAATGAGTGTTTCAGTTGCTCAGCATCTTTGGGTTTGCACTTGGTATTACTTTTTTCAAAGCCATTTTAATACTGGAATCTTGTTAGGGTTTTAGTTTGGATTTCCCTGTGACTAACAATGCTGCATATCTTTTCATGTGGTTATTTGCATCCGTGTGTCATCTTTGGTGAATGGTCTTTCAGATCTTTTGTGCATTAAGAAAACCAGCTCATTTGCTTGTTTACTATTCAGTTTAGAGATCTCTTTATATATTCTGGAAACATGTCCTTTCTCATATGTATGATTTATAAATATTTTCTCGTAGTCTGTGGCTTGTCTTTTTATTCTTTTGACAGGATATTACAGATAGTGAAAGTATTCCATTTTGATTAAGTTTAATTTATCAATTTCTCTTTTTGTAGATTGATTTTGTTGCCACATCTCATTACCTAACCTAAGGTTACAAAGATTTTTCTTTTATGCTTTCTTCTAAAGTTGTATAGTTTCATATGTTACATTCTGGTCTATGATCCACTTTTTGTTAACTTTGGTATGAGATGTGTGAGGTAGGGGTCAAGATTTATTGTTTTTGCATGTGACTATCCAGATGTCTCAGCACCATGTATTAGAAAGACTATCTTTTTATACTGAATGGCGTTTATACCTTTGTGAAAAATCAATTGGCTGTATTTTTGTGGATCTGTTTCTGGACTCTGTATTCTGTTCTATATATCTGTATTTTTAACCTTTTAACAATACCACATTATCTTACCTACTATAGCTTTAAAATAAGACTTGATATCAAATAATGTGAATCTTTCAATTTTATTCTTCCTCAGAATTGTTCTGGCTATTCTAGTTCTTTTTTTTCCATATAAATTTTAGAATTAGCTTATTGACCGATATCTACAAAAATCCCTGCTGGGATTTTGATTGAGATTGTGACATATCAGTAAATCAATTTGGGGAGCATTGGCATTTGAACAATACTGACTCTCCCAATCCATGAACATGGTATGTGTCTCTATTTAGGTTTTCTTTAATTATGTTCATCGGTGTTTTGTAGTTTTCAGCATACATATCCTGCATATTTATGTTAGATTCATGTTTAAGTTTTATATTTTTGTTCTTAATGTAAATGAGACTTTTTTAATTTCAATTTTTAGTTCATTCCTAGTATATAGAAGTACAATTTATTTTTCTAGGTTGACTTTGTATCCTATGACCTTGCTAAACTCATTAGTAGTCATGGGAGCTTTTTAAAATAGATTCCATGGGATTTTTTAAAACATAGATTTTATTAGTCAGGAGTCTCCAGAGATACAAAACCAATAGGTTATATGTGAGGAGCCTTATTAGAGGAATTGGCTTACATGATCACAGAGACAGACAAGTTTCACAATAGGCTGTCTGCAAGCTGGAGAACCAGAGAAGCTGGTAGTGTGGCTCAGTCCAAGTCTGGAAGCCCCAGAACTAGAGAAGCTGATGATGCAGCTCCTAGCTCAAGGCCAAAGGCCTGAGAGCCCCCAGGAGGCCACTGGTGCAAGTCCTGGAGTCTAAGAGCTGAGGAACCTGGATTCTGATGTCCAAGGGCAAGAGGAGAAAAAGGCATCATTCCCTGGAAGGGAGAGAAAGAGAGAACAGAAAGCAAATTCTCCTCTTCTTGTGCCTGTTTTTCCCAGCTGGGCCTCCAGCCAGTGGAACTGACCCACATTAAGGCTGATTCTTCCTCTCTCAGTCCACCGAATCACATGCCAATCTCCTCTGGAAACACTCTCAGAAACAATTCTCCACCAGCTGTCTAGGCATCTCTCAATCCAATCCAATCGACACTTGAAATGAACCATCACATAGATTATAATTGTTGTCTGAGAATAGAGTTGGTTTTATATTTACTTTTTCAATCTATGTGCCTCATTTTCCTTCCTTATTGCACTTCTAGGATGTCCAGTACAGTATAGATTAGGAGTGGTCAAAGAGGCTATCTGCCTTGTTCCTGATTTTAGGGGGAGACCTTTAGTCTTTCAACATTAAATATATTAGCTTAGGTTTGCTTTTTTTTTTTTTTTTTTTTTTTTTTTGAGACAGAGCCTCACTCTGTCACCCAGGCTGGAGTGCAGTGGTGCAATCTCGGTTCACTGCAATCTCTGCCTCCCGGGATCAAGCAATTCTCTGCCTCAGCCTCCCAAGTAGCTGGGATTACAGGCATCCACCACCATGCCCAGCTAACTTTTTGTATTTTTAGTAGAGACGGGGTTTCACCATGTTGGCCAGGCTGGTCTCGAACTCCTGACCTCGTGATCCACCTGCCTTGGCCTCCCAAAGTGCTGGGATTACAGGCGTGAGCCACCGTACCCAGCCTGCTTTTTTTTGTTTGTTTTGTAAATGCCTCATATCAGATTAAGAAATTTCCCTTTTATTCCTTGTTTTCTGAGAGCTCTTATTGTGAATGGATGTTAAATCTTGTAAAATACTTTTTCTGCATTTATTGAGATGATTATGGTTTTTCTTCTTTAGACTGTCAATGTTGTACATTACATTGATTTTAAAATGTTGAACTAACCTTGCATTCTTAAGATAGATCTCATTTCTATTTTGCCCAATTCAATTTGCTAATACTCTGTGGGGACTTTTATGCCTATGTTCATGAGAAATACTTTTTGTGGTTTTCTTGTAATGTTTTTGTTTGATTTTGATGGGTTTGAATATCATGGTAACGCTGGCTTCTTAAAATTAATTGAGGGTATTCCCTTCTCTTCTGTTTTCTGGAAGACATTGTGTAGAATTGGTATTATTTTCTCTTGAAATGTTTGGTAGAATTCATTAGTTAAAACATCTTGTCTGGGAGATTTCTTTGTTAGAAGATTTTTAAACCATGAATTCAATTTCCTTGGACTGTTGAAGTTTTTCTTAGGTGAATTGTACTAGTTTGTGTCTTTCAAGGAATTGGTTCATTTCATCTACTTTATTGAATTTGTGATATCAGAGTTGTTCATGACATTACCATGTTGATCTTTTAATGTCTGTAGGTTCCATGGTGATGTCTCCTCTTTCATTTCATTGGTAATTTGTGTCTTCTCACTTTTTCTTGGTCAGTTGAGTTACAGGCTTATCAATTTTACTGATTTTTTTTCAAAGAAGCAGCTATTGGTTTTATTTTCTGTTTCCAATTTTATTGGTACCTGTTCTTATCTTTATTATTTTCTTTTCTTTGCTTGGTTTGGATTTAATTTCCTCTTCTTTTTCTAGAGTTTTAAGGTGGAAGCTTAGATTATTGAATTTGTCTATTTGTCTATTTTCCATTTCATTAATTTCCACTCTTCTTGTTTGTAATTTATTTCCTTCTACTTGCTCTAGTTTTAAATATTTTATTTTTCTTTAGATACTTAAGATGGAAGTTTAAATCACTGATTTTTTTAACTAACCATTCTTACTCTGTAATATAAGCATTTAATGCTATGAGCTTCTTTAAGCACCTTTACCTGTATTACACAAATTTTGGTATGCTCCGTTTTCATTTTCATTTAGTTCAAAATGGTTTCTAATTTTACTTGGAACTTTCTCTTCAACTTGTGTTATTTAGAAGTATGTTGTTTAACTTACAAATATTTGGACATTTTCCAGGTATCCTGATGCTATTGAATTCTGGCTCAATTTTGTTATGGTCAGAGAATATACTTTTTAATGATTTCTATTCTTTTATATTTGTTAAAGACAATTTTAATATGGTCTGTCTTGATGACTGTTCACTGCACTGGGAAAATAGGGGTATTCCACTGTCATTGTGTGAGTTGTTCTGTAAACATTAATTATATCCAGTTGACTTGTTGTGTTCAGGTTATTCTTGATTTCCTATCTAGTCTCAACCTGAGAGAAGAATGTCAACATCTTAAAGTACAATTGTGGATTTTTATATTTCTCTTTTTGGTCCTTTCAGATTTTGCATTATGTATTTTGGAATTCTGTTTTAGGGTACATACTCATTTAGGATATTACTGTGTTTTCTTCATGAATTGACCCTGTATGTAAAATGCCTCCTTATTCCTGGTAGTTTCTCTTGTTCTGAAATCCACTTTGTCTGGTACTAATATAGCATTCCAGCTTTCTTTTCTTTTTTTTTTTTTAATACAGACAGGGTCTTGCTCTGTCACCCAGGCTGAAGTGCAGCAATGTGATCATAGCTCACTGTAACCTTGAACTCCTGAGCTCAAGAGATCCTCCCGCTTCAGCTTCTTGAGTAGCTGGGACTACAAGCATGTGCCACCATACCCAGCTAATTAAAATTCTTTTTTATAGAGATGGGGATGTCCCTCGTTGCTCAGGATAGTCTAGAACTCTTGGCCTCAAGCTGTCCTCCCACCCCCGGCCTCCCAAAGTGTTGAGATTACAGGTGTGAGCCACCACACCCAGCCCCCAGCTTTCTTTTGATTAATGTTTGCTTGGAATATCTTACTCCATCTTTTTACTTTTAATCAATTTATGTCATTATATTAAAAGTGTGTGTTTTGTTGGCAGTATGTAAGTTGGGCCTTGATTTTTTTTCAATCAAGTCTGACAATCTCTGTCTTCTAATTGGTGTGTTTGGGTCATGTGTCATGTATGTTGACCCTGTATGTAAAATGCCTCCTTATTCCTGATAGTTTCCCTTGGTAATCATTGATATTATTGGATTTAAGTCTACTGCTTTATTATTTTTCTATTTTTTGTTCTCCTCTTTCATCTTTTCTGCCCTCTCTTTGATTATGGGAATATGTATTGGTATTACATTTTAGCTTATCTATTCGCTTTTGGGTGTATATTTTCTTATTTTTTAGTAGTTGTTGTAAGGATTATAATATATAAATCCTACTTTACAAAGTTGAAATTTTACTACTTCAAGTAAAACCTCAAAACCTTAAGCCACATAAATCCTCTTACACTTTTGCTTTATATTTGTCATATGTATTATATCTACATACATTAAACCCTCCAGACAATATAATTTTTTTGAGATGGAGTTTTGCTCTTATCACCCAGACTGGAGTGCAATGGCATGATCTCGATTCACTGCAACCTCCACCTCCTGGGTTCAAGCGATTCTCCTGCCTCAGTCTCCCGAGTGGCTGGGATTACAGGCGTGCACCACCATGCCCAGCTAACTTTCATATTTTTAGTAGATGGGGTTTCACCATGTTTGCCAGGCTGGTCTTGAACCCCTGACCTCAGGTGATCTGCCTGCCTAGGCCTTGCAAAGTGCTGGGATTACAGCCACCGCACCCGGCCCAGACAATATAGTCATAAATATTTTAAAGAACTTGAGTTTAAAATAGTATACATATTTTCCCAGATACTTGCCACGTCTGTTGTTCTCCTTTGGTTCCTGAGGTTTTGCATTTCCCTGTGGTATCAGTTCTGTTTAAGAACTCTCTTTAGGCCGGGCGCGGTGGCTCATGCCTGTTATCCCAGCACTTTGGGAGGCTGAGGCAGGCGGATCACAAGGTCAGGAGTTCAAGATCAGCCTGGCCAACATAGTGAAACCCTGTCTCTACTAAAAATACAAAAATTATCCGGGCGTGGTGGCACATGCCTGTAATCCCAGCTACTCAGGAGGCTGAGGCAGGAGAATTGCTTGTACCCGGGAGGTGGACATTGCAGTGAGAAAAAACAAAAACAAACAAACAAACAAAACTCTCTTTAGCACTTCTTATGGTGCAGGTCTGCTGGTGATGTGTCTTTTATTTATCGTTTTTTTTTTTCTTTTGAGACAGGGTCTCAACCTGTTGCCCAGGCTGGAGTGCAGTGGCATGATCATACCTTACTGTAACCTTGAACTCTTGGACTCAAGAAATCCTTTTGCCTCAGCCTCCCAAATAATTAGGACTACAGGTGCACACCACCATGCTCAGCTACTTTTTAAATTTTCTGTAGAGATACAGGGTTGCTATGTTGCCCAGGCCAGTCATAAACTCCTGACCTGAAGCAGTTCTCCTGCCTCAGCCTCCCAAAGTGCTAGGATTACAGGTATAAACCACCATGCCCAGCTTCGCCTCCATTTGTGGTGAATACTTTTGCTGGGTATAGAATTCTGGGTAGTTATTTTTTGTCTAGCACTTTAAATTTGTTGTCCACTATCTTCTGGCCTCTGTGGTTTCTGATGAGAAATTCACAGTCATTCAAATTATTGTTCCCTGTGTGTTATGTGTCATTTTTCTCTGGTTACCTTTATGACTATTTCTTTATCTTTAATTTTAATTTTGATGCTTAATTATGATGTATCTGAGCTTAGATATTAGAGATTTTCCTGTTTAGGGTTCGCTGATCTTCTTGAACCTGTTCATTTATTTCACCAAATTTGGGAAATTATTCTTTATGGCACCCATCTTTTTCTTCCCCTCCATTTCAGAGACTCAGTTGATGAAAATGTTAGACTTTTTAATATTTCCTCACAGACCTCTGAGGCTGTGTTCATTTTTTTCAATGTTTTCTTTCTCAGACTAGATAATTTCTGTTGAACTGCCTTTAACTTCACTGATTCTTTTCTCTGTCGCCTCCATTTGCTATTAAACTCATCCAATGAAATGTTTACTTCATGTATTTTATTTCTCAGTTCTAAAATTTCAATTTCATTCTTTTTTTCAGTGTCTGTGTATCTGCTGGGACTTTTTAGCTTTTTTTTAAATTTCAAGAGTCTTTACCTTTCCCTCATGGAGTATGGTTATATTGGCTGTTTAAGATCCTTATCTATCATTATATCATCTGTGTCATTTCGGAGTTTATTCTCTGTTTATCATCTTTTCCCTTGAATATTAGTCCCATATTCTGGTTCTTAGGATGTACAGTAATTTAGGATTGTGTGATAGACAGGATAATGGGCCCAAAGCTGTTCACATGCTGATTCCCAGAGTCTGTGAATATGTCACTTTACGTGGTAAAAGGGATCATGCAGATGTGATTAAGCAGGTCTTGAGGTGGGGAGATTATCCAAGCAGGTTCACCGTAATCACAAGAATCCTTAAAAGTAGAGAATCTTTCTCACTGGGCCAGAGAAAGAGATGTGGCAACAGAAGAAGGGTCAGAGTGATGCTGCATAGCTGGCCTTGGCCCTGAGCCAAGGTGTGGAGCGCAGGCAGCCTCTTGAAGCTGGGAAAAGCAGCAAGATGGTTCCCCCTAGGCCTGCAGATTCTGGAGCACAGCCATGGGGCTCCTCGCTTTAGCCCACGGAGATCATTCCAGGCTTCAGCCACGGGTCTGTAGGGAATGTGTTTGTGTTGTTGGAAGCCATGAGTGTGTGGTAATGTGCTACAGCAGTAACAGGGAGCTAACCCAGACGTCATCCCGGACACTTTTCACCTGTGCCCTGAGGCTCTGGGTCCTGGAACTAACCCAGACTTCATCCCGGACACTTTTCACCTGTGCCCTGAGGCTCTGGGTCCTGGAACTAACCCAGACTTCATCCCGGACACTTTTCACCTGTGCCCTGAGGCTCTGGGTCCTGAGGCACCATCTAGGGAATGTGGATTATTTTTTGTTTTGTCTTAGTCACAGGCAGCCCAGTAGTGAGGCTCAGCTCGCAGGTTCTCTCTCCTTCTGGGAGCCTTGTTTCCATATCCGTTTGATTGTCAAAGCCTCTGCTGCACGGGGTGGGTCTGCCCCTGACAGGCAGTCCTTGGGGCCTTGGGCACAGGTTCACGTCAGTGCAGCTCAAAGTGCTTTACGCTGTGTCTCTGGTGTGTTCCACACCTGCAGCTTGGGATGAGCCAGGACACGTGTCAGTTCGTACACAGAAGCGGGGTCCTGTCTCCTGCTCTCTCCTCTGCTTACGTCCCCCACCCTGCTGCCTCCTGGGGATGACTCCTGGTCTTCTGATGAGAAAGACGATGTTTCTCTTGGGGTCATAGCTGCCATTCCTGCTGCATGGTTCTGTGCAAACAGGCTTGCTGCCAGGACAAAGTGGTGAGAGAAAGGGAGGAAAAAATAATGAGGATTGCCCTCTTCTTGTACAGCAGGGACCCCATTGTGGGGGTCCTCCATCCACAGGGACGGATTTTCTCTCCAGGTGCTTATGTGCACACAAACCTTTGCCACAGCAGCCACGCAACAGGCACACAACAGCCATGCAGCACGTCCCTCCACCTGCCTTTCACCCTGTCTGCTGAGGGATGAGGCACTGTTGGAGGTCCTGGGACAGGGGCCTGACCTCCTCAGCCTCTTCTGTGGCTTCTGACAGCAGCAGTGGTAATACCGGTAACACATAGTGGTGATGGTGGTGGACGCTCGTGTTTTCTGAGTGTGATCGTGTGTCCATACGCTGTACCTGCCGGAACTTGGCGACACCATGTCAGCTTCCTGGGGCAGCCTTAATGAATGACTGCAAACTGTGTGGCTCGAACAACAGGGGTTATTCTTCACAGCCTGGAGGCCAGGAGCCAAAACCAGCGCCGATGGGCTGCAAGCGAGGTGTTGGCAGGACGGGCCCCTTGACAAAGGCTCTTGGGGAGAGTGTACTCCACACCCCCTCGCTTCTGGAATGTTCTTCTTGTGAATCTGCATCTCTGTCAGTGTGTCTGGGTACAAATCTCCCTCTTGTAAGGACAGCAGTCATACTGGATTTAGGGCCCACCCTAATCCAGTGTGACCTCATCTCAGCTTCGTGACATCCGCCACTGTCCTATGTCCCAATACAGGAAGGTCACATTCATGGGTTTGGAAGGAAATGAATTTTGGAGGACACCACTCAGCCCAGTACCACTGTGCTTACCTCACAGCTCTATCGTACCAGACAGGGGAAAGCTCAGGTTGGAAGAGCTCAGGGTTGGGGCAGAAACTCAGGCCTCCCCCCGTCCCGAACCCAAGCCCTGAACTGCTGTCGTACACAGGGCTCAGTGCGACTGCGCCTGGGGCTGCCCCAAGACTGTGAAGCTCATGGACTCACGCAGCCATCCATCGATGGCTATGGGGAGGGTACCTGCCATTACCTCTGTTTATGCTTGGGGAAACTGAGGTGCTGTGAGGTTGTATCTGTCACACCCTTGTAAGGAGGGAGCCGGGGTCCCCACTGCTGCTTTTCTCCCAGGGGGAGCCTGGAGGAGTGGGGTTTGGACACCCGGCAGGTCTCTTCCAAACCAGGGCGTCTGCGGTGGCCCTGAGCCGAGGCTGCTTCATGCCAGGCAGCCCTGAGGGGCCGAGCCGACTGGAGGGGCACAGCCTGGCATGGGGCTTGGTGACATGAGGAGCGGGGGTGTCAGAGCCAGGGGCACCGTCCTCCCATTGGCCAGGACGAGGACTAAGCTGTGACCCCTCTGGGCCCTGAAGAGCATCTCGGGGGACTTCAGTTTCAAACCTCAAAGCCACTGGGCAGAGGTTCCGTCCCGCTGGCTGGATGGAAACAGGAAGCTGGCAGGAGGACAGTGTGGCTGGGCCAGATGCCTGAGGACACAATGCTCATGACAAAAGCAGCAGGTGCGGAGGGTTTCCGCCGGTGCCTCGCACAGGAGAGAAGATGGAGCCGAGTGAGGACCCAAGAGCAAAGGGCCCCAAGCAGTTGTCACCTGAACGGGAGGGCTGGCTGGGGCTCAGGGCTGTCCTGGGGGCCCTGCTGGGCCAGACGCCCCATGAGCCACATGGTCACAGTCTGGGCACGATTCTCTCTCCTCAGGGAGACCATCTGCGGCAGGGACCAGCCGCCCCATGAGCCAGGTGGCCATGCTGACGATGCCCTGGCGGAGGGGAGCCCGGGGGCCCAGTGGGGTTGTGGGGGTGTCGAAGGCGGGGGTGAGGGAGGGGGGTGAGCTGGGGCTGGACAGTGAGCCGAGGCTCCAGCAGATGCGGCTGAAGGAACAAACTTTAAGGGAAGAGGCTGTGAACCAGGCAGCATCCACAGTGCGTGAGTCCACGTAAAGCCCTGAAAACCAGAGAGATCGCTGGGAAGTGGCACAGTGGCCACCGGTGCCCGAGCGACTCGGATCACATTCTCAAAGTGAATCAACGACACCAACATCAAGCCACATTCAACGCGAGGGAGCCACGTGCTGCGTAGCCGGAAATCCCAATGCGTGATGCAGCTGGACGTGCTTCAGATGCTGCTGAACAGTCGAGGAGCCCTTAGCCACCCAGGTCCCCCCATTCTGTGGAAAAGCTCGAGGGGCTCTTCCTCGGCCCTGCAGAGGTGGCAGCTGGGAGCCCTGGACACCGAGCCCGGGCCCTTCCCCCAGACCAGCGTCAGAGCACTGCACGCCTCCACCACAAGGCCTCTGGGGGGTCTGACGGCCCAGAGAAAGGACCAGGGCGCAGATATGGCGGCCCCCAGGACACACGGCACAGGCCCGCTCTGGCACCTGCGCCAGCATTGCTGGGTTCTTAAGGAAAGAGGCCACCGTGAAAGACAGGAGTGAGACCCAACCTGAGAAGACGAGCTGGAGGGAACAGAGATGCACAGAATGAAGAAAAGACAGAGGCAGGAAAGGAAAGGGTGGGGGGAGGGGAAGGGAGGGAGGGGGAGGGGGAGGGGAAGGGAGGGAGGGGGAGGGGAGACAGGACAGAGGCTGGAAAGGACAGTGATGCGCAGAATGCAGACAGGACAGGACAGGAAAGGAAAGGAAAGACAGAGGCCAGAAAGGACAAAGATGCGCGGGACGAAGAAAAGACAGAGGCCGGAAAGGACAGAAACACACGGAATGAAGAAAAGACAGAGGCCCGGCATCTGTGGCACAACGCGGGGACTGCAGTCAACGGTAACTTAATCGTACATTTAAAAATAACGAAGAGTGTGATTGGATTGCTTGTAACACAAAGGGTAAGTGCTGAGGGATGGACACCCCATCCTCCATGTGACCGTTATGCATCACACGCCTGCATCAAAACATCTCAGACACGCCATAAATATATACACCTACTGTGTACCCACAAGCATTAAAATAAAAAAATTTCTTAAAAGAAAGACAAAGGCAGCTGTCATCAGGATCCTCGGAGACCAGTGAAAGCACCGCACCGACCAAATGAAAATCAGTCGCTGCAGAAAGAAAATTCAGACATGAAAACGGCTCAACAATTAAAAGCATGAGAGCAAAAGCCCTAACGATCCCGGAGAAGCATTTGACGTTAACGCTGAAGAGGTCTTTCCATGAGTAAAGGAAAAAGAGGTGGAAATAATAAAGTCAGGAAAATGAGCAGAGCCTGAGAGACGCCGGGGGTCAGAGCTCCAGGAAGATCGGAGGGCAGGGAGTCTTCAAGGGGAGGTTGAGCTGGCTTCCCAGAGCCCAGGGCATGAGTTTCCGGGTTGGAAGTTCCTGCTGGGATCTCTGTGAGATTCCACACCCTCGTGGACAAGGAGAAGATCCTAAATGCTCCCAGAGAGGAGGGGCGGGTTTCATGGAAATGATCCAGAGACAGAGACCTGGATGCAGGAGGCCGGGAGGAAACGCACAAACGCCTTCCAACCTGGAGTTCACGCACACCCGGGGGCAGGGTCTGAGGTTTTCTTCTTTCAAGTTGTTTCTCGGAAAGCCCCTGGAGGGCTTCTCCACCAGAACCAGCCACAGAAGGGGTCTGGGTGGGGATGGGAGCCCCTCCAGGAGGCAGTGGCAGAGATGGGAACTACCACCCAGGCAGAACATCCTCAGACAGACGGGAGAGGCCCCAGAGAGGCTGGGATGGACAGGAACCAGTGCAGGGAAGGTGCATTCAACTGAGACTTGGGGGCTCCATCAGCGGTGGTGTGAGTGAGTACCTGGGAAAACTAAGTCAGCAAAGATGCAAGCAACTCCAGGCCAACAGGGCTGCTCAGGCAGAGTGGAGGATTCAGAGGCTGCACACACCTGGGTGACAGGAGCTCTGCGGGGGGAGCTGAGGGCAGTCATGACACAGCCAGATTAGGAAGGTGGGCCAGAGCGTGCACGGGCGCAGGGCGAGGCGGGCGCAGGGCGAGGCAGGGCCAGAGCGTGCATGGGCGCAGGGCGAGGAGGGCGCAGGGCGAGGCAGGGCCAGAGCGTGCACGGGGGCAGGGCGAGGCGGGCGCAGGGCGAGGCAGGGCCAGAGCGTGCACGGGGGCAGGGCGAGGCGGGCGCAGGGTGAGGCAGGGCCAGAGCGTGCATGGGGGCAGGGCGAGGAGGGCGCAGGGCGAGGCAGGGCCAGAGCGTGCACGGGGGCAGGGCGAGGAGGGCGCAGGGCGAGGCAGGGCCAGAGCGTGCACGGACACAGGGCGAGGAGGGCGCAGGGTGAGGCAGGGCCAGAGCGTGCATGGGGGCAGGGCGAGGAGGGCGCAGGGTGAGGCAGGGCCAGAGCGTGCATGGGGGCAGGGCGAGGAGGGCGCAGGGCGAGGCAGGGCCAGAGCGTGCACGGGGGCAGGGCGAGGAGGGCGCAGGGCGAGGCAGGGCCAGAGCGTGCACGGACACAGGGCGAGGAGGGCGCAGGGTGAGGCAGGGCCAGAGCGTGCACGGGCGCAGGGCGAGGAGGGCGCAGGGTGAGGCAGGGCCAGAGCGTGCACGAACACACGGGTGCAGGGCGAGGCAGGCGCAGGGCGAGGCAGGGCCAGAGCGTGCACGGACGCAGGGCGAGGAGGGCGCAGGGCGAGGCAGGGCCAGAGCGTGCACGGGCGCAGGGCGAGGAGGGCGCAGGGTGAGGCAGGGCCAGAGCGTGCACGAACACACGGGTGCAGGGCGAGGCAGGCGCAGGGCGAGGCAGGGCCAGAGCGTGCACGGACGCAGGGCGAGGAGGGCGCAGGGCGAGGCAGGGCCAGAGCGTGCACGGGCGCAGGGCGAGGAGGGCGCAGGGCGAGGCAGGGCCAGAGCGTGCACGGGCGCAGGGCGATGAGGGCGCAGGGCGAGGCAGGGCCAGAGCGTGCACGGGCGCAGGGCGAGGAGGGCGCAGGGCGAGGCAGGGCCAGAGCGTGCACGGGCGCAGGGCGAGGAGGGCGCAGGGCGAGGCAGGGCCAGAGCGTGCACGGGCGCAGGGCGAGGAGGGCGCAGGGTGAGGCAGGGCCAGAGCGTGCACGAACACACGGGTGCAGGGCGAGGCAGGCGCAGGGCGAGGCAGGGCCAGAGTGTGCACGGGCGCAGGGCGAGGTGGGTGCAGATGTGGCAGGTGCAGACGCGGCGTCCACAGCCAGGCCTAAAGACGGTGTCTGAAGCTGGGGAAACCCAACAGTGACTCGTTATGTAAGCGTGTGACTTAGCAAGACAGAGGAAAATGCCCAAACCGCCGGTGAGAAGGGCTCAAAGCAGTCGCTCAAAGCAGCAGGAAGTGATGTGGCGGGAAGGCTGGTTTTAGGGACAACGGCTGAGTTTCGGTGGAGGCTTGCATGCTGTGTGACTCTTCAGACCTGGCTCATTTCACGTCGACTCTTCTTGCCCATTACGTCATTTCATCAGGCCTTACCGCGACTGCCTCAGGCCTTACCGTGGCCGCCCCAGGCTTACTTTGGTTCTTGGCTGCTTGGACTGTCTCCCCCATGCCTTCATTTTCTGCGTTTCCTTCTCGGTGTAGGTGCCTCTTGCAGGTGACGGGTCAAGGGATCTCCCCCCACACCAAGCGCCGTCTTTCACTGGGGCCCACCTACTTCTTGTGATTCTTTAGGAGCTGATTTCTGTCATCCTATTTTGTATTTTCCATTCACTGCACATCCTTTGGGTTTTTTCCTCCCCTAACCCTCTGTTAGATAAATTGAGCTTTCTTGAACTGAAGGTGCACATTCTGCTTTTGTTCTCATGGGGATGCCTTTGAAATGAGAGCTTTCAGGTTGATTTGCTGTTTCTCAGGCTCTTCTGCGGTGATGTTCCCCCAGCAGGGCCTGTGCCGGCACAGACGCGTCCTCCGGCCCTCCCCACGTTGGCAGCACGTTGACTGTGTCTGAAGCTTAATCCCGATGTCACAGATTCTTGTCTTTGCACCTAACGTTACGTGTCTCATCCAGCCCAGGGCACCCGATCACGTCGCTCACTAACCGATCCTTCCTCCTCCCGAGTGTTCCTCTAGCAGTCTGCTGTGGGCCTTGCTGTGAAACCTTCTGGGCACCTCCACGAGTGGGAGAACACTGCTGTGTCTTCGTGCGTGGACGGTAGCCAGGCTGCACGCAGAGCTCCAGGCTGAAGCCTGTCCCAGTGTCTGCAGGGCCACGTGGCCTTGCTGCTGAGCCTGGTGGGTCTGCTCTTTCCTGGAGGCTGTGCTCTTGCTCTTCTGGGAGCTATTGCAATGTTTTATTGTTTTATTTGTTTTCTTTGGTTTTTTTTTTGAGACAGAGTCTCACTCTGTTTCCCAGGCTGGAGTGCAGTGGTACGATCTTGGCTCACTGCAACCTCTGCCTCCTGAGTTCAAGTGATTCTCCTGCCTCAGCCTCCCAAGTAGCTGGGATTATAGGCGTATGCCACAATGCCCGGCTAATTTTTGTATTTTTAGTAGAGATGGGGTTTCACCATGTTGGCCAGGCTGGTCTCCAACTCCTGACCTTAAGTGATCAGCCTCCCAAAGTGCTGGGATGACAGGCGTGAGCCGCTGCGCCCGGCCTATTGCAGTGTTTTCTTTCTGGTGGTCGAGAGTTTTGTGGCGACGTGTCCTCTGTGAGTTCTTCCCAGCCGAGGTCTCTCATCTTTGGTTCTGGACATTCTGTGTCTGTCGCTGCACTGGTGGTGTCCCTCTCCATTCTTGCTTTTATCTTCTGGACCTGCTGTTATCCAGGCAGGGCCCTTCTGCAGCCACCCTGCTGGCTCTGGGTTTCTTGCTGGCTCTGTCTGGGTGGCAGGAGGGAGGCCCTACAAGGAGCCTCCAGGCTGCAGCTTTGTGCTCAGCTGCATTCCTGCTGGCGAATGTTTTCTCTGCTCCAGGGCCTCCCCTTTCCTCCCTGTGTGCTGGAACCCTCTTGTCTCTCCCCTTTCCTCCCTGTGTGCTGGAGCCCTCTTGTCTCTCCCCTTTCCTCCCTGTGTGCTGGAGCCCTCTTGTCTCTCCCCTTTCCTCCCTGTGTGCTGGAGCCCTCTTGTCTCTCCCCTTTCCTCCCTGTGTGCTGGAGCCCTCTTGTCTCTCCCCTTTCCTCCCTGTGTGCTGGAGCCCTCTTGTCTCTCCCCTTTCCTCCCTGTGTGCTGGAGCCCTCTTGTCTCTCCCCTTTCCTCCCTGTGTGCTGGAGCCCTCTTGTCTCTCCCCTTTCCTCCCTGTGTGCTGGAGCCCTCTTGTCTCTCCCCTTTCCTCCCTGTGTGCTGGAGCCCTCTTGTCTCTCCCCTTTCCTCCCTGTGTGCTGGAACCCTGCTTGTCTTCGCCCGTTGCTTGGCTCCACTTTCCTGGCTGTGCCTCCTGTCTCTGGTCCCCGTGTGCGCTGGCTCCGATTGGGCCTGTGTGGGGCCGGACAGGGCTGGCCCTGGTTGCGTGGAGGGCAGAGGGGAGGGCAGGTGGGCAGGGCCAGCTCCTGGGTGAGGAGTTTACCTTTGAAGGGAGCACCGTGGGAGGGAGCACTTTTGCCCCGAGTCCTCCCCAGCCTGGGGGTTTGCACAAGAGGAGGGAGGGTGGGTGCTGGAGCTGGCGGTGCGGCCGTGTCAAGCTCTTGCGTCTCCGGATCTTGCCCCTCAGGCCCCGGCCCCAGCCTCCTGCTGTCGCCCCCCAGGCAGGGCTGTCTCGAGGCATCTTGGGAGGGCAAAGGCAGGACGGGAAAGTGATTTCTCCCACCTGTATTTTGACTGTGACCCCAAAGCCCCTGCCCTGGGCCGTGGCTCCCAATCTCCTCCACACCTAACCCCAGATAGCCCAAGACTTCTGGGGTTCCCTCAGCTTTTCTGGGGATCCTGTCCTCAAGTCCCCCTCCTGCCAGGTGGCCGACACTGGCTGCCCTGCGTCCCCATTCCCTGAATGACACTGGTGCGGAATGCAGACAGAGGGGGCCTGGGAGACACGAGCCCCGGTGGTGGGATGCAGTTAGCTGAACGCCAGGCTGAGCAGGGTCCGAAAATTAGGGGAATAAAAGTCCCGGGAGAGGACAAGGTGGCAAACAGGAAGGGCAGCTGACTCACCAGCCCAGAGCAGGGGAATCTCACCAGTTCCCTGAAACAGAGCTTCTCAGCTCCAGGACTGGACAGGCAGCTTCCCAGAGGCCACTGCAGGCCAGGTCATCAGAAGCGCCTGCTCCAGCTCCCACCCTGCCTGTGCCCAGTGGCAGCCGAGCAGGGCCTCACAAAAACAGCTGTGAGAACAGCCTTGCGTGTCTGGAAGCCCCAAGCCGCTCGGCAGACGGTCATCGGGCCGCGCTGCTGCTCTGGTGTGGTTTCTGGAAAATTCCTGAGAAGTCCCCAGGAACCAAAGTGTCCAGCAGTTGAAATTTAACAAGTGGGGAGACACTCCTCCGCCACAGGCTGCTGTCCTAAAGAAAGGCCTAGAAGCCCTCCCAGCTGGGGCTGCGCACACGTTCCTGTGAGGGACCCTTTGGGAGAGGATTGAGTGAGGGGAACAGGAGGTGAAGCAAAAGGGATGAGCGTCCCCTTCCTCCAGCTTCCTCCATGCAGTGATGTTGCCTGGCTCTAAGGGGCTCCTGGTACGAG
The DNA here is from genome assembly GCF_000001405.40 of Homo sapiens. Lineage (NCBI taxonomy): Eukaryota > Metazoa > Chordata > Mammalia > Primates > Hominidae > Homo > Homo sapiens. The sequence goes on from NC_000005.10 coordinate 395,940, forward strand.
GATTAGGAGGCCATGGGTCGTCCAGAAACTCAGGCCAGAAGCGAAGGTATAAAACACCAGATGGTAACACAGGACCACAACTCAGGAGGCTCTGGGAGCACAAAGTGGGGGTACCGGGGAAACGAGCCCGGGAGGGTAAGAGAGGGATGGGGCAGTGGGGGCCTGCAGCCCAGGAGCGGGAGGGTCCCAGCCCCCATGACAAGGCGGCAACCCAGACAGAGGGGCCCCGGGCCTTGGGCCTGTCCTGGCCAGGACAAATGCAGGGTATGCCCTCCTGCCCTCCTTCTGGGCCTGGCACCCCCATCCTCAGGGGAGGCATGGGGGCTGGAAAGGACGGCCGTGTGGGGACAGCAGGCTGGGAGGGGGCATCCCACACCCCCCTTTGTCCCTGACTTTAGAGGTGATGGGGGTGGAGAACCAAGCCCCGCATACCATGGCTGGGGTCTGTGTGTCTGGGGGTACTGAGGCGGGCGGCCCCAGCCTCACCCTGGCATACGCCGGCCACCGTGGAGAGAGCTCCATGATGCCCAAGCCTGCTCCTGCCTCTGTTCTGGGCACTTTCCCACAAGCCCCACAGAACACACTTGGCCTCATCTCCTGGCCTGGCATTTTCTGCCGCTTCTTCGGCCTTTCTGCTAAGAGAAATCCACGTTTTACCGTCTGTTGTAGCTGCTGGGCCTGCTGTTCCGAAACTCCTTTCAAGTGGCTTTCATTTCAGGAGTCCATCAGATGTATGTAATAAATAAAGGTATGGCCAGAGGTTTCACCAGGGAGGAAGCATGCCGGCCCTGCAGCTGGCCTGAGAGTGGGCACAGCAGGAAGGTAGTCCAGCTCCCCCTGCATTCGCCTGCCCGCCCTCTCCCCGACCCCCACCCGCCCATCCACATCCCAGGCCAGTTCCAGGAGGCTGGGGACCCCCGCCCAGCTGGGTCAGAGTGCCCGGCTCCTTGCCCACCTCAGAGGCTGCTGCAGGTGTCTGGGGCCCACACCGGCCTCTCTGTGACTTTTAGATCTCCAGGACTCTCCACCATTTACCCCTACTGTCCATGTTAGCCCCTGACCATCCACGTTAGCCCCTGACCATCCATGTAGCCCCTGACCATCCATGTTAGCCCCTGACCATCCACGTAGCCCCTGACCATCCACGTAGCCCCTGACCATCCACGTAGCCCCTGACCATCCATGTTAGCCCCTGACCATCCATGTTAGCCCCTGACCATCCACGTAGCTCCTGACCATCCATGTTAGCCCCTGACCATCCACATAGCCCCTGACCATCCACGTAGCCCCTGACCATCCACGTAGCCCCTGACCATCCACGTAGCTCCTGACCGTCCATGTTAGCCCCTGACCATGTTAGCCCCTGACCATCCCTGTTAGCCCCTGACCATCCATGTAGCCCCTGACCATCCATGTTAGCCCCTGACCATCCACGTAGCCCCTGACCATCCATGTTAGCCCCTGACCATCCCTGTTAGCCCCTGACCATCCACGTAGCTCCTGACCATCCATGTTAGCCCCTGACCATCCACATAGCCCCTGACCATCCACGTAGCCCCTGACCATCCACGTAGCCCCTGACCGTCCACGTAGCTCCTGACCGTCCATGTTAGCCCCTGACCATGTTAGCCCCTGACCATCCCTGTTAGCCCCTGACCATCCACGTAGCTCCTGACCATCCATGTTAGCCCCTGACCATCCACATAGCCCCTGACCATCCACGTAGCCCCTGACCATCCATGTAGCCCCTGACCATCCACGTAGCCCCTGACCGTCCACGTAGCTCCTGACCGTCCACGTAGCTCCTGACCGTCCATGTTAGCCCCTGACCGTCCACGTAGCCCCTGACCATCCACGTAGCCCCTGACCGTCCACGTAGCTCCTGACCGTCCATGTTAGCCCCTGACCATGTTAGCCCCTGACCATCCCTGTTAGCCCCTGACCATCCACGTAGCTCCTGACCATCCATGTTAGCCCCTGACCATCCACGTAGCCCCTGACCATCCACGTAGCCCCTGACCATCCACATAGCTCCTGACCATCCACGTAGCCCCTGACCATCCACGTAGCCCCTGACCATCCACGTAGCTCCTGACCATCCATGTTAGCCCCTGACCATCCACGTAGCTCCTGACCATCCACGTAGCCCCTGACCATCCACGTAGCTCCTGACCATCCACGTAGCTCCTGACCGTCCATGTTAGCCCCTGACCATCCACGTAGCCCCTGACCATCCACGTAGCTCCTGACCATCCACGTAGCTCCTGACCATCCACGTAGCTCCTGACCATCCATGTTAGCCCCTGACCATCCACGTAGCTCCTGACCATCCACGTAGCCCCTGACCATCCGTGTTAGCCCCTGACCTTCCGCGTTAGCCCCGACATTCCGCGTTAGCCCCAACCGTACACCTTAGCCCCTGATTGTCCGCATTAGCCCCGACTGTCTGGTTAGCCCCTGACTGTCCACCTTAGCCCCTGACCATCCACATAAGCCCCTGACTGTCCAGTTAGCCTCTGACCATCTGTGGTCACTGAGCCGGGTGCACAGAGTTCTATTCAGTGGTGTTCACTCGGCCCCTGCTCTGCCCTCGGCTCAGCTGGGCTTGGACCCTTGCATCCCAGGCTCTCCCCAGCAGGCAGTGTCAGCACAGGTGAGGGTCCTGGGCCTGCCCCTGGTGGAAGGAGTGTGTTTGTGCCAAACCGGGTTTCAGGCGCCGTGCGTGCCCCACCCCCCTTGGCTGTTACTCCGTTTTAAGCTGCCGACACTGGGAGGAGGCATTGCCGTTGTCACCGATGGGCTTCTGTGAGAAGGGCTGGGCTGGCAGGGCCTTCTGCCGCCAGGCCTGGGTCCTGCGGGCTCCGGAGGCCGTGAGTGGCCCTCAGCAAACTGTGGGTCTGTGTGTGGCCCTGGCTCCAGCAGCCGCCCCCGTCTGTTCTGGGTGGATTTTCCCCACCCGAGGTCACTGGTGCACCTGGGACCCCCCTGCCAACATGCCCAGCACCACCGTGGCGCACCTCATTCCTCTCGAGGACCAAGCAGCCGCAGCTCCCGCTCAATGCCCACCTCTCGGCCTCATGGCTGCTTCCCTGCCATTGGTTTCCTACCGGGTGGTTCTTATCCCCATGCCACCTTCCTTGTCTGCTCTGAAGCAGCTGGGTCAGCGCGGAGCTCCCTCGGGCTCTCCTGGGTGTGGAGCCGCAGGTGCAGAGGGACGGCCCAGGCCAACTCTAGCCCCAGGGTCTCTGAGGCCGGGGCTGGTGGTGCAGGACACACCCAGGGCGTGGGGTCCCAGGCTTAGGGATCGGCAGGGGTGGCTCCCCAACCACCAGGACCCCGGCAGGATGGGCCTGGCGCTTCTGGAGGGAGATTCACTGTGGTAACCGTCAGCTGCCTTTGTTTATGAGTTGTAAGTCTGCTTCTTGTGAAGTGCGTTTCACACTCAGGGTGTTTGCACTCAGAAAGCGGGTCCTGGTTTTAAAAGCATAAGTTTTGTTCTCTAGAAAATGACATCAACTTTAGACGTCAGATTGCCTGTCCAGCACAGCCATTTGCCCTCCAGTCACAGAGACAGCGGGTGCTGCCCTGATCACTGGAGGGTGCCTGGTGCTGCTGCTCACCGCCGCCCTCACAGACGCTCACTGTTGCCGTCCCATCTTTCGCAGGAGGAAACCAAGGCCCAGAGAGGTGAATTAACTCGCCAAGGGTTCGCAGCAAAGGTGAGGGCGGAGGCGGCGTCAGCACTGGCTGGTCTCTCAGCCAGAAGGGGGCCCAGGACACCGGGTTAACCGAGCGGGGCTGCAGTGGGCGTCAGGAGGGACTGCCTGGGGGCCGCCATCTGCCTGCTCTTCTAGGGCCCCGGGGCTTCAGTCAGCCTCCCACTCTGTGGCCATCCGGCCAGCTGCATTCTCAAGAACTGTTTTCAAATGTCGGAGCTGCTCCGTGGAAGAGAGTCAAGCCTGCGTTTACTGTTTGTGGGATCTATAAACAGCCAGTTATTCAGCTCCCCAAGCAAGAGCGCTGCCTCGCACGCACGCAAGCCCCATGGAGCGGCCCCTGTGAGTGATCTGCCTCCAGGAGGCCGGGCCAGCTGCCCCGACGCCCGCCCGGTGCCCGCTCGCGTGACTAGCCGCCGTGTTGTGGCTCCGTAACCGTGGCAACGGCTCTCAGGGGAGCACAATACTCCCAACTTCCCTTTACTCCGAGGAGGGGCAGCCAGGGGGATGTGGAGGGTTGTTCCTTTTTCCCTCATTTTCCCTCTGCCATGACCTTGACAAAAATAATCTTTGAAGTACTTGCCGGCTATTTTTTCTGCCCTGGAACTGGAAGAGATCAGGATATTTAAAGGGTTTGACAGAGGAAGTTCCGGCTTTCTCAGAACGTTTGCCCCATTCCCTGCGGTCCCTGGGGGAGAGCGTGGCTCCAGCCCTCACCTGCCTCGGCCCTCACCTGCCCCGACCTCCGTTGTCCTTGCGAAGTGGCAGGTGCGCCGTTTCCTGACGTTCAGTAACAGCACATGGATGTGATCTTTTTCCCCTTAAAAAAAGTAGAGCCTTAACCTTAGAGCCAAATCCTTTTTCCGTTTGGAAAAGTGATCTCATTTTCCATGGACCACGTTTAAAAAAAAAACAAAACTTTTGTAGGATTAGAAAGGCAGAGGGAGAGAAAACAAACAGACGTTCGAGATGCATATTTGAAAGATGGGCCCACATGTGTAAAAGTATTTGGCATGACAATGCTGGACCAGAAGTCAATCTGATATTGAATCCATATGACACGGCAAACAGCATTTTATGGTCTTTAAAAAAAAATTCTGCCTTGTGAGTTAAAATTAAGGTTGCTTTTGGTTGTGACTAATCTCATAAAATCTTTTTTAAGAAGACATTTTATATACTCAAGCCTTGAAAATTTCTTTGGTCTTTGAACTATTATTAGTAGGACATCATCAGTATGTGGCAACCGCTGAATTGGGAAAAGCTGTGGCAGGAGCCGGCGGGCACAGACCTCTCCCAGCAGTGCCAGGAAGGGCTGGGGGCTGAGGACCCGAGGCCCTGGTGCACACCCCTCCAGCCCGTGTGGGGCGGGAGTGAGGCCCCTCAGTGTCACCACTGCCCGGCTCAGAGCGGGCAGTTGGATGGCAACTCTGTTCCCTTTCAGCAGATGCCCCCCAGGCCACATGGCCCCCGGCTGCTTCACGTTCTCACCTGTTTTCTAACAACCCCTTGGGGTGCACCCCACGTCATCTCACCCTGTCTCTGCCTAAATCCAAGGGGAGGGAGGGGCTGCAGGAGTCTGAGGGGTGGATGCCAGCCTGAGGGGCCAGCCTGAGGCACAGTGGTAGTTTGGGTCCCCTAGTTCCAGACACAGCTGCTGGCCCCTAAGATGGGAGCCGCTGTAGAGAAAGGGCCTCGATGCCACAGGTGCCGGCTCTGGGCCAGGCTTTCTGGGTTGCTCCCTGTCTGCATCACCACTTGCGAAGGGGGTGGGATTGGCCCATGGTCCCTCCATGGCCACAAAGTCCCTGACCTCCATTGGCGCCAGCCCAGGGCCTAGATCTTGCTGAGCACAGGCAGGGACGATCCTGGGCCCTCGTGGGTACTCCCCACGGTCAACTCCAGGCAGGACAAGAACTCCAGGAGTTCCAGGGTGAAGCTGTGAAGCCAGGGCAGGCGGATGCGGCGGCGAAAGGCAGGTCAAGTGCTCCTGGCACCATCGTTCCACAGGATGCCAGCTCTGCGGGGCACAGAGTGTGATTTAACCCTCGCCGCAGCTTCTGAGTCACCGTTTCTCCCAGGTAGGGATTGCAGAGAAGAGCAAAGTGTCGTGAAGTGATTTCAGCCTGAGCTACCTTCCTTCTGGAAATGCAGCCACAGCAGCCATGTTCCCAACCAAAGCAAGGGGGCAACCAAGCCTCCGTTGACAGGTGGGTGGGTTAGCAAGAGGTATCTACCTACAGAGGAGGAGTATTCAGCCTTAAAAAGAGCGGGGCAGCAAAAGAGAAATACGCAGACAGGCCTGCACCAAACTGAAAAACTTTTGCCCAGCAAAGGAAACCGTCAACACAATGAAGAGGCAGCCTATGGAATGGGAGGACGCATTTGCCAACCATACATCTCACTGGCGGGAAAGACCCCACATACATAAGGAACCCAGCCAACTCAAGAGGAAGAAAAAACCCCATTAAAAACCAGGAAAAGGACCTGATAGACGCTTCTCCAAAGGAGACACAAAATGGCCAGTTTGTAGGTGGAAAGGTGCTCGGCATCGCCAGGCACAGGGAAGTGCAAATGGAAACCGTCAGCGAGCTCCTCTCACACCATCAGGACAGCTGTTTCAAAAAGATGGAAGGCAGTCGTTGATGAGGGTGTGGAGAGAAGGGGACCCTCGTGCACTGTTGGCGGGAAGGCAGTCGTTGATGAGGGTGTGGAGAGAAGGGGACCCTCGTGCACTGTTGGCGGGAAGGCAGTCGTTGTTGAGGGTGTGGAGAGAAGGGGACCCTCGTGCACTGTTGGCGGGAAGGCAGTCGTTGTTGAGGGTGTGGAGAGAAGGGGACCCTCGTGCACTGTTGGCGGGAAGGCAGTCGTTGATGAGGGTGTGGAGAGAAGGGGACCCTCGTGCACTGTTGGCGGGAAGGTAGATTAGTGTAGATGTGTTGGAAGGCTACATGGAGCTTCCTCAAAAAATTCAAAATGGAAAACGGAACTTCCATGCAACGCAGCAGCCCCCCTGCTGGGCATTTACCCAAATTAAAAATGGAACTTCCATGCAACGCAGCAGTCCCCCTGCCGGGCATTTACCCAAAGGAGCTGAAACCAGAATCAGAGACACCAGTAGCCAAGACATGGAGACAACCTGCATGTCCACCAGTGAATGCACAGATAAAGAAAATGCTCTGTGTATACACCATGGAATCCTGTTCAACCAGAAAAAGAAGGGAATCCTGGTATTTGCAAACCACGGATGAACCTGGAGGACATGGTGCTCAGTGAAATAAGTCATGCACAGACAGTTCTGCGTGATCTCACTCATATGTGGAATCTAAAAAAGTGGAACTCATCGAAACAGAGAGTCAGTGGTTACCAGGGGCCGGGGGTGTGGGAGGGGGATAAAGAAGGAAGGAAGGAAATGGACACGCACTGTGGCTCGGATCCACCTTGACGACTCTGCGGAGTGAAACAAAGTCAAAGCCTGCTTGATTCGCTCAGATGAGGTCCCCAGTGTAGGCAAATTCGGAGGCAGAAAGCGGGTGGGACGTACCGGGCTGAGGAGGGGAGTGGGGGTGAGTGTTTAATGTGGTCAGAGTTTCAGTTTGGGAGGGTGGGAATGTTCTGAAGATGGACGGTCATGATGGTTGCACAACAATGTGGACGTGCTTAATGCCACTGAGCTCAAAATGACTGAAATTTAACCACTTAGGTCGGGTGCAGTGGCTCACCCTGTAATCCCAGCACTTTGGGAGGCCAAGGCGGGTGGATCACCTGAGGTCAGGAGTTCGAGACCAGCCTGGCCAACATGGTGAAACGCTGTCTCTACTAAAAATGCAAAAATTAGCTGGGTGTGGTGGCGCATGCCTGTAATCCCAGCTACTCGGGAGGCTGCAGCAGGAGAACTGCTTGAACCTGGGAGGCGGAGGTTGCAGTGAGCCGAGATCGCACCACACTGTACTCCAGCCTAGGTGACAGAATGAGACTCCGTTTCAGAAAAAAAAAAAAAAAGTAACCACTTTAAATAGTTAAAATGGTATTTTTTTTTTTTTACTTTCTCTCAGAGGCATATTTTTCCGTATTAAAATTACTGATGCAGAACATTTGATTCCTTATCATTTCCATGGTCTTTGTTCAAAGGGTCTCTTTCCTGGGTCTCTTGAGTTTCTCGATATGCCTTCTCTTCCTTTTTGCTCAAAGGACAAAGAACCCACATTAAAGCTTTTCCTCCTTGAACAGCTTGTGGCCTAGATGAGAATGTAGCTATTCCAGGCACAGTCTGGAGTATTTGATGAAATATCTCCTCCACTTTATTTTCTGACTCGTCTACATTTTCTGCTTTCTTTACAGTAATTCGAACTTGGTGTTTTTTCTTAATCCACGGCTGAATCTGTTTAGTCTTTGCATCCAAATCATGTTGTCCAGCGTTTGAAGAAAAAGTCAGTTCCGTTGTCAGGGTTGGTCCAGGTTTGGGGTTACCCTTCTCCGTCTCTCTCAGCCTCAGCCGTTCCTGGTGGGTCTGCATTCCTGTCACGAGCTGGTCTTCTGCAGCCTTTGAACCCGTCGCAGCTCTCGCTCATCCATGAGTCTAATCACATCTGCTCCATGCATGTTCCCAAATCATTGCCCTTCTCATCAAACATGTGAATAATTCGCTAATTTTTCTTCCAGTGTTACTAAAAGCTGTTTCACTCTTTTTTTTTTCTTTTTTCCTTCATTCTGGGTGTCTTCAGTGGTCCTAAAGCCTTTTGCATGATTTAGGAAGGAGAGTCTTGGGGCAGAAGCAACAGGGGACCACTGTGCTGGTGCTGTCGTGCACGGTGTGTTCACCAAAACATCTAACGCAACTATTTTCAGACTTTACGGTTTGTAGTGATAACCTCTTCAGAAAAAGAGCAGGCGTCCTGGGCCGGGGCAGGCGATTGGTACTAAAATGGTAATTTTTATGTTATGACGGTTTGGAAAAAACTGTCATAAAAATTCACTCTCTTGGTTGAGTCAGTAATACGAGGGACATGGAAGTCTGGCCTTGGGGGGCGTCCCAGTCTTGTCACATGAGCTAAAACTAAAGTCCCTAAGAATCCTCCAAGAAAGATTTCTTCCAGCTGGTGGGAGGCTGGATGAGAAGGTGTTATGTTTTTAGGTGAAAATCGGAGGTGGCGCAGGACATGGTGAGATGATTATCCAGCTTGCTAATCTGCCAGCGGGCACCACCTGCCATTCCTCCTTCGTGCCTTCGAGTAGCAGGCTCAGTCCATTTTGAGGAGGCTGGCACGAGGCTGTCTTCACACTCCCCGCGGGGTCCATTTCATGTCCTGCTGATTAATCCAGCTACTGAGAGGAAAATAGTGATTTCCTTTCTGTGGATCATCCCATGGGCACATTGGATCCTTTATTCAGTGACATAAACAACTAAGTCCCAAGTGTTCCATGGCCCCCTCCCCCAAAGAAATGCAGCAGGTCTGACATTTCCCCATTTCTCTTGGGGAAATCTGGGCAAACCGAGAGCTTGTGAACAGCCCCGATGGGTCCAGGCAGATTCACCAGACTTTCTGCTCACGACCCAAAGAGGTTAGCATGGAACCAACCCTCTTCCTCGGAGCTGCACGGGAATGAAAATGTACAAATACCATGGTTCATGGTAGCTCCTCAGATGCTCCCGTGGATGCAGATGTCCTGCGGGGTCCGTTTCCCTTTCTCTAGAAACGTGGTGGAGTTCAGGGTGATAACGATGGGCTTCTTTACTGATGCCAAACCGTATAAAGCATTGGCCTATTTTGTCACCGTGGAGCAGCCTATGGTGTTGCCCGCTGTTTTGTTGTGACAGCTGGGCAGGGGCTCCCTGACATCTTCCTCCGAGTGGGAGGTGCTTTGTGAGACTTGGGTTTCTTGCTCAGACGCTCAACACAGAGTTCAAATCCCACTGTGAAGTCATCACCTGGCGCCTGCACCTCTGTATCCAGAACCAAGTGGGCGGCACACCCTTCAGGTCGGTGGGAGTGAGGGCCTTCGGGTCGCCGGCACCTGACCCAGCAGCCTTGTCCCACCGCCTGCGACCACCAGCTCCTCCGCTCTCTCCATCGGTCGTAACATCTTACTGCTCCCCTCGCAGACTGTTGAGTTGGTCTTTGACAAGTGTTTCTTTTATATTTTCACGGCACGTGTGACTTTTCTTTTTGGATACTTTACTGATTGAAAAATATGGCTTTGCAGCCTAGCAAGGCTCTCGGTCTGAGGCTGCGTCCTTCTGGTGTGGCTTTCCTCCTGAATTAGGCGTGGTGTGGCAGCGTCCAGGGAAGAACACGCAGCCTCTGGTTTGAACTGGACCCTGGGTAGCAGTTCAACCTTCCCCACACCTGTGACACCCAACAAGATAGACACAGATGTATGAAACGCTCTACAGCCACCCGAAAAAGGTAGAAATTCTGCAACAAAATTAACTGGGGAAAAAAAAACTAGGGAGAAAACGGGAAAGGAAAGGCATTGTCCGGAAGAAGCCTCTTGCAGTGTGGATGGGAACCTGCCACAGCTGGGCTTGGGCGAGGGGCCCACGGTGTCGCTGGGGACTTCTGCTGCCCCCAGCCCCCCTTCCTTCCAGCCAGTGGCTCTGTGAGCCGCCTCTTGTCTGCATTTCTTGCAGGAACATGGAGGGACCGGAACATGGAGGGACCAGTCCAGAATGGCCCCACGTCAGGAGAAAGAGTCCCCAATCCCCAGCCCCTACCTCATAGGCCAAATCACTCCATGTGGGAGGCTGGGAGGCAAACATTTTTGTGTGAGCTAGCTACTCTGAACATAATCATAATTGCATTGGTAAGGAAGAACAGGAAGTTGTCTCAAAATAAAGGGGGATCAGGTGGCTGGTCCACTTGTTCTTAGAAGGAAATTTCAGGAAAACGTTAAGAAACAGAAAATACTCAAGCTGGTTAGGCTATTCAAGAACATAGAAAGGGATAGAAAGCTGTTTAGTTAATTCACAGAGGTTAGGAAAACGCTGGTGCAAAAATACGATGCAGGCAGCTCAAAGGAGAAACGCAGCCCCTTCTCCCCTGTGAAACTGCACAAAACAATTCCAGATAAAATAATAGCAATTAACTTCCATCTGTGTTATAAAAGCATGGGCCACTGCAGTCACGGTGATCCAGGAGTAAGGTGAGACCCCGACATTGGGAAATACTCATAAAGTTAACTTACCAACTTAATATACTAAAGGAGGAGAGTGTCAGCTTGCAGATGATCCTGATCAAACAGGCAATAATAACAAAGTTTCTTAATAGGGCACCAGTTATTGAAAAGCCTATCTCTGTCCCAGTGATTTGAGGTGACACCTTTTTCATGCATCAAATTTCCATTTGCGCTTGGACCCATTTCTGGATGTTCCATTCTAGTCCATTGATTTATGTGTCTGTTCATGCGCCATGATTTAATTATAGAGGCCTGACAGTATTTCTTAGATGTTTAATAAGATGCTTCTGTCTCCTGACTTTTTTCTTTCCTGTGCTTTTGTAGCTATCATTGCATATTTATTTTCATATTTAGTATAAACCTGCCAGCTGCGTAATCAGTTTGGTGCTATGTTTATTAGTATTACAGCGTGTTGATAAATTGACTCAGGAGGAGCAGGCATCTTTAGGATGTTGACTCATGCAAGACTGAGGTGTGTCTTCCTATTTGTTCAAATACAATTTTTTGTGTCTCGAGATGTTTTGAAGTTTTCTTCATATAGGTTTTGCACACGTCTTAAGTTTATTTATAAGTACTTTAGCTTCTTTGATGTTTTTGTAAACGGGGCTTTCTCTACAATTATGTACCCTAATCTGGTCATTTTTCCAGTTTGTAAAGGTTATGGGTATCTGTATGTTAATTTTGTACTGAATTATTTTATTTGGGTTATTTTATTTTATTTTATTTTTGAGACAGAGTTTCACTCTTGTTGCCCAGGCTGGAGTGTAATGTCACGATCTCAGCTCACTGCAACCTCTGCCTCCCGGGCTCAAGCCATTCTCCCGCCTCAGCCTCCCGAGTAGCTGGGACCACAGGCATGCGCCACCACACCCAGCTAATTTTGTATTTTTAGTAAAGACAGGGTTTCACCATGTTGGCCAGGCTGGTCTCGAACTCCTGACCTCGTGATCCACCTGCCTCGGCCTCTCAAAATGCTGGGATTACAGGCGTGAGCCACTGAGCCCGGCCTTACTTGGGTTATTTTATCATGGATTCTCCTGGGTTTTCCTGATGTACTATGATGTCGTCTGCAAAGAGAGAGTTTCACTTTTCCCCAATTGTTGTACATCCTGTTGATTTTTCATACCGAATTGCATCAATCCATACCTGCAATACAATGTCCGATACCATGGGAGGGAGTTGGCAGGTTTCTTCTTTAAAGGCTCACATGGAGAATGTTTTAGGCATTTTGGGCTGGGCTGTCTCCACCCCTGGCACTCTGCTTTGTGGTTGTAGTACGAAAGCAGCCACAGGCAATGAATAAATGTGTGAGCATGGCTGTGTTCCAGCGAGGCTCTGTTTACAAAAGCAAGTGGCAGGCCATATTGGGCGCCATCCTGGGGGCCAGGGTTGCACCCCTTGTATGGGTGGTGGTGGGCCTCCCTACCCTGTTCCTTGATCTTACTGGAAACACCTTGAGTGTTTCCCTATGAAGTCGCTGCCTTAGGAATGAGGTGCACACACATACATGTTACCTGTGAAGAAGGTATTCAGTAATTCCTATTTTCCTGAGCCTTTTTTTTTTTCAGGAATAATTGTTGAATTTCATTGAGGGCTTTTTCACCATATATGGAGATAATCATTTTCCCCCTCAGATCTGTAAATATGGTCTTTTATGTTAAGGGACTTCCTAATATTGAACTAGCCTTTCATCCTTGGATTATATCTGCTTGGCTATTGGTGTATTATTTTCCTAATGTGAAACTGGAGTCTATTTCTTAATATTTCATTTAGCACATTTGCATCAATATTCAAAGCTGATATTGGTGTGTCATTTTCTTTTTTATTTTACTCTCCATATCAGAGTTAAGTGTCAATGTTATACTTCTTAAAAAGGACTACAAATTTTCCTTCACTTTCTATGCTCTGGAACAATTTATGGGGCATTGAAATGATCTGACCTGTGAAGATCTGGTAGAATTCCATGTTAAAGCCGTCTGGGCCAGGTGCATTTTTGTGGGGTAATTCCTTGATAACTTTATTCCTTCTACAGGAGTTGATCTTTTAAGCTTGGTATCTCTAATGGGGTCGATTTTTATAAATTACATTTTCCTACAGAAATATATACTTTAGGTTTTCAAATGTATTTGTACATAGGTCTTTCTCCCACTTTTATTCAATCACTTGCCCTCTGCCACACCCAGGGAACCACTTTCTGATATTTATTACTGTAGATTAGTTTGGCCTGTTCTTAGATGTCATATAAACAGACTCTTAAGTTTATGAGCTTTTGCATCTGATTTTTATTTAACGTAGTGTTTTTGCAATTCATCAATGTTTTTGCATATTTGGTAGGTTTCAATTTTTTAAATTGTCTAACAGTATTCCATTTTATAATTATTCTGCAATTTGTTTATCCATTATCCGATTGATAGTTATTTGGGTTATTTGTAGCTTTTGATTATTATGAGCAAGGCCAGTGTGAACATCCTTTTTCCAGCCTTTTTGTGAACATACCCATTTCCCTTGATGAAATACTAAGGCTGGAACTTCTGGGTTGTAGGGCAGATGTACACTTGCCTTTATGTGGAACGGCAGGACAGTCTTCCAAAGTGACTGTAGCATTTTACATTCCCACCAATCACACTCTCTTCCTCGCCAGTATTCAGTGCTGTCGGTCTTTCTGACAGCGGCCACCCTGGAGTGTGGAGCAGCAGCTCTGTGAGGTTTTAACTTGCACATCCCTGATGGCTAAGGATGCTGAGTATATTTTCATGTGTATGATGGGCGTTACTCTATCTCTTTTGGTAAAGTATCTGTGCAAACGTTTGTCCCATGGTTTAAAATTGTTTTTTTTTTTAATTGTTGATTTGTAGCAGTTCTTACAGATTCTGGATAAAGTCCTTTATCAATGTGCTGTGCATATTTTTTCTCTGTGGCTTATCTCTTCATTTTTTACTGGCATTTTAAAATAAAGCCCAATTTATCAAGTTTTTTCTTTACGGGTTAGTGTTTTTGTATGCTACCCAAATCTACCTACCTCAGACTCATTAGGGCATTTTCCTGGGTTTCTTCTGGAAGCTTTGTGGCTCTGGGCTTTGTGTTTGTGTCTGTTGTAGGTCTTGAGTTAATTTGTGTGTGGCGTGAAATAGGAGTTGGGGTTCATTTTTCCATACAAATCTCCAGCTGTCCCAGCCACGCTGTTTCAGACCTTCCTTCCCCACTGATTGACCTAGTGCCTTGGCTGAGGGTCAGCTTGTCTATCCTGACCTTGTCCTGCTGTGACCAGAGCTTTATAGGAAGCCATGAAGTCAAAATAAGTTCCACAATTTCGTTCTTTTTTAACAAGATTTCTTTAGCAAGGCTAGGTCTTTTGCAATTCCATAACTATTTTATTATTTTATTATTGTAGAGACAGAGTCTCTGTCACCCAGGCTGAAGTGCAGTGGCGTGATCTCAACTCACTACAGCCTCGATTTCCCAGGCTCAAGCAATCCTCCCACCTCAGCCTCCCAAGTAGCTGGGACTACAGGCATGCACCACCATGCCCAGCTAGTTTTTAAAGTTTTTGTTTGCTTGTTTTTTGTAGAGACGGGGTCTCACTATGCTGCCCAGGCTGGTCTTGAACTGCTGGGCTCAAGCAATCCTCTCACCTTGGCCTCCCAAAGTGCTGGGATTACAAGCATAAGCCACCATGCCCAGCCATAAAAATTTTAGAATCAGCTTGTCGCTTTCTATAAAAAGAAAAAAAACTTTAAAATGATGATTGGGATTGCATTATATCTACAGATCAATTTAGGGAGACAGGACAATCCTAACTACATTGAGCCTTTCAATCCAGGAACACTGTGTATCTCTCAGTTTATTCAGGTATTTTCTCAGTGATGTTGCTTTGTTTTCAATATACCAGTCGTGCACATCTTTTATTAGATTTATTCCTAGGTATTTTATGTTTTTTGATTGGAGCCTGGAGTTTTCTTTGTAGGAAAGTTTTGATTAGAAATTCAATTTATTTAGTATAAGGTTATTTAGATTTTCTAGTTCTTCTTATATCACTTTTGTTAATTTGCATATTTCAAGGAATTTTCCTGTTTCACTTAAATTGTTTAATGTATTGACTATCACTTTTAGTATTTTCTTATTATCCTTTTAATATTTGTAGGACCTGTAGTGATGTACTTTTAAACTCCTGGTGTCAGTGATTTGTTTTTTTTTTCTTGATGAGTCTTGCTAGCAGATTATCCGTTTTATTAATCTTTTCAAAATTTTCAAAAATTCAAATTTTGACTCTGTTAATGGCCTTTATTATTTGACTGTTCTAAACCATTTTCATGGATTTTTGACTCTTACCTTTATTTTTTCTTTCCTTTTACTTACCTTAGATTTAACTGACTCTTCTCTCTCCAGTTTCTTGAGGAGGGACTACATACATACTTTTGAAACAGTCATTTTAAGCTCACTGGCATTTGATGCTGACCCTTCTGCTTGTGTGTAATTGGAGGTTTATTACACTTCCTGTGTCCTCATTATGATGCAATTTTGGGTCTGTGTAGCTGCACCTGTTCTTACCATTCTCCGTCATTTTGTGGAATGTTGTGGGGGATTTGGATTTAGGTAACTGCCATTATCCTTGGCTGCCTAGGAGTCTTCAATACCAGTATTTCAAAAGCTCTTAGAAATTGATACTTATAAACCCTAATAGAAAAATTAGCACATGACATACATAGGGCAGTTTTCCAAAGAAGAAATACAAGTTACCAGTGAATGCAGGAAATGTTTTTCAATGTCATTAGTAATCAAAGAAATGAAAACTATAATGGTAAAATAATTTATCTCTTTTCAGAAATAATATATCTGTTTTCAAATTGGCAAAGATTTCAAAAAAAGAAAAAAGGAAAATAAAAGTACCCAGCATGGTCCAGATTTAAGGGAAATTAGTATATAGTATACTGCTGACAGCCACAAACATCATGGGAGTTAAAGTCTCCGAATGTCTGTGTTTTAAAGACACAAATGGAAACATTTATGAAAGCTGTGTCCAGGTGACTCAGCCCCCTCACCCCCAGCTTCTACCTCGTGTGGGATGTGAGACTGGGCGAGATATTCCACCTGGTAGCCTGTGCTTGCTCAGCGTCAGTGGCCATTGCTGCCATGGACAGATCCTGCGACTCAGAGGCCACCGTCTTTCGCGCATCCTCACCGGTGATGGCCCCGGGAAGCTGCTGCAGGGTGGGGCTGCGAGGCTCGCTGCTCAAATAAAGGAAAACGCCACATCAAGCACAACACAGCCACATCCTTGCCTTCTCCATCTGCTCCCTCCAAAATCCCACGATGATTACGGCTGTGACTAGGATTTAATAATCATGCAAATATTGTGAATAACATACACGAATGAATTTAACATCAAGATGAAATGAATTTCTAGAAAATATTTTAAGATGCCATAGTTAATGTAAAAAAAATAAATAACTTGCACACACGAACAATAAATAAATCAACATAGTATTAAAATCTGCCCTGTTTCATCCACCATCTCCACAAAATGTGCCCGCACTAGAGGGTCTTCAGGGTGAGGCGGACCAGGCCTTCCAGAAGCACGTCACCCTCATCTTAAGCAGCTCCAGAAAATGGAAGGAAAGGAGCAGGAGTGACTCGTGTCTTGATGGTTGTGTATACTGTATGCAAAATATGGAGAGAAACTACAGGCCAAGTTTAAACATAGATGGTTAAGTGAGGTTAATCAATTCCAAGGCATATTAAAAAGTCATGATCAAAGGGGCTTACCACATGAAGTACAAGAATGATGCATCATCAGAAAATCTATCAATCACACACTAAAGAAAAACTGTGATTCTTTCAGCAGATACAGAAAAACACTTGATGAGTTCAACATTTTTCTCTCTCTCTCTTTTTTTTTTTTTTTTTTTTTCTGAGACAGAGTCTCACTCCATTGCATAGGCTGGAGGGCAGTGGTGCGACCTCGGCTCGCTGCAACCTCCACCTCCTGGGTTCAAGCGATTCTCCTGCCTCAGCCTTCCAAGTAGCTGGGACTACAGTCGCACACCACCACACCCGGCTAATTTTTGTATTTTTAGTAGAGACAGGGTTTCACCATGTTAGCCAGGCTGGTCAATGGACTTCAATATTTTTCATAATAAAAATCCTTAGAAAAGCCAAAGGATATCCCAGACAGTGTGTAGGAGGAGGTACGTGGGCAGAAACGTCTGCAGAGGAAAACAGAGAGCTCCTGCCTCGTCTTAGGTACCAAGTCTCACTGTCGCGTCAAGACAAGGTGCACATAATTTTATATTTATTAGAAAAGGGGCCTTGTAAACCATGGCTGCCTTCTCATGTTGCCTGTTAACTTGGAGCCTGTGACAAAATGGTAATAAATAAAAAGTGGGCATTTCTAGAGGTTATGAATATGGACTACAAAACAGGAGGAAATTGTTGAAAATTTAAGCAAAGGATTCTTGCACTTTTTCATTTTGGGTGAGCCAATTCGATTTTTTTTTTTGTTTTGTTTTTTCTTCTAGTCTCTTAATGGCTTTGCTCTGGTCGTGAGTGCAGAAGGGACGATATTTTATGCATCAGCAACGATCGTGGACTATCTGGGCTTCCATCAGGTAAATGAAACCAGAATAGCCCTCCAGTCTGTTAAGTGCTATGTTGTCTTCCCTTTGTAAATGTTTGTTGTCGTCAAGGTTTGATAATGTGTAAAATCAGGCTTTTCCTATCACTGAGCTCTTATCAGATAAAGATCTCCACACCCCAGCTTTGTCTAGGGCAGTGTTTCTTCCAGCCTGGGTTCGGGGTCTCGGCAAGAGGCTTCTCAGTGTTAGGGGTGTTCTGGTCTAAGGCAGCCGTGGCGTGCGGACGGCAGCATGGTCTCCTCTGGCTCAGGCACTCCGCTAGGTCCCCTGCCCCACCAGCACCATCCCATTCAGCCGCTCCCAGGCAACGTCTTAAGCCTCAGCTTCTTGGTGCACTCAGGACACAGCTTGTTGTGGAAATGCCCTTCCTGACGTGCGAGTGGTTCATTTGGAATGCTGCCCAGCCAGCCCCAGGTGGATGACTCCAGACTTCCAGGCAGAGAATGGGGTTGAGGCCTCGTCAGATACCAAGCCCTGGAAGGGCAACTCACCCGGGAAAAGGTGCAATAAAAAATCCCACCCAGCCGGGCGCGGTGGCTCACGCCTGTAATCCCAGCACTTTGGGAGGCCGAGGCGGGTGGATCACGAGGTCAGGAGATTGAGACCAGGCTGGCCAACATGGTGAAACCCTGTCTCTACTAAAAATACAAAAATTAGCTGGGTGTGGTGGCGTGCACCCGTAGTCCCAGCTACTAGGGAGGCTGAGGCAGGAGAATAGCGTGAACCTGGGAGGTGTAGGTTGCAGTGAGGTGAGATCGAGTCACTGCACTCCAGCCTGGGTGACAGAGCGAGACTCCATCTCAAAAATAAAAATAAAAAATAAAAAAATCCCACTCAAGGCCAGGAGGGGAGCAACGGAGCTGTTTTTTTTGTCTGGGGAGGAGCTGGGGTCCCTCATGGAAAATCAGATGCTGGTTGTAGAATTAAGATTTCTCCCATTGCACGGCGAGGACCCCCAGGATCTGGAAATCAGGCGTACTGCAGACTGATAGATTTCTGGAGAACCCAAAGAAGCAAAAATGGGGCCCTTTATCTGCACTTCCACAAGCCACTCCCACAAAAATACCCGCCCTGCAAATGAGCTCACAATGCAAGTTATAAACCCAAGGAAGCCATAGATGGTGAGCAGGAGCCAGCTGACAGGTAAACAAACCGTGCTTCCTGGAAGAACTTAAGGAGCAAAGCCGTCCAAAGGAAACTGGCAAACAAATAGATTTAAAACAATAAAAGATAACAGCAGCAATATAAAGAAAGCACAGCATATGATGAAAAAAGAACAGGTATGTTTGAGAAAGATCAAAACAAAACTTTGAAAAATAGAGAGTAGTATATTAGGGTTCAGTCTGGAGACAGAAACTGTGCAGAAATTTGAACAGTTTTATAGAAAGACTTATGACGGGTTTAGTGTAAGGCAGTGTTAACCAGTAGCACCGGCTCAGCAACGAAGGACTAAAGGGACTCTGAGGACACAGATACAGCAACAGAGGGGCAGCAGTGCCCACAGGGCCCAGGCGGGGGCCGTTGGAAACCCCAGCCCCACTGAGGCTGAGAGCCAGACCCTCAGTGGCACGGGGTGGGGCCATGGCCGGGGCAGTGGAGAAGTTCCCAAGACGTTCAGGCCAGGGCTGGTAGGAAACCTCCCTTTGGGACCCAGGTGAGATGCGCACCTGGAGGCCGCTAGGCGCTGGGGGAAGCTGTGACACTGCGGGGTGCACACCGGCCCCAGGGGAAGCCCTACCCCTGCACTACCCAGCACCTCTGCCTACGAGGAAAGGGTCCCAGAGCCAGCATTCACGCTGAGCCAGAGGCAGCACACGGTGATTAAAGCAAAAATCTGCCTGGTCGGGTGGGAGGCCTAGGGGCCGAATCTGCCTGGTGGGGCGGGAGGCCTAGGGGCCGAGTCTCCCTGGTCGGGTGGGAGGCCTAGGGGCCGAGTCTGCCTGGTCGGGTGGGAGGCCTAGGGGCCGAATCTGCCTGGTCGGGCGGGAGGCCTAGGGGCCGAGTCTGCCTGGTCGGGTGGGAGGCCTAGGGGCCGAGTCTCCCTGGTCGGGTGGGAGGCCTAGGGGCCGAGTCTGCCTGGTCGGGTGGGAGGCCTAGGGGCCGAATCTGCCTGGTCTGCTGGGAGGCCTAGGGGCCGAATCTGCCTGGTGGGGCGGGAGGCCTAGGGGCCGAATCTGCCTGGTGGGGCGGGAGGCCTAGGGGCCGAATCTGCCTGGTCGGGCGGGAGGCCTAGGGGCGGAGTCTGCCTGGTCGGCTGGGAGGCCTAGGGGCTGTGCAGAGCAGCAGGCAGTGGAAGCCACGAACCACCCCGCTCGCCCACACTAGTCCCTGACAAGTCATTAGAATTCACGTCTGCGCAGGCCCTGAGGCTGCACAGTTTTATCCAATTTCCATAAGAGCTGGGCTTTTGAATTTTTTCCCACAGCTGAAATTGCTGCTGCCTTGCTGGTGATTCTGCAAAAAAACTCCTCTAGTCCGCCTCTAAGTTCAATCTCCTGCCCCTGAGCCCAAGGCCAGTCTCCCTGTGAACTGCAAGGACCACGTGACTGCCGGGCCCATTGCAGTGAGCTTGTTTTCTGCACCGTGGCTGTGTCTGCACACTGGATGCCTCCTTGGGATGGCCTCTCCCCCAGCATCCACGTGAAGGTGCAGCTCGTCAGCACGCCTGGGCTGGCCCTGGTGGAGGACGCAGGGGGACATGGCTGTGTGCAGGGAGAGGGAACACCGTGCAGTGGACATGGCTGCCAAGGGGTGTCCAGGCCACTGCCCTGTTGGGAACGCAGTGCAGGGTGGAGACACAGCTCTGCTGTCCCAGCAGCGACCTTGATGGCTCTGAGCCTCATTTCCTGTGCCCACACAATGGCCAGCAGCGGTGTTTGCCTGCCAGGCTGTGGCCAGACCACGGGGCCACTGAGCAGGGGAGTGCTGGGAAAAGCCCTGGTGCCCGGCACGGCGTCTCCTACCACAGAGTGACATCGCTCTAGGCGGCTGCTGTTGACACCACGTGACCACAGGCTTTGCTGAGTGTGCCCTGGTATCTGTGGTTGGGGCACTGTCATCTCCTGATGCGCCCTGTGAGAGGGGACCTGAAGTGACGCCTGGTGGGTCCCTCGTTCCCACAGATGGCATCAGCGTCTGGGTGGCCACCCGGCATCCTCTTCATCTCCATCTTCTGTGCTCAGATCCCATGGAGCTGCCGTGGGATGCTTCCTTTACACGTGTGGAGAGTAGTGGAGTGGGTCCGTTGGGTCCGTAGGCGTTTGCTGGGGTTTGGTGCATCCTTCACTGTGGGGTGCCGTGAACGGGGGAGCACTCACAGTACAGGACATGGGCGGACATGACGGTGTGGCTCGATGACTTTGTCAACTTAAACAGAGCAGCTTCGGCTTGGTCTTTTTGTGCAGGGCCCATGTCTAGAGAAGGTGGCTTGGTCCATATGTGCAGGTCCCGAGTCTAGAGAAGGCGGCTTGGTCTTTATGTGCAGGGCCCGAGTCTAGAGAAGGCCGCTTGGTCTGTATGTGCAGGGCCCGAGTCTAGAGAAGGCGGCTTGGTCTTTATGTGCAGGGCCCATGTCTAGAGAAGGTGGCTTGGTCTGTATGTGCAGGGCCCGAGTCTAGAGAAGGCCGCTTGGTCCGTATGTGCAGGGCCCGAGTTTAGAGAAGGCGGGGTCTGTATGTGCAGGGCCTGAGTCTGGAGAAGGCCGCTTGGTGTGTATGTGCAGGGCCCATGTCTAGAGAAGGTGGCTTGGTCTGTATGTGCAGGGCCCGAGTCTAGAGAAGGCGGCTTGGTCTGTATGTGCAGGGCCTGAGTCTGGAGAAGGCGGCTTGGTCCATATGTGCAGGTCCCGAGTCTAGAGAAGGCCGCTTGGTCTGTATGTGCAGGGCCTGAGTTTAGAGAAGGCGGCTTGGTCCGTATGTGCAGGGCCCGAGTTTAGAGAAGGTGGCTTGGTCTGTATGTGCAGGGCCTGAGTCTGGAGAAGGTGGCTTGGTCTGTATGTGCAGGGCCCGAGTCTAGAGAAGGCCGCTTGGTCTGCCTTCTGCATGCTCAGAATCACTGTCAACTCTAGTTACTGCATCTTGAGCTGCCCTGAGTTCTCCAGATGCACCCAGAGCCGCTGCCTTTAGCCATGGCTCGATGGTCTCACCCCAGGGTTTGGCTTTGGGGACTGGGGCAGGTGCTGTGCAGAGCAGCTTTGATTCCAGGTCAGAACTTGCTAATTGGACTTTTTGTTTTCTTGGCACTTGGTCATTTTTCCCCAAGCATGAGAAGTTAAAAAAAAAAAGTTTTGCCTTGATTATGAGGAAATTGGTTCCAAATGCCATTAAATCAGGCATTGCCTCTAGTTTATGCAAAATATCTCATGAAAAAATTAGAGCAGCTTTGTGCTTGTGTGAGCTTATTGTGCAAAATGCTTTACAAAAAGTCAGGAACCAATTATTCCCAGTCACAGCATGAGTGCATGATTTCAGTGTCTTCAAGCTCAGCATGCTTAGTGATGAATAAACGGCTTTAGGCGTATATTTTAGTTGCCATTGACATTTGTTGATTCAATAAGTTGTTCGTTCTCTCAAAGATTAGAGCTCGTCGATCAGAGCAGTTAGAATCCCACAGGCATGGTTAGCAGATGTGTGCAAGCTTTTGCACAAAAAGGTAAAAATGTTAGCTGCTAGAGTGAGCAGCATATTGAAATTGGAAATGATTTTATTCTAAACTCCCTAAGTGGTAGTGTAAAACTAAAGTAAAGACTGTCTTTAGTTGACGAAAGGAGGGTTTGTTTTTGTACGGTTTGGATAATTTTAACATCATGCTCTCCCCCTCCCATTTCTCCCACCATGTCTCTTGATGTCACTTTGTAGGAATTAGACTTTAAAAGATTAAGAAAGACTTAGGGCAGACATGCCACACTGATGATTAAAACACAGAACTTTGTTCCCTCAACCCAAACAGGACTTACATCTCACCCTGTCTTCAGATTTGCCTCAGTTGGAGAAGTCTTTCCAGCTCTCCTGCACCCTCCTCCACATGTGCCATCTGGCCTCGGTTCAGCAGCAGACCCTTTCTCGCCTGTTGATTCCCTTTTGTTACCTGACTGCGGGGTTGGAGATGATGGATGAGGCACTCGGGGAGGCCTGCGGCTGCTCAGGGAGGGCACTTGGGGTGGGGGTCACCTTCCAGGGGTCTACAAAGCTCAGGGTTGCCTGTGGAAACTCATGCGAGGGCCATTTTGGTGTAGGTCAGCAGGGCGGGACTGCAGCTGCTCTGGCGCAGGAGGCGGCAGACTCCATGCTGAAGAACTGGAGAGAGAGAGCTCCAGAAGATGCAGGGCCTCATGATCTGGCGCAGCACCAGCTACTGTGAGGACAGCCGGGTGCCCATGCAGCAGGTGCACCCAGGCCTCCAGCACTGCCATGTGCCTCTGGCGCAAGCGCAGGTCTTGGTGACTGGTGAGTTGGAGAAGTCCCAGGACCGCCTGACTGGGGGCACCAGGCATTACAGTGACAAAGCCAGATTCCCTAGATGCGGGGAGTGAGGGCTCCAGGTGAAGCAGCAGCTGCTGGCCATGTGACCATGGGTGCAGATGACCTTGTATGCCTCATCCTGACCGTGACCACAAAGCTGAAGGAGTCTCTCTCTTCTATTGGGAAATAAGTCTTTGCCTGTGGTCGTTGGGGCTGAGGGCAAGAATCTATTTTTTAAAAGGAATGGGATTTTTTTTTTTTTTTTGAGACAGTCTTGCTCTGTTGTCCAGGCTGGAGTGCAGTGGCACAATCTCGGCTCACTGCAACCTCTGCCTCCTGGGTTCAAGCAAGTCTCCTGCCTCAGCCTCCTGAGTAGCTGAGATTACAGGTGTGTGCCACCAAGCCTGGCTAAATTTTGTATTTTTAGAAGAGACGGGGCTTCACCATGTTGAAGCCAGGCTGATCTCAAACTCCCAACCTCAAGTGATCTGCCCGCCTTGGCCTCCTAAAGTGCTGGGATTACAGGCGTGAACCACTGTGCCCGGCTGAGAGTTTTAGTCTTTTAAGCAACATTTATAAATGAAGAAATTAGGGATGGCAGCAAGTGTAAGGGGAATGTTGCTTGCCTCTGGATGCTGGTTCCTCTGCGTTTCACTTCTAAAAAACTGGCCCTAAAACGTGTCAAGAGCTCGCACAGGAGTGTTTGGAGCCATATTTCCCATTGTCCTGGCAAAGCCGGGGCCCTCCATGGTGCCCGGCTCTTACTGCACAGGGACCAACAGGCCGGCCCATAAGAGCTGATGGGGTTGGTATTTCTGTTTGTTGCCAACCCCTGTTTACCGGAAGTGTCCCCACACCATTTTCCATAAGCTGTGAAACAAATGTCATAAGGTCTCTAATTTAGAAGGGGGAAGACCCAGGTTTCTGGGTCTTTGTTTCCTTGGTTTTGTGTTATGTGTGCCAGGGTGTAAAGTGGATTTTAAGATGTGGAATTGGGAGGTAGAGTGGTTTAGAATAAGAACTCCGAAAGGTTCCTTGTGGATCCCCTTTTCTGGCCATCGGGATGTGGATGTGCATTTGTTAAACTTCTCACACGCTGCATCCTTCAGCCTGGAGACCCTTTGGAAACACGAGGTGACGCCACGGTAGTTATTCAGCTAAGCTTCCCTCTGACGGGCCCTGAGGCTGCCGCCATAGAGCGGCAGAACCGTGCAGTTCCTGGAGGAGAAGGGGGTTTTGATTGCGAAATGTTCCAGTATCCAGAGTGAACACTGAAGGAGGAGCCGTTGGCTACTTGGTAAGAGAGCTGTGAAGTCCTGGATTTGGGAAAACCTGTTTTCATAGAACAGGATGGGATGGAAGCCTAAACCCAGCATTCCTTACTAGCCCCTGAATTAACAGAGCCCAACGAAGACAATCCCCTGGCAACAGGAAGTCAAGGGAGAAAGAAGGAGCCCCAGGCTGGGAGGAGTGCGGACTCCCCGAGCAAAGGAGGAGTGACCCCCCACTGCTCACCAAACACTAGCTGGGGGGCCTTTGCAGTTGAACGGAGGTGGGGCCTGCAGATGCTGGGCAAGCTGCTTCCCTGCAGGAGGAAGCCAGTCTTGAGTCCTGGCTCACACCACAGACAGCTTCAGGGCATGATGGAAGTTTCCAGAAGATAACAGGGCAGAGCTAGACCCATGAGGAAACATTTCTCAGGACAAAAGCCTTCCCCATGTGGAGAGGATGGAAGGGTTGGGCCTTGTGGTGTCCACCAGGAGGGCGGGATGGCAGCGGGGACACCTTGCATGGAAGGCGGCCCAGAAGGGACTGGGCAAGGCAGCTGGACGGCTCAGTGGGGATTCCAGAAAGAGACACCTCCGCGCTGCACGCACGCAGCCACGCAGCCACCCACCCACGCAGCCACCCACCCACGCAGCACGCACAGACCCACGCACGCAGCCACCCACCCACGCAGCACGCACAGACCCACGCACGCAGCACGCACGCATCCAGGCACGCACACGCAGCCACCCACCCACACAGGCGCACATACGCTGGCACCGCTGAACAGCCAAAATATACACGATGGTTCTTCTTATGGTTCAGGAGGTGGAAAGTTGAAACCATAGCAAGAAACGTGGCCTATCCACCGCAGCGACTAAAAGATAAAGAGGGAAAAGGACAAACATTGGCCAGAAGGTGCAGCGGCTGGAGCGTTCGCGCCTTAACTGGAAGAGGAGCCGCCCCGCCTGGGAGGCCGCTCTGGCGCCCGGCTGGTGCCGGGCAGGAGGCCCTTGCGGACCCAGCGGCCTCCTCGTCGGCAACGCCCACCCCGCGGTTCAGCCACGGAGCGGATGCCGTGTGCAGGCACGGAACGGGCGAGGCTGTTGCGCTGCAGGTGCCCCCACGGTCGCGATGCGGGGCAGGGGGATGCCGGTGGGTATCATCCCTCCACGTGGAGTCCGCGCACAGTACCAGCCCCCACACGGAGGGCGGCCCGGACTCAGAGGCACAGGCAGAAGCAGCCTCGCGGGTGCCGGCGATGCCCTGTGGCCTCATCTGGGTGGGGTCCCGCGGGGTGTTTTCTTGAAGGTGACTCACCCAACGGTGTGTTCGTGATTGGGCGCATTTTGGCCTAGGTTACCCTCCAGTTACAAGTCCTTAGGAAGGCACCATGGCAGAGCCGCGGAGGAGTGCACCGCGGGGATGCTGGCGCCGCCCTTTTCACCTCGAGGGGTCTCTGTTCCTCTGTTCACCGCTTTCTGTGACAGCGCATTCACAGAAGGGAACTGCGGAGGCACAGACAGAGTCCAGCCCCTTTAGTGAGGGCCACCTCCTCCTTCTGCTCTCCTGAGGCTGTGTCTCATCTTGTTCGGGGAGCCCCGCAGGTCCTTGCCATTGGGTTGCTTGAAGATGCTCGTCCCTTTAGGGTGAGTTTGTTAGTTACATTCCTCTGAAGTCTTGACTCTTAAGGAGCTCCTCCTCCAGTTAGGAAGAACCACTTGGTTATTATCACGATAATAAATGCCATTTAGAATTAGGTCACCCAGAAAGAGTCCTAAGGTTCTAGCAGTCCCTGGCACGGTTAATTATTCGGGGCTGGCGGGTGGCGGGCCAGGCTCCAGGTGCAGATGCCTGACTTTCTTCAGTTAGGAGAAGGGAGAGGACGGTGGGATGGCCGGCCTTCCTCAGGCGCCGACACGCTCACTGGCAGTGGTGACAGCTGAGTACCCCTTGAAGTCAGTCTTCGTGGCCCGCAGTGTCAGCCTCTGTCGCCAGACATGGACCCTGGGTGCCTGTGAGGGTCAGCCTCTGTGTCAGGGCCCAGATTAGCTTCTGAGCAGGTGGAAGGAGAGAGGACTAGAGAGAGGCCTGTGAACTGGCAGGTCCTTGAGGCATCGTGAAAGTGGGTGAAGGTTGAGGCCTGGGTGTCAGGAAGAAGGAAATCACAGGCCATAAGATGTGAAGTGATGGGAAACCGAGTCACAAAGAGTCCAAGTCGACAGGAAAGTGGATGTCTTGGCCCCAGAGTGTCTGCGGCCCAGAAGATGCCCGTCTCTTAGCCTCCCGCTTGCCCCGAAAGGCTGGATGTGGGCACCACTTGGCGGGCAGACGGGTGGGCGGGTGCTCCAGGCAACTTAGACATCTTCTCAGGAGGGAGTGGGGAACCGGGGCCAAGCGCCGTCTCTTCGGTGGGATTCTCTCCCTGTGGCTGTGACTTGCTTTGACAAGTGGAGTGGAAATTTTTCGGTTACTCGTCGGTGGAATAAAGTGTCTAAAGCCACTTGGGGTAAGGCTGAAATAATCTTGTTGCGCTATTTCAGACGGATGTAATGCACCAGAACATTTATGACTACATCCACGTGGACGACCGCCAGGACTTCTGCCGGCAGCTCCACTGGGCCATGGACCCTCCCCAGGTGGTGTTTGGGCAGCCCCCGCCCTTGGAGACAGGTGGGTGTCTGGGGTCCAAGTGAGTCAGCAAAACCTAAAGCAGGTCCCATAACACATCGCTGCCTCTGGAAATGACCCTGTCGCACCTTCTTGGTGTGCTTTGCCTTACACATTGACCTTAGCGCCAAATCTCACCTTTCTTCAGAGGCCTCCTCCCATGTCCCTCCCTGTCCTCTGATTCGGCTGCCACAGCTCCGTGTGGCTCGAGTGTGCTTCACTCCTGGTTGCTTTCCTGGGCTCTGCCAGGCTTGAGGTCACCGCCATTCTTGTCACCTCACCACGAGCTGCAGTCCTGGCCTCTTGTTTTGCAAACTCCCCTCAAGTCTCACGTCTGCCAGGAAGTTTCATACAGTTTGCTTCATACTAGAGTTATCCAATAAAAGTCCCTGAAAGATTGTTGCCATTCAGAGTTGGTTGCCCCTTTTCACAGAAGACCCCTGCACAGGGCTTGCTCTCAACCTCCCTGTGGCGCTGACTGATGAGATAAGCCTGGCAGGTGTGGAGCTCCTTGACAGGCAATGACAGGCGGGGGCTGTGCTGGGACAGTTGCATCTGGGCTCTGAGGAGAGGCGACACCTGCCCGCGGTCCTGTGCAGAGGGTGGCTCCTGGGTTCTCTCGCACGTATCCGCAGAAGCCTGAAATAATTCACGGAAAGTTTCCACCATGACAGTATGATTGACCTTAAAACAGCAAAGCCCAGGCACCTACATGCAAGACCCTTCTGTAAAGCTAAAAACAAGCAAGATGAAACCATTGGTCCATCGTCATGCATGCACATGTACTAAAAACGATGTTTTTAAAGGCAAAGGATGATGAAGGCAAAATTTGAGTGACATCTAGAGGGATGCTGGGGGCGGGAGGATGGCACAGTGATAGGGTTTACATGACCTGGCGCGTGAGAGCCGTGGGCGTGGTTGTGCGTGTGACACGTGTGTTTTGGCTTCTCCCACCGCCACGCCCCTTGGCCCCTATGGTCTGCAGGAGATGATGCTATCCTGGGGAGGCTGCTCAGGGCCCAGGAGTGGGGCACAGGCACGCCCACCGAGTACTCGGCCTTCCTGACCCGCTGCTTCATCTGCCGTGTGCGCTGCCTGCTGGACAGCACCTCGGGCTTCCTGGTGAGTGCGTGGGTCCCTGGCAGGGGGCTCCCGACATCTGGGATGCATTCTACCCTGGTGTGGAAGGAAACAGAGGGCAAGAGGGGGTGGGGGCGTTAAACCACATGTCCCTGGTGGAGGGACGGGGGCCGGTGCTGAGCTCTGTGTACCCTGTGATGGTGTGGGGGTGTTAACCCATGTGTCTCTGGTGGGTGGGAGAGGGCTGGGCACTGAGCTCTGTGCACCCTGTGATGGTGTGGGGGTGTTAACCCATGTGTCTCTGGTGGGGGGGCGAGGGCCGGTGCTGAGCTCTGTGCACCCTGTGATGGTGTGGGGGCTTTAACCCACGTGTCTCTGGTGGGTGGGAGAGGGCTGGGCACTGAGCTCTGTGCACCCTGTGATGGTGTGGGGGTGTTAACCCATGTGTCCCTGGTGGGGGGGCGAGGGCCGGTGCTGAGCTCTGTGCACCCTGTGATGGTATGGGGGTGTTAACCCATGTGTCTCTGGTGGGTGGGAGAGGGCTGGGCACTGAGCTCTGTGCACCCGGCGATGGTGTGGGGCTGTGACGCCTCTGGGCATGCGTGATGAGTCAACCGTGAGGCCTGCTGTGGTGGACAAGCCAGGTCGATGAGAATGTAAAACTCTGCAGTAGGTTTATACTCTAGTTGTACCTTTATTTAAAACTTATTAAAATATTTTTTAAAATGTGCCCCACATCTGCCAAGGGCTGGCAAACTGGGAGAGCCTCTGGCTGTGGCTGGCGTGAGTGGCTGAGCCCATGGCATCTGCTGAGCTTTTTGGTTTCACCCTCTTCTCTTGCAAACAGATACTTGGGGTTTT
The DNA here is from genome assembly GCF_000001405.40 of Homo sapiens. Lineage (NCBI taxonomy): Eukaryota > Metazoa > Chordata > Mammalia > Primates > Hominidae > Homo > Homo sapiens. The sequence continues at coordinate 424,797 of NC_000005.10, forward strand.
CACTTCTGCTATTTGACCATTTCTTCTTCCAGCTCCTCATTGAATCAGAGAACTCCTCCCCATCGGACATGTCAGGGCAAAGGCCTCCCACCCTGTCCCAGAGCCCTGCCCACCTTGCAGACCCTCCAGGCACTGTGGTCCCCCTGGCCACAGCACAGTCAGCCCTGGGTCATGGCCCCTCAGAGCCCCAGTGGTGGCCCTTGCTGTCTCCTGGCTGCAATTCAATGCCACAAGGCCCTCAGACCCCAGCACCCCACAAGGCCCTCTGACTCCAGCACTGTAGCTGGGCAGGCCCCCTGGGCTCAGCTTTCCACCCATTTGTGGACCCATGACCTCCTGGGGACCTTGGGTGCAGACGGTCCCCATGGCAGAGGTACCTGTGGGTCTGCCTGTTTCTGTGTCTTTCCCACCCACTGGGTGCCTGGTGGAAGGACCAGCTCTCCACAGGCCCCAGATCTGTTGCCACGCACACGCCCCAGGGCACATCTTTCATTTAGGTAGCTAGGGACAATAAAGTTTTATTTATTTATTTATTTATTTTTGATGGAGTCTCGCTCTGTCACCCAGGCTGGAGTGCCTGGTGCAATCTCGGCTCACTGCAAGCTCCGCCTCCTGGGTTCACGCCATTCTCCTGCCTCAGCCTCCTGAGTAGCTGGGACTACAGGCGCCTGCCACCACGCCCGGCTAATTTTTTTGTATTTTTAGTAGAGACAGTGTTTCACTGTTGGTATTTTGTTCTAAATTTTGAGGAAATTAAGATACTTACTTTTATTGGCTAAGGAATGTTGTTCGTTTTTTAAAATTGTATAACCAATTCCTGGTTAATTAAAAACTCTTATTTCTAGGTGACCCAAAATTGGAAGGATTTTACTGTGCAGCCACTGGAATATAGTTTAAAATGGAATTGTCAAACAAAGAACTGAATGGAGGAAACAAGCCAGAGAAATTAGATTGATGCTAAAATATTGCAATAAGGTTTACACAAATACGTGTCTGATTCTGTTTTCCCATTAAAATCCATTCATCCACAGCACCATAAAGGGCTCCTGTATTGACACAGAATACACCAAGACCCTGCAGGACCTCACGGCTCTTCCCGGCTTTCACCCTGAGTGGTGCAGTCTTGGCAATGCGGGTGTCATGGAAGCTCCCTCATGCCACCCACAGGGCCAACTGAAAATGGTAGTTTTTGAGATTCGGCTGAAATTAACTTGGGAGCTTGAAATCAGCTGTGTTGGGAATATTTATACTAAAAAAATTGGCAAACACTGCATATCTGGGAATTTTTCCCCCTGGAGAGCTAGATGTTAAACATTTCCCAGCACACCGCTGCCTTGAATCCCCACCAATTATGTGACTGCTACACAGCAGGTGTTTATTATTTGTTTAATATATCCATGGACAGATGGAAAGATGGATGAATGGATGAATGGATGGTTGGATAGATGGGAAGATGGATGGATGGATGGATGGATGAGTGGATGGATGAGTGGATGGATGGATGAGAAGATGATGGATGGTTGGATAGGAAGATGATGGATGGATGGATGGGAAGATGGATGGGTGGATGGATGGATGGACAGATGGAAAGATGGATGAATGGATGGATGGATGGTTGGATAGATGGGAAGATGGATGGACAGATGGAAAGATGGGTGAATGGATGGATGGATGGTTGGATAGATGGGAAGATGGATGGATGGATGGATGAGTGAATGGATGAATGGGAAGATGACGGATGGATAGATGGACAGATGGATGGATGAATGGGAAGATGGATGGGTAGGTGCATAGATGGACAAATGGAAAGATGGATGGATGGACGGATGGGTGGATGGATGGATGGATAGATAGAAAGATGGATGGGTGGATGGGTGGACGGATGGATGGATAGATGGATGGGTGGATGGATGGCTAGATGGACAGATAGATGGGTGGATGGATGGATGGATGGGAAGATGATGGATGCATGGACAGATGGATGAATGGATAGGAAGATGGATGGATGGATGGATAGATGGGAATATGATGGATGGGTGGAAACATGGATAGATGGATGGATGGGTGGATGGATGGATGGATGGGTGGGTGGGTGGCTGGGTAGATGAATGTATGGGAAGATGGATGGATGGAAACATGGCTGGATGGATGGGAAGATGATGGATGGAAACATGGATGGATGGATGGATGGGTGGATGTGAAGATGGATGGGTGGGTGGATGGATGGATGGGAAGATGATGGATGGATGGGTGGGTGGATGGATGGGTGGATGGATGGATGGATGGAAAGATAGATTGGTGGATGGATGGATGGATAGAAAGATAGATGGATGAAATAAGGATAGAGGGTGGAGCCACATTGTGGGGTGATTCTTCCATACAAGGCAGGAGTACCCCTGAAGGCCCTTGGTAAACAACTAAATTATACATCAGCCTTCCCTTTGTAGAGAGATATTTTATTTTCTTATATAACAAACTCCTAGCTTACTTGCTGGCTTTTAAAGTCTCACTGTACACCCTAGATAAATAAAATCAAGTCGTGCCTAAATTTCATAATTACAAATGAAGAATTGATAATTTGGAAATGGAGTGTTAAAGCTGAAACAATCCTTGGAGATCATCCACTCCTGCGAATTCTTGCCAGGGGTTTGCCGCTGGCCCGGCTGTGGGCAGGTGGCAGGTCCCACAGGCGCAGTTCGTGCCACCTGCGCATGGGGTGGCACACATGAACAGGCACACACGCGGGAATGAACCTGTCAAAGGCCGTCGCCGCGGCTCCAGAGAAACTGGGAGTGGGGGATGGTTTCAGGATGATTCAAGCACATCGAATCACTCTGCAGGCCCGGGGGTCACAGGCTTGGCAGCTGCGGCTCTGCTGTCCCGAGCCACTCATGGTGAGCTGCCTCCCTACGAATTCCAGCCGCTGTCGCGCCCTTGAGTTCTGTGTCCTGTGACCACCTTGCCAGGCCACTTGGTGAACACGCCTTCCTCTCTGTCTTTAAAACACCAGACGATGCAGTTTCAAGGAAAACTAAAATTCCTGTTTGGACAGAAGAAGAAGGCGCCGTCAGGAGCCATGCTCCCGCCGCGGCTGTCGCTGTTCTGCATTGCGGCACCCGTTCTCCTCCCCTCCGCAGCGGAGATGAAAATGAGGAGCGCGCTCCTGAGGGCAAAACCCAGAGCAGACACCGCAGCCACCGCGGATGCAAAGTGAGTAAGACTCGCCCTTCACAGCCACATGGTGCCTGCTGGCGGCCCCCACAAAACACCTCCACACTCAGTGTTTTCTGTGTCTTCTTTCTTCATTTCCAGCCAGTAATAAGTCAGTTTCGTGTCGTAAAAGTCATTACACAACATAGGCAGCAGCGATTAGATGAAACAATGTTTTTCAAACTCGTATTTGCAAACTGGCACCAAACGTTGCCTGTATCGATTCATTCCTAAATCATCCTGTTACAGAACCAGTTTCAGAATAAGTGTCCTGACCCCGTGTCCTCAAGAAAATGCGGAGCTGGCTGTGGCCCCTGCCTTTCTCCATCTCTTGGCTGCCCGCCCTTCACACCGTCTGTCTATGGACAAGTGGAGGTAGTTCCCGGCTGCAGGACATGCCGGAGAGATGCGTCCCTGGTGGGCAGATGGAGGGTGAACGGCACAGCTGCCCCTCCAGCTGGTCCTCGTCCCTGGCCAACCCAGGCCTACCCACAGCTCCCTCAGCCTTTCAGAAGTAGAAAACACCCTGTTGGTCCCCGAGCTTGTTGGTACTAGGGACCAGTTTGGTGGAAGACAATTTTTCCACAGACTGGGAGTGGGGGGATGGTTTCAGGATGATTCAAGCACATTACGTTTACTCACTATGCATTTCATTTCTGTTTTATTACATTGTAATATATAATGAAATAATTATACAACTTGGCATAATGTAGAACCAGTGGTAGCTCTGAGCTTGTTTTCCTGTAACTAGGCGGCCCCATGGCGGGGGTGGGGGTGATGGGAGACAGTGACAGATCATCAGGCATTAGATTCTCATGAGCTCGAACCTAGGGCTCTCCCTCACATGCACAGTTCACAACAGGGTTCACAGTCCTGTGAGAATCATGCCCCAGCTGAGCTGACAGGCAGTGGAGCTCTGGCGGTCACGCGAGCAGTGGGGAGTGGCTGTAAATATAGATGAAGCTTCACTCGCTTGCGCAGGGCCCACCTCCTGCCATGCAGCTTGGCTCCTAGAGGCCATGGACGGGTACCAATCTGTGGCTGGGGGCTGGGGACCCCTGCCCTTGGGGATTCGTGTCTATAGTTTCCTAGAATGTGTTAAGTCTGCCTTGCGTGCTGGGAGAGATGCAAATGCTGTGCCTATAGAAACTGTGTTCCACCTGCTGGGAACACACCAGTGAGGTAGGGCCGGGGCTGCCAGGATGCCAGAGATCCAACTTCCTCTCAGAGAATCGTGCAGGAGTGAGGTAGGGCTGGGCCGCCAGGATGCCAGAGATCCAACTTCCTCTCAGAGAATCTTGCAGGAGTGAGGTAGGGCCGGGGCCGCCAGGATGCCGGAGATCCAACTTCCTCTCAGAGAATCGTGCAGGACCCCTTCCCCGGCCACCTGGGCGAGTTGCCGCTCCTGCCACTTCCTCCTGGGACAGCCTGATGGGGCGGGGCTGAGCGCAGGGCAGAGGGGTGGTCTGGGCCGGCCCTGCCCCTGCCCCCTGGCCCTCAGCCCCCGGGTCCTTGGCTGTCGGTGAGGTGCTCCTGCTCTGTGACTCCGAGACCCACCCGACTTGTCCTCGGCCCCTCGGCGCTGCAGGCCCAGGCCCTGGTAACCAAGTGCAGCTCAGCCTTGCCGCGCGATCCTGCAGCCGCCACTGGGCAGCCCGCTTTGTTCGTGGCCTCCCCACTCTGTGGGTAGCAAATACTGAGTGGGAAAGGAATCTTAGCAGGCGTCGAATTCAGCTCCCCAGCCAGCCCAGTGGGAATCTCTGGCATAGCGCCCAGGAGTGATTGGCTGAGGCTGCACAAACCCCACACGGAAAACATTGCTGGGTTCAGACAGAACCTTGAGAGCAGATTCTTCGTGGTGTGACTCGAATCTCACTGCCTGGGGTTGCCACGGCCCTGTGTTGGCTGAGCGCTCTCTGCTCTGTTTGCCTTGCCCCGGGTTACGGTTTCCAGATATGTCCTGATTCCGATGCTCCTCCTCTGTGCATGGACAGCCCCGGGGATGTTCACAGCAGATGGAGCTGTGCAGACCGGAGCAGACGTCCCCGCCCTGTTCTGGGCGCTGCCTTTACTGCTGTACCTGCTGTGGCAGGCGCGTTGGGGTGATCTTAAGTTGCAGTCACGTGTGTTGCCTTGTGGTCCGACTTTGAATTCTAGCTGCATTCCTTAACTTCCATTAGTATTCAATTTCATTTTTTAGATGCGGTCTTGACTGACCTTGTCAGAGTCCAGGCTCCCGAACTAGTTTGAGATCTGGGACTCAGCAGCACCCGGCACGCTGCCGTCCCTCCTGTTCTTTGGCGCCTTTGACGGGCAGCACATCTTCTGTATTCACACCCGTGCCCTCCGTGGGAGCACCAGGACCCGCCACTGAGCCCCCTCTGGGAGGACCCCGTCACACGCCTGCTGGCTTCCCGATGCAGAGGATACGGCCGAGGGCCCTTTCGCCCCAGGGGACCTGCAAAGGAGGACCTTGGAGGCTCTGGGACGCCCTGCTCAGTGTCCAGGGTTGACTGTGAAGGGCTTCTGTCTGCAGGCCCCAAGGCCACCTTGCCGGCACTCACGGTGGTCTCTGTTGTGGGCGTGAGTTCCATCCTCACCTTTGACCTCTTTCAGATAACCGTTTAGACAGCTCTACAGTCTGACAGCAGCAGCGGTTATTTGAAGGTTTTCATGCTGTGTTGGTTTCCACGTTCGTTACTCATTTCTGCTTATGAGCAGCTTCTGCCTGGGCCCTGCTAGCCCCACCTCACTGCTGCTGTCTGAGGGTGGACAGAGGGCAGCTCCAGGGACGGCCAGGACACGGGTCAGCCTGCTGAGGCCCACACATCTCTGGAAGGTTTTAAATTAAATGTATGTACCTTATTTTAAAGGATGGAAATGTAGAGTGCAAGGGAGGAACATAGAATTCTAAAGGGAAAAGAAGTAAATGCTACATAGGTGCACAGAAAAGGACCTGGGGTCTCTGCAGGGCTCGGGCCCAGGTCTTCCGGCACCTACAGGGACCACGCAAACCCTGGAACACTGTCCTCCGCTTACCGTCACCGTGGAGTTTCCACTGCACATGGCAAGCCCGGTCTTCCCTGGGAGTTCCCAACCCTAGAAGCAGAGGGGACGCAGCCCCCTGGTGTCAGAGCAGGGCAGGGCAGGCCTGGCCCTGTGTGCGCACAGCCCTGTCCCGGCCCTGGGGTGGAGCGTAGGTGTGGGATCACAAGCTCAGGTGTGGGGCCGAAGGTCACAGCGCTCCTCCTGCGGCCTGGACGAGACCCCCTGTGGGGCTGTGAGGGTGGGGTGGAGCCCAAGGCACATAAAGCTGGCACACAACTTCAGCTCAACAAACATGTTATTCAAACTCAGAAGGGGGAAGAAAACTTGCCAAACCAAGAATACTGACTCCCATGAGCCGAAGGCTTTTGGAATTCTCCCCACCCTGCTCTGAGCTGGATTCAGAAGCCGGCTTTCAGGATACACCTTGTGGTCCACCAGTCCTGAGCCGCAGGACTGTGGTCCAGGGCACCACAGTGGTGCAAGATGCAAGGTGCATTCTGCAGAATCAGAGCCCTGAGGCAGTGGCAGCAGCCTCCAGCGGCCCCCAACAGCAGCCCCCATGGCCCCCAGCAGCGGCCCCTAGCAGCCCCCAACAGCCCCCCAGTCTTCCACAGCTTTTCCCACAGGGGTTTTGTGACATGATCTTGATCTGCCTCTTCCTGAAGCCCATTCTGTGAATTCCTCTGCTCGCCATAATTCACTGGGACCCCCATGTCAACACACCCTGTGCTTTGCAGCCATTCATGGACATAGATGGGGCATTGTGAGTCTTGTGTTAGTCATGGGCCTCCTGGAGGTGCCCAGAGGACAGAGAGGAGGGCAGCACCGGAGCTGTGGCTGTGGGGCCAGTCAGATGGGTTTGAACTCAACTCTGGGACCTGCTGGTGGGGCAGCGCTACTTACTGTTTCTCTTTTGAAAAGCAAAAGAAAATAGAATCTACCAGGGTGAGTTGTTGGGATTTAAGATTCAGATCAGTGTGATGCGTGTGTGGGTACACACACATGTCCCGTGTGAGTTGGTCTCCAACTCACCTCAGTGTTCACTTCCTGGAACATAACTACCTGGAGTCATGAGAATGGACCGTATTTTCTTTCTGGCCTTCCAGGAAAAAAATATAAGCTCTAAAAATCATCCTATGATTTTATCCTTCTACTTTCTGAAGCAAATTCATTAGCCCTTCATTGGCCTGAAAAGTGACGTGACAATATTTTCAGTAAACCTGTAACTGAGAAAATAACTTTCCACACTATAAAGAATTAAACAAGAGTGAACTATTGTTTCTGTCTTCACTGCTCAGGTGTGACAGCAATACCTGTCATTATTAATTTCTACCATCAAAACATGTTTCATCCACATGTCATCTTGTTCATCCGTCACATGTCACATGTTCATCTGTGTTCTTCACAGAGTAAAAGCCACCACCAGTCTGTGCGAATCGGAACTGCATGGAAAACCCAATTACTCAGCAGGTACTTAGAACATTTCTTATCTGATCTTTTCCACATGGGTAAAATGTGTTTCTGCCCTTGGAGAGCTTCCCCGCCCAGTGGAGATGTTGGCGTATTCCATGGAAAAGCCATTTTGCAGAGACTTGGTGTCTGTCCTGCTGTGGACAAGTGCCGTTCCTGGGCTCTGGTCTGTGCATTTCTGAGGAGCCGATGGGTCCTGCCTTGCTGAGAACAAGCAACCGTCTTCCAGGAGCTCCTCAGCTCGCACCGTGACGGCTTCCCCCCCCTCTAAACCCCAACAGGAAGGAGCAGCAGAGAGAGCGGCGTTTTGGTGCTCAGGGAACAGACTGACGCTGGCCGATGGGCACAGGTTCCCGCCAGGGCCCCATGCCTGTGCCTCCGGGGTGGCCCTGACCTTGTCCTTGACCCCAAGGGGGGCTCAGGGTAAGTGGTGCCAGGCAGCCTCCCCCAGCCCTGGCAGCTCCCTAAGTCACCGTGGAGGCCAAAGAGCGGGTGGGGGAGTGATTAAGAAGAAAAATAAAAAAGACGACAGCAGCCTTGGCCACCACACGAGCCACAGCTAACCTTACTCTCTGTGGAGCTGTCCACACAGCTTCCCGGACTGGAAGTCACGTGTGTCGCTGGGGACTGACCCCGGGAAGCAGTGGTCCAGGGATGTTGGGAGCGAGGATGCCCCGTGGGCTCTGGGACCCGCCCTCACCTGTCACTCGGACCCTGGGTCACCCGGCTCCAACCTCATCTTGCCTTTGCTCAGAGCCCTCTCTCCCCCCTCTCCCTCCCCAGGGCCTGCCTGCCACCCAGGTGGGCCTCCTCCCCTTTCCTGACCAGCCCAGCTGTGCCCCACAGGCCCCTCCCCACTCTCCAGGTCACCATCTCACAGTCATGCAGTGCCAGTCCCAAGGCACGTGGTGTCCTGTTGGTCAGCAGCAGAGCTTGGCCACAGAAACTGCTGGACATGGTGTTTTCTGCTTTGCAGTTCCCTGGGACCATTTGCACCGCCCTTCCCCACCCCTAACGCTAGTGACTGGTGTGGCTGACACTGGACAGCTGGCATAGGCCTCACAGAGACATCTCCCTGAAGCCTGCACCCTCGCCCCACCCTGGGCCTTCCTCACTCGCCCCAGGCACGCAGTGGGGGTGGGGTGCTGGCACAGCCTCCTGGGCTGCTGGGGGGGTTAGAAGGCACAGCGCAGTGAGGGGTCGGTGTAGCAGCCTTGGCAGATTTAGCATCGTCCTGATTTCGTAGCCTCCCTTAGAGACCCCCACCCAGGGCAGCCAGACCTGGTGTCTTCAGCTGCTGTCAAATGGGCCCCGTCTTTTCTCTGCAGGGACAGGGAGGAGGAGCAGCACAGGATGCTGAGCAGGGCCTCTGGAGTGACAGGGCGGAGGGAGACTCCAGGACCCACAAAGCCCCTGCCCTGGACAGCGGGAAAGCACAGTGAGGATGGTGCCAGGCCGAGGCTGCAGCCCAGCAAGAATGACCCGCCCTCCCTGCGCCCCATGCCCCGCGGCTCCTGCCTGCCCTGCCCGTGTGTCCAGGGCACTTTCAGGAACTCGCCCATCTCTCACCCGCCGAGCCCGTCCCCCAGTGCCTACTCCAGCCGGACCAGCAGACCCATGCGGGATGTCGGTGAGGACCAGGTGCACCCTCCCCTCTGCCACTTTCCCCAGAGGAGCCTGCAGCACCAGCTCCCTCAGCCTGGAGCTCAGCGTTTTGCCACGAGGGGCTATCCCATGGAGGACATGAAGCTGCAAGGTGTACCGATGCCTCCGGGGGACCTGTGTGGTCCGACGCTGCTGCTAGATGTGTCCATCAAGATGGAGAAGGACTCTGGGTGTGAGGGTGCTGCAGACGGCTGTGTGCCCAGCCAGGTGTGGCTGGGGGCCAGTGACAGGAGCCACCCAGCCACCTTCCCTACCAGGATGCACCTGAAAACAGAGCCAGACTCTCGGCAACAGGTGTACATCTCGCACCTGGGGCACGGCGTGCGGGGGGCTCAGCCCCATGGGAGGGCCACTGCTGGGCGCAGCAGGGAGCTGACCCCTTTCCACCCTGCACACTGTGCCTGCCTGGAGCCCACAGACGGCCTTCCCCAGTCGGAGCCTCCCCACCAGCTCTGTGCACGGGGCCGAGGTGAACAGTCCTGCACCTGCAGAGCTGCTGAGGCCGCCCCTGTGGTCAAGCGGGAGCCCTTGGACTCACCCCAGTGGGCTACTCACAGCCAGGGAATGGTGCCCGGGATGTTGCCCAAAAGTGCCTTGGCCACGCTGGTCCCGCCCCAAGCTTCGGGGTGCACATTCCTGCCATAGCGCAGTGACCACCATCCAAGCTCAGATCTGTGTGTCTACGCTCAGATGCGTCGGTGGCTGGGCTGCCCTGCTCCTGGTCAGGCCGGAGCCCGTCCTAAGACACACGCTTTGCAGAGCTGTGCATGCGCAGTCTGCTAGTGTGTGTGTGCAGCATACGCAGGAGCCTATCCTGAATTTTGTAAAATATCCCAACAGTTCTTAAATGAAAACTGGCCTTAAGTCTATTCAAGCATGACAGCATTTCTCTTTGAGGAATTAAAATCTTTAGGAAAGTGATCATGGCTGGACAGCTTCATGCCCCAGAGGCAGCGAGCACCCGTCCCATGGCTGCCAAGTCCACAGTCGGGGATGAAGCAGTCGGGTGATGCTCCCAAGTCCGCAGTCGGGGATGAAGCGGTCGGGTGATGCTCCCAAGTCCGCAGTCGGGGATGAAGCGGTCGGGTGACACACCTAGCTCAGCCCTCCCAGGCCACCTGCAGCTCCCAGCCTGTGCTGTGCAGGCAGGGTCAGCCCATCGCCACAGTGCACTGTAGAGGCCAGCACACGGCAAATTAGAAATACAACACGCGGAGAAAGGGGTCCGTGAGCCCACTCATAGAGGAATCTAGAACGTTCCAGGCAGCAGAGGCTGGCAGCGTGGGTCCCACACTGCCCCACACCGTGCGGCAGGTGCTCCATGGCGCCATGACAGAGTCTGAGGCCAGACCTGGACTGGAATTGACAGCATAACCCCTGTTCCTTCTGGACATCTCCCGAGTTCTCAGTGGGTCTCTGCGGACGGTTCTTCCTAATCTGCCTCTTGGTACATCACGTAATACAGAGTTCACAGACTCCGGGTTTGGAAGTACAGAGAAACACACAACGTAGAGAGAAGACACAGGAAACTGCGCTGCCTGTGGGGGTTTCTCTCTGGCTGGCTGTACAGTTCACTCAAATGAGGGTTCCCATTGCCATCCTAGGAGAATAATTAGGGACAAGACAGACAAGTATTAATAGCATTAAAACAGTTGTAAAGGCGATATTTTCTGAGAGTAGGAAATTTGGATACAAAAGCATAAGTCAGAAAGTGAAGGTCACCAATCCACCAACCCGAGAACCTACAGCTGATGGTGCATTTCAGGCTTCTTCCACGGTCTGGCCTGGAACCCCACCCGGCTGGTGCAGGCATCAGATCAGGGTGTAGAAGTCACCCCAAGCAAGAGGAAGCCAGGCAGTGAGGCCCTGGGGTGTGGCTGCAGCTGGGCCCACCTGTGCGGGGGTGGGAAGGCCCCATCCTCAGGGAGAGGGCATCGGCGCCCTGACGTCAGCTCCACTGGGAGTGGCAGGAGCTGTGGGAGCCCATGGGTGAGGGACCCACCACCCCGCTGCACTGTGCATTGTGCCTCCCGTGTGGACGCCCTCTCTGTTGTTGGCCCGCGGGTGAGGGACCCACCACCCCTAGGGACCCACCACCCCGCCGCACTGTGCATTCTGCCTCCTGTGTGGACGCCCTCTCTGTTGTCAGTGGCTTTGAGGTGTCAGTGCTTACTTAGATGCTGGTTTAATGCTGGACCCATTTGTTAAACGCACCTTCACTTTGTCAAAACCCAGGTTTGGTTGGCAGGACTGGGTCTTCTGCCCAATGCCAGGTGCCTGCGCCTCTCAGTGGCCTGGTTCTTGGACAGTTTGCCCCCATGTGGCAGGGATAGGGATAAGGATCTCCTCTCAGTACTGGAAGAGAACAGCCAACCATCTGAGCCCAGAGTCACAGATCCATCGTGGCCCCCTATGACCCCCAAGCCCTACCGAGGGGGCACTCACTCTCTGCTTAGCCAGGGGGCGTCTTTCAAAAGGTGACCTCCATGCTGTGCTGTCGTGGGTGTGAGACGTGCTCATGGCCTTCCACTGCCATCTCTCCCTTATCTGATGCCTAAAGTCACGATGGGGACAGAGCTACCCAGGGGCCAGCCATGGGGTGACCAGCCACCTGAGGGTCAGTCACCTGTGGAGAGCAGGCACCTGTGAAGACCAGGCACCTGAGGACTGGCGCCTACTTCCCACTTTGGCCCTACACTGGCACAGAGCCCCTCTTTATTCATTTCTCATGCTGAGCATGGCACACTTCTGGCCTCTGGGCATTTATGGATTTAAGACCAGGATGGTATTTCAGAAGCTTCCCACTTCCTTCCTATTCTAACCGAGTGCCCAGCTCCTTTGCTGATCATGGAAAGACCCTTAATAATTAGGCCTGCAGGCCAGGCGCAGTGGCTCATGCCTATAATCCCAGCACTTTAGGAGGTCAAGGTAGGAGGATCGCTTAAGCCCAGGAGTTCAAGACCAGCCTGGGCAACACAGGAAGAATGTGTCTCTACAAAAAATAATTAAAAATCAGATCTGCTGTATCCCTGAAAAAGTCTCAATCAACATGCATGTTCCACTCTTGGAGTTCCCTGTTCTGAGGGCCAGCCACGTCCTGTGTCCTGGAGCTTAGCCCTCAGCAGCTCCCTTCAGCCTGGGCGCCGCCTGGGTCCCAAACGTGGCAGCTGCTCTTCCAGTCTCGGGGCCGAGGAGGGCAGGGAGCTCAGTGACTGAGAGTCTTGTGTATCACATGTCTTGAGTGTCCTGGAGCCAACGGCTGTCACTGGGAAAAACACCAGGCCCCAAAGATCGAATCAGAGACGTGGCTGCGTGTTTGCGATTGTAGCCAGGCCCTTCAGTGTCATCAAAGGAGCACTGGGGCCTCCTTAAGCACAGACGGCAGCCCCTGCCCAGGAGGCTTCTTCACCACGTCCTGCCCTGCAGCCTCCCAGACCTTTAGATGCGCCCCTGCCCAAGGCCCTCCTGGTGACAGGTGCCAGATTGAGTGGTGGGTTGCTGCCAGGCAGGCCACGCTGTGTTGACGCTGCACTCAGCACGTGGGTGTTGGCTCTGCCGGTTTTGTGGTGTGGGGACCCTACAGGAGGCTGCGGCCCTGAGAGCCTGGGATCAGCGAGGTGTCCGACATCCCTTCCTCAACGGCAACAAAAACTCCCCAAGTCAGCACTTTGGTTATTTTATAGCCACAACCCTCTTGGAAAACAGTGGGGAAGACTATGGAACATAGAAAGTGTGGATGTATCACTTCTCTCTAAAATGTCATTGTTAGCACTAATTACAGGTTCATGTTTTTCTGTGTATGTAGCTTTTCCCTATATAGCTGAAAAAGTATTAAAGTCAAATATAAGGTGGGAATGGGATGGAAGGGAGGAGATCAATACAACTTATATTTTTGCAGTTTCTACTGGAAGAAAAAAGTTTTCAATACCTAGACCAACTTGTTGAATTTTTAAAACTTATGCACTATAAATGCAACTTTCTCTACTGCTTTCTCAGTGCCTTTAGGAAGCTTTCAAATTTTTTTGTACTGTGGTTTGTATTAAATTTGCAATATTGATGTAAAATACATGACATGCTAGTACATGTTTAACAAAAATTTAAATGTTTGCGGAAGTCTGCGTGATTTTCCAAAGTCACTTTATTTCCTTTAAAGAGTGTGCTGGTTAATCTACATTCTAAGACAGCCTTTCACCACTAAATATAAGGCAGCAATAAAAATAAAAACTCTAGAGCCGCAAGCCTCGTGAAGGAGGAGAAAATGCCTGCCATCTCCCTGCTCCTGACCAGTGGCATCTAGAGAGGGCCTAGGCCCCCCTCCCCTGTCACTGAGGGTCAGGGCCCCTCCTGGGTGCTCTCAGGACGTCCCAGACCTGACCCGTCCTGTAAGAAGTGAGGAGGGTAGAGCTGAGGGCACTGTGGGTCCGGGGCCATGCGGGGTCCACCCTGCCTGGCACAGGGCCTGCACGACAAGCCCATGGGAAGGGGGAAGGGCCCAGGCAGATTACGGCCAGACCCCTCAATGCCATCGAAAAAAGTGCTGGGGTCTCCTTAAGCACAAACGGCAGTCCAAGGCCCAGGGAGCTGCGCTTTTGTTTCCTTTCAGGCATCTTTAGAGCCTGCGCAGCCCCTGCCAGGCCTCCTTCGCACCCTGCAGCCCATCAGCAAACCCGTCCTGGTCACTCGTGTAAGACTCCCGTGTCCTCCCCCAGGACCAGGCCAGCCCTCCCATCTGTGGCCCCACAACTTGACCCACCCTGCCCCCCATGCCCTCTCCTCTGTGGCCTCAGGCAGATGGAGTTCCCGCATTTTCACTCCTCACCCCCAGTCTGGCTTCTGCTGAGTGTGCCTGTGTGGAGTTGGAACGCATACAATTCTTTTTTCTTTTCTTTTCTTTTTTTTTCCTGAGATGGAGTCTCACTCTGCTGCCTAGGCTGGAGTGCAGTGGTGCAGTCTCGGCTCACTGCAGCCTCCACTTCTCAGGTTTAAGTGATTCTCCCACCTCAGCCTCCAGAGTAGCTGGGACTACAGGCATCCACCACCACGCCCAGCTAATTTTTGTATTTTTAGTAGAGACTGGGTTTCACCTTGTTGGCCTGGCTGGTCTAAAACTCCTGGCCTCACATGATCAGCCTACCTCGGCCTCCCAAAATGCTGGAATTACAGATGTGAGCCACCACGCCCAGCTGGACGCACACAATTTCATCTCACCAGGCGCTGCCCAGCGTCCTCCAGAGGGGCTGCACCCACTTGGCCTCCCTTCTACCAGCCACACCTCCTGGGCTCCCATCCTCACCCCACACTGGCACCTGTGTGGACAGACTTTTTCAGTCTTGGGCTTCTGAAGGGATGAAACGGCAGCTGTTTTATGTGCATTTTGTTTATTCATTCGGCATATTTTTAGTCCTTGTTGAGTATCAGGCCCTGCACCAGTGCTGGGGACGCATTCAGGAGAAAACGATGCAGACATCAGTGCTGTCCCAGAGCTGGCGTCTGAACATGTGTGATGTGCGGTGTGTGCGTGTGCAGGGGGAAGGGGTGCAGGCAGCTGAACGTGACCATGAGAACCCCGTAAACTCTGCGGGGCATGGAGGGGACCGGTGCTTTGCAGGTGCACAGAGCTGGGGCTGGGGGTGGCCCAGGTCTTTGGGGGCAGTTTTATGCAGGACGTATGGACGGCTGGAGCTGAATAGCGAGTGGGGGAGGCTGCATGGCCGCAGTGAGGTCTGGCTGACAATAGAGCAGGGCCTGGGTCATGGCTCATGGTCTGGTCAGGTCAACGGACACCCTAGTCATGGCTCAGAGGCTTCAGCAGGGCCCCGTGGGGAGGGTGTGGGGACAAGGTCTCCCTGAAGGCCGAGGGAAGCAGCTTATTCCCCGGAGCCAGTGGCTCTTGTCCTTTACCCGTTTCTTGCTGCACTTGTTTGCCCTTTTAGATCAATTTGCAGGAGTTCTGTTTTTATTCTGGATAGCAATTTTCTTGTCAGTTACAGATGCTGACAATGTTTTCCCTCAGTCTGTGGCTTGGCTTTTCACTTAAGGATTTAAAAATTATATCCCACAAGAGTTTAAGATTTTAATATAGCAACTTTTCTATTTTATTCTTTATGGCTTATGCATTTTGCATCTTAGGAAAATAACTATCTTTGACAGTGGCTTTTGACCAAAAACCCATGTTGTTTGATATTCATATCCCCACACCAGCTTCTCGGGCCTGGCTGACCCACGTGTGAAAAGCCTCCAGTTCTAATCGTTGTTTCTTGATGCTTTAGATGTTCGCCTATGAATGTTTCACTGTTTCTAATCCACTTACTTGTGTTCTCATTACTGATACATTTCAACACAGGGTCCTCATCTTCTCCTTGCCTGCAGTCTCTGTGCTGTTGCCTGCATTTTCTCTCTTCCTGTTTCTATTTCTGTAGTGGCTAACCTTAATGTGGGCATTTAACAAGGTCTAAGCAGGAGCTAAGCACGGTCTCTATTCTCCCAGAGCAGGGTCAGGACTGTGGGTGCTTCAGTGCCCTCCCCTCCCTCCCCCTCGAGTTTGCTCCTGTCAAGGTGGAGGAGGATCCCTCTAGCAATGACCCTGGGTTGGCTTCCGCCGAGGGCTGAGTTTAGGAACAGTCTCCAGGCTGTTGCTGTTTTCCTAGTCCACGCTTTCACTGAGGATGCATCCCTTGCACATCTGTGCTTCACATGGGAGTCGCCGTCCACCTCCCACCTGCTGGGAGCCTTAGCTTCATCATCTGTCCTGCTTCAGTGTAAAACCCAACCCCTGGGCCGCAGAACTCGCACCCTACCCACCCACCTGCCTGCTGTAGGACGGCAAGCATCTCTGCTTCTGATTCACGTCCTCTCCCCTTCCCACATTTGTCCCTGGTCACGTCCTTGCCTGTTCGTGAATCCACTTGTGCAATCGACATGATGCTTGCACTCAGCAGTGCTCCTGGGTGTTCGCAGAACATGGTCTGCCAAAAACAGAAGTCAAGAAACTTTTTTTTTTGAGACAGATTCTCCCTCTGTCACCCAGGCTGGAGTGTAGTGGTGCCATCTCAGTTCACTGCAACCTCCTCCTCCCGGGTTGAAGCCATTCTCCTGCCTCAGCCTCCCAGGGAGCTGAGATTACAGGCATGCACCACCATGCCTGGCTAATTTTTGTGGGGTTTTTTTTGGTAGAGATGGGGTTCCTACCAAAAAGACCATGTTGCCCAGGCTGGTCTCAAACTCCTGGGCTCAAGGGGTCTGCCCATCTCAGCCTCCCAAAGTGCTGGGATTACAGTTAGGAGCCACTGCGCCCAGCCAATAAATACCTTTTTTTTTTTTTTTTTTTTTTTTTTTTTTTTGAGACGGAGCCTCGCTCTGTTGCCCAGGCTGGAGTACAGTGGCGCGATCTTGGCTCACTGCAAGCTCCGCCTCCCGGGTTCACGCCATTCTCCTGCCTCAGCCTCCCGAGTAGCTGGGACTCCAGGGGCCCACCACCACACCTGCCTAGTTTTTTTGTATTTTTTTTAGTAGAGACGGGGTTTCACCATGTTAGCCAGGATGGTCTCGATCTCCTGACCTCATGATCTACCTGCCTCGCCTCCCAAAGTGCTGGGATTACAGGCGTGAGCCACGGCGCCCCGCCAAGAAAGACTTCTAATCAATGTTTTGTTAAGAAGTTACTAGACAGTCCTCCATCCAAATTCACTACCAGACACTGATATAATAGTATGAGTCTTTAGTTCATAATACTCAATGTTACTATATTTTTAAGAGTCCTAAAAGCTTTGGCAATTTTGGCAATTTTTTCTTCATTAGTTTCAAAATTTCTTTACAGTCATAATTTCTAACACAATTTTAACTTTTTTACTTTTTTTCATTGCTCAACTTGTTGCTAGATTTTCAGAAATTACAAGGAAAAACTGAAATAATAGAGCCGGGGTCAGTGTCAACATCAGCAGGGCACGGGGCAGGGCTCCCTGTCGGAGTGGCAGTGGGGGCTCCCGCAAGCTCCATCTCCTTCCTGTGTGCCCCTGCCCCATGCTGCTGCCACTTCCCTGGTCTCTGCTGGCTTCCCTGCCACCTTCCAGACCCTTCCTTTCGTGTGGCTAATTTTCAGGAGGGGCAGGGGCACAACCTAGCAGCTCCAACCTATGAAAGACTTTGTCAGTTGGTGTGTCAAAGCCAGCATCTTTTATCAAACAGACAAACCCTGAACGCTCGTGGTTTAGCACGTGCTTCTTCCTCCAGGCGAAGCCAAGTGCTGGCCATGGGCCTCTCCTCCAGGAAGCGACTCAGGACCGGCCCTCTGCAGCGCGGCCCAGTGACCCACATTCATTCTCCAAGACCTGCGCTGCTGGGCCTCTGAGGGGCCCCGGAAACATCCGGTGGCCACCCATCCCACTGGCATTGTTCCCACGAGGGTGCCAATGACTGCGCTCCTGGAGGGGCTGAGTTCGTCTTTGGGTCCAGGAGGTACCCAAAGCCGCTTGTCTGCTGGTGGCAGGTATGACAGACGTTTGATTCCCAACCTTCTCCGCTTTGGTTTCTTCGTTTACTGAATGCCCGGCGCCCACCTCAGTCCGCGGGAAACGAGGGACGCCCCTGCCACACTGCAGTGCGGACGACGAGGCCAACATAAAGACAGCAGGCATCAGCAGAGGATGGAGACAGCGGCTCTGGGGCTGTCTTCTCTCCGCAGGTTGGGAAGGGAAAGGAGAGAAAATGCACGCAGTCACGCTCGGCGGAGGCGTCCAGGACTGCGCCCGCCCTGGGGAAGGGCGCACGCGGTGGTCGCCAGGGGCAGCGAGAGGGCCTGAGTTGGGGGGGCTGGGACGGACAAGAAGCCCCCCACCTCGGCGGTTTCCCTGTCCTGCTGGGGAGCGGCCATGGGGCAGGTCCCCGAGCTGAAGTCGCTCGGCCGGGAGACGAGTACCCGCCCCGCGGGAGGGCCCGGACCCGTGCTTCCGGCGCCGTTGCCGGAAGCGGAAGTGCCCGCGCGCTGTCCACTTCCGGCCGGGACCCCGGAGGCGGAGGCAGCGAAGGCGGAGGGGGCGGCGGGGGCGGCGGCGGCGGCGGCGGCGGCGGCGGCGGCGGCGGCGGCGGCGGCGTAGCCGTAGAGGGTGAGTCGGTGGCAGGTCCTGACGGCCGGCGGGTCCTTGGGAGGTGGTCGCCGTCTTTCATCCTTGCTCTCCCTGTCTCTGGCTTCCGCGGGGGCGCGTAGGGGGAGGCCGGACCGGGACCTGGAGGGCGGGGAGGCCGTTCCGGACCCCGTGGAGTATCCCGCTCGTGCGAGTGTCCTCGGCGCAGGTGTCCTCCCCGGCACATGTGTCCCCCCCAGGCGTAGGTGTCCCCTTGGCACATGTGTCCCCACAGGCACAAGGTCCTTCCTGGTGCAGGTGTCCCCTTAACAGTGTCTTCCCCCACGCCCCAGGCGCTGGTGTCCTTCCTGGCACAGGTGTCCCCCCTCGGAGCAGGTGTCCCTCCTTGGGGCAGATGTCCCTCCAGGCACAAGTGTCCTTCCTGGCGCAGGTGTCCCCTCGGCGCAGGAGTTCTCCAAGGTGCAAGTGTCCCCTCAAGCACAGGTGTCCCTCCCAGGCACAAGTGTACTTCCTGGTGCAGGTGTCCTCTTGACGGTGTCCCCCCCCAGGCGCAGTTGTCCTTCCTGGCACAGGTGTCCCCCCTCGGACCAGGTGTCCCTCGTCGGAGCAGGTGTCCTTCTGGGCACAAGCGTCCTTCCTGGCCTTTAGGAAGCTTTCAAGGTGCAGGTGTCCTCCAAGGTGCAGGTGTCCTCCAGCGGAGTGTCCCCTCCGTGAGGTGCCTCCCAGCACAGGTGTTCCCCTCGGCGCAGGCGTCCCCCCGGTAAAGGGTCCCTCCTGGCAGAGGTGTCTGCCCGGCAGAGGTGTCTCCCTGGCGCAGGTGTCTCCGTGGGTGCTGATGTTCCCCGCAGTAGGGTGTCCCCCCGCTCGGCGGAGAGGCTCACAGCGGAGCCAGCGCCAGGGGAAGGCAGTCAGAAAGGCCCTGGTAGGGGCTGGACCTGGGTCTCTGTTTATGGTCTCTGAGTTCCTCTTTGGCTTCTGTGACCCAAAATCTTTAGTCTTCAGGCTGGGATGGAAGCCTCTGCGGTGCGTTTTTTAACTCCAGATTTTCCCCTTTTCCACATGAGTAGCTTTATTCTGACTCCAAGGCGAGCCCTGCTTCACAGCTCTCCACTCACATTGCCTTGGCTTCCACCCACAGCGTGACAGACTTCACTCCAGCCTTAAGATGGGCGCAGCCACCTCACCGCGTGCCCCAGCAGAGCGGCTGGGGGTCCACTTCTTGGGTTATTATCCAGCCCTATAATCAAAATCATACAGGCTTTAATGTCAATGGAAATGCTGATGATAATGTCCAAACAAAATAAGAAAACAAAAGTGTGCACCTACAAAGTCATATAAGCAGTGGAATCTTAGCTTTAAAAGAAACTCAAAGGGAAAAAACTGGAAGGAAACAAGCCCTGTTGGAGGGAGTTGCCCCTGAGTGTCGGGATTTAAGGGGAGTTGTCCCTGGGTGGCGGGATTTAAGGGGAGTTGCCCCTGAGTGGTGGGATATAGCGGGGGTTACCCCTGAGTGGTGGGATTTACGGGAAGTTGTCCCTGGATTGTGAGATTTAAGGGAAGTTGCCCCTGGGTAGCAAGATTTAAGAGGAGTTGCCCATAGATGATGGGATTTAAGGGGAGTTGCCTCTGGCATCTTTGTATTTTTGTCCTGTCCAGATTTTCTACGTTGGTATGCCAAATTTCATAATCAGAAAATAAAGAGAAAGGAAAGGTTGCAATGTAGGTCCAGATGAAAAAGGAGAAGAGAGGTGTCTGAAAGCATGTGGGCATGGAGAATGAAAAATTCCAGGAGAAGGTGAATCTTTTTAATATTCATGAAGATGAAAATCAGACAGCTGAAGTCAAGGGGAACAGGTGTATCGGATTCCCTCATTGACTGATGCTCACCAAGCAGCTGTGTTAGCTCCCCGAGGAGGACGATGGTGGAGGGAGCATGGAAGGCAGGCTTGCCTGGCATCTGAGCACCTGTGGTCTGCACGGGGCCTGCATAAAGGAGGGAAGCATGATGTTTTCTAGGACAGTTAAAAAAGGGGGAAATGGGGTTTTGGATACCCAAGACAATAATGACTTTTTCTTTTTTTTTCTTTTTTTTTTTTTTGAGACGGAGTCTCGCTCTGTCGCCCAGGCTGGAGTGCAGTGGCGCGATCTCGGCTGACTGCAAGCTCCGCCTCCGGGGTTCACGCCAGTCTCCTGCCTCAGCCTCCCGAGTAGCTGGGACTACAGGCACCCACCAACATGCCCAGCTAATTTTTTTGTGTGTATTTTTAGTAGATACAGGGTTTCACCATGTTAGCCAGGATGGTCTCGATCTCCTGACCTCGTGATCCACCCGCCTCGGCCTGCCAAAGTGCTGGGATTACAGGCGTGAGCCACCGGGCCTGGCTGACTATTGTCACTTTTATAGGGTGGGAATTGTGGGGCTTGTGCTGGGCCTCCAGCTGTGGTACCTGGTCGGGGGAGTTGTCCACGCTGTATTTGTCTTCACTGAGGGTCCTGGTGCAGCTGCCCACAGGCCTGGCCAAGGTGCTGGGGGAAAGCTCCCGAAATGAGAAACCAGCCCTGTCTTGGGGAGAGATGTGCCTTTGAGGCTGACATCTACATGCTGGGTGGTCTGGGACCCACATCTAGAATCTTCGCAATGTCCATGTCTCTCATGCCTGTGAAACGCCCCTGCTCTCCCCTTAAAGGTATAACTTCTGCATGTTTGTGTTACGAAGGTTTGTTTATCTTATCAAGGAGTTCCTCATCCTAGTTCAGCTTTCTTTGAGGTTTCCTGGATTAATGATCTCAGAGGCTCTGCTTGTAGCTCCACTGTGATCACCTGATAGTTTGGGGGAGGTTTTGTACCTAACATTTCTACCGTCCTAACAACTCCTGCAGTGCACAGAGAACACCCCTAGCATGAACAGTGTGAGGATTCCACCAGCTTTTTCACCATGAAGGAGACAGACCGGGAGGCCGTTGCGACAGCAGTGCAAAGGGTTGCTGGGATGCTCCAGCGCCCGGACCAGCTGGACAAGGTGGAGCAGTATCGCAGGAGAGAAGCGCGGAAGAAGGCCTCCGTGGAGGCCAGATTGAAGGTGAGGCCACCTGCCCCACTCCCAGGATCTGTCTTGGGCTTCAGGTTCTTGCTTGACATCACCATGATGATTTTGCTAAACTAGCCTTTATGGTAATGTGCAAGGAGGCAGAGCTGGACTTTCTTGAGCAGTTACTTTCAGCAGTGTATTACCACTCAGTAGCTTTGCTTAGAAGACAGTGGGAATGGTGAAAACACCAAAGGAACAAGCTTTTAAACACCCTGAGGCCGGGTGCGGTGACTCATGCCTGTAATCCCAGCACCTCGGGGAGGCCGAGGCAGGCGGATCACCTGAGGTCAGGAGTTCAAGACCAGCCTGGTCAACATGGTGAAACCCTGTCTCTATGAAAATACAAAAATTAGCCAGGCATGATGGTTGACGCCTGTAATCCCAGCTACTTGGGAGGCTGAGGCAAGAGAATCGCTTGAACCCAGGAGGCAGAGGTTGCGGTGAGCCGAGATGGTGCCATTGCATTCCAGCCTGGGCAACAGAGTGAGACTCTGTCTCAAAAAGAAAAAAAAAACACAGAAACAAAAACAACACCCTGAAAGTGTCTATTAAGTTTTTAAACAATACTGGAGGAAGGAGAAGTAGTCTTATTTAAAGCTCTTCTACAGAGCACCACTAGAGGGCATTTTGTTCAGATTGTTTTAACTCACATTTGACAGAGAGCGGATCTGAAGCTCAGGTGCCGATTCTGTCCTGTGGGTCAGCCGTCCTGGGGCCAAGTGTGGTGCTGGCTGAACAGCAGGAACTCCCCCACCCCAAGCCAGTGAAGTCCTGACCGTTCTCTCTGCCTAGACAAGACCTTTTAGGAACCTAGGATGCCTGGGAGAGCATGGGTGACATCCTTCTGAAGGTACCGTAGCAGGCCACGGCCCAGGGCAGACCCGTGGTAGTGTCCAGGATCACCAGGTGTGAGGCTAGATGAGGAGTGTCCTGACCTTTTCTCATCAAGGCTTTAAAATGCATCATTGTTCTGTTCCCAGGCAGCAATGAAGAAAAAGGTACACTGTGAATCAATTAAATCCTTGTTGATTTTATTTTCTTTTCTGGGTATTGACTGTTTCCTGCTACTCAGTGGCTCTTTCCTGAACTTGACCCTCCTGGGGAAGATTTGTTCTTCAGGAGGCAGCGCATGGCTATCATTGGCTCTGCTCACCCGTGTGGCGTCTCTCTTTAGGCCGCCATCCAGTCACAGTTGGACGGGGTGCGCACAGGCCTCAGCCAGCTCCACAACGCCCTGAATGACGTCAAAGACATCCAGCAGTCGCTGGCAGACGTCAGCAAGGACTGGAGGCAGAGCATCAACACCATTGAGAGCCTCAAGGACGTCAAAGACGCCGTGGTGCAGCACAGCCAGCTCGCCGCAGCCGTGGAGAACCTCAAGAACATCTTCTCAGGTACCAGCCAGACGCCGAGGCACTTGCCCCCACTCACGCTGTCTTTGCATGACTCACTGAGTGCTCTGTGTGCAGTGTGCTTTGCAGCCCGCACTGTAGACCTGTAGACGGTAAGTGTGATTCTTGTCTGCTCAGCGTCTTTTTTTGAACGTGGATGGAAGTGATCAGCTGAGCATGTAAAGGCTAGGAGAAGGCTTGTAGTTCAGTGTCAGGACAGAGGCCCAGAAGCGGGCTGCCCAGCAAATGCAGTGTGGAGGGATTCCCTGGCTGAGTGTCGTTCCCTTGCTTGCGATGTGGCTGTTAGACTCTGTGAGTGCAGAAGAATGAAGACGCCGTGGCCCATGCTTAAAAGGAGCTGCAGGAGAAGCCACCCTGTGCATGGGACAGAGCAAGCAGATCCCAGAGCAGAAGGGTTGAGGCGAGCAGCAGCTCCCAGGCAGGAGGAGAAGCGTGTGTGCACAGGCCAGGGCAGAGGCGGGGCTGAGCGCCGTGGGGGAGTGACCCTTTCAGTCTTCTCCCTGAATGCCTCAGTTAGAAGGATGCCAAGGGCCCTGTAACCTGTCCCTGAACGGTGCCAGCTGGCCCTGGGTGGTGGCTCCCAGCATTTGTGTTCACAGTCTCCTCCTGCTTGCTGTGACAGGAGCTGCTTCCACAGCCTCATCCCTCCCCTTGGTCCCCGCTCTGTGTCAAGGTCAGCAGCATCCTTCCAGTCCCCAACTCAGAAGCCTTGGCAGGGTCTGATTCCTTCCCTTTCTTTGTTCCTGTCTCTGGCCTCTTGGCAAGTTCTTCCTGTTCCTCTACCAGACGTCTCTGCCCTGATGTCTGTATGACACTTCCCCATCCCCAGCCGTCACGTGCCCCAGCTCACCCTTCACAGTGGCTGTGCTGCATCATCTGTGACGCTGCTCGGCTCCTGAGGCCACGTGTGAATTGGCGCGGTTCTCCCCAGCTGCCCACAGCGCACCTTGGTAATCCGTGTCCCGTCCACCCTGTCCTCTCTGCCCTCCTCTCGTGCTTGCGGCTGCAGCATTGCCGAGCACCTTGTCCCGTTGCTTTGTGTGTGCCCTTCTTCCAGGGCATGATCCGTAGGGTCACATGTGTGGCTGCAGTCCGTGTCTCTTTGTGCATGCCCAACACGAACGCCACTGTGCTGCCAACTCAGAAAGCAGCTCTTCTTGGTGACTGTGGGCCGCCTGGAACAGGAATAAAGTCCTCTCGACGGAGTCTCCTTGGTGATGCTCAGCTGGCAGCTTTCTAGTTAATTTCCTCTTATTTCGTATTGGCTGGCTACATTTCCTTCCGGTCTTTTAAACTAATGCCTGATGACCAAAAAGGTGCATTACTGGAATTAGTTTATCCACAGCAGTTGAAAATAATTTCCTTTCCTTGGTGAACAAATGAGCCTGCGTGGTATGCATGTTTTTTGTTACGGATAAATTTTCATTGAGAAGATTGGTTTGGTTGCCTTCAGACTTGTCTCATTGCCTATAACTCAGCAATGCTGTGTACACAGCTCCCCTCCCCCATTTTTTCTTCTTCTAAAATGCATATGTACAGTTTGCCGTCTTAACCATTTTTAAGTGTACAGTTGGGGACTATTAAGAACATTCATATTGTTGTGCAACCATTGCCACATCCGTCTTCAGAACTCTTTTCATCTTGCAGACATGAAAATCTGTACCCATTAAACACTGACTTCGCACCCTCTGCCCCAGCTCCTGGTCACCACCATTCTGCCTTCTGTCTCTGTGAATTGGATGACTCTGAAGACCTCATAGAAGTGGCATCACACATTATCTGTCTTTCTGTGACATGCTTATTTCACTCAGCATGATGTCCTCAGGGGTCTTCTATGCTGTGGTATTGTAGAATTTCCTTCACTTTTAAGGCTGAATAATATTCCATTGTATGGATGGACCACATTTTGCTTATCCGTTTGTCTGTTGGTGGACATTTGAATTGCTTCCACGTTTTAGCTATTGTGAATAATGCTGTAGTGAACATGGGTGTACAGATGTTTTACTTTTATTTCTTTCTGGTATATACACACAAGTGTAATTGCTGGACCATGTGGTAATTTATGTTTAAATCTTTGAGCAGCTGCCAGACTGTTTCCTCCGGTGGCTGCAGCATTTTCCACCATGAGTGTGTGAGGTTTCTGATTCGTCTGCATTTTCATTCTTCTCTTAGGTTTTTAAAAATATCCCTTATGGCTGGGTGCGGTGGCTCACGCCCGTCATCCCAGCACTTTGGAAGGCTGAGGCAGGCGGATCACCTGAGGTCAGGAGTTTGAGACCAGCCCGGCCAACATGGTGAAACCCCGTCTCTACTAAAAATATAAAAATTAGCCGGGCGTGGTGGCAGGCGCCTGTAATCCCAGCTACTCAGGAGGCTGAGGCAGGAGAATCACTTGAACCCAGGAGGCAGAGGTCACAGTGAGCCGAGATCGCACCACTGCACTCCAGCCAGGGGGACAAGAGCGAGACTTCATCTGAAAAACAAAACAAAACAAAACAAAAGTCCCTTATGTTTCCTTTTTTGCCCCATTAATTGTTTAAGAGTATGTTGTTTAATTTCCACAAATTGGTGAATTTTACAGTTTTCCTTCTGATACTGATTTCTAATGTCATCTGTTGAGTTTGGAGAAGATACTTTGTATGATATTTATCTTTTAAAAACCTGAGTCTTAATTTGAGGCCTAATCCATGGTCTTTCCTGAAGACTGTCCCATGTGCACGTGAGAATAGTGTGTGTTCTGTTGTTGGGTGTTCTTTCTGTGTCTGTTCAGTCTGGTTGGTTGGTTGCATTGTTCAAGTCCTCTCTTTCCTTGTTTAGCTTCTGTCTGCTTGTTCTGTCCATTATTGAGAGAGAGATATTGAAGCCTCCGACTATTACAGAACTGAATGTTTTTCCCTTCAGTTCTATCCATTTTTGCTTCATGTATTTTGACGGTCTGTTAGTAAATGCAGAAATATTTATAATTGTTACATCTTCTTGCTGAACCTTCTATTAATACATATGGCCTTCTTTGTGACTAGTTTTTTTTTTTTTAATTTAAAGTATATTTCATATTTATTAGTATAACCACTCCTGTTCTCTTTTGGTTATTATTTATATGGAATATCTTTTTCCACCCTTTTACTTTCAACCTATTTGTGTCTTGGGCTCTAAGGTCAGTCTCTGGTGAACACATAGAGTTGAATCATGTTTTATTTTTTAAATCTATTTTGTCTACCTCTTTTGATTGAAGATTTTAATTAATTTTGCCTACCTCTTTTGATGGAAGAGCTTACATTTAAGTGATTACTGATAAGAAGGGACTTCTGTCATTTTGCTGTTTGTTTTCTATATGCGGTATAACATTTTTGTCTCTTATTTCTGCATTTTTTTTGTGCTTTTGATTATTTTGGTAGTAAACATTTTAATTCCCTTGTTTCTTTTGCGTATATTCTATAGCTGTTTTCTTTGTGCCTACCATAAAGATTACACTTAACATCTAACATTATCTCGCTTCAGTTTGAATTTATATCAACTTAACTTCAATAACACACAAAAACCGTCCCTATATGGCTTCATCTCCACTCCCTTTGGGTTGTTCATTTCACAAAATTACATCTTTATATATCATGTGTCCAAAATCATAGACTAATAATTGTTTTTTAATGCATTCATTTTTAAAAATTAGGTAGAAAACAATGTGGAGTTAGAATCCAAAGTTACAGTATTAGTAGCTTTTAGACTATTTTTTAATGTATTAGTTTCTTTTTTATTTGTCCCTTTTAACCAGAACAAATATTAGTCTCTTAAGTCATGTACGAAACAGAGTGATGAGTTAAAAACTGAAGTGTTAATGATACTAGATTTTACGATTGTCCATGAATTTACCTTTTTTGAGGCCTTTGCTTCTTCACGTGGCTTCCAGTTGCTCTCTAGCATTCTTTCTTCTCAACCAGTGGGACTCTATTTAAGCATTTCTTGCAGGGCAGATCTTGTGGTAACAAGCTTTTCAGCTTTTGTTTATCTGGGGATGTCTTAATATCGCTCTCACTTTTGAATGACCATTTTGCTAGATTTAAGGTTCTTGGTTGACAGTATTTTTCTTTTAGCACTTTGAATATGTCATCCCACTGCCTCTGGCCTCCAAAGTTTCTGGTGAGAAATCTGATCTGCTCATAATCTTATTTTGGAGCCCTTGTTTCTGACAAGTTGCTGCTTTCAGAATTCTTTCAAAAGTTTGATTAAGTTGTATCTTAGTGTGGACCTCTGAGTTCCTCTTGCTTGGAGGTCATTGAGCTTCTTGGATCTTCATATTCATGTCTTTCATCAAATGTGGGGAGTTTTCACCTATTATTTCTTCAAATAATGTCTTGCCCATTTCTCTCTTCTCCTTCTAAAAGTCCCACTAAGCATATGTTGGCCTGCTTGATGATGTCCACAAGGTCCCTGAGGCTCTGTTCACTTTTCTTCAATCTTTTTTCTTTCTGTTCCGGATACTTGATATTTCCCATTGTCCTGTCTTCACATTCACTGATTCTT
This sequence comes from Homo sapiens, assembly GCF_000001405.40. Lineage (NCBI taxonomy): Eukaryota > Metazoa > Chordata > Mammalia > Primates > Hominidae > Homo > Homo sapiens. Next base: position 452,289 of record NC_000005.10, read on the forward strand.
TCTTGCGCCTGTGCAGATCTGCCTTTGAATCCCTTTAGTGAATTTTTCATTTCATTTATTGTACTTTTCAGCTTCATATTTTCTGTTTGGTTTCCTTTTGGATTTTCTGTCTCATTATTGGTATTTCCATTTTGCTCATACATGTCTTTCTTCACATCTTTAAGTTCCTTAGGCATCTTTAAATCGTTGTTTTAAAGTCTTTCTCTAGTAGATCTGCCATCAGATCTTTTACAGGAACAGTTTCTTATGTTTTCCTTTGAATGGGCCATACTTTCTTCTTTCTTTGGGTGCCTTGTGATGTTTTTGTTGTTGAAAAATGGACACTTGAATCGAATAATGTGATAACTCTGGAAATCAGATCCCCTTCCCAGGTTGATGATTCTTGTTTTTGGTTGTTGTAGGCTCTCTGTGCCAAGGCACAGCCTGAGGTGTGAACTTCAAGGTCGTGTCAAGTCTTTTCTGAGCCTATGCCTTTGCCTGGGCATGCATTGGCCACTTCCGAATTTTTCCTATAAATGCAGTTACTTTTGAATGTCTTCATTCATAAATATCTGGCTTTCAAGAAGGGGAACAGATGAAGGGGGTGGTGAAGACATTGGCCCTTTAAATTCCCTGGAGCTCTGTGGGGGTGAGGAGGGACCTGTGAACAGGGGAAGATGCAACAGTGGCCACTTACCTCTTCGCACCTCTGTGGTCAGAAGCAGCAGTCAGTGATCTGAGTACAGATCTCCGGTGTGGAGGACAGGGTTCTTTTTGCCCAGCCAGGCTGCAGGCTGTGTGCAGGCAGCTTTAGGAACACATCAGCACATGCACAGCTGCCTGCGGGGTGGGAGGTGGGGCCTCGGTAGCCACTGCCCAGCTGAGAGCTGCAAATGACCACAGTTAACCACAGTTTACCATTTATGCCTTTAATAGACTCCAGAGTTCCAAAGATAGTTACCTCAGACACATCCTGCCATTGCAGTTGTTGTTAGCTAGGGAGATGTGGCTTCCTGCTCTGCCGTGTTCCCAGAACACCGCATGCAGGCAGCCTTTTATGTGGTGGTGGTTGTTTATGTTGTGTCTTGTGCCTTCTCCCTAGTGCCTGAGATTGTGAGGGAGACCCAGGACCTAATTGAACAAGGGGCACTCCTGCAAGCCCACCGGAAGCTGATGGACCTGGAGTGCTCCCGGGACGGGCTGATGTACGAGCAGTACCGCATGGACAGTGGGAACACGCGTGACATGACCCTCATCCATGGCTACTTTGGCAGCACGCAGGGGCTCTCTGATGAGCTGGCTAAGCAGCTGTGGATGGTGCTGCAGAGGTCACTGGTCACTGTCCGCCGTGACCCCACCTTGCTGGTCTCAGTTGTCAGGATCATTGAAAGGGAAGAGAAAATTGACAGGCGCATACTTGACCGGAAAAAGCAAACTGGCTTTGTTCCTCCTGGGAGGCCCAAGAATTGGAAGGAGAAAATGTTCACCATCTTGGAGAGGACTGTGACCACCAGAATTGAGGGCACACAGGCAGATACCAGAGAGTCTGACAAGATGTGGCTTGTCCGCCACCTGGAAATTATAAGGAAGTACGTCCTGGATGACCTCATTGTCGCCAAAAACCTGATGGTTCAGTGCTTTCCTCCCCACTATGAGATCTTTAAGAACCTCCTGAACATGTACCACCAAGCCCTGAGCACGCGGATGCAGGACCTCGCATCGGAAGACCTGGAAGCCAATGAGATCGTGAGCCTCTTGACGTGGGTCTTAAACACCTACACAAGGTAAAGCTAACCTGGCGCCTGTGTTGGCTCTTAGGTAGAAGCCGTGTGTGAGAGGGGCCTGCAGCTGCTTGCTGGAGAGCCGACCTCAGGGTGTTGCTCTGGGCAGGTGCTCCGAGCCCACAGCCTTGGTTTCCAGCCCAGGGGTGTCTTCTTTCTGCTCTGCCTGCTGGTGCCCAGCCTCTGGTGTTTGAACACTGTTGTGCTTGGGAGGGATCTCTGCTCTTGGCCTCCAGCCCCCGTTGAGCTTGACAGGGTGCAGCTCTGGGCTGGGCCTGTTTCCTGTGCTCACCGTGTGCTGACTTGCTTCCTTGCAGTGACACCCTGAGGCAGGTGTGTTGTTACCCCATTTTACAGGTGAGGACACATGGTCCCAGGCGGGGCTGGGACTGGCACATGGCCACCCCACTGGGGAGGAGACCACTACATCACCTCCCTGGCTTCCAGCATCCCGGGTTTGGTTTCTCTTCACCAATATCCTATAGCAGTGAGTCTTTCAAAAATAAACAGTTACAAGTCTAGATAGTTCGAGGAAACTCCATCATCCTTTTTGTATCCTAGTACGAGGTTTTGTCACTTCACTTAAGGGACCATGAACCACTCTGTGCGTGGATTAATTTGAAGTAGTGTTGAAAAATGGTGCAGTGGTGGGGGTATTCTGAAATTCTTTAAGATTAGGTAGCCGAAATGAAAATTTATTTCAATTTTCCATGGTTTCATGGTTAGAAAATAATATTAAGTAATGTATTGGAATTTCTTCTTCTTCTTTTTTTTCTTCCGCCCATCTTGTCACTGCAGTGGAGAAATTGAATAAACCTCATTTTTTTTTTTTTTTTTTTTAGCAGTAAGGCATATTTTTTTGTGTGCTTTGTTTACTGGTATCTGCTTATAGAGAATTTGCATTTCAATACAGAAGGACAGAAGAGAAAGGAAGCGCCCCCTGCAGAGAATGGTCACCGTGACGCTCTGTGCAATGGTGGCTCTCTGTGCAACCGTGGCGCTCTGTGCAACTGTGGCTCTCTGTGCACAGCCCTGGACTCACCTCCCCTGGCTGCCGCTCATCCTCATGGCCGCCCATTCTGTAGCCTTGACAGTGCAGGTCTCCCCCTCCGTGCCTGGTGTGTGTCAGCAGCCCATGAGGCAGGAGGCAGGGGACACGGCCAGTGAGTGGGAAGCTGGATTCCAGTCCCATCCCTGGGCCCTCCCGGGCCATGGCCACTAGGCTGGGCTGTGCATGTGTGCACCTTGCACAGTTTGTGTCTTGATTTTGTCTTTCCACGTTGTGAGTGTTTTTCTGTCCTTGGGGAGTCTCGTGAGTTCCATCACCCCGGCCTTTCTCAGGGGAGGTTGAAGTGCTCCACTAGAAACATTCTCACACGGAATTGAGGTTCTTGGGAAAAATAATCCAGATTAAATAAAAGTCTTTTAAAATGTGCAGAATTTTAGGAAGTACTTTTTCACTTAGGAAGCTCTCGGATTTCTTATAGTGGACTGGCTCTTAATCATTTTATTCAGTGTTACTCTGAGAACGTATTTACGGAACATAGCATGAGGCGTGTGAGTTGAAAGAATTTTCTGAGTGGTCAAACCTTAGACTTAAAAAAACTTTTTAATTTTAATTTTTGTGGGTACATAGTAGGTGTATCCCGGCTTCACGCCATTCTCCTGCCTCAGCCTCCCGAGTACCTGGGACTACAGGCGCGTGCCACCATGCCCCGCTAATTTTTTTGTATTTTTAATAGAGATGGGGTTTCACTGTGTTAGCCAGGATGGTCTCAATCTCCTGACCTCATGATCCGCCCGTCTCGGCTTCCCAAAGTGCTGGGATTACAGGCGTGAGCCACCATGCCCGGCTGATAATAACTTTCTAATGAAAACTTTTCCTGAAATGTAGCATGTGTTTCCTGTCTTCTGGACAGTAGACCTCACGTAGTTTTGCCTGTTCTTGCGGATGCGTTTTTATCAGTAATGTCCTGTATTGTACGTTCCAGTCATCACCGTCTGCAGAGCATATTGATGTGGACTGCAGTGGCTTGTTTCCAAAGGACAGCACAGCTGCCCCTCCATACTCAATGGGGAGGGATTCCAGGACCCCCCTTGGCTATCAAAATCCTCCGTAGCCCAAGTCCCCTTTATAAAAGGGTATAGTGTTTGCACGTAACCTGCGTACATTCTCCTTCATGCTCTAAATCATTTCTAGATTACTTATAAGACTAAATACAATGTGAATGCTATGGAAATAGTTGTTCTATATTTTTTGAAATTTTTATTATTTTTTATTGTTGTTTTTCCCAAATACTTTCAGTTTGTGTTTGGTTGAGTCAGTGGACGTGGCGCCCGTGGCTGTGGGGGCGGCTGTGCTTGTCGTTTTGACTGAGTACGTTTGTTTATTCAGCGCCTCCTGTTTGCCAGGCCCTGCCTCGGCTCTGCAGGTGCAGTGAATAGAACACACGTCTTCCCCACAGGAAAGGCTCTTCCACATTTGAGCCCCAGCACCTCATGAAGCTGGCGCAGCAGGGTGAAGCTGGGGTTGGAGGGACTCAAGTGGTCTCGGAGCCAGTGGGTGATGCCACAGAGACCCCAAAGCCCTCGGCCCCTGCCCTGCACTTTCCCCGGTTGGAGGGACTCACGCAGTCTGGGAGCCAGTGGGGTGATGCCACAGAGACCCCAAAGCCCTCGGCCCCTGCCCTGCACTTTCCCCTGAGCTGTGGGCCGGCTGTGACCAGGAAGTCTCCAGGGTGGTGGACATTCATGTGTCAAGTGAAACAGTCTCGGCACACTTGGGCATGCTCTTCTGTGTCTGTCGTGGTTTGTCACTCACATTCCTGGTTCCCCCATAGTACTGAGATGATGAGGAACGTGGAGCTGGCCCCGGAAGTGGATGTCGGCACCCTGGAGCCATTGCTTTCTCCACACGTGGTCTCTGAGCTGCTTGACACGTACATGTCCACGCTCACTGTGAGTAGGGCTGGCCTGCGTGCCACAGACCACCGTGCTGGTTATATGAGTAACTAGGGCTTGGCAGCAGGCAGGAGGCAGGGGGGAAATGCCTTAGCGTTGACTTCCTAGGATGCATTGCTCAGTTGCCCGGGCTCTGCTTCCAGGCCTTGACAGGTCAGTTTGCTAGAAGAGGAGAATGGCCCCTTCTCTGGGCCTGGATCTGAAGCTTGTCCTCTGCTGGAGACGTGAGCCTGTGCCCTACTCGGCAGGCTGGCCAGGGCCCAGAACGTCTGAACCGTGTGTGGCAGCACCTGCCAGGCTCTCGGCTCTGAGTCCCATGGTTGGGGGGGTCCGTCAAGGACCAAAGGGCGAGTCCATTTGCAGCCTGGTGACCACCAGGTGGTCTCAGAGTGAGAAGAGGAGGTCAGCAGGGTCTGCTTCTTAGACAAGGGTGCGTCCACCTAGCAAGGCAGCATTATGACCAGAAGCCGAGGTGTCCTCAGGAGCTGGGGAAGGAGCGCTGTCTTCTCTTGGGACGTGAGCTGCTGTGGTTGCTGAGTCTGGGCATGGGAACAGGCCTGACCGGACCTGGTCGGCCTCATTCTCTGTGCACCTGGGATTCAGCGGCCTTGTCCTCCAGCATGAGGTGCAGCCAAAAGGGCATCTAGTTTCTTCTCCCTCTTTATCTGTACCAAGGGTTCCAGTTAAACCCCTGCGGGCTGCTGTGGTCACTGCCTCCCATGGGGGTGGCTCCTGGGTCCCTGCTCTGGAGTCCTCATTTGAGAAAGAGGACGCTGGTGCCCTGTGTCTGGTTTGTGGAGCTTGTGCATGCAACTGACCAGGTAATTGGCATGACCCTCAGGCACCTGCTCTTCTCTCTTCTCTTCTCCATGATGCTGAACTTTCTTTAGTCAAACATCATCGCCTGGCTGCGGAAAGCGCTGGAGACAGACAAGAAAGACTGGGTCAAAGAGACAGAGCCAGAAGCCGACCAGGACGGGTACTACCAGACCACACTCCCTGCCATTGTCTTCCAGGTACCACCTGCAGGGGACTGGCACAGTTCCGTTTCCTAGGTGGATAGTGGGACCTGTAGGTTTTACAAAGTGACACAGATACCTGGGATCTTCATCCACAGAGTGTAGTAAAAATATTGAGAGCCCTGCCTGGTGCATCTAAGTCCTCTCCTCTCTCTGTCTCTTACTCTCTGGAGCTGCAGAAACCTGGGATGATACTTACCAAATAGTTTTGCCCAAGGTCACTTTACTTTTCTGACCTGGTCTTTATGGGTTTGGACTACAGCCTAATTGTATGTTATTTATGTGCGACTTTCAAATGTGAGTTTGTTTGGTCGATATCCAGGATTTGTCCTAAAAAATGGCACATGATTGAGTTTAAACAGGTGGATTTTGGGAGCGTCCATTATTTTTTTTGAGACGGAGTCTCACTCTGTTGCCCAGGCTGGAGTGCGGTAGCACAATCTTGGCTTACTGCAATCTCTACCTCCTGGGTCAAGGCGTCCATTAGCTTTTAAAGTTGCTTTCCTGTTCATTGGTTAAGGTTCTAAGTATTAGACCGACCTGCATTTTTACCACGGATTCACTTTCCAACGCCCAAGCCTCACTAGGTGTTAGAACCGGTGTGTTCTTACCACGGATTCACTTTCCAGTGTCCGACCGCCCTGTGTCCCGTTTTTCCTGCTCTTTTTTTCTTTTGGCACATCATGTGTTTTAATTTGAGTGGCATTGCTGAGGGATGGAGCCCCGTTGTGTTAGAATCCTCACTCAGGACTCTAGTTAGGCAGGAGTGAGGGCTGGCGGGTGACATTTCTCTCTGAATGATACCGTTAGTTATTGACAGGCTAGTCCAAACCCTTTCCTTTGTTTGGAAACAGATGCCGTGAGAAACTGTGAGGAGAGCTCTGTCCCCTTGCCCTTCCTCTGCCTGGGTCAGCTCCTGGCAGGGCCTGGCACACCCCAGGTCCAGATTCTTAGGAACTCTGCATCATGACAGTCATGGGGCCAGGGAGGGTGAGTCAGGTGCCTGAGGGGCGCCATCCCGGGTGGGGCCTCACTCCACACATTAAAACTCCAGTCACGTAGTGTGAGGACAGACATGGCCCCCGTGGGAGAAACCAGTTTGCCAGGAATTAAGAAATGAGTCACTTGGTACTTTCCCAGGTGAGAAAGTTGTTTTTTTTTTTTTTAAACTAACTTTGTTATTTTTCACGTGGTTTCATTTTTTTTTTCTCTGAATTTGGACTATCCTAAATGCCAGTTAGCAGATGGAGGTTTCATATAACAGCAAACCTGCACTCTTAGTATACTCCTGTAAGATTATACCAGAATTCATAAGTTCTCTGATTTTTAGATGTTTGAACAGAATCTTCAAGTTGCTGCTCAGATAAGTGAAGATTTGAAAACAAAGGTACTAGTTTTATGTCTTCAGCAGATGAATTCTTTCCTAAGCAGGTATGTCTTTCTGCCAGTGTGCTAATGTACACATTGAATGTTTTTAAAAATTAGAAGCAAAAATTTTTTGATCCTACTATGCCTGTTACTAAGAAGAAATTAAGCCGGTAGATTCCCCACGTGTCACTCCTGTGTTCTTCAAAAGCAAAGGGAGGGAGCGGAGCTTCTGGATCATCTTCCCCTTGAGTGGACCACACACCCCCTTGGGCTCCCAGAGCTGATGTGTTGTGACGTCCTTAGCGATGCGCCGGATGACACCAACTCTGTTGGAGTCAGGCTCCTCCTGTTGCCTGTTCTGAACTTCCTTGGGGTGGGGGTGGCGACTCCTGCCGCAGTGCCTACTTCGTAGTGGGGAGGGCGTCCTCGGCTGAGCCGGCCCTCCTCAGAAGGGCTCCAGGCAGCCATGACCTGGCACGCCACCCTCCCCATGAGTTGTTGATAATTTTCAAACCTATACAGATGTGGAAAAGAGTTTAAAAAACTGTGTTCACCCATCGTGCAGTCCAGAAGCCATCCCCTCCAAAGCCCCCTTGCCTAATCTGTTCTCCCCTGCCCATTCCACTCTCTCTGCTGAAGTACCTTCAGGCAAACCCCGGGCGCTGTGGCATGGTATTTGCGACCCTCTCTGAAGCCACTGCAGTGCCATCAAGTCAGAGACACATGCACGGTGACTCCGTGGGGTCATCCGATGCCAAGTCTGCGTTTGGGTTGTATCTCAAGTGTGTCTTTTGATAGTTGTGAATCAGATTGGACTGCATCGCATGAGGGCTTAGGGTTCCTAGGCCTCTGGTAAGCCGAATAGCCCCTTCCCTCCTTCAGCTGCTGGCTTGTAGATCTCTGTAGAGAGATGTCCCTCAGCCTCCTCCTCAGTCTACTGTCAGCTCCCGAGCCAGATGCTGGCTCTGCAGGCTTGGATCCCACTTATTGGTGAGTGTGCCTTCCACGATGTGGCACATCAGGAGACATGGCGTCCATAGGTCCTGTCCTGGTGGCTTAGGTACTACAGCCACGCCGCCCACTCAGAGTTCCCATTTGCCATCCATCGATAGGGGTAATGCCCAAGTCCCCACTGGCCGCCCATCCACAGGGGTCACAGCTGAGTCCCCACTGGCCCTCTTCCATAGAGGTCTTAGCCGAGTCCCCACTGGCCAAGTCTTAGCCAAGTTCCCATTGGCCCTCTATCCATAGAGGTCTTAGCCAAGTCCCCACTGGCCAAGTCTTAGCCAAGTCCCCATTGGCCTTCTATCCACAGAGGCATGGCCAAATCCCTATTGGCCATCTGTCCATGGGGATCTTGGCCTGAGTTTGTTTCTTTGGAGGTCATTGTCATTTATGAGGTTAGATTCTTCTATAAAGAGACCGTTCCTTGATCACCCTCAGCTTTTTGATGACCTGAACCACACTTTGGACAGAAATGCTAACTTCTTTCCCTTTAATTGCCAGCTTTCAGTGTGCTCCTTTCTTAACATCTCTTAAAAATAGAAACGGTATTTGTTGTATGATTCTTCCACTCCCATAGGTGCTTGAGCATCCCCACAGTAAGTTTAAAAATAGAGCGTGTCACTACCTCTGTTTGTTTTCTTGACATTTCAAGTGTCTGTTTTTAATTGGATGATTTCAGGGACAGTTTCTGAAAGGGACATTTTACCTGACATTTGATGAGGTTCCTAACACTATGAGTTTCTAGGTGAAGTGTATAGTAAATAAAATAAATAAAATAAGATAATGCTTTCCCAATTCCTCACAATCAACTATGTAGTATATTTTTACAATCAGAATGCTGAACCATATTTTTTTTCCTTTTTTCAGTTATTATTTTTTACCAACTCCTCAAAATTTTTATATTTTTTAATTGTTTTTAAGAAACAAGGTCGGTCAGGCACGGTGGCTTACGCCTGTAATCCCAGCACTTTGGGAGGCTGAGGCGGGTGGATCATGAGGTCAGGAGTTCGAGACCAGCCTGGCCAATGTGGTGAAACCCTGTCTCTACTAAAAATACAAAAATTAGCTGGGCATGGTGGGGCACACCTGTAGTCCCACCTGCTCAGGAGGCTGAGGCAGGAGAATCACTTGAACCCAGGAGGTGGAGGTTGCAGTGAGCCAAGGTCTCACCACTGCACTCCAGCCTGGGTGACAGAGCAAGACTCTATCTCAAAAAAAAAAAAAGAGACAAGGTCTGATTAGGTTACCCCGACGGGTAGCTCACTGCAGCGCAGCCAGCAGCCTTTAACTCCTGGGCTCAGGTGGTCTCCCTGCCTCAGCCTCCTAATGAGCCATATTTTAAAGCCTGAGGTGAAGTTATTTTTTGATCCATTTAAAGTAATCAACCTCTCTGTCCTTCCATTAGTCTGGATCGTCTAAAGATTGTTTTATTTTTAGAGGCTCATCCGGTCAGATGTTAGTGATGTGAAATTTCAGGCCAGGCGTGACGTCAGCGTGGCATTTGAAACAGCTCCATGTTGCCCTTAGTGCTGTCTGACCGAAGCCTGTCTGTCCTCAGATATAAAGATGAAGCGCAGCTGTATAAAGAAGAGCACCTGAGGAATCGGCAGCACCCTCACTGCTACGTTCAGTACATGATCGCCATCATCAACAACTGCCAGACCTTCAAGTGAGTGTGGCCGGGCGCTGTGGCGGGGGAGCGGTGGAGGCCGGCCTGCCCAGCCGCTGTGTTGAACCTGAACCCTTTCCTTGCAGGGAATCCATAGTCAGTTTAAAAAGAAAGTATTTAAAGAATGAAGTGGAAGAGGGTGTGTCTCCGAGCCAGCCCAGCATGGACGGGATTTTAGACGCCATCGCGAAGGAGGGCTGCAGCGGTTTGCTGGAGGAGGTCTTCCTGGACCTGGAGGTGGGCCTGGCTCTTTCCTCCTGCCGTTTTCTGGGCCGAAGCCCAGTGCTTCCTCACTGCCCTCTGGGACACAGGCTGTGAACTGTACCGTGCGGATGCCGTCTGGGGAGCCGGGCTGTGCACTTGCATTCCGGTCAGATCGCTTAAAGCGCCTCCGTTTTCGGTGACGCTGCTTCGTATGATGCAGGGTCCTTCTTACGCACAATTCAGTAGATTCACCCTGTAAGTATTAAAGACATCAGACAATTTAGTGGATTACAAAATAGAAACCGATATGTAGGGACCTGTCAAAAAGTCAAATTGAGAGTGCACACACACACACATCCTCACATAGATCAGTTTCGCTTTTGAATATAGGTACACACGCAAAAATCATTAATAAAATGAATTTAATATTGTATCAAAGGCATAACCTACCATGAAATGTAGGGGTTATTTCAGAAACATAAAGATGGCTTAACATTATTTAGAGGTATTGGCAGAAATCAGGATATATTTAAAAAATAAGACCTTGTAGGCCGGGTGTGGTGGCTTACGCCTTTAATCCCAGCACTTTGGGAGGCCAAGGTAGGCGGATCACCTGAGGTTGGGAGTTCGAGACCAGCCTGACCAACATGGAGAAACCCCATCTCTACTCAAAATACAAAATTACCTGGGTGTGGTGGCGCATACCTGTAATCCCAGCTGCTTGGGAGGCTGAGGCAGGAGAATTGCTTGAACCCGGGAGGTGGAGGTTGCAGTGAGCAGAGATCGCGCCATTGCACTCCAGCCTGGGCAACAAGAGCAAACTCCATTTCAAAACAACAACAACAACAAAATAATAAGACCATGGCCATCTGGTGGTCCTGCTGGAAAGGGGTTCCTGGGATGAGGGGTGGGATTGGTTGCTGATTCATCAGTGTCTGGTTGTGCAAGAGAACAGAAATGTGTGTGGAAGTGTCCCCAAAGAGGCAGACACTTGTAACTTTCGCAAATATGACTTAGCAAGAAGAAAATATTTACATTTGAAATTATTTCAAAATTTAAAAAGAATATATAGAAAAATGGGCAAAAGACATGAACGGCCACCTCACATTAAAAGCAACACCAGTGTCCTCATCGTGAAACTAGACGCCCGATCTTATCCTCGAAGCAATGAATGCTCAACAGGACCTGCTGCTCAGCAGGATGGCAGGAGCCGGAGACGTGGATGCTGTTCAGGCTTGTTGAGGGTGTGGGAAAAAGGGGCTGTTTGTATTCTGTGTGGGCCTGAACTGGGTTGGGTTTTTGAGGGCAGCTTGGAAATACAGCCATTGTAGTTTTAATCTGTAACTTTTACTGGAGTTTTAATTTGTACACTTCTATTGGAGTTTTAATTTGTATACTTTTATTGGAGTTTTAATTTGTATACTTTTATTGGTTTTAATGTGTATACTTTTTGACTGAAAAATTCAACTTTAAGGAATTTCATCAGAATTATACAGATTCACTGTTGCATTATTGCAAAATGTGAAAAAAATTTAAATGTCCATCAATAGAGAATTGGGCAAATAAATACGATAAATATATGTAGCCACTAAAGGTAAAATGTATACATGCACAGATATTTCCATCTTTAACATGTCATTTTGGGAAGCTCATCACAGAAATTGTAGTATAAATCTCCTATACTTAAAGTACACATTTGCAGATTATATAATCAAATTTTTACCTGAGTGCGCATTGCTGTTGTAATTAGAAAAGCAGTGTGACGTAGCAAAGATGCACGGAAGTGCCTCCCTCCCACACGCACTCAGTGCTCGTGGGACGTTGAGGTGAGGAAGTGCCTCCCTCCCACGCTGCACGCAGCTCTCGTGGGGCGTTGAGGTGAGGAAGTGCCTCCCTCCCACACTGCACGCAGCTCTCGTGGGGCGTTGAGGTGAGGAAGTGCCTCCCTCCCACATGCACTCGGCTCTCGTGGGACGTTGAGGTGATGATTTCTATGATCTGTTTCTGCTTTTCAGCAACATCTGAATGAATTGATGACGAAGAAGTGGCTATTAGGGTCAAACGCTGTAGACATTATCTGTGTCACCGTGGAAGACTATTTCAACGATTTTGCCAAAATTAAAAAGCCGTATAAGAAGGTAAGAAGGTGGGACCTAGTTCCCTCATCACCTTGACGCTAGGGCTCACCTCTCACCCTGCTCAGAATTCAGCATCCAGCGAGTCCCTCCGTGAGTGAACGTTCACTTGTTGTCCTATCAGCCCAAGGGAGGCAATAGGCTCTGCGGACGCCACCTCCCTGGGACGGGGCTCTGGTGAGAATGGCCGGGGCCCTGTGGCATGGCCCTCGAGGTGGAGGGAGCCATGGTTCCCGGAGAGGCCCGCGTGCCCCGTCTTAGCTCCTTGCCTTCCACTCACTCCCTGAGGCCCCAGGGATTTCTTTCCGCTTCAGACCCTCCTTCCTGCAGGACCCAGGTTCCTCTTTCCTCCAAAGTGCCTGCCGCGTTTTCCAGATGCTGCGGTCGTTATCAAAGGACAGCAGCAGCCACTGACACGGGCCTGTCTGTGGACCGAGTGCTCATGCGCGGCACTGCCTCGCCCGCGTCTGTCCTGCTGGGGGCCGGAGCTGGCCTGGTGCGGGGGTCCAGGTCACCGTCACTGTTCCCCCACTGAGCCCCCGCTCCTCCTCTGCGGTGAGATGCCAGAGCCGTGGCGGAGCGAGGAGGAGTGGGCTCAGAGCCTCCGGGGAGCCACCGGGAGCCCCAGCCTGGGTTTCAATGAGGGTGCTCCTGGCCGCCAGAGCCGTGGAGCCTGCCGCTGACCGCGCGTGTCTCCCCAGAGGATGACGGCCGAGGCGCACCGGCGCGTGGTGGTGGAGTACCTGCGGGCGGTCATGCAGAAGCGCATTTCCTTCCGGAGCCCGGAGGAGCGCAAGGAGGGTGCCGAGAAGATGGTTAGGGAGGCAGAGCAGCTGCGCTTCCTGTTCCGGAAGCTGGCGTCCGTGAGTGTCGCGCAGGTCCGGGCTGGAGAAGGCCTGTCGCTCCGCGGCCCTGTTCAGCCTCCACCCCGGGACTCGGGCCAGTAGATGGGAGTGTGTCGTGTGTTTGTCAGGCGGGGGGAGCCTGGGTCCAGGTCCTGCCTGACCTTGTGGTTGGACACGAATGTCCACAGAGGTAGACGCGCCGGCCCCGCCGGCTTCCCGAGGCCGCCCACAGCTCCCTGACGGACGCTTCCCAGTCTGTCCTGCGCTGCGAGGTGCTGGCTGCCTCCCACGGTCTCGCCCTCACCCCAGACCCCTGGCCCTGTCACTGAGCTTTCAGAGTAGATCCTGAGGAGTCAGGTGAAGAGGGAGGTTCCCAGTCAGGAAGGGGCTCAGCCAGAATCCAGCTGCTCCCAGCGCCGCGGGACAGCCGAGGGCGGCTCCTCACATTGCTGCTGCCTTCCAGGGTTTCGGGGAAGACGTGGACGGATACTGCGACACCATCGTGGCTGTGGCCGAAGTGATCAAGCTGACAGACCCTTCTCTGCTCTACCTGGAGGTCTCCACTCTGGTCAGCAAGTATCCAGACATCAGGTAAGGGATGCACGTCTTAGAATCCTGCCTTAGAATCCTGGAGTGGAGCGGCAGGTCCCTCCTTCTGTCTGGGGCGGGTGGGGCTCCTGGTTCGCAAGTTCAGCCCTGCAGCACGGCAAGGGTTCAGGTGCGGCACAGCGGGGCCCAGGCGCAGGGAGCAGAGCTGCTTCTGTGCTGCCTTCCACCTGGCCTGGGCTACAGTGTGGGTGGGTGGAGCTCGAGGGGCACATCCCGGGTGGGGACAGTGGGGTGGGGGCGGGGCTGTGACAGCTCTGCTGTGTGTGGTGGGGAAGATTTGGGCTGTGGAGTGGCCTCAGTGGGGCGAGTTTAGGAAGTTTCCTCTGTGCTCATGGTGGACTCGGGAGGGCCCAAGTGCAGCTTGGACCAGACACCTTCCGAGGACGTGATTACAGGGAGTCCCCAGTACCAGGTCCAGGGAAGGGGACCCACGCACGTCCCCCCTCCACCATGCTGGCTCCAGGCCCCAGGCCAGCCTTTGCGGCCCCTGTCTCAGGGCACCTGCCACTTCCCCAAGGGGCCACCTCCATGGCTGCAGCCGCGTCACCTCCGTCCCATCATCTCGCTGGTTAAACGTGGAAAAACGGGGTCTTGAGCTCTCCACGGTCTCCCCTCTGGTTGGGCCGGAACAAAGATTTATAAAAGCAGTGTTGAAAAATCTTTCTGCAATTGGATTGAGAAAAGACAGAGTAAGATGAAAATGCAGGCTTGTCTCCCGCTGAAAAGGGAAAGGTGCAATTTGTCTGCAGCGGTCCTCACCCCCTGTGTTCTGTCAGCTGGGGTGGTGAAGCCGTGAGTCCCTGGCAGCGTGGTGCATCACAGGGCTGCTAAGTGGGCATGGGCTGACATCTCCCCATCCCCAGGGATGACCACATCGGTGCGCTGCTGGCTGTGCGTGGGGACGCCAGCCGTGACATGAAGCAGACCATCATGGAGACCCTGGAGCAGGGCCCAGCACAGGCCAGCCCCAGCTACGTGCCCCTCTTCAAGGACATTGTGGTGCCCAGCCTGAACGTGGCCAAGCTGCTCAAGTAGCCTCCGCCGGCCTGCCCTGCTCGCCCCTCCACAGCCTCGGTCCCTGCCTTTAGAAACGCGGGACAGCTGATTGCTCTCCTTGGCCACACGTGCTCCTTTTAGCTGCACGGCCTGTCTTTAGGTGCCAGTGTGATGCACCGGGTGTGCGTCGAGTGAGCGTCCCGAGGCCACGTGCGGAGGCCCCTCACTGTGCTGTCAAAGGCCTGTGGGTGCAGGGCTCTGCCGCACAGCCTCTCTTGGGTGCTTGTTTGTTGCAGTGGTTGAAAGTGTGTGGGGCACAGAGGACGTGCACCTCCCTGCCCTCCTCCTCCCTGGGCCTTCACCGCACCCCATCTGCTTAAGTGCTCGGAACCCCGTCACCTAATTAAAGTTTCTCGGCTTCCTCAGAGAAATGAAAACGCCATGCATTCTCTTTTCCAGTTAAGGTTTTCTGACTACTGATCTAGGATTGCCCAGGAACTGTTGTCAATCACAGAGTAAAAGTCTCCGCTCAGCCTGGAGGGCGCCCTCCTGGTCCCCTCCTGTCTGACATCCCCTCAGCCTAGAGGGCGCCCTCCTGGTCCCCTCCTGTCTGACATCCCCTCAGCCTAGAGGGTGCCTTCCTGATCCCCTCATGTCTGACATCCCCTCAGCCTGGAGGGCGCCCTCCTGGTCCCCTCCTGTCTGACATCCCCTCAGCCTGGATGGCGCCCTCCTGGTCCCCTCCTGTCTGACATCCCCTCAGCCTAGAGGGCGCCCTCCTGGTCCCCTCCTGTCTGACATCCCCTCAGCCTGGATGGCGCCCTCCTGGTCCCCTCCTGTCTGACATCCCCTCAGCCTAGAGGGTGCCCTCCTGATCCCCTCATGTCTGACATCCCCTCAGCCTGGATGGCGCCCTCCTGGTCCCCTCCTGTCTGACATCCCCTCAGCCTAGAGGGTGCCCTCCTGGTCCCCTCATGTCTGACATCCCCTCAGCCTAGAGGGCGCCCTCCTGATCCCCTCATGTCTGACATCCCCTCAGCCTGGAGGGCGCCCTCCTGGTCCCCTCGTATCTGACATCCCCTCAGCCTGGAGGGCGCCCTCCTGGTCCCCTCCTGTCTGACATCCCCTCAGCCTGGAGGGCGCCCTCCTGATCCCCTCCTGTCTGACATCCCCTCAGCCTGGAGGGCGCCCTCCTGGTCCCCTCGTATCTGACATCCCCTCAGCCTGGAGGGCGCCCTCCTGGTCCCCTCCTGTCTGACATCCCCTCAGCCTGGAGGGCGCCCTCCTGATCCCCTCCTGTCTGACATCCCCTCAGCCTGGAGGGCGCCCTCCTGGTCCCCTCGTATCTGACATCCCCTCAGCCTGGAGGGCGCCCTCCTGGTCCCCTCGTATCTGACATCCCCTCAGCCTGGAGGGCGCCCTCCTGGTCCCCTCGTATCTGACATCCCCTCAGCCTGGAGGGCGCCCTCCTGGTCCCCTCCTGTCTGACATCCCCTCAGCCTGGAGGGCGCCCTCCTGGTCCCCTCCTGTCTGACATCCCCTCAGCCTGGAGGGCGCCCTCCTGGTCCCCTCCTGTCTGACATCCCCTCAGCCTGGAGGGCGCCCTCCTGGTCCCCTCCTGTCTGACATCCCCTCAGCCTGGAGGGTGCCCTCCTGGTCCCCTCCTGTTTGACATCCCCAGAGTTACTCCTTGGGTCCTTTGAGAGATGAGACACCAGCTGCACCCAGCAAGCCCTGTCCCCACCCCCAGGTGAGCAGACCTCTGGCACCGGGTGTTGCCAGCCAAGTCAGCCATACCTGGTAGACGAGCAATGGCAGGAGTGTAAATTTTGGTAAAAGTAAATATGAAAGTGAATATTTACTTGGAGTACACTTCAAGACCCGCGAATCATGCTTTCCCTGATAGAGAATCCTTTAAATTCTCTTTTCTAAAATGTACCCATCTCTCTACAGCATCTGCCTTCAATGGTAGCATCATTTTGCACGTTAATCTTTAATTTTTTTCCAAAGCTAATCAAGGCATTACCCCGGAGGCCGGGCGCAGTGGCTCACGCCTGTAATCCCAACACTTTGGGAGGCCAAGGTGGGTGGATCATTTGAGATCAGGAGTTTGCAAAGACCAGCCTGGCCAACATGGTGAAACCCCATCTCTACTAAAAATACAAAAATTAGCCAGGTGTGGTGGTGCATGCCTGTAATTCCAGCTACTTGGGAGGCTGAGGCAGAATTGCTTGAACCCCGGAGGCGGAGGTTGCAGTGAGCCGAGATTTCACCACTGCACTCCAGCCTGGGCAACGGAGCGAGACTCCGTCTCAAAGGAAGGGGGGAATTACCCAGGATGAGCAGGGAGTCCTGGGTCCTGGTGCTCAGAGGGGCAGACCCCTGTGCTCTCTTAATTTACAGAAAAGTATTGATTTGGTTGAGTGAGTGAAAGGCATTGACCTTCATTCCTCCTCTCGCCTGTGTATACAGCGCTTCGTTCCCTCCATCCCTGTCTGTCTCAGAGCCCCAGGGACTCGCAGATGGGCGAGGTGGGGGTGTCAGCGGGCCCTTCTGTCCCTGTGAGGACCCCACAAGACTGGCCCATGGGCCCCAGGCAGTGCAGGTGGGAGAGGCGGGGGTGTCAGCGGGCCCTTCTGTCCCTGTGAGGACCTCACAAGGCTGGCCCACGGGCCCCATGCAGTGCAGGTGGGAGAGGTGGGAGTGTCAGCAGACCCATCTGTTCCTGTGAGTACCCCACAAGGCTGGCCCGTGGGCCCCGTGCAGTGCAGGTGGGAGAGGTGGGGGTGTCAGCGGGGCCATCTGTTCCTGTGAGGGCCTCCCATGGCTGCCCATGGGCCGCAGGTACTCCAGCCTGAGGACACGCTTTGCTCTCAAGACGTTTTTGAGATGGCAGAGTTGACATTTTGCTTTTATTTCATCCTCACAAGATGTGAAAAATTCACAAATGGGACTTCTTGAAAGAATCAAAACTTGAGAAGTAACTGAGAAGTAGAAGCAGCTCTTAACAAGCATCAGGGGCTCAGAAGAGGTAGCTCTTCCCAGGGCATCCAGCGGGCGAGCTGTTCCATGTGCCTCTGAACCCAGCTTCCCACTTAGCAGCAGGTCTTGAGTGCACCTGGCATACAGTAAGTGCTCAGTAAATGCATATGAATTAGAATTCGTAGTGTTCACAGTCATTAGAGTGTCCCTTATAAGAATGAAAAATGCATTTATTTTCCCACTGAGAGGGAATTCTTGTTACTTCTGGAATGAGTGCCCAGGGCGAATGGTGGTGAGTGTGCAGCCCTCACTGGTGTTTTGCTCTGATTCTGTGTGAGGGTCACCGCTGGGACCCACGGTCACTGGTCACATCCTCCTCACGGGTGCCTGCAATGACAGGCCTCCGCAGGGGGCTCTGACCCCATCTGTCTGCACCGGAGGGGCTGTGCTCAGATCCAGGGGTCGCGCCACAGCTGTGTCCAGTGGCTTCCTCACACCAGCTAGGAAGGGCAGCAACAGCACGTGCACGCACACACGCACACAACGCGCACACACACGCATGTGTCAGTGCTAATTTTTGGGCAGAGCGATGTCTGCCTACAGGAGACGTCTCCTTAAATTCTCATAGGTGGATATTTCTCTTTTATAAACAAAGTTTGCACCCAAAATGCCTTGAAATGTTTTTAATAGAATTGGTCTAGTAATCGTTCAGGATTTCGGTGATGGGCCCTCCCTGTCTGGACACTGCCAACCCACAGCTGGAGGGGCACTTAAGGCACGTCATTTTGTGATTAGAATTACACGAAATTTGATTAATATTATAGCTGCAAAATTAACATACACAATTTTCACTCATAATTTAAAATATTTTGATGAAATTCTTTGCTTTCACAATAGAAGATCAATGGTACACAGTATATTGAACTCTGTAACAAAATTATTTTTGAGAAAATACAGAAGTGAGAAATAGTGATTTCCTCAATTTGTTTATAGTCTATCACAAAGTAGGCCAAAGTTCAGTATTAAATAGATATCCTAATAAAAGTTTTTACAAGTTTTCCTAAGGAAATACATTCATAAGACTGTTTACCTTCTGTTTGACAGCAGTGACAGGAACGTGGGGATCCCCACTCATGACGAGTCCCTAGCACTCAGCCCCTGGCACCCACAGCCCCGGCGCGCTCCGTCACCTGGTAGGGAGCAGCCTGGGCTGCCGTGAGTGAGGTGTTCTCACTCTGGTTCCGTGTTTGTGTTTAGCCTGTGCAATTCTCGTCAACACAGAACACCTGCCTGCCCACCCCCGGTGCTGAAGACCGACCAGTCAAGGAGGTGTTGGTGGGAGTGTTGTGTTCACCATGTGGAGATCAGGCGGCGATTACCGCATCTTCTTTGCTGACTTTGGTAACCGGGTGTCCAGGGAGGAGCGATCGGGAGTGGCCAAGCAGTTGCCTGGACTCAGCTTCTGACTCTGCAGCTGGGAGTCAGATGCAGGCCCAAGGGTCCAGGGGAGTTGTTCAGCGCCTGGAATCGCCATGCATTGCGCGGTGGACCGCACGACGCTCCTGCTCTGTTCTCCCAGGCACAGACAGGCACTTGGAAGGCAGCTTTGCTCCTCTGGCCACCCGGAAACCTCCCAGCAGTTCAGATGGGACAAACTGGGGGCCTGTCAGAACAGCCACTTGTGCCGGGAAGGCCAGGCCCCGGCCTGCTCCGATGAACGTCAGGACGGTGGCTGCAGCAGGGAACCAGGGCTGGCCTTGGATCTGTCCAGTAGGGTCACTGACTGGGCAGGGCTTGCTGCATAGAGGATGGCTGCATTTTGTGCTCAGAGTTGGTTGAAATGGCTACGAAGTGTGGAGAATAACCACTGAATCCCAAAAAGTCACTGCGCTTGATCTGATCCAAGTAACAGTGACTGCAGTTAGGGTCGAGAGCTTCTCCGAAGCAGCGGTCATGCAGGCTTTTGTGTGGCTGACGCTTCCCTTTTTCACAACAGTAAAAAGCTATCAATGGGAAATTGTGGACTTTTCCCACCAGGGACTCAATGGGGACTCAATGTGCAATATTCAGTCAACATAAAACTCTTTAAGAACTCCTCCTGACTGGTGACTGTCAACACTTGATCTGAAACGTGAATAGTTTAATTTTCCTGAGCAAGGAGCTGCGAGTCTAGCTTTAGAAAAGCCCCTAGGAGTGTCCACCTCCACCACTTCCACCGTGCAGGCAGGTTTCAGGTGGGTTGGACCCTGTGGGACTTGCCGTCTGAGGGATGGATGGACTCCGAGCACCCTCCCCGGCTCAGCACCCGCGGCCTCCGCCCACTCAATGGACTGTGCCTCCCAGAGCTTGGGCTGGATGGTCTCCCTGCAGAGGACCAGGAGCTCTGTCCAAGGCCTCGCCCTGGGACGCTGGAAGGGGTGGGAAGGGTCAGGGGTCCGGGGTCTAGGACAGGCTCAGGGGTCTCAGCAGGTTCTCCTTGGAGGGCCTGAGCCTGGTAGGGGGGCGGTGCCCTGGGCCCCTCCATGCCCCCTGGTTTGTTAAGGGGGACAGAGCAGCTGCTGGGCCCCACCATCCACTTAAGGACTGGCCGTGATTCTTGGCAAGCTCCGCCCGCCAGGCCACCTCTCACCCAGCCAGGGCACCCCGGGCGACCTCCGCGCCAGGTGCGACAGCTCAGGCCGGAGACCTCGTCTGTGGGGACGGGCCGTGTCCGGGGCCGCCACCCTGAGACCGGGCGCGGGCAGGACGGAACCTGGGGGGGAAACGGGGCAGGTACTGGCTTTAGGAGTCTAAATCCCCAAACGCTGAGCAGACGGAAGACGTTCCTGCCACTTTACCTGCAGTTCAAAGACCTGGCGAGGGCCTGGAAACGGCGCTCGGCCCAGGCCGCTTGCGGGCGCTGGGCCTGCAGCCGCTGCAGGTCGGGCCCTGAGTCCTGGCGCTCGGGAGGTCCCTGAGTCGGTCCCCGAGTCAGTCCCCGGGCGCGGGGCTCGGTTGGGGGGGCCCGGAACCTTGGGCTGGTTTCACGCAAATCCGTTTGGGGCGAGCCTCGGTTTCCCGGCAGCGGTGGGAAAGGGCGCGAGCGGCCAGCCATGGCGCGCGGACCCTTCCCGCCGGCGGCGTCACAGCGGCGTCTCCTCCTGCTCCAGCGCGTGCGGCGGTGCGTGGCACGAGGGCGGCAGCGACGCCAGCTTCAGCAGCGCGGGGCGGCGGCGCGCGCGAGGCCGCTGGAACGAGCGCCGGCTGTGCACGCGGCGCGCCGCCGCCGAACGCGCGTGCGCACTCGGCAGCCCTCGGCGCTCCGGCCCCGCCCCCGGCGCAGGCCCCGCCCCCGGCTCGCCCTCGGGCGGCTCTGCGGGCGCAGGCGCGGCACTCTCGGAGTTCTGCGCAGGCGCTGGCGTGGGCGAGGCGGGGCTCGGGGCTCGCGGTCGCTGTAGCCGCGCGGGGATCTGGGGTTTCTCTGGGACAGCGGCGGCGGCGGTGGGCGGACCGTGGCGCGGGGACGAGCGGCCGGTTAGCGGCGTGTCGGAGCCGGTGTCACCTGCGGGAGAGGAAGGCGTGAGCGGCGCGCGGAGCCCGGGCGCTGGGGCGGGAGGGGCGTCCCCGGGGGCCTCAGCTGTCCCCGAGCCCGGCGGCTCTCGCCTCCCCTCCCGCGGCGCACCCCAGGCTCGGCGTCCGCTGGGGCCTCCTCCCAGGACCCGGGTTCGCGGGGCAGAGGCGGAAGCAGCAACAGCGAAGCCCCAGCCCGGCCCCGCCACGTCCCCCCGCCGGGGGTCCCGGGACAGCGGCCTCCTCGGCGCAGGAAGGTCCCGCCCCAGGCCCTGCAGCGCGGGAGGTCAAGGTCCCCAAGGGGACCTGCTTCCTCCATCTCAAACCGCCCTGGCGTCCCCCGGGTGCCTCCCAGGCCCCCAGAGGGAGCTCAGAAAGCCCAGACCCCACGGCCCGCCCCTCTCCCTGCTCTGAGCTGGAGGCAGAGTCCGGGTCTGCGGGGCCGGCCCTCCCTGTATCCCTGTGAGAGGGTCGGGGACCCGGGGCGTCTGTCTGGCTTCCCCCAGCCCTGCTCTCAGCTCCCTGGGAGCGCAGGATTTGGACTCGCGGACTAGCTTTCGGAGCCACCTAAAGGAAATCTCAGGCGGCCCTAGTGCCCTCAGCTCCGTGGGAGCAGCAGAGACGCCAGAGTATCTCTGTCCGGGCTCCTGAGGGAGGTGCGGCCAGCAGGGCGCTAGAGGAGGAAGAGGGGCTGCTGGAGAGAGAGAGCGCGCCAGGTTCAGGTCCAGGGAGGAGAGAGAGCGAGCGCGCGAGGCGGAGACCTGGAGGGAGAGGAGCTGCGGAGAGGGGTTAGGCGGGGAGGGAGAGAGAGAACCAGGTTCCGGTCCAGGGAGGAGAGAGACAGCGCGCGCGAGGCGGAGACCTGGAGGAGAGGAGCTGCGGAGAGGGGTTAGGCGGGGAGAGAGAGAGAGCGAGCCAGGTTCAGGTCCAGGGAGGAGAGAGACAGCGCGCGCGAGGCGGAGACCTGGAGGGAGAGGAGCTGCGGAGAGGGGTTAGGCGGGGAGGGAGAGAGAGAACCAGGTTCAGGTCCAGGGAGGAGAGAGACAGCGCGCGCGAGGCGGAGACCTGGAGGAGAGGAGCTGCGGAGAGGGGTTAGGCGGGGAGAGAGAGAGAGCGAGCCAGGTTCAGGTCCAGGGAGGAGAGAGACAGCGCGCGCGAGGCGGAGACCTGGAGGGAGAGGAGCTGCGGAGAGGGGTTAGGCGGGGAGGGAGAGAGCCAGGTTCAGGTCCAGGGAGGAGAGAGACAGCGCGCGCGAGGCGGAGACCTGGAGGGAGAGGAGCTGCGGAGAGGGGTTAGGCGGGGAGAGAGAGAGCGAGCCAGGTTCAGGTCCAGGGAGGAGAGAGACAGCGCGCGCGAGGCGGAGACCTGGAGGGAGAGGAGCTGCGGAGAGGGGTTAGGCGGGGAGGGAGAGAGACAGCGCGCGCGAGGCGGAGACCTGGAGGGAGAGGAGCTGCGGAGAGGGGTTAGGCGGCGGGAGGCCCGGGAGCGTTACATGTGTGTGGACTCGGGGAGGGCGGCGGGGGGCCGCTCCTCGGGGCCGTCTGCCTGCAGGAAGGAGTCCACGGACTTGCTGCTGAGGCGGAAGGGCATCAGGCGGCAGAAGGTGCCGGGAGAGTAGGGAATCTGCGTGCGGGCCCTCTGCGAGGGGACCACCGTCTCCCCGGGAGACAGCCAGGGCGGCAGCCTGGCCAGGAGGCTGCGGTCCAGGGCCTCGTCCGGAGAAAACACAGGGTTGTCAATTCCTAGGAGAGAGGGCAGCGGCTAGTCAGCCTTCGGAGAGCCCCACGGCGGCAGGGGAGACCTCGCCGGGGCCGTCACCTGCTGGGTGCCTTGGAAAGTTAGGGTCACCGGGAAGGTTAGGGTCACGTGCCTTTCAGGTTGCGGGCCCTTCCCCCACATCCATGACCCCACACGCCACAGGCAGCACAGGTAACGTCTCGCTTCCCTCAAGACATACCCCACCTGCTCCCTGCCCGGCCCACGTCTCCCCGGACAGCAGCCTCCGAGTTGGTTGAGGGGGCACTCAGTGGGTGCCAAGCAGGGCCCTTGAGAACCCACAGGAGACCCCACCCCCCCAGGTCCCAGTGCCCCTGGTCCAATGACCGAGCTCCCTCCTGGGGCGGCAGGAGCCACCCCTCCCTTAGCCACGACGCCTGTGCCCCGTCCCCACCTGCAGGGGAGTCGGACGCTGTGTCCTTGGTGACACTAGCCAGGAACTCGATCCCCCCACTCATCTCCTCATCATAGTTGGGGGGCTCCTCGGTGTCTGAAAGTTCCAAGTCTGGGGAAGACAGGTTGGGGTGAGGACTGGGGTCACTGGGGGGCTGTCCTCACAGCCCAGTCAGCAGTGTCCATCAGCTCTGTGCACAGAGGTGCAGGCAGTCGGGACCCACAGAGAGGAGGGCTAAACCGCAGGGCTGGAGGAGGGACCCCACTTAGAGGGCAGTGTCCCTGGAACCCCATCCTGGGTGGGTCTGCAGCTGGGGCCCTGACCATGCCTCCCCTGCCTGGGTGGCTGGAGGGTCCCCAGAGGGGAAGGTCCTGAGAGGGGAGGTTCCCGAGCCGGGAGGGCTGGGGCTGGGAGGTGGTGGCTCCCAGTCCCAGCGTTCCTGCAGGGCCCCCAGCGCACCTTTCTCCTTGATGGTGAAATTCTGCGCAGGGCTCTCCATGGGCAGCTTCCCATTGGGGATGCTGCTGTTTCTCTGCGGAGCAAACGTGAAGCTGCTCACACCCCGACACAGCCACACCCAGCCCTGACTGCCCCCGCTCCAGGCCCCAGCCCCGCCAAGCCTCCTGGTGACCCAGCCTTACCCGCTTCTGGGCACGCTCCCGCTTGTACAGCTTGGCCGCCTTCTTGTTCTGGTTGAGCCCCAGCTTGGTCGACTTGAAGGACTCCAGGCGCTTCCGCATGGTCCTGTGGAAGATTTCCCGGTCCTGTTTCTCGTCCTCCGTGGGCGTGAGCTCGTGTCGGCTGTACAGATGCTTGTACTGCGGGATCAGGCACGGAGGTCACAGCTGTGCCCACCGCCGGACATTCTCGCCCTCCTGCCGCAGGAGCTGAGCACGGATCCCCCGTGGTCCCAGGAGGGGACGAGGAAGCCGCCCCACGGGGTCCCTGCGGGGTCCTCCAGCCCCCAGCCCGCAGTGCCCACCTCCTGCCGCGGCTTGTACAGGTACTGCTGTAGCGTGTGGTGCGTGACCATGTCCTCCGCGTCCCGGATGCTCCGCCGTCGCTGCTCCAGAGACTGCATGTCCAGGCAGACAGCGCTGACATTTTCTCTCCTGCGTGGGGACCAGCGCTGAGCCATACAGGCTCCCTCAGGGTGGGGTCTCTTGCGCGCCCCTCGCCTTCCCACGGCGGGCATCTGGCCCTGGCTGCCTCCTGCGTGCCCCTCGCCTTCCCATGGTGGGCACCCGGCTGGGGCACGGGGACATCTGCCATCTGGCCAGCCCCTTCTCCCCTCGGGGCTTAGGCTGACTCCCCACGAGGCCTTCCTGGCCTCCTGTCTGAAGTGGGTCCCTTTCCTTACTGGTCCCTCTCCAAAGCCCTGGCTGTAAGACTCGGGGACCCCAGCATCTGCACATCTGGCAGAGTGGACCTCCTATGAGAACTGGCTGTGAGCTGTGGAGCCCAGGGCCGGAGGAGCAGTAAGGGTGGCATGGGGACCAGGACAGGCTGCTGCGGGCCAGGGGCAAACACGTCAGGCCTGGCCCCCAGTCCGCTGCTGCCCCTCCCTTTCACCTTCCATCCAGCACTAAGGGAGTCTGGCCACGGCCTAATATAGGAGGGCTTGTGGAAGGAGACACCCACCCCCTCTTTCTGCACCTCTCCCCTCTTCCATGCCACCCCCAGGCCAGGAGCCACCACAGCCCTGTCTGTGACTCTCAGCTCCCGAGGCTGGGCTCTTCCCCAGGGAAGCTGCATGACCATGGCCACATACAGGAGGTAGGAGACAGAGGCCTCCACGGTGGACGATCGTGGCGTGAAGTCCACGTTGACCACGTTGTCGGTGCTGGGGGAGCGGATGAAGGCCAGGGACCCGCGGCGCTCTCCCTGTGGTCAGGAAGCAGCCCGGTCAGTGGCCTGAGCAGCCAAGCCCTAGCTGCTGCCATTGTGTGCCCTGGGGGGAAGCGCCCAGAGCTCGGGGCCCGGGGAAAGCCTTGAGACCTGAGCCCCGGGTTCACGCCTCACAGCTGCAGAGGGAGGGGTGGAAATGCCAAAACCAGGAGATCAGATTTTGAGCCCCTGTCCGTCTGAGGCCACAGCCAGGCTGCTGCCTGAACTGGGCAGAGGTCATGCTTGTGGGAGGACACAGTGGTCTGAGTGTGAAGGGGTAAAGCTGCCTGGGACTTGGGATGTGTCTGGGGAAAGTGTTGATACTGCAGAATCATTGAAGTGGTCTCTGTCCCTGCAGGAGACCCTAAAACTCCATTGGCCTCATGTCCAGAACTGAATCAGGTAGAGAACGGAGCAGAGCCCGATGGGGCACAGAAGCCACACAGCTGAGTGCCAGAGGATGGAAGTGGGGCCGCCTATGTGTCCTCAGACCCCACCCGCCTGATGGCAGGGCCTGGAGAGCATGAGGTTGTGCAGGAGCACAGGGCAGAGTGGGCTTATGGCTGGAGTCAGGGTCCCCAGGGCCGGCAGGGGCACGGGTGTGGAGGGAACGTCAGCTCACTGCACTCAGACCTCGCCAGGTGGGCACCCGTGCCGCCTTCAGTGTGCAGGATGCTCCCAGGGAAGCCCCCGGGGTCAGGTGGGTGCCGCTGTTCCCACTGAAGATGCGGCCCCCAGTTCACTGCCCACTCGGGGGGGATTTGAGGGTCATTGGTTCTGAGGGCCCTCCGCCTGCTCTTTTGCTTCTAAATCCAGCATCTTCTGTATGACCTTTGTCCCGCTCCTGCCACCCCACGAAGACAGACGTGAGGGTCAGGGGAGCCACGGTGCTAACTGCCACTCTGGGCGGGCACAGGCGAGGGCTGTGCAGCACCCGGGCACGTGGGGTCTTCGGAGGGGCTGCTCCCCACACCACTTCCCCTGCCCCTGCCGAGCCCTGCCGTGGGGTGGGGGGGCGCAGGGAGAGAAAGCAGCCGCCCTGGGTGAGAGCCAGGAGGGACACTGGGCAGGCAGATGCCACCCCAGGTGTGGGGACCCCCGCTACTGAGTGGCCGGGAGGAGCCCACAGGCTCCCCACATGCAGCTGAGCCCAGGGTTGTGGTCGTGGGTCGTGGGTCAAGGATGGTGGCTGGTGTGGTTGGGGGAGAGGCTCAAGGCCCGCCTGCCAACCTTGTCACCTATGTGGGGGTGAGGGGAGCCCGCCAGAGGCCAGAGCCCCCACTGTCCCTTCCCACCCTCCAGCCAGGCTCCAGGCCTCCTAGGGCCAGAGTATCTGAGCTTTCTCTCGCTTGCCGGGCCTGTGGTTTGGGGGTTTGTGTGGAGCCTGGTCCAGGAGCCCTCCTTCCTGATCTGCACTGGCTGGCCCTCCTGACAGCCCCAGGCCCCCGTGCCCTCTGCCAGGAGGTGCCTTGCCACTTGGCATGGCCCCAGTCACGGGTGGCACATCTGGGGTGAATGCACGTCAGTGGAGGCAGAATCATTCTGTCTGAATGAATGGAGTTTCCAGGCCCCCACTGGCCCTCTGTGTGAGGGTCTGCAGGGTTTGGCAGGACAGGTCTTTCTCTCCGGCGAGAGCACCCACCCTGACCGGCTGCTGGATGAGGGCACCAAAGCTCGCTAGGGAGGGCTCTGTCCTTAGGGAGGAGCTGCGGAATCCCTGCAGCTGTGCCCCCAGGCCCTGCCTTGCACACTTCCTGCAGCCAGGGCGCCCCTGGGGAGGTCAGGGCAGGCCGGGGAGGCTGAGGCCCACCTGCCATAGTGGGCAGGTGCGGGAGCCAGGGCGGCAGTGGCCTCGGGGCTGGGTGGGGCGCCTGGCCTCTGGTCTCTGGAGCAGTCAGGGGCTCTGCAGACGCTGAGAGGCCTGCTCATAGTGGACTGGGAGATGCTGGAGCAGCCTCAGAGCCATGGCCGGCCCACAGCGGGAGACGGCCCTGCTGCTGCCCCTCTGCCTGTGCGTGTGCACCTGTGGGCACCTGCGTGTGCTGGGGCAGGCAGGGCTGTATTGGGACCAGGTCCCGTAACAGCCTGCCTGCTTACCGTCTGCTCCCATCCCTGGGGAAAGCAAGGGAGCTCGGGGTCCTAGGACCTGACCTCAGCGCTCACCCCCACCAGCACCACAGTCACCAGGACTCTGTGACTCAGTTTACCCCACGAGAGCCCCTGGGATTCCCAGGGCATCAGAAGGCCCATCAGCCTCCCGTGAACTGCTGGGGTGGGCCTGGCCTTGGGACGCGGGTGCAGGGGCCTCTCCTCACTGCCCCATGGCACCCACAGCCAGTGCCAGAGCCTGCTGCAGCCCCGACCCGGCAGAGCAAGCGGCTCTGCTACCTCAGCCACGTAGCTGATGGCATCCTTCAGGTTCAGCTCGTGGAAGACATTCAGGATCCGGTCTCGAGACTTCTGGGCCGACCGTCTCATGAGGACCCTGCTGAGGAACTTCCTGTCGAAGTGGGACCACCTGTAGGGACAGACCTTGGGTGTGAGCCTCAGGTGACAGGCGCCCTAGAGCCCGCCGGACGCGTGGCCCGGCCCCTTCTCTCCTGAATTTTGTTTGCTATAGTGACCCTGTAGGCGCGTTTAAAATGAGGGAAGCAGCCCCTGCCACACGCCCAGGCCGTCCGCCGTTCTCCCGCCTGTCCTGTTGGATGGAGGCCGTTAGACGCATATGAAACTGCATGCCGCCTCCTCCAGAGGGTGGCTCAGGACACGGTGGGTGTCAGGCCTGGTCAGGCAAGGGGGCTTTGGCCACATGGGGGGCACCTTCAGGTGCACAGGAGGAAGGGCAGGGGCGGACAGACACCCTGAGCCCTTAGACTTGTGGGAGCCAAGCTGACCAGAGTGAGGTTTTTTTTAGCCTAACGGAATTAGAGTATTCGCTGGTTATCCAGATCAGAAGGGACGGTGGCCTGGCCGGACTTAGAGGAAACTCTGGGGCACAAGGAGGTGATGCCTGTCACTTGGACATGGGTGCAGCCGCCAGAGCCGCCCTCCAGGGCACAGGGTGGGCCCGGGTGAGCTTGTGTGCTCACACCTGGGCAGGCCCCGCGGCAGCAATGGCAGCTCTCCTGTACAGGCTGAGTTTCAGCCACACCAAGAAGTCAAAGCTAACCGAGGCTGTGCCTTCCGAGACCCCCGGGATGGCCCCTGGGAGGCCAAGGAGTCGGGGACTGGGTACCCGGAGCAGAGTCACTGTGGCCACGGAGAACCGCAGCTGAGCTTTATGAAGCCACGTGGCCACACCTCCCGGTGCCTCCACCCCAAGCAAACACAGATCGCTCAGAAAATGGGAACCCAGGGCAAATTGTATGTGCTCCTTACTGGGTTTATTATAAGTGTCACATGTTTTTTATAATAAAACATAGGTGATTTCACCTTAATGGACAAACTCTTTTTTTTATTTTGGGACGAAGTCTCGCTCTGTCACCAGGCTGGAATGTAATGGCGCAATCTCGGCTCACCGCAGCCTCCACCTCCCGGGTTCAAGCGATTCTTGTGCCTTAGCCTCCTGAGTAGCTGGGATTACAGGCCCACGCCACCACCCCTGGCTAATGTTTGTATTTTTAGTAGAGACGGGGTTTCACCATGTTGGCTAGGCTGGTCTCAAACTCCTGACCTCAAGTGAGCTGACCACCTCAGTCTCCCAAAGTGCTGGGATTACAGGCTTGAGCCCTGCCAGACAAAATCATTTTAAATGTTGACTGATACTAACCCTGTTTATGACGTGGAGGAAATAATCTATTTGCCTTATTTTCAATTCCTACATAACAATTTGGAATTAATTGGGCCACATGAGAGGGCATCTCTATTCCCTGGAAGGAGCACAGAGAATTCAGCTCCTGTCCCCTCACTCGGTGGCCCCAACTGCTGCCGCCAACTCCTTTCCGCAGCACCTGCGTGTCTCGGGGCACACCTGGCACCTGGCCTCATGGGGCACCGGAGCCCTGACCAAGCCTGGACTCAAACAGTTGTTATGCATGTGGCTTCTGGTTCTTCCGAGTGGAGGATGTTTCCAGAAGCCGGGCTGTGCGACACCGCCGGGGCCGTCCCAGCCACTTACTTGTCTCTGAGATAATTGTGCCCGATCTGTCCGGATATGTCCTCGATGGCCGAGAGGATGTGGTCGAAAGCCTTTCAAGGGAAGAAAGACATGAGCGTCTCGGGGCGGCCAACCGGGGAACATGAGGTGCCCCTCCACTCCTGGCCCAGCCCCGAGGAACCCACCAGCCCCCCTCACCACGCCCCTGGCCTGGACGCAGCCTCCTCTCCCCTCCTGGCCCAGCCCCAAGGAACACACGGTGCCCTCCGCCACCCCCCAAGCCCCAGACCAACGCAGCCTCCTCTCCCCTCTCAGCCCAGCCCCGAGGAACACGCAGTGCCCCCCCCCGCCCCCCAGCCCCGCACGTATGGCGGCCTCCTCTCCCCTCCTGGCCCAGCCCCAAGGAACACACGGTGCCCTCCGCCACCCCCCAAGCCCCAGACCAACGCAGCCTCCTCTCCCCTCTCAGCCCAGCCCCGAGGAACACGCAGTGCCCCCCCCCCGCCCCCCAGCCCCGCACTTACGCGCCCGTGCAGCTTCTCGTTGAGCCGAGGTTCCCGGTGCTCGCTCCTCTTCACCTTCAGCCACTGCACCAGAGGCTTGATGGTCAGGCCCTGGAGGACAGGGTCTCGTGACCCTGGTGCCAGGCAGCCCCCCACATCCCGCTGGCCCGGCCAGGTGCACCACACAGAGCCACCTGCCCCGGGGCCCACAGGCGCCCTCCCTGCTCTCCGGGCACCCAGCAACCCGCGCCCCTGCTTTGCAGAGGAGGAAGCAGCACCCGGGGCCTCATCCACCAGCGAAGGCCCGGGAAGAACATTTTTAGGACAATTATGCTTCCTCCCCAGTGGGGCCACGTGAAAACCTACAAAACGGCTCCTAGTTACTAAAATTATGAAACCCAATTAGGGTCTGGAGCCTGGAAATGCTTGTCCTGAAGTGCGGGCCCAGGCTCCCCTCGCGGGCGGGGCCGAGACCCCAGGGCTGGCTGGGCTGGGCCTCACCTGGAAGATGACGGTGAAGAACACTACGATGATGGTGGTGCTGACGAACAGGTTCTTCTCCTTGACCTTGTCTCCATCCAGAAGCACCACCAGGGCAAAGGCCACGGCCCCGCGCAGGCCCCCGTAGGACAGGACCACCTGGTCAATGGGCTCCAGCTGCACCATGCGGTAGCGGTTCAGAAGCCAGGTCTGCAGGACCACACCTGCGGATGATGGGGCGGGCACTCAGCTCCCCGGCCGCCCTCCCAGCCGCGGGACCCCAGCCCCTCCGGGACAGCGTCTTGGCGGCCAAGCATGTGCTGACGAAGAACAGCGGCACCCTAGATACGGCGTCCCCACGCCACGTCCCTCGTCACCATCCACCCGGAGCCACACGCGGCCTGGCGTCTCCCCCCCACGCTCCGTGCATCACACACACGGGTGCTGGGGGATGGGGCTGGGCGGGGGCGGGGCTGTCTTGCTTCCCGTTCCATCTCTCGTGCCACTGACCCTGTCTTGAGGCACATCCAGTGGAGTCAGTGGGAAACCAAGTGGTTTCCCTTGGGGTTCCAGAGCCTCCCACCCCAGCCCCGAGGCCGCCACCATCAGGTCCTCTCCTCTGCCTTGCACGGGGCTGCACCTCCATCTCCCTGGGCCCAGTAGAAAGCCTGCGCCTTCCCGGAGACGGTGCCGGCCCATCGGTGGTCCCACGGCCGCAACCCGGCCCCGCCTCACCGATGGCCCGGTACACGGAGATGAAGACCAGCGTCAGGAGCACGAAGGCCGTGTTCCAGGTCCAGATGAACGGGTTCACGGCCGAGATACCCAGGAACATGAAGATGATGGTCTCGGCGCTGCTGGCCAGCATCTTCATGGTGTAGCGCACGGTGGTGGCCGACTGCTCCGAGATGTTGGCCTTCACATACTTCTGACAGCAGATGCCACAGAAGGTGATGCTGCAGGGACAGACGCGCCTCAGGACACGGCCACCTGGCCTGGCGCCCGAGGCCCCCGTGTCCGCCCAGCCCCCCACGGCCTGGCGCCTGTAGGCCCAGAGTCACAGTTGTGTGGTTACGGGGGCCTCTTCCTCCCGAGCCAGGCTGGGCCGCCAGGGTTCCTGCCCACAGCCCTGCGGGGGCCACAGGCGGCATCACCGTCATGCAGATAATGGGCACCGGGGCTGCCTGCCAGCAGGGAGGGCAACAAAGGGTTCCAAAGTCCCTCCCCACCTGACCTGTCTCAGGGTGGGCACTGCTGTCGGCCCACAGACAATTCAGTGGAAACGCCAACTCCTTATTTTAAAATTTAAATAAATTCTTTGCCCCACACTGAATTCCCACCCAGCCTGGGAGCGCCAGCGGAGCGGGCGAGGTGACGGGACACTGCTCTGAAGGTCCCGCGCTAGGACAGAGGGCAGGGGAGGCCCTCCACTTCCTGTACTTCCCCTCACGGGGGTTCACGGGGAACTTGGTGATGCAGAGCCCGGAGCTTCTGCCACACACACCCCCGGTGTCCATGCGGCTGGCACCTCCCTCCGAGTTGGGGTCCCCCTGGCTGGCTCACCCCGCCGGACCCAGGAGGGTGTGGAGAAGCTCGGGTTGGGGTCCCCCTGGCTGGCTCGCCCCGCCGGACCCAGGAGGGTGTGGAGAAGCTCGGGTTGGGGTCCCCCTGGCTGGCTCGCCCCGCCGGACCCAGGAGGGTGTGGAGAAGCTCGGGTTGGGGTCCCCCTGGCTGGCTCGCCCCGCCGGACCCAGGAGGGTGTGGAGAAGCTCGGGTTGGGGTCCCCCTGGCTGGCTCGCCCCGCCGGACCCAGGAGGGTGTGGAGAAGCTCGGGTTGGGGTCCCCCTGGCTGGCTCGCCCCGCCGGACCCAGGAGGGTGTGGAGAAGCTCGGGTTGGGGTCCCCCTGGCTGGCTCGCCCTGCCGGACCCAGGAGGGTGTGGAGAAGCTCGGGAGGAGGGCGTGGAGAAGCTCGCGTGTGTGGGAGGGACTCACGCGAGGATGGCCGACAGCGACAGCATCTCGGACGTCAGGTAGGACAGGTAGGAGATGATGAACACGAAGCCGGGCTCGATGATACGCACATGCTTGGTGAAGCGCGTCACCAGCGACAGCAGGAAGGCGAAGACCACCCCCACCAGCGTGCCCCCCAGGCTCACCACGAAGAAGGACACTGGGTAGAGGACGCCCTTTGTGGCCGTGCCGGCCTTCCGGGCCCTTCCTTGCCAGGGGCCGCCTGGTGACCCCGCGGAAGTGCCGGGAGCCCGGGAAACGGGGGTGGATCCCTCACTCTCTTGGAGATCGGGCCTGGTCTCAGCACCAGCCTTGGTTCAGCAAGTGGGGAGGACCCTCCCGTGCCCCTGGGAGCCTGGCCCCAGGCCCTATCCGGCCGTCTGTCTCAGGAAGACCTGGCTGCCCTCATCCCTGTTCTGGGAAACACCCAGGAACCCCCAGGACCATGTCAAATCGTGTGTGAATCGCTCTGGACGGGGACGTGACGTGGACAGAAGGGCCCAGTGTAGCAGCTTTGAGTGCAAAGCTTTTTCCTGCATGGGCTGCAGGCCAGAGAAGACAGTTGGCCCCAGAGGAGACACGGCCGCCCACTCCCCCTGACCCACAGCTACACACCTATGCCCTTCACGCAGTCCACGCCAGTCACGTTGTCACCTCCCAGCGCCACGAAAGATTCAAACACATTGTACAGAACCTGCAGGGAAAACGGGCAGGGCGTTGGGTGGTCCTTGGTTAGTGCCACCCCCTCTCCGGGGCCCGGGCCTCGCTGGACTTGGCCCGAGTGTGGAGCCCATGGCACCCGAGGCCGTTGGAAGGAAAATCATCACAGGGCAATGGCCCCCAAAGGGGAGAAGCCCAGAGCCCAGCAGCCAGCAAGACATGGGGCAAAAGAATGTTCTGGAGGGGACCAGAAGCTTTGGGAGCAAAGCTGGCCTCTTCCTATCCTCTGCAAAACAGGGGCAGCTGCAAAGCTCCCTGCCACTTGAATTCTGAGTCTCATCTACGGAGACAAACCCAGGGTGTCAGTTTGAGTGACTTCCCTGCTGTGCTGGCTCTAGCCCCTGCCGTCTTTGCATGTTTTTAAACCTTAGCCCGGCAAAACCCAGAGATAAAATGCGGGGAAACCTTATCCACGCCCTGGGCTCCACGCCCAGCAAAGTGGTGACGCAGGTGAGACCGGCCGAGGGCCGTCCTGGGTGGGCCGAGGCCCCTGGGGAGAACCTGGCTCTGCACCCAGCTCTGTGTCTCTGGCTCTGGCCAAGGTGGGAGAGGACCCTGGGGCAGGCGTGTAAGTTGGGTTTGCAAATGCAGGCTGGGGTGGGGGGCCCATGAGGGTCCCGGGGTCTCTTGGGGCCTTCTCGGAGCTGGGCTTTTTAATGAAAATCCAGCTGGGAGGGAAGACAACCTCTTGGGAGACTCTTGCTTCTCCAGGGACGGGAGCCGCAGGGCTGCGGGGCACACGGGGCTGTCACTCTATTCCCGATTAAGTCTCACTTCCCAAATTCCCCCGAGAATATCTTGCCGTCTGGTGTGCGACACCCACAGGACTTTCCTCTTTCCAAAACCCCTAAGGGAACATGAGAGGCTGACGGGTTTCAAACCTTTCAAACCACAGGCACTTTCAGAGGGGAGAGGAAGCTGACCCCACCCTTCCCTCCGGCTGCGTCTGCAGGGTCCTC
This sequence comes from Homo sapiens, assembly GCF_000001405.40. NCBI lineage: Eukaryota > Metazoa > Chordata > Mammalia > Primates > Hominidae > Homo > Homo sapiens. Next base: position 486,217 of record NC_000005.10, read on the forward strand.
GGGGCTGGGGGAGGATGGGCAGGGGCAGCACGGGGCGGGGGCAGTGTGGGGGCTGGGATGGTGTCGGGGCCGGGCCCAGGGCTGGCCTCACTGACGGTTCCTAGGAGGGCCACTCTGCACGTGCCCCTCGGATGGCCCCATGACTCACTTCCGGGAGGCAGTGGCCCCATTTGATGGGATTGGCTTTGAAACGTCACGATTGTCACTGTGAAGTAGTAACCATGTTCCTTGGGGTTCCTGAATCTTCTCCTGGCCTTACTGAGCGCTGATGTGGCCTTTGGGCCTCTGTGGAGGCACCGTCCCCGCCTCCCGGAACACCATCTCCTCCAGGGACACCCACACACCGTCCGGGCTCTGCCGTTAGCACCAGTTCAGTTTCCCTCCCTTCACCTCTGTCATGGGCCAAATTGTGCCCCCGAAATTCCCATGTTAAAGTCCCCAGGACCTGGGCATGTGAGCGTGAAAAAGGGGAGTATGGCACAGTCAGGTCACCGGGGTGGACCCTGATCCAATAGGACCCGTGTCCCTGTGAGAGGAGGCGACTCGGGCACATTCACGCAGGGACGGCCACGTGAGGACACGGGAAGGCACCGTCTGCAAGTCCAGGACCGGGGTCCCGCAGGAGCCCACCACACTGACACCGTGATCCAGACCGCACTGACACCCACCGCACTGACACCGTGATCCAGACCGCACTGACACCCACCACACTGACACCCACCGCACTGACACCCACCACACTGACACCGTGATCCAGACCGCACTGACACCCACCGCACTGACACCGTGATCCAGACCGCACTGACACCCACCACACTGACACCCACCGCACTGACACCCACCACACTGACACCCACCGCACTGACACCCACCACACTGACACCGTGATCCAGACCGCACTGACACCCACCACACTGACACCCACCGCACTGACACCCACCACACTGACACCGTGATCCAGACCGCACTGACACCCACCACACTGACACCCACCGCACTGACACCCACCACACTGACACCGTGATCCAGACCGCACTGACACCCACCACACTGACACCCACCGCACTGACACCCACCACACTGACACCGTGATCCAGACCGCACTGACACCCACCACACTGACACCCACCGCACTGACACCCACCACACTGACACCGTGATCCAGACCGCACTGACACCCACCACACTGACACCCACCGCACTGACACCCACCACACTGACACCGTGATCCAGACCGCACTGACACCCACCACACTGACACCCACCGCACTGACACCCACCACACTGACACCGTGATCCAGACCGCACTGACACCCACCGCACTGACACCCACCACACTGACACCCACCACACTGACACCCACCGTCGTTCAAGGCACTGCACCTGCGGTACTTTGTCATGGCGGCCCTGGCAGATTACGTGGTTCCTATGGGATTTTGTTGTTTGCTATTCACGTATTTATTTTATTTGAGATGGAGTCTCACTCTGTCACCCAGGCTGGAGTGCGATGGCACGATCTCGGCTCATTGCAACCTCTGCCTCCTGGTTTCAGGTGATTCTCCTGTCTCAGCCTCCCCAGTAGCTGGGATTACAGGCGCGTGCCACCACCCCTGGCTAATTTTTGTATTTTTAGTAGAGACGGGGTTTCACCATGTTGGCCAGGCTGGTCTCGAACTGCTGACCTCAGGTGATCCACCTGCCTCGGCCTCCCAAAGTGCTGGGATTACAGGCGTGAGCCACCGCACCCGGCCACTCATGTATTTTTTAGGAACTCAGGAATGGGTGGCAGTAACTGTGGGTCCAAAGTCACAGACGCTCTGGGGACCAGGAGGGCGGGATTTCAACAGCGCCATCATTAACCCTGAAGCTATGGAGTGGGCGGGCAGGGCCTGGGAACTGTGGAAGATACAAAGAAGCCTCGCGAAAGCTGCCAGTCGTTCTGAGCTGGGAGGAAGGAGGTGGAGGGACGGGACGCCCCCGGGAGGGGAGTTTGAGGACAGGGTTTCACGCCCTCCTTTGCTGACTGACCGATGGGGGGTGAGACGGGGCCCAGGCCTCCCACGGCTCGCCCGCTCTGGAGCGGTGGCTCCGTTGCTCACCACGGTGACTGCGTCGTTCAGCAGCGACTCCCCGAAGACGATGATGAACAGGACCTCGTTGACATGGACCTCCTCAAACACGGCCAGGACGGCCACCGGGTCCACAGCCGCCATGAGGCTGCCAAACAGGAGGAAGTCCAGCAGCCCAATCTGCAGGTCGCCTGGAAGACAAGCCGGGCCGCGGGGCAGCTGCAGGGCCTGCCACCCGAGGAGGAGGGCCCTGGGGAGGCGCTCGCCTACGGGTCGGGGTTCGGAGCCCGTCTGGCTGGCGCCGGTGGCGTGGGGAGCTGGGTCAGCTTCCTGCGTCCCTCCCACAGACCCCCAGCCCCCTCCAGGGAAGGCTGCTGTCTTCCGAGGGGGCCACCCCATCTGAGCAAGACAGACAGACAGACTGACCCTGGCCCTGGCCCTCTCCTTCATCTTTGGGTGAACGGAGGCAGGTGGGTGCAGGGGCACCGCATGCTGGGGAGGGATGGGGGCCCATCGCCTGGAGTGGCGTCCCAGCCCAGGAGAAGCAAGTGGGGCTGACCCAGGACGGGCCCGGAGCCGGGACACACAGCACCCAGGGGCGCGGCCAGGGAGGGGCAGGTGGGAGGGCCGTTGGGGGTGTGGGGGCAGATTGTGGGGATGAGCAGGGCTGCGGTGGGAGCAAGGGGGCCCGGAAGACGTGGGTCCATGTGGTCCCTAGCTCCCGGCCGGCTTCCCTCCCCGCATCTGCCTGTGGGCTCTGGTGCCCCTCGCTGGGGAGGTTTTACTGAAATGCAGCCTTATCCTTCACAAGTCTTTGCCATTCAACCCAGGGTTCAGGCCTCGAGGAGGCCACGTGGGGGTGCCAGGCTCCAGGGGACCCTCAGGGAACTGAGTGTGGCCACGTGGCCCCGAGAGTCTGCCCTCTCTCACGGCCGCAGGGCTCAGAGGACACTGGGCCTCCTTGCTGCCTTCCCGGCCGTGAGGGTCCAGGGACCAGGAGACGCCAGGGCCGTGAGGGTGTGGGAGAGACCACCCAGGGAGGGGGAGGCCCCCGACGAGTCCCCCCGCACAGCTGCTGCCTCTCTGCTGGGCTGGAGCGGAGCCCACCACCCCTCTGGGCTGAGGCTCGGGCTGAGGAGGGGTTTGTCCCTGGAGCCGGACGGGCCCCAGGAGACAGCAGAGAGCAGCCTGGCCAGGGGTTTCTGTGCTGGCGCCTGGGAGGGGACAGATCAGGGTCATCTCTGCGGTGACTAAACCCCGAGTTTGCTGTGAGCTCCTAAGCCCCAGCAGCCTCTGGCCAGTGTCACAACACCCCGAGGAAGTGACAGATGCCAGAAGAACCAGCGTTCAGGGAGTTAAAGTTCCATGTTGGAACGGGAACCACACAAGCCTTCTCCTCTTCCAAACTCAGGCCTCAGGACACGAATCCCCTTCAAGGTCATCTTTAAACGCGGCCTCCTGGCACGGCCGCCCCCAGGGCAGTGATGGCCCCCATGGATGTCCTGGGGTCGGCCGCGTTCAGACTCCCCGGCCGGCAGCCTTCCCGTCTGGACAGTTGCCCACGGCCGTGCCAGGAGGGCTCATGCCACCAGACCGCATGTTCCAGGCCTTTCTCCACCACGTGCTTTGCCTGTGCAAGGGCCTCTGATGCCTGAAGCTCTCGCAGGGCCTGTCCCCACACTGCCCGGACAGCCCCCGGGCCAGCACTGCCATGTCGACCCTTTCCCATGGGGCACGTTTGGCCTTGAGACGCTCCACAGGGCTTGGCCTCTGGTCTGCAGAGATCAGTTGCAGCCTCCCAGCTCTCTTGGACTCCCAGGAATGGGATGGACCTGCCGGCCATGGGCATCTCTGTTCCAGAACCTCAGGCAGCACCCAGCTTTGACCAGCTGGGCCCCAAGGCTGAGCGCAGGCCTCCAGCATCCGTGTCACCTGGGGAGCGGCCTGCCCCAGGGGGCACAGCGATACCTGGGACACGTGTTTCTCATGAGGAGCGTTGTTGGAGGACGGTAGAGTCCAGCGTGGCGAGGGGCAGGGGTGGAGTGCAGCGTGGCGAGGGGCAGGGGAGGGCCAGGGGTGACGTCCTGGTGTGGGGAGTCCTCCAGGGCTTCATGGTGCAGGTGCAGCAAGGACGTCCTCCAGGCTCGGCCAGTTGCACCGAGGACATTCTGCTTCGTGCAAGGGAAATCCGGCAGTGTCTCTGGCCAATGCTAGGCGGGGACCATTGTGACGTGGCCACAGAGCCACGGAGTGTGCCCGGCTCTCAAAGGAGCGGCCCTGACGGCCAGACTGATCACAGGCTACTCCATCCCACACTCGACACAGCTGGGAGGAAGCTGGGATCTCATGGGCGAGGGGCCATCTGGCAAGGTAGGTGTGAGCCTCGAGGGGCCGCGGGTCCAGGAGTCTCTGCTACAACCCCTGAGGCTTTCCCTTGGGTGCGGTGGCTAGGGCGGCTGCCCCATCCGAGGTGTGTCCTGACCACCTATGGCATCGCCCACGTGACGGGCCTGCCATCCATGAGCCTGTCTGTGCCCTCGGCAGCTTTCCCTGGGCTGCACCTGGTGGGTGATGCTGGACGGCAGGGACTACAGGGAGGGGTGAGAAGGCGCCAAGGAACCACGTGCTGGGTGAGGCGGCCCCAACCCGGGAGCTCCTCTTTCTCCATGCGTCTCCTTGGTCTCAGGTTTCAGCCCCTTGATTCCCATGGAGAGGCCGGGCCGTGCTCTCTCTTGAACCAGACGGAAAATCGCCAATTCTTGTGAGTCTGGTTCAGCTGGTGGATTTGTTTGAGGCTGAGTTCTCAGACCGGTGAGGGCGGCAGGTGCCGGAGGCCTGCGCTCAGCCGTGGGGCCCAGCTGGTCAAAGCTAGGCTCTGCCTGAGGTCCCTGGACCCACCTGGTCAAAGCTGTAGCATCCCCGGCAGCAGCGGCGGGCATCAGGGCTGCACCGCACCTGGCATGTTGAGAGGCGCCAGCCACGCGTGGTCTGGGTCCGGGGCGGGAGGCAGTGCCCGAGAGATGAAGCATCCAAGACCAAAACCGCGCAGCAGTTCTGGCTCCGGCTGTGGCTGCAGCGGTGGCCGAGCGGCTCCGGCACACAGGCTGGGAGGGACGGTGCCCGATACACCAGGCTCTGCAGTCCTCCTCCTCTCCCTGGGACCTGGTGGCCGGCGAGTGTGGACGGACCCCTACCTCTGCCCAGTGCCGGAGGAAGAGCGGCAGCCCCTGGCCACCTGCAGCCCCCAAGCCGAGCTGCCGAGATGGGAACTCCTCCCCAAGCAGAACACGTGCTGGGACCTGGGGACGCGCAGGGGACTGGCCTTGGTCACGAGGGCCTACGGGGCTGCCAGCCACGTTTCTCACCTGACACTTACCGCCTGGAGGCCAGGGTGCGGCACCCCGACCTTTCTGAGATGAGGCAGCGCCGCCCCTCCCGGACCCCACCCTGATCCCGGCCGGGGCAACAGTGGCGCAGACTCACCCATGAGCCCACTGAGGAAGACGCCGTAGAGGGACAGCCCGGTGGTGGCCGCGTTCCACACGGTACCCACGACGGCGTACAACAGGATGGTCCCCAGGTTGCCGAAGAAGAGGCGGTTGGGCATGAAGTAGCCGGCGTCCAGCACGATGGGGGGCAGCAGGTAGAAGAAGAAGACGGTGGGCGTCAGTGTGAAGGACGCGATGTGGTCGGCCGCCCAGACGATGCCGCCCAGCACCAGGCCCAGCACGATGAGCAGGGCGCTCTCGGGAACCACGCTGGTGACCTTGTGGGACAGGTGGAACCCTGTGGGGGAAGGGAGGGAGGTCAGGGCCGGGCTGTGAGGGAGGGGAGGGAGGTCAGGGCCGGGCTGTGAGGGAGGGGAGGGAGGTGTGGGGACTCGTGGGGGAGGGGAGGGATGTCGGGGCAGGGCCTGTTGGGGAGGGAGGTCAGCGGGGACTCGTGGAGGAAGGGAGGAAGGTGTGGGGACTCACAGGGGAGGGGAGGGAGGTCGGGGTGGGACCCGTGCGGCAGAGGAGGGAGGTCAGGGTGGGGCCTTGGGAGAGGGCAGGTAGGTGGGGGGAGCCCATGGGGGAGGGGAGGGAGGTAGGGGGGAACCCACAGGGGAGGGGAGGGAGGTCGGGGTGGGACCTGCGGGGGAGGGGAGGGAGGTCAGGGCAGAGCCCTCGGGGGAGGGGAGGGAGGTCCAGGTGATCAGGTCCCACAGGGCTCAGAGCTGCAGGCATCTAAGACCTCCCCCGACTTTTCAGGGAGCCCAAGAGGGCTGGGAACGAGGAGAGTGCAGGGGCAGCTGCTGGAGCCCCCAGAAGGGAGTCAGTTGGAGGAGGGAGCCGGTGCTATGGGGTGGAGGCCCGTGCTGGATGGACGGTGGTCGGGGGGGGGCCTCTGACCTGCCGCCCCACCGCCCGGCTGGTTCTGGTCCCCCGGACCCCCAACTCGCTCTGTGCCTTTTGCCTTGGTGACCAAGGTCTGAGCTCACCCTGTCCCTGACGTTGTGGCCAGAGCCTGCTCCCACTTGAGGCTGGCTGTGTTTCAGACCCCTCCGGAGGGGCCCCATGGAGGCTGTGGCCCCCTCTCCTCGTGCCCCTCTCCTGGGATCACGGCCCCTGGGTGGGGTGTTCTAGGAAGAGTCTCTGGGTCCCGCCACTCCACTCCGCACGGGTGAGCTTAAGGGTGGACAGCAGGTCCTGGGGACCCCCCGTGGAGCTTCACCCCGTCCCCCAGCACCATCGCCCCTGCCAGGACCTCAGAGGCTCTGCCCGGCCCTGTGGGTGGGGGTGCAGGCACCAACCTATCTGGGCCATGTCTCCTGTGTTTTAGTTGGACTCAGAAAAAAAAAAAAAGGTGATGAGAATTCCTGCGCTCGGCCTGATTTCAAAATAGCGGGAAGCCTGACAAATGAGGTGCGTCCTCCGGCTTCGGTGATGTAAGGGATAATGAGCTTCTTCATTCCCTCAGCTGCTGGTTATTAAGTCTTCTTTGAAATTCAAAGGAAAGTTGTCTCCTGAGATGGCCAAGACCCCATTTAAGCACAGAGCAGCGGGAGCGGGGAGGCTCCCTCCACACCACCCGCCCCCGAAGAATGTGTCAGCACAGCTGGAGGGGCGGTGGAGGCAGTGGCCACGTCCCACCCTTCCCGACTGCGTGGCCCTGACGAGCTCGGCCCTCCCTGCCTGTTTTCTCCCTTGTAATTACGGAGCTCTTGCAGGGCCGGGTGCTGGCCCAGAGGAGGGAGGTGCTGTTCTGGATTTGCCGTTCCTTCCCCGAGGATGGTCTTACACCAAATACCACGGGTGGCATGGGCCCCTCTAGGGAGGGTGGCAGGCACAAGCTCCGCACCTGCCCGGCCACCAGCACTGCACTGCGGTCTCCCGACCCTGTCCCCAGGACAGCGGCTCTGCCTGCTGCTCCAGATTCCAAAACACCAGCCCCGGGAGGGATCGGGGTTCAGAGGCTCCTGCTTTCAGGATGGGAGGTCCTGCTGTGGGCCCCGTCCCCACCATGTGCCCCACAGGCTCTCTGAGCCCCCCGACGGCTCCCCCACTCCGGGCTGCACATCCTGCACAGATCTGAGCTCCACACCTGTCAGGCAGGGCAGCGGGGGTTGGCCCGGGGAGGCTGGAACCACGCGACAGTGATAACCAAACCAGGGGAGGGCATGGCCTGCAATGAGGGAGGGCCTGGCCTGGAATGAGGGAGGGAGGCTGTCCCTGGGGAACACGGAGGGTGAGCTCCCTGGAGTCCTCGGGGCCCCGCTCAGAGCTGGCCTGCAGGGTCCCGTCTGCTCCAGCTTTCAGCAGGAGAGCATCCGTAGGGTTGACCTTGCTCTCTCCCCACAGCTCTCCCTTCTCTAGAAGGTGCTCCCCAGCTGGGAGTGGCTGTGATGCACGTGAGAAGTCCTGGGACCCTAACGCGTGCCCCGACAGCCCCGTCCTCAGCAGCGCCCTCCCCAGATCTGGGCTCACGGGGCTGGCAGCCCAGCAGGAAAACAGGGGCCCCTCTTCTCTGGGCTCCACGGCCTGGTCCCTGTGGTGGCCAGGGACAGACCTGGCCTCGCAGAGCTTTGGGAAGAGACATGGGTGGCCTTCCGGGCCTGCGAGGGGAAGGCTGTGGCCTCTGCTCAGGGCAGCCTGGGACCCCCTCCACAGCCGGGACTCAGCAGGTTCTAGGCTGGCATGGGAGTCTGCACACTAAGGGCTCCGAGGCCTTTGGGAGTCCTGCTGGGGGTCCCTATGGTGCAGGAAGGCCTGGGGCAGGTGTTCCCACCTCTGCAGCCTCCTGATTTTTTTAATAATGTCCAGAGAGAAGTGGAGTTTACCACTTCCTTCCTTTCTTCCTGAGGGCTGTAAATCCCCGCCTTGGTGTCCCAAGCTGTGTTAGGAAGACCAGGGTGGTCTGTGCCCGGTGCCGGCGCCTGCCCACCCGCAGGCTGACCCGCGCCTCTCACATCTGTCCTTGGCGACGTCGTCACCTCTGCTGCTGGCGACGAGTGCCTAGCAAAGCCGGGCACAGCCGTGGTGATGGTGACCCCCTGGAGGCTGCCCAGCCGCTGGCAAGACCCACCCAGGCCGCTGTTTTCTACACGATGCACGTTCTTTGCCTCTGCCCACGTCCCAGGCTGGCTCCTGGAGGGGTAATCGGCTCACCTGTCCTCCTCTTTTCAGGGTCACAAGACCTGGGAGATGGTATTTGTCCAATAGCGCTTGTGGAGCAGCCAGCGGGGCACGTGTGGCCCCTCGGTGCCCGCCGGCACGTGGGCTGCTTTGAGGATAAAATCCAGCGACCACAGAGACCGCGTGTCCCCAGGTGGGGGGGCGCCGTGGCCGCAGGTCAGACCTGGGAAGCAGCGGGAGTCTCGGAGCTCCTGGACGCCCTCACCCTTGGTGGCTGCCGACACTTGGCCCGGGGTCTTTTTGTTGAGGGTTAGGGTCTTTCAGCCACAGTCTTCCAAAATTAGGTTCACAGCGATCACCACCGTTGTGAAGCCACCCCAGACAACCGCGGGCCAGCAAGTCAGGGACACAGGGACACAGGGACCAGCTTTGTCTTTAAAAACAACAACGCAACTCTGTGCCCTGGGGACTCACAGTGCTCCCCGCGCCATCGCCGACCCTCCCCACGCTCCACTCCCCGCGCCATCGCCGACCCTCCCCACGCTCCACTCCCCGCGCCATCGCCGACCCTCCCCACGCTCCACTCCCCGCGCCATCGCCGACCCTCCCCACGCTCCACTCCCCGCGCCATCGCCGACCCTCCCCACGCTCCACTCCCCGCGCCATCGCCGACCCTCCCCACGCTCCACTCCCCGCGCCATCGCCGACCCTCCCCACGCTCCACTCCCCGCGCCATCGCCGACCCTCCCCACGCTCCACTCCCCGCGCCATCGCCGACCCTCCCCACGCTCCACTCCCCGCGCCATCGCCGACCCTCCCCACGCTCCACTCCCCGCGCCATCGCCGACCCTCCCCACGCTCCACTCCCCGCGCCATCGCCGACCCTCCCCACGCTCCACTCCCCGCGCCATCGCCGACCCTCCCCACGCTCCACTCCCCGCGCCATCGCCGACCCTCCCCACGCTCCACTCCCCGCGCCATCGCCGACCCTCCCCACGCTCCACTCCCCGCGCCATCGCCGACCCTCCCCACGCTCCACTCCCCGCGCCATCGCCGACCCTCCCCACGCTCCAGTGAGGCCGCTGGTTACTGTAAAAGCCTGTTAACTGGGACACTGGTGGGTGAGGGACAGGCTGGCTTCAGACCAAACACTCCTGCTCAGAAGTAAGCCCTTAAAATCCACAGAAAACATCCTCTGACCTTGGTAGTTACTGAGAAAATATACATATATACGCACAAACGCCGCATAGGTGGGAGGGCGGCGGTTTGGAACATTCTGCCATCCGGGGTTGGAAAGGGTGTTGGACACGCCTTTCCCATGTGCGGTGGCGTCCGAGGGCAGCTCCTGCAGTCTTCAGGGTGTGTGTGTGTTGAGAGCTCACCTGTGTCCTCCTGCATGGGACATGCCGTCCCACCTGCCCACGGGGGAGGAGCCGCACCCATCCCCACCGGCCAGGCAGGCGTGAGCCACATCTCCTGAGGGGCCCAACCTAACAGCCTCTGACGACCTGTGGGTGACGCGTGAACGACCCCGTTCTGTGAAAGTGTCGGCTTGCTCCCCTGCCGGGCACTGATCCTTTCCTATTGACACGAGGTTCTTCGTAAGCTGGAAAATCCAGCCTTTGCTTATGTCTTCAGCGGCAGGTAGATTTTCACTTTCAAAAATGTTGCTCTCATCTTTCCACTTTGTCTTCTGTCATTTTGCTCCATGCGAACGTCTTTTCTTTTTATAGTTAAATTTATTGGTCTTTTGTTTTATGGCTTCTGAGTTTTGTGTTATACTTAACAAAGCCATTCCTGCTCATGTTTCCTGCTAAATTTTTTAGCAGGAAAAATAAAGGCACTCAATTAAATTTTCCTTGAAGGCTGGACTTAGTGGTTCACACCTGTAATCCCAATACAACAGTTTGGGAGGCCAAGGCAGGTGGATCCCTTGAGCCCAGGAGTTCGAGACCAGCCTGGGCAACATGGCGAAACCCCATCTTTACAAAAAAAAATACAAAAACTCTGCTGGGCATGGTGGCACACAACTGTAGTCCCAGCTACTCAGGAGGCCGAGGTGGGAGGATCACCTGAGCCTGGGAGGTTGAGGCTGCAGTGAGCCAAGATCACACCACTACATTCCAGCCTGGGCGACGGAGGCCTTGTCTCAAAAAAAAAATTTTTTTTTTACTTGAATTTAACAGAGAAAATAGTTAAAAATAGTTGCAACTCAGAAGGCCCTGCTAGCCTCAGAGAGACAGTCTTTCCACACAGATGTCTGTTCTTGAAATCCCCGAGCCTGGAAGTGGATCTGGGTGGCACTGGTGGGTGCTCCCGGTGCCCAGGCCGCTGCCCCGCAGGTGCCCCTCAAGTCACACCACTGCTCTGCCTCGGGCGACACGGTGCACTGGCCGAATTCCCTCCAGGTGCAGGAGTCGACGCCCCCCACTGCCCTCGAAACCTGGTTTCTCTGCTCCCGGGTCTCAAATCCGGGTTCTTCCCTTGACAGCTGGCGTCCACCCTCGAGCATTTGCGAATGTCAGGCTGACACCTGTGTCTGAGCCTGTCTGGGCACCGGGACTGCTGTGAAGGACACAGTCAGCCGGACTTTGCTTAGTTCACCTGTCGGAGCCACTCGTTCACGTTTATCTCTGTCTGGTTGTCAGAATAAATTGTTTCCAACCAGGAAACAAGGATATCTCTTAACACAATTGTTCTATTCTTTGGTTATTCCTCCACTTCAAAGAAGCTTCCTGAAGCTTCCAGATCCCCTGCAGCCCCCCTGAGCCGCTGACCCTGACCCCTGGGAGTGAAGCCTCATCTGCCCCTGTCCTGGGTGGGGTCGCCCGGCCGCATCCCCAGCCTCTGCCCCTGTCCCGGGTGGGGTCGCCCGGCCGCATCCCCAGCCTCTGCCCCTGTCCCGGGTGGGGTCGCCCGGCCGCATCCCCAGCCTCTGCCCCTGTCCCGGGTGGGGTCGCCCGGCCGCATCCCCAGCCTCTGCCCCTGTCCCGGGTGGGGTCGCCCGGCCGCATCCCCAGCCTCTGCCCTCCGACAACTCAGGCACCTGCTGGTCAGCTATGAAGCCTTAGCCTCGCTTGTGGGAGTCCCTGCCTCACGGATGCCGGCCTCCTGCCTCGGCCACCGCCCTCCTCTTCAAGGATGCTGTTTTGCCTCTGGTCGCTCTATCTTATCTTTTTTCTCCGCACTCCTGGACGTCTCTCGGACCTTTCGCTCTGACAGTGGCTTGAGCCTCGGCCGCCACTTCCGCCCCTGCTACTTCGGGGCCACGTCTCGGTCCGACGCTGAGGGGTGCTGCCAACCGTGTCTTCTCTGTGAACGTCCTCACGATGAACGCCCCCGTTCCACTTCCCACCCTGGAGCTGCTGCTTCCGTGACTCACATTCCGGCCATTTCCGTGGTGTGAGGTACGGGCGGGACTCCTTCTGCTTCTTGTCACACTTGTCCCGGGCTGGGCTCTTCCCCGCCAGCCCCACTTCCTGCCTTCCAGCATCAGTCCAGCCACTGAGCCCTTTTCTTTTGAGACATCATCTCGTTCTGTCACCTGGACTGGAGTGCAGCGGCACCACCTCGGCTCACTGCAACCTCCGCCTCCTGGGTTCAAGCGATTCTCCTGCCTCAGCCTCTGAGTAGCTGGGATTACAGGCGTGCGCCACCATGCCCAGCAAATTTTTGTATTTTTTGTAGAGATGGAGTTTCACCATGCTGGCCAGGCTGGTCTTAAACTCCTGGGGTCAAGCGACACGCCCACCTCGGTCGTCCACAGTGCTGGGATCACAGGCGTGAGCCACCGTGCCTGGCCAACCGTGTCTTCTCCCCTTGCTTGTGCCCGCCGTGGAAGGTTCTGTGGACATTCTCTGCACAACCCCGCTTTGGGAAGAGTGCCCCTGCTGGCCTCGGCTGCCTCTCCTGGGGTGTGTCTCCCTGCTGAGCTGGCTTTGGGTGGGACACTGCTTTCTACCCATTCTCCTGTGGCAGAGGAGTCCTGCAGCGTCTCCTCTGGTATCGGATGGCAGTTTCGCCCCAGCCAGGGTGGGGGGTCTCCTGGGCTTCTGCTTCTTCCTCCTGAGGAGGTGCCAAGGCCAGGCCTCTCCTTGGTGACCCTGCATCTCCCTGGTTTGGGACACTGGACTGGGGACCAAGAGAGGGGAAGGGTCTCGTTCTCATCTTCTCCTGAAACCAGGGGCTCTGCGGTTGATGGAAGTCCTCAGAGGGCGTCCTCAGCCTGGGGCTGGTCTGCTCCACACGGCTTTTCCCAAGGACCCATGGCCTCCTCTTGAACGGCAGTCTGCATTGTAATTAGCTGGTGAAACCAAGAACTCAATTGGTTTTAAGAGGCAATTTGCTAGTAGTTTGGCAATTAAGCACACAATGGACGTTTGGGAGCCAAGTCCCTGTGCTGTGAGCCCTGCAGGGTCCAGTTCCTGCTGCCAGTCGGTATTGAGTGCCAGGGACTGGCCTGGCATGAGGGCCTGACCCGGGCAGTGCTGTCCACATGCACACAGCCGGGGCCACCCCGCTTTCTGGGGGCATCTGCCGGCACCAACCAGGCCTGGGCCTGTGGTTAGGGCCTGTTCCACAGACTCATTCCAGGCAAGGCGCTTACTTACTGCCACAATCTGCACGTTTTTAGGATGGGATGACGACACTTGGGTTCCAGGGTCCCTGTGTGGAAACGTCCCCACATGCTGGGCCGTCCTTCCTTCCTGTGCCCTCTGTCCGCCATCTCCAGACACCGCCCAGTGCCTGATGCCGTCTGCAGCTCCCTCTGGTCTGACAACCAGTCACTCCTGCTCCCTGGGGACACGTGGGCCCTCGAGGCTCTAGAACGGGAGGGAGGTGGCTGGCAGGGCCCGAGATAATGCCAAGGTGGCTCCTAGAGACCTTGCATCTGCGCATAACGTCTCCGTAGATCAGCAGAAGGCCCAGCCACTCCCAGTCCAGGGTCCAGCCCCTCTGTAGGGGCCACTGCTCAAGCCAGCATGGCTACAGAGATACCATGGGAGTGTGGAGGGGCCACTGCACCTCAAAGAAGAAGGAACCCACAGCCCTGGGCCCCGTCGGAGCCACCACAGGCGCAGGGCACAGCCTCCTCGGCCCAGAGCTGTTGGGCAGGAGCTGCAGGGTGGCTGGGACGCAACAGGCAGCGACATCTTCAACCTTCTACCAGAAGAGCCTCAGGTCCACCGCACTGACTGCGGCAACCCCGGCCCTGTGGGTTGAAAGGGCAGAGGGTGTCTGAGGCCTTAAGGAAATGAAGAGAATAGAACTCGCCCCATGGCACACACTGTGAGGGAACCAGGCGGTGTGGGACCCTCCCGAGACGCACTATGCAGAGCCTGGGCTCAGCCACACAACTGCAGAAGCCAAACCACGAGAAGCTCCACAGACGGAACCGGCTTCCGGCACCACTGGGACACGCCACGAGGCTCCCCCAGCTAGGTGCACACACGGCATGCGACTGGCGTGGATCCCTGGCGAGAATGGAAGGGGGGGTGGCAGGAGACGGGGACGGGACCCTCCAGGGACACAGGAAACACACACCAAGCACGGAGAGGCCAGGCGGGCCGGTGTGGACAGGGGGCCGGTGTGGACACGGGGCCAGTGTAGATGGGGCCAGTGTGGACGGGGCTGGTGTGGGAGGGGCTGGTGTGGATGGGTCAGTGTGGACACAGGGCCGGTGTGGACATGGGGTCAGTGTGGAAGGGGCCGGTGTGGATGGGGCAGGCGTGGATGGGGCTGGTGTGGACATGGGGCTAGTATGGATGGGGCTGGTGTGGATGGGGCCGTGTGGATGGGGCCAGTGTGGATGGGGCTGGTGGGTGTGGACGGGGCTGGTGTGGACGGGGTCAGTGTGGACACAGGGCCAGTGTGGACATGGGGTCAGTGTGGAAGGGGCTGGTGTGGATGGGGCAGGCGTGGATGGGGCTGGTGGGTGTGGACGGGGCTGGTGTGGATGGGGCCAGTGTGGACACAGAGTCAGTGTGGACATGGGGTCGGTGTGGACGAGGCTGGTGTGGACACGGGCCGGTGTGGACAGGGCCAGGCCCTGAGTCCGCCTGCCACAGCCCGTGTGGCTTCCACACAAGGGGACAAACCTGGGGACACGCAGGCCCTCAGGTAACTGATTGCCGAGGCTGGAGAGTCACAGCTAATTAAGCACACAATGGCTTGGTGGCCTGATGGTTACGACAGGGGACAGACGCTTTTAGTTCTAATTACAAACCCTGTGCCTGGAGGAGGAAGGGCCGGCGCTGGCAAACCAGACATTTCCGGATGGGCGCCGGAAAGGGCTTCTCTCTGGGCCCCGGGGGGCTCAGGAAGGCCACGGCCCAATGCATGTCACACCCCTCGGAGCACAGAGGGACGGGGCTTGGTCAGGCCCAGGGCCTCCGCCACCTCCAAGGACCTTTCAAGGTGGCAGAGATTCAGCCGAGTCCACAAAAATGCAACAGCGCAGTCAATCCTGTGGTTTTACTTTAACAGGAACACGTCCCGGAGGATTAAACTCTGCCTCCCAGAAACAGCCTGGCTGAGCGGTGGGGCGGTGAGGCCAGGAAGGAGGGCGGAAGCACAGGTACCCACCCTCCCGGGGGACGAGGGGCCGGGGCATTCCACAGGCAGGCGCAGACACATGCAGGAACACGTGCACGCACACAGAGACTCGCAGAGACGCAGAGACGTGCAGAGACACACAGAGGAGACACGCACAGGGTCCACCCTGTTCTCCTAGCACAGCTGTGGGTCTGAGTTCTCTGCCACCCGCCCCTGCAGGTCCAGCAGAGCTCGCCAGCACACTCTGACCTCAGTATCACTTTACCCGCCTGTGGGGCACCGGCGAGGAATCACGGTAAATGTGTCGGCCGTCAAGCCCAGGGCGGAGGTAAAGGTGCTCACGGAGGTCCGCCGTGCGGCCTGGCAGACGTGCCTGCGTGACCCCACGCGTCCCTGCCTGCGGGTGCAGTTCCCCGTGAGTACTCAGGTTGGCGTGGGACAGGGGAGCCGGCTCCCGGGGGCCACGCAGGAAGCCCCTCTCCGAGCGAGGCCGGGCCCCCGGGCCGGGAAGCTGCTTCCTGCCAGATGAAGTTCACACAGCTCCAAGAACAACAGCCCGTTCAGGACTGGACTCCCTGCGCTCAAGTCACAAGGCGTTTTACACATTGTACATTTACAACACTCGAGCAAACCTGGTCGGTTTTTAAATTGAAACATGAATGTTGCCCACGGTTCCCTAGAGAATCAGGAGATCCTTCGACTCCAAACCACCCTGAGCAACCGCGCTGGGGCAAAATGAACGCAGCCTCTGAGCCAGCCACGGCCTCTGTCCAGGACGCTGGGCAGACCCCACACCCCTTCCTCTCTGGGACCCAGCCGCTCCGGCCCCCCACCCCCAGAGACGGCCCAGGCCCCCTTATTAGCAGCGTGAGAACAGACAGACACAGGCAGGTCCCAAGCTGCCCACAGCAGAGGAAAGACCTGGATGCAGATCCCAGCTGCCACCACCTCAGGGCTTTGCTCAAAGCAGCAACAAGCTTCAGCTACCGCAGACCCAGCGGCGCCTACCAGGGGCCGCAGCGGAGCACAGTCCCCGGCAAGACACCGGTCGCAACGTCCTGGGGCAACGGAAGTCACGAGACACGTGAAGTGGGAATGTGGCCCAGCTCAAATCAGAGGAGAACGCAAGATGGTCAGACCCTGGAATCAGCAGACAAGGGCCTAAAACAGCAGCTCAAGGATAGAAAAGAAACGTTCTCATAACCACTTAAAAAGGACAAGCCGCAGCGGTGGAGTGGAACAGGGCTTGGCACATTTTTTCTTAAAGGCAGATTGTGAGTATTTTAGGTCCTGCAAGCTGCCAACAGGAGGATCACTTCATAACCACTCACTACCAGTGAGGCCGAAAGCCGCTGTAACGACACAGACGGGCGCCGAAAGCCGCCGTAATGACACAGATGGGCGCTGTGTTCCAGTGAAACTTTACCACTCACTACCAGTGAGGCCGAAAGCCGCCGTAACGACACAGATGGGCGCTGTGTTCCAGTGAAACTTTACCACTCACTACCACTGAGGCCGAAAGCCGCTGTAACGACACAGATGGGCGTTCCAGTGAAACTTTATTTACAACAACCAGTGGCCGGCCCACGGGCTGTAGTTTGCTGATGCCTAAAATAGAACTTATCAAAGAGAACCAAGCAGAAACCCTAGAATCTCTGACATAAAAACTCAATGGATAGACTTACGAGCAGACAGAAATGACAGTAAAGAGAGTGAACTGGAAGACAGATCAGAAGAAATCATCCCATCGGAAGACCAAGGAGAAAAAATGGTTTTTAAAGTAACCAGAGCCTCAGTGGCCTGTGGGGCAAAATCAATAGCTTGTAGCCGCAGCACTTTGGGAGGCCAAGGCAGGAGGATCGCTTGAACCCAGGAGTTCAAGACCAGCCTGGGCAACACAGCAAAACCCCTTCTCGACAAAATAAATTAAAACATTAGCTGAGCCTGGTGGTTTGTGCCCATAGTCCCAGCTACTCAGGGGGCTGAGGCCAGAGGGTCCATTGAGCCTGGGCGGGTTGAGGCTGCACCCCAGTCTGGGTGACAGTGAGCGAGGCCCCCATCCTTGCCCAGAAAAAGGCCTGATATATGTGTAGCTGGAGCTCTGGAAGGAAGGGAGAATGGGGCGGGGAAACCTTGAAGAGCGAATGGTAAAAAATGTCCCCAGTTTGGTGAAAGACACACATTTATAGATTTGAGAAATTTTGCAAGCTCCAAGCAATGCAAGTACAGGGAAAATCCTGCCTGTGGGCACGGCACAGTCAGACTGCTGAAAATCAAAAACAAATGGAGAATCTTTCCATCTGTATAATGTGTGTGAGTTACCAATAAAGAACTTTCTTCTTGTTCCATGAAATGGGCAAGGAAGGCGTGTCTGCTGGAAATCTCATCCACGGCTGTGGTTTCTCCTGAATCGGCGAATCGTCTGCGCGAGGCTGGGGCCTCTGGACAGAAGACTGGGCCCCCAGAGCTCTTGGGGGGTTCCCATCTTCACCCGGTGCCTGGATTCTCAGGGTCCCACCCACCCCCACCTTCCTCACACTTCACCCTCTCTTCTCTCTTGCCCTTATAAAATCATTCACTTCAAAGTAGAAATTATGAAACCGTCTTCATCAATCACGGAAGTTTAGCATTCCCCGTGTTTTTGCCTTTGGTTTATCAACAACTAAACAAGGGAAGGGAACAAGCTTCTGCAGAAGCTTCCAGCAAGGAGACAGCGTCCTATATGAGGCGCCTGGGGAGGGAAGGTGCCGGAAGGCATCGCTGTGGGGCTGCCGCCAGCTCCGGAACCCCCGGGAACCCAAGGGGCACACGTCTCCCCGTGTTCTTGCAGCCCCCGCGTCCCGTGACCCACCCAGGAGGTGTGACCTGCCCTCCTTGCTTCAGGCTCCCCTCTGTAAAGTGAGGAAATAGCCCCCCGGGGCTGCAGCCAGGGCCCAGGGCGGTGGACATGCAGGGTCCAGGACTGGCTGAACCTTGAGCCGCTGCAGGGGCCGTTGGATTTGGCCCTCGGGAGAGAACTCCACAGCCTCCTCCAGTGTGTCCGGCGGCGGCAGCCAGGGAGGGTGCCGGGACCTTCAGACCACACAGCAAGCGGCCAGATCTCAGGCTCCCCGGGCTCACGGCCCCGCTGCCTCCTCCTGTCACCCCCGGGTGAGCCCAGAGGGCTCGGGGTGGGGACAGCAGACAAACCCTCAGCTGCTGGGCAGTGCCTCCCTCTGGGGCCATGGGCACCGGGACCTGCACCCCTCAGCGCTGTGAGGCCACTGTCTCTAAACGTGGGGGCTGAAGGGGAAGGGGTGTTCGTGCCCAGCTCCTGGCCGGCCACCGACATGGCCCCTTCATGGGGGCCGGGCCAGAGGCTCAGAAGGGGAGGGCAGGGGTGCGGCTGGTTGAGTGGCATACAGCGGGGGCTCACACCTCGGCTAGCAAAGTGGCTCCCAGACCCGGACGCCTGTGCCTGGAAGAGCAGCAGACGCCTGCAGGGCACAGTGGCCACGTGGGCGCCACACAGAGCCCAGTGCTGAGAAGCAGGGGCCAGCAGCTGCCACCCCTCCCCTGCTTTCCCTGTGCAAATGGGAAAAGGCCTCAGAACAGCGTGGACGCAGTGACCCCTTTAACAGAATGAGGGGATGGAATCCCGGGTGGCTGGAGACCTGGACAAATGAGAAACAGCATCCTCCTCCATTTTTAGCTTCAGAGGCTCTTAAGGGAGGGAGGCTGCTGTGGGAGGAGCATCTGGATGTGTGCTGGGGGGTGACCATCGAGGGGGGTGGGGGAGAGTGACCATGGGGGGGGGAGAGTGACTGTGGGGGGGTGGGGAGTGACCACGGGGTGAAGAGTGACTGTAGGAGGGTGGGGAGTGACCACGGAGAGGGGAGAGTGACTGTAGGGGGGTGGGGAGTGACCATGGAAGGGGGAGAGTGACTGTTGGGGGGTGGGGAGTGACCGCGGGGTGAAGAGTGACTGTAGGAGGGTGGGGAGTGACCATGGAAGGGGGAGAGTGACTGTTGGGGGGTGGAGAGTGACCACAGAGGGGAGAGTGACTGTGGGGGGGTGGGGAGTGACCACGGGGGGAGAGTGACTGGGGGGGTGGGGTGGGGAGTGACCACGGAGGTGAGAGTGACTGTGGGGGGGTGGGGAGTGACCATGGAAGGGGGAGAGTGACTGTGGGGGGTGGAGAGTGACCACAGAGGGGAGAGTGACTGTGGGGGGGTGGGGAGTGACCACGGGGGGAGAGTGACTGGGGGGTGGGGTGGAGAGTGACCACGGAGAGGGGAGAGTGACTGTGGGGGGGTGGGGAGTGACCAAGGTGGGGAGAGTGGCTGTGGGGGGTGGGTGGGGAGTGACCATGTGGGGGGAGAGTGACCATTGTGGGGGTGGGGAAAGTGGCCATGTTGGGAGGGGAGTGACTACCACGGAGATGAAATTAATGTGAACCACTGAGGCAAAGGCATGAGGCCCCCTCACTTTGGGGTGGGGTTAGGGTTGGGGTGCAGGTGGAGCCTCTGAAAGGCTTTGAGGAGTTTGCAAATGCCCTGCAGGGGAGCAACTTCAGGTCTCGCTGACCTTTATCCCTCAGGAGAGGATCTCCAGTGAGGCTGTGCTCTCCGGGAATTCTTTTGTGCAGGTAGACGGTGAGGGCAGCTTCCCAAGCCTGTTAACTGCACCTGTGCCTGCTCACGTGGCCACAGCCGCCACTATCAAGGAGCTCTGGGTCCTGCCCGCGAAGCCAGGACTTTGTCACGAGCTTTGCCCGGACGCAGCAGCCGGAAGCGGTTGGGAGGATTGATTCTTGATATTGATGCCACCCAGAGAGGACAAAGGTGGAAAGACACACGAAAGGGGCCCGAGACGGGGGCTGGAGACGCGCGGAACCCGGGCTGCGGAGAGGGTGCTGGGGTGCGCGGCAGGGCCAGGGCAGCCCGCACAGGGCGCATTCTCACGCGAGGTGTGCCCCGTGTCTCCATCATTTGCCCCAAATGCAGGAGGGCCCGGGGTCCTCCCGAGGGGCCCCATGCTGCTCCCTGTCCTGTGGGGCCACCCTGCCAAGCGGGGCACCACTCCAGAGCTGGGACAGCAGCAAACCAGAGCCAGACCCCACAGGTTCCCCACCTTCTGGGCGCTGCTCCCAGGGACCTGTCTGGCCACTTCCCAGCAGGCTGTTTTAACCCGTGCAGAGCTGGTTTCCTATGATAATCTCGACTTTTCTGGGCAGTTGTAAAGACTGAAAATCAGACTCCTTCAGAGAGAGTGGGTTGACTTTGTTCTCAAACCCAAGGAAAACGAAGGATAAAACGTGTTATTTATTATCCTTGTTTTAAAGTTATTGGGGGCCGGGCGCGGTGGCTCACGCCTGTAATCTCAGCACTTTGGGAGGCCAAGGTGGGTGGATCACAAGGTCATGAGATCGAGACCAGCCTGGCCAATATGGAGAAACAAAACAAAAAAAAAATACAAAATACAAAAATTAGCCAGGAGTGGTGGCAGACACCTGTAGTCCCAGCTACTCGGGAGGCTGAGGCAGGAGAATCGCTTGAACCCGGGAGGTGGAGATTGTGGTGAGCCGAGATCGAGATTGGGCCACTGCACTCCAGCCTGGGAGACAGAGTGATACTGTCTCAAAAAATAAATAAATAAATAAATAAATAAATAAATAAATAAATAAATAAAGTTATTGGGTCAGGTAAGAAGGAGGGATCCGGCTGCTGCTTCTTTTTTTTTTTTTTTTTTTTGAGACGGAGTCTGGCTCTGTTGCCCAGGCTGGAGTGCGGTGGCGCGATCTGGGCTCACTGCAAGCTCCGCTCCCGGGTTCACGCCATTCTCCTGCCTCAGCCTCCCGAGTAGCTGGGACTACAGGCGCCCGCCACCACGCCCAGCTAATTTTTTGTATTTTTAGTAGAGACGGGGTTTCACCGTTTTTTTTTTCTTAAATAGTGTCTAGCTCTGTTGCCCAGGCGAGCACCACCAGGCCTGGCTAATTTTACTATTTTTTGTAGAGATTTTTTTCACCATGTTGCCCATGCTGGTCTAAAACTCTTGGGCTCATGTGATCCTCCAGCCGCGGCTTCCCAAAGTGCTGGGATTACAGGTGTGAGCCACCGCGCCCATTCTGGGGGGATCCAAAGACACTGGCACCCCATCCTCAACCCCCAACACCCCAATCCCTGCCCCACAGACGCCCGAATCCCCACCCCACAGTCGACACCCGAATCCCCACAGACGCCCGAATCCCCACCCCGCAGACGCCCGAATCTCCACCCCGCAGACGCCCGAATCCCCACCCCACAGACGCCCGAATCCCCACCCCACAGACGCCCGAATCCCCACCCCACAGACGCCCGAATCCCCACCCCACAGACGCCCGAATCCTCACCCCACAGACGCCCAAATCCCCACCCCACAGACGCCCGAATCTCCACCCCACAGACGCCCGAATCCTCACCCCACAGACGCCCGAATCCCCACCCCACAGACGCCCGAATCTCCACCCCACAGACGCCCGAATCCCCACCCCACAGACGCCCGAATCTCCACCCCACAGACGCCTGAATCTCCCCGCTACACCCAAATGCCCACCCACACCCATGTGGCTCCAGTTCCCATTCGGCTTCTTGGCGCCCGCCCCTCACACCAGTGGAGCCAGGGGAAGGGGTGACCAGTGCTCAGGCGCGGAGCCCAGCTATGGAATCACAAGCAGCCCAGAGCGCGCCCGGGATGGAGATGCCGCAGGGAGACGCAGGCCTCAGGATGGAGTAGCCGCAGGCAGACGCAGTCCTCAGCGCGCCAGGGATGGAGATGCCGCAGAGAGACGCAGCCCATAGTGTGCCCGGGATGGAGATGCCGCAGGGAGACGCAGCCCACAGTCTGCCGGGGATAGAGATGCCGCAGGGAGACGCAGGCCTCAGCGCGCCCGGGGATGGAGATGCCGCAGGGAAACTCAGGCCTCAGCGCGCCCGGGGATGGAGATGCCGCAGGGAGACGCAGCCCATAGCGCGCCTGGGATGGAGATGCCGCAGGGAGACACAGCCCATAGTGTGCCCGGGATGGAGATGCCGCAGGGAGACACAGCCCATAGTGTGCCCGGGATGGAGATGCCGCAGGGAAACTCAGGCCTCAGCGCGCCCGGGGATGGAGATGCCGCAGGGAGACGCAGCCCATAGCGCGCCTGGGATGGAGATGCCGCGGGGAGACACAGCCCATAGCGCGCCCGGGATGGAGATGCCGCAGGGAGACGCAGGCCTCAGCATCACCATCGCCCCCACGCCGTAAAGGACAAGGACATTAGAGAGGAAGACCTCCCGGGAGTCACACATGAGAACTAAAGTTTAAAACTCAACAGAGGATTGAAAGAGGAGGTTAAGAATTTCTCTCAGGCCACAGGTGGTGGCTCACACCTGTGATCCCAGCACTTTGGGAGGCTAACGCAGGAGAATCGCTTGAGCCCAGGAGTTCCAGACCAGCCTGGGCATCATAGTGAGACCCCGTCTCTACAAAATACAAAAACTAGCCAGGCATGGTGGTGCTTTGCCTGTGGTCCCAGCTACTTGGGAGGCTGAGGCAGTAGGATCACTTGAGCCTGGGAGGTGGAGGCTGCTGTGAGCTGAGATCGCACCACTGCATTCCAGCCTGGGTGATAGAGCCAGATCCTGTCTCAAAAAAAAAAAAAATTATCTCAGAAGATAGAGAAAAAAAGACACATAAAGAAAATGTAGGGCCAGGCACAGTGGCCACACCTGTGATCCCACCACTTTGGGAGGCTAATGGTGGAGCGGATCACTTGAGGCCAGGAGTTAAAGACCAGCCTGGGCAGCATGGTGAAACTCTGTCTCTACTAAAGTAAATTACAAAAATTAGCTGGGTACCGTGGCGCATGCCTGTAATCCCAGCTACTCAGAAGGCTGAGGCATAAGAATCGCTTGAAGCCAAGAGGTGGAGGCTGCAGTGAGCTGAGCTCATGCCACTGCACTGCAGCCTGGGCGAGAGAGTGAGATGGAAGGAAGGAAGGAGGGAGGGAGGGAAGGAGGGAGGGAGGGAGGGAAAGAAGGAAGGAAGGGAGGGAGGGAGGGAGGAAGGAAGGGTTTGAGGGCAGAGTAGGCTGGTCCCATGTGGGCCGAACGTGGAACCCTGGAACTCAGGCGTGGGCAGAAGATGGAGAACCGCGGACAGGCATCACCACAGCCATTCCCAAAACCAAGCTTGCGGTTCCAGACTCAGTGAACTGCCAGGGACCTGGCACAGCAGGTGAAGTTAGCTGTACCCCAAAGCATGTCAGGGAGTGAGAGGAGAATGGGGTGCGGGGAGGGGGAGGAGGCCTCCTGCAAAGAACCAGGAATGAGGAAGGCCTCCGTGTCTCGCATGGATGCCAGAAGAAGCTGGCACAGGGCCTGATGATTTGGAAGGGAAACCAGTTCCCGCGGCGCGAATCAAGCAAGGCAAAGGCATCTCAGAGGGGCCCTGCGGGCAGCCGGCGTTGTCCCTCCTGCAGTCAGCGCTCCACTGCCCCACACTCAGCTGGCTTCCCAGGGCCTGAGCAAGGATGGGGGAGGCTTCGGGAGAAGAGGGGCTCCAACGATGTGGAGGAGAATGTGTTGGGGAGACAGGTGCTGGGCTGGACCGGGGAGCCGCTGGAGGCCTGGGGGCATTGGAAGCAGGAGGATCCGTGGGTGCTTGGGCCCCTGGCGGAGCGCGGCAGCTTGTTGGGAGCTGGGAGCAGAGCCACTTACTGTGAGCTCAGAGAGGCTGCCAAGAGCAGCGACAGAGACCATCGTTCCCTCCAGGCAAAGCCAGATGCTGTGTGGGAAAGGAAACGTGGCCGTACGCTGCCACGGAGCTCTAAGGTGTTCGTGTGGGACGGAAGCACTGGTGGAAAGGCCAGAACCCGTGGGACACACCCTCGAGAGCCGCCGGCAGCACGCTTGGTCCCGGCCTGGAGACAGGGGCCAGCACAGTCAGGCTCTCTCTGAGCCCAGGGGTGGAGACCTCACTGGGCTTTACTGTGGTGACCACTGGGGAGCGGGGCCCAGGGGACAAGGTGGGCAGGGGCTGCTGTTTTCTCGAGTGAACCCTAGAACTACTTGATTTTTCATCTGACAAAGCTAACAGAGGAAAAGATGAGGCCCATGGATGCATGAGCTCTCTGCCTGGCAGGCAAACATGCCCAGTGCATTTTCAGGCATTTGCTGAGGGCCCGCTACCCACAGGCTGGAACAGACTCAGCCCGGAAAGGCCCAGGCAGGCGGCCGTGGATGCCATCTCCTGTGAGTCGATGGGGTCAGCTGCCTGGGGAATCCTGCGGGGGGAAGGCGAGGGAAATGGAGGTGGAGGAGCTGTGGGAAAGGCCAGGGCTGCTGGGTGCAGGGGTGGGCGGGAAGATGCACCAGCAGCACACGCAGCTTTCTCTAGGCACTGCTGTGCTCCAAGACCTCCTGTGGCTCCCACTGTCTCATAGCTGTGCCTGGACACCTGCTGCCCCACCAGGTCTTCCTGTGTCTCCCCTGGCCACAGCCCTTCTTCCTGTCTCTGCAGGTCCCACCCTGCATTCTTGTAACCTCCCATCACGACTCCCTCCAGCCTCATAATAAGGGCTCAGATACCTGCCCATCCACATGTGAGATCCCAAAATATCGAACACACACCAGCAAAACTGTGAGCCGCAAGGAGAGCACTTTGGTCCCACTGGCCTTGCTGGGCAGGGGCAAGAGTGTCTCACTGTTCTCGGATGGCAAGGCCGGCATTTAAGTGGACAAAAGACCTAAATGTAAAAGACAGAACTATAAAATTTCTAGAAGATAGCATGGAAGAAAAGCTACATAACCTTGGGTTTGGTGATGAATTTTTAGATCAACACCAAAAGCATGAGCTATAAAAGAAAAAATTGGTAAGTTGGACTTTATTAAAATTAAAAACTTTTTCTCTGCAAAAGAAGACATTTGCAAAACACATATCTCCTAAAGAGTTTATCATTCAAACATACAAAGGACTCTAAAAACTCATAGGAAAAATAAACAACCCAGTGAGAAATGAGCCAAACATCTGGGCAGACCCCACACCAAAGACAGGCAGATGGCAAGTAAGCCCCTGAAATATGCACGACAGCCCATGTCATGGCGGAGCTGCAAATTAAAACACACGGAGACACCACCACGTACCCGTCAGCGTGGCCGAAACCCAGGACACGGATAGCACCGAAGGCTGGCGAGGATGTGGCCACAGGAGTGTGCACCCAGCACTGCTGGAGGCACAGGGTGGCGCGGCCACTTGGAAGACAGCGTGGCAGTTTCCTACAAACCTAAGCAGGCCATGACCAGAAAACTCAACGGTCAGGCCCGCAGGAGTTGAAATCCTCCGTCTACACAAAAGCCTGCACATGGAGGTTTATAGCAGCTTTATTCATAATCACCAAAATCACCTGGAAGCAGCTGAGATGTCCTTCAGTAGATGGATAGATCCAGACAGTGGAATATCATTCAGTGCTAAAAAGAAATGAGCTGTCAAGCCATGAATAGACACGGAGGAAACACAGATGCAATGACTAAGTGAAAGAAGCCGCTTTGAGAAGGCTGCACGCTATAGGTTTCTAACTACACGACATTCTGGAAAAGGCACAACTATGGAGACAGTAGAAAGATCAGTGGTTGCCACGGGTTAGGGGGAGAGAGGGATGAACAGGCAGAGCACAGAAGATTTTTAGGGCAGTGAAGCTCCTCTGGATGAGACTGTAATGCTGGATCCATGTCGTTGTACCCATGTCCAAACTCACAGAAGTGTAACACCAAGAATGAGACCTAATGTAAACTGTGGACCTTAATTAATAATAATGTACCAAGAACGAGCCCTAACGTAAACCGTGGACCTTAATTAATAATGTATCAAGAATGAGCCCTAATATAAACTGTGGACCTTAATTAATAATAATGTATCAAGAACGAGCCCTAACGTAAACCGTGGACCTTAATTAATAATAATGTATCAAGAATGAGCCCTAATATAAACTGTGGACCTTAATTAATAATAATGTATCAAGAATGAGCCCTAATATAAACTGTGGACCTTAATTAATAATAATGTATCAAGAGTGGCTAAACTATGACAAATGTATCACACCAATGCCACCTGTTAATAGGGGGAGTGGGGGGTGGAACGGCTGGGGTGTGGCTGGAGGGAACTTGATACTATCAGCTCAATATTCTGTAAATCTACAACTTTACTAAGAAATTTAAGTCTATTCGTTTTCTAAGAAAGGGTGTCCCCGAAGCTGTTGGGGGGGCACTCCTTTTGGGGTGAGCTGGAGAAGGCCAGGCTGAGGGGACCAGGACAGCATTCCAGGCAGAGAACGTGCACGGTGGGCAGGCTGAGTCCTGGCGGAGCCCAGGCTGCGGCACCCCTGGAGGAAGGGCTGGGCGTGCAGAGGCCCAGCAGCCAGTCTCATCCTGACCCACCTATCAATTCTGACTCCACGGTGCTGACACTACTGTCCGGCGTCACCAAGATCAGAGCAAATACCAGTCCCACTTTTCACTGGAAGATAAGAGGGGGAAAGGCGGTTACAGAGGTTTCCACTGCAGCAAAACCCGAGACAGCAGAAACTGGGGCTGGAGAATTGCCTCCTGCAGCGATACTGAGACTTAGGAACCTGGGCACCAGGAGGGTGAGGGAGGGGGGCGTGCACCTACTGTGAGCTGCGTGGTGTGGGCTGGGACCACTGAGATGCCAGCTGCTGCAGACTCCAGCAGACCACAAAGCCAGGGGTGCTTTTGGAACATGATAGTGGCACTGGTTACAGCCGGGATGTGGCATCCCCTTTGGAGTTTTGGATTGGCAACATTTACCATGGGCAGTATCTGGGAGCTTCATTTTGTTGATGCTTTTTGGGAAGGAGAAAGGCCGGGAGGAAGGCTGGCAAATGGCACAGCCGCTGTGCCGGGACGCAGGTGCTAGATGGGCCTTCACACATGGGAGCCCCCACCCCCTGCTCTAACAGAGCTCAAGTGCCCCCTAAAAGCACGTGGCCCCTCTGCGGATGCAGAGTTGGGCGGGAGGAGAGCGCCAGGTGCACGAGTGATACCCAGGGTCTGTGCCACTGGGGTGTGCAGGGCAGAGAACGCGTCAGCCCCATGGACAGTTGGGTGGGTCCTGGCCACGGGGTCCCTGAGACACAGTGGATGCTGAGACGGCCACGTCTGACTTCACAGCACACACATGCCACCTCCATGGGACACACGTGCTCCTCAGGGGCCCAGGGACAGCTCTGGTGGGCAGACAGCAGCCCCGGGCCACCCTCGCCTTCTCCCCCTGTGATGGTACACAGTAAGAATGAGGAAGTAGTTCCTGACAGCTCCTTCTCAGGAAGCTTTAACTTCCCACGGCCAGCCCTTGTGTTGCGGATTTAGGTCGAACGCAGCTCTCCCATTTGTCAGCACCTCTGGCGACAGGGCTGCGCCCCAGGGCTCCTCTCCCTCTGAAGGCAGGCGGGCCACGCACAGCCACTGGAGCTTCTCCTGGGAGCAGCACTCAGCCAACCCGAGCCAGTTCCGCCTGAAGAGATTCCCCCACTGTGTGCTGGGTGTGGGCGGTGGGCAAAATCCAGAGAAGCAGAGACAATGGTGCCTGGCAAGGCCCCAGCCCCGGCTCGGGAGGGCACCCTGCTTTCTGGGAAGAGATTACTTCCCTAATCACAGTTGGCTCTAACTAATCCTAAAATGAACCTTCAGATCTTGAGAAAACCAGGATTAAAGACAGAAACCTGGAAGTGGCGCTCACATGGGCGAGCCCTCGGGGAGGCGTGCTCAGGCAGTCCCGGTTCCAAGACGCTTCACACACTCCCTCTTCCTCCCTGACCTGAGGTCTCCCAGGCTCTGTGCCGCCAGGGCTGTCCCTCCAGGGGCTCTGTCCCTCAGGGGGCTCTGAGGCCCAGCCTCCGGCCTGTGCCCTCCCTCCTCACCTCTGCAGAGTCACCCAAGACCAGTGGCCGCTGGCTCCCCCTTCCTGGGGCCCACCCTGCCCCCCGAGGCCCATCGGGTCTTGCCTGTCGGGGGCTTTGCTCACTGTGGCCCCTCAGGCAGTCCTGCCCAGTGGCTCCCACATCCAGTAGGTGGGGAAGGAGTGGTACGGCCCGCTGAGGGCCCCATGAGGGCCGGGTTCTAAGGGGAATCTGCCTTCACCGTCTGGTCAGCCCCGTGTCCTCTGCACCAAACATCTGGGGCTGAATCTGAGGACGGAGCCCGCAGTAGCTGCTGTTCTTCCACACTTTGTGTCACCCCCAAAGCTCTTAAAAACAGGCATTTTCAACTTTCCCATTCAGGCTTAAAGAAACCCTTTCCCAACAAAGAACTCAAACCCTTGGACTTTGGCATGACAGCTCAGCAGGCGGTGAGCCTGCAGGTTCCCCGATCCACCAGAAAGGAGGAAGCTGCCAGTGCGTCCCTGGCTCCCGCTCCTTCCCTCTGCCCTAGCCCTGCACAGTCCAGAAGGGGACCCTGGCTCTGTCCCTCCCCAGGGCTGGCTCCCAGAGCCAGATAGGGGGTCCCGGCTGGGATGGTCCAGCACAAAGCCCTCGGGGATGCACTCAAAGGCCGCCCTCCAGGGACCAGGAGCTTGGCACAGGTCACCTGGTCTTTCCCTAAGGCAGAGCCTTCCATGGGGAGACATGGGGAGATTTCTCGGCCCCCCACTCCTCACCCCAGAGTCCATGGGGAGATTTCTCGGTCTCCCACCCCAGAGTCCATGCCATCAGCCTGGAGTCTCTGTCACAGCCCTAACCACCCCCAGCACAGCAGCACAAACGGCCAGGCCCATTCCCAGGATGTGCCGCTCCCCATTTGTGGAATTCCCACAGCCCCTCCTGCTCTGCCCGCCCCTCCCTCCTTCCTTTCAGGCCCCTGTGGACGGTGCACACACGGGAACCCCTTGGGCACCCTGGCTGCTCTCCTGACTCCACCTGGACACGGCCCCAGGCTCCATCTCAATTCTTCCTAGACTGACGACACGACACTTTGGAAATGGACTTGACACACAGCCAGCCCCAAGGGAAGGCTGGCAGTCGGATAGAACAGGGAGCCCAGAGCTCAGGCTTGTAAGGGCACTCGCCAATGTGAGGGAGCAACCCAGAGCTGAACATGGTCATCACACGGCCAGAGTGCAAGGACCACCTGCTGCTCCTGCTTATCCTCCACAGGGTCCCCTGCTCCTCAGACACACACACACATCCCGCTGCTCCTGAAACACCCACACATTACCGCCTGCCACTCACAAACCCATGCACAACCCCTGCCACTCACACACCCACACACTCCCCCTGCCCCTCACACACACACACACTCCCCCTGCCCCTCACACACACACACTCCCCCTGCCCCTCACACACACACACACTCCCCCTGCCCCTCACACACACACACTCCCCCTGCCCCTCACACACACACACTCTCCCCCTGCCCCTCACACACACACACTCTCCCCCTGCCCCTCACACACACACACTCCCCCTGCCCCTCACACACACACACACACTCCCCCTGCCCCTCACACACACACACTCCCCCTGCCCCTCACACACACACACTCCCCCTGCCCCCTCACACACACACACTCCCCCTGCCCCTCACACACACACACACTCTCCCCCTAACCCTCATCCACACTTTTTGCCTCGGGCACTTCGCTCTGGCTATCCCTTCCCTGGACATGCTTCCCCCTAACCCACAGGGCTGGCTGCCCCCTCTGCCCCAGGGATGGCTTCCTGACTGTCTTTGGTCCTTGGTGCCCAGGAGTGCTGCCCCATGGGATATTTGGGTCTCATTTGAAGTGGGATCCCCACTGCCTACAGGGCGTGATGGGCACTGAATGTTTATTGAATGAATATTAAACTGGAGAGAGCTCCTCCATTGCCCAGAGCGCTGGCTGCTGCAAAGTCCAGCATTTTGGGCTA
Source organism: Homo sapiens (assembly GCF_000001405.40). Lineage (NCBI taxonomy): Eukaryota > Metazoa > Chordata > Mammalia > Primates > Hominidae > Homo > Homo sapiens. Next base: position 516,381 of record NC_000005.10, read on the forward strand.
CCTCGATAAGACGGATGAGACCATTCAAGCTCCTAAAAGTGGTTGGTATGCTAAGGGTATTGGCTGCCTGTGACCCGAGTTCTATTCTGTGTCCCAGGAGGGTGCCAGGTTGGGCAGTTCCAGCACCAAGTCAGGGCCTGCCCAGGGTGTGTCTGCATCTTCCGAGGTCTGGCAACATCAGGATGGGGCTGGGTTTGTCTGTCTTATTCCAGAAGGCATATAGCTAAGGCATAGCTAAGATTTCAGCTGACAGTGGAGCATGTTTTAGGCCAGGTGAGCGTGGTTTCTCTCTGGGCACATGACCCACTCCTGAGAGAGCTCTGTGTGGGGCAGATGGTGCTCACCATGCTGAGCCCAGATCTGCCAAAGTGCTCTGAGCCGATGCTGCAATTGCTTGTCAATGATCCCACTTTGCAGGTTAAGTCTGCCACTCCTTGGCAGGCGGCGCCTCTAAAGCCATTGTCATCCAGAAGTAGGTGTGCTGCTCACTGGAGGCTCTGCAGTAATTTAAGGAAATAATTCAGCCGAGGAGCTGAGACAGCCTCTTCCTGGGCCCAGTGTCCAGATGGTTTTGGATGAAGCTTACACATGGGAAGCCAATGTTTATCCCTCCACTCCTTCACTCTCCCATGTGTGCATTCATCCATCCATTTGTCCATCCACTCATTCGTTCATTCCTCCTTCACCCACCTGTGGGTGCATCCATCCATCCACTCATCCATCCATCCATCCATCCACATATCTACCCATCCTTCCGCCCATCCCTCCATTTACTCATCCATTCACCCATCCACTCACTCATCCATCCATCAATCCACTCATCCATCCACCAACCATTCACGCATCAGCCATCCATCCATCTGTCCATTCACTCACTCACTCATTCATCCATCCATTCACTCATCCACCTATCCACTCATCCATATATCCATTCATTCACTCATCCATCCATGAGTTCACTCACCCACCCATCCATCAATCCACTCATCCATCCATCCATTCACTTATCCATATATCCATTCATTCATCCATCCATCCATCAATCCACCCATCCAACTATTCACTCATCCATTCATCCAAGCCATCTATCCATCCACTCATCCATCCATCAGTCCACTCATCCATCCAGCTATCCATTCACTCATCCATCCATCAATCCACTCATCCATCCATTCACCCATCCATCCATTCACCCATCCACCTATCCATCCATCCACTCACTCACCCATCTATCAATCCACTCATCCATCTATCCATTCACTCATTCATATATCCATTCATTCATCCATCTATCCATCCATCCATCCATCCACCCATCCATCCATTCACCCAAGCCATCCAGCCATCCACCCATCCATCCATTCACCCATCCATCCATCCATCCACCCATCCATCCACTCGTCCATTCACCGAAACCATCCATCCATCCAAACCATCCATCCATCCATCCATCCATCCACTCATCCACCCATCTGACCATTCACTCATCCATCCATCCATCCACTTATCCATCCATCCACCCATCATCCATCCATCCATCCATTCACTCCATTCATCCATTCGCTCATCCACCCTTCCATCCATTTACTCATCCATTCATCCATTCATCAATCCACGCATCCATCCATCTATCTATTCACTCATCCATCCATCCATCCACATGTCCATTCACGTGCTCAGATCTGCAGGACTCTGCTGGGGACAGGCACTGGGGACACAGGAGGAATAAGACAGACAACCTCTGCCATTGTGGCATCAACCTGGTTGAGCCAAAAGACCTTGGAGGAGGAGGTGTCCTCAGGAGCTCAGAGGAGGAAGGCTCCGAGCTCAGGAAAGGTGGAGCAGGAGAGATGCTGAGTGTGAAGGGATGAAGCTGGGGTGAGTGCATGATTTGGGGGAGGGTGGAGTCTGGCATCCCAGGACCTGGTACCCTGAGACCTGGCACCCTGAGACCTGATACCCTGAGATCTAGCACCCTGAGATATGGCACTTCGCGACCGGGCACCCTGAGGCCTGGCACTTGGAGATCTGGCATCCTGAGACCTGGCACCCTGAGACCTGGTACCCCAACACCTGGTACCCAGAAACCTGGCACGCCAACACCTGGCACCCTGACACCTGGTATCCTGAGACTCTTGTCTCAAGGGTGGGTGAGGAAAGCCTTGGTGGCTTCATCGTGCACTGAGACTCCTGGTTGTGGGACTCAGCCCAGACGCTGGGCAGATGATGTGCAGGATGGGAACCCCAACTCTAAACATGCCCCAGTGCAGCCCCTGGCTCCTGGAGAAGCCGGCAGTGGGGGTGGCCACGCTGGGAGAGCTCAGCCATTTCTGCAGTAGACATGAGGCTGGTTGGGTGCTGGAGCTTGGGCCCAGACAGGCATCTTAACAAGCCTGTGTGGTCACAGGGAGCGCCACACACGCCCAGAGGCGGGGAGCTCCTGGGGTGGCAGGGAGTGGGCTGGGGGGGCTGGCGGCCAAGAGTGACTCACCATCCCTGTCTCTCTCTCAGCCTCTGGCGGAGCTGCCAGGTACCCACAGGGAGCCCTGGTGGTTCCTTCCCTGCCCCGATGCTATCAGCACTTCCCAACCTTTGCCCCTTTCCTCAGGATTCTCCCGGGCGACACCTTAGCTCCAAACGCCATGGATTGTTTTATAGCCTACAGCTGATTCTCCGTGGGCAGCTCCTGGAAAATGAAACTTCACCCCTTCAGGGCCAGACCCTCCCCTGTGGAGACTCCTGGGAGAGTCTTTGCTTCCAGGCCTCCCGTGATGGCTCCTGACTCCAAACCCACTGAGCATACCTCTCCTGCCAGGACTGGGGTCCACAGGGCCCACTCACTGGTCCTCTCCTGGGAGGACTGGGTCCCCTGGGGACTTTGCTGACCACCCTGGCCTTCTAGGCCATCCTTGTCCCCAGAACCTCCTTTCCTATGCTTCTTCAAGGAGAACCTAAGGGCAGTTCAGCTGGAGTGGGTAGCAGATATGGTGAAGGGGTAGGTGCTGTGCGCATTGAGGGATTCCTGCCTCCAGGACCAGAGCACATGCAATAAAACCATTCACCCCAGGAGGTGAAGGTGACCCACAGCTGCCCTCACAGCCTGGGCACTGAGTGCCCGGTGGAAGGCTGCACCTGGGAGAAATCCACAGCTTAGGCAGGTGGTCTAGGCAGTGTCACACCCCCAGTGGCGGAGGCTCCCTGGGACACGCTGGGTAAGACAGCGGGGGTCCGGGAGTCAAGTGTCGGGTGAGGACGACCTCCTGCACCCACCCAGACAACAAGGAAGCACCCAGTGCCTCAGATTTGGGGCCGGGAGCAGGGAACCTGGCGCTCAGGGATCTGGGTCTTGACCCTGTCCAGTTAAGGAGGAGGTGCTGGAACCCCAAGGCTGAAGCTCCTGCAGAAAAGCATTCCCACACTCCCACAGTGGGGGTAACGCCGCTCAGAGGGGGGTGGGGGGGCTGCGCCGCTCAGAGCAGGGGGCTGCACTCCTGACCCTGTGCCCTAGCGTCCTCCTGACCCTCCTACGGCTGCGCGAGGCACTGCAGACTCCAGATACCCGTCTCGCTCCTGCCTGCCCTTCCAGCCAGGGTTCACCAAGATGTGGGGCGGCCTGGGCCTCCGCCATCACATCCCTCAGCAACACAAGCTCCACTTCGAGAGCCTGCCCCCACCGCCCCCACCCAGCCCCACTGTCCTGGTTTCCCCGTGGGCAGTCACTGCCGCTGCTCAGGTCCTAACCCTCAAGGCGCCACCTCCCTGAGCCAGCGCTGCCCAGCTCTGGAGTTCAGGCCCCATGGGATGTCAGCTCCCACACCTCCTGTGCGTCCACGACCCAAGGGGTACCCACGGCCAGACGCCTGGGGACAAATAGACCCAGCTGGGCCTAGAATCCACTCCCGGCCCCAGCCCCTCCCCGGTTTCCGACATCTCAAAATTGTAACTCCCCCAGTTCCCTTTTGGTCGGGTCCTGTCGCTCATGTGTGGCTCAGAGCTGCAGGGCGAGGTCAGCGCAGCAGAGCCCCCCGAAGGGTTGAGAACAGGATGGGGCCAGGAGGTCTGGCCCCTGCTGTGTCACTGATGACCCTGTGACATCCCCACTCCTGCTTCAAGGAGGCCCTGCTGTCCACCGCCCTGATGCCCAAGGGAAGCTCCCCACCATCCTCCCGGAATCTCCCCGGTGCCATTCTCTGCCCCATGGCCAGGCAGTCGTCTGAGAACTCAGATCTGACCACATCCACTCCTCACCACGACGCTAGGTGGGGACCAAAGTCCTCCAAGGCCTGTAGCTGAGTTGCTCGGGCCTCCCTCTGCCTCCCCAGGGACCCACCCTAGGCCTCCTCCTCTGGCTTCTGACACCCCCGCCTCCCTCTCCTTCCAGGGGCCCATTGCTTGCAGTCCTGACACCTGCCACTGCCTGGATCCCACCCCAGGGCCCCCACCCAGTGCTGCCAGGCCTGGCAGTCTCTGCAAGGCACAGCCTCAGCCCCCAGAGGAAGCCCAGGAAGGAAGGAAAGCCTGGCCCAGGGTTCCCAACACGGACGGTGCAGGGTGAGGCGGGGATTCTGGTGGGCACCTAAGGCCTAGAGTGGCCCTGGTGCGGGTGGCTGCAGGCTGGGGGCCCCCAAGGGGCACAGGAGGAAGCCCCCTCACCCTGCCTGAGGCAGACACTAGGCCCTGCCGCCTCCACTGCTAAAGACTTCCTCGTCCTCTCAGTCTGGGAGGTCTGCGCTGTGGAGTGGCTCCGTGGCCTCGGCCCTTGCCTCCCCTTCTGCATTTTAAAAAGATGCTGTAAAAGGCAGGGGAACCCCAGTGCACACAAATAGGGGGCTTGTGGGGAGCCCTTGCCGGAGCCAGACACGCGGCCTGAGGCTGGTGGGCCAACAGCAGCACCTGTTCCTTGCCCAGGCTCCTGGGCCACCTGCTGAGGCCCCAGCCCCAGTGTTTGCTTGAGGCAGCTCTGGCCCTCTGGCCATCCTCTGTCCCAAGCTGCCTGGAGTAGAAATCTCCTGGGATCAACATTGCTGTGGGTTTCAGGGTACCCGGACTCTTATTTCCCCAACCAGGTTACAAATGGCTTGAAGAAGGCTGGGGCTGTGAGTTAGAAACTCTCAGGATGTGTGAGAAATTCAACAAATGTTTGGAAAAGCAACAGGAATGGCAGCTCTTTTCTGCTGGAAGAGACATTTCTGTTCGTGTAACTTGAGACTGAAAGAGTGTGGCCAACCCCTGACCATTTTAAACAACAAAATGTGCCAAGCAGCTTAGTAGGTTCAGACCCCAGTCCGGGGGCTGTGGGCATGTGGAGGAGGCTGGGTGAAACTGGAGAAGTTCCCGCTGTGGTGCAGGCTTGGGCCCCGGTGTCTGTGAAGGCCTGGACCTGAGGGTCCTCTGGGAACACAGGTCGTGCACCTGAGGCTGGCTGCACAAGGAGGACGGTCTGGGCCAGTGGAATCTGAGAAGTCCAGAGTTCACAGGGAAGGGGTTGGGGGAGGAAGCACACAGGGAGGGCTGGGGGCTGTGTTCAAGAGGTGTGGCTGGCAGAGAGGGGATGGAGGGTGGGACACCCTGGGGGCCAATCCGGGCAGACCCAGAGCAGACCTCAGCTGTCACTGCCGGGGCTGCAGAGTGCACAGTGGGTTGAGGGGACGACAGGGAGCGTAAAGGGCAGGTCTGGAGAGGGTCTGCGCCTGTGGGATACCGCGATGAGCTCCCACAGCTGCACAGGGTAAGGCTCGCCTTCCCAGGTGGAGCCAACAATCCGAGACAAAGACAGCCGCTGAGTGCTATCAGGGTGGGCCTTTGTAAAGGACCGCCCTGCCCCGGGGAGTTGCTGCTGGAGCCGGCAGCCTCCCCGCCCTCAAGGACGTCTTCCCAGAACCAGTCCAAGTGTTTGGGAGACCTGAAGGCTTTTCCCTGTGAATAACAAACTCTGAGGCCAGGCAAAGCCCTGGTCAGTGTGCCTTATCTGCCGGCTCCCAGGCGGGGCTGGCTGGTGCCTGGCGGCTGTCATTGGACCTTCAGATGCCAGATTCTGACTCTGTACACTGGGCTAAACTGGGAGAGGCCCCAGCTTGTACAGAAATTAGATATTCACGGCCGGGCGCGGTGGCTCACGCCTGTCATCCCAGCACTTTGGGAGGCCGAGGCGGGTGGATCACCTGAGGTCTGGAGTTCAAGACCAGCCTGACCAACATGGAGAAACCCTGTCTGTACTAAAAATACAAATTAGCTGGGCGTGGTGGCTCATGCCTGTAATCCCAGCTACTCGGGAGGCTGAGGCAGGATGTGGAGGTTGCAGTGAGCCGAGATCGCGTCATTGCACTCCAGCCTGGGCAACAAGAGCAAAATTCTATCTCAAAAAAAAAAAAAAAAGAAAAAAAAAGAAATTACCTTTTCAGTTTACACCAGGGGGGCACTCCCGTCAGAGGAAAGCAGGGTGAGCTTTAGGACTGGGCGGCCGCAGAGCCCAGGTTGAGTCTGGACCTCCCTGATGCCCCAGGGGCCCTTCTCAAGGAAATCAACTGTAGGAGGCAGCCAGCCTCAGAGACTCCCCCCCGGCCAGCATCCCAAGCCCCCAGTGGAAAGCCCAGGGAGGACAGCCTGAGCCTGGAGAGCAGGCAGCCCGGCGGGGAGCTGAAAGACACCAGGGCGAGGAGGAGGCTGCGGAGAAGGGAGGAGGCGGGAGGGCTCAGAAGAGCCCTTATGAGACAGAAAGCAAACACACAAGGGGCCTGAAGGGGAGGGGAGACCCTGGCATAAATAGGGCAGGCGGCAGGCGTCACTGAAGGAAAAGGCGCCTTCTCCAATCAAGCCTGCTGGGCGTACCAGGTTCCACCAAGGCCAAGGTCCTCTCAGCTGTTCTCCCCGGAGCCTGTCCCTCCCCTGTCCTGCGTGGGCGCCCCTCCTCGGCCCCAGCATCGAAACCTCCTCTCGCCCCAGTCCAAAGCTGCTCTGGAAACCTGCCGCGGCGCCTGCTGCTCTGATCTTGCTTCTCCTGGCCCCACTCGGGCCCCCTAATCCCCCCTCCACACGAGTGACCACCTCCCTGCCACCCCTGGAGAGACCCTACCCTGTGGACCAACACATGAAACTTTGATCCCCACGAGCTCCTCAGGAAGCTGACCTTCCTGTCACCTTGCCAGGAGCTACCTGCCGTGCCCACATTACTGGTTCATTGGCGCCGGTTAAGAAGAAGAGAAATCTGACCGACCGGGATTTTCTAAAAAAAAAAAAAAAAAAGGAGGCCCGCCAATGGGAACGCTGCGCCTGTAGGGAGGATTCTGCTGGGTTTCATGCGGGTAGCACCGCTTTTCTTTTCTGCCCTTGTAACTCACGAAAAAACGCCATCACTCCAAGGACGTTTCTCTAAAAAGCCTGAGAACCCCGAAGGAAACCCGGCCCCGGGGACTCCCTGGGCGCGAGCAGCCTGCAGTCTGCGGGGCTCGGAGCGGAGGCGGGGCGGAGACCCCACAGGGACCCGGGAGCCGGGAGTCCGGGGCTCCGAGGCTGTGCCCCCGCCGGGGAGGGGAGACCTCGGGACCCGCAGGGGCGGCTTAGCGCGGCCAGAGTCGCTCCCGAGTCTCGCTCTGCTGGACCCGAGAGCCGGACTCTCCCGGGCGGCCGCCGCGCGGCTCCGACCTGATGCGCGCGGCCACAACGAAGCCCCCAGGCCCAGCAGAGGCGGCCGCACACCCCGCGGGCAGATCCGGAGACCCCGGGGCCACTTACCGATCTTGGCCAAGCTGGCCACGAGGATCCAGAGCGCGATGACGTAGGGATCCTGCACGTGGGCCCACTCGAAGGTGACCACCTGGAAGCCCCCGCTCTCGCCGTGCGCGCCGCCGGGCTCCACCTCGACGCCCCCGGCCCGCGCCAGCCCGCCCAGCGCCAGCGCCAGCAGCAGCCCCCGGTCGGGGCCCCGGGCCCCGAGTCCCCACATTGCCGCCTGCTCAGCGCAGGGCTGGGACGCGCATGTCGCGGGGGGTCCCGGCTGGGCTGGGCCGACGCGCGGGGCTGGGACCCGGCGAGGACCCGGCGCGCTCCGGTGCCGGTACCGGCTACAGTCCGATCCCCGCCCGCCGGGGTGGCCTTTAATCCCGCGGCCCCCTCCCGCCCCGGGGCGGAGCCTGCCCGCCCCCGCCGCGCACTCGCGAGCGCAGACACCGCCGCAGCTCCCGGCACGCCCGCCCCGCCCGCGCACGCCCACCCCGCGCTCCCTGGTGCCCACCCTCCCCCGGAGCCCGCGGCCTGGAGGTCCGGGAGGTCGCGGCAAGAGCGAGCCCGGGACTGCGCGGCCGCCTTCCTGGGGCGTGGGGAGCACAGCGCGGGGCAGCGGGACAGGCGGTTCCGCGCAGCTCCTGGGATGCCCGGGCAGCTGTGGGTGCGCTCGCCCCAACCCTCCTTCATAAACGCAGGGCCTGGGGCTGCGCAGACCCCACAGGGCGGCCCAAGGGTGCACAGGGGCCCCAGGTGTGTCTTCACACAGCCCCTCGCTATTGTCTTCAGCAGGAACCTGCATTCCACAGCCGGACCGGCCACTTACCAGAACTCGGGGGCGCCCAGGCCTTGCGTGGTGCGCTGGTAAGTCTCTCTGCCCCTCCCATCGCCAGCCAGCATCCCCCACCCCAGGCTCTGAGATGGGAGCCCAGGGGCCCCCGTGGTCTCCCCTGCCCCATCCCCTGCCTTTAGACCTCCGCCCAAAACAATTCGATACCCCCAGGGCTTCACACGGATGCGGGGCCTCTGCCCACAGCCCGCTCCGGCAGCACTGGCTCTCTTAAGCATCTCAGGCTCCACTGTGCAAACCACACCCCTGTTTTCCTCCAAGCCCACCCTGCAGCCTTCCAGCCCCAGACCTGGGACGCAGGTGGACTTCTTTCGCTCACAAGGTTTCCAAGCTCTTAGCATATCTGCTCTACTTTCAAAATGTGCACAAAACCAGCGGCTTCTGGGAGCCTGCAGCCACCTGCAAAGGCTCCTGCTCGGCCCTCTACCTGCCCCTTCAGTCCCTCCTATTGGGACCCTCCCTCTCAGAGGAAAGGCTCAACGTCTCCCGGGAGCTCAGACCCCAGCCACTGCCTGACCCCCACCCCCATGCACTCCACGGCCCACACCAGCAATCGGCGCCTCTCGGGGCCTTTGCACGCCCTGCTCCCTCTGTTTGGACGGCTCTTGTGTGCTCCCTTCCTCAGCTCCCCAGGGGCTTGGCTCCAATGCCACCTTCTGGTCCCACCCGATACCCACTCAGCTCACAACTGTGGCAGCTAAGCTCCCGCCTCCCCTGCTTACTCGGTTGGCTCCGGGAATCAGCTCACCTCCCAGCCCTGGGGGCTGCTGGCTTTGACCTTGAGCTGTCTGCCCTCACCCTGGGAATGTCTGCTCCACGAGCAAGGGGCTCATGCATACATCCCAGGAGCTTGGAAGATAGCTGGGCACACAATAGCACTCGCAAGATAGTGGCTGAGCGGATGGATGATAGATGGATGGAAGGACAGATAGGTGGACAAAGGGCAGGTGGGCGGTGGGGTGGGTGCAGATGGAGGATGGATGTGTCTTCTGACATCTGAGTGGGGGCTGCGGAGGCCTGAGGAGGACAGTGCTGAGTTCAATGACTTCACCCTGCAAGGGCCCCAGTTTCATGCTAATGGAAGTGGCCCGTGTAGCACAGGGAAGGTGCATTCAGATGGTGCTCGCCTGGTGACTCGGCTGCTGAGTGGCGTGGAGGGAGGGCAGCCCTGGCCTGGGCCACTGCAGGGTCTGGACAGGGCACCGGGGGAGTGGAAGTGTGTGACTGGCCACTAGTATGGTCTTGCGAGGTGGGAGCATCGGAGTCGCTCTTGGCCTGTGTCCCTGCCCCACCTGTCTCTGTCCCCCACTCCACTCCCAGCCTCTTGTCCCAGAGAAAAAGCCAGCAGGACAAGAACAGGATTCCCTCCAGTCCGGAGCTTCCCTGCTCTTTCCTTATGGTTCCTGGGTGGAGCCGTTAGGAACGACGTCCTCTCTGAAGATGTTGCCCTTGCATTCCACAGGAAGGCCAAATTTCCACCAGACCAGTGTGTTCCATGATGCCCACTGGACCTCCGGCCACCCCACCCCCCAACCAGCCTGTCCTAAGAGCCGACAACCTTTCTCCACAAAGCTGTTCAAAGGGCAGAAGAGCAGTGTCACTGCCTGGAAGGACAAATCCAGAACAGACACCAGTGCCAGGCGCTGGCCATCAGGTAGTGTGCTGCCCACACCTCCACTGCCCCCCACAGCAGGAAGGGCTGCCTCATGGAGAATAGAAAGGCAATGAGCCCCTGAAGTGGCGTGGCCAGAACAAGGCACACCCCACTGCCCACGAGTCCTGCCAGGGCACACCCCACTGCCCACGAGTCCCTGCACAGGTGAGAAGTGTGGCTGTTTGGCAGCATCTCAATCTGTGAGCATTTGGAGGATGAAATGCGTCTGCACTCCAAGGTTGCTGGAGGGCTCGGGGCAGACGGGCGCTGCCCCAGCCTGTGATGGGCATGGCCTTGAGGATGCCAGCCTCATGCAGAAGCCAGTCTAGGGGATTATACAGGGTGTGCACACCCACTCCCCTACCCTCGGACTGGAGCCACAAAACCCTCCCTCTAACTGGGTCGTGGTTTTAGGCAGGGCCGTGGCACCCCACCACTGCAGGGGCCACCATCCATATCAGGCAGACTGTATGAACCGTGCCCCTTGGAATTGTACAGTGCACAACCTGCACATCCTCATGGCCAAAAAGACCCAGAGACTTGTGTGTGTGTGTGAGGGGGTCTTGGGAAGTATCCTGAGAACATTCCTGTCCTGTGGGTGGTGACGATCTGATAACTGCCCGACCACTTCCTGCCTCAGGCAGGCACGCATAGCATTCTGGATCCTTCCACCGTGGCCTGGACCCCTTGTGGTCCAGGGACCCCCTGCACGTATGGGGAAGGGGCGTGGCTGTAAAACATTCAAAAATGTGGAAATAATGCAAAAGCCAGTCGGAAAACAACTGTAATCTTATACCCAGCTGCCACAGCATCTGAACTTCAGGATTAAGAAAATAAAACTGAAAACACCTAGTCTGTCACATTAATTTCCTGTCATGAATTCCACATACGGCTTGTGAAAGTGTCTTGTGGATGAAGAGGCGCATCCATTCATACTGTTGTTAACAATATTTAAGAGAAGAAAGTTAAGTTTTTAAGTAACTTCCAATGCTTGAAGCCAGGCAGGAGACAGGCATCACTGCCCACTCTAAGTTTATTTTTCAACCCAAAGTTGTCAGGGGCCAGGTCTTCTTAAGGAAGGTTTTATTCCACTGGGAGCCACACCTGCTGGCCTTCCCTTGGTCCACACCTGCTGTGTGCCAGGCACATCTCAGCTTCAGGCAAGAGGCCCCTCTGGGAGATGCCCTTCCAGGAAAGAGACCACCGCGCCCCCCCGTCATGCCACCTCCCGTCAATGCCACTCTTATTGGTTGTTGGATCCGGGGGATACAAATGTCTTTCTCAAAAGCAGATTAGAGCTCAGCCCTTCCCTTCCCGGGTGGCCTCTGAGGCCTCAGGTGGGACCTTTCCTCTTCTTCAGAGATGGACAGACTCTTGACCAGCCTGGAGCTGGAGGGCCTGCAGGACTTGAGGCCCGCGCTCTGGTCCGTCCTGTCCGTGTTGGGCCTGGGGTCTCCTCACCCGCGGAGACTCACCTTTCCTGGCTCCCTGAGGGCACCAGCCCGGGTTGGAGTCAGACCCCCCCACTGTGACACCCCTGCGGGGGTAGCTCAGGGCCTGTGTCTGAAGCGGCAGCTCCCCCCGTGGGTTGGGTGGGGAGTTCAGGGGCCCCGGGGTTGGGTGGGGAGCTCAGGGGCCCCGGGGTTGGGTGGGGAGCTCAGGGGCCGGGGGCTGCGCCGGGAGGGGCGAAGGGCTGGGGACGGCGCCGCAGGAGAGTCTCTGTGCCCCGCAGTCCACCCCAGGGCAATGGCGCGGGGGACCTGGCAAGGCCCGGCAGGCCCTCCCAGCACCGTCCCCGGCCGGCCCGTCAGTGCCCGTCGGGGTCGCGCGTCCTCCCTTCCGCCCTCGGGGACAGCCCGGCCGGCCACGCCGCCGAACTCGCCATGGGCCTCTCTCCGCATCCGCATGTGCATCCGCAACCGCTTCCGTCCCGCTGAGCGCACGAACCCTCTCGCTCCTGTCCCTCCCGCCCCGCCCGCCCCGCCCGCCCCGGACGCCTCTGCTGCGGTGTCTTAGCGGTCCGCGGACAGGCGACCTCCCCCGTGGACGCCCCTCTCCCGGCCGCCGCCCCGCCCCGCGCCCCGCTCCCCCGCGCCCCTGGGCCGAGACCTCCGGTCGCCTCGCCCCGTCTCCGGCCACGAAAGGCGCTGCGGACCTGGCGGTCACGCGCGAAGCCAGTGGCCTCCCCCCGCCCGGGGCTCCGGGATCCGGGCACCAACAGACCCGGAGGGACCGCGCCGCCCCGGGCAAACCCGCCCACCCCGTTGCCCAACACAACTGGAAGCACTAAAACCGAATCCAACCGTGTGCAGAGACCAGCCCAGCGCTCTGGGAGGCCCAGGCAGAAGGATCACTTGAGGCTGGGAGCTCGAGACCAGCCTGGGCCACATAGTGAGACCCTGTCTCTAAAAAACATAATAAAAAACAGTAGCCGAGTGGTGGCGCTCGCCTGTGGCCCCCGCATTTCGGGAGGGGAAACCCTTGGGAAACGTAGAATAGAAGCAGATTCCTTTAAGCTGATAGGTAGCATCTGTAAGGCCGGCAGGAGCAGGTGCTGGCACTCAGGAAGCCTCCTCTGAAGCAGGAACGTTTGCCACCTGCCCCCACCCTCAGCCTCATCTTTGGAGCAGGTGCTGGCACTCAGGAAGGCTCCTCTGAGGCAGGAACCTCGGCCACCGGCCCCCACCCTCAGCCCCATCTTCAGGATGCAAGACAGCTCCCGCCTGTAGGCAGCACAGAGGTCTTCCTCGCACACTCTCAGAACCGGCAAGAGTTAGCTCAGCAAGGCTGCTGGCTACAAAGCCAACAAGCCACCGTGAACTGGGTTTCTATGCACGAACAACACACTTTTTAGAAAATGAAAGCTAATTTAACAGTACTATTCATGCAGCATCAAAAATATGAAATACCTAGGAAAAAAAAATCTAGCAAGGGGTGTGGCGGAAATTTATAGGATAATTCAACAGTGAAACCAAATGGACATGGAGCTTTCTTTGTGGAAAGGTTTTAAATGATGGATTTAATTAATAAATATTAGGCTGTTTGGACTTTTCTTTTTGTGTCCATTTTGATAAATCATATTTTTTGACTTTTTGTCTTAATTCTGATAAATTGTACTTTTCAAGAAATGTGTTCATTGCATCAAAAATTCATGTTTATTGATGTAAAGCACATAATGTGATTGTAATCTCCCCTGTGTCCATAAGACTCTGCAGTGATGTCTCCCTTTTGTACCTCCTGGCGATGATTTTTGTTTTCTCTTTTTTAATGATCAACATTGCTGGGAGGTTTATCAACTTTATTCATCTTCTCACAGAACCAGATTTTGGTCTTGTTGATTTTCTCTGATTTATATCTGTCTTCTCTTTCATACATTTTACTATGATTTCCTTCCTTCTGCTTTGCCTTTATTTTGATGTCCTTTTTCTAGTTTCTTGAGCTGAAAGCATAGGTCATTGGTTTCAGCATTTCCCCTTTTTAAATGTGGAACTTTTTCAATAAGCTGTGGATTTCCCTTTGGTGGCTAGTTTTGCATATCCTGGAGGCTTTTTCATATGCTGTGTGTTCCTCATTCAGCTCAAGACATTGTATCCTGGACGCTTTTATATGCTGTGTGTTCCTCATTCAGCTCAAGACATTTTCTGATTTCTACTGTGGCTCCTTTGACATATGGGTTATTTAGAAGTGTGTTGCTTAATCCACAATTGCTTAATTTCTAAACATTTGGAGATTCTCCTCTTATCTTTCTCTTACTGAATCTACTGTAATTCCACTCAGCCCAGAGAACACAGGCTGTGTGACCTCAGTCCTCTTATGTTTGGCGAAAGGCGCTTTGCGGGAGGAACCTGGACCTCAGTCCTCTTATGTTTGGCGAAAGGCGCTTTGCGGGAGGAACCTGGACCTCAGTCCTCTTATGTTTGGCAAAAGGCGCTTTGTAGGAGGAACCTGGTCTGTGTGGGTGAATCTGCCTCAGTCATTGACGCAGTTCTGTGTTCTGTGCTCTGCTCAGACTCAACGGGACTCGTAGGATGCAGGGACGCAGAGCTCTAGGTGTGCTGGTTTGTTCCAGTTGGGTCTGAAAATCTTTATCTTCCAAGACCTTTTCTTAGTTAATAACATGCAGACGGCTGACGGCAGCCCCCCAGGATCCTCACGCTGCAGCTGAGCCTCTCCACCTGTGTGGGCAGCAAGGTTTCTCCCTCTCATCGCCCCCGTGCCCGCCATGCTCAGGGATGCGGCCTGTGCGCCCCGTCACGGCTTCAGACCTGCTCAGAGGAAAACGAGCTCACTCTGCTCTGGGTCCTTGGATGTGTTTTCTTCTGCCTCCTGGACTCGGTTCATTTCCCCATGGCGTCTTTATAATTTGCGTCCCTTCAGCAAATGTTTGCTTGAGCGGTGTTAGTTTCTGCATGAGGCACAGACGTACCCTCTGAATGCAGGCAGCACACGGGAAGCAGACCCTCGAGGGGGACGAATGTCAGAGGAGATGCGCAGGCAATTTGTGAGCGTGGAGTCGCCAGGAAGGAGAGATGCGGCCGGACTGGATGCCACATTCCACCACCCAGGCCGGCTCACCTCTGCGCGGCCGCGTTCCAAATCATTGTTCACACAGAATTTGGCTGCAGCGGGTGTCCTTGAGTCTCTCACACTTGAGTAATCATCCAGGTCTCCTCCTCCGGCTTCCTTTGAGGCCCTGGCCCCCCAGGGGCTCCGGCGTGTGTCCCCAGCAGACACTGCCTGGCCTGCCTGGCTCAGCCTTGCATCTACCCCCAGGGTGTGTTTGCCCCTCCTCCACGAGATGCGCTCTTGTCCTCCCTCTCCTCCCCTCCAGGGACCCTCCAGAGGCTCGTTCACTGCCTGGAGACACAGCGACAGCCCTCGCCACTAGCTGGAGGCTGGTGCTGGTGTGGGGCCTCAGACCCCTAGAAACACCGGGAAGTCAGGTGGAGCTGCGGGAGCTGAGACCTGGAGCAGGTGGCTGGCCGAGCCGGCACTGCCCTCACTTGGCATGGACCAGTCTTACTGTGCCTTGGAGCACCCCCCGCAGAGCAAGGGTGGTGAGTCCCTTGGCTACAGGGCTGGGCACGCTCTAGGTGGTTGACACGTGTGTGCACCAGGTGTGCAGTGGGCAGGCACCATCACACTTGCCGCTATTCACCGGCGGGCATTCCCACCTGCCAGTGGGGGTGGCTCTGGCTGGGGTCACCTCTGTGCCTGCCCCACAGCCCTTCCACTCTGCCTCCATAGAAACAGCTGGAGATGGACGGAATTGCTCTCTCAGGCAGCTGTTCAGTCAATCTTAGCTCACGCTGGATCCCAGATCTGTCCCTCCCCAGGAGCGCTCAGCTCTCCACTCTGCCCCATCCTGCAGCTTCGGCTTTGACTCAGACAGGCCGGGAGATCCCTGGTATTTCTGGTCAGATGCCTGCCGTGGGGAGAAGAAGAAAACTCTGGAGCTGGCTAGGCCCAGGTCCTCACCAGGCTTGGGCAAGGTCTCCTGGACATCGACGGGCCTCACTTTCCCCATTCGGCTGTGGTGATGCACGCTGTGAAAGGCTCTGAGCTGGACCAGGGTCTCAGTTTCCCCTATGTGGTTGGGGCACATGTTGTGAGCAGCTCTGAGCTTGACCAGGGCCTCAGTTTCCCCTATGTGGTTGGGGCACATGTTGTGAGCAGCTCTGAGCTGGACCAGGGCCTCAGTTTCCCCTATGTGATTGGGGCACATGTTGTGAGCAGCTCTGAGCTGGACCAGGGCCTCAGTTTCCCCTATGTGGTTGGGGCACATGTTGTGAGCAGCTCTGAGCTCGACCAGGGCCTCAGTTTCCCCTATGTGATTGGGGCACATGTTGTGAGCAGCTCTGAGCTGGACCAGGGCCTCAGTTTCCCCACGTGGCTTTGGCACACGCTGTGAGTGGCTCTGAGCTGGACCAGGGCCTTTCCCATGCCATGTACCTCAGTGCGTCCCTGAAACTGTCAGAGTGACCTGAGTGACCTGTGTCAGGCGGTGACCGCCCAGCCCTTGCACCTCAGACCTCCTGGATGGAGAGGACACTCAGCTCACAGGGCAGTCTGACGAGAAGCCTCTGGAGCTGTGGAATGGCTCAGGCTGCCGGACTGGGGGCCAGGTCCCCTTCGGCCTGAAAACAGCCGCCATCTCAGCTGGCCGGGAGCCCCGCCTTGCCTGGAGTTCAGTGGTATCAGGCCAGGCTCAGAGCAAACACGGCCTGAAAGCCGTGACAACGGGCTGCCGTGCTGGGCTTTGTCTGAGCTGACGCTCGGGGACTTAGGGAGGCTCTCGAGTTCAGAGCCAGGGCCCCTCCTGGCACAGCTCAAAGTGCATCGTGCTCCCGGAGGCCCCCATTCATGGGCTGAGCAAAGGGCTCGGGGGTTGGCGAATTTGCCCCCATCCGTGGGGGCGAACACAGCTCTGTTGGCGCACTCACTGCCGACAGCATTTCTTCTCAAAAGAATCCAAGAGATTTCTCCAAAGAACAGCAGCTTTGTTCATGGGAATAAGTTCAGAACTCCTACTGGTGTGCTCTGAAAACTGGTCATTCATGTTCTCATGCATTTGCCGTTATAGCCACATTCTTGAGTGTGAGCAAAGGCTGGGCTTGCTGTCCCTCCAGACATTTGGGGAATTGGGGGCCACGCTGAGCCCAGGGGTGAAGCAGAGCCCAGTGGTGCTGGGGACCCACTGCAGGGGCAGGCCCATGCCTTCAGCTGGGTTGGATCACAGCCTGGCCCCCTCCTGACGCAGCCTCAAAGAGCCTGAGAGGTGGGCACCTGTGGCGGCAGGAGGAGGGCCGGTTGCTGCCTCCGGATGTGCGGGGCACTCAGCTCCTCTCACGTCTGTGGAACCTCCACCTGTTTTGCTTTGAACGTGGAGCCGCCTAGACTGGCAGGGCTCGGAGCAGCCAGAATTGGCCCCGGTCACCCTGGAGGCCCAGAGCCATCGGGTGGGGGAAGGGCTGGTTTGTCACAGCCGTCTCGGCCTGTGTGGAGCTCTCCCTGCCTGGGGAGGCTGCGTGGCCTCGCTCAGGGTTCTGTTCACACTGCTGGGCGGGGGCCAAGGTCGTTCACAGGCAGAATCTCTGACCCGAGTCTCAGCACCAAGACCCCTGTGGTCACCCCTTCACCAACGCACAAACAGTGGACCCAGGGCCCTGGGGTTGGTGATCTTGTGGCCAGGGGGTTCTGACCTCCTCAGGGTCGCCAGGCCCAAGCCCCCTCCTGGCTCTGTCCGCCTAGAAGGAAGAGGCATTGCCTAAACCTGGAGACAGTGCTGGATGCCCAGGTGCACTGCTGCTGAGAGTGGAAAGTTCCCACAGAGAGGAACGCCTGCAGCCGGTGGGGAAGCGGAATTCCTAGGCAGAGCGCAGCGCTCATTTGCACACATTAGCCTTTCAGATCTGGACACCGCTCATGCCAGACCCAGTCGGCACAGAACAGCTGCTGGGGCAGGACTCCGTGTCCCTGAGCTCAGAGTCAAGGGCCTGGCACTCGGGGTCCCCCCCGGCTCCCTCCTGTCCCGAAGTCTCTTCCTTCACAGTCCCTGGACCCCACCGGCAGGTCCACAGGGAGGTGCAGGGCCGTCGTCACCTCATCACTCCCGACTTCACGGAGTGTCTGCACCTGACGCTGAGCCGCGGCCTTCCCTGTCTCTGACCTAACCCTTCCGCGAGTGCCAGCAATCGGGAAGAGCAGTTGTTCACGGAGCCGCTTGGGAACTCACCCCACCTGTGCCGACCCCAGCACAAACCTCAACCTCCTGCAGGCGGGGCTGGCTCAGCACAGGGTAGGGGGTGACTTGCCAGAGCCCGGGCAGGATTTGTCTCCCAGCCCGGTGCACCACGGCCCCATCCAGGATTCGTCTCCCAGCCCGGTGGACCACGGCCCCATCCAGCCTGTCCTGGCCACTGCTCTGTGACCTCCCAGCCCTGGGGCCCTGCAGAGGCACTTGGGCGCAGACAGGGCAGGCCTGAGACGGCACCTGGAGGGAGGCTGGCTGCTGGGACACTGCTGGGGACCAGTGCTCTCCTCCCTGTCCGAGCGGGGCCAGGTGTCCCCTTCAGGCCTGGCCTCTGACCCTGGCCTGTGACCCTGTAGCTCACGCACGAGGACATCCTGAGTTGACCCAACCTGCCCGAGTCCAGCTGCTTGTCCAGACTCCTGCGAGAAAACCCAGAGCGGAAGTGAGGACTCAGGTCAGCACCCCCATAGGAAGGGGGACCCGGGGTGGACGCGGAGCTGAGGGAATGGCATTCCTCAGCAGTGCTGTGGGTGGTGCAGCCCCCTCCGCATCCCCCTGGGACCTAGCAGGACCCCACATGCTCACTTCCGGCCCCCAGCTGTCCCTGGCTCCAGCCCTGGCAGGGCCCCTGTCTTCTTGGGGTGTGTGTTGGATTTTAGGTGTGCGGAGGCCACAGATGGTAGTAAGCTGGGCCCTGAGGATGGCTTGGGAGATGTGCAGTGGGGCGGGGCCCTTGTCTTCAAGCCACATCTCCCTGTGGGAGGGCCCTGAACCAGCCACCAGCAAGGCCGTGTGGACAGCTGGGACCACCAGGCTGGACCCCAGCAGAGCGCTGGTTTCAGCCGCCTCCTGCCCCCGGCCCCTGCCTTCTGGGACCCTCACCTCACCCTTGCCCCCGCCTCCCCAGGGGCAGGACCCCTCCTCCCAGTTGAGAACCTAGAGGCCTCCCCGTTGGGGGTCGTTGTGGGGAACCCAGAGGCCAGTGAGCCTGAGGCCTCCTGTCCCTTTGCAGTCGGACATCATTGCGGGCCGCTGGCACGCGCCCTGCAGCCGGCGCTCGGTCCCGTGGGTGTCTGTGCTCCCCTGTGGGCAACGTGACCCTGGCAGCGCCCAGCAGTGCTCAGTCTGCCGTGTGCACACAGAGCCCCGTGCTGCCCGCTCGCCGTGCTTGGGGGGCTTGTGTGAGAGGTGTGGACTGTGGGGCCTGAAATGTGCTCCGGGGGCACCTGCGGCCAAGGCCCCCTTCCGAGGTCCCGCTGCCCCTCCCAGACTGCACCGTCCCGGATGCCATCGCTGGGGCCCCACCCCGCCCACCCCACCAAGACCTTGCAGGACCGAGCCCGCAGCCCCTTCATGTGCTACCCCCCGCCCACCCCACAGAGACCTTGTAGGATGGGGCCCATAGCCCCCCAACGTGCTCCCCCAGGCACAGGCTGTCCTGGGGTCAATCGGGCTGTGAGGGAGACTTGTCTTGTGATGGACGTGAACCCTAACTTCCTCCCAGAAAAGGAAGCCACCAGGTTCATGGGATGTAATACGGAGCAAGAGTCAGGATGCTGGAGTGCTCTGAGTCACCGTTGGGTGGCCACTCCCCACCCGCAGCCCACCTGGGCAGGGCGAGCCAGGGACGCAGGCGACAGCTTTGGGTGGAAGACAATATGCAAATCAGGACATTTTTCCTCGTGGTTCAGAAGTGCTTCCTTGACAGGGCTTCAGCCAAGCCCCAGGCAGACGCCAGAGCCGCAGATGCAGAGGCCCAAACAGCCTTTGCTTGCCAGGAAATGCCCCCTGGATGTTTAGATTTCGGGAATAATATTTTCAAAAATCAATCTCTCATGCGTCTGTTGTTTCGGCTGTGACAACAAGGGTGTTTTCCTTGGATGTGTGCACAGGGCCCCCAGCTCCCTGCAGCAGAGTAAGCCCTCGGCAGAGACAAAGTGGACTCTGTCACAGCCCTAACAAGCCGACCACCTGCTGGCTCGCCACTTCCTAGCCGGGCCTTTCTCCCTGAGTGTTGTGTGTTAGTGATTCTGTGACTCTGCCTTTCTCCCTGAGCGTTGTGCGTTAGTGATTCTGTGAGTCTGGCTTTTCTCCCTGTCCGTTGTGTATTAGTGATTCTGTGACTCTGCCTTTCTCCCTGAGCGTTGTGCGTTAGTGATTCTGTGAGTCTGGCCTTTCTCCCTGAACGTTGTGTGTTAGTGATTCTGTGACTCTGCCTTTCTCCCTGAGCGTTGTGTGTTAGTGATTCGGTGAGTCTGACTTTCTCCCTGAACGTTGTGTGTTAGTGATTCTGTGACTCTTTCTCCCTGAGCGTTGTGCGTTAGTGATTCTGTGAGTCTGGCCTTTCTCCCTGAGCGTTGTGTGTCAGTGATTCTGTGACTCTGACTTTCTCCCTGAGCGTTGTGTGTTGGTGATTCGGTGAGTCTGACTTTCTCCCTGAGCGTTGTGTGTTAGTGATTCTGTGAGTCTGACTTTCTCCCTGAGCGTTGTGTGTTAGTGATTCTGTGACTCTGCCTTTCTCCCTGAGCATTGTGACTTAGTGATTCTATGAGTCTGGCTTTTCTCCCTGAGCGTTGTGCATTAGCGATTCTGTGACTCTGGCTTTTCTCCCTGAGCGTTGTGTGTTGGTGATTCGGTGAGTCTGACTTTCTCCCTGAGCGTTGTGTGTTAGTGATTCTGTGAGTCTGACTTTCTCCCTGAGCGTTGTGTGTTAGTGATTCTGTGACTCTGCCTTTCTCCCTGAGCATTGTGACTTAGTGATTCTATGAGTCTGGCTTTTCTCCCTGAGCGTTGTGCATTAGCGATTCTGTGACTCTGGCTTTTCTCCCTGAGCGTTGTGTGTTAGCGATTCTGTGAGTCTGACGCTGCACAGGTGGGCGATGCTTTGCTCCGGCCGGCTCACCTCCCCGATGAAAGCCCGCTCAACGGCATCTGCAGGGCACTGCCCACCCCACCGCGGGGCTGAGACACCTTCCCTAGCACGGCCTCGCGTCTACAGAAAGCCGCTGAGAAGGCAGGTGGGGTCCGGCGCTGCCCACCGTTCTCCAGCCGTGCTGGCCACCACTGGGCTCCCAGACCAAGGCCCATGGACTGTCCCCCATGCCTGTCTACCGTGAATACACTCATTGCTCAGTCTCTAACTTCCCTATTTAGAGACTGAGTATTATACACTCAGAAAAATAACAACAGCTCACGGCTGCTGGCCCCTTGCGGGTCCCTACCCGGGTTTCATCTGATACCTGTGGGAACCTGGTGCGGCCAGCCTGGCATTCACCTCCACTCCTAATCCCATTTTAAAACAAGGAAGCGGAAGGCTTCAGTGGCCGGCCATGGGTCACGCAGTCACAGAGCCAGGCCCCGCTCCCTGCCAGGCCCCACTCTGCTGGCCTCGCTGTGGACGTTCTCACCGAGTGGCAGCCGTGTCTGCATTGGCCCGAGGGCCTGGGGGAATCCCGTTCCCACACTGGTTGGCTGTGCTGCCTCTAGGGAGTCACTTGGCCTCTCTGTGCCCAGCGTTCTCATCTGTCAGGTGGGGGTCACACCATGCCAGCCCACTGCTGCCGGGGAGGTCCCTGGCCCAGGGCCAGTGAGTGTGGGCACAGCTGCCCTGCACAGGAGAAGGCGGCTCTGCGTGGATGGAAGTCGTGATGGTCACAGTTGAGCCACTGCCCAGGCGTGAGGTCAACACAGAGCTGAGCCAGAAGGAATCCACTCAGCCCACGAGCTCAGGGTTGGTTGGTGGGCCAGTGGGAGGCTGGTGATTTGAGAGGAGAATAAGGCGTGAGGTCAACACAGAGCTGAGCCAGAAGGAATCCACCTAGCCCACGAGCTCAGGGTTGGTTGGTGGGCCCGTGGAAGGCTGGTGATTTGAGAGGAGAAGAAGGTCACGGATGCTGACGTTCCATCAGTTCACTGATTGACCCACGGCCCCGGGTCGCAGGCGTTCCGCTAGTGGCCAGCGCATCATCAGCCACGTTCTTGGCGTGCCGCTCCTGCGGGTCTCACCCCCTTCACAGGGAAGCCCCCAGATTCTCCTCCAAAGCCTGGAGTCACCGACGGCAGAAGCAGGGCTGAAAGGGCACCTGGATGGCCAGGTGGGCAGGCGGCTGTCGGGATGGGGGACCCCGGAACCCCACTGGCCTTGGGCAGCCATCTTGGGGGTTTCAGGAGATGCACAGAGGACAGCGGCTGGGGATGCTCAGCTCTGTCCCATCACCTGTGCCTGCCTGACGATGCCGCCTCAGCCGCCCAGGGCTCCCTCAGGGAAAACGTCGCCAAGCACCGACGGCTCAAGGGAGTAACCGCGCCTCTGGGAGATGGCGTCCCTGACTTGGCTGTGGCACCAGGCTGGCCAGGGGACTGTTGGAACATTTGCGGAGGAGCACAGTTGCCATTTCCTTCATGCCACACCTGCCCCAGCTTGTGTCTGTGTGTGATGGCACGGTTTGGGCTGGCAGGAGGGGCACGGGTGCTTGGGTGTTCGCTCCAGGGTCTTCCCAAGACCCTGCTAGCACAGGCCTGGCAGCAGTCAGCCAGAGAGAGTCAAGGAAGCAGCCGGCACAGGACCAGCATCTGGCCTGCACTTGTGCCTCCTAAGCCCAGCCCCACATGCGTCTCCCAGCCAGCCTGGAGCTCAGGAGACACAGGCAACAGGCGAGGAGTCCCAACTACACGCACGACGAGGTGTCCTCGGTGGGACCAGGTGATTGAAATAAAGCGTGGTGGCATGTGTGCGTGTGTGTGCATGTGTGTGTCCTCGGAAGGGACACCAGCTCTGTGTGTCTGCAGCTCTAGAGCAGGGACCTCGGCCGGGAGCCTGGCACCTGTCCCGTGGGCTCGCTGGGACAAGCGCTATGCCCACACAAAGCTTTCCCTCTTCTTCCTGCGTCAGCTCGCCTGGGAGGGGCTGTGCACAGAAGAGCTGGCCTCGGGGCTCTGTCTGCTGCCTCGGCAACTGCAGCTCAGGACTCCTGGCTTTGGAGAAGTCGTTGCATGGATCGGGGACCAGAGGCCAGAGGGCCGGGCTGGGAAGAGGAGCTCTCCGGCTGGCAGCTTCTCCGGAAATGAAATCCTCTGCACCCTGGAAGGCAGACTCGCACCCCTGGTGCCCCTACCTACCTGCTGGCCACACGTGGACGGCCGCATCTGGCCTCTCAGATGGGCTGGGAGGTGAGCCCAGTGATGATGCCTCCACCCTCTCTGGCTGTAGTAACCAGCCTGTAGGAAGGGAGCTGCCCACGCCTGGGAACTGCCTTACTTTGCCTGTCCCTGGCCCCCTGACCTTGCCTCCCGGTGCTGTCTGTGAGCCAAGAAAGAAAAGCTGCCATGTCGGGGGTGCTGGCCCTGAGGTTGCTGTGCGCATGAGCCCCCCACAGCTGGACTCTGCGCCAAACATCAATAGAAAACGGCGACAGTAACGTGACCCCCGGCAGAGCTGTCACTGAGGCGGCAGCCAAAGCCCGGTCCCAAAGCTCCTCCTCAAATGGGGTGGGTGCAGGCATCAGGGCTGCACCGGGGCCAGGGCACCGGGGCTCCCTGCAGCGGGTCCTGGGTGTGCGGCCGAGGTGTGTCTGCTGTGCCCCCCAGCCCCTCCCCACCCGTGACCTTGGCATCGATCACAAAAGGGAAGGCTCTTATCAATCAGTGCTTTGCTGTCCTTCTCATTCAATCTTTATCAAGCGACAGCTCCGCACTGGGCGACACCGTGGGGTGTGTAATTATTCATTAACTGGTGCTAATTAATGTTTATGTAGACATTCATTGTGTTGTGTGCCACGCACTGCCAACAGCCACCCAGAGGCTTCCATTCAAGAGGGCTGTCCCAGTTGTGTCGGCAGCTGCCTCTGCAGACCCCCTGCCTCCCTGGCGGGCCAGGCTCCCCCTCTGGGCCCCTCACCCGCTCTGGGGAGCTGCCCGGATGCCCCCTCAGCACCCACCCTGAGAGCACGGGGGCACTCCCTTCCCCTGAATCAGCTCGCGATCTCCACGCCAAGCCCTGGCCTCCCCTCCCATCTCCACGGCCCTGCCTCAGCCTCAGCTCTGTGCCCCTCCCCTGTGTCCCCGGCTCCTCTCCTGTGTAGCCCGCCCCTACTCCCTCCATCCAGAGAGGTCCAGCCTGGATGCCCACGCCTCCCATCTTCTCACTGATCTGTCCCCAAGACACAGCTCCGCCAGGGTCACCGAGGCCTCTGTGCTGCCTCATGGCAGGGCTGGAGCTGGGATGGCCTCTCTGGATTTTGGGCCTGTGGCTCTCGCCCTCTGCCTCCTTCCCAGCCCTTCGCCCTGGAGCGGGGCAGCCTTGTTTCTCCTGACTTTCTGGGCATGGTCTCTCAGGCTTTGGGTCCTTCCTGACTCAGGGATCTCAGCTCGGAGCCACCTCCTCCAAGAAGGCTCCCGGCTGCACCCACTTCAGGCACCTTCTGTCCTAATGCCCGTCTCCCTCCTGGCCTGCTGCCCCGTCCTTCTCTCCAGGACGACTTTGAAGCCATCCCAGATGTGCTATGATTTCATCTCCAATAATAATAATAAAAGCAACAATGTGTGCAGCTGAGGGGTCCTGATATGCATTGCGGGGCCTCACAGGGGCTTGGACCATGCTCGGCCTTGGACAGACACAGCCGGGAGGGAAGCATCCCGCTCCTGTTAACACACGTGACCCGCAGGCTCTGCAGGACATGCCGGCTCTTTTGCACAACCTCTTGGTGCAGCAGGGGGGTGTTGAGGGACCAGGAAGGGTTTGGTCCCCTCCTCCACCCCCTCTGCCTCCCTCCCCATCAAGTGGGCTGCCCGCCTCCTGGGTTGGGTCCTGGCTCCTCTGGAGGGGCTGCTGTGCCCACCGCCCTCCTTGCCATCTCTTCTGGCCTGGGGTTGGGGAGGGGGCTGGCAAGGGCGAGGCTTCTCATCCATCTTGCAGGGCTTGCCTGGGGCCACAGGGCTGCGCTGGCCTGGGGGGCTCTGTGCGCCTTGGGCTGGGGCGAGGCAGCTGCCCTCCGACCTCCAGGTCACTGAGGATGGGGTGCCGCCCTTCCCCCAGGGGCAGGTCACGTGGGGTGCCCCGGACAGGTCAAGGAAGGGGCTCTCATGCCTGGGGCTGGTTGGGGCCACCTGGGGGGGAAGGTGACAGTGCTCTTGTCCCCAACCCTGGGCTGCCTGGTAAGACCTGAGGGTCTGGGATGAGCTCAGGGCCTGCAGCCCTCTGATGTCTGCACAGACACAGCTCTGTGGGAAGCAGGTGCCCTGGTGAGACCCTTTCGCCTCTGGGCCCCTCCACCTTCCCCTGCTCCTCACAGATGCCCCCTGCCCATCACAGGGCCTGAGGCAGAGGCTTTGAGGGGGCGGGGCCTGGAGAGGGCCTGGGGCGGGGCATGGGGGAGATGGGCGTGGTAAGCAGGTGGAGCCTCTTGAGGATGACACTGGGGTGGGGCTGGGGAGGGGCCGGGGCCCTAGGCTGACCCCGGGAGGGAGCATCACCCTCAGCTGCAGGCAAGGGACGGGGCTGCTGGTGAGAAGCTCAAGCACAGGCCCTCAGTGAGGCAGGGAGAAAATGGCACAACCGCGGTGCCTTCCTAGGACTCTGGCTGTGCTGTGGGAGTCGGTGCTGTCCACTCTGTTTGAAGCTCTCAGGTGGAAGGGGCAGGTGGGGCATCTGAGGCACCGACCTCAGCTCCCAGCCCTGAGCAGAGGACGAAGGAGCCCAAGGTCCGGGAGAAGCCCCTTTTCCCATCTCTGGGGCATGGGAGGGGCCTGCACTGGCTGAGACCCAAGTTTCCAGCAGGTGAACATCGGTCCTGGTCCCACGTGCAGGGCAAGGACGACCCTGAAAAGCCCCTGAAAAGCTGGGGTGCCCACCGTGTCTCTGAAAGGCTGACGTTCCCACCGCATCTCTGAAAGGCTGACGTTCCCACCGCGTCTCTGAAAGCTGGCGTGCCCACCACATGACGTTCCCACTTCATCTTCTTAGGTGCTTTTCTTGAAAAGTTTTGTTTTTGTTTTTGTTTTTTTTTTCAGGTAACAAACTGTCACCAAGGTCATGCCTAGGCCCTGTCTTGACAGCCCTCAGTGGCCCCGGTGTGTCCCCTGGGAGCACAGGCCCCATGGGTGGCCCGGCTCTGACCCCACGGGCCCTTCCTTCTGCCGAGGGCACTTCTCAGGCTTGGGTGCACAGGGCTTGGGTGTGTGGCTCCTGCCTGGGGCCCACTGAGCCCTGAGCTGCACCAGGCCTCGACCTCGGAGCTGAGGTCTGGGTCATCCTCCCAGGGAGGGTCTGGGAGACCTCAGGTCAGAGTATCCCACAGACCCCACAAGTGACATCCCAGCTCCTCAGGCCAAATCTCCTGGACCCCAGAAGGAGCAGCTGTATCAAGAGGAAGGCTTTGGTGACGCTGCTGCAGGGACAAGGACTGCTCCGTATGGCAGAGCCAGGTGCGAGGGGCTCGGGTGCGACGGGGAAGCTTTGGCAGCAGGAAGCAGAGGCGCGGGACAGCGGGAGGGAGGGTCTGGTGTTCTAGTGCTCGGTGGAGGACCGCTGAACGTGCTTAGGCAGTGACATGAAAGCCATCAGGGCAGAGGGACAGGCAGAGGCCCCAGCATGCGAGAGGCAGGTGGGCGTGCGGGGTGCAGGGACCTGCGGAGGACATGGAAAGGTGTCAGCTGAGGGCCCTGATGTGTCTGGGGTCACCTGCGGAGGAAGGTCCAGGGGAGGAGCCTGCTGCAGGCGGGTGGGGAGGGTCTCAGCACCACAGCAGCCGGGGCCAGGGCTGGGCTGCAGGGCCAGGTGGGTCCAGTGAGTGTGCTCAAGCCGCCTCGTGGAGGGGAACTGGCAGAGTGCTGAGCAGAAGCCAAGGTGCCGCCACTCGAGGGGCCGGATGCTGGGGTCCCAAGAATGGTAAAGTGGGGAAAGCCGCTGAGGGCCTGGATGCTGGGGTCCCAAGAATGGTAAAGTGGGGAAAGCCGCTGAGGGGCCGGATGCTGGGGTCCCAAGAATGGTAAAGTGGGGAAAGCTCTGAGGGGCTGGATGCTGGGGTCCCAAGGATGGTAAAGTGGGGAAAGCCGCTGAGGGCCGGATGCTGGGGTCCCAAGGATGGTAAAGTGGGGAAATAGGACAACAGTGTCGGAGCTGGTGCTGGGCTTAGTTGGAGACACCCAAGGCCTGGTGCAGCTGAGGGCTCAGTGGGCCCCAGGCAGGAGCCACACACCCAAGAGCCTGAGGTTGAGGCTACAGCGGAGGCCAGAGGGAGCTGGGCTATGGAGGAGGATGCAAGGGTTCTGGGGCATCACCCTGTGGGCATTTGAGGTCCCCAGGACAATGGCAGGACAGGAAAGCCAGGTCTTTGAGGGTCCTGAGCACACGCCTGGGACAGCAGCTCTGGCCCACAAAGGCTATAGTGCCCTTGGAGCCTGGGGGGCTCTGGGCAGGGCCCACGGCTGAGTTGCCTGGAGCCTGGGGTGAGGGGTCCAGGACAGACACTGGGAAAAATCACCTGTGGTGACCCCCGCCTGGCCCTGCATCCCTCAGTGGCTCAGAGGTGGCCCGAGGTCACGCCGAGGCTCCGTCCTCTCCTCAACCCCGTGTGGTTTACCACGTCCTCATCAGCCAGGGGGTGACTAACTGCCAGGAACAATTGGCAAATGGGACCGTGGGTGGGAGCCCATCCATCCTCCAAGCCCACGGTCCAGGCCAGCGCAACAGCTTTCCAGACCACAGGCTCCTGTCGGGGATTTCAGAAGATCCGGAAATCATTTTACGACCGCATTACCTTTAGCCAACCTTGCTCATTGGAGGAAGGTGAAGGTTTGGGGAAGTAAACGCAGCCGCGAAGCCCCAGCCCAGTGCTCTGCCCGTGAGGCCGTGGGAGGGGCTGGTCTCACTTCCACTTCCACTTCCTGTTTAATTTTCATAGGCTTTAAAATCACACAGGCAGAGTAGGGAGGGCAGGCGCTGCCCTAGCAGAGAGCTGGGTCAGATGTGGGTTCACAGGTGGAGCCTGGCACATTCGTCCCCGAGAGTGAACAAACAGCACCCCGGGCCCGGCTGCCCATTCCTTGGGATAGGAGGACAGCAGGACAGGAGGCATCGAGGACACAGCAGCTTCCTGCTCTCACACGCTGAGGGGCCGGGGCCAGGCCTTTGCGCACCAGGCATCCCCTCAGTAGGACTCAAGGCACTGCACGCCCCCCAGGGGTCTCCTTCCTGCCTCCAGTCAGGCTGTGGGACCTGAAGCTCCCCAGGGGCCTTGTCTGGCTTGGCTCTGAGGTGGGTCCCAAGTGTCACATGAGCCTGGTGAGACACAAAACCCAAACAGGGCCAGGAGACCACCAGGGAGGCCAATGCTCTTGGGGTGTGGGTTGGAGGGGCCAAGCCTCTGAAGCTGGTGTCCCCGCCTGCTGGCCATGTTGGGGTGCCTGTCTCGTGCCACCTGCTTGCAGGCCAGGGGGTTGTCACTGTATTTCCTCCAGGTCCTGTGCTGCTCAGGACTCCCTGACCCACTGGAGGGGATTAGCAGCTGAGGACAGCTCTGAGAAGCCTGGTCGGCCCCGGGTCCTGCCCAGGCATCTTCAGCTGCGTCTCCTCACCGGGTCTCTGAGTGAGAGACGAAGCCAGCTGGACTTCCTGGGTTGAGTAGGGACTTGAAGAACTTTTCTGTCTTACAAGAGGATTGTAAAATGCACCAATCAGCACTCTGTAGCTAGCTAGAGGTTTGTAAAATGCACCAATCAGTGCTCTGTAAAAACGCACCAACCAGCACTCTGTAGCTAGCTAGAGGTTTGTAAAATGGACCAATCAGCACACTGTAAAATGTTCGAATCAGCACTCTGTAAAATGGACCAATCAGCAGGACATGGGTGGTGACAACTAATGGAACAAAAGCTGGCCACCCCCCAGCCAGCAGCAGCAACCTACTCTGGTCCCCTTCCATGCTGTGGAAGCTATGTTCTTTCCCTCTCCACAATAAATCTTGCTGCTGTTCACTGTTTGGGTCCACACCACCTTTAAGAGCTGTAACACTCACCGCAAGGGTCCGTGGCTTCATTCCTGAAGTCAGCGAGACCATGAACCCACCGGAAGGAACAAACTCCAGACACATGAGGACCTGTCTGTGCATGAATGCAGCTGTGTGTGCTGTGACAAAAGCAGCTCTGTGGGACATAGGAGTGCTGGGTGTGGGGGTCCCAACCAGATGACCTACCGGGACCTGTGGGCCCAGTGCTAGCCAGGTCTTAGTCAATGCCACTTAAACTAGCCAATTGGAGGCCCTTTTCCACTGGACATGCTGCCGGACTCATCTCCCCTTCTGGACTGAGGGCCTGAGGCCTGAGACTCCATGACCTGTGGGTCAGCACGGGCCAACCGCCTCAGTGGATGGAGCCCAGAGGCTGGATGTGGCCAAGGGCCTGAGTTCTATGGGGCCTTAGGCATCCTGGTGCCCCTTCCCATGGGGTGGGCAAGGCCCGCTGGAGGTTGTGAGGTGTCGAGAGCTGCAGGACATACCACAGGGCGGACGGCAGGCTCCTGGTGGCCACAGTGGGCCCCTGACCACTGACTTTGCAGAATGTGGCCAACTCTTTGTGGAGGGGGAAGAGGGAAGCTGACTCTGCCATGGCCTCTGGGGGTGTCCGTGCTGTGTCAGCAAGTGGGTCTTGGGTGCTCATGGGACCCTGCTGAAGCATCCTTGCTGGGGCCTTCCATAGAGCAGTCACTTAACTGTCTCAGGCCTTCTTCTCGTACAGGCTCTTCCATGGGGTTTTGCTCCCCTAGGGTCCAGCAGCTGAAAGCACAGCAGCCTCCCTGGCTCTTCTCAAGGCCAGCGTCCAAGGAGGGATTGCTGGGGCTGCAGGGAGCACAGGCAGGGCCTCCACCCTGGCCCACCACACTCGCTGGGCAGAGCCCCGCACAACCAGCCCTGAAGCCTGGGATTGCACCTGCTACCCTGCAGGCTAGGTCCTGTTCCAGCCCCAAGCTTTCTCTCCTCCTGTCCTGGCCCCTACAGGTCACGGTGGCTCTGGGAGCCCTGGGAAGGCCCGGGAAAGAGGAGGTCAGGGAAAGTGACTTTGCTTGTCCCTGCAGGGTCTGGAGCAGCTGCCAGGGCTTATCAGGAGGAAAGTCTACCCCGAGGTCACACCTGTCCTTGTGTGGTCCCAGCACTGACATTGGGCAGTCCTATGACCATGCCACCCGGGAGCTTTTTTCAGAAGTGGTGCTAGTGCCAGGCTGTGACCCCAACACCAGCTGCCCTGCCCTATGAGGCCAGCCCTGGGGTCTCCGGATGGCCTTTTGCCGTCCTTTGCCCTTTACCCGACTGGAGACTGAGGCTTGGCTGTCTTAATCCCTGAATGGCCTTGTTCTCGGCTGGGGCGCCATATACTTGGGGCCAAAACCGGGTTAAGGATGGGGCGAGCGGCTCGGGAGACAGCCCCTCCTACCAATAAAGTTCACAGAATTACAGGGCTTGGACTTTGTGACACCTGATTATGTCTGTTGCGACACCCACTTCCTGCTCCCGGATAACTGAGGCAGGAGAGGCCACCCCACAGCTTGTGGGGCTTGAATGGCCAGGAATGGGGTTCCCACCTGCTGCTGCCTCTGTCCAAAGACCAGGATGGGGACTGGGAAGCCTCATGTTTAAAACTTGGACTCAGAGGGTCTCCAGGTGCACCCTGCAGGGACCCTCACCCCTCTGAGTCCAAGTTTTAAACAAGGGACAAGGCGTGCCACTTTGGAGTCAGAGTTGCTTCAAAGTGGGGGCTGTAGCCTGGAGGCCTAGACAATGGCTGCCAGGCTGACTGGGCAGTGGAGAGGGTGAGTGCTGGGGGCACCGAGGGCAGTGCCGGGGCCTCAGGAGCAGCTGCCCAAGGATGGCTCTTCCCTGGACCCTCATCGCAGGCCCGCCCCCTCCTAGAGACCCAGTGGGCTGCAGCCTGTCCAGGTAGGGTGGGGCTGGGGGTACGAACTGTGCAGCCCTCAGAAGCTGCAGACCTGGGTCCACTGCCCCTTCGCTGGGAGTCTTGGCACGGGAGATGGTCAGGGCCACAGGGGCCAGGCAGCCAGGCCCATGACCTTGGGTGTGGTCTGCCCAGGACAACCCTCCCACACCGGCCCACCCCTGGGCCACCTGCCACCGTGAATCCAATGCAAGGCTGTTGTGACACTCACTCCCTGCTCCCAGATAACTGAGGCAGGAGAGGCCACCCCACAGCTTGTGGGGCTCGCTGGCCAGGGATGGGGCTCCCACCTGCTGCTGCCTTTGCTTTGCTTGCCTGACGCTGAGGCACCAGGTTGGAGGAAGCCCTGGCTCTGTGGGGGGGATGCAGGAGCTGGCACCTCACCTGCCTGCTGTGTGTCAGGGCTGGTGTCAAGCCTCCCGCCCAGAAGGGGGCTGGACGTGCTGGACAGTGGCAGGACAAACCGCCAGTGCTGGATTCCACATAGGCTGTGCGCTGTGGGTTCATGCTGCGTCTGCCTAGCGCAGGCAAACGAGTCCAGCTCTGCCCAAACAGGCCGCCTCGCACTGGGAGCAGAGCCTCACCAGGATGCTGCACGTGGCACCTCCTCCCTCCCGTCTCTGCAGGTGCCGACTCGCTGGTGCTCAGTAGCCAGAAATGCACAGTAAATAGGTGTCCTTCGATTCCAAGGAATAAATACCACTTTTTGTCCCACTTTAATATGCCACACAATAATCTGTCTTTGGATTGGGATGCAGTGACGTGAGACATCTTGGTAAAGTCAAAACTGTCTCTCTCAGTTCCGGTAGCTTCAGATCCGACTGCTCTGAACCAGCAAACAGAGACTCCAAATCACAAACCTCCCTGGGAGCCACAAAGCCATTCCCTTTCTCTCACAGGAGCCCATCTATTACTTGTGTTTGAGACACGGCCACCTCAGCGTGTCTCCGTGCTGATTCCCACTGCCCTGAGCCCTGGACAGGGGACCTGTGAGGGCCTCTCACCCCCAGGCAAGGCCACGCCAGTGTGAGCAGCAGCCAGGCTTCTGCTTTTTGAGGGTGCGGAGACGCAGCAGTAAGGAGACAGGACGTCACTCTCAGAGAGCTCCTGACCTCTGCCCCACACACCAGAGACACGTCAGCTCCCGTGGGCCCCAAAGAGAGAGGGCACTCGGCTTAGGGGAGTCTTCCTGGAGGAAGTGATGCTGGGGGCGAGTCCTGAGGGCGGGATTAGCAGGCAAAGGAGAAGGGAAGAAAGTGGCCCAGCAATCCGTTGATTTTAAATGGTGAATCATTTTTCTGCACCACTCACACTGCCAGAAAGAATGAACTGTGGTCCCAGCTTAACATTCTCCAAATGCCTAGCAGGGCATCATGCAACCTCGGGTAGAATCATCCATTTCCCATGGGTTGGCAATGCTGTCTCTGTGATATGCCATTTCCGTATACACCTGAGTCTAGTTCTGGAATTCCAGTTTCTTTTCCCTTAATCCATCTTCACATTCTGGTACCAATCTACCTGAAACTCTACTCGCTGAAATGGTCGATTATGCTCTTCCCTTGATCCGTCTTCACGTTCCGGTACCGATCTACCTGAAACTCTACTGGCTGAAATGGTCGATTATGCTCTTCCCTCGATCCGTCTTCACGTTCTGGTACCGATCTACCTGAAACTCTACTGGCTGAAATGGTCGATTATGCTCTTCCCTCGATCCGTCTTCACGTTCTGGTACCGATCTACCTGAAACTCTACTGGCTGAAATGGTCGATTATGCTCTTCCCTTGATCCGTCTTCACATTCTGGTACCGATCTACCTGAAACTCTACTGGCTGAAATGGTCGATTATGCTCTTCCCTTGATCCGTCTTCACATTCTGGTACCAATCTACCTGAAACTCTACTGGCTGAAATGGTTGATTATGCTCTTCCCTCGATCTGTTTTCACATTCTGGTACCAATCTACCTGAAACTCTACTGGCCGAAATGGTTGATTATGCAAACCCAGCAAGTGAAGAGTCATAAATAAATGATGCTTCAATTTGAATTTTAATGATATGGAAAAATGTTCTCTGTGTGATGTGAGGGAAAAAAATCAACATCTACATATGCAAATTGATGCATATTGTGATTGTCTGAGGAATATTCTATATGCACAGAAAAGTGACTGGGCTGAAATGTAATTGGATCTTAACAATGCTCTAGATAGTAAGATTTGGGATGGGTTTTACTTTATTAACTTTTAGTTTTCTATAGCTTCTAATTGTTTTTAAATAGTGAACACACATGGCATACACACAAATGAATAAAGAGTTATTTTGAAAAGTGAGGCCGGGCATGGTGGCTCATGCCTTTAATCCCAGCACTTTGGGAGGCCGAGATGGGCAGATCACGAGGTCAGGAGATTGAGACCATCCTGGCTAACACAGTGAAATCCCATCTCTACTAAAAATAAAAAAAATTAGCCAGGCGTGGTGGCAGATGCCTGTAGTCCCAGCTACTCGGGAGGCTGAGGCAGGAGAATGGCATGAACCCAGGAGGTGGAGCTTGCAGTGAGCCAAGATCACGCCACTGCACTCCAGCCTGGGTGACAGAGCGAGACTCCATCTAAAAAAAAAAAAAGAAAAGTGAGTTCACTTCCTCCTCCAGCTGTGATGGAGTCACTGGATCAGGTTTACCACCTGCCTGAAACAAACAAACTAGAAAACAATACGGGAAACAAAGGTTTTGAAGACACTGGACACTGGACAACATAGGACAGTCATCCCTAAGACAGGGGGAAGCAAATTAACAATGTACTATGGGATTATATTAGGTTGGTGAAAAAGTAATTGCGGTTTTTTGCATATGTGAAAAGAATGCATGGCTTAAATAGCAGGAAGGCTGGGAGGAAAGATATGGAAGATGCTGCTGTAAGGTTGTTAACTGGTATAATATCAATAAAGGTAGACGGTGATAAACCAAAGATGTATATTATAAGCCCTAAAGCCATCACTGAACACAACAAAGAATAATAGCTAAAAACTGAACAAAAGAGATAAAATGGAATCTTAGAAAAATAATGCAAAGGAAAACAGAAAAAAAGGAGAAAGAGAATGAACAGAGATAGGACAAATAGAAACAAATAGAAAAATGGTAGATTTATTTTTATTTTTTGAGACAGAGTCTCACTCTGTTGCCCAGGCTGGAGTGCAATGGTGCAATCTTGGCTCACTGCAACCTCTACCTCCCAGGTTCAAGTGATTCTCCTGCCTCAGCCTCCTCAGTAGCTGAGATTACAGGCGTGTGCCACCACGCCTGGCTAATTTTTGTATTTTGAGTAGAGACAGGGTTTCACCATGTTTGGCCAGGCTGGTCTTGAACCCCTGGCCTCAAGTGATCTGCCCACCTCGGCCTCCCAAAGTGCTGGGATTACAGGCATGAGCCACCGTGCCTGGCCTGAAAAATGGTATATTTAAACTTAGCCTTATCATCAATCATATTAAATATAAATGATCTAAATATCCCAATTAAAAAGCAAAGTTGTCAGATTGAAAAAAACAAACCAAAACCTAACTGTGTGCCCCCTTTAAGAAACACACGTTAAATACAAAGGCACAGATAAGCAATAAATAGAAGACTGGGCAAAAATACACCATGCTAATCCTTATCAAATAAATCTGGAGGTGTTAAATTAGTATCAAAGTTGGAAACAACTCAATGTGCCTCAACAGGTCTGGGGATAAATAGATTGTGGTACATCCATACAATGGTAGACAGCTGAGATCTAAAAAGGAATGAAATATTGATACATGTAAAACCATAGATAAATGTCAAAATTGTTTTCTGAGTGAAATAAGGCAAACCAAAGAAAGGTAGTTAGTGTATTATTACATTTCTATGAAATTTATAGAAAATGCCAACTAGTCAATAGCGACAGAAAGCAGATCAGTGGCTGCCCGGGGGTTGGGAGGAGAGAGGTGTTGCAAAGACGAAGGAGAAATCTTTGGATGGATGGAGATTGTTCTTTATCTTGTTTATGGTGGTGGTTTCACCAGTGTGGACACATGTCAAACCATCAAATTGACACTTTATGTAGTTTACTGTATGTCAATTATACCTCAGTAAAGCTGTTAAATAAAAAGTGGATGCATGGAAAGTTTTATAGCACCTCTTGTTAAAAAAAAAAAAACAACCTCTAAATTTAGGTGATTCTCAGTTCTGAGTGGCTCTCAGTTGGTTACTGCACCAGAATCCGTGGTTTTTCATTCCTGTCCTAGAGCAAGCCCCAGAAGCTGGAAGATTTTCATCAAGAGGCCAGGCGCAGTGGCTCACACTTGTAATCCCAGAACTTTGGGAGGCCGAGGCGGGTGGATCACCTGAGGTCAAAAGTTTGAGACCAGCCTGACCAAAGTGGTGAAACCCCATCTCTACTAAATATACAAAATTAGCCGGGCATGGTGATATATGCCCGTCATCCCAGCTACTTGGGAGGTGGGGGCAGGAGAATCACTTGATCCCAGGAGGTGGAGGTTGCAGTGAGCCGAGGTCACGCCATTGCACTCCAGCCTGGGCAATAAGAGTGAAACTTCATCTCAAAAATGAATAAATAAATAAAATATATAAAAAAGATTTTCATCAAAAGATGTCACATCCAGGACCCAGGCTTGACCAGGAGAAATAAGGGTCCCCTGGGTGGGCTGTGAGGGGACTCCGGGTGGAGGACCCAGGAGAAGCATCTACAGTGGCTGTTAACTTCAGAGGTAAAGAAAACACCAGATGATGACAGAGAGATTTCTGATGGCAACAGGTGACAGCGTCAGCTGGAGAAAAATGAAAACTGCAGCTACAACCTCACATCTCTAACAAGCCTACAGCCCAGCCTCCCATCTCTAACAAGCCTACAGCCTCCCATCTCTAACAAGCCTACAGCCTCCCATCTCTAACAAGCCTACAGCCTCCCATCTCTAACAAGCCTACAGCCTCCCATCTCTAACAAACCTACAGCCTCCCTTCTCTAACAAACCTAACAGCCTCCCATCTCTAACAAACCTAACAGCCTCCCATCTCTAACAAACCTACAGCCTCCCATCTCTAACAAGCCTACAGCCTCCCATCTCTAACAAACCTACAGCCTCCCATCTCTAACAAGCCTACAGCCTCCCATCTCTAACAAACCTAACAGCCTCCCATCTCTAACAAACCTACAGCCTCCCTTCTCTAACAAACCTAACAGCCTCCCATCTCTAATAAACCTAACAGCCTCCCATCTCTAACAAACCTAACAGCCTCCCATCTCTAACAAGCCTACAGCCTCCCATCTCTAACAAACCTACAGCCTCCCATCTCTAACAAACCTAACAGCCTCCCATCTCTAACAAACCTACAGCCTCCCTTCTCTAACAAACCTAACAGCCTCCCATCTCTAATAAACCTAACAGCCTCCCATCTCTAACAAACCTAACAGCCTCCCATCTCTAACAAGCCTACAGCCTCCCATCTCTAACAAACCTACAGCCTCCCATCTCTAACAAACCTACAGCCTCCCATCTCTAACAAACCTAACAGCCTCCCATCTCTAACAAACCTACAGCCTCCCTTCTCTAACAAACCTAACAGCCTCCCATCTCTAATAAACCTAACAGCCTCCCATCTCTAACAAACCTAACAGCCTCCCATCTCTAACAAACCTACAGCCTCCCTTCTCTAACAAACCTAACAGCCTCCCATCTCTAATAAACCTAACAGCCTCCCATCTCTAACAAACCTAACAGCCTCCCATCTCTAACAAGCCTACAGCCTCCCATCTCTAACAAACCTACAGCCTCCCATCTCTAACAAACCTAACAACCTCCCATCTCTAACAAACCTACAGCCTCCCTTCTCTAACAAACCTAACAGCCTCCCATCTCTAATAAACCTAACAGCCTCCCATCTCTAACAAACCTAACAGCCTCCCATCTCTAACAAGCCTACAGCCTCCCATCTCTAACAAGCCTACAGCCTCCCATCTCTAACAAGCCTACAGCCTCCCATCTCTAACAAACCTAACAGCCTCCCATCTCTAACAAACCTACAGCCTCCCTTCTCTAACAAACCTAACAGCCTCCCATCTCTAATAAACCTAACAGCCTCCCATCTCTAACAAACCTAACAGCCTCCCATCTCTAACAAGCCTACAGCCTCCCATCTCTAACAAACCTACAGCCTCCCATCTCTAACAAACCTAACAGCCTCCCATCTCTAACAAACCTACAGCCTCCCTTCTCTAACAAACCTAACAGCCTCCCATCTCTAACAAACCTACAGCCTCCCATCTCTAACAAACCTAACAGCCTCCCATCTCTAACAAACCTACAGCCTCCCATCTCTAACAAACCTAACAGCCTCCCATCTCTAACAAACCTACAGCCTCCCATCTCTAACAAGCCTACAGCCTCCCATCTCTAACAAGCCTACAGCCTCCCATCTCTAACAAACCTACGGCCTCCCATCTCTAACAAACCTACAGCCTCCCTTCTCTAACAAACCTAACAGCCTCCCATCTCTAACAAGCCTACAGCCTCCCTTCTCTAACAAACCTAACAGCCTCCCATCTCTAACAAGCCTACAGCCTCGCATTTCTGACGTTTCCTTTTGGGTCTGGGATCACTTGTACAGTCTTTACAAAGTATTTGATTACAGACTGAACTACAGGCAGTGGTCACACAGTTCGGGGAATATCAGGAGTCAGATAACATGGGGAAAATCAGTGCCGCGTTCTGGGATTCCTGGCCATTTCCTTCCTGGCTGAGAGCCTCGTATGCAAATCTCCAAACATCACACCGGGGCGGGGTGCACAGGAGAGCCGAGTGAGGCCCTGGCCCCTATGCCGCTTGCCAGGTTCACCTTCAGGGTGATTGTAGCATTTTTATGGCAAGGAAAATAAACGAGCCGTTACCTTTCACCAAATCGCACTGTATTTTATTCATTTAGGGTGTACACACCTATCTGCTCTTCAAAGGAATTTTGGGCAGATTGTAAAATTACGCTCAACATACAGCAAGGCGACTATAAATACAAAAGCAGCACTGAGGTGCTGGTGCTGCGGGTGGGTCACGGGATAAACCAGGCGTGGGGTCTGGGTCACGGGATGACCCGAGGGTGGGTCACGGGATAAACCAGGGGTGGGGTCTGGGTCACAGGATGACCCGGGGGTGGGTCACGGGATAAACCAGGGGTGGGGGGCTGGGTCACGGGATGAACGGGGGGCGGGTCACAGGATGAACCGTGGGCGGGTCATGGGATAAACCAGGGTGGGGTCTGGGTCACAGGATGACCCGGGGGTGGGTCACGGGATAAACCAGGGGTGGGGGGTGGGTCACGGGATGAACGGGGGGCGGGTCACAGGATGAACCGTGGGTGGGTCATGGGATAAACCAGGGTGGGGTCTGGGTCACGGGATGAACGGGGTTGGGGGCTGGGTCACGGGATGAACCGGGGGGTGGGTCACGGGATGAACGGGGGGGGGGTGGGTCACGGGCTAAACCGGGGTTGGGGGTGGGTCACGGGATGAACGGGGTTGGGGGCTGGGTCACGGGATGAACGGGGGGTGGGTCACGGGATGAACAGGGGGTGGGTCACGGGATAAACCGGGGTGGGGGGCTGGGTCATGGGATGAACGGGGGGTGGGTCACGGGATGAACCGGGGTGGGGGGTGGGTCATGGGATGAACCGGGGTGGGGGGCTGGGTCATGGGATGAACCGGGGTGGGGGGCTGGGTCATGGGATGAACGGGGGGGTGGGTCACGGGATGAACCGGGGTGAGGGGTGGGTCACCGGATGAACGGGGGTGGGTCATGGGATGAACCAGGGGTTTCCGAGGTCGCAGGCGGCTTCCTTGCCCCGTGACCTGGCTGGGGCTGCTTAACTTATGAGCAGTTCGGCTTCCTCGCGGGCGCCGGGGCGGTGCTGCCTTCTCACACTGCAGTCCTGTGAATATTCCATGCAGTCAGAAGCTCAGGCGGTTCAGGGTGTGGTGGGGCCGCCCAGGACCAGGACCCCTCCGCATGGGGACCAACCCCTGTTCCACAGCTGGGGAGGGCTAGTGGCTGACACCACAGTGATGAGGCTCTTAACAATTGCTTCTGCCCTCAGGAGGGTAGCCCAGCACCCCCCTGGGGGAGGGGCCCGACCCAAAAACTGGCCAGCAGTGGGCACATCAGGCCCCTGGGCCTCGACACCAAGGGGGTGATGGGCTCCAGAGTGCCCGTCGCCGCTGCCCAACTCTGCCCCCAGGTGTGAGTCCCTCGAGCCCTCCGCATAAACCTCTGTGCCCTGGAACCCGACGGGGACACAAGCGGGAAGTTGACAGCCATGCCCTCTGGAACCTTTAGAAAAGAAACCGGCCCAGTGCAAGGTCGTTCAATGCAGAGCCTCTCCTGAGCACAAACAAAATCCAGATGAGTGTCCGCACGGGGCCGTGCGGAGGTCACGGGAGCTGCAGTGTGGGCCGTGGATGGCTCCCTCCCGTACCAAAGGCCGGCGTGAAGACAAGAACACAGGCAGGCAGACGGCAGTGAAAAGCAGCCAGAAATGGAGGAGCTTCAGAGAGGCCGAAGTCTGAAACAGCCCGAAATGGAGGGGGTTCAGAGGGCCCGAAGCGGGACGCACCTGCTCCCTCCCGGGGTGCCGGGGCTGTCAGGGAGGGGTGGGCCGAGAAGTGTGGATGGGTACATGGAGGGTCCCGGGCCCTCGGGGTCTGGCTGGTAGCACTGGGAGGAGGTGAAAAGCAAGGCTTGTGAGGGCTCAGCTCCCAGAGTTGCAACTCTGCGGACTGCAGCGGGGCCTTGGCTCCACCTGCGCTTCTGGTCTCGGCTGCCCTGACAGCCACTGGGCTCCAGGCAGGCCTGGGTGGTGAGGACGGCGCTGGGCTGCGGCCACCAGATCCATGGCTTCCCTGGACAATGACGGGTCAGCCAGACGCTCTAGCTGAGTCAGGGCCTAGGAAACCCCCGCTCCCCCGCCCCATACATGTGAGTCTCCCAAGGGGAGAGCCTAAGGAATGCTGAGACGCAGCGGGTGGGGGAGCGGAAAAGTGTTGGCTCAGGAGCTACCATTTTTTTGTGTGTGTGTGACGGAGTTTTGCTCTGTGGCGCAGGCTGGAGTGCAGTGATGTGATCTCGGCTCACTGCAAGCTCCGCCTCCCAGGTTCACGCCATTCTCCTGCCTCGGCCTCCCCCCAGTAGCTGGGACTACAGGCGCCTGCCACCACGCCCGGCTAAGTTTTCATATTTTTAAGAGACAGGGTTTCATGGTGTTAACCAGATGGTCTTGATTCCTGACCTTGTGATCCACCCGCCTCGGCCTCCCAAAGT
Organism: Homo sapiens; assembly: GCF_000001405.40. NCBI lineage: Eukaryota > Metazoa > Chordata > Mammalia > Primates > Hominidae > Homo > Homo sapiens. Next base: position 556,627 of record NC_000005.10, read on the forward strand.
GCTGGGATTACAGGGATGAGCCACCGCGCCGGCCACGAGCTACCATCTTAATGCAGAGTGTCGAAGTCTCTCTCCTTGCTGTGCCCAGCCTGGGGTGCCAGGCTGGGTTCTTGGAATCTGGAGGCTGTGCTGCCCAGGGCAGGACTTCCATGTTCCTGGAGCTTGGCCCTTGTGGGCCCGGGGCAGCATCAGCAGGGGTGGCTCTCATGCCCCGGGGCTGCCTCTTTCTCCCCTCAGTGAAGACAGGGTCTGTGCCACTCTGGGCCTCCAGTGTCCCCACCAAGGAGCAGGCACAGCCCCGTGGGACCCAAGGAGCTGCCGTTCCCCTCTGTGCCTCTTTGCTGTGGACTCTGACCTTCTACCTTATTTCTGATTAAGTCTAAAAAAAGACAGGAAAAACCAACACGAGCACATCACGTCACCGAGATACAGGGCAGCGGTCAGGGCCGTGAAGTCCCCGGCTCTGCAGAATCCAATGGGGAGAGCAGTGGCGAGGGTGGCCCTGTGTGCAGAGGTGGCTGCCTGCCCCTGCCGCCCAGCAACCCCCAGCCCAGCCAAGGTCAAGGCCAGTGGGAGGAGCGGCGGGTTTCTGGACAACACCCAGCAATCAAGGCCCCACTGAGGTCGCTCAGACCACACCCTCGGATCCTCCAGCCACACTCAACAGCACTGCCGGGAAAATGGACGGAGCTTGATGTCTCTGCCAGCACCTTTACCTCTGCCCCAGACGAAACACTGTTCAGATCACTCACCCTGCCAGGCTCACCACCCTACTGGGACCAACACCCTACGCAGACCACCACACTGCCCGGACCACCACACTGCCCGGACCACTCACCCTGCCTGGACCACCACACTGCCCAGACCACCACACTGCCCGAACCACCACACTGTCCGGACCACTCACCCTGCCCGGACCACCACACTGCCCGGACCACCACACTGCCCGGACCACTCACCCTGTTAAGACTACCACCCTACCCGGACCACCACACTGCCTGGAGCACTCACACTGCCCGGATCACCACACTGCCTAGACTACTCACCCTGCCCAGACCACCACACTGCCTGGAGCACTCACACTGCCCGAACCACCACACTGTCCGGACCACTCACCCTGCCCGGACCACCACACTGCCTGGAGCATTCACACTGCCCGAACCACCACACTGTCCGGACCACTCACCCTGCCCGGACCACCACACTGCCCGGACCACCACACTGCCCGGACCACTCACCCTGTTAAGACTACCACCCTACCCGGACCACCACACTGCCTGGAGCACTCACACTGCCCGGATCACCACACTGCCTAGACTACTCACCCTGCCCAGACCACCACACTGCCTGGAGCACTCACACTGCCCGGATCACCACACTGCCTAGACTACTCACCCTGCCCAGACCACCACACTGCCTGGAGCACTCACCCTACCTAGGCCACACACTGCTTAGACCACCACACTGCCCTGACCACTCACCACCACCCTACCTGGACCACTCATCATGCCTGGACCACCACACTGCCCGGACCACCACACAGCTTGGACAACCCGCATTGCCACTCACAATGCTAAGTGCAGGAGTCCCAAGGGCCCTTTCTGTAGTAAATGGGGGTTGGTTTGAGAGGTCTGGGTGATTTTACCTTCCTTGGAAAAGAATTTCCTCTCCATCTGGCAGGGAATGGGCTGGGCAGACCCCTAAATCCAGTGATAATCAAACACGGTATGCCTTGAACCCCAGGGATCTTGTTTAAATGCAGTCTCCGTCCCAGCAGGGCCAGGTGGGCCTGAGACTCTGCACTTCCCACAGCTCCTGGGACACCGTTGCTGCTGGACCCCGGGGCACACTGAGCCATGAGGCCCGGTCTGGGTAGGATGGAGGCGATCCCTGCGGCCTGGGTCCCAGAGAGGGCAGGCCTCTCTGGTCCTCCTGCCACTTTAAGGGTGTGAGTCAGGGACCAAGGACTCAAAGGCCCTCAGAGGTGCTGAGTGTTGGGCAGCCTGGAAGCAGCTTCACCTCTAGTCTGTTTTCTCCAGCGCCTGGGGCCCTGAGCGGTGCTTTTGCCTTTCCAGCCCCTTTTCTGATGGTCCTCACGGAGGATGGGCCGCCTCCCGGGGCGCTGAGCAGGTGCTTTTGCCTTTCCAGCCCCTTTTCTGATGGTCCTCACGGAGGATGGGCCGCCTCCCGGGGCGCTGAGCAGGTGCTTTTGCCTTTCCAGCCCCTTTTCTGATGGTCCTCACGGAGGATGGGCCGCCTCCTGGGGCGCTGAGGAGGTGCTTTTGCCTTTCCAGCCCCTTTTCTGATGGTCCTCACGGAGGATGGGCCGCCTCCTGGGGCGCTGAGCCACTGCTTTTGCCTTTCCAGCCCCTTTTCTGGTGGTCCTCACGGAGGATGGGCCGCCGCCCGGGGCGCTGAGCAGGTGCTTTTGCCTTTCCAGCCCCTTTACCTGTGGTCCTCACGGAGGATGGGCCGCCGCCTGGGGCGCTGAGCAGGTGCTTTTGCCTTTCCAGCCCCTTTTCTGGTGGTCCTCACGGAGGATGGGCTGCCCCAGCCATCAGCACAATTTAGGAGGGGCTTTGTTTCCTTGGAGGGTGGCAGGTTTTTAATCCTGGATCCCGTTCTTCGGTGGTTATAAAACTGTTCGGATTTCACGTCTCCTTGATTGACAGCTTATGTTTTGCGAGGAAATTGTTCGTTTTGTATGTGTGCATCTGTACATGCGTTATGCACGCGGGACACGCACACGGAGATACCGAGTTTCCGCCGGGTCCCTTTGCTCCCATTTCTGTTTCCAACATCAACCATTTGTGCTTCTCTTTTTTCGTGCCAGCGTGTCGTGTTGTCTGTTTCATTATTTCAAAAACCAGCAAGGCTCCACAAGGCTCCATTGATTCTCACCATCCTGAGGCTCAAGGAACACAGCAGACAGAGATCTCTTCCTCTGTGGGGCTGCCACATGGTGCATTTTAATTGGTAGAATGTTTATTACTCCTCTGTGGGTTTGCATTTCCTTTCCTTTGCCTTTTTTTTTTTTTTTTTTTTGAGACAGGGTCTCACTCTGTCACCCAGGCTGGAGTGCCGTGGTGCAATCTCAGCTCACTGCAGCCTCAACCACCCTGAGCTCAAGCCATTGTCCCACCTCAGCCTCCCCAGTAGCTGGGACCACAGGCACATGCCACCATGCCTGGCTAATTCTTCTTATTATTTATTTTGTAGAGACAGGGTTTTGCCATGTTGCTCAGACTGGTCTTAAACTCCTGGCCTCAAATGATCCTCCCACCCTGGCCTCCTAAGGTGCTGGGATTCCAGGTGTGAGCCATCATGCCCAGCCTTGTCCAGCTTCTTTTTTTTTTGAGACAGTGTCTCACTCTGTCGCCCAGTCTGCAGTGCAATGGCGCGATCTTGGCTCACTGCAACCTCTGCCTCCCAGGTTCAAGCGATTCTCCTACCTCAGCCTCCTGAGTAGCTGGGACTACAGATATGCGCCACCATACCCAGCTAATTTTTGTATTTTTAGTACAGACGGGGTTTCACCATGTTGGCCAGGATGGTCTCAATCTCCTGACCTCTTGATCCGCCCGCCTTGGCCTCCCAAAGTGCTGGGATTACAGGCCTGAGCCACCGCACCTGGCCTGTCCAGCTTCTTAAGCTGCTTGTTTTGCTTATTAACACGGTCTTCTCATTTTCTCATGCAGCTATTAAGACTGTGAACATCCTTGAAGGGTCACCGCACTCTCATGGATCATGTCTATGGTCTCCCTGGGAGGCAGCGCCCACGCTGGGGTCTGCCCGGCAAGGCCTCACCCAGAGCTGCCTGCCATCTGTGTCCAGCCCTCTCTCTCTGTCCCCAACTTTCTATCAATCAGCTATCATCTATCACCTGTCTGTATCAATCTGTCCATGTCTGTCATCTGTCTGTTTACCTCCCTCTATCGACCACTTATCTGATCATCTCCCAACCAATTTCCCTCCTGTCTGTCCATCTATCATCTATTCATCTGTCCATTTACCCATCCATCTATCATCCGTCTCAATTTCTGTATCCATGAATCACCTGTATCTTCATCTTTACCTATATCTACCTCTCTCTCCCTTTCTATATCTCTATGTCTCTCCATCTGTATGTTTGTCTATCATCCATGTACCTCACTGGCTGTATAATCTTCTGAGGCAGGAACATTCTGGAAGGCACTGGGCTTATTTAGCCATTCCTCCATCCTTGGCTGACCTGTCAGCTGTCCAGGTTTCCATTGTGACATGAGCTGCTGCTTCGGTTGATGTTCCAGTCTCTCGGCCTCTGCCTGCGTCCTGCACCTTCCTGTGGTGGAAACTCGAGGTCTGTGTGGAGCGGCCCCCGGCTGGCCCCGCAGCGCATGCAGCCTGGAGAGGAGTCGTGTGGCCCGGGCAAATGGCGACGTGTCTTCCATAAACCCTGGGTGTGGAAGGTGTGTTTCCTTCTTGCCCAAACCTCTGTTTAAGGGATATTATTCATTTTTGTTTTCACCAGGCTCTTTTAAAAAGGTACAACAATAATTCTTTGAAAAAAATGTATTGTCTGCTCAACTGTGAGGTTCCAGAAAGGGGAGAAAGCCATCCCAGCTGTAGGTCCAGGGTCTCTGAGTGACCCCGGAAGAAAGGCAGCATGAGCATAAGTCCTCAGAGGGGGTCCCCAAACCGGGGGACGGAAGCCCTGTTCTTGAACCCCAGTTCTTCCCCTCTGTGGTCTGGGGGAGCAGACTCAGAGCCTCAGTTTCCCCATCAGCAAGATGGTGGTCCTTGGAGTCCCTTCCAGCATTACGGCTGTGGCTGTGCTGTTTGCCTTTAGCGGGTTGAAAGGGAAAGACAGGAGGGAAGCAAACCCTTGCGCTCAGTGTTCTGGCGCTGTGAAGAAAATGTACCAGCTGCCCAGAGGTCCTGTAGACCAGTCCCCAGGAGGGAGTCCTCCCCCAGATGGAGGAGAGCCCGGGTGTGCGGGATCCTGAGAGGCCAGAACACCAGGCAGGCGGGGCAGGGTGGAGATGCCCCGGCCGCTGGTGCCAGGCTGCATATGCACCGCTGGTGGGCACCAGATCCCTCCCAACACGGACGACCGGACAGCACCAACACAGGCCCCCGCAGAGGGGCGCAGCTGACGGGACGGCGCCGACACAGGCCCCCGCAGAGGGGCTCAGCTGACGGGAGGGCGACAACACAGGCCCCCGCAGAGGGGCGCAGCTGACGGGACGGCGCCGACACAGGCCCCCGCAGAGGGGTTCAGCTCAGGGGACGGCGCCGACACAGGCCCCCGCAGAGGGGCTCAGCTCAGGGGACGGCGCCGACACAGGCCCCCGCAGAGGGGTTCAGCTCAGGGGACGGCGACGACACAGGCCCCCGCAGAGGGGTTCAGCTCAGGGGACGGCGACGACACAGGCCCCCGCAGAGGGGTTCAGCTCAGGGGACGGCGCCGACACAGGCCCCCGCAGAGGGGCTCAGCTCAGGGGACGGCGCCGACACAGGCCCCCGCAGAGGGGCGCAGCTGACGGGAGGGCGACAACACAGGCCCCCGCAGAGGGGCTCAGCTCAGGGGACGGCGACGACACAGGCCCCCGCAGAGGGGCGCAGCTGACGGGACGGCGCCGACACAGGCCCCCGCAGAGGGGCGCAGCTGACGGGACGGCGCCGACACAGGCCCCCGCAGAGGGGTTCAGCTCAGGGAACGGCGACAACACAGGCCCCCGCAGAGGGGTTCAGCTCAGGGGACGGCGACGACACAGGCCCCCGCAGAGGGGCGCAGCTGACGGGACGGCGCCGACACAGGCCCCCGCAGAGGGGCGCAGCTGACGGGACGGCGCCGACACAGGCCCCCGCAGAGGGGTTCAGCTCAGGGAACGGCGACAACACAGGCCCCCGCAGAGGGGTTCAGCTCAGGGGACGGCGACGACACAGGCCCCCGCAGAGGGGTTCAGCTCAGGGGACGGCGACGACACAGGCCCCCGCAGAGGGGTTCAGCTCAGGGGAGGGCGACAACACAGGCTCCCCGCAGAGGGGTTCAGCTCAGGGGACGGCGACAACACAGGCCCCCGCAGAGGGGCGCAGCTGACGGGACGGCGCCGACACAGGCCCCCGCAGAGGGGCGCAGCTGACGGGACGGCGCCGACACAGGCCCCCGCAGAGGGGTTCAGCTCAGGGAACGGCGACAACACAGGCCCCCGCAGAGGGGTTCAGCTCAGGGGACGGCGACGACACAGGCCCCCGCAGAGGGGTTCAGCTCAGGGGACGGCGACGACACAGGCCCCCGCAGAGGGGTTCAGCTCAGGGGAGGGCGACAACACAGGCTCCCCGCAGAGGGGTTCAGCTCAGGGGACGGCGACAACACAGGCCCCCGCAGAGGGGCGCAGCTGACGGGACGGCGCCGACACAGGCCCCCGCAGAGGGGCGCAGCTGACGGGACGGCGCCGACACAGGCCCCCGCAGAGGGGTTCAGCTCAGGGAACGGCGACAACACAGGCCCCCGCAGAGGGGTTCAGCTCAGGGGACGGCGACGACACAGGCCCCCGCAGAGGGGTTCAGCTCAGGGGACGGCGACGACACAGGCCCCCGCAGAGGGGTTCAGCTCAGGGGAGGGCGACAACACAGGCTCCCCGCAGAGGGGTTCAGCTCAGGGGACGGCGCCGACACAGGCCCCCGCAGAGGGGTTCAGCTCAGGGGACGGCGACAACACAGGCCCCCGCAGAGGGGCGCAGCTGACGGGACGGCGCCGACACAGGCCCCCGCAGAGGGGCGCAGCTGACGGGACGGCGCCGACACAGGCCCCCGCAGAGGGGTTCAGCTCAGGGAACGGCGACAACACAGGCCCCCGCAGAGGGGTTCAGCTCAGGGGACGGCGACGACACAGGCCCCCGCAGAGGGGCGCAGCTGACGGGACGGCGCCGACACAGGCCCCCGCAGAGGGGCGCAGCTGACGGGACGGCGCCGACACAGGCCCCCGCAGAGGGGTTCAGCTCAGGGGACGGCGCCGACACAGGCCCCCGCAGAGGGGCTCAGCTCAGGGGACGGCGCCGACACAGGCCCCCGCAGAGGGGTTCAGCTCAGGGGACGGCGCCGACACAGGCCCCCGCAGAGGGGTTCAGCTCAGGGGACGGCGCCGACACAGGCCCCCGCAGAGGGGCTCAGCTCAGGGGACGGCGCCGACACAGGCCCCCGCAGAGGGGTTCAGCTGACGGGACGGCGCCGACACAGGCCCCCGCAGAGGGGCTCAGCTCAGGGGACAGCGCCGACACAGGCCCCCGCAGAGGGGCTCAGCTCAGGGGACGGCGCCGACACAGGCCCCCGCAGAGGGGTTCAGCTCAGGGGACGGCGCCGACACAGGCCCCCGCAGAGGGGTTCAGCTCAGGGGACGGCGCCGACACAGGCCCCCGCAGAGGGGTTCAGCTCAGGGGACGGCGCCGACACAGGCCCCCGCAGAGGGGTTCAGCTCAGGGGACGGCGACGACACAGGCCCCCGCAGAGGGGTTCAGCTCAGGGGACGGCGCCGACACAGGCCCCCGCAGAGGGGCTCAGCTGACGGGACGGCGCCGACACAGGCCCCCGCAGAGGGGCTCAGCTCAGGGGACAGCGCCGACACAGGCCCCCGCAGAGGGGCTCAGCTCAGGGGACGGCGACGACACAGGCCCCCGCAGAGGGGTTCAGCTCAGGGGACGGCGCCGACACAGGCCCCCGCAGAGGGGCTCAGCTCAGGGGACGGCGCCGACACAGGCCCCCGCAGAGGGGTTCAGCTCAGGGGACGGCGCCGACACAGGCCCCCGCAGAGGGGCTCAGCTCAGGGGACGGCGCCGACACAGGCCCCCGCAGAGGGGTTCAGCTCAGGGGACGGCGCCGACACAGGCCCCCGCAGAGGGGCTCAGCTCAGGGGACGGCGCCGACACAGGCCCCCGCAGAGGGGTTCAGCTCAGGGGACGGCGCCGACACAGGCCCCCGCAGAGGGGCTCAGCTCAGGGGACGGCGCCGACACAGGCCCCCGCAGAGGGGCTCAGCTCAGGGGACGGCGACGACACAGGCCCCCGCAGAGGGGCTCAGCTCAGGGGACGGCGACGACACAGGCCCCCGCAGAGGGGCTCAGCTCAGGGGACGGCGCCGACACAGGCCCCCGCAGAGGGGCGCAGCTGACGGGACGGCGCCGACACAGGCCCCCGCAGAGGGGTTCAGCTCAGGGGACGGCGACGACACAGGCCCCCGCAGAGGGGTTCAGCTCAGGGGACGGCGACGACACAGGCCCCCGCAGAGGGGTTCAGCTCAGGGGACGGCGACGACACAGGCCCCCGCAGAGGGGTTCAGCTCAGGGGACGGCGCCGACACAGGCCCCCGCAGAGGGGTTCAGCTGACGGGACGGCGCCGACACAGGCCCCCGCAGAGGGGTTCAGCTGACGGGACGGCGCCGACACAGGCCCCCGCAGAGGGGTTCAGCTGACGGGACGGCGCCGACACAGGCTCCCCGCAGAGGGGCGCGGCTCAGGGGACGGCGACGACACAGGCCCCCGCAGAGGGGCTCGGCTGACGGGACGGCGACGACACAGGCCCCCGCAGAGGGGTTCAGCTCAGGGGACGGCGACGACACAGGCTCCCCGCAGAGGGGCTCGGCTGACGGGACGGCGACGACACAGGCCCCCGCAGAGGGGCGCGGCTGACGGGACGGCGACGACACAGGCCCCCGCAGAGGGGTTCAGCTGAGGGGACGGCGCCGACACAGGCTCCCCGCAGAGGGGCGCGGCTCAGGGGACGGCGACGACACAGGCCCCCGCAGAGGGGCTCGGCTGACGGGACGGCGACGACACAGGCCCCCGCAGAGGGGTTCAGCTCAGGGGACGGCGACGACACAGGCTCCCCGCAGAGGGGCTCGGCTGACGGGACGGCGACGACACAGGCCCCCGCAGAGGGGCGCGGCTGACGGGACGGCGCCGACACAGGCCCCCGCAGAGGGGTTCAGCTCAGGGGACGGCGACGACACAGGCCCCCGCAGAGGGGTTCAGCTCAGGGGACGGCGACGACACAGGCCCCCGCAGAGGGGTTCAGCTCAGGGGACGGCGACGACACAGGCCCCCGCAGAGGGGTTCAGCTCAGGGGACGGCGACGACACAGGCCCCCGCAGAGGGGCGCGGCTGAGGGGACGGCGCCGACACAGGCCCCCGCAGGGGGGTTCAGCTGAGGGGACGGCGCCGACACAGGCCCCCGCAGAGGGGCGCAGCCGCATTTCCATGTGGCCCCAGCAGCCCCGGGCTGGGTTGGAGGACTCGAGACTCTTGTGTGCCTGCCCCGTACAAGAAGAACAACAACAGAGGGCGCCCCGTGTGCAGGGCTTGGCTCCCAGAGTGCCAGGTCCGCTTGCCTGCAGCATGCCCGGTGAAGCAGGTGCTGCTCCTGCACTATTTTACAGGTGAGGGGACAGCCCTGGGCCACCTCTGTGACCCGAGTCACCGAGGTGCAGTGTGTGACTGGAGGGTCCTCTCTGTCCCTGATAACAAGACACTGAGCTCTTACTCTAGCAGAGCTGGGCCAGGAGCCCTTAGGCAACAAGGCGACCCCTCCCAGGATGAGGCTTTATTTCACATACTTTAAAGATTACCCAATAGCTTATAATTCGCTGACTAAAAGCATACAAGTTTGCTAAGACAATAACTAAATATCACCCACGTAGTCTCCAGGGGAGGAGGAATCGCTGAAAAATACCATCAATAAAAGTTAAAAACTGAAAGGATAGGTCTAACAGTGAAATAGTTTCCAGTTTTCAACACTTCTCTTTAAGAAAGCATACTGTAAAAATGAGAGAAAAAAAGATCTTGACTAGAAGGCATTTGCCAGTCATAGAACTTACAAAAAATTGTATCCAGAAAAACAAAACTCTGTAAATCAATATGAAAAAGACAAGCAACCCATATTTTTTGTTTGAAGAAGGATATAAGGTTGTTTGCCCATTCCTGAGCCAATGTAATGCTGTCTTAATAAATGGTTGATAATAAATCCTGGCATCTGCTGTGGTCTTCACCACACTCATCCTGGCCATTATTGATCGTTTATACCTCCTTGTAAAATTCAGGACAGCCTGTTCATTTCTATTTTTAAAAATCCTATTGGGATTCTGATTGGAATTGTATTACATTTATAAATAATTTTTGGAACTTATCTTCAAAGAAACAACAAAGGTTTCACAGCTGACTTTCAGTGAAACCATGGGAGCCAAAAGAAGATTGAATGGCATCTCAGCAGTGGTGAAAGGAGAGAAAGCTGCCAGCCCCGAGTCTGTGCTCACAGAAGCACCCCAGACAGGAAGAAGAAGTAAAGCCAGCCCGCAGTCCTGTGCTCACAGAAGCACCCCAGACACGAAGGAAAAGTGAAGGCATTTTTGGAGAAACCAAGGCAGATCTGCACCACAAGACATAACCAGGGCATTCTTAGGCTGAAGGAAACAGCCCCGGGTGAAACCACAGAGAAGAGCCTGCCGAGGGGCGGGAGAGTGGGTGACGTCACGCGATAAAGCAGCGCCTCAGTCCATGGGGACATGAGACAGGCGTCCCCATCATCGTCACAGCCAGTGGCACAAAACAGGGAGGGAGAGAGACTAGAGACAATGGGGAAAATAGAACGGGCCTGGAGATCCCAATGGGAAGTGAAGGGTCTTCGGGGTCACAATCGTATTCTCTCTGGTTTTGGTGTCTAACGGAAAACCCCATAATAAACTGCCAAACTCACTTAATGAGCCACCACTTCAGACTCATCATATTGGAAAACATTTTAAAATCTAAGAATGAACACCCAGGCCATGCAGAGAATGCCCAGAACAAGAGAGAGAGAGAGAGAGCAGTGGACAGAAGACTCAAGCAGGCAAGTCCCAGGAACATCTGTAAAGATGAGAATGAACACCCAGGCCATGCAGAGAATGCCCAGAACAAGAGAGAGAGAGAGCAGTGGACGGAAGACTCAAGCTGGCAAGTCACAGGAGCATCCGTAAAGACAAGAATGGGTTCATTAGTGATGGGAAGATGCAAACTAAAACGTAAAACCCACGAGACACCATAGAATACCCACAATTCAGACCTGCTGGCACCAAGAGCAGTGTGCAGCGTGGTGTGGAGGCTCCCACACTGAGGACGGGAATCGGTGATGCCCCTTGAGCTGGGCAGGATCTACTCAGGTCCAAGGCTCACACGTCCAGCGACCCCAGCTGCTAGTGACCCTCGCACACACAACAGGCCATAAACAGGAACCCATGGCCCCCACGGCCGCTAGCAGGAGGCAGGACATGGCTCCATGGCTCAGGGAAGCCAGGAGACAGCACCAGTGCCTGCCCAGCCCACCTGCCCTCCAGCTGCCGCCCGTGTGGGCCTGCACCCCTGCAACACTCGCCTGTGGCTGAGGGGCTGCCTCTCTGAGGGGCCTGGGAGCGAGGTTGCTGCAGCTATCTTCCGCCAGCAGCCAGGAGGCCTCTGCAGCCCTGCTGGACCCCTGGAGAGTACATCCCGGAGAGAGCGTGGCTGCAGGCAGAGCCCTACGCTCCCCTCCCGCGGTTGCTGTTGTCTGAACAGCCACGCCCGTAGCAATGGTTCAGGGGTTCCTGGGGCCTTTTCCCCCTGGGTCTTCCGCCTGTCTTTCGGGGTCGAGAGAGCTGTACTCGGGCAAGCCCCACCATCCTGCACTCACAGCAGAGCCCTGGGGCCTCCTATCTGCACCCAGCCCTGAAGCTGTTGTCTCTGGCTGCAGCCCTCCTGGAAGCCACAGCCTTTCCCCCTTTCCCTATCCCGAAGCTCTTTCACCACTTCCAGGCCACCCTCCCTTCCTCTTTCCTAAACCCTGGGTCATCGCGACACTGCCCCCGCATCCCCGTGACAGGGCATCCCCTCCTCTCTCTAGGGTTTCAGTTCCTGGCTCAAAGCAGCTCTCCACATCGACCCGTGCCTCGATTACTGGCAACTTCAAAATGTGCACAGAGCCCCCCTTGAACTTGGCTTCTCAGATCTCTGAGCCCCTCCAGGGGTCCTGTCCTCCACCTGCCCGGCCCCTTGCCCCACATTCACAGCCCAGACACATCGCGGCAGCTCCCGCACCCCCCTCACCCCGGGGGGGCCTTCTGCCCCCTCAGCACCGTGAGCTGGCCCTACCGCCCCTGGCCCTCCTGGTGCCTCCTGCGCCTGCTGCTCTCCCGTTTCTCCTCTCCATCATGTCAGCAGCCCTTTTGCAAACAGACCCTTGGTCTGTTGGGGCCTCTCAGGCATGGCACAGGCTCACCTGTGGGTGTCTTTGCAATGGCAAAGCACCCACCTCCATTTCCATACCCGCCCCTCCCACTGACCCGCATTCCCAGTCGACCCACCGCTGCCTGAGGGTCAGCGGTCCTAACATTTAGAAAGGGCCACGTGGTGCCCAGTGTCCAGGTGGGGCTGGAGCCAGGTCCTCAGCCCCCAGACCCCTTCCTCCTCCCACCCTGGCCCCAGGCTGACCAGTCCTGAGTGCAGACACCGGTGCCACAGGGACATCCCAGCTGGGCGAATTCTTTTTGTAAAGAGGAGGTCCTCAGAATCAGCTCTAACTGTCATGCCCTCTTTGTTTATCTTCATCGTAGTCGCAGCCCTTGCTGGGTGGTCAGTTCTTTGTTAAGGTTGATACTGAGCCCCAAATCTGATTTGCCCCAAGAGATGAATGATTTTCTCTGCAGTTACTGGGCGGCTTTCTTAGGACTAGAGAATGGTGAGTGGTTGACATTAATCTCCGCAAACTCAAAATAAAAATGGAAACAAATGTACCAAGAGCTGCAAGGCAACGGCTGACCCACCCCCCACATGGGATCACAACCTCTGGTGGCCATCTGTGCACACCCAGGTGGGGCCAGGCCCCGGGGCCCTCTCTGATGGCAGCCGACGGGCTCCCTCGGGCCTGCGCAGTGCAGCCTGGACGGCGTGGGCTTAGGTGGCCATTTCACCACAAAGTCCCTTCAAAGGCTCAACAGGTTTTGAGGCATAGCCTCCCTCCTCCAGACCCCGCTGGCCGGCCGTGTGGAATGAGAGCTGAGGGTGTCTGGTCTCTCAGGGGCATCGGGGAGGGAGGCCCAGCGATGGCCTCGGTGATCCATTTGCCGCAAGAGGACCAGCGCTTACTCGAAGAAGATTTAAAACACACAAGGAACCGTGAAACCAAACCAGAAAAGCCCTGCTGACCGAGCCGCCCCTTCTAGAGGCCGAACAGGCATGGAAACCCTGAGCCGACACAGGCACTTACCCAGCAGAGAGGACAGGGCCACCAGGATCCACATGGCCACAAAGAAGGGGGTGTGCACGGGTAGCCACCGCAGGCTGACCACTGGAAACCCGCTGCTGTTCCGGGCAACGGGGGGCTCTGGCCCTGGGCCCCGGCCAACGAGTGTGCAGGGATGGGCTGTGCCCACCAGCAAGGCCAGCAACGTGAAGGCACAGAGTCCAGACCCCTGGGGCTGCATGCTGGGGGCACGTGCCGCCGACAAGGCGCTGTGTATCCGCCGGGCTCTTCTCGACTTCGTGGACCTGGTATCTGCAGGGAGCCACCTCGTTGGTCCCCGGTGAGCCCTAGAGCTGTGCCAGTTCTTCCTGCCTCACCCCAGCACCTTCCCTCTGCTGACCACAGCCCAGCCTTGTCCTGGGCAGCCTGTGGCCTCCAGGCCGTCAGCAGATAAGCATTCCGTGTGGCTAGAGGGCCTTCCTGGGAGCTGGACCTCCCCAGCGGGAGTTCAAAGCCCTTGCCCATTTTCCTGGTCTGGGAACAGAAGCGGCCCGCCCATCCCCTCTATGAGATTAGGTTCTACCTATCATGTAAAATAAAAGCTGATGAAGAAACAGGGTTTAATTGGTTTCTTATCAGGTGTTTCGTCCTTGTTTGGAATTCTGTGTGGATGGGGGAGCCATGGGATTACACCCAATAAGGTCACCTGCAGATCAGCAGTGCGGCCCCCGTGGGGTCCGCACCCAGGCGTGTGCTCACCTGCAGATCAGCAGTGTGGCCCCCGTGGGGTCTGCTCCCGGGCATGTGCTCACCTGCAGATCAGCAGTGCGGCCCCCGTGGGGTCTGCTCCCGGGTGTGTGCTCATCTGCAGATCAGCAGTGCGGCCCCCGTGGGGTCTGCACCCAGGCGTGTGCTCACCTGCAGATTAGCAGTGCGGCCCCCGTGGGGTCTGCACCCAGGCGTGTGCTCTGCACCCAGGCGTGTGCTCACCTGCAGATTAGCAGTGCGGCCCCCGTGGGGTCTGCACCCAGGCGTGTGCTCCACAAAGCCCCCTCTGGCTTCAAGGCAGCACTGGGTCCTTTGCCCCGGACCCTCCTGCTGTTCCCACGTCTCCTCTGGCTCCTGAGCCTCACCTCCACTGGCTCCTGAGAGGCTCTTCCTCCCGCACACCTGTGCCCAGGTGGCCTTGCCCACTGCAGGTGCAAAGCCCCTACCTTAGCATCGGAGACCCCAAGGCTGGTGGGGGTGGGGTGTCCTGCATAGTCAGCCCCAGCCTGGGGCAGGAGGCCGGGGCCTGGTGTGGCCTTGCGGGGAATCAGAGCCCTTGCCGGCAAGGGCTGTCCACACAGCAGGGGAGCCGAGCCCAGGCCAGAAGGGAAGGGCATCTCCAGCAGGGGATGGTCACCTAAGGGGATGGTCACCTAAGGGGATTGATCCACGATGCAAATGTGTCAGAGGCCTTGGGAGCTGGTCTTACTGTCAGAGTTTCAGATTTTGAAAAGAGAAAACTGTCACAAACTCTGACTTGGATTCGGTTTGGAGGCATCTGTGTGAATTTAGGATTTGCAAAACGAATAGGAGTGTATAGAAATAAATACGGCCTGCCTCCACGTCTTCAGGTTCCGCACCACAGATTCAACCGAGGATCAAAGATACTTGGAAAAGAATAAAAAATAACAATATAGAAAAAATACAAATAAAAATAACAACACAGTGTAACAACTATTTACATAGCATTTCCATTGTATTCGGTACAATGAATAATCCAGGGATGATTTAAAGTACCGGGAGGATGTGTGCAGGTTACTTGCAAATCCGACATCATTTTACATCAGGAACTTGAGCTCCTGCAGGTGGGTTAAACTCGGGGGTCCTGGAACCCATCCCTTGAGGACTGCAAAAGACAAACATATGGGTGTCAATGACAGTCCCAAATCATAGACCCTGGAATAAAGCTGGAACCCACAAGCCCATCCTTACATGATAAAGATGCGGAAGACTTTAGGGGTCTTTTGCAGCCTCTCAAGGTGCCTCGTGACTGTGCTGGAGTAGACCAGTAACTGTACTGTGAAAATGCTTGACAGCAGCAGCTGACTCCACGCGGACCTGGAGCCGCGGCTGCGGGCAAGGGCACCTGCACACAGGGGTGTGCAGCACGGGAGAGGCTGAGCTGTGCCTCGGATGCTCCTGCCACAGGCTCATAGCTTGGTCCTGTCTCGAAGAAACTCCTGACACACCCCAGAATGAATGAGGGTCTTCACCCAATAAGTGCCCCGCAACCATCTCGGGAGAAAAAGAGGCCAAGCCGCAGAGGACCATGCTTGGTTTCAATTGGACAGCTGGATTCGCTCCGAGGGCTCTGAGGTCAGCAGGTGGCCACCAGTCAAGCCGATGTCCTGACCTGGGAGTACGCAGGACAAGGAGGCACCGAGTCAGCAACAGACCCCTAGATGGTCAGAGAGATATTCCCGTGCTACTCTTGACACCTTTCTGTAAAAGAAAAAATTCAAATAATACATTACTTAAATAAATTAAAAGTTTATATTAAAAAATACACACAACTTCTGCTTCCAGCTACAATATAGAAAGTCTCAAGAGCCTATTTTCACCAACAACCTAAACAAGCCACATAAGCTATAAATTCACAATAAAAAAAAAAACCCGCCAGAAAGCTGAGGATACATAGACACCCGATTGAATTAAGCCACCAGAAGTGAGGAGCCCCCAGGGGAAGGGTGTGGCTGATCACTGGCCCGGAGACAATGGGGTCTGAAAACGAAAAGGCGGCTTCTGCAAGCTGACGAAACCAGACACCACCAATAAACAAAACCCAAATCCACAAACCCAGAATTTTATACAGAACAAAAACGTCCTTCAAACATGAAGGGTAAATACAGATATTGTCAGACGATAAAAAGCATTTGTTGCCAGCAGAATTCGAGTGTGGAAATCATAAAGGAAAATGTTCAGCTGAAGGAGAACGACCTTGGGCTGGGAACAGGGAAGGGCCGAGTCCTTATGCGGCAAATTCAGCACTGGCAATTACTGACTTGCTGAAGCGAGCTTGTCCTCCTCTTGACCTGTGGGCCACATGTGGCCCAGGATGGCTTTGAATGCGGCCCAAGACACATTTGTAAACTTTCCTTAAAACATAATGAGATTTTTTTTGTGATTTTTTTTTTCTTTTAGCTCATCAGCTATCGTGTTAGTGTGTTTTATGTGTGGCCCAAGACAATTCTTCTTCTTCCAATGTGGCCAAGGGAAGCCAAAAGATTGGACACCCCTGGGCTAAAGGAACTTCAGTGACAGTGCTGGGTTGTCATGTGACGTTTGTACGATGCCAACAGCAGAGATGGTAGAAGGGTGAACGGGCGTGAGCCATCCTCTCCGGCACGGCTAGTCTTCCCTGACACCGTAACGCTAGTGAGGAATCGCTAGGATGACTAAAGACTTCAAATCTACATGAAGGAAACTTTAAAATGCGACTGAGAGGGCCAGAAATAAGTGACCAAATCTAAGGGTATAGAATACCTGGACAGAAAGACTTTCTTCAGAAAGATCAAGTTACAGCTGACTCATTCTGTGGATTTAAGGTCCCAATAAATGGTCCAAAAGAATATTTTTAAACTATACCAACTCTTTTTGATGTTTAAATAGGCAAAACAAAGGAGTTTCTGGCTAAACAGATCATAGGCAGGGTGCCCCGGAAGAGAAGCAGCTGTGGGGGTCCGCCTTG
The DNA here is from genome assembly GCF_000001405.40 of Homo sapiens. Taxonomy (NCBI): domain Eukaryota; kingdom Metazoa; phylum Chordata; class Mammalia; order Primates; family Hominidae; genus Homo; species Homo sapiens. The sequence goes on from NC_000005.10 coordinate 573,584, forward strand.
TCACATTCAGGCCCGTTACGGAAACAAGTGCCTCCTTGGTTCAGGCTGCAGAGGGGAATGAATGTCTAGAGGAAGACCCCAAAACACCAAGACTTTGGGATATGACCAAGGCATCATTTCAAGTTAGTTGAGAAGACATGGTGGGAGACAGGGTTTGTTCTGTTTGTATAAAACAAAGAGAAATCGTGTGTACTCCTGACAGCTCTGGAAGGGCCCGTGGCGACCCCAGGGCCGACTGTTCTGGGAGGGAGCTGTGTGGCCAGGAGACCCATTCATGTCTCCTTTCTATTACATGCGTGCGTTGTTACACGTTAAAAAACGAACAAACAAAAAACCCAAAACAACAACAACAACAACAACAAACAAGTGCAACGTGACTTTTTAAAGCTGGGCCTGAGAGCCCCAGGGAGAGCCGGGCCTGGGTGCCCAGCAGGACCCTGAGCTGCAGAGCCGGCCAGCGGCTGGGGGGCCGTTCTCCCTCCCGGACCCTGTGCATCCTCCAGAGCAGGAGCCTCCCTAGTTTCTCCTGCAGCTTCTAATCCTGGCGCCTGGCATGGAAATCGTCCAGCGACAGGCGGGGCCCCTGCTGCTGCTGGTGAGATGGTGTTTACGATGCTATTGAAACGCCCAGATCCTGGCCAGGATCTGAGAGGCCAGAGGCCCCTCCCCACCTCCCGGGGTCTACCCAGGTGGGAAGGGAGCAGAGGGGGCTGGCGTGGAGCCACATGCAGCCCGGCGGTGTTTGACCCTGAGTGCTGAGATCCTTCATGAGTCCGGGCTCCACTTTCATCAGAGGGCACCGTCCTCCAAGAGAGCTCCCCCACGCGGGGCTTTATGGAGGGTCTATAAAGGTGACCCCTGTTCCTCGTCAAGGACTTCTTTTTCTTTCTTTTGTTTTGCTCCTAGTATATTCCTGGTGTGTGCATCTGTCACCACAGTGCATTTTAGAACATTTCATGCCCCCCACCCCCTGCCTCAGCATTCACCTCCTCCCACCTCCCCAGCCCCCAGCCAATTTGAACTCATTGCTGATGGGTGTGTACTTAGGAGTAGATTTTGTACAATCTATTGATGACTTCCATTCCTCCAAGATGCATTTATTCTCCTCAGCCACGTAAAAAAAATTTCCCCTTCCCATAATGTTGTTTCACCTAAAAGGAGTAAGATACTAATTCAGCCTTAAGTGGCCTTTATTTATCCCTTCAAGATGAGCAGTTATTCCGATTAGACTGGAAAATAGTAACCAGAAATATTAGGCCAACTGCATTCTAAATAGTGTATTTTTGGTCTTAGGAACAGGTAGGGTATCCCCTTAAGAGGCCTGGCTTTTGCCTAATAACATTGAAAAAAGGAGACCCTGGGGTCTGCGTGGTGATCAGACTGACAGCCAACTTCTCACCCACAGCAACAGAGGTCAGGAAGCAATGCAACAGCAGCCTCCACGTGTGAAGGGCAGGTGACACCAACACCGGACTGTCAGTGCAGAGGGCAGGTGACGCCAACACCGGACGGTCAGTGCGGAGGGCAGGTGACGCCAACACCGGACGGTCAGTGCGGAGGGCAGGTGACGCCAACACCGGACTGTCAGTGAAAGCGTCATTCCAGCGTGCAGTAAAATAAAGGCACTTGGGACACATACAGACCAAAAAGGAGACACAAAACTCACAGACCATCCCTGAAATAAGTACGAGACATGCCCTTCACCAAGGAAAGAGACCCCAGGAGGAAGGCATGGAACAAAAGGAGCAAAGACATGCAGAGAAAACCCAGCAAGGCGATCAGCAAACATAAACAGCCATTGGTTATTTTATGAAGAACACTTGGGCCACAGGAAAACAGCATGGGGAGTTTTCCCCTAGAAACAGCAAGATGGCTTGTATCAGAACAACCCTCCTGTGAACAATAATTATAAGCTCTGGAAAAACTATAAAACACTACTGGAAGTGAATGGAGAGCAAACAGAGATGGCAGAGACTCAGTGTGGTAGCCTTTGAAAGCAGGAACTGCAATGGGTGAGCTTCACGCACAGCTCACACCTGAGGGTGTGCCCTGGTCACCTAGCTGGGGGTGTTGTCAGCAGAGCACTGCAGTCTCTCTGGCTGGACACATAGGAGGCCAGAGAAGGAAGGTTAGAACCCCAAAAGGAGGGAGGGTGGAACCCCAAAAGGAGGGAGCCACAGATGACAGGGCCCTCAGCATTGTGTGTAAATTGCATCTCAATCCTGTCCTGGACTGAGCACCCTGGGGGAGATGTTGAGGGTCCCTGCAGAGAGGCAGCAGCTACTGCCACAAGGGAAGGTGGGACGTGGTCACAGTGCACAGGCACGTGGCCTGCAAGGGCGAGAGTGACATCTTCCAGCACAGAAAATGTAAGCCAGAGTCTCTGTGTCGTATTGACAACAACAGTCATATACTGTGGCTGACAAAAAAGCATCCAAACATGAAAAGAAACAGGAAAATGTGACCTACATCTGAAAGAAACAGCAGTCAACAGAAGTGTGCCTCAAGATAATGAAAGATGATAAAATTAGAAGACAGACTCTTTAATATGTTCAGGGAATTAAAGGAAAATATAGTCACAATGAATGAACAGAGAATCTCAATAGAGAGATGGCAGTCATCTTTTAAAAGAACCCATGAGAGGAAAATAAAATCTCAGGACCTGAAGCTCATGGTGCTCAAGGGAAAGTAAAGCTTGGGAGTGGATTCTCATGGAAACCACTGTCCTTTAGTTCCCAGAGAGACAGCGGTGATTTCCTGTGCTCTCTTTATCTCACATAAAACTCAGACTCACTGGGCACTGATCAGAGTCTCACAGAACACAGCCATGTGCCTCACTACCCACCCCCCTCTTTTTTTCTTTCTGTCCTGTCTGCTCTTTCCCTTTCAATACTGAAATTCCCCAAACTCTCTTCATAAACATCGCAGGACACAGACCCCAGAGGGACTCGTGTTTCTTTTTCCTGGGCATGTCCTCAACCTTGCTAAATAAACCTCTAGTTGATTGGGACCTGTCTCAGGCAGGTTTCCCAAACCAAAAGGAAATTCTGGAACTGGAAAGCACCACAGACCATACAATGGGTCATAAGATAAATCTCAAATGTTTCCAATAATTGAAATCACAGAGATGACATTCTCTGATCACAATGGAGTTAAAAGAGAAATCAATAATAATCATACATCTGGGGAAAAACACAAATATTTGCAAATTAAAGAAAACATCTAAATAACCTATGGGTCAAAAGAACCACAGGAGAAATTTGAAAATATTTCAAACAAATGATAGTGAGCACAAAACATATAAAAATCTGTAAGATTGTGTCTGGAGTTGGTTCCTTCCAGTGGGGTCTTTGTCTCACTGACTTCAAGAATGAAGCTGCGGACCTTTGCGGTGAGTGTTACCGCTCTTAAAGATGGTTTGTTCAGAATTTGTTCCTTCAGATGTGTCTGGAGTTTCTTCCTTCCGGTGGCTTCATGGTCTCGCTGACTTCAATAATGAAGCTGCGGACCTCTGCAGTGAGTGTTACAGCTCTTAAAGGTGGTGCGGACCCAATGAGTGAGCAGCACCAAGACTTATTGTGAAGAGTGAAAGAACAAAGCTTCCACAGTGTGGAAGGGGACCCGAATGAGTTGTTGCTGCTGGCTGGGGTGGCCAGCTTTTATTCCCTTGTTTGTCCCTGCCCACATCCTGCTAATTGGTCCATGTTATAGAGCGCTGATTGGTCCATTTTACAGAGCGCTGATTGGTCCATTTTACAGAGTGTTGATTGGTGCATTTACAATCCTTTAGCTAGACCCACAGTGCTGATTGGTGCATTTTTACAGAGTGCTGATTGGTGCATTTACAGTCCTTTAGCTAGACACAAGGCTGACAGGTGTGTTTTTACAGAGTGCTGATTGGTGCATTTACAACCCTTTAGCTAGATACAGAGTGCTGATTGGTGCATTTTTATAGAGTGCTGATTGGTGCACTTACAGTCCTTTAGCTAGACACAGAGCACTGATTTGGTGTTTGTTTACAATCCTCTAGCTAGACAGAAAAGTTCTCCAAGTCCCTACTCGACCCAGGAAGTCCAGCTGCTTCTCCTCTCAAGATGAGCTAAAAATAAGTTTAGAGGGGAGATAATAGCTGTAAGTGCTCACATTAGAAAAAAGATTTTCAAAGAAACGATCTAAGATTCCACTTTAAGAAGTTTTAAAAAGGTGAGCAAATTAAATCCAAAATAAGAGGGGACTAGAAGGAAAAAAATTATAAAGATGAGATACTAATGAATTATAAAACAAATAGAGAAGTCAATAAAGACAAAAGTTGTTTTTTGAAAAGGTTAATAAAACTGATAAAACTCTGACAAGACTGATCAAAGGAAAACTGCAATAATCAATTATCAATGCCAGGAGAAAAGAGATGACATCATTACAGACCCTACAGATGTTAACAGGAAATATCATAACATAACAAATGATTTTCTGCTGATAAATTTGAGAGCTTATGTAATAAATTTTTCTGAAAATAAAACTTACCAAAATTGACACAAAGTGGAATAGAAAACTTGAATATTCCCATATCTATTCAATAAATGAACTTGTTATTGAAAACTTTTCCAGAAAGACAACTCCAGAGCTAGATGATTTCAATGATGAATTTTATCAAATAGTCGATGAAACAACATAATGCAAATATTTAATAAAACATTTCAAAACTTGGGAGAAGGAAACAGAAGAGAACCATTCCTAGCTTTTTTATGAGGCCAGCTTAACTCTGATGTCAAAACCTGGCAAAGACATTATAAGATATGAAAATTACAGATCAGCATCCCTCATAAAGATAGATCCAAAAAACTGTAAACAAATTACTAGCAAACTGAACCCACAAACTTATAAAAAAAGATAATACATCATGACAAAGTAGGGTTTTTCCAGGAATGCAAGATGAGTTTGGTGTCTGAAAACCAAACCAATGTAACTCACCATATTGATGGAATAAAGGAGTAACCATATGAAACATCAATAGGAGCAGAAAGAGCTTCTAACGAAATTCAAAATCCATGTAAGATAGAAGCTCTTGGAAATCTAAGGCATCATGTAAAACCTACACCCACATCATACACAATGGTAAGATGCCAGGCACTTCTCCCCTAAGACCAGGGAGAAGGCAAGGAAGTGTACTCCATCTCCACAACACCTCTTACCCCAGGTTGTAGCCGGACAACAAAGGAAGGGAGAAAAAAGAAGAAAGATTGGTGGGGAGAAAGTAAAATTATCTCTAATCACAGATGATGCAATTATTTACAAGGAAAATTTTAAGGAGTCTTCAGAACTACTGGAACGAATGTGAGATTCACAGGGTCTCAGAACATAAGATCAGTAAACAAAAATCAGTTCTGTATCTATATACTAGCAGCAAATAATCTGAAAATAAAAATTTAAATTATTCAGTTTATAATACCATCAAAACCATAAAATACTTATGACTGAATTTAGCAAACGACATTATCTATAAAATGTCGCTGAAAGAAATTAAAGAGCTGAATAAATGGAGAGACAGCCTTCACGGATAAAAACATTCATTACGGTTATGATGTCAAGTTCTGCCCAGATTCAATTACATTTTCCACGCAATCCCAAATCCGATCCCAGCAGGTCTGAGATGAAGCTGGGGTGAGGGTGAGCAGAGAAGGGCTGAGTCCAGGATGGGGAGTGTCAGGGGACCTTGATTTTTAAAAACCAGTCCTTTGAGAAGAACAGCTCATGGTGCCAGGCAGCGTTGTAGCTCATCACGGCTCAGCCTGGCACATCAGGACTGTGGCCACCACCCTCACATAAGGACGCCGAGGCACCGAGAGGTCATGTGACCTGGCCAGAGCCGCACAGCCAGATGGAGGCTGAGCTATGCGGGGATGCCACAGTGTGCTGACTCCACACACACAAACGCCACCACTTACATTTTTATTTCCCCGTCACTGTCTTGTTTCTCAAAGGACTTGAGGCTCATAGCAGCACAGGTTCCTTAAGGAGGCTCATAGCAGTATAGGTAGGCAGCTGTGTTGAGCTCTCAGGGTGGAGAAAGCCTGGCTGATCTCCACCTGTGGCCTCTCTGTAAAGATCCAGGGTCCTCGGGGTGGCTGTGGCAGCATCTGAGACAGCCCTGGTGTGGGCTGCCTCAGATGCTGGCCTTGGCTCGGGGGTGATCCTGGCCTTGGCTCGGGGTGTGGTTCTGGGTGCTCCCTCCACAGCCCTCTTCTTGATGTGGCTTCAACCTGCCCCGTCCGGGTTTGGCCCCAGCTTCCCGTGAGCTCCAGGGTAATCCCTGTGCCGGCTATGATAGGGACATCTGACCTAGTGGCCTCCAAGTCCTCCCCTGCCCCAGGACTCCTCACTCAGTTCCGGGGAGCGCCGTGCGCCCTGTGCCTCCAGGCTGAGCAGAGTCGTTTGCTTGTAGGTGGCCTCGACCCTGTCTGGAGCTCCCTAACAGCAGCGGGGCCACAGCCCGGTTGTTCCCTCACACCCAAGGCAGAGCTGGGTACACAGCAGGTGCTCAAAGGTGGCTTCACTTTGCAAATAAGAATCTTCAGCAAAGCCCCAGGATCCCAGCAGGGGCCCGCCAGGGGTCCACCACATGAGAGCCCAGGTGTTAACTCAGTGTGTGAGCATCCTTTTAACATAATCCTTAAGTTGGTGGCAGAATTTCCTTCCCCAATAAGCTCTGCCGTGTTTTGAATTTCATCCTGCCTCCCAGTGTGTGTTTTAAAGATCTCTTTACATTTGCTCTGCCCGGGTAGGGTATTCATGTGATGCCAAGCCCAAGGCGTTTCCTTCTTTGCTCTTAATTCTTAAATTCTGCTGGTATTTAATATTTTCAACTTCCAAACCTTCACACGGGTATCTTTACTAATGTAGATCAGATTCATTTGTGTTCCTGGTTGCTACAGAATTAGAAAAACAGGAAGAGAATGAACAAAGTAACGCATCTCCGTGGCAGGTTCGGCAACCCTCAGTGTTCAAGTTTCAGCTGTGCACGGCAGGGCCTGTCTGTGGGATGTAGACATGAGCCGCCCAAGTCACAGCAGAAGGCGAGAGGATTCCGGACCTTTGCGGCCACAGCGAGGACATGGGTGGGAGGGGAAGCATGGGATTTGAGGAGGGTGAACACACACACACCATTAGTAGTTGTAAGTTTTCAGCACGTTTACATCCAAAGTCACTTTGTAAATTAGTAACTTTGTTATTGGAGGTAAATTTTCAAGCTGCTGGTTGGACCTGGCGTTTTGTTGTTGAAGCTCTAGATGGAGGCACAAGCAGCCGGAACTCAGGGACGAAACCCTCTGCCATTTTCAGTTGGTGAGGAAAACGAGCCACAGACAAAGGGAAATGCTGCTTGGTGCAAAAGGAAAACAAAATGAATACAGAGATGCGCGCATACCTGTTTCTGAAAGGAGGAATGAACAGCAAAACCTTGGCAGGGCCAACCTGGCCAGAGGCTGGGCAGGTGCTGCCGGTTTCTCTTCATGCCTCTCCAGGTTGAATCTCCTGGTCTCACCCACCTACCCTTGATTACTTTCTAAAGATATAAGCAGAAGTTTTATAAAGAGTGAGGTGCTGGTCTACTTTCTTTTCTCTTTGTACTTCTCTGAGTAAAGGACACTGAGTCAGCATCCCCACAAATGCTGAATGTATGTATATTGAGCCAGCATCCCCACAAAGGCTGAATGCACACTGAGCCAGCATCCCCACAAAGGCTGAATGCACACTGAGCCAGCATCCCCACAAAGGTTGAATGCATGCCAAGCCAGTATCCCCACAAACACTCAATGCACACCAAGCCAGCATCCCCATACACACTGAATCCATGTCGAGCCAGCACCGCCACAAACGCTGAATGCAACACACACCTCGGCTGGATGTTTGAAGCAGCCAGGAGTCTGCATTTCTGAGACGATGGGAAAAAGTGGATGTGGCCTGGGGATTGGCTGATGCGAGGGAATTGTGCTTGTTTGGGGCCTACTGTATTGGGCTCCATAGGAAACAGGCCTTATTCCTTAGAGACATCTGCTCTGCTGAGTTCCCCAGGGGTCTAATGGCGTGATGTCTATAAGCCAACGCGAGTCCCTCCACCAAGATAATAGGTGAAGTAAACACGGCCAAATGTGAGTGTGTTAGAAGGTGGTGAGGGGCGGCTGACTCTCTCTGCCTCCGTGTACGTTAGGAGTGTTCCATAATTAAAACTTTCTGATCAGGTGCAGTGGCTCATGCCTGTAATCCCAGCACTTCGGGAGGCAGAGGTGGGTGGATCATCTGAGGTCAGGAGTTCAAGACCAGCCTGACCAACATGGTGAAACCCCATCCCTACTAAAAATACAAAAATTAGCTAGTCTTGGTGGCGGGCACCTGTAATCCTAGCTACTTGGGAGGCGGAGGTGGGAGAATCACTTGAACCCGGGAAGCAGAGATTGCAGTGAGCTGAAATGGTGCCACTGCACTCCAGCCTGGGCAACACAGACTCCATCTCAAAACAAAACAACACAACTTTCTTTTGCCCTCTGCCCAGCAGATGCAGCCAGGCCCTGGCAGAGAGGCTGTCTCCCTCTGTCCCCTGGTTCCCTTGTGTTCAGAATTGGTTCCTTCCACCGGGTTCTTGGTCTCGCTGACTTCAAGAATGAAGCCGCGGACCCTTGCAGTAAGTGTTACAGTTCTTAAAGATGGTGTCCGGAGTTTGTTCCTTCAGAGGTTTAGACGTGTCTGGAGTTTTTTTTTCTTTCCGGTGGGTTAGCAGTCTCACTGACTTCAGGAGCGAAGCCACAGACCTTCACAGTGAGTGTTACATCTCTTAAAGGTGATGCTCATTCTTCCTGGTGGATTCGTGGTCTCGTTGGCTTCAGGAGTGAAGCTGCAGACCTTCACGGTGAGTGATACAGCTCATAAAGGTAGTGCAGACTCAAACAGTGAGCACCAGCAAGATTTATTGCAAAGAGCAAAAGAACAATGCTGCCCAGGTACAGACTCGTACCAGCACAGGTTGCCACTGACTAGGCTGGTGGCCAGCTTTTATTCCCTTATTTGGACCCACCCACATCCTACTGATTGGTCCATTTTACAGAGTGCTGATTGGTCCATTTTACAGAGTGCTAATTGGTGCATTTACAAACCTTTAGCTAGACACAGAGAGCTGATTAGTGCATTTACAATCCTTTAGCTAGACAGAAAAGTTCTCCAAGTCCCCAACCCAACCCAGAAGCCCAGGCAGCTTCACTACTCACTACCTTCTGCACTTCCCCACCATCTGCAAGGCTGCACGTTGACCGCAGAGAGCCAGGGCTGGCCACCACCACATCTCATCCCCTGCCGTTCCTGCTGACTTTCCTTCACCCGCACTCCCTTTTTAATTGTGCGGTTCTGTGTTTATTTTGCCTCTTCAAATGCTTTTGACAGTGACACAAAAGTATGTGTTTCCTATGTCAGCTTTACCCAAGAAGCACCTGTGACTGGGGATCGCTCTGCCATCGGCACAGGTGTCTCTGGCCGCGGGCAGCCCGCCTGTTTGGGGTCGGCAAAGGCTCCAGGTGTTGAAGTGGTAAAATCTCGAAGCTGCCTGGCCCATCTCTTACCCCTGCTCTCCTGTGCCGCTTCGTCCTCAGGCCGCCCCACCCAGCAGTCTTGCTATAAAGATTTTCCGAGGGGTCCAGCAAGACTGTGGCTCTCACTCAACCACTTCGCGTTGCCCACTCCTGGTGCCCTTGGACACCTGTGGACGGAGAGTGGGAGAGGCAGTCCTGAGGGAAATTTGAGGTGCTGACACCAGGAAAAGGAAAATGGATGCTGGACTGGCGGACACAGCATGCGTGTCGTGATGGTGAGGGGTGAAGAGGAGTCGCTCCAGTGTGAGGCACATCATCCGAGAACTCCCACGAGTGAGGGCAGGGCTGCGGGGGGCTGGGGCAGTGTGTGCGAGGTAGAACAAGCAGGGAATGTGTCAGGAGCTTTCCCTGCAGGCAGGTAGTAGAAGCTGATGAAGGCTTGCAAACAGAAGATAGGGGTCAAATGTACATTCTGGGGAGGTCACTCTGGCTGCCAGAAGTTTATAACATCAGCAAGTGTGCAAGGCTTGGCTCCTAGTAAACCTTTAATAGATGGATGAACAGAGAGGTGAATGGGTGGGTGAGTGGGATGGTGATGAATGGGTGGATAATGAATGCATGGATTGCATGGATGATGGATGGATGAATGAATGAATGAATAAATGGGTGGGTGGGTAGATGAATGGATGGGTTGATAAATGGATGAATGGGTGGGTGGATGGATGGTTGGATAAATGGGTGGATAAATGGGTGAGCGAGTAGATGGGTGGGTGGGTTGGTGGCTGGATGGGTGGTTGAGTGGCTGGGTGGATGGAAGAATGGGTGGGTGGATGGATGGGTGGGTAGATGGCTGGGTAGCTGGATGGATGGGTGAGTGGATGGGTGGGCGGGTGGATGGATGGGTGGGTGAGTGGGTGGGTGGATGGATGGGTGGCTGGGTGGGTGGTTGGCTGGGTGGGTGAGTGGATGGGTGGACGGATGGGTGGGTGGGTGGATGGATGGGTGGCTGGATGGGTGAGTAGTTGGTTGAGTGGGTAAGTGGGTGGGTGGATGGGTGGCTGGCTGGATGGATAGATAAATGGGTGGGTGAGTGGATGGATGGGTGGATGGATGATGAATGAGCGGCTGGCTGGGTGGGTGGGTGGGTGAGTGGATGGCTGGCTTGGTAGGTGGATGGATGGGTGGCTGGATAGGTGTGTGGGTGGATGAATGGGTGGGTGGATGGGTGGGTGGCCAGATGGATGGGTGGCTGGCTGAGTGGGTGGGTGGATGGATGAGTTGCTAGATGGGTGAGTCGCTGGCTGGCTAGGAGGGTGGGTTGGTAGATAAATGGGCAGCTGGAAGGTTGAATGGGTGGATGGATGGATGGGTGAGTGGATGAATAGATGGCTGGATGGGTGAGTGGCTGGCTGGTTGGGTGGGTGGCTGGATGGGTGGGTGGATGAGTGGATGGGTGGGTGAATGGGTGGCTGGATGGGTGGGTGGATGGCTGGATGGGTGAGTGGCTGGCTGGTTGGGTGGGTGGCTGGATGGGTGGGTGGATGAGTGGATGGGTGGGTGAATGGGTGGCTGGATGGGTGGGTGGCTGGATGGGTGAGTGGCTGGATGGGTGAGTGGCTGGATGGGTGGGTGAGTGGATGGATGGATAAATGGGTGGGTGGATGGATGGGTGGGTGGATGGATGGATAGATAAGTGGGTGACTGGATGTGTGGGTGGATGGATGGGTGGAAGGGTGGATGGGTGGGTCGCTGGATGGGTGGCTGAGTAGATGGATGGATGGATGGATAAGTGGGTGGCTGGGTGGGTGGGCAGGTGGATGGATGGATAGGTGGATGGATGGGTCGCTGGATGGGTGGGTGGGTGGCTGGCTGGCTGGATGGATGGATAAGTGGATAGATGGATGGGTGGGTGGTTGGGTGGCTGGATGTGTGGGTGGGTGGATGGATGGATAGATGGGTGGATGGATGGATGGGTGGGTGGATGGATGGGTTGCTGGATGGGTGGGTGGATGGATGGATAAGTGGGTGGATGGATGGGTGGCTGGATGGGTGGGTGAGTGGATGGATGGATGGATGGGTGGCTGGATGGATGGGTGGCTAGAAGGGTGGGTGGATGGATGGGTGGCTAGAAGGGTGAGTGGATGAATGGATGGCTAGAAGGGTGAGTGGATGGATGGGTGGCTAGAAGGGTGAGTGTGTGGCTGGATAGGTCAGGGAGTGGGTGGGTGGATAGATGAGGGAATGAACAGGTTGAATGGATGGATTCAGGGATGGATGAGAAGGCAGTGAGGCATGAGGACAGCATAGACTTTGACAACATGCTGATTTGACCCTGGCTCTGTCACTCACTCACTGTCCCATCTGAGACAGCTCTGCAGCTCTTGGGTCTCCATCTCCTCATCTGGAAAATGGAGATAATATTTCTGCCCTGGCAGGACTTGATGTAGAGGTAATGGGGTTATGCAGAGCCTGGCACCCAGCAGGTGACTGAACATGGGGACCATGGCACTCCGAGAGTGCTCTGCTCCAAACGCAGCACTGGGGGGTGGGGCACGGGGGGGAGGTCAGGGTGTGCCCCCGCTCCTCCCAACAGCTTCAAAGACAGGACCCTCAATCACACAGAACCCTAGGGAAAGAGCCTTGGCCGAGGTACCCTCCATCCAGAGGTGCTGAGGCTGCGCCCCTGAAGATACACATACGATACACATACTGGAAGTCAATGTTAGATATGGTTTAAATCTCATCCTGAAAGAACTCCAGCCAGGCACGGCGGCTCATGCCTGTTATCCTAGCATTTTGGGAGGCTGAGGTGGGTGGATTGCTTGAGCCCAGGACGTTGAGGCTGCAGTAAGCCAGGACTGCACCACTGCCCTCCAGCCTGGGTGACAGAGTGAGACCCTGTCTCAGGGAGAAAGAAGAAAATAAAGAAAGAAAGAAAGAGAGGGTAGGAAGGGAAGAAGGAAGGAAGGGAGGGAGGGAGGAAGGGAGGGAAGGGGAAAGGAAGGAAGAGAGAAAGAGAAGGAAAGAAGAAAAAGATGAAAGAAAGACAGACAAAAGAGAAAGAATGAAAGAAAGAAAGAAAGAAAGAGAAGCAAGCAAGCAAGCTCCATGCAGTATCATTAGGAAAACAAACGGTGAAGCATAGTTTGTTGAATGAAACCTTTTGTTTAAGATGGGAGGAGGGTGATGAAGTTGCGCAGGCATTTACTTGCATTTGCAAAAGTAATTCTGGGAGCCCGAACATGAAAGCAACAGGCACAGAGTCCGGAGGGCGTGAGAGCTGGCAGGGGACGAGGTGGCAGTGGGAGTTAGGCTGCTGACTGCATAACTTTTTACTGTTTGATTATCAAGCCACACAAATGCATTGCCTTTTGTTAAAATCAAAGAAAATTAAAACAACGCATCTTCCATTTGAGGGAGCAGTTAGCAGGGGTTGAGCCCACTGAGCCACAGTCCACTGCACTTTCCGCTGAGCCCCTGGGATCAGGGCCCTTTCCTGGCTGACCTTGCACCACCCCCTGGGCTTCTGCTGCAAGGTGGCAGTGGGGGAATGGGGGGTGGAGGGCAGCGTGTGAGGGTGCGGGCAGCTCTGACTTGCTGTTTAGAATCATTTCTCCATCAACACCTGAGCCTGGTGGCCCTCACCTTCTGCGTCCATCCTGATGTCCAGCTGTAGCAGCTCCGTGGGCGCCTGTCCCTTCTCTGCAGCTCCAGCTGGTCCAACCACCCTCTCTGTGCCCGCCCCACAAGCTGCTGAACGCTTTGGCTCTGCAGGGGCAACAGAGCCCCAGAAATGCTGAGCTGACTGTGGGCTGCACATTTGACAGCGTCTCTTTGCCAAAGATCCTGGTCTCATTGGCCGAGTGGTGCCCAACAGGCCCCCTGGCCCTCCTGGTGGATGGCATTTGTGGTGCAGGTGCTGGCTGAACATCCTCAAGCTGGTATGGTGCCAGGCCTTCGGGGACAGAGTCCTGCCCATCCCTGAAGAGACCTGATCCCTGGGCAACCAGACCACAGGAGGTGCCCTGGACAGCCTGACTGGGTCAGAGCCCTGGAGACTGGCTGAGCACCGTGCAGAGTCTGTGGCACCTGGGGCTGCTGTATGGCCTCTGGGTGCTGCAGCTTTGTCACCCCTGAGACCCACAAGGCAATGACATCACTCCATAGGTGTTTTTAGAAAAATTAGTAGACTTTATTTTTAGAGCAGTCTTAGGGTTATGGTGAGCAGGAAGGCAGAGGTTCCCATGTACCCCTCCCTCCCTTATTAAACCTTGCGTTTGCATGGAATGCTGGTTACACGTGATGAGCCAATATTGGTAAATTATTACTAATAGACATTGCACATTGTGCAACAATACACACTATTCTGGGCTAATGGGTGCTCTTACTTCCTGGGCCTCCCAAGGCTGCCGCTTCTCAGGGTGGGGTGGGGCCCTCTCAGTACCCACCTTCCTGGAAGAGTGCCTTGAACATGGAGACAGGAGCATTGAGCAGACTCACCCGATCAGGATGCCAGGTGCCCGGCTCCAGCTCTGGCCACAACTGCTTGTGAACTTGCTCTTCCAGATCCTTCCAGGCCACCTTGCAGTGCACAGAGCAGGCCCTGACACATGGAGTTGGTGTGTTCCATACGTGGAGGTGGCATGTTCCATGCGTGGAGGTGGTGTGTTTTATGTGTGGAGATGGCGTGTTCCATACGTGGAGATGGCATGTTCCATATGTGGAGGTTGCATGTTCCATGCCAGGAGGTGGTGTGTTCTATATGTGGAGGTTGCATGTTCCATGCCAGGAGGTGGTGTGTTCCATATGTGGAGGATCTGTGTTCCACATGTGGAGGTGGTGTGTTCCATGCCTGGAGGTGGCATGTTCCATGCCTGGAGGTGATGTGTTCCATATGTGGAAGTTGTGTGTTCCATGCATGGAAGTGGCGTATTCCATAGTGGTCTTGCATGCAGAGCTCTGCACAGTTCACACAGAGGCTCAGGTGCATCCCTTGCTGATTGGCTCATCCAGACAAAGCAGTGAAAACCAAGCCCTGGATTTATTAAGAGGGTGGGAGTCCGGGGTGTGGCACAGACCCCTCCGGTCTCGGCCTGTCTGTCCTTCCAACATTTGTCAGGCAGCAGACATGGCTGTTATGGGAAATATGGAAGCGTTGTCTTGCAGCCATCGTGTCCAGTAATGACCTCATTCCATCGCAAATTGGTGGAGAACATGCTCCCGTGAGTTGCCCCAGAGCACAGCGGTGGGTACAGCTGAGATTCTAGCCTGGTTTTACATCTTCCCCCAGCGGCCAAGCCTCCTGATACTAATTGTCATTTTTGTCAATTGTTTTACATTGTTTTTATGGACACATTATTCACACACGTGTCTTCCTGCAGAACACCTGCCAGTGCTGTGCTGTGTTTCTGCAACACGTCAAAATGCTGTGTGGGTGAAAATGAAGTGGTGACAAGGATGTTCTGTTGACGTTTCCCGTGACATCTTTGGGGGAGGGCAGAGGTGTGAGGCCTTCTGTGTCTGTCGAGGCATTAGGGTCAGAAATGATGATGATGTTTTCAGTCTATAACCTTGAAATAAAAATGAACAAGGAATCATACCTATCCCCAAATCCACAGAATGCCCCAGGCTGCTCCCGGCACAGGTGCAGAGCAGAGCCCAGGCTGTGCCTCATTCTGTGAGCAGCAGCTCTGGGGTGGCAATGGACCCACAGCCCATCCAGGCTGTAATGCGGAGGGTGTGCGTTATTCTTGGCACCTGCCATGCCCACAACCGTCAGAACATTGGGGGCTCATCCTGCAGCTCACCAGCTCTGGAATTTTCTGCCCCGAAAGAGAAAAAGCATAACTCCACACTGTCTGACACTGAAGCTTCCAGGAAGGCATCCTCAGAAGTGCCAGGCTCAGCAGATGCTTTCTCAACCGTGAATTCGAGCCAGGTGTTGTCCCAATTTCAGGACGCTGTGATCTATGTCCTTGTCTTGCAGTGACACCATTGCCTTGCTAAGCCATAAATAATGTGATCAGGAACACATTTTGGCTTTGAAGACAGAAGGTCCCAAACCATCATTCAAATGCAAGAGGGAGAGGAAGGCATCAGCTGCCCACATAGTTCACGCCTCCACCTTGGCTGCACCCTAACCATCCCATTGAGAAGTGTATCCATTATCCATGGCTGTGTAACAAATCCCCACAGCTTAGCAGCTTGAGCAACAAGCACTCATCATCTCACAGTTTCTGTGGGTGAGGAAGCTGGGAGTGGTGAGTTGGGTGGTTCTGTCTCAGGGGCTGTCACATGGCTGCTGTCAAGCTCATGCCTGGGGCTGTGGTAATTTGAAGGCTCAACTGGGGCTGCAGATCTGCTTTCAAGGTCTCTCAAATGAGTTTGGCAGGAGGTGCTATTAAAATATTGAAAGTAATCACAAAAACTGCAATTACTTTTGCACCAACCTAATAGTTGCTCTCCTTAAGTATCTCCTAGAGCCAGTGATGTGAGAGTGAGCACTTGGAATGGAGCCGTGGTCTTCCACAGCCTGATCTCAGAGGTGACACCCACAACATCTGCCACTGTCATTTGGCCTGGGTCCAACCTAGTGTGATGAGAAGTGAATACCAGGAGCCAGGGAGGCATGGTCAGGTTGTGGCACCATGGAGGCTGCTAGCACCAAAGTGGGCATATTCAAATGCACTTCCTCTTGTAGTGGTTTGTTCTCATGCTGCTATAAAGAACTGCCTGAGACTTGGTAATTTATGAAGGAAAGAGGTTTAATTGACTCACAGTTTCACAAGGCTGAGGAGGCCTCAGGAAACTTACAATCATGGTGGAAGGGGAAGCAAACATGTCCTTCTTCACATGGCAGCAGCAAGAAGAAGTGCAGAGTGAAGGGGGAAGCCCTTTGTAAAACCATCAGATCTTGTGAAAATCACTCACTATCATGAGAACAGCATGAGGGTAACTGTCCCCATGATTCAATGACTTCCCACCAGGTCCCTCCCATGACATGTGGGGATTATGGGAACTACAATTCAAGATGAGATTTAGGTGGGGACACAGCCAAACCATATCACTTCTGTTGTAAACATTTACTGGCTGCCTGATGTATTTCTAATGTGTTGAATGCTATAGCAAAAAGTCATGTATCTGACAAGACCTGAACAATTACACTGTTTAATTTTCCAATTTTGCTGTGGAAGGAACTTGCCTAAATGAGAGGGACAGAGACTTGCCCAAGATACAAGACATAATTAGCTAGTGATAGAGTTGTTATCAGGATTTTTGTCTCTAATTCCCATTTCTATTTTAGTCCACAAAATTCCAAAGGAAAAAGCACAATCCTTGCCTTTAAGAGTCCAAAAATATTCTTAGGGTGATAAATGCTTTTTAAATAAGTTAATGAATCATGGTCATAGTATTTTCCATAAAATTCCAGAGTTTCCTGTCACCAAACAAGGGAGTGTTAGGTATAATTAGATATGTTCCCCTGGTATCCTAAAAGAATTTTCTTATTAAGAATGTTGATGTGTTGTCATGAATATATTATTTATATTGGAAAATATAGATTGCCATTTTAGTCAATGACAGGTTGTCATGAACCCCACATACCAGTGAGGGCACAATCAAGAGACAGAAACCACAGCAATTATTTAAACACAGAAAACTGAAATGAAGGATTGTTAACCAGGCTTGGAGTTTAGCAGGCAACTGAAAGATATCTTGAAGGTAGAGGCTACTAGAGGAAGCTACTACACCTGTGGCTGGAGGAACAAAGGGGAAATATTGGAACTACTACTATTTTAAAATCAAGACCTCTGAGGAGGGGTACCTGCCAGCTTTAGCTGTTGTCTTGGGGCTCAGAGGGGGGGCCCATGACAGGTGGAGGTTGCATTTCATCCATGTCTCCACGGGAGGAGACGTAAAACTGACCATTTTCTGAAAAGATCGTTTTCTTCCCCCTACTGCTTTGCCAGCATCTTTGTGGTTCTCTCAGTTTTGTTTTCTTTTGTCTTTGTTATAAAAATAGCTTTATTTTAACTTTGTTCTTGAATGATATTTTTACTTGGAGTAATATCCTAGACTGGGAGTTATTTTTTGTTTCTTACACCATTTAAAGATTTTATTGCATTGTCCTCTGGCTTCCATTGTTTCTGCTGAGAAGTTGGATGTCTATCAAATTTTTGCTCCTTCTAAAGTAATCTTACTTTGTATGCTGGTTGCTTTTATGATGTTTATTTTTATTTTGGTTTTCTGTAGTTCACTACAGTGTGTCTAACATGTGGATTTCTATTTATGTTATCTATTTCACTGGAGATTTTTCCCTTCAAATCTTGTATCATTTTTTAAAAATTTCATTAGTTGGACTTCACCTTTCTCTAGTAACTCCTTGATTAGCTTAATAATAGACCTTTTGAATTCTTTTTCTGGCACTTCAGGGATTTCTTATTGGTTTGGATCCATTGCTGGTGAGCTAGCATGCACTTTTGGGGGTACTAAAGAATGTTGTTTTGTCATATTACTGGAATTGTTTTTCTGCTTCCTTCTCATTTGGTAGACTATGTCAGAGGGAAGATCTGGGTCTCAAGGGCTGCTGTTCAGATTCTTTTGTCCCACAGGGTGTTCCCTTGAGGTGGTGCTCTCCCCCTTCCTCTAGCGATGGGGCTTCCTGAGGGCCGAACTGCAGTAATTGTTTTGCTCTTCTTGGTCTAGCCACCCAGTGGAGCTACTGGGCTCCAGGCTGGTACAGGGGAGTGTCTGCACAGAGTCCTGTGACGTGCTCTGTCTTCAGGTCTCTCAGCCATGGATACCAGCACCTGCTCTGGTGGAGGTGTCAGGGGAGTGAAGTGGACTCTGAGGGTCCTTGGTGGTAGCGTTGTTAAGTGCGCTGGTTTGGTATAGGTTGGCCTCCAGCCAGGAGGTGGTGCTTTCAAGAGTGCATCAGCTGAGGTTTTATAGAGAAGATACAAGCTTGCCCTAGAGCCCCCAGGAGATTATGTCCTTTGTCTTCAGCTACCAGGACAGGTAGAGAAAGACCACCAGGTGGGGGCAGGGTTAGGCATGTCCGAACTCAGCCTCTCCTTGGGTGGGGCTTGCTGCAGCTGCTGTAGGAGATGGGGCGTGGTTCCCTGGTCAATGGAGTTATGTTCCCAGAGGGATTATGGCTGCCTCTGCTGTGTCATACAGGTCGCCAGGGAAGTGTGGGGAAGCAGGCAGTTACAGGCTTCACCCCACTCCCACACAGCCAGCAAGGCCAGTCTCACTCCTGCCATTCGCCCCCACTCCCAACAGCACAAAGTCTGTCTCCGGGCAGTGGGTGAGCAGGGCTGCAAACCTGCCCCAGGCTATCTGCTTCCCAGCTGAGAAAGTAAGCAGAGTTTTAAGGCTTTGTGCCTCCCCACCTGGACACACCATTGGTCTGGGAACACTGTAACCCAGGATCAGGGACAGGGGGGTCCTGGAGTTCCCAGATGACTTGGAGTTGGGCTGCGGCCCCTGGCAGGCTGGTTGACCTCAGTTTACCTTTTATCCCCATGAAGAGCTATATAGGTTCTCTTCCCAAGCAGGGGATACAGAGCAGAAACTTTATTCCTCCTGGGTCTTTGTGCCAACACTTGTCCCCCGACCCCAAAGTACTTTCAAAAGGATGGCACTGATTTTTAGCCACTGCTCCTGAAATTGGCATGGCCCACAGAAGGCATGTCCCCAGATCCCAGGCTCACCCACCTACAATCGCATTTCTCTTGGCTGCCAGCCGGGCTTGTCTACACCCAGATCCCAGGCTCACCCACCTACAGTCGCATTTCTCTTGGGTGCCAGCCAGGCGTGTCTACACTACTTGGTTGGTTTCCAGTGCCTTCAAGCAGATATGGTTCTATTTTGTCCAAGTTTTCCAGTTATCCTTGGCATCTGGGGGGGTATAGGTGATCTAGACTTCCATTTTTGGAAGTGGAATTTCCTGGGTTGATTTCTTTTCCTGTTTAATATTTAAAGATGCACTGTGGGCCATGTGCGGTGGCTCACACTTATAATCCCAGCACTTTGGGTGGCCGATGTAGGTGGATCACCTGAGGTCAGGAGTTTGAGACCAGCCTGGCCATCATGGTGAAACCCCGTCTCTACTAAAAATACAAAAATTAGCCAGGTGTGGTGGCGTGTGCCTGTAATTCCAGCTACTCAGGAGGCTGAGGCAGGAGGATCACTTGAACCAGGTAGGTGGAGTTTGTAGTGAGCTGAGATTACACCACTGCACTCCAGCCTGGGTGACAGCGAGACTCCGTCTCAAAAACAACAACAAAAACAAAAAGACACACTGTGCATGTCCCTGGCCCAGGGCAGAAGTCACAGCCCAGCCTGTTGCCATTAGACACTCTGTTCCGTGACATGTCCCACGAGTCCCACACGTTGCCGAGGCCAGATCTTTACTGACCACTGGAGCCACCTTATGGCCTCAGGATGTGGCTTTGCTGGCATTCCTGTGGAAGAGGCACTGCCCCATCCATGTGCCACCCTGTGCTGTGATGGGGAGCCTGGCTGCTGCACTCACACTCGGGGTGGAAAGCAAAGCCCGACCCCTAATTTAGCCAGTGGGACTCAGGAGCAGGCCATTCACTTGTTCAATTCTGTCCATACTGAAGAGACGCCGGGCCCCTGGCAAGAGGCTACAGAGCCTCTTGCTTCCCTCAGAACCTCTCCTGGGGATAAGTTCCTGTTGTCCCTAAGTCAGCAATGAGGCTGAACCAAAAAGCAATGTGGCCAGGCCAGGGAAACCTTCTCTTTACGGCCAAGAAGTGGGGACCTGCATCTTTGGCCAAAGCAGACTTATGGGATTTAAGGACAAAGAGGCTAAATACACAAAGAAAAGGTGTGTGTACGTGTTTCCTAGGACTTCTGTAACAAATTATTGCACACCGCATGGCTGGAAACACTGGAAGTGTATTCTGTCACTGTTTCAGAGATGAGACGTGTAATTCAAGGTGTCCACAGGACCATGCACCCTCCAAAGGCTCCAGGGAGGAACTTTCCTTGCCTCTTTCCCTTTCTGGTGTTGTCCACAATTCTGGGTTGTCCCTGGCTTGTGACAACATCACACTATGCTGGCCTTCCTTCTCTGTGTGTCTGTGTGTCCAAATTTCTCTCTCTTATAAGGGTGTCATCATTAGGCTCACTCCAGTCCAGTGTGACCTCATCTTATTTAATGACATCTGCAAAGACCTGATTTCCAAATAAGGCACTGGGTGTTGGGATTTGGACATACCTTCTGAGGGGGAACTCAATCGTACCCACAACAGTGTGCTTCCTCTTTTGGATACACTGGGGATGGTTCCCTCTCTCTGGACCTGATACTGCTCTTTCCCCAAAGGCCACTGATTAGTCAACATGCTCCCTGGGGCTCATGTCAGCCAAGGAGGGCAATTGATTTCCAACCACCTGTCAACATCTGCTTTACCCCCTGGGCTGAGAGCTGAGTTTCCCACAGTGACAAGTAGGTGATAAAAGACAGGTGTCCAAGTGTTTCCTGGAGAAAAAGCACTGGTTTAACTTATTTAATTAGTTCCAGAGAAGCAGTCAGACAGAAATGACACATCCCCTACAGGGCACAATAATCCCGGCTGCAGTTTCTCATCAGATGCTGTGCAGACCAGGATGTGGAAGAACATTGAAAACAAGAAACCAAAGGAAGCACCAAGCCAGAGTTGTGCATCTGTGAGAATTTCAGAAATGGAGGAAAAATCGATGCAAGAATACCCTTCAGAAATGAAAAAATCGACCGAAAATACCCTTCAGAAATGAATTAAAAATCAACACGAGAATACCCTTCAGAAATGAAGGAAAAATCAATGCGAGAACACCCTTTGGAAACGAAGGAAAAATCGATGCGAGAACACCCTTCAGAAATGAAAAATCAACGTGAGAACACCCTTCGGAAATGAAGGAAAAGTCGACGTGAGAACACCCTTCGGAAATGAAGGAAAAATCGACGCGAGAACACCCTTCAGAAATGAAGAAAAGTCGACGCGAGAACACCCTTCGGAAACGAAAGAAAAATCGATGCGAGAACACCCTTCGGAAACGAAGGAAAAATCGACGCGAGAACACCCTTCGGAAATGAAAGAAAAATTGATGATCTCCAGTGAGGACGCACTAAGAGAATTTGTTGCCGGCACACCTGCTTTAAAAGATGCCAAAGCAAGTTCTTCAGCTTGAGGGAAGATACAGAGGAAAACCCACAACCCCAAGAAGGAAGAAAGGGCAAGACAAGCAGTAAATGTCCAAGGAAACACAGCACACTATTGTTCTCCTCTTTACCCCAAGTGACTTTTCTTGCTCTGAATCTATTTTGTCTCACATGAATAGAGCTGTTTGAGGATTTTTGTGTAACTGATGTTGGCCTGATAGCTCTTTTCCCATCCTTTGACTGTGAAACAGTCTGTATCATTACATTGAAAATGAGTTTCTTGTAGACAGCATGTAGATGAGTCTTTAAAGTACATATGATGGTTGAAAGCAACAATTAACAACATTGCTTGGTTGAATTTTCAATATGTGCAGGTGCAATACGATGACTGTGACAAAGGGCACAGTGAAGGGGCCTTGGTGGGGACAAGGTCCCAGCATTCCAGCCAGAAGTGGTAAAATATTAATTCTGCATAGACTGGCAAGGTGAGGAGGAGTTAGAATGTATATTGCAATCCTTAGAATGACAATACACAGAGATAGAATTCAAGAAACCATTAGATAAATCAAAATGAAATACCACAAAATATCCCAATAATCCAAAAGAAGACATGCAAAGGGGAAAAGGAGAAAAAATCAGAGGTGCCAAATAGAGGACATGCAAGAAATGCTGGACCTAAATTCAGACACATCAGTAATGAATATAAATGTAGATGATCTAAACATACTGATTAAAGGCAGAAATTATCAGACTGGATAAAGGCAAGTCTTATCTACAGGCTGTCTATAAAAACCCTCTTTAAATACAAAATATAGGCAGATTAAACATAAAAGGATAGAAAAAGATATGCCAAGCAAACACCAATTAAAAAAACTGGAGTGACAAAGTAGATTTCAGAGCAAGGAAAATTCCTAAGAGTAAAGAGGGACGTTGCATAATGACAAAGGATCAACTCCCCAAGAAGACCTAGTAATCCTAAACACATATGCACCCAACGATAGGGCTTCCAAACACACAAGACAAAGACGATAGAGCTGCCTGAAAGGGAACAGGCAGCTCCATACTGGAATTGGTGACCCCAACATTCCCATCTCAGTTGGTTAGGGCTGCCATGTCAAAATACCACAGACTGGGGCCTTAAAGGGCAAAAATTTGTTTTCTCACCATTCTGGAAGCTGGAGGACCAAGATGAAGGCTGTTGGGGTTGACTTCTCAGTGTTCTCACATGGTATTTTTTTGTGCTGGTGTGGAGAGTGAATGATTCCTGGCTTCTTTCCATCTTCTTGTAAGGACATAAGTCCTATTGAATCGGACCCCCTCATATGACTTCTTGCAACCATAATCACCTCCTTACAGGCCCTGTCTCTAAATACAGTTACATTGGGGGTTAGGGCTTCAACATGTGAATTTTGTGGGACACAATTCAGTCCATAACAACTCCTCTCTCAGTAGCTGATAGAAAAGTGGACAGTAAATTAGCAGGATATGGAAGAACTGACCAGCTCCAGGAACCAACTGGACCTAACTAACATTTATAAAACGTTCTGCCAAACAACATCTACATACACTTTCTTTTTGGTCATAAAATGCATGTGAAAAAATTTAAAATACAAAAAACCTACAATGGTGTTAAACTAGAAATCAATAATATAAAAATGCCTAGAAAACCTCCAAATAGGTGGAAATTAAACAACACACTCCTTAGACAATGCAAATGTTGAGGAGAATGGCTCAGAAAAACTGGAAATCACTTGAACTGAATGAAAATGAAAAATATAGCAAAATGAAACAGTGCTTAGAGAGAAATTTATAGAACTAAATGCTTATAGCCCTACAAGCATTTAGTTAGAAAAGAAATGCTAATATTAAAAACAGAAGAAAATTATAAATCAACAATCTAAGCTTCCACCTTAAGAAATTACGAAAATAGGAGCAAATTAAACTGAAAGCAGGCAGAAGGAAGGAAAGAATAAAGATAAGAGAAACCAATGAAATAGAAAACAGAAAGACAACAAAGAAAAATCAATAAACTAGAGGCTGGTTCTTTGAAAAGATCAGTAAAATTGATAAAGCTTTAACCAGACTGATTAGCAAGGGAGAAAGAGAGATAAATTTCCAGTATCAATAATGAAAGAGGATATATCACTATTGACCCACAGACATTAAGAGGGCAATGCACGAACATTATGAGCTACTCCCTGCATATACATCTGACAACTTTGAAGGAATAAGCCAATTCTTTAAAAGCCACAAACTACCAAAACTCACTCAACAAGAAATAGATGGCCTGAACAACCCTTTTGTATTAAAGTAATTGAATTCATAGCAGAAAAACTTTCTGAAAATGAAAATTCCAGACACAGATGGTTTCATTAGCAGATTTTATGAACAGGTAATGAAGAAATATTACCAATTCTGCACAATCTCCTCCAGAAAATAGAAGAGAAATGCTTTCCTACTCATGTTATGAAAACAGCATTACTCCAGTGCCAATGCCAGATAAATGACAGTACAAGAAACAAAACTACGTACAAATATCTCCCATGAACATAGATGCAAATGTATAAATTGTGACAGTAGCATGCAAGGCTGGCTAAACATCTGAAATTCAATCAGCACTCTCCACTGTATTGACAGACCAAAGAAGAAAACACACACGATCATCTCAAATGACGCAAAAAACAATGTCAAAATTCAAGAATCATTCATGGAAAAAGTCTCAGCAAACTAGGAGCAGTGAGGAACTTCCTTAACCGGATGGAATGTATCCATTAAAAACCCACAGATGACGTCGCACATAGTGGTGAAAAACTGGATACTTCCTCCCTAAAATCTGGAATGAGGATAGGCGGTCCCCACTCCCATCCTTGCCAACATCATCCTGAAAGTCCCAGCTAGTGCAATAAAGCAAGAGAAGGAAATAAAAGGCATTCAGACAAGAAAGGGAGAAAGAAAACCATCTCTATTTACAGAGAGCATAATTGTTTATGTAGAACATTCCAAGGAATTTACCAAAAAAGACACAAAAACCTCACCTATAACTAGTCCATGAGTTCAGCAGTGTCACAGGATACAAGATTGGCACACACGTGTCAATGGCGTTTTTATCTAATAACAGTGAACACGTGGGAATTGAAGTTTAAGTCTCAGTCCCACTGACAGCCCTGCCAAGAGAATGAAACACAAACACACTTAACACAACACGAGTAGATGAATAATGGGCAAAAGAGGGAAGAACTCATTCACCAAGGACATTTGGATGGCAGATAAGAACACGAGATGCTCGACATCGTCAGCCACGAGGGAATAAAAATGTACACCACTGATGTGTGGAACCACCACACACCTGTGAGAACAGCGCGAGGAAAAAGGAAACGCGTGGTCACACCCAGCACTGGCGAGGACGCGGAGCCCCTGGCTCTCCTGTGCCACTGCTGGGGGTGTGACGTGCGGCAGCTGCTCCAGACGACAAGGTGGCAGTGTATTTTAATGTTACAACTATGCTTACCTTGGGATCCAGCAACCCCCTGCCTGGACATGCATGCTGGAGAAATGAAAGTTTATTTCACGGGAAAATCTACACACGACTGTTTGTAGCGGCTTCACTCCAGGGATTAGAAAATGAACCACTTACTTGAATCCAGTGAATATTCACCAAAAACAACCAACCAAATGTGTAAACAACATTGAGACCTACTAGAAACAACAAATACCTGCTTACATATGTTAATTGTTTGCCCATTTTGCCTCTGTGGACTTCCATTCCAATTCTTTATTCTTCCAATACCTATGACTGTTTCTATTTAAGGTGTTAAAGGAAACGTTTGACGGATCGAATAACTGATATGACATTTATCTTACTTTACTTTTAAAATCTCAACTTTTATTTTAGATTTAGGGGCACACGTGCAGATTTGTTACATGAGAATATTGTGTGATGCTGAGGTTTGGAGGACGGGTGCCATCACCCAGATGGCGAGCATCATACCTGAAGGAAGTTCTTTAATCCTCCATCCCCAACCCTCCAGGAGGCCCCAGTGACTTTTGTTCCCATCTTTTTGTCCACGTGTCCTCAATGTTTAGCTCCCACTTGTAAGTAAGAACATGCGGTATTTGGTTTTTTGCTCCTGCATTAATTTGCTTACGAGAATGGCCTCCAGCTGCATCCATGTTGCTGCAAAGGACACGATTCCATTCTTTTTATGGCTACGTAGTATTCCACAGTGTATATGTACCACGTTTTCTTTATGTAGTCCACCACTGATGGGCACCTAGGTTTGTTCCATGTCTTGCTATCGTGAATAACGCTGTGATGAACATATGTGTCCTTTTGGCAGAATCCTTTATTTTCTTTTGGGTATATACCCAGTAATGGGATTGCTAGGTTGAATGGTAGCTGTGTTTTAAGATCTTTGAGGAATCTCCAGACTGCTCTCCACGGGCCTGGGCTAATTTATGTTCCCACCAGCAGTGCGTGAGCATCACCTTTTTTCTTCAGCTTCACCAGCATCTGTTGTTTTTTTGACTTTGTAATAATCGCCATTCTGACTGCTGAGCTGGCATCTCATTGTGGTTTTGATTTGCATTTCTCTGATAATGAGAATTTTTTCTTATACTTGTTGGTCACTTGTATGTCTTGTTTTGAGAAGTATCTGTTCATGTCCTTTGCCTTTTTTTTTTTTTTTTTGAGACAGAGTTTCACTCTGTAGCCCACGCTGGAGTGCAGTGGCGCAATCTCGGCTCACTGCAAGCTCCTCCTCCCTGGTTCACGCCATTCTCCTGCCTCAGCCTCCCGAGTAGCTGGGACTACAGGCGGCCACCACCACGCCCAGCTAATTTTTTAATATTTTTTAGTAGAGACGGAGTTTCACCGTGTTAGCCAGGATGGTCTCGATCTCCTGACCTTGTGATCCGCCCGCCTCAGCTTCCCGAAGTGCTCGGATTACAGGCATGAGCCACCGCGCCCGGCCGCCCATTTTTTAATGGGGTTGTTTTTTGCTTGTTGATTTGTGTAAGCGTCCTATAGATGCTGGATATTAGGCCTTTGTCAGATGCATAGTTTGCAGACATTTTCTCCCATTCTGTAGGGTGTCTGTTTCCTCCGTTGGCAGTTTCTTCTGCTGTGCAGAAGCTCTTCAGTTTAATTAGGTATCACTTGTCTATTTTTGTTTTTGTTGCAATTGCTTTTGAGGACTTAGCCAGCGTTCTTTGCCAACGCCAACGTCAAGAAGACGTTGTCTTCCAGGATGTTTATAGTTTGACGTCTTGCATTTGAGTCTTTAATCCATCTAGAGTTGATTTTCGTCTATGCGGAAGGGTAAGAGTCCAGTTTCCTTCTTCTGCCTGTGACTGAGCTGCTTATCCCAGCACCATCTATCGGACAGGGAGTCCTTTCCCCGCGGCTTGTTTTCGTTGGTCTTGTCAAAGACCAGACGGGTGTATGTGTGCAGCTTCATGTCTGAGTTTTCTATTCTGTTCTATATGATAATGAAACCAAATCAATGTCTCTGCTCAGACCCCTTCTGACAAGGTCTGTGGCGCCCACCATGGCGTTAGGGCCACAGCCTCCTGCCCCATGTGCCAGGCCCGGCTCTGCCCAGCTCCCTGCAGCTGCGCCAGTGTGTGCTGTGACTCGTGCTCCTGGTTTGTCATCTGCCTCTCAGTAGACACCACGGCCTTCAAGCTTTCTCCGCTCCGTGACCAGCAGCTGGGACGGGACCAGCAGTGCATGCGGCTCTGGATTCATGTTTGTTGAATGACTGACTGAACGGAGGCTCCCTTACAGAAGTGAACGGCGCGGCCCTCCCTGAGTTCCGGCCTGGCTCTGGATACCAAGGAGCAAGGTGGTCAGGGGTCAGGGGCTGGAGTGGGGAGATTGCCTGGGAGGGGGCTGGAGGGTGTGGTGGAACTGCAGGTTCTCTCCTTGACATGCCTGTGGGGGAGCCTTTCCCGGCCCTCTCTCCGCTGGTTTTCACCCTTTCTCCGGTGCAGCCACACTGGGCATCCCACCCCAGGGATCCAGGAAGGGGGCGTGTCGGCCGAGTGCGAGCCCGTTTCTGAACACCCTGTGAAGTTGGTGAGAATTCAGGTGCCTATCGGCCGGGCTCCACCTGTGCACCAGGTGTGGCCGCCTCACTGTGACTTCAAAGGTCCCCGGGGAGGAAGGAGGCTCCCAGCTGCACACAGGTGAGTCAGTCCCATTGTTCCGTGTGTCTGAAAAATCAATCGGGTCCAAAGTAAAAATATTTATTTAATGAGCAGAAATGTATGGCCGATCGGTTTTTAAAGGATATTGCTTCCTGCTCCTTGATACTGAAAAGGGGCGTTAGAAGAAATTCATTTGCAGGGATTGAGTTCTGGAAATGGCCATTCTAGGTGAAATAAGGACAGAAAATAGCACAGCACCCGCCAAAGACAGCTCATTCTCTTCCTTGGGGTGCTGGGGGACACGGGCGCCCCTCGGGGGCAGGAGGATCCCAGCGGGAGGACACTGGGCACTGCGTGAAGTCTCCCCTGGGAGCCCCAGTGAGGGGCAGGTGATGGCCCCGAGTGTCCCTGGGTCTCCCAAACGAACGTCTGGGCTTCTCTGGGAGGAGGACTCCACCCTGCAGAAGAGAAGGGTCTGGGTCAGAACCCAGTGAGTCCGGGGCTCCCTCCGCCTCCTTTGCTCCCTGTGAGATGGGCACGGAGAATGAGTCCCTCCGTGGACGTGGACGCCTGGTGGTTCTCGGCCGAGATCGCACCCTCGTGGCACCTGCCGGGGACCGCCCAGCTCCTGCAGCTGCGGTCTCTGGAGAGCACCGCCGGGATCCCCACGGCTCGAGAACCCGCGGTGCGTTTTGTAGGGTCAGCATTTGCGTACTGGGTCTGCTGCACTCCCTTCCTCGCGCGGCTCCCCGTTCAGCTCCCTGCAGGCGTCGGGACCTTGCTGCGCGGCTCCTCTTCCAAAACCCACAAGGTTCTGAGTTCCTGGGGCTTTGTCCCCCCAGTCTGTGGCCGCCGCAGGGCCTCCTCCTGGACCAGCCCGAAGGGCACATGGGGATGGCGCCTCAGGGCTCCGGTAGCGAAGGCCACACAGAAGTCCCGAGGACCCTGGCAGCGGCCGTCTCCTGCGTCTTGGTCCCTGAGGACCCTGGGCCTTCCTGGCAGTGGAGGCTGGTGTCTCTCACTCTCTCCAGGTGCAGGCCAGCGCTCAGCTAAATGCCTTCAGAGCTCCGGCTGAGATGTGCAGCACCCGCCACCGTCAGTCTTCGTGTGTTGGGGCGTGATGGGGATGGTGTCTCAGTCCTATGTTCTCGTGCTGCTGTGTTTGGGATGTGTCAGTTTCCCATGACTGCTGGAACAAGCTACCCCAGCCTTAGGGGCTCAGAACAACACGCAGGACTCTCAGGCTTCTGGAACACGGCCCCCACTCCCTCCCGAGGCTCTGGGCCAGGATCCTCCCGTCGCCTCCAGCTTCTGCTGTATCGCTCCATGGCCGGCTCCTCTGTGCCTCTTCTCTCTGTGTCTCTCTTCTGTCTCTTAGAAGGACATTGGTGAATGCATTTAGACCCCCAGGCCCCACCCCCCGATAACCCAGGAAAAGCACCTCTTAAGATCCCTATGTTTATCACAGCTTTTGCCTCAGAGGTGACATTCGAAGCGCTGGGGTTTTGCACAGATTTTGGGGGAGGTCTTAATCAGCTCAGGTGGCCATAGCAGAAAACCACACACGGGCAACCCGAGCAGCAGACATAGGTTTGTTGAGCAGCAGACACAGGAAGCTCCCACCACTCTGGGGTGGAAGCCGGAGATCCTGGCACCAGCTGACTGGCCTCCTAGTGAGGGCCCTTCCTGGTTTCCCGGTGCGACAGAGAAAGGGGAGGGCAGCCCTCTCCTATGAGGGCACTGATCCCACTGGGAGGACCCCACTCCACACACCGCAGCACTGGGGTTGGGGTTCCACCCGTGACTCCTGCAGGAGCACAAACGTGCAGCCAATAGACCACATGCCTCTGGGCAGCAAAGGTCCCCTGTCACCTGCACTGCATTCTCCCGGTGCTGCCTCTGAGGACAAGGCTGGCTCCAGCGGGCTCAGTGCTGACTACCAGGATGCAGGAGGCCTGCCCGCTCGCCATAGCTGCGAAGCCGGCTGATTACATTTCAGGCTTTTGTTTATTCCCCATCCCAACCCGCTCCTTCATCCACACAGACTGCTCGGACCTGGACTCAGGCCAGGCTGGACACCAGGCAGACGGAGGGACGTCCCCAGCAGCCAGCTCCCTCTGTCCGAGCAGACGGAGGGACGTCCCCAGCAGCCAGCTCCCTGTGTCCAAACAGACGGAGGGACGTCCCTAGCAGCCAGCTCCCTCTGTCTGAGCAGATGGAGGGACGTCCCCAGCAGCCGGCTCCCTCTGTCCTAGCCCTGGGAAGGTGGGGTCCTCCAGAGCTCCCCTCCGCAGCCCCAGCCACTCCCATGCTCCAGCTCCTGCCCCCTCCCGGGGCTCTATCTCCCCACAGAGAAAGGGGGTCCCTCCGCTGGGCAGGCACAGCCTCCTTCCAGGCCTTGTTACGGGCACCTGCACACGTGCCTGTGCCACCTAAGCTGTGCCCGCGCCACCTAAGCTCTGCCCGCCACCTCGGCAGATGCCAGGGTCCACAGGAAGGCATTGGGTGCAACAGTCACTCAGCTGTTGTGTTTTCTTTCTCTTAGCCACAGTCTAGTCCTAGCAGCAGTGACCTTGGTTTGGAGCCCGGGTTGGGGACCCCAGTGATGCCAATTTTCTTTGCCCTCATCATCCCAAGGCGGCTGCTGCAGTTTCAGACATCACAACTTTGTTCAGCGCAAAGGAGAAGGGGGACAGGGTATGTGCCACTTACACGTTTCTTCTTCTGGAAAATCTAAACTTTACCTGAAAATGCCACCGTAGCCTCATGCTTGCTTCTCACCAACCCGAGCTGTAAGAGATGGCTCCATCCTCTACACCAGAAATGGGCAAGGCCCAAGAGGGCTGGGAACTGCCAGTCCCCTTGAGGGCCTTCTTATTTTTAATTTTTAGGGATGAGAAAACTGGAGTTCGGAGATGGGCTTGCTCACGGCCTCACAGCCAGGGAGCCTGCTCACCCCAGTGTGTGCCCAGCCAGAAACCTGCGTCTGGGCCCCCAGAGGCTGGGCTCCTCACAGTGGGGACCCACCATGTCCACTGCCTGCAGGAACCGACAGAGAGGCTGTGATGCTGAGCCCCGGCCTCATGCAACAAAGCTTTGCCCGACGGAATGCACCCAGCGGCAGTGGAGAGCAGTGCTGGATCCTGCGGGGTTGAGGCGGTGGAGCTTGGTCAGCATGGGGTGCAGGGGCAGGAGGGGGGACGTGGCCAGGGGCCAGGGGCCCGGGAGCAGTCAGGGCTGGTCGGCTGACCAGAGGCTCAAGGAGAAGGTGAGCTTTGAGTGATGGTCACTGGGCCATATGGGGTGGGGCAGCTCTGGCTCTGAGAGAACTCCTGCTTGGAGGAGGCCTTGGGCTTCCTGAGGCTGGTGGCCCCCAGGCCACACTCTGCCCTGGCCCTAAGGGACTCTGAGCTCTGGGCTCCCCGAAGCCTCAGAGATGAGGAGCAAGCAGCTGCAGGTCCCCAAGCCATAGTGGGGGAAGCCTGGGACTTTGCAGGGGATGCCAGGTTATATCTGATGCTGGCCCCTGGTCCTGATCAGCCTGCTTTTAACAGCAGATGGCGGAAAGAGAGGCAGAGGTGGTGTACTAGGCTGTTCTTGCATTGCTATAAAGAAAACCTGAGACTGGGTAATTTATAAAGAAAAGAGGGTTAATTGGCTCATGGTTTTGTAGGCCGTACATGAAGTGTAGTGCCAGGATCTGCTTCTGATGAGGCCTCAGGAAGCTTCCAGTTGTGGTGGAAGGTAAAGGGGGAGCAGATACATGACACTTTAAGAGGGGGGCAAGTCAGAGGGAGGAGGCACCTCACATTGTGAGAGGAGAGCAAGTCAGAGGGAGGAGGCACCTCACATTGTGAGAGGAGAGCAAGTCAGAGGGGGAGGCGCCTCACATTGTGAGAGGAGAGCAAGCCAGAGGGGGGAGGCGCCTCACATTGTGAGAGGAGAGCAAGCCAGAGGGGGGAGGCGCCTCACATTGTGAGAGGAGAGCAAGCCAGAGCGGGGAGGCGCCTCACATTGTGAGAGGAGAGCAAGCCAGAGGGGGGAGGTGCCTCACATTGTGAGAGGAGAGCAAGTCAGAGGGGGGAGGCGCTTCACATTGTGAGAGGAGAGCAAGCCAGAGGGGGGAGGCGCCTCACATTGTGAGAGGCGGGCTGTGAGAGAGGGGCAAGTCAGAGGGGGAGGCACCTCACATTGTGAGAGGGGGGCTGTGAGAGGGGGGCAAGTCAGAAGGGGGAGGCGCCTCACACTTTTTTTTTTTTTAATTGAGATGGAGTCTCACTCTGTCGCCCAGGCTGGAGTGCAGTGGCGTAATCTCAGCTCACTGCAACCTCTGTCTCCCAGGTTCAAGCAATTCTCCTGCCTCAGCCTCCCAAGCAGCTGGGATAACAGGTGCGCACCACCACACCCAGCTAATTATTTTTGTGTTTTTAGTAGAGACAGGGTTTCACCATGTTGGCCAGGCTGGTCTTGAACTCCTGACCTCAAGTGATCCACCCTCCTCAGTCACCCAAAGTGCTGGGATTACAGGTGTGAGCCACTGCGCCCAGCCACCACACACTTTTAAACTACCAGATCTACCAGAGTGAGAACTCACTTATCACCAACAGGATGACCCACGCCATTCAGGAAGGACCCACTCCTGTGATCCAAACACCTCCTACCAGCCCCCACCTCCAGCACTGGTGATTACATTTCAACATGAGATCTGTGGGGACAAACATCTAAACCATATCGAGTGGGCTCAGGAGGCAGCAGCCCTGGAAGATGCCGAGTGCCTGGGAGGACAGAGGAAGATGCCGGAGTTCACGGGTGCCATGTGCAGGTGCAGCTCCTGCCAGGCGGCTGAAGATGGGGCTCCAGGTGGTGGCAGTGCCCCAGCCCCACCAGTCCTTCCTGGGGAGAGGGTCACGGCTCAGTGGCTGAAGGGCTGGGGGGCTTGTCTGAAAGGAGTGAATGCCTGCCCATCAGGCACTTTCGGAAAAAGCTGGAAACCAAGATTTCCCTGAGAAGTCCTGGGCTTTCTGGTGTTGGGAACTATAGGAAGCAGCCGGCTTCTGCTTCCCCTCCAGGGTCCAGGAGAGAATTTGTTTTGGACAAACCTTCTAGGCCACATGCTTGGAGCACCTCTGACCTCACCCAGTGCCATGCCCCCCAGCTGAGGCCCGGCCCCTGCATGTGTTCAGGGATGTGAGGTCAGGGAGTGGTTCAGGGATGTGAGGCCTAGCACTGGTCCGCAGGCCTCTGGGAGCCCTCTGGGCCCCTTGCAGAGCGGGGCAGCACTTGGCTGAGGACTGCGAGGGCTGAGCTGTCCTGACCCAGTCCTGGGATAGCAGAGCCGCCCACCCTGCCTGGGGGCTCCTGGGTGTCTCCTGCAGCCACGCCACTTGTAGCTGGGTTCTGTCCTGGGACAGCAGAGACACCCAGCCTGTCTCAGGTCTCCAGGGCGTCTCCTGCAGCCACGCCACTTGTAGCTGGGCTCTGTGCTTGTTGTCAGTGCAGCCCCAGCAGCCCAGAGCGGTTCACAAGCTCCCAGACCGATTTACCTGCTCCAGTGAAACTCCTATGAGGGCACTGAAACTTCCCATTATTACAGGGCTCCGGCCCACAGCCATGGGGATGCCCCTTCCCACACCAGCTCCTGCAACTGGAAGGCTGTGGGCCACTCACTCTGAAGCCTCCCCTTTCCAGACACAAGGGCAGGAGTCAAGGGCAGTGGCAACATCCCCCAGAGATGCCGATGGACGGTGTTTCAACCTAAATCGGACAGCCGCACTCCCTCCCTGGCCACACAGCAGGACAGAGACCAGGACACAGCGGCCCACCCGCTGCCCTCACACTCCCCTCCTCCACGGTGTGAACTAAACCGCACACGTGGCCTGTTACTCGGACAAGGTGGGAAGGTGTGGCCCCACCCCCTCCTAAGACATTACGATGCGGAGAACCCCCAAGCCCACCCTCAACTGTGTTCACTGGAAACAGCCCAGCAAGGGCTACGTGTGCCTTCCGGTTTCACATTTGGGAAGTGGGTAAAATGCAGTATTGACAGTTCTCAAATATTGGTGTTGATCTTAACTGCTAGAGATACCGTGAGGGAAAAGAGCGCTTTTGTTCAACGTTTATGAATGGATAAAGGAGGAACTGAAACCAGCAAAGGGGCGGCTGGCCCTGGACCAGACGCGGCTTCGCCGAGGAGCTGTGGGCAGGGTGGGCCGGCACCTCCTTTCCTCTCGAGAAGGATGTGGAGAGCAGGTGGCTCGTGCCACCTGCCTCCCTGGCCCTCGTCCATGCCTCTGCACTGACCGCTGGGCTCCTGCCGCCCGGGGATGTGGGGAAAGGCCTTGGAGTGGGATGGAGGTCCGCGTGTGGGTGTGTGGCAGGTACCGGTGGATTGAGGTCCATGTGTGGGTGTGAACCTGGGTGTGAGACTGTGTGTGGGTGGGTGTGTACGTGAGTGTGCATGTGCACGTACACCTGTGTATGTATGCGTGTGAGGTGTGTGAACTGTGAGTGTGCTGTGGCTGTGAGCGTGTGCACACGTGAACTGAGCGTGACAGTGCGAATGTGTGTGCCGCGAATTCCACTGGCCACATGAATGCAGGCGAGGCCGCTCCGCTAGGCTGTGGATTTCCAGCATGGCCACGCTGGTTGCCTGTGTTGTCTTGTTGACACAGGATGGAGAAAGAACGATGCAGGATGCATCTCTGAGCCTGGCTCAGGCACCCAGAGGGAGCTGGGTTTGGGAGCAGCTGCTCTGCGTAGCCCTGGCTTGGATGCTGCGAGCCAGGTGGGCCTGGGGTGAGCGCTCGTCCCTGGGGTGGGTGGAGGCCCCCATTTCCCTCTCAAGTCCCCTCACTGTACATCACAGCCTCCTCCCACCCCCGCTCTGTTTAGAGAAAGCCCAGAGGCCCCTCAGGCTGAACCTCCAGCCCTCTTCTCTGACCATGTGGGTCTCCCTGTTTCCTTCCGCTGGCCTGGTCTCTGTAGGGCTCACTGAGCCTGCAGTCTGGGACCCACAGGCTTGAGGATTGAGGCTCGGGGCCTGGGAGCCTCCCTGGGATGTTCTAGAAAGCTATGGATGGGGCACCTGTCAGGGAGACAGCACACGGAGAGCCTCTCCCACCTGGGTCCTACCATAGCGGCCTGGGCCTGTGGGCTTAAAGAGCCGCTCCGGAATTTAACTGGGCCTGAGGGCTGGTGCCCTGTGAGGAACCCGGGATAGAACCTGGGGACAGAGGCCTCCATTAGTCCTTGGGAGCGGCAGGTAGCCCATGGGGTCACTGTGATCCCGGCACATTGTGGGAGCGTGCGCTGGGATGGGGAGGGGTCACTGTGAGCACGGTGCGTCGTGGGAGCGTGCGCTGGGATGGGGAGGGGTCATCGTGATGATGGCACAGCACACTCTCCTGTGGTCTAGGTTTAGGGATGCCAGTGAGACCCGCTGAAGCGTTGGGGCCCTACCCGAGGTGAGGCGTGCCCAGGTCTGGGGACTCCTGTCTTGGGGCCCCTCCCAGGAGAACCACCCCCCTCCTCTGGCAGGAAGCCCCCAAAGCTGTGGAGGAGCCCTGGGCCCACAGACAGCATCCCTGCTGCTGGGGACCCCAGGCCTGTGCGGGTGCCGCTGCCATGGGGCTGATGGGGCCCAGCCCAGCAGCCCCTGCCTTTGCTTTCCCGGCTTCTCTGCGGCTCTGTGCTTTTGCTGCCCCATTCCAGGCCGGAAGGCTCCCGCGCCTCCATGGATCTTCATGATTTGGCCAACCAGAGTGAGCACCGTGAGGAAGTGGAGACAGACACAACTTTCAGCAGCAGAAGACAGGATAATAAAGTTGGGTTTGGTTTATGATCTAACGTGACCATTAAAAGTGTTTAATAAACAACGTTAAAGACTACTTAGTGGCAGATGCATCCGGCAATGCTTAGCATAGCCTCATGACTGTCAATACGCACAGGCTTGAAAAACACCTGCAGGATACATGTGGGCATGTTAGTGTGGGTTATCTCAGCAGGGCGGCATATCGAATCTCGGTGCCCTTCTGTAGTGTCTATATTTTCTACAGTGAAGCTGGGATACTTTGGTGAGCAGAGGCATTGTTTTCAAAGTTCCCATTGGTACTTCCATCACATCCCCGTGTGGTTCTGTCCTGGACCGGCTGCCCACTGAGGTCCCACTCGCCCCTACCCTGCCCTGTCTGGCCAGCTGGGTACCTGCCCAGGAGGAAGAGGCTCAGTGTTTGGGGCCTGTGTTATGCCCTGAAAAGCCACTGCTGTTGGGTGAGGGCCCATGAGGCCTTCAGTTTGCCATCGTCATGTGCTTCTGAAGAGCCAGGATGCTGTCCACTGTTTGTCTCCTGGCGGGACAGAATTCCACTCAGTGCATATCAGGGGCAGTGATGGGGCTGGGGGTGTGAGGGCTCAGCTGTGCCCTGAACTCCTTCACAGTCTTGCAGGAGGGGTCATGGAGCCATATCTGGGTTTGCAATTTTTGGAAAGTTACGTGACGATCTGCACTCAGGAATGCTGAGTGTTCGGCAGGCCCCATGAACAGTGATCAAATGTGACGCTGTGTGTCCCACAGCCTAAGGGCTGTGGCAGAGACCAGGAGGGCCATCAGCTCCCACAGCTTTCGAGTCCACCTCAGGGCTCCTCCTTGCTGACCTCCCTGGGTTGTCAGTGGAGACAGCCACCCTCCCACAGAGCACCTGCCTGAAATGGGCCAGGCCGCCCCTGTGCCCTGGCTCTTGCTGCACATGCTGAGGTCAGCACGGAGGCGCCCTCGGGCACCAGCATGCCCTCGGGTTTGCAGCTTGTCAAATATCCCATGAAGGCAACCTGACCAAATGTGCTCTAACACCACTGGACCAATGGAACGTCTTGGGCTGAACAGATGCAGCCTTGCATCCACCGCCTGCCACCACCCTCTGTGTACACCCCCTGCACACACCTCTGCACACACCCCCCCTGCACACTGTTGCACATACCCCCTGCACACAGCCTGTGTACACTCCCTGCACAGATCCCCTGCACACAACTCCCTCACACATCCTCTGCACAAACCCTGTGTATACCCCCTGCACACACCTCTACACATACCTTCACACACCATGTATACCTCCTGCACACACCTCTGCACACACCTCCTGCACACACCTTGTGTACACTCCCTGCACACTGTTGCACACACCCCCTGCACATAGCCTCTGCACACAGCCTGTGTACACTCCCTGCACAGATCCCCTGCACACACCTCCCACACACATCCTCTGCACAAACCCTGTGTATACCTCCTGCACACACATCTACACACACCTCCTGCACACACCTTGTGTACACCCCCTGCACACTGTTGCACACACCTCCTGCACACACCTCCTGCACACACTGTTGCACACACCCCCACACATAGCCCCTACACACACCTCTGCACATACTGTTGCACACACCCCCACACATAGCTCCTGCACACACCTCCTGCACACACCTCCTGCACACACTGTTGCACACACCCCCACACATAGACCCTGCACACACCTCCTGCACACACTGTTGCACACACCCCTTGCACATACACCCTGTATATACCCCCTGCATACTCCTTATGTACAGCACTGCACATACTCCCTGCAGAGACCCTGTGTGCATCCTCTGCACACACCCCTTCTGTATACTGTCTGCACACACCCCCTACATGTACACCCTCTGCACACTCCTCCTGCATACACCCCATGTACACCTTCTGCACACACTCCCTGAACACATTCTGAGTACACCTCCTGCACACCCCGTGTACAACCTCTGCACACACCCCCTACACACTCCCCTACACACTCCCCTACACCATCCACACACACTCCCTGCACACAGCCCCTGCACACATTCCCCATGTACACCCTCTGTCTGTGTATACCCTCGTCTACTACCACCATACGTACCCCCCACCACTACCCTGCCTTGTCTATCACCCCCCAGGCTGTGACATACCAGGGATGTTGCCAACGAGCTGGTCTAATCTGGGGTGAGGGTTTCTGGGTGCCCCTAGACACCAGGAGAAAGGCGGGGAGGGGACACCCCTGGGGGTCTGGATTCACTCCACCAGGCGCTGGGCCACAGTGGTACGGTGACACAGTAGATGTCTTGAGCAGGATTAAAGTCTTCCCAATAAACAGGCTGAACTCTGTCTTCCTTGAAAGCTCTGTAGAAGGACCTCACAAGGATAAACACAGCGAGACCCTCCAGGGCGCGGTCAGCCACGAGCCACAGTGCTGGGCCTGTGACATCTCTGGAGGTTCTGGGGTGGAGAAGGACCGGCCGTGGGGAGTGACTGGCTGGGGAGAAGCTCAGCTCCCGCCCACCTCTGGGAGGCCCGGGGCTGGACGGGAGGTGCAGCAGACAAGGCTCCGGGCGGGTGCTGGGGTGTCTGGAGGGGTCCCCGCGGGGGGGTCGGGTTGGGTGGGGAGTCTAGGTGAGTCGGGGGTCCCCGGGGGCGCTGGGTTCAGGGTGGGAGCGGAGTGTGGATGGGGCAGGGTCCCCATGCCCACCACCAGCCGCGATTCCACCGCGCCTACTCGGGGTTTCCCCGGGAGGACACCGCGTGTGTCAAGGGCCGGGGCCTAGAAGGCGGCCGCGCCCAGGGAAGCCTTGACAGGGAGCTATCTGGGGCGGGGGCTGGGGTCGCGTGGCCAGTACCTGGGAGAACCGCCATTCAGGAGAACCCCCCGCCAGGCTCTTGGTTCCGCCCACGCAGTCCCGCCCCCTCCCCCAGCCACGCCCCTCGCCCCGCCGCGCAGGCCCCGCCCCGTCCCGCCAGGCTCTCGGTTCTGCCGACGCAGGTCCCGCCCCTCTCGTAGCCTCGCCCCGCCCGCCGCGCAGGCGCCGTCCGAGGGCTCCGTTTGAAACATGGCGCGGGCTGGCCCTCGGCTGGTGCTGAGCGAGGAGGCGGTTCGGGCGAAGAGCGGCTTAGGGCCTCACCGCGACCTGGGTGCGCCGGAGGGCGGGCGGGGGTGCAAGCGTGAGGTGGCGGGGGGGTGGGTGCCGAGCTTCCCGGGGCGGCGGCGGACCGTGGGCAGGCGGGACCCGTCTACGCAGGCGCCGCGGGCGTCCGGAACGGTCGCGGGCGAGCGGGGCGCGCGTGTCCAGGTGAGCGACCCACCCCCCGTGCCCAGGTGCGGCCCCTGCCCGCGTTCGGGTCCCGGCGTCCCGGCCCCTGCCTGTCTATCGGGTCACTGGTTCCGTGACTGGGGGTTACATCCGCTGAGAAGAGGGAGCCGGCCTTGCTGTCCAGGAGCGCAGCCCGCCCTCCCGCTGGGGATCACCTCCCTGGTTCTCCTGGGCCCACTCTGTGGTGATTGTTGCGCTCGGCCTTCTTGAGGATGTTGGTGGCCGGTTTCCTTCTTTTTGGCTTATTTTTGTCTGGTTTTGGCGTCAAGGTGAAGCCGAGCTCATAAACTGCTGAGAAGTGTTGCCTTCTCTTATATTTAGAAGAGGTTCTGTAGAGTGTGTGCTCATTGTTTGAATGTTTCCTGGAATTTTCCAGTGAAACCATATGGACATGTCAATTTCTGTTTTTGAAGCTTTTAAATGACAAATTCTGTATCTCTGGTTGTTAGAGAACCGTTCATATTAGTTCACCGCGAGTCTTGGCTGTGTGGGGTTTTGTGGCATTGGCTTATTTGAGCTAACTTGTGGAGTGTGTGTGTTGAGTTGTTTCTGGTGTTCTGTTGTTAGCCTGTTAATGTCTGTGTGTGGTCTGCAGGTGTTACTGGACCAACAGGTTCAGTCAGGTGCTGTGGGGGCCACAGGCCAATACACTGAGACAGTGGGGTTTGCAGCAGAGAAAGAGTTTAAGGCTGGCAGGGGCCCAGCAGGGAGGTGGAAGGAGGCCTCAATCCATCTCCCCAAGGAGATCTGAGCGGTTTTTTTTTTTTAGACGGAGTCTCACTCTGTCGTCCAGGTTGGAGTGCAGTGGCACAATCTCAGCTCACTGCAACCTCCACCTCCCAGGTTCAAGTGATTCACTCAGCCTCCTGAGTAGCTGGGATTACAAGCACGCGCCACCATGCCCGGCTAATTTTTTATATTTTTAGTAGAGACGGGGTTTCACCATGTTGGCCAGGCTGGTCTTGAACTCCTGATCTCAGGTGATCCACCTGCCTTGGCCTCCCAAAGTGCTGGGATTACAGGCATGAGCCACCTACACCCAGCCTGAGCTGGGGGTTTTAGAGGAACAGGACTGTGAGGAGCTGGAAGATTGGTGTTGTCAGTTGGTGGAGGTAAGGGCCATGGAATTATCAGGGTGTGGAAACTGCATTCTTTGGTGAATCCGCTTGCGGGGCCCTTTAGACCAGCTGGCATCAGTCCCCAGGTCCTGAAAGAATATCTCAAATGGAAAACTTAACGGTTTATAATGTCCAGGTTATTATCTGTAGAGTGGTTAAGGGGAACTGTAACCTCGTGACAAAATCCAAGTGATCCTGAGGCAGTAGGCACCACAGGGCTCTGAGGAAGCAGGTGAGAGGGCAGCTGACCTCGGGACATGCCGAGTCCTCCCTTCTTCCCTGATTAGTGCTACAAGGTTTACAGGGATATCCCTTTTCTGTTCCTGATGTTGATAATCTGTGTATTCTTTCTTTTTTAGTCTTGCTAGAGGCTTGTGAATGTTATTGATAGTTTCAAAGAACCGACTTTGGGTTTGATTTTTCTCCAGTGTTTTTCTAGTTTCAAATTTCATTGATTTCTGCTTTTTTTTATTTCCTTCTTTCTGCTTGCTTTGCATTTATTTTATACTTTTCTAAATCCTTGAGGCAAAACTGTAGATTATTGATTTGAGACTTTCCTATTTTCTATTATAAACAGTGCCACAAGTTTCCCTGTAAGCACTGCTTTAGCTGTATCCACAAATTTTGTTATGTTGTATTTTAATTTTCATCCAGTTCAGCGTATTTTAAGAATTTCCCTCGATACTTCCTGTTTGACCTGTGAATTTTTTTTTTTTTTTTTTTTTTGAGGTGGAGTCTCGCTCTGTCACCCAGGCTGGAGTGCAGTGACGCAATCTTGGCTCATTGAAAGCTCTGCCTCCTGGGTTCATGCCATTCTCCTGCCTCAGCCTCCCGAGTAGCTGGAACTCCTGACCTCATGATCCGCCCACCTCGGCCTCCCAAAGTGCTGGGATTACAGGCATGATCCACCGCGCCCGGCCTGACCTGTGGATTTTTAAGGAGTATGTTTTTAACGTTCCATGTGTGGATATTTTCCTGTTATTTTTCTGTGTGATTCCATTATGGCCAGAACATAATCTGTATGATTTTAATTCTTTTAAATTTGTCAGGGTTTGTTTTATGATCCAGCATCTGGTCTATGTTGTTGAATGTTCCAGGTGCACTTGAGTGTGTGTGTATTCTGTTGTTGAGTGGAGTGTTATGTAAATACATAAATATCAATTAGATCCTGTTGGTTGGTGATATTGTTCAGTTCTTCTGTATCCTTGCTGATTTTCTGTCTAGTGACTCTATTAATGACTGAGAGAGGGGTCTGGAACCCTTAACTGTAATTGTGGATTTGTCTGTTTTTTTTTTCACTTTGTATGTTTTGAAGCTCTGTTTGTTGAATTACATAGCTAGGATTTTTATACCTTCTTAGTGGACTGACCCTTTTAGTATATGTAGTCTTCCTCTTTTTTTTTTTTTTTTTTGAGACAGAGTTTCCTTCTTGTCCCCCAGGCTGGAGTGCAGTGGCACGATCTTGGGTCACTGCAACCTCTGCCTCCCGGGTTCACATGATTCCTCTGCTTCAGCTTCCCGAGTAGCTGGGATTACAGGCGCCTGCCATCACGCCTGCCTAATTTTTGTATTTTTAGTAGAGACGGGGTTTCACCATGTTGGCCAGGCTAGTCTCGAACTCCTGACCTCAGGTGATCTCTGCTGGGCTCCCAAAGTGCTGGGATTACAAGTGTGAGCCACGGTGCCTGGGCCTTGTTCCTCTTTTTTCCTGGTAATTTTCTTTGTTGAGACATCTGTCTTATTTGATATTACTGTTGTTACGGTAGCTTCTTTTGATTGGTTTTTGCATGGCGTATCTTTTCCTATCCATTGCTTTGAACTTTTAACCTACCTGTATCTTTA
The DNA here is from genome assembly GCF_000001405.40 of Homo sapiens. Taxonomy (NCBI): domain Eukaryota; kingdom Metazoa; phylum Chordata; class Mammalia; order Primates; family Hominidae; genus Homo; species Homo sapiens. The sequence continues at coordinate 615,583 of NC_000005.10, forward strand.
TATTTGAAATTAGTTTCCTGGTTCATTATTTTTATTCACTCTGCTAATCTCTGTCTTGTAGTAGTGTTTTAGGCCATTTACATTTAATCTAATTGTTAAATATTAGAACTTAAGTGTGCCATTTTATTGTTTTTTGATTGTTTCCTGTGTTTTTTCTTCTGTTTCCCTTTTCCTGCCTGCTGTGACTTACTCGAATATTTTTAGTATCTCATTTTGATTTATCTGTTATGTTTTGGTGTATATCTCCTTGTATGGTTTTCATAGTGGTGGCTATACAAATTACAATGTATTTATGTAATTCAACACAGTTTACTTGTACAGGTATTTTACTACTTCTAAGTGAAATATAGAAACTTTATCACCATTTAGGTCTCTATCCTCTCCCCTTTACAATTTAGTTGTCTTAAGTATTTCCTCTGCATACCTTGAGAACCGTATTAATATTATGATTTTTTTTAAATACCTAGCCTTTTCAGTAACTCAGGAGGAAACATATTTATCTGCATGTTTATCTGTTCTGTTATTTTTTCTTCATTCCACGATGCTCTAGGTTTCTTTCGTTTTTCCTTTATATTTGAAAAAATTTTTTCAGCAGTTGTCTTAGGGCAGGTCTGCTTGTGACAGATTCTCTTAGTTTTTCTCTACGGTTTTACAGTTTTCATCTGTCATCTCCATTTTGCTATTAAACTGCTCTTGTGATTTTTTGTTATTGTATTTTTCTTTGAAATTTCTATTTGTTTCTTCTTTATATCTCCTGTTTCTTTGCTAAGACTAGTTTTTCCTTTGTCTCAGGTGTTTGTAATTGCTCATTGAAGTATTTTTTATGACAGTCACTTTAAAATCCTTGTTAGACCTAAGTTCTGTGTTCTCTCTTGGTGGTATCTGTTGATTGACTGTGTTTTCTCATTCAAATTGCCATTTTTCTGGTTCTTGGTCATTTTTTATCATATTGTGGACATGCTGGGTATGATGTCATGAGACTCTGCTTCCTGTTTAAATCCCCTTACTTGAGAAGACTCCTCACTCGAGCCTGCTGGGTGCCACCTTGTTGCCGGGACAGTCATGGAGCTCCTGCCTCACCCACGGCCTCTGGCAGACCCTACTGGCTGGGAGAGTGAAGGGCACCACCTCGTTCTAGCCAGGCCGGGACAGCAGTCAGGATCCATTCTCACACCCCGGTGCTGGCTGCTGCGCAAGGCCAGGTGGACGAGGGGTGTGTGTGTGTGTGTGTGTATGTGTGTGTGTGTGTGCGCGCGAGTGGGGGTTTGCTTGCAGGAGGGCTGATGATGTGAAGAGAGTCTGTCCTGCAAGGCCCCTCCTGGTGCCAAGTGGACGAGGGGTGTGTGCGTGTGTGTATGTGTTGTTGTGTGTGTGGGTGGGGGTTTGCTTGCAGGAGGGCTGATGATGTGAACAGTGTGTGTGGTTGCAGGAGGGCTGATGATGTACAGAGAGTCTGTCCTGCCAGGCCCCTCCTGGTCCTTTGGCCATCGAGAGCAGGCTTACGGTTTTTGGTCTTTTTGTGTTTCTGGGCTGCCGACTTCTGTGGCACCCAGAGTGGGATGTGTAGTAAATAAGCATAAACAAAACCCCAGAGTCAAGCCAGGGACTCAGCGCTGGGTTCTCTCTCGAGTGCCGAGGCCCCTGGCTGGTTGGCTTCTGTTCCTTTCAGTCCCCCAATGCTTGTTCCGTATATTTTCCTCCAGGGCAGTGGGTCTAATATGCGGGAGGAGCAGGTTGAAATGTGTCCTCTCCATGTTGCCTGGAACTGGAAGAGCTCAAACCAAATTTTAAACTTAATCAGAACATATTCTGGTTGGGTGTGGTGGCTCATGCCTGTAGTCTTGGGAGGCCGAGGTGGATGGATCACCTGAGGTCAGGAGTTCGAGACCAGCCTGGCCAACATGGTCAGGAAACCACAAGACTGTCACGGAAACCCTTTTCTTTCAGTAACATGAGCCAAAGGTCACTGCACCTTGTCCCCTCCTGACCCTGTCCCGGTGGCAGGGTGTGGGGGACAATGAACTGCTTGTCTGTGTGCCTCCAAGTGGGGCAAAACCAGGCAGCATCCTGCTGTTTAGCTGCACCTGAGACGATGCCTGAGGGCTACCTGAGGAAACAGGGAAACGTGGGGTTTTAGCCGGATGTGGTGGCGTGTCCCTGTAATCCCAGCTACTCAGGAGACTGAGGCGGGAGAATCACTTGAACCTAGGAGGTGGAGGTTGCAGTGAGCCGAGATCGCACCACGGTACTCCAGCATGGGCAACAGAGTAAGACTCCATCTGAAAACAAAAACAAAAAAACCAAAACATATTCTAAAACATAAATGTTCCCAGGAAAGTATTGATGTATTCGGATCTAAACTGCCTTTTTGATTACGGAAACTTTCATCTTGTAATTAATGTTGATGTAGTGACTGCTTATGGGGTGCGTGGAGCTTGCACAGCCCGACCACAGTTGTAACAGGAGGACAGCAGACAGGTTACCCGACGAGTGGGTTTCAGATGGTGATGGCTGCAAGGGGTGACAGAATTGAGCAGCCAGAAGTGGAGGCGGGAGATGAAGTAGAGGGGTGTTCCTGGGGAGAGACGGTTTTGGAGGGAGAGGCAGTAAAGGTGGGAAGAAGCGTGTGGGCTTGGAGGTATTGTAGAGATAAACATAAGCCGAAACTTCAGGTACGTTCCTTGCTCGTCAGTGCTGATATTCCAACTCCAAAGGAGTTGCACTGAGTTCTAGGTGCCTCTTTCAGATTACGAGGATACATATCTCTCTGAGAAAAGCTGAAAATACAGAAATGTGTAAGAGGGAAAATAAAGGGATTTATTCCACAATAGGACACATGTGTTAAAGTTTGTCTTTCAATCTTTTTACATATACTGTTAGAGGAAGAAATGTTTTGAATGACCCTTGTCAGGCACAGTGAGGAAGGCTTTATTCAGAACCATTGAGGTGGGCCTGGGGCCACTGCGCTGGGATTTTGCAGTGGGGGAGAGAGATGGAGCTCAACTCCAAGTACAGCAGGGGCCGGGGGGAGTTTATAGCCTAGGGTCAGGGTGGGGGCAGTGGATGGAAAATGACTGAGAGGACACATGAGGAGTAAGGGGATTTGGGCTAAACCAACTGAACAGGATTATTGCGAAAGAGAGGCCAGGGTGAGCAGACACCACCTATGGGATCTGGGGATGAGGAACCTGAGCAGATACTGAGGGTGGGGGTTTTGGCCGCACTAAACTGGACTTTACAAGGAAGGGCACAGATGGCCGAGGAGAAGATTCAGGAGCCTGAGTAAAGTTGAATTAAACCAAGAATCTGTGTCAGTTTCTACTCCATATCCAACACCAAGAACTTGACCGTTATTATAATTGTTTTCAAAATAAAAGATTAAAATCTTACAATTTTTCTATTCTTAGCTGAGCTTCAGTCATTGTCTATTCCTGGAACTTACCAAGAGAAGATCACCCACCTGGGACATTCTCTGATGAGTTTAACAGGTCTGAAATCTTTGGATCTCTCGCGCAACTCCTTGGTTAGTCTGGAGGTAAGTTTTAGGTCTCTTTCTTAAAATTTATTGCTATCAACATCAGTGGAAAGTCCATTCACAGCAGAAACGGAGTCTGTTTTGTAACCCTCTGCTTACATCTGTATACGGTACACTTTGTGTTGCGTATTTTTGTGTTTACCGTGGGCTACATTTCATACACATCACGTTACGTTGTGTTGTCGCCCTCTGATGACGATGATTATATCTTTAAAGGAAATGAAATGAGACCCCAGAGACTTACTGAGTGGCAGTGCAGTGGGCCTGGGGCTGCCTCCTGGGCTCCTGGCAGGGTCACCCTGGAGAGAGATGCCTAGGTGGTGGTGAGGGGAGCTGTGCACAACTACCATGGCCTGATTGGCCCTGACAGAACCGTGGGATGCGCCTGCCCTGAGCCCGATGCCTGAGCATTATGGAGGCTGCGTCTGCATGGCCTGATTGGCCCGGACAGAACCGTGGGATGCGCCTGCCCTGAGCCTGGTGCCTGAGCATTATGGAGGCCACGTCTGACACCAGCTCGGGAGTCTGCTCCAAGTCAGATGCGGACCTAGCCCAGGCTACACCCAGTGCTGCCTCATCTTTCCCCGTTCCCAGGCCTCAGCTTTCTCATCTGTGAAGGGGGGGCTGATGGTTCTCACCCTGTAGGGCGGCGTGTGGATTAAATGAAATTGTGCGTGCACATCACTCAGCTTGCTGCACGCTGAGGCCTCGGTAGATATTAGCTGTGCTTAGTTGCGTCACATGTGGGTTCCATAAACGACCGTCTCACCGCGTGGGGCCCAGAGAACTTCACAGATGAGAACGTTTCATTTTTCTACTTTTCCTGGTAATGACATGGAGTTATTGCAAATAAGTTTATACAGTTGGTTGGTCAGTGTGTGTTGCTGGCTTATTTCACTGTGTATTTCTTGTTTAAAGTGTGAATGAATTCACTGTGTTTTCTGTTGACAGGGCATTCAGTACCTGACTGCATTGGAGAGTCTCAATCTCTACTACAACTGCATCTCCTCGTTGGCAGAAGTGTTTCGGCTCCACGCCTTAACCGAGCTCGTGGATGTGGACTTCCGGCTGAACCCCGTGGTGAAGGTTGAGCCTGACTACCGCCTTTTTGTTGTGCACCTGCTCCCCAAGCTCCAGCAGCTGGGTAGGCATCAGGCAGGGCCACGCTCATGCTTTTGTCCCCGTGGGGTATGGGAGTCGGGGAGTCGTAGTGGGTGTCTGTGTGCTCAACGTCACATGCTTGATTCCTTCTGGAACGGGGAGTTGGTTTTCTACGCTGGTGGCTTGAGTTCCTGCAGACACACAGCTCGAGAGGCCCTGTGTCTGCACAGGACAGGGCTGGAAGTTGAGCACCCTGGGAGGGCGCAGGGCTGGGGCCGTGGGAGCACAGCCCCGGACCAGGCTGCTACGTCCTGTTCTGGCTCTCCGCGTCATGGCTGTTGGACTTGGGCACGTTCCTGAACATCTCCTGTCCTGTTTCCTCGCATAGCCCCCAGGTATCATCTCAGGTGCAGCTAAACAGCAGGATGCTGCCTGGTTTTGCCCCACTTGGAAGCACACAGGACAAGCAGCTCATTGTCCCCCACACCCCACCACTGGGACAGGGTTGGGAGGGGATGTGCAGTGACCTTTGGATCATGCTCCTGAAAGAAAAGGCTTTCCATGACAGTCTTGTAGGCAGAACTTCCAGGGCCCCCACAGCGATGCCCAGTAGGGAGGGTCCCTGGGTTGGGGCAGCCGCAGGTCACCTTCCCATCTGCCTCCTGCCTCCCCGGAGGCATTGTTGCTGTTGCTGTTGCTGTGAGCACCTGGTGGTGTCTCTGCTGACCCTACCCCGAGTCACAGATCCAGGAGAGAAAGCTGGGGCCTCAGCCCAGGGGCACACTGACCAGAGTCCATGGGGAAGAAGAGGGTGCAGGGTCTCTTACCTCAGTCCTCCTGTGTGAAGTGGGGGGATAAGAATGCTGTGTTGACATGTCGTGGTGGGGAGACCTGAGTTAATATCTGTAAGCTCCCAGACTGCCCGGCATGGCCAGGGGCCTATAAACGTTCCCTGGTTGCTTCTGTTGTTAGGGTCAGACCTACCATGCACCGCTGTTCGAAAGCTGCCCCTCCTTCTGAACCTAGGACCTTATCAAAAACAAAAGAATCACAGAATCCCAACTATCTTGTTAGAACAAAAGACCAACAGAATCACAGAGGACAGAGCACTTTCCCCCACTGCGAGTGCCCTGAACAGGCTGTTTTCCACGGCTGTGGGGAGCATTCAGGTTCTCTTAGAGAACTGAGATTTGTATGTCAATTTCAAGTAAACAGCAGCTAAAGCACGTTGGTGGGTGATGTGCCTGGCCCCTGGGTACTGCCCGTTGTGGGCGTCGGGACTGAGGGCCAGCTGGGGTTTTGCCACCCACCAGATGAACACCCGGCAGCCCTCACCCTGTCAGCCCCATGAAGTTCGTGTGACGTCAGCAAAGCTGCACACCAGAGGTGGGAAAACAGGTGGAGGAGCACCTAAGCGCCTCAGCGAGTAGACCGGGAAGGCTGTCTGGGGCCATCGTGGAGCCATGCGGGGCCGTGTCACCTCATCACAGGGAGGACTGGCCTGCGGTATCTTGATGGTGATGTGATCACACATGTGTTTGTATATGGAATTCTCACATTTTATTTTATTTTTGAGACATAGTCTCGCTTCATCGCCCAGGCTGGAGTGCAGTGGCGTGATCTTAGCTCACTGCAACCTCCGCCTCCCGGGTTCAAGCAATACTCCTGCCGCAGCCTCCCAAGTAGCTGAGATTACAGGTGCGTGCCACTGTGCCCTGCTAATTTGTGTCTTTTTAGTAGAGATAGGGTTTTGCCATGTTGGCCAGGCTGGTTTCGAACTCCTGGCCTCAAGTCATCTGCCCACTCTGGCCTCCCAAAGTGCTGGGAATACAGGCGTGGGCCACTGAGCCTGGCCAAATTCTAACATTTTAAACTGCACTGCTTTGCTACTTGGAGAAGTTTCTGGAGATGCTGGAAAGAGCTGTCAGCATGCAGCACACACACCCTCTGTTTGGTGACAGTGTAGGTTAGTGGTATGGATTGAAATCTGTTTAAAGGAGTCCTCTTGGAAGAATGCCCCAGTCTGCCACAGTTTGACCATTTTTCAGTAACTAACGATCAAAACAATTTTTCTCTGACCTTCTAAAAGTGACTTGAGGAGCTGACAGTATCCCTGGGTCCTGGTGGACTTTGCTCTTGCAGGAGCTCAGCTCCCCTGGGCACTGGGGGCTGGCAGTTGGCAGTGGCAGCATCGGATGGGAGGGCAGCAACTGGGGTGGCATTTGCTGCTCTGCAAGGGCTGGGAGGCACTCAGGGCGTCTGTGTGGCCAAAGTGAGACCTAGCTCCCAGCATCACTGACAGGGAAGACCCTGGCTCACCCACTCATGTGGCAAGTGCTGGGCCCTGGACAGGCCCTGCGGCTGGGCTTCCAGAGCCTGAGCAGTGTGGATAGAGCTCTGTGCTGCAGCTCTTGGCAGCGAGGAGCGCCTCCTTGGGAGCATGCGGCGTGCATGCGTGGTGCTGGCCACCTGAGAGCCTGGCTGCTGTGCCTGACACTCTTCCCCCTGGGATGGGGCCGTGGACATTAACAATGGACCCCCCCAAGACACAGTGTCTGTTTCCAAACCCAATTAGGATTTCGCTGTTTAATTATAAGAGGTTTGGGAGGAATAGGCGCCTGTTTTATAGTGTTTATTTGGCCAATTAACCAAGTAACTCATAAACAGTTGAGTTTGGCTGTTTCAGGAGCTACAGTCCTTATTCTAGGTAATTTTTGGAGTCTTCAGTTCTAAATCATTGCCTCTGTAATCCAAGTTTTAGATTCAGAATCTTAGTGTTTCTGCAGAGAAGGAGCGCAGCCGTCTCCCCTCTTAGTGTTTCTGTAGAGAAGGAGCGCGGCCGTCTCCCTCTTAGTGTTTCTGCAGAGAAGGAGCGCGACCGTCTCCCTCTTAGTGTTTCTGCAGAGAGTTTCTGCAGAGAAGGAGCGCAGCCGTCTCCCTCTTAGTGTTTCTGCAGAGAAGGAGCGCGACCGTCTCCCCTCTTAGTGTTTCTACAGAGAAGGAGCACAACCGTCTCCCCGCATGTGAGAGATGCTTCCTGCAGTGGCGCTGGCAGTCAGAGGCGCTGCGGGAACCACGGAGGTGCGGGGCCCCGGGACGGCCTGCTGCCCTGCGTGGTGCCTCCTGGAGTGGGCTCGGTCCTTGGCTCCGCGTGGGTCATGGAAAGGCCCCGGTGGTGGAGGAGGCAGATAGCAAGGGCCTGCGTGTGGGATGGAGGCGGCGTCTGGAGAGACCTTGCCAGCAGGAGAGGGTGGGCTTGGGGTGAAGGTGAGTTTGCAGTTGGCTTCGGACATGCTGCATTAGAATTTACACAACAGTCCAGAGAAATGTTCTTGGAGTACGGGATTTGGAACTGACTCAGAAGGGAAGCGAGTCTTGGTGGGCAGAGAGCTATGCGTCGTTAGTGCGGGGCTGGTGAAGGCCGGGGTGGAAAGGTTGCGGGAGGGTGGGATTGGGTGCAGGTCTCCTGGCGCACGTGTCTCCTGAGGGTGCCCTGTGTGCTGGGTGGAGAGTGCCCCAGGTTGCAGAGGCCTCTGACTCGGCATCTTTGTGTGATTATCAGAACTCCTCCGTTTTTCTGCTTTGAACATTATATTATGCTATTACTCACTCATTTCTTACAGTGATTCTGTAGTTTTTGGGGCGTGCTGTAGGCTAAATGGAGGCAGCGTGGGAACTTGTCACAGAATTCACATTACAAATGGGGGTTAAGATGTGTTGTAAGTTCCAAAGCGCCAAGGTTGAAGGCCTGGGGACCTTCTTATCTTCAGGGATTTACATGAGGAAGCTCCAGGAGTTCTTGGGTGGGAGCCTGGTGGCCCCAGGTACGCACGTCCCTGAGGCCCAGCCCTAAGCACAGACCCAAAAGGCCTCCTGGAAGTTGCAGCCTCTCGGGCCGGGCAGGCTCCCTCCGTGGAGGCTTCTCTGGGTTACCTGAGTGTGACTTGAGAATCCCACCCCGCACCCGGTGTGCACTTTAGAGAAAGGGTGTGCGTGTGTGTGTGTGAGCCTCATCTGTGTGCGGCTGCTCCCGTGCGCAGCAGTGAGCTCTGAGGGACAGGCGGCCTCAGCACCACGCTGGGCATCGCCGGGAAGCTGTGGGACCACCAGAGCCCAGCATTCCGGTGCTAGGTTAGTGGGAGCAGGGCTGGCCCCGAGGGGATGGACACCCTGCCCCGTGTAGATGCCCCAGGGTGGATGCAGCCGCCCGCCGCTTGCCACCTGCACAGTCTTGTGTGGCCTTTTCTTCTAGACGATCGCCCCGTGAGAGCAAGCGAGCGGAAGGCTTCCCGACTGCATTTTGCATCAGAGGACTCACTCGACTCCAAAGAGAGCGTCCCAGCTTCTTTGAAAGAGGGCAGGTATGAACGGAAGTGCTACGGACACCCAGAGTGTTTCTGACTGGCCTGCTGTCAGGAGGATTAACCGAACGTCATTCACTGTGTGCCGGTCACTCTCCAGGGGCGGACACCAGGAGGGAGGAAGGGCAGAGCCTGCCTGGCGGGGACTCCGTGGACAGTGGGACGGGGCCTCTCTCCTGTTCTCCACATTCCTAGGAGTTATTTTTAATATCGAAACTGTTGATTAAGGTAATATGTGTAAAATCAACTCAGCAAAGGGCTTGTCCTGTCCCTTTCCCGGGGCTGGCAGCTCTCACGTCTGTGGCTGCCTCTGCTTCCAGCTCTCGCTTCAGCTACTTTCTTAGCTGCCCATCCAGCCAAATCCCACTTCTGGCCGTGAGCACATTCAGCAGGACCCGTCTTCCTGGATCGAGGAGGACTTCTTCCTCCCCCACCCTTTCTGTGACGGTGCCGGGATGCGCCTTCCTGTCTCCCTCCCCATGGCTGGTGCTGGTGAGGCCACCTTCGGAGACCGTGGGCGTGTGTGTGAGCCGGGCCTGCTTCCCCTTGCAGCCCCAGCCCTGCTGCCTGCATGTCTATGTTCGGTTGATAGTATCTGCGTGTATCCCAAAACCCTAGAGAGACTTCGTGCTTTGTTTATGGGTTGATTCAAGGGGCAGAAATCAGTGGACTCTGTCTGCATAGCCGTGGAAAGTGGTCGGATTGTACACTTTCTTGAGTACCATTTGTCTTGTCTGAGGCTTTTAATCAAATCATTTTTTTTCTTGTGTGAGATGCCTCCACTCATTTTAAACTCCTAGTGCAGGGATCAGTCAGCTTTTTTGTGTGAATGTTTTGGGCCCTGGAGGCTGCGTGACCTCTGTCCCATCTTCTTAGCTCTGCCTTTGCAGGGCGGAGGCAGCCATTGGCAGCACGGAAGCCAGGATGGTGTGCCCGTAAGATGCCCACGCACAGCGCAGGCAGGGGCCCGATTTGAGCCGTTTTTTGCTGACTTCTCTTCCAGTGTCTCCGAAATGGCTCTGCATCCCTGGGATCGCCTCTTCCCTCAGATACCTGTCCTGCAGCCCCCATCACCCCATTTCAAACCAGACTACTTGCTGCGTGGACAGCAGCACTCTGGTACCTGCACCTTCTGCTCATGTGAGCCGTGCGGGAGAAGCTGTTCCATGCCCCTCCTGGCTGCTGGTGATCTACGCAGCCGCTGGCGTTGTTTGTCTCGGAGGGCCTCCCTCCAGCCCTGCTCTCACAGGCCGTCTTCCCCTGTGTCTCTTCACAGAATCTCTCCTCCGTGCCTGTCTCTCTACGGGGCCAGGTTTCCCCTTCTTAGAAGGACACCAGTGATCGTGGATCAGGGCCCACCTTAATGGCCTCATGGTAATTTGATTGCCTCTGTAAGTCGCTGTTTCCAAGAAAGGTTGCATTCCGAGGCACTGGGTTAAGGACTTCAACATGTCTTTTGGGTGGGGGGCAGGGGGGGGCGGCACAGTGCGCCACTCCTGACACCTGGAATCCTGCACCCTGGCTGTCATCACTTGTTAGTTTCATGGGGTTTTCTTTTGGATTCTTTGTCATTTTTTACATAGAAAATCATGTCATCTGTGAACAGTTTTATTCCTTCCTTCCAGATCGGTATACCTTTTATTTCCTTTTCTTACCTTACTGCCTTATCTGGGGCTTCCAGCATGATGTTGGGAAGTCTGGTGAGAGGGAGCATCCTAGCCTCACCTCCTGTCTTGGTGGGAGAGCATCTGGTTTCCAGCGCAGCCTTGCGCCTGCTGGCCATGGATGATAGGTGTTGTCTTCATGCGGAGAAGGCTCTCTTCCACTCTCAGTTTGCTGAAAGGAATCATCATGAAGGAGTGTTAGATTTTGTCAAATGCTTTTTCTGCATCTATGATGTGATCTTGTGATTTTCTCCTTCAGCCTGTTGCTGTGAAGGATTTTCAAACATTGAACTGGGCCAGCCACAGTGGCTAACACCTGTAATCTCAGTGCTTTGGGAGGCCAAGGTGGGAGGATTGCTTGAGGCCAAGAGTTTGAGACCAGCCTGGACAACATAGTGAGACTCTGTCTGTAAGAAAACTTTTTTTTTTCTTAATTAACTGGGTATGGTGGTGCGTGCCTGTAGTCCCAGCTACTCGGGAGGCAGGAAGACCCCCTGAGCCTGGGAGTTGGAGGCTGCAGTGAGCTATGATCGCACCACTGCACTCTAACCTGGGTGACAGAGTGAGACCCTGTCTGTAAGAGAAATAGAAGTAAGTATTGAGCCAGCCGTGCATACCTAGAATAAATCCTGCCTGATTGTGGTATGGAATTCTGTTGGATTGTTGGATTCAGTTTGCTGATTTTTTAAATTGAGGATTTTTGTGTCTATTCATAAGAGATACTGGCCTGTGGTTTTCTTATATTGCCTTTGTCTGGTTTTGGTTTTAGGATCATGCTGACCGCATAGAATGAGTTAGGAAGTCATCTCTCTGCTTCCATCTTCTGGCAGATACTGTAGAGATTTGATATACTTTCTTCTGTACAGTGAGCCCATCTGGCCTGGTACTTTCTGTTTTGGAAGGTTATTAACTATTGACTTGATTTCTTTAATAGAGATCTCTACAGTTTGTCTGTTTTGGCAGATTGTTTCTTTCAAGGAATTGGTCGTCTCATCTGAGTTGTCACGTTGGTGGGCCTAGATAGATGTTCATCACATTCTTTTGTTTCCCTTTTAATGTCTCTGGGATCTGTGGTGATAACCCCTCTTTCATGTCAGTTATTCGTGTTTTCTTTTTTCTTAGTTAACATTTCCTTTGCATGTTACGAATTTTGAACTTTTGGATTAGGGCTGCCCTGTACATGGAACTCAGGCTGGCGTTTCCACAGCTACCCTTGAGCTGGGATTGGGGAACGGACTTGGTGGGTTAGAGTGTCACAGTCACTGTCTGTACTGAAAACTGGCTGTTTTCCTGCACAGTTGCTAGCTGGGTTCTGAGTTCCAAAAAAGCTCATTCTGATACCTTTTCTTATTTTTTATATAGTTGTTTTTTTACGGAGGGCTAGAATTTGGAGCTCTTTTGTCTGCCATTTTTTGCTGACACCACTCCAAATACATTTTTATTCTGATTTACAAGATTGTTTCAAATTTTTTCTCTTCTAATACATATAGGAATAAAGGAAGCACTTATTCCACGTGGTTGGAAATGCTGTATTCTAGTCAAAAAATAGTATTTTACTTGGCTTCACATTTACTTATATTAAAACTTTACAGTAGTGTTTGGTTGGTGTAAAAGTCACAAACATCACAGAAACTGATGAAAAGAAAGGGAGTAAAAGTCTTCCCCCGCCATTCACGCTGCTGACCGTGACCAGCGGCAACGTGTGGATGCACTTTCCTGCTTTCTCAGGGTGCGCGCGGGCACGGAGCGTCACTCGGTGCGTGCAGACATGGAGCGCCACTGCACGTAAGATTACTCTTTATACCACACGCGACTTTTAACCTCTAGATGATGAGAACAGAATATGCTTCATAGCACAGTGGCACAGACACGAGGGTTAGTGATTGACACGCCCGCCGGGTCGTCTTTGTGGACATTCAGACTCATTGTGTCCCGGCGTGAAAGCTTCAGTCATGGATTTTCTCAGTTGAGATTGTCCACAGTTCCCGTCTTTGATCATCTCAAGACTGAACTATCACAGAGATGAGAGTGGAAGATGACGTGGGTCAATGTCCATACCGCACAGAGGAGGTGGGGGACGCCCAAGGAACTATGCTCAGTGTCAGGCTTCAGGGAGGTCCTGGCCCCAGGACCCAGCCCCCTTCTTTGTGCAGCTTCTGGAGAACTCAGGTCACAGGCCCCGGGGATTGGCCCCAGGACCCAGCGCCCTTCTTTGTGCAGCTTCTGGAGAACTCAGGTTGCCGTCCCTGGGGAGTGTTCCCAGGACCCAGCCCCCTTCTTTGTGCAGCTTCTGGAGAACTCAGGTTGCAGTCCCCGGGGAGTGTTCCCAGGACCCAGCCCCCTTCTTTGTGCAGCTTCTGGAGAACTCAGGTCGCAGTCCCCGGGGAGTGGCCCCAGGACCCAGCCCCCTTCTTTGTGCAGCTTCTGGAGAACTCAGGTCACAGGCCCCGGGGAGTGTTCCCAGGACCCAGCCCCCTTCTTTGTGCAGCTTCTGGAGAACTCAGGTTGCAGTCCCCGGGGAGTGTTCCCACGACCCAGCCCCCTTCTTTGTGCAGCTTCTGGAGAACTCAGGTTGCCGTCCCCAGGGAGTGGCCCCAGGACCCAGCGCCCTTCTTTGTGCAGCGTTCTGGAGAACTCAGGTTGCCGTCCCTGGGGAGTGGCCCCAGGACCCAGCCCCCTTCTTTGTGCAGCGTTCTGGAGAACTCAGGTCACAGGCCCCGGGGAGTGTTCCCAGGACCCAGCCCCCTTCTTTGTGCAGCGTTCTGGAGAACTCAGATCGCAGGCCCCGGGGAGTGGGACTGTCCTCGGGTGGACCAGGTGTCGTATCATGAGCCACTCACAAAAGCAGCGTTCCTGGTCACTGCCCTTGGGTTTGTTTTGTGTAGATATCTCTTAACTGCCTTTGTTGGAAACAAGGTCCCCTTTGAGCACATTCTTCTCTGTATAGAGGGTCACCATGCTAAGGTGGGTCATATTCTGACACACCTCTGATTTCAGCCATTATGAAAACATTCTCCCTGAATGTGAAAGTGAACATTTGGAACACTTAACTTTCTTGATCACGTGTATCTCCTTGTGGATGTGCTAGGAAAAGTGTAATCACATAGCAGAACAGAATCTTCCAGAACTTTAATTTTTGAACCAATCCTAGTGGGGTTCTGTCCAGTGCCGGGATTTGGACCAGTCCTGGTGGGATTCTGTCCAGTGCCGGGATTTGACCCAGTCCTGGTGGGGTTCTGTCCAGTGCCGGGATTTGGACCAGTCCTGGTGGGGTTCTGTCCAGTGCCGGGATTTGGACCAGTCCTGGTGGGGTTCTGTCCAGTGCCGGGATTTGGCCCAGTCCTGGTGGGGTTCTGTCCAGTGCCGGGATTTGGCCCAGTCCTGGTGGGGTTCTGTCCAGTGCCGGGATTTGACCCAGTCCTGGTGGGGTTCTGTCCAGTGCCGGGATTTGGCCCAGTCCTGGTGGGGTTCTGTCCAGTGCCGGGATTTGACTCAGTCCTGGTGGGGTTCTGTCCAGTGCCGGGATTTGGCCCAGTCCTGGTGGGGTTCTGTCCAGTGCCGGGATTTGGCCCAGTCCTGGTGGGGTTCTGTCCAGCGCCGGGATTTGGCCCAGTCCTGGTGGGGTTCTGTCCAGCGCCGGGATTTGGCCCAGTCCTGGTGGGGTTCTGTCCAGTGTCGGGATTTGACCCAGTCCTGGTGGGGTGCTGTCCAGTGCCGGGATTTAGACCAGTCCTGGTGGGGTTCTGTCCAGTGCTGGGATTTGACCCAGTCCTGGTGGGGTTCTGTCCAGTGTCGGGATTTGACCCAGTCCTGGTGGGGTGCTGTCCAGTGCCGGGATTTAGACCAGTCCTGGTGGGGTTCTGTCCAGTGCTGGGATTTGACCCAGTCCTGGTGGGGTTCTGTCCAGTGCCGGGATTTGGCCCAGTCCTGGTGGGGTTCTGTCCAGCGCCGGGATTTGGCCCAGTCCTGGTGGGGTTCTGTCCAGCGCCGGGATTTGGCCCAGTCCTGGTGGGGTTCTGTCCAGCGCCGGGATTTGGCCCAGTCCTGGTGGGGTTCTGTCCAGTGCCGGGATTTGACCCAGTCCTGGTGGGGTTCTGTCCAGTGCCGGGATTTGGCCCAGTCCTGGTGGGGTTCTGTCCAGTGCCGGGATTTGACCCAAGTCCTGGTGGGGTTCTGTCCAGTGCCGGGATTTGACCCAGTCCTGGTGGGGTTCTGTCCAGTGCCGGGATTTGGCCCAGTCCTGGTGGGGTTCTGTCCAGTGCCGGGATTTGACCCAGTCCTGGTGGGGTTCTGTCCAGTGCCGGGATTTGGCCCAGTCCTGGTGGGGTTCTGTCCAGCGCCGGGATTTGGCCCAGTCCTGGTGGGGTTCTGTCCAGCGCCGGGATTTGGCCCAGTCCTGGTGGGGTTCTGTCCAGTGCCGGGATTTGACCCAGTCCTGGTGGGGTTCTGTCCAGTGCCGGGATTTGGCCCAGTCCTGGTGGGGTTCTGTCCAGTGCCGGGATTTAGACCAGTCCTGGTGGGGTTCTGTCCAGTGCCGGGATTTGACCCAGTCCTGGTGGGGTTCTATCCAGTGCCGGGATTTGGCCCAGTCCTGGTGGGGTTCTGTCCAGTGCCGGGATTTGACCCAGTCCTGGTGGGGTTCTGTCCAGTGCCGGGATTTAGACCAGTCCTGGTGGGGTTCTGTCCAGTGCCGGGATTTGGCCCAGTCCTGGTGGGGTTCTGTCCAGTGCCGGGATTTGACCCAGTCCTGGTGGGGTTCTGTCCAGTGCTGGATTTGACCCAGTCCTGGTGGGGTTCTGTCCAGCGCCGGGATTTGGCCCAGTCCTGGTGGGGTTCTGTCCAGCGCCGGGATTTGGCCCAGTCCTGGTGGGGTTCTGTCCAGCGCCGGGATTTGGCCCAGTCCTGGTGGGGTTCTGTCCAGTGCCGGGATTTGACCCAGTCCTGGTGGGGTTCTGTCCAGTGCCGGGATTTGGCCCAGTCCTGGTGGGGTTCTGTCCAGTGCCGGGATTTAGACCAGTCCTGGTGGGGTTCTGTCCAGTGCCGGGATTTGACCCAGTCCTGGTGGGGTTCTGTCCAGTGCCGGGATTTGGCCCAGTCCTGGTGGGGTTCTATCCAGTGCCGGGATTTGACCCAGTCCTGGTGGGGTTCTGTCCAGCGCCGGGATTTGGCCCAGTCCTGGTGGGGTTCTGTCCAGCGCCGGGATTTGGACCAGTCCTGGTGGGGTTCTGTCCAGCGCCGGGATTTGGACCAGTCCTGGTGGGGTTCTGTCCAGCGCCGGGATTTGGACCAGTCCTGGTGGGGTTCTGTCCAGTGCCGGGATTTGGACCAGTTCTGGTGGGGTTCTGTCCAGTGCCGGGATTTGGACCAGTCCTGGTGGGGTTCTGTCCAGTGCCGGGATTTGGCCCAGTCCTGGTGGGGTTCTGTCCAGTGCCGGGATTTAGACCAGTCCTGGTGGGGTTCTGTCCAGTGCTGGATTTGACCCAGTCCTGGTGGGGTGCTGTCCAGTGCCGGGATTTAGACCAGTCCTGGTGGGGTTCTGTCCAGTGCCGGGATTTGGCCCAGTCCTGGTGGGGTTCTGTCCAGTGCCGGGATTTAGACCAGTCCTGGTGGGGTTCTGTCCAGTGCTGGATTTGACCCAGTCCTGGTGGGGTTCTGTCCAGTGCCGGGATTTGGCCCAGTCCTGGTGGGGTTCTGTCCAGCGCCGGGATTTGGCCCAGTCCTGGTGGGGTTCTGTCCAGCGCCGGGATTTGGCCCAGTCCTGGTGGGGTTCTGTCCAGTGCTGGGATTTGACCCAGTCCTAGTGGGGTTCTGTCCAGTGCCGGGATTTGGCCCAGTCCTGGTGGGGTTCTGTCCAGTGCCGGGATTTAGACCAGTCCTGGTGGGGTTCTGTCCAGCGCCGGGATTTGGCCCAGTCCTGGTGGGGTTCTGTCCAGCGCCGGGATTTGGACCAGTCCTGGTGGGGTTCTGTCCAGTGTCGGGATTTGACCCAGTCCTGGTGGGGTGCTGTCCAGTGCCGGGATTTAGACCAGTCCTGGTGGGGTTCTGTCCAGTGCTGGGATTTGACCCAGTCCTGGTGGGGTTCTGTCCAGTGTCGGGATTTGACCCAGTCCTGGTGGGGTGCTGTCCAGTGCCGGGATTTAGACCAGTCCTGGTGGGGTTCTGTCCAGTGCTGGGATTTGACCCAGTCCTGGTGGGGTTCTGTCCAGTGCCGGGATTTGGCCCAGTCCTGGTGGGGTTCTGTCCAGCGCCGGGATTTGGCCCAGTCCTGGTGGGGTTCTGTCCAGCGCCGGGATTTGGCCCAGTCCTGGTGGGGTTCTGTCCAGTGCCGGGATTTGACCCAGTCCTGGTGGGGTTCTGTCCAGTGCCGGGATTTGGCCCAGTCCTGGTGGGGTTCTGTCCAGTGCCGGGATTTAGACCAGTCCTGGTGGGGTTCTGTCCAGTGCCGGGATTTGACCCAGTCCTGGTGGGGTTCTATCCAGTGCCGGGATTTGGCCCAGTCCTGGTGGGGTTCTATCCAGTGCCGGGATTTGACCCAGTCCTGGTGGGGTTCTGTCCAGCGCCGGGATTTGGCCCAGTCCTGGTGGGGTTCTGTCCAGCGCCGGGATTTGGACCAGTCCTGGTGGGGTTCTGTCCAGTGCCGGGATTTGGACCAGTTCTGGTGGGGTTCTGTCCAGTGCCGGGATTTGGACCAGTTCTGGTGGGGTTCTGTCCAGTGCCGGGATTTAGACCAGTCCTGGTGGGGTTCTGTCCAGTGCCGGGATTTGGCCCAGTCCTGGTGGGGTTCTGTCCAGTGCCGGGATTTAGACCAGTCCTGGTGGGGTTCTGTCCAGTGCCGGGATTTGACCCAGTCCTGGTGGGGTGCTGTCCAGTGCCGGGATTTAGACCAGTCCTGGTGGGGTTCTGTCCAGTGCCGGGATTTGGCCCAGTCCTGGTGGGGTTCTGTCCAGTGCCGGGATTTAGACCAGTCCTGGTGGGGTTCTGTCCAGTGCTGGATTTGACCCAGTCCTGGTGGGGTGCTGTCCAGTTCCGGGATTTAGACCAGTCCTGGTGGGGTTCTGTTCAGTGCCGGGATTTGGCCCAGTCCTGGTGGGGTTCTGTCCAGTGCCAGGATTTAGTCCCGTCCTGGTGGGGTTCTGTCCAGTGCTGGATTTGACCCAGTCCTGGTGGGGTGCTGTCCAGTGCCGGGATTTAGACCAGTCCTGGTGGGGTTCTGTTCAGTGCCGGGGTTTGGCCCAGTCCTGGTGGGGTTCTGTCCAGTGCTGGGATTTGGCCCAGTCCTGGTGGGGTTCTGTCCAGTGCCGGGATGCTGTCATGTTATCACGTAACCTGGCTGTTGCTCACCGATTGTCCTTGGTGAGTCACTCTTTAGCATCACTGCAGTGGAAGCAACAGGACCCGGCTGCCCCACGTTTGCAGCACGCTGCTTCTCTCAGAGACCGTGCAGGAATTTTCCTTCTCCTGGTCTGCGTGGGCCGGAGCATATGGCTGGCTTGAGTGATGCTGATGAGTTTGCTTTTCCTTACAGACCACACCACCCCAGAGCCAAGTGCACCGAGGCCTTGGCCAAGCAGAGCCTGGTCATGGATGCGGATGACGAGGCAGTCCTGAACCTCATTGCAGAGTGCGAGTGGGACCTCGGCAGGCCTCCCGGGAGCACGAGCTTCAGCCAGAAGGGGCGTGAGGCCGACTCTCGTGGTTCCCAAGGTGCGCTGCTCATCTGCCAGGAGGCCAGTGGGTCCGCTGGCTCTGGGATATATATAGTCGTTACTGGGCTTGGAGTCCACAGTTGCTCTTTTTGTGGAACTTACCTTGAAGGATAGGATCTTCATGATGTGTCTTTGTGTGCTTTCGAATGCCAGCCATTTGGACTACAGAGTTATAAATGAGAAAGTTAACATATTTGAGTATAGTCATACTGCATGATGGTTTAAATTGTATCCTTCTGAGATCACAGGAAAAGGCAAACTGTCTAAAACAGACAAGAAGCCTAGTGTCCTGTGGCAAGTGGGGCTGACATCTGCGGCAGCTGCAGGGGGGCATAGTCACCGAACTTGCAGGAAACCCTGAGCTCAGGCCGCCACGTGCAGACCTGTAGATCCCAGCAAGGGTGTCTCGGAGACTCCGTTGCCCGGTGGCACTGCCCTCCACTGGGATGTGCTGATGGGCTTTAGCTTCATTTATTCCACCTCCGCTGTGAGTTTCTGAGAACTTTTCGTGGAAACAACAGGTGGAGACCTGAGTTTGGGCTGAAATCTTAGGTTCATCTGTGCAAAGATGTCTGCCCTGTGGCAGCGGTGCTCGAGCCATGTCCTTGCCGGCACTGGGAGCTGAGTCCTTTAATCCTAGCTGCTCTGTCAGGGGGTTGTGGTCTGTGTTTATGGCTTTAATTTGCATCCGCTGCTGTTGAGATACTGGCCGTGCCTGTCTCTTCTTTTCTCTCCAGGTCTGCCCACCTTTGTTCTGGGGTTGCTTCTCTTAGTATTGAGTCCTAAGAGATCTTGGTGGTTTTGACACAGGCCCTTTCTCAGGCACAAGGGCTGCCCATTTCCTCCCTTCTGTGGCTGGCCTTTTCATTATCTGAACAGTGCTTTGAAGAGCACAAGTTTTAATTTCATTACAGTCCAGTTTATGAAGGGCACAGTTTATTTTGTTTTTTGTTTTGTTTATTTTGAGATGGAGTTTTGCTCTGCCGCCCAGGCTGGAGTGCAGTGGCGCAATCTTGGCTTGCTGCAGCCTTTGCCTCCCGGGTTCAAGTGATTCTCCTGCCTCAGCCTCCCAAGTAGCTGGGACTACAGGCGCCCACCACCACACCCAGCTAATTTTGTATTGAGACTGTCTGGACTCTCTCTTCTGTTTTGTGCATCATTTTGTCTGACTTTGCTCCACTTCATGCGGCTGGATTCTTGCAGCCTTGTCCTGAGTCTCGCAGGCGAGTGGCGCCAGTTCCCAGTTCCAAGCTCTCTTGCTGTTAGAAGTCACTGTGGATTCATTTCAGTGTCACCCAGCACGTGATTAACCCCTCGGTCTAACAGATACCATACACTATTCAGAAGCTTAAAATGTAATTTTTGATGGAATAAAACTTTTACAATGTTTTATGAAATATTTTATTTACAATATTTTAATAGAATCCAGACATCTGTTGAGCCCGCAGTTGGTACAGTACCAGTGTGGGGACTCTGGGAAGCAGGGCCGTGAGACGAGGAGGAGCAGCTGCAGAGGGTGCTGTCTGGAGAAGATGCCTTGGAGCCAGCTCTGTGGAGAGCTTCCGCCACTGTACGGAGCGGAGCCAGAGGCCTCCCGTGCCCCCAGGCCACACACGTACTTCACCCCACACCCAGGTACTTACGCGTGTCTTAGTCTGTTTTCTGTTGCTGTAACAGAAAACCACAGACTGAGTAATTTATAAAGAACAGAAGCTTATGTGGCTCATGGTTCTGGAGGCTGGGAAGTCCAAGAGCACGGTGCCGGCACCTGGTGCTGGTCCTCCCATGGCACAGGCAGAAGCATGGTGCAGGCAGAAGCAAGCTCAAGACAGAGAAATGGAGCTAGACTCATCCTTTATCGGGAACCCAGCCCTGCGCTACAGCATTCCTGCCTCCCTGCGGGCTGGCCCTGTGACCTGTTCCAGACTCATCCTTTATCAGGAACCCAGCCCTGCGATACAGCATTCCCGCCTCCCTGAGGGTTGGCCCTGTGACCTGTTCCAGACTCATCCTTTATCAGGAACCCAGCCCTGTGCTACAGCATTCCTGCCTCCCTGAGGGCTGGCCCTGTGACCTGTTCACCTCTTAAAGGCCCTCCGCTTAATACTGTTAGAGTGGCAATAAGTTTCCAGCTTAGGAACTTTGGGGGGTTCCTTCGAACTACAGCAACATGAAATCCCTGTCAACTTTTACTCCCTTCAGTTCCTTTTTAAGTAGTTAAATATTTTTCACATCGTTTGCTTTTACTATGAAATTTCTCCTGTTCTCTGTGTATTTATTTGTTTGTGGAACTCTCCAAAATGTCTTTGGAAAGAATGCAGCACATTGAAATTTATAATCCATTCATGGTTTAGATTCATGGTTGGTAAATAAGTGCTTTTTCTCTGCACGTGTGTGTGTGCACACCCTCCCTCACCCTCTCACTAATGCACACACACTTTTAAGTGTATGGGCCCAGGTTATGGCAATAGCTACATTTTGAAAATCAAAGGCGAGAAAAGTTAACCAAGAGTGTCACGTGATACCATGTGATGGCCACCTATGTGGCATAAGTATCAGAAAACCTCCTGCCGTGAGCAGGCCAGACACGGTGGCTCACGCCTATAATCCCAATATTTTGGGAGGCCGAGGCAGGCGGATCATTTGAGGTCAGGAGTTTAAGACCAGCCTGGCCAACATGGTGAAACCAGGTCTCTACTAAATATACAAAAATATCTGGGCATGGTGGCGGGCACCTATAGTCCCAGCTACTCAGGAGGCTGAGGCATGAGAATCGCTTGAACCTGGGAGGTGGAGGTTGCAATGAGCCTAGATGGCATCACTACACTCCAGCCTGGGCAATAGAGCAAGACTCCAACTCAAAAAAAAAAAAAAAAAAGAAAAAGAGAAACCTTGTCTCGCGTGACCCTGGCGCCTCCTGGAAGCTTGCTCATGCCCAACTGGTGAGAGGCAGGGGACCTAGCCAGGTTGTCTGTCAGCCGCTGCAGGATGTGATGGGTCATCTTGAGTTGAGCAGGCTGTGGTGGAGGCCAAGGCTGTGCCCGTTTTGTGCCTTCTCCTGCCTTCATTGTCCTTCCACAGACAAGTTTGCCTTCCCCCGGGTCTTGTGTGTCCTGGGGGCTTAGTGGTCGGTACAGTGCACGGGACCCACCACTTTACGGACCATCAGAGTCTGTCACTTCACCTGTCTTCAGAGATGGGCGTGTGCTTAGACGTTGTTTGGAACGCGTTGTTGAAGCGTACTGCACGTCGGTCATCACGGGGTGAACACGCGAAGCTGGGCGGTCCGTGTCTGCTTCATCCAGACTCCCCCAGAGTTTGCGTGTTAGCACGTGTGCCCCAGTATGCCCCTTTCTTCCCTCGGCACCCTCCCTCTGCATGTGCCTTTGTGCAGGTGTATGGATGTATGTATGCACGTGGATAGGTGTGCGTGTACATATGTAAGTGTGCGTGTGTGTCCATGTGTGTATATACATGGGCACACACATGCCTTTTAAAAGTTACAGTGCTGAACACTGCACCCAGAGAATTTGGCCTGACGTGCGCCCCATCCTCTCTATATCTCAGACTCCATGGATACCGAGGACTCGGCCTCTTCTCAGAAGTTGGATTTGTCAGGAGAAATGGTGCCTGGTCCCCTGCCAGCCCCCGGAAAGTGCAGGAAGCGAAGAATGCCTGTTGGAAGATTCCAGACGTTTTCGGACCAGGAGGGTTTGGGCTGCCCGGAGAGAACTCATGGGTCCTCCGTGCCCAAGGAGAGCCTGAGCAGACAGGACAGCTCAGAAAGCAGGAACGGGAGGACCTTGTCTCAGCCTGAGGCCTCGGAGACTGAGGAGCAGAGGTCTCGGGGTGTGACCGACACCAGAGAGGTGAGAGAAGGGCTGGGGAGCAGCAGGCCCACGGCACTGCCTCCCTAATGTGGGGCTGTTACGGCTTTGGCGGGGCCGTGATTACGCCTGCGGCACTGACTGTGTCCCTCCCTGATGCAGGGCTGTTACGGCGGTGCCGTGATTACGCCTACGGCACTGACCGTGTCCCTCCCTGATGCGGGGCTGTTACGGCTTTGGCGGTGCCGTGATTACGCCTACGGCACTGACCGTGTCCCAGGATAAAGGGAATCATCACACTTAGGGTTCCAGGGTGCTTGCTGCTGCGTTTTGTTGGACGTGTGCCTCTGTGCCACACGCTGTCCTGCGCTGCTGTTCTGAGTGGAAGCCCCGTGGTGGAGAGAGGGGACTCTGCCTTACGGTGCACAGGGCATTTGTCTCCAAAGCTGGAATCGGGCATCTTGGCCGGCTGAGCCATTGATGACCCTTTCGTGAGGGGAGGATCCTGGAGGTCGCTGTGATGAGAGACCGAGTCACTCCACCCTCAGGGTGACCTAGAGGTCAGGGGGACAACTGGCGCAGGCCCAGTCAGAGGCGTTGAGACACACCTGCTGTAGACATGAGTGCAGACCACCCAGAAGGGAACAGGCAGGGGCTGTTCACTTGGTACTTGCCACAACGAGGGCTTCAGACTCCCATGCAGGCAGAGGAGCTTGAAGGTGCGGAACTGTGGGACAGGAAGGGAGGCATGGCCGGAGCTAGAGGCAGCTCCGTAGCAGCATGGGGTGGGGGGGGGTCCCAGAGCTGGGTGGGGCGTGTTTGACGTCCCCGGCAGGTCCTGAGCTGGAAGGAGGCAGAGATGGGGGAGGTGGGCGGTCTGTTTCAGGGTTATTGTTTGACTCCGGGCCATTGCTGGGGACAGCGCCTGGCACCCTCTACCAGCCTGACTGTGGGTGCAGGCTGCTTCCTGGGCAGCTCCTTTTGAACACAGGCTCTGACTGCGGCCTGGATGTGTCTTCCGCTTCCCTGTCTGGGTTGAGGGGAGGAGTCTGGGGCCTGCTTGAGTTGGGAATGTGTGGGCCCCGTCCTGTCCTGTCATCGAGACCTCACTCATCCAGGACCGGTGCACCTGGCTAAGCCTCACTGGGCAGGCACTGCTGAGCCGCCCTCCACCTGGCTCAGGGCTGGGGCCTCAGGGCACCTGTCCTCCCCTTCGTGGTGCGAGGGCATCCCAGGGTGCGCTTGGGCACCTGCTGGCATTCAGGACCTCAGTTACTGACTCGCTGGCCTCATGCTGTTGTTTCCATCACAGCCGTCTCCCGGGTCACACTCGGCTCTACCCGGGAAGAAGACGGCCCTGCAGGCGGCGCTCCTGGAGACGCTCTTGGACCTGGTGGACAGGAGCTGGGGCGGCTGCAGGTCCCTGCACAGCAACGAGGCATTCCTTGGTGAGTCAGGGCGGCCACTGCTCTTGCCCTGTAGGCAGCGTCTGTGTGGGTTCCGGGGTCCTCTGCGTGTGGTGACCTAGGAGTCATCTCAGCCCCAGGTCTCCTATGTCCCCTCCCACGAGCGTGTGGTGGTCCCGCGCCTGGGCCCTCCCTGGCAGTCTTTGCATCTCACAGTGTCCAGGGCTCTCGGGAGACACCACATGGGCCTGGGCCTGTGGGTCCCCCGCTGTGCTCTGGGGTGTTGGGGGGCCTGTCACCTCATTTTGCTCAAAATGCTGTCCAAAGGGGCTTGGTTCTGATGGCTGTGATCACATGGGGATTTGGAGTTTGGAAGCTGCTCAGCATCTTCTCCCCCGACCCAGACGTGTAGCCTGTGCTGGGCCTGGATTGCAGAGCTTTTGGTTGGTGTGGGACCCAGGAGGGTGGTCCCTCCCCAGAGAGGACTTGGGTCTGTTGGATTCTACCAGGCAACCCGTACATGAGCACACTGGGGCCTCCCTCATCCAGGATCACACTGGGAGACCAGGAGATGCCGCGTCCCCAGGGGCACCTTCTCTTTGTCCTGCATCCTGGGGTGTGGCTGTGTGTGTCCCTCAGGAGCCTAGCCAGTGTGCTTCTCCCCGCAGACCCTGGGCACGGCTCTGAGCTGTCTGACTGCGCCTTGCAGTGTTATAGCCCCTCAGCTCCTAGAATGAGGACGCCCTGCAGTCGCAGCCCACCTGGACCCCAGCCCCATAAACCTCCCCTCTCCCTAGGCTGGTGTCCTGTGGGAGCCTCCTGAGCTTGCCATCGTCGGTGGCGGGGGGACTGTCCCAGGCCCAGGCCACTGTCCCAGTGTGGAGTTGCCAGCTGTCGTCTGCATGGTGGTTTCCACACAGGGCAGTCGGTGCTTGTGGAAGGCGCAGCGAGTTGTGGCGGCGCCACTGAAACCTTGAGACGTGGCGGCCCCTGGTTGCCCCTTTTCTTGGAGGTCACCTCTTCTCTTTCTTCAGTTCCCACCCTGCCCGTGTGTGGACGCACAGAGCCTGAGGTGGTTTTGTGGCGCCAACACCCCTTTCCCCTCTCCCTACCTGTCGTCTTTTTGAGGCATCGTCTGTGTGATTCAAAACATACTGAGCCGATTTTGTTTACATTTCATCCTTTAAGCCTAAGTGCTAATGTAATATTTGGTTTTCACTCCTAGCTCAGGCAAGACACATCTTGTCATCTGTTGAAGAATTCACAGCAGCTCAGGACAGCTCTGCGATGGTGGGTGAAGATGTCGGCTCCCTGGCTCTGGAGAGTAAGTCCCTGCAAAGCCGCCTTGCTGAGCAGCAGCAGCAGCACGCCCGGGAGATGAGCGAGGTGACGGCGGAGCTGCACCACACACACAAGGAGCTGGTGAGCCCGCCCTGGCGCTGTGTCTGTGTCCATGTGACTGGGGGAAACATGGCTCTGACTTCCAGGAACGAGGGCAGCTCCTTGATGCCACACTGTCCCAACTGCCATCTCTGCAGCCCCATGTCTCCACTCCCTGCCCGGGACCCGGCCACCCCCGGAACGCGGCCTGCCCTGTCTCACAACAGGCCTGGAGCACTTTGGAGACAGCAGTGGCGCTGGCCACCTTCTCTCCCCGGGCCCAAGGGACCCTCCACCACTGGGCAGTGCCGGGTGCTGCAGGAGCCAGGCCTGGACGTGACTTTGTCTTGCTGACCCATCTCTCAGGGCCTCGAACTGGGGAAAACCGAGGCCACTCTCCTTTTATGAAGGAGATGACGGCCAGTGTCCCATGGTGAGCTGGGGCTACAGGGCAAGTTACCCCAAAACCAGCAGCTGAAAACCTGCATTTATCACCTTGGATTTCTGTGTATTGGGCCTCAGGCTCAGCTCAGCCAGGCTCCCTCCTTCCGTCTCAGCCGTGGGCCGGGGCCGCCGTCTCATCTGAGGCCTCATGGGGGCTCTGTCTCAGCCGTGGGCTGGGGCCACCGTCTCATCTGAGGCCTCACGGGACAGGATCCTCCCAGGCTCCCTCCACGCTGCAAGGGCCTCCCCACGGGCTGCTGGCATCCTTAGCACAGGGAGCTGGTGGTCAGAGAGCCACACCCAGGCAGAAGCCGCCCTCCGGGAGTCCTGGTGTGAGGGCAGAGCCACGTGAGGATGTGCACATCCAGAGGGGCCTTGTCAGCATCTTTAAATTGCGAGTGAAGTCGGCCCGGGACGGCTTCGAAAACTGCCTCTGAACTTGTCTGACAAGTACATACTGTCCGTTTCATGGGAACCAACATCTCAGAGATCCCACACAACGCTTCCTCTTTAGAGAAGAAAAACACAGCAAAACAACACAGGCAGCCTCTGTTTAAACGCACGTGGCCCCCCCACCCCGCCTGGAAGCCTCTGCACGTGGCCTTCATCTGGAAGCCTCTGTATTTAAACACATGTGGGCCTCCTCCATCTGGAAGCCTCTGTATTTAAACACACGTGGGTCCCCATCCCCCGTCCAGAAGTCTCTGCATTTAAACACACATGGCCCCCCATCCCCCATCCAGAAGCCTGTGCATTTAAGCACACGTGGTCCCCCGTCTAGAAGCCTGTGCATTTAAGCACACGTGGTCCCCGGTCCAGAAGCCTCTGCATTTAAGCACACGTGGTCCCCCGTCCAGAAGCCTGTGCATTTAAACACACGTGGTCCCCCGTCCAGAAGCCTGTGCATTTAAACACACGTGGTCCCCCGTCCAGAAGCCTCTGCATTTGAACACACGTGGTCCCCCGTCTAGAAGCCTGTGCATTTAAGCACACGTGGTCCCCCGTCTAGAAGCCTGTGCATTTAAACACACGTGGTCCCCCGTCTAGAAGCCTCTGCATTTAAGCACACGTGGTCCCCCGTCCAGAAGCCTGTGCATTTAAACACACGTGGTCCCCCGTCCAGAAGCCTCTGCATTTGAACACACGTGGTCCCCCGTCTAGAAGCCTCTGCATTTAAACACACGTGGTCCCCCATCTAGAAGCCTCTGCATTTAAGCACACGTGGTCCCCCGTCCAGAAGCCTCTGCTTTTAAACCAACGTGGCCCCTCCTCTGGAAGCCTCTGTATTTAAACACACATGGCCCCTCATCTGGTGGAAGCCTCTGGATTTAAGCACACATGGCCCCTTCTCTGGAAGCCTCTATATTTAAACACGTGTGGCCCCCCGTCTGGAAGCCTTTATACTGAAACACACGTGACCGGCTGTCTGGAAAGTGAGCTGGGCGCCGTCACTGATGATGTCTTTTCTGTGGGACACAGTCAGGCACACCCCTTGCCCTTCTGAGCCTGGGACGAGACAGAGCTGACAGGCGGAGCCCAAAGGTGTGCCGAGCACCAGTGCTGCCAGGGGTGAGAGTCACATGCAGCTGTGGCTGCCGTGGACGCCTGCTTTTTTGCCCTCTGCAGTTTGCCTAACCCCTGCAGTTTGCAGGCAGCCCTGGGCCTCTGGACAGAGCAGCCCTGGTTCCCTGTCAGGGTGAGTGATCCAGAAGAATCTGGCAGCCCGAGCCCCGCGGGTAAGGAGCAGTCAGCACCGTCAGGAACCCCGCGGAGGGAGCAGCCGTGCAGGCTGGTGGGCACTGCTTTCCAGGGAGGCCCACATCTGTCACTCCAGAAGCACCCAAGTTTACTCTGCCACGTGAGGACGCTCATCCCTCGGTCACATGAACCTAGACCTTGCTTCCTTTGGAAGCTGCAGTCGGGTGTCCTGAGGCAAGGTGGCCCCACTTCCAGCTGCTGTGCCTGGCACGGCCTCTGAGGCAGATGGGCTGCGCCCAGCTTGGGTGCAGTCGGTCCTCTGTTCCCTGCACCTGTCGTGGCCTAGACTCCAAAAAATAAAAAATTAGGTGTGGTGGCACACTCCTGTCATCCCAGCTATTTTGGGAGGTAGAGGCAGGAGGCTCAGGAGTTGGGGGCTGCAGTGAGCTGTGATTGCTCCACTGCCCTCTAGTTTGTGCGACAGAGGGAGACTTTGCCTCAAAGAAACAAATGAAAAAGAGCTGGGAGCTCACAGCCCTGCCTTAAGAGCTCACCGCATCCTTGGGAGGCAAAACCATGAGACGTGGCACTGCCAGGAGCTTTCTGGACGACCCAAAGCCCCGCGCGGAGGGCAGGTCATGCTGGTTGGCGCCACTGCAGCAGACACCTTGGGGAGAAGTCCGCGAAATGAAGAACGGGCCAAGATAAGCCTGAGGGGAATGGTCTCAGACCCAGCGATCAGCTTTCACCATGGGCGTCGGGGGCCTGGCGGGTGCATGCATGCTGAGGGGGCTGTCGGCGGGTGGGCTCACTGAGCGGAGAAGGATGAAGCGGCGATACCCCCAGCACGAGGCTTCTGCTGCACAGACTCAGGCGCTCCCTCCCCTGGTGGCAGTGAGCTGGGGCCTGCTCAGCACCCCCGGCCCCAGGATGTGCCTGCTGGTGCCTGAGAGAGCAGCAGCCAGGTGAGACGGGATCCCTGGGGACCCTGGCCGCAGGTGCTGGCGGCTTGGATGGCTCACACCTCACCAGACACCCTGGGGCCAGGGAGGGGCAGAGGCTGCCGTGTAGCTGCAGGCGTGGCCCTTTCCCCTCCTCGATGACAGCTCGTCCTGTGCTCCAGGTCTTCTCCATACTTTGAGGATATGAAAGGAGCCAGAACAGAAGGGGGTTCCTGCAGGGCCACCGGTGCCTCACACTGGCACCAAGGCCTGGGGCTCGCAGTGTCCGTGAGGGCGTCCTGGAAGAGACAGGGTTCCCCCAACCGCCACCAGCTGCCCTGCCCAGCATCAGGCCTGCAGGTCCTGCTGGAGCACATGCCTCAGGGAGACTCAGGAGTGGGGCTCTCACAGGACTGGGGCGCTCCTTTCCATCCCTCTCCTCACTTCCCCCCTCCCCTGAGGGTGCTGCAGGGCTGGGCAGGGCGGGCTGGGAGCAGGGAGATGTACCGTGAAACTGAATTACTGCCTTTCACATCGTGACTCCCAAGTATGCAGAAGGAACCCTCTGGGGATTCTCAGGTTTCAGTTTTACTTTCTATACGCATTTTACTGAATTTGACTTGTGCACTTAAGTGTATTTTCTGTGTCCGCAGGATGATTTGAGACAACATTTAGATAAATCTTTGGAAGAGAACAGTAGGTTAAAATCGCTTTTGTTGAGTATGAAAAAGGAAGTGAAGAGTGCAGACACTGCAGCCACGTTAAATTTGCAGATCGCTGGTAAGTTGATCGTGTATTTGGTCACTTTGTAAACTTTAGGTGTTCAAATGTGCCTAGGTAGACTTTGTTTTAAATTCTTCACTGAGGGAAGTGAGCAGCAGCAGACGCAGTTGGTAAGTGGGGAGCCGAGCCCCTGCCTCACTGGCTGGGGTGGAGGCTGCCTCGGCCGGAGTTTATGGCACACACGTGTGTCTGGGGCAGTCCTGGCATGGATGTAGGAGGCAAGGCCACCCCTGTCCTCACCCTGCCCGACCGTCCTCCCCTCAGCACAGGGTGTCAGGGCTGCAGCTGCTGGAGGGGCCTGGTCACTGTGGGGTTTGCTGCTCCTGTCTGGCGTCCTCCCATGGTTATGCTGCCATCGAATTTGGTGAATGAGCCTGTTGCCCAGCGTCTCAGCGTTACAGATTCAGGTTGCATTTCTGGTGAACCCGTGTCTCTCCCGAGCAGGCCTGCTGTGGTCAAGATGCAGATCTTTCTCATTTCCCTCTCTTCACTTTTTTTGTTCTGTTTTGCTATTTTTACAAAAGTGTATTCAGTATTTCAAGTTCAGATACCTGGATTTTAAATAAGGAAATGCTGATGGAGTCTGCTGTCCACGGTAACCTTCTCGGTGTGGCGTGGAGTCTCTTGGAAGTTTTAACTCATACTTCCCTGAGATTGACAAGTCGAGCATCTCTTCCTGGTCTAGCCTCTCAGGGGCTCATGGACTTTTCCTCAAAGGCCAGGTAGTAACCGTTTCAGGGCGTGTGGGTCTCACGATGTCTGTCCCAACCAGCGGTGGCCTTTGCGGCAGGGAGGCAGCTGTGGATGAGGCCTGTGGCCGCTCTGTCTCCTTTGGGGCAGCGTCTCCTTGGATCTTTCGCCCGTTGGTTTTTATTGGGTTGTTTTATCGAGCGGTAAGAGTTCCTTAGAGTCTTCTTTTTTATTTATAAATTTTGCTTTTCTATCTTCTGTTTCTTTAAGATACTGTTATATTTACAACGGGTCCTTGAATAACCGTGTCCATTCAACATCATTTCGTCGTAAAGGTGATGAGAAAAAAAAAAAAAAACAGTTCCCTGCCCGGGAGAACTGTGTGTGTGGTTTGCTCTCCCGGCTCTGTGGGCTTTCTCTGGGTGCGCTGTTTTCCCCCATGCCCCAAAGCTGTGCACGCCAGGGTGTTGCTGTGTCTGACCTGTCCCATCTCGAGTGAGTGCAGGCACCAGCCGCCCTGCTGTGCGATGGCATCTGATCAGCACTGGTACCCGCTCCACGCCCTGAGCTGCTGGGATAGGCTGCAGCCACCTCTGCCCCTGAACTGGAACAACAGAGTAAATAATAGTCTAACTTGTCTTTGTTACTCGGTCTTAAATGTATGCATAGCTCCCATTTATTTTAGTGTTTAATGTTAGAGGTGTCTTGGTCTTTGGTGGTTTGGTGATGTTCTTGTGACTAGAAATTGCTGTGTGAGCGTCACTCCTGCTCCCGTCGGCGGCCTGTGTGGACGGTGAATTCGGCTTCGTTACACTGTGTGAGCGTCACTCCTGCTCCCGTTGGCGCCCTGTGTGGATGGTGAATTCGGCTTCCTTACACTGTGGGAGCGTCACTCTTGCTCCCATCGGCGGCCTGTGTGGACAGTGAATTCGGCTTCGTTACACTGTGTGAGCGTCACTCTTGCTCCCATTGGCGGCCTGTGTGGATGGTGAATTCGGCTTCTTTCCACGGCGGTCGCTTTGCTTCGTGGCTGTTTCCAGAACCATCAGTGCGAAGCGAGGACTTGTTGGACTTTCTGTTAGACTCCTTCTTAGCCTTCACTTCCAGTGTGAATTTTTTCTTTTATTGCTAATTCTTCCCTGAGTTCAGAACCCTCTTTTCTGACATTTCTAATTATGACTTACGTTGTTTTTTCGTTTCTTCTGTCATTTCCTTTTTGTCTCGTAGGGATGTTCTTGCGCCCTAACCCTTTGCCTTACAGAAACTGGGATTTGGCTTCAATACTTTCTGCTGCTTTTTACATGAAAATTGTGCTTCTGGATTTCAGGGAGGAGGCAGGGTCAGGGCAGGTTTTCTGACCTCATGGATCAAGGATAGGGCAGCCTCCTTCTGGGGATTCTCAGGCCCTGTTCTCTCCTCCACCCTTCTCTGATGCCGTCATCCTGGTTGACCTTGACCCTGACCCCACACCAGCTGTTCCTCTTGGTGCAGGCTCTGTTCTAGAAGACCAGGCAGGTCAGCTCTGAGGGATTGCACGGCTGCCTCAGCTTTTGCAGACTGCATGGGGGCCCCTGGCCTCACCCTCATGGGAGGGGCAGGGCCGTGGTTCCCTGATTGGCCCACTGGGTTTCCCAAGGGAGCAAAGGACACTTGGGGGCTGTCCCGTTCTCAGAGCTGACGGCCACCCACTGCTGACGGCTGCCTCACTCCCGCAGAGGTGGACATGATGTGTGACTTGTGGCCTCTGGGGGTTTGTCCCAGCCTCTTGTGTTTGGGGTCCCAAGGCTTCCTTGTCTCTGGGATGCTGTAGTGTTGTCCCTGGGGTTCTGGTTTTGCCGTCTGAGGACTCTTGGTTTGGCCAGCACGGGGACTGGAAGGTCCTGAAGCTGTGCCGCCCTGCGCTTCCTTCATTCATGCCCTACGTGAACATGTCCATCGACATAGACTTCACGCGGCGTGGCCTTCACACTGTGGATGCTCCTGCGGCACTGCTGCCTTGTGGGTGAGAAGAGCCTGCCATCCGTGTCACCATCACCCTTTGCCCACCACCTTCCCCACCTCTGGCTTTCTCACTGCCTCTGTCACTGTGTGGTTTTGCAAGAGTGTGTCTACATGTGGGTTTATTTGTATCCCGTGTTTGGATTTGGGGAGCCACTAAATAGTATCTCTCTTCTCCTCTTGTGCTGGAAATCCAGAAACAGGCAGGAGTTTGTAGATGGAAACCAGCCACATATTCCATCACTGATGGTTGCAGAGTCAGAGGGCACTTTGGAGACCTGTGGCCACTGTGGGCTGCTTGGTGCTTTTCCCGAAACCCACAGGCCCTCCCTTCAGGGGCACAGTGTGCTTCCTTGTGGAGGAGGAACCAGCAGACAGGCCCAGTGGAGGGACTGCCAGCCAGTGCCGCCTCTCCCTGCCCTCACACAGGGATGTGGCTCCATGGGGGCCTGTGGAGGGCAGACCACACAGCTGCAGCCTGGGGAGGGCCCAGGGTAGAAACAGCACAGGGAGGGGCCGTGGCATTCATGCTCGCCCTGTCTTTGAGTCTCATTAATACTGATCTTTTCCAGCTATATTCTTTTTCTGGTAACCAAGATCCAGTTTAAATGTAGAATTGTTTTCATTTTCAAAATGTATTAATGAGTTTTACTCATTAATGGTACTTTTTTTTTTCTTTCTCTTTCAGGACTTCAAACAAGTGTGAAGAGGCTGTGTGGCGAGATTGTGGAACTGAAGCAGCACCTGGAGCACTACGACAAGATCCAGGAGCTCACGCAGATGCTGCAGGAGAGCCACAGGTGCCTGCCCGTGAGACTTGGGTGGGCCCCCGAGGGGAGGAGGCCCAGGTACAGGGAGGGTTGGGCCGGACTGGGTCACACCCAGAAGGCACAGAGGAGCAGCTCCTCATGAGTCTTGGCCGATGATATCCAGGACCACTGCTGATTTGAAACTTTCATAAACTTTCCTCTCTGAAAACGGAGGCCCTTCATGCTGTCTGTCGCATGTGTGAGGCGTGGATCATGAAGTGTGACCCATGAGGTGTGGATGTGAGGTCTGACCATGAGGTGTGACCACGAGGCATGGACTGTGAGATGGGACTGTGAGGTATGTGACCATGGGGTGTGGGCTGTGAGGTATCAACCCTGAGTGTGAGATGTGACTGTGAGGTGTGGACTGTGAGGTGTGACTGTGAGGTATGACTGTGAGGCATGGACTGTGAGGTGTGACTGTGAGGTGTGACTGTGAGGTGTGACCACGAGGCATGGACTGTGAGATGGGACTGTGAGGTATGTGACCATGGGGTGTGGGCTGTGAGGTATCAACCCTGAGTGTGAGGTGTGACTGTGAGGTGTGACTGTGAGGTATGACTGTGAGGTGTGACTGTGAGGTGTGGACTGTGAGGTGTGACTGTGAGGTGTGACTGTGAGGTGTGACTGTGAGGTGTGGACTGTGAGGTGTGACTGTGAGGTGTGACTGTGAGGCGTGGACTGTGAGGCGTGGACTGTGAGGCGTGGACTGTGAGGTGTGACTGTGAGGTGTGACTGTGAGGTGTGGACTGTGAGGCGTGACTGTGAGGCGTGAATGTGAGGCGTGACTGTGAGGCGTGACTGTGAGGCATGACTGTGAGGTGTGGACTGTGAGGTGTGGACTGTGAGGTGTGACTGTGAGGTGTGACTGTGAGGCGTGGACTGTGAGGTGTGACTGTGAGGTGTGACTGTGAGGTGTGGACTGTGAGGTGTGACTGTGAGGTGTGACTGTGAGGTGTGACTGTGAGGCGTGGACTGTGAGGGGTGACTGTGAGGTGTGACTGTGAGGTGTGACTGTGAGGTGTGACCACGAGGCATGGACTGTGAGATGGGACTGTGAGGTATGTGACCATGGGGTGTGGGCTGTGAGGTATCAACCCTGAGTGTGAGGTGTGACTGTGAGGTGTGACTGTGAGGTGTGGACTGTGAGGTGTGACTGTGAGGTGTGACTGTGAGGTGTGGACTGTGAGGTGTGAATGTGAGGCGTGACTGTGAGGCGTGACTGTGAGGCGTGACTGTGAGGTGTGGACTGTGAGGTGTGACTGTGAGGTGTGACTGTGAGGTGTGGACTGTGAGGTGTGACTGTGAGGTGTGACTGTGAGGTGTGGACTGTGAGGTGTGACTGTGAGGTGTGACTGTGAGGCATGGACTGTGAGGCGTGACTGAGGCGTGACTGTGAGGCGTGACTGTGAGGCGTGGACTGTGAGGCGTGGACTGTGAGGTGTGACTGTGAGGTGTGACTGTGAGGTGTGCCTGTGAGGCGTGGACTGTGAGGCGTGGACTGTGAGGGGTGACTGTGAGGTGTGGACTGTGAGGTGTGACTGTGAGGTGTGACTGTGAGGTGTGGACTGTGAGGTGTGACTGTGAGGTGTGACTGTGAGGTGTGGACTGTGAGGTGTGACTGTGAGGTGTGACTGTGAGGCGTGGACTGTGAGGCGTGACTGAGGCGTGACTGTGAGGCGTGGACTGTGAGGCGTGGACTGTGAGGTGTGACTGTGAGGTGTGACTGTGAGGTGTGCCTGTGAGGCGTGGACTGTGAGGCGTGGACTGTGAGGCGTGGACTGTGAGGGGTGACCGTGAGGCGTGGACTGTGAGGCGTGGACTGTGAGGTGTGACTGTGAGGCGTGGACTGTGAGGTGTGACTGAGGTGTGACTGTGAGGTGTGACTGTGAGGTGTGGACTGTGAGGCGTGACTGTGAGGCGTGACTGTGAGGCGTGACTGAGGTGTGGACTGTGAGGTGGGACTGTGAGGTGTGACTGAGGTGTGACTGTGAGGTGTGGACTGTGAGGCGTGACTGTGAGGCGTGACTGTGAGGCGTGGACTGTGAGGTGTGACTGTGAGGCGTGGACTGTGAGGCGTGGACTGTGAGGTGTGACTGTGAGGTGTGACTGTGAGGCGTGGACTGTGAGGTGTGACTGTGAGGTGTGACTGTGAGGCGTGACTGTGAGGTGTGGACTGTGAGGTGTGACTGTGAGGCGTGGACTGTGAGGTGTGACTGTGAGGCGTGGACTGTGAGGTGTGACTGAGGTGTGACTGAGGTGTGACTGTGAGGCGTGGACTGTGAGGTGTGACTGTGAGGCGTGGACTGTGAGGCGTGGACTGTGAGGTGTGACTGTGAGGCGTGGACTGTGAGGTGTGACTGTGAGGTGTGACTGTGAGGTGTGACTGTGAGGCGTGGACTGTGAGGTGTGACTGTGAGGCGTGGACTGTGAGGTGTGACTGTGAGGCGTGGACTGTGAGGTGTGACTGTGAGGTGTGACTGTGGGTGTGAGGTGTGACTGTGAGGCGTGGACTGAGGTGTGACTGTGAGGCGTGGACTGTGAGGTGTGACTGTGAGGTGTGGACTGTGAGGTGTGACTGTGAGGTGTGACTGTGAGGCGTGGACTGTGAGGTGTGACTGTGAGGCGTGGACTGTGAGGTGTGACTGTGAGGTGTGACTGTGGGTGTGAGGTGTGACTGTGAGGCGTGGACTGAGGTGTGACTGTGAGGCGTGGACTGTGAGGTGTGACTGTGAGGCGTGGACTGTGAGGTGTGACTGTGAGGTGTGACTGTGAGGCGTGGACTGTGAGGCGTGGACTGTGAGGCGTGGACTGTGAGGGGTGACTGTGAGGCGTGGACTGTGAGGTGTGACTGTGAGGTGTGACTGTGAGGCGTGGACTGTGAGGTGTGACTGTGAGGTGTGACTGTGAGGCGTGGACTGTGAGGCGTGGACTGTGAGGCGTGGACTGTGAGGCGTGGACTGTGAGGCGTGGACTGTGAGGTGTGGACTGTGAGGTGTGACTGTGAGGTGTGACTGTGAGGCGTGGACTGTGAGGCGTGGACTGTGAGGCGTGGACTGTGAGGTGTGACTGTGAGGCGTGGACTGTGAGGTGTGACTGTGAGGCGTGGACTGTGAGGTGTGACTGTGAGGTGTGGACTGTGAGGTGTGACTGTGAGGCGTGGACTGTGAGGCGTGGACTGTGAGGTGTGACTGTGAGGCGTGGACTGTGAGGTGTGACTGAGGCGTGGACTGTGAGGTGTGACTGTGAGGTGTTACTGTGAGGCGTGGACTGTGAGGTGTGACTGTGAGGCGTGGACTGTGAGGTGTGACTGAGGCGTGGACTGTGAGGTGTGACTGTGAGGCGTGGACTGTGAGGTGTGACTGTGAGGTGTGACTGTGAGGTGTGACTGTGAGGCGTGGACTGTGAGGTGTGACTGTGAGGTGTGACTGAGGCATGGACTGTGAGTTGTGAATGTGAGGTGTGGACTGAGAGTTGTGGACTGTGAGATATGACCTGTGTGCAGTGTGACCAGGGGAGAGAGGTGCATGAGAGATGGTCGGGCACGGCGGGGCAACCTGGTTCCCCTGGGCGGTAGTCCGGCAGCTGTGCTTCCCCCTTCACTGCAGTGCGTGTTCAGTTGGAAACACGGAGATTTCACCTTTACTCCCTGGCTATAGGGGGATGGTGAGAAGGGGGCTGGGTGTGAGGGGATCTTCAAGGCAGAATCTTAGTTTGTCTTTTAAGAATTGTGTGCCGGGACGTGGTTGGAGGCTGGGTGCAGAAAGGAAGAGGCGAGCTGCTGGAGGAGGCAAGGACAGGTCGCTCTGGGCAGTTTTGTGGGTGCTGCTGTGTGAACCCCTGTTGCTGTGGCCTCAGCAGGGAAGGCTGGTCTGTGGTCAGTTCCTCCCCCTCCCCTCCCCCTTTCATTCCCTCTTCCTTTCCCCCGACCTCCCATTCCCGCTCCCTCCCCCACTCCTCAGGCTGAGGCTGCCACACTTACCTGGGTTCGACCACAGTCTGGTCATAGGCGTAGCCAGGCTCTGCCCCTTACAGGATAAAGGCCACAGACCCCCATGGGGCCCATCACAGGTGTAAGTTACAGAGGGGAAGGGTCCTGAAAGATGAGACTGGGCCAAGAGGAGATGCAGCGGAGCAGAAGGAAGGGGACTGTGGCGGCCGCGGGTGCAGTGCCCAGTCGTGGGCAGGGCCATGTGACTCCCTGGAACCTGGTGGGCCTGTCTGTGGCAGGTCAAGGTACAGTTGGGGGTCATTCTCCTTGAGCACTGTGGCCTGGATGTGGACAAGGCAGGGTGCACAGCTCCCAAACATGGTGGCATTGGGCTTCTGCCCCCAGGATTCATGCTGGCTTCATCCAGTCCTGGCCTGCGGCTCCTTTGCTGTCCAAGTGAACAGGGCCTGGGCCTGCACAGTGGCCCTGTCAGTGGGGTGCCCATCTCTGTGGCTAATGTGACCGAGGTCAGTGGGCCCTGCCTTGTCTAATACTTGTAATGCCCTGAGTGTCCTCAGGTCATCGCTGACTGGGTGATTAGGGCAATTTGGAGGTGACAAAGTGGGTAAAATGTAATAGCACTTTACTTCTAAAATAAAAATGGTCAACAGCATTAAAGACTAGGACTCTTCTATTGCACTATTATGATGTCAAAATTATTATATTTGACTGGGAATTAGAACTATTTCAGTCCCCGTATATTTTCTAGAATTAGAACATTGTTTTGCTAGCCATGAAGTTTATCATCTTCTCATAAAACCATGCGTAGCTGGAATAGCCAAGGCGCCATTCAGTCACTCATTAGCCTGTTCAGCTCATTCATTCATTCCATAGGTGCTGAGCCGCACCTCCAAGGCTGCTCCCAGGGGTCAGGACAGTGGTTGGGAAGGAGGAGGCAGGTGGGCGGTAGCCAGTGGGACACAGAAGGTGATGGGGCCACAGAGATAGGTCTGTGTGCAGGGCCAGGGCACCTTCGTGCCCATGCAGGGAGGTGGGCAGGCCCAGCAGGTGAGGGCCACACCGCTGGAGAGGACGGAAGTGCCAAGCAGCCGCTTCCCTGTTGTTCTGCAGCTCCCTGGTCAGCACCAATGAACACCTGCTGCAGGAGCTGAGCCAGGTGCGGGCGCAGCACAGAGCCGAGGTGGAGCAGATGCACTGGAGCTACCAGGAGCTCAAGAAGACCATGGCCCTGTTTCCACACAGCAGCGCCAGCCATGGAGGCTGCCAGGCCTGCTGACTCCTGCCGAGAAGCTGGGCCACCCCTTAAGCTTCCTGGTAAAGTTACATTGTCTGCACCTTTGTACTTCTTTATTGAGTGTACTGGCTGGCAAGAGTTCTCTCTTCTGTTGGTAATTATTTAGGATTTTTGGAATGTATTCAGGACCTGTAGCTTGGTTTTCTAAAGCACCTCGTAAAATGATATGATTACTCCAAGCCCTCTGCATGTTTTCAGACAGAACACATTGACATATTTTGAGACAAACTGACTATTAATCTTGTATCCAGTATCCTGAGATGAAGTAAATGCAGTGTTCTACTGCCTGATGTGAAAGAGAGCTATGTATGATAATTAAAGAAAATAATTTTCTGTGTAACAAGCAATCTTTATTTAATAAACAAATACATTGTTCTGAAAAGTTAACTTTTTCAGTGGCTGTATACAAATTATAACTGAGTTTGTCATTGAGTTTTTTATAGAACAAGCTGTGCACCATGATAGGTGAGTGGGAATAATTAAGTTCAAAGACTTAACACAAGTGACACTTATAGATGTGGGGGAAAAAACCTTAAAAATATTGTCTTATGATATTAACATATCACAGCGGAAACATCTACCCAAGCCCTGGCTCGCTCTCTTGTTTGCAGTGTAGTTCTGAAAATTATGTCATAATAGGACACAAAACTAGATTTTTAGTTTGGAAACTTCATATCTTATGTCATACTTGCTGTGATTGGTAAGACAAGGTCATTTTTTAAATGACGTTCAACTGATTTGGGAAGAATGAGCAGGCCTAAGAAGAAAATGCTCTGTGCTAGCTCTGTGTGTGTGTGTGCCCTTGCTGTGTGTGTGTGTGCCCTTGCTGTGTGTGTGTGCTGTGTGTGCGCTAGTGTGCGCTTGCTGTGTGTGTGTGCTAGCTGTGTGTGTGTGCTGTGTGTGCGCCTAGTGTGTGTGTGCTAGCTGTGTGTGTGCTAGCTGTGTGTGTGTGCTGTGTGTGCTAGCTGTGTGCGCTTGCTGTGTGTGCTCTGTGCGCGTGCACTTGCTCTGTGTACTAGCTGTGTGTGCATGCTAGCTGTGTGTGCGCTTGCTGTGTGTGTGCTAGCTGTGTGTGCATGCTTGCTGTGTGTGTGTGCTTGTGCGCTTGCTGTGTGTGTGTGCAGTTGCTGTGTGCTAGCTGTGTGTACGCTTGTGTGTGCGCTGTGTGTGCGCGCACGCACCCTGTGTGTGTGCTGTGTGTGCACGCGTTGTGTATGTGCACTTGCTATGTGTGTGCTTGTGTGCTAGCTGTGTGTGTCTGCTAGCTGTGTGTGTGTGTGCTTCTGTGTGTGTGTGTGTGTGCGTGTGGATTGTATCCCTGGGGAAATCAGAGGTGGGACTCTGCTGTCTCTTCCCCGAAGAGGACTTGCTAGGCTTCAGGCTGCCCTCTTGTGTCACCTCTCTGTCCAGTTGTGGTCCTAACAGGAAAATGTGTCATACCAAATTTATTTTCTGTAGGGTTGGGATGGGGTTAATTTGTCATCACGTAATTTATGTATGTAAGAGTATTAGAAGATGTTAATATTAATCCACTTTAAGCTTATAGATGCTTACCTCGTTTGGGTTTCATTGAGCTTCTTGGACCTGTGAGTTCATATTTTTCACCAGATTTGGCAAAGTTGCAGCCACTACTCATATTTCTTGTCTGACCCCGTCTCTCACTTCTTCCTCCCTGTCCCCATCTGGGACTCTAGTTAGCTTTCTGTTAGACTGTGATACTGTCTCTCAGGTCACTAAACGTGATGCTTTTTCATCCTTGTTCTCTCATCCTTTCCTTTAGGTGGTTTTATTGTCCTGTTGCGAGGCTTACTAATCTTTTCTTCCACTTGCCTAATTTGATGTTAAGCTTGTATAGTGAATTTTTTATATCAGAAATTAGGTATATTTTTGTTCTAAAATTCCATTTGAGGCTAGGCGGGGTGGCTCACACCGTAATCCCAGCACTTTGGGAGGCTGAGGCAGGAGGATCACTTGAGGCCAGGAGTTTGAGACCAGCCTGGCCAACATGGCGAAACTCCATCTCTGCTAAAAATGAAAATTAGCTGGGCATGGTGGTGGGCACCTGTAGTCCCAGCTTCTTGGGGGGCTGAGGCAGGAGAATCGTTTGAACCTGGGAGGCGGAGGTTGCAGTGAGCCAAGATTGCAGCACTGCACTCCAGCCTAGACGACAGAGCAAGACTCCGTCTCAAAAAAAAAACAAAAAAACTCCATTTGATTTTTTTCATTAGTTTTATATCCCATTATGTTCACGTTTCCATTAACTGCTTAACCATGTTTTTAACAGGTTTACTAGAAATTCCCAACTGTTCCAAAGTGGTGGTACCCGCAGGCCCGACTGCTAGTTGTGTATGACCACGTCTGCCGGTCCATGTTTTCAGCACCCATTGCCTGAAGTGTTAGCACCTTCACTCCGGTGGGTGTGGGGTAGTGGAGGGAGTGGGGTGGTGGAGGGCGCGGGGTGGCGGAGGGCGCGGGGTGGTGGAACGTGTGGGGTAGACCTCTTTCTGGTTTCATTGGCTTCTCCTTGTTCAGCACCTTCTCATGTGTCTGCGGCTCATTGGGATTTCCTGTTTGTAAAGTACCTATTCAAGTATTTTCCCTACTTTTCTATTGGATGGTCTGTCTCATTTATTTGCAGGTGTTATTTATGATTCTGGGTAGTAGTGCTTTGTGAATTACATTTGCAAATAGCTTTTCTTGTCTTTTTACTTCAATGGTGTCTTTTAAGAGAAATTTTAAACTTTAATATGGCCCAATGTATCAATATTTTCTTTTATGATTAAAGCATTTTGGATCCTAATTTTTAATAATCTTTACTTTGCCTTGATCATAAAGATACTCTGTTACCTTCCAAAGGATTTTATAGTTTTGTATATTTTGGATTTTAGATATAGATTCTACCCAGAATTGATTTTTGCGCCTGTTGTGAAGCTTAAGGATCCAGTTTCATTGTGTT
Source organism: Homo sapiens (assembly GCF_000001405.40). Lineage (NCBI taxonomy): Eukaryota > Metazoa > Chordata > Mammalia > Primates > Hominidae > Homo > Homo sapiens. The sequence goes on from NC_000005.10 coordinate 656,128, forward strand.
GCAGACATAAGCCCAGTTTTCCCAGTCCCGGCTGCTGAAGATTCCTTTGTCAGGATGATCTCTGTGTCCGTTTCTGCATCTCCTTGTCTGTCTCTGCCAATACCACACACTCTGGGGCGCGTACCTCCATCTTATGTTAGGATGTCTTGGCTGTTTTTGACCCTTTGTGTTTCATACATTTTAGAACTAGCCGGTCGAGTTGGGATTTTGTTTGGGATTGTGTTGAACCTGTAGATCAACTTGGGAATCATTGACGTACTTGCAGTACTGGGTTTTACAAGCTCTGAACATGGTATCTGTCTCTCCAAATGTTAGGGCTCCTTCAGCGGGTGTTCATACAGCCTGATACTTTTCACAGTGGTCTTGTATGTCTTTTGTTACATTTAATCCTAGGTCCTTGTTATTTTGCGATGCTGTTTTTAAAAATGTGCTTGGATTTCATTTTCCTAATTATGTGTTGCCATTTCATGGAAATTCATTTTTGTGTATTAATTTGTATCCGGCAGTCTAGTAATTTTAATCATTTGCCTGTAGCTGTTTCCTCATTTTTAGGCACACAGTCATGTTTTCTATGAGTAATGGGTTTTCTTTCCCATTCCTGTTGTTCTGGATTTTTACTTTATGTTTTTATTTTTGTTTTGTTTTTTGCTTTTCTACACTGGTCGGAACCCCTAGTGCAGTGCTGATTAGAGGTGGTAACAGAGTGGGCATCGTTGTCTTCTTCCTGATATTCAAAGGGGTGATAAATTCTCACCATTTATCCACTCACTTGTAATGGATTTTTTTTGCTTGTTTTAAAGCTTCTTCTATCAATAATTCGCCTCAAGAATGGATGACTTTTATCACTTTTTCTGCAGTGATGGAGATGACCATGATTTTTATCATTTAATATATTGATGTGTTTAACGACCATAATTTGCTTTTGTTAAAAATAAACCTTGAATTTCTGAGATAAGTCCAACTTAATAATTATGGATTTTCTTTTACATACATATTGTTATATTTGGTTTGTTAATATTTTGTTTAGCATTTTGTGGCCCAGCTATACTACCTAGCACCTGTGTTTGGGCCCTGATTTCCTCGTCTGTACAATGGGGAAATAGTGGCTTCCTCACAGGATTGTTGTGAAGGTGAAATGAGTTAGTATGAATAAGACTCTCGGGCAGCATCTGGTGCGTCCTGAGCACTGGGTAGCTGCGTGCTCTAGTACAGTGGTTAGTATCTCTCTTCACGGGTGACAGCCACTTACGATTTTCCTTTGTAATGCTGTTCTTGAAAGGATTCGCATCTTTACACCACCGTAAAATGAGCTAGGTTGTGTATTCTTTCTCCATTCTCTAGGAGAATTTACTTAAGATTATAATTATTTCTTCCATGGATGTTTGATGGAACTTGCTGGTGAAGTCACTTGTGCCTGGAACTTTCTTTGTCAGGAGGTTTGACTACTGATCCAGTATAACTCAGTGTTCCAGGATGTGGCAGAACCGTTCACACAGACCATCCTTATGTCCCCCCTGCCTTTACGCTGCATATCCCTGAGTTGGGCTGGGGCCGTGTGACTACTGAGCAACAGCCTGTGTGTGGGACTGAGGTGAGTCATTTCAGGGCCAGAGCAGCGGGAGCTGGTGCGTCACTGTGATAGCTTCCCTGCCAGTGACCTGGGCAGCTGCATCACAGGATTAGGAAGTCTGTTTGTCTTCTGTTAGAAGAGATCTCTTGTTATTCCTGAAGTTGGACGTTGTGTGAGTAATACATTTTGTGTGTCCAGCCACTGAAGTGTTAGGGGTTTTCTTTTGTAGCTGGCAGTGACTTCCCCTAAGTCACAGGGCTGAGCAGGCTTTCCATTTCTTTTCGAGTTAGTTTTTGTAAGTTATGTGTCTCTAAGAATTGGTCCATATTGTCTTAATTTTCCATTTTGGGGGGTATAACACACATAATTTGAATGGCTTCAACATTTGAAGTTGTGTGTGTCCCTGTGGCAGAGATGTAGGGACAGTTGTGTCCCTTCAAGCGAGACCTTGCCATCCAGGGGCAGGGAGTACAGGGGTAGAGACCATCTCCAGCCACCATGCTGTCAGGCTGTGCCTGGGCTCTGGAGCTGAGGACACACTCATCCAGGCAGCTGCAGCCAGTGTCCAAGCAGGCAGGGCCTGGGCCTAATGCGAACCACAGGGAGCTCCCTAGCAGGTCATCTCCAGAGCCTCCCTGAGGCCTCCCGGCCTCCTCCCCTTGCTGCTGTTCAGGGGCATTCCTCACCAGTGAGCCTCTTGTGATACAAAGGCCACCTCAGCATCTGCCTCCCGGGGACTCAGCCCATTCTTGGCCATTCTTCATATTCGTTATTTGAACTTTCTCTTCAGTCCTTTCAAAGAAACACCCTTTGCCTCCATTTTCTTTTCAATTTCTGATCTGATCTATCATTAGCCATGCTGAAATTACAAATAAATATGGGTTAAAATATTATTTTATCAATTTCCCTGTTCTGTGTTTCTTTCTCTTGTTTTATCAGCAAAGCTGATTTTTTTTTTTTTTTTTTTTTTTTTTTTTTTTTTTTTTTTTGAGATGGAGTCTCGCTCTATTGCCCAGGCTGGAGTGCAGTGGCGTGATCTCGGCTCACTGCAAGCTCCGCCTCCCGGGTTCACGCCATTCTCCTGCCTCAGCCTCCCGAGTAGCTGGGACTACAGGCGCCCGCCACCACGCCTGGCTAATTTTTTGTATTTTTAGCAGAGACAGGGTTTCACTGTGTTAGCCAGGATGGTCTCAATCTCCTGACCTTGTGATCTGCCCGCCTCGGCCTCCCAAAGTGCTGGGACTACAGGTGTGAGCCACCGCGCCCGGCCTCAGCGAAGCTGATTGATCCACCATCTCATTAGTTTAAATCTGCCATCTCATTTTGTGCTGTTTGTTCTATTCATGGTTTTTTCCCTCTTCACTTTTGCCACTTTTGGATGATCTCCTGTCATCCCGCATGTCCCTCTGCTCGTTTGGAGACTGTACTCTGCTTCTGTCCCATGCTTATGGCATGTGTGCGTTTAGTCCATGCTCTCACCCACCTCTGGGGTTGGTTCCTGGAGCGCGAGGCGCGCGTCCCTCTCCATGCTCCTGTTCTGCTCACCTGTGGGGGTTCCCAAGTATTTTTATGAAACATTTTAATCTCACAAAGTATTGATATAGCCACTGTTAATTTGGAGTTATTGACCTATTTATTCTCTTTGCTCCACTTTCTTCACAAACCAGACATGCCATTTGAGATCACCTTTGCTTTCTGCATTTAGAATTTCTTTAAATGTCTGCTGGTGGCAAATTCTCTTTTCATTGTCCAAAAATGCCTTTATTGTATCCTCATTTTGGAAAACTGTTTCGCTGGGCTAGTATCTCAGGTTGGCATTTTTTTTATAGCAGCCTGTGATGACATTGTCCTGTTTTGGGGGCTCTGGTGGTGTTCACAGTGTTCATGTCCATTCCCCTTGAATCTAGACCCCACCCAGGGCTACACCAGTGCTAGAGCAGGACTCACACCTGACAGATGGCTGGTCCGCCTGCTCCTCCTTCACGGTCCTCCTGTCTAGATGAGGAAGCGAGAGACTCCCTCGGGAAAAGGCGACACAAGGGCCTTGGCCCTGTGAGCTTCAGCCCAGTGGAGGCACTCAGCACACTCCCCACCTGGGGCCCCTCCAGTACCTATCCCCTGTTATCACCTGTTACAGACACGTGTGCTCTGAGGAACAGAGAAATCCATGTTTTAACACCTTTATTTGTCACTTTACCAACTTGACACACAATGTTAACGACAGCAGACACAGGAGCAGTGTGCACACAGACACGAGCTGTTTCACTACAGGTTTGCAAGCCAGGCTCAACAGCAAGTCCAACAGGCAACACCACACCTCTCACCTGCAGGAGGAACAGCAGGGCCACCCCACCCCGCGGACGTCCGCGGTGAGTGCGGTTTAGACATCAGCAGAAGTGGCTTTCAGAGTCAGAACAGCCATGACGTGGACATCACCCGTCACACTGATAAAGTGATGCACTCAGTACTCCCTAATGTTAATCACACAGTGTAAAAATATATTGCACATATATATATATATATATATATATAAATTTGTTTCCCTTTCTTGAAAAAAACTTAGTACAAACTAGTAGTTACACGATCCCTTTCAAGTTTCTCTTAAGTTGTGCAGATTTCCTTTGTGGTTTGGCTTGGTTTAGTTTTTTAAGAGGTCGAAAGAAAGAAGTAAAGCATCTCGATGTGCCCAGGACTCCCCATCACATGCCCAGGGACAAACGCTGCACCCTGGACCACCAGAGCTCACAAAGTGTTCAGTAGTAAGAGGAGGAAAGATGCAGGTTCAGTGTTTGAAGGACGTTCTAGCCTATTGATAACATCACGGTCCAGCCTCATCTTCCCCCTGTGCCATCCCCTCGTGGTGTGTGCTGTGGGGTGGGAGGGTGGCCAGTGCACGCGTGATTGCCCACAGGAGGAGATGAGCTGGGCCAGTAGAGGGACAGGTAAGTGTCCAGGGCCAAGGCATCTCCATCTCAACTCCTCCCCACTCCACTTGTACAGCAGGAGCCACAGGCCTGTGTGAAAACACAGGACAGGCCCTGTGCCAACAAAACACCATTCACAAAAGCAGGCGGCCGCAGCAGCCCAGGATGGGGGCTGGGGTAGGAGGTGATGCCCACGCAGGGCTGCTGTGGTCAGCCCTGAGCTGGCATCCCTGGGGCCCGGGATGGAGTGGCACCAACAGGCAAGTGGGGCGGCCACAGGACATGATGCCAGCCCAACTCCACCATCTGCGCCCAAACTTGGACAGGATATTAGAAGGTGTAAAAGTAGTCCAGTATAAATATATATCTTCTACAATATTTTAAACATATAATTTGAACTTTAATTTTGGTAACGCTAATTGTTAGGAACACTACCTGGTTGCTTATCCTATAGCAGTAAATTAAAAATAAATAAGCACTCTGGCGTGAACAGTCTTCTCAGCGCTCTCCCTCTGCCTTTCTCCTTTCCTGATGCTGAGACACGATCAGCACTGTCCTCCCGACAGAACCTATTCCTGTGTCCTGGTGTCACCCCCAACAGAACCTGTCCCTCTCTCCTGGTGTCACCCCTGACAGAACCTGTCCCTCTCTCCTGGTGTCACCCCCGACAGAACCTGTCCCTGTCTCCTCTTGTCACCCCCAACAGAACCTGTCCCTCTCTCCTGGTGTCACCCATGATAGAACCTGTCCCTGTGTCCTCGTGTCACCCATGACAGAACCTGTCCCTGTGTCCTGGTGTCACCCCCGACAGAACCTGTCCCTGTGTCCTGGTGTCACCCCTGACAGAACCTGTCCCTCTCTCCTGGTTTGCAGGTTGTGCAGTTTGTTATTCACAAATACACATTTATTTTCTGTTGAACCGTGGTTAGTAGAAGCTAATTGGCAGTGCATAAAAACATGCAGAAGAGAACACACACCTGCCTGAATTCACAATATTCAGAAACTGACTGAGGAAGATGCACGGGTCTGTTATGTGCAGTGGGGCTGCCGTCCAAACAATGTTCTGTGTTCGGAGGCGGCACACAGATGCAATTACGGATTCCACAGACAAGTTGTAACTGACAGTGGTGACCACTATGTCCTCGTGACTTTATTTTTGCTACCCCTCCTGGCTAGGTGACAGAGATGGGAGCCGAGTGGGTGTTTTCAAAGATTCGCTTTGGAGCTGAGTGGAGAAGGGTGCTCTCCTGGCTCCCGCATGTCTGAGAAAAGCCTGAGGGCCGCTGGGGGAGGGCGTGCCTCTAACTCGTGGGCACCAACCCTGGAAGTGTGGAGGGAGAGTGGGGGCGTGGGGCCTCTCCCTCCAGGATCCCAGGGTGCTCCAGGCCAGGACGGGCAGGGTGCCACAGCAGCCTCGATCTCATTCACGAAACCCACAGGCGTGGCCTAGGGTTTGGGATGCACGCCACGATTTTCTCTCTCAGAGTGAAGGGACCACTTCTGTGAATGAGCTCACCTCCAGGGGCCAAGATGGGAGCCATGAGCCCCGCCGCTCCGGCCACTCCAGCCAGGTCTGGGAAGGGCTGTGGTGAGTCGGTGCTGGCCGTGTGGGCGAGGTGACCCGTCGGTGACAGGGCCTGCTCCCTGCGAGGTCGGGTGGTGCCCGGGCCGGGCGGAGGCTCTTCTCGTGCTCAGGGCCGGTTTCTGGTGTGCTCCCGATGCGCTTGGCTCTTTTCTCGAGGCCGTGCTTGTCTGAGGCCAACCAGGGACCAGGAGGCAGCGTCCTGGTGCCCAGCACCTCTCCTCAGTGTCCCTCGTCCCCACAGACCGGATCAGGGCCTGGCGAGCCTCTGTGCCTGCCGTGCGGTGTGAGGACCCGCGGACCCCAACCCGCCCTTCCCTCCGTCCTGACCCGGCGCCAGGCTCAGCTCCAGGGCGAGGTCCTCTGGAGTCATGTTCGTTCTGCGTGGCTTGGCCGTGACTGTGGGGACTGGGCTGCCCACGGACAGAAAGGAGAAACGCAGCCTGTGACCAGGAGACGCAGCCCAGGGTGGAGCCGCGCTGGGGCCAGGGAGGCCGAGGAGGGCAGGAGTCCGAGGGTGTAAGGGTGCCAGGGCCTTCCGGGTCTCAGGCTTCGGGACCTGGGGAGCCACCCTGTTTGGTGACCACTCGTCCTCGGCCTTTTCAACACAAGGGCTTTGGAGTTGTGATGGGCTGTTATCGGGTGATTCCGGTGGCCACTCGTCTGTGATCGGGTGATTCCGATGACTGCTCGTCTGTGATCGGGCGATTCTGGTGACCGCTCGTCTGTGATCGGGTGAGTCCGATGACTGCTCGTCTGTGATCGGGTGATTCCGATGACTGCTCGTCTGTGATCGGGCGAGTCTGGTGACCGCTCGTCTGTGATCGGGTGAGTCCGATGACTGCTCGTCTGTGATCGGGTGATTCCGATGACTGCTTGTCTGTGATTGGGCGATTCCGGTGGCCGCTCGTCTGTGATCGGGCGATTCCGGTGACCGCTCGTCTGTGATCGGGTGAGTCCGATGACTGCTCGTCTGTGACCGGGCGATTCCGGTGACCGCTCGTCTGTGATCGGGTGATTCCGAACCGCACATTCAGAGTTGTTTTCAAATGTTTCCGCACGTTAGTTCTGCCTTTCACACGCGGTCCAGCCAGGTTCAGCGGGGGCACAGGGCTGGGCTTGGGCACCCCCCGCCTTCCCCAGGCCGGTGAGGTGACATCCTAAAGGAGCCACGAAGCCTGAGGTCCATTTTTCCTTGCTCTTTATTTCCAGGCACTGAACTTCCCAGCCCTGCCGTGGAAGCTGCCTGCCAGGTCCTCCCCATCCTCAGGTGGAGGCTTCTCTGTTGAGGGGCCTCGGAGACCGCCCCCCAGCCCTCAGCGGACCATGCTGGCTGGGAGCTCCGCCCTGGGGCTTCTGCTCTGCTCAGGTAGGGGGAGTCCTTCCACGGAGCTGTGGCCGCAGCAGGTGCACTCTTGGGAGTCGGGGAGGCGGGTGGTGCTCATGCGTGCCAGTGAGGGAGGGGCCTCGCCACCCTCCTGTACTGTGAGCCTGGCCCTGGGCAGCCCTCTGCCCTGGCCAGAGCCTGACCGTAGCCACGGGCTAACAGGCTCTGGAAAAGTTTCCCCAGGACTGCCGCAGGCTCATCCGCAGGTAGACTCCAGAACCACGGCCCAGCAGGTCACACGTGTGGCTGTGGCTGTGTGCGTGCCAAGGGACAGTGGCAGTGTGCCATTGTGACAGCGGGTGGCCACACCCGTCAGCCTCCCCAGGAGGGAGCAGGAGCGCCGGCTTCTCCCCAGGTGCAGACAGGCAAGGGCGGGCCGCCTGGGTGTGTCCTGGCAGTGTGGAGTGTCCTGGATGGGCTCTGCTCAGCCCCCTGCTGGCAGAGAAACCCCCACAGACACTGCAGGACTGGGGGTCCTCCCTAGTGTCCTGCTCTCCGGCGGGGGGGATTGGCCAGGAGAGGTTAGGCTGAGCCATTTTGGGAGAGTTGAAGAAGGTGCTTGGGCTGTGGCAATGGGAGGTCTGCGAGCAAACAGGGTGCAGCTAGTGAGGACGGGCGAACGGGAGGGCCGGGCAGAGGCTCTGTCACGCGGTGAGGCGAGGAGTGTCTCGGCACTTCGTGTCTCTTGCCTGGCAACACCACAGGGACCGGACATTCTGAATCTTCCCAGACCCGCTCTGAGAACATAGGCAGCCACCGCATCTTCTCAGGAAAGCAAAGCGAGCCTACTCTACCCTCACAGTCCAAGCCACTGTGGTCAGCCGGGAAGCCGCCCACTGCCCCTGACGGCTTTCGTTTTACCTAGGTTGCCCTTGGCACAGAGCTGGCCTGTAGGCATGTGTGCACAGGTGTGTCCATGTGACCGGCTTCCCCACACATGTGCCAGGCGCCCAGCACCCCCGCCAGGTGGCCTCACTCTGCCCTCTGCCCAGGAAAGCAGGAAGGCCCCGTGGTGTCCGCTGCACACAGGACAGGCCTCGGGCCCCACAGACACCTCCCACGTCCGGTGTGGGGCCAATTCCGTGTTAGTTGCCTGCTGGTTGGGGTTAGCTCCTGCCACCCTCAGGGCTCCTGGAAGGTGTCTGCCGCTCAGGAGGTCAGCACAGCCTCCTGTTGCCATGACAGCCAGCTGCTTTAAAACGCCCCTTTGACCTGCAAACCACGTGCCCAGTGTGGTGTGATCCGCGAGACACTTTGGAAATGGCTGAGGACGAGGCAGGTGTATTAGGAGGGTCAGCGAACTGGGGCCCAAACCTGGTTTGAGAGGGGAGTGCTGGGGGCATCCGGTAGGAGGAGGGGCAGGAGGGAGGCCTGGGCCTGGCCGCCCCCCAGCCCCCTCTGGGGCACCCGTCTGAGTTCTGCCCCAGTTAGTACAGGAATGTAATGAAGTGCGAGGTGACAGAGTCCCTGCTCTGGGGACACCGGCAGTGCCGCGAGGCATGGAGCGGGGGCTACTTGCCCCCTTGCACCTTCTGGTCGTAGGTGCCTGCGTGCTTGTAGCCGGACACATAGCCTGACTCGTCCACCAGATCCACGCGGCCAGCCTTGCCCTTGCCCTTGCCAGAGGGGTCGAAGCGCTCCTTGTGGGAGCCCGTGAACTTGGTGGTGTCCGTGAGCCTCGACACTGTGGGCGACGAGATGGCTTTCTGCAAGAGGAGCAGGAGGAAGGGGGCAGGTGAGTTGCGAGCCAGGTGAGGCCAGCAAGTGAAATGGCTGTGCCCTGGGCAGGTCTCCCAGCGGTGGGGCACTGGGCAAGGGGCATAAACCCTGGGATTTATGCCCCTTTTAATTCTTATTTTTACCTCTCCTGACCCTGGGGCAGCCTTGGGCCTGCGGGGTGCCACAACCCTAACAATTGCCCAGGTCCACCTGGTGTTTATGTAGTTGGGGACCCCACCACCTGCACCCTCAGAGGGAAGGGGCTGTCAGAACAGCCAGGCCCCACCCTCCAGGCTATGCCCCCCCAATCCATGCCCCTTCAGACCAAGCCTCCCCAGGACCCCCCCAGGCCACGCCGACCTGGCCATGCCTCCCAGGACCCACCCACCCCCTCCCAGGCCAACTCCCAGTCCATGCCCTTCCTGACCACGCCTCCCCAGGCCTCACCCTCCAGGCTATGCCCCATTCATGCCCCTTCTGACCACACCTCCTCAGACCCCACACCAGGCCACGCCCTCCTGACCACGCCTCCCAGGACCCCCCCCAGGTCACGCCCCCAATCCATGTCCCTCCTGACCACCCCTCCCCCAGGCACCACCCACCTTCCAGGCCCCGCCCCCACCCCCTCCAGGCCCCGCCTTCCATCCCCGCCCTGCTCACCGTCACCCCTGAGATGATGGGCGCCTTGCCCTCGATGAGCCTGTGCACCTCGCGAACGGCCTCCTCGCTGCTCTTGTCTTTGAATCGCTTCTTGGCGAGCTCCTCCAGCGCCTCCTGGAACTGCTCAAAGGTGATGGTCCGGCAAGACTTCCCTCTACAGGGGCACAGGCGACTTAGGGCTGGGCGCGGGCCGGCCCAGGGCTGCCCTCCCCACGCGTGGGTCTGAGCAGAGCTGGACAGCCATGGCCCAGCAGCCCACAGGCTTCACCCACAGGCGGCCGCCCTGGTAGCACTGCAAATCCAAACTGTCTTGGAAGAAAGCTTGGCGGAAGCAGGTCCTCTATAAAGCTGGATGCTCACACGGCCCTGCAGGCCGCTCTGACACAGGGTGTGTGCGGGTCTGCACTCTGCTGGGGCAGTGCCGGAGGCCATTAGGCAGCGGAGCCCACCTCCTCCTCCCGGGGCCACCACAGCCCCGCCCAGCTGCGCCGGGAGCTGGGGGTCCTAGGACCTGCTGGGGCCCCGGCTCTGCCTGTGTGTGTTGGGGTCCTAGGTGGAGGTGTCCCCCACACAGGAACATGGTTAGGAGGGGCTGCCGCCCCCGGACACTTGGCAGCATGGGCGCAGGCCCACGCCTCAGATGCCCTGGCTCCAAAACCCGCCAGGCGGCCCCGCTGTGCCCTTGCACTGCTCTGGCCTCAGAGGTGCAGAGCCCGGTGGGCCGGAGGTGCCATGAGAAGCTTCTGGTCACACAACACGCCACATCTAAACACAGTCCACGCCTTACAACATCCTCCCACCACAGGCCATTCAGGCAATTTTAGAGGGTTCTAAACTGACTCTTGGTTTTTATATAATAATTCTAATTAGAAAACATTTTTCTCCTCTGACCAGATCTACCACAACTAACCCAAAGTGGGGTTTTTCAGTGTTTAAAACAAGAGATCCTGTGGATGAGGCTCAGCTCTGCAAAAGGCACCTGCATTTCACCAGGGAAGCCTCTGGACAGCGCGAGAAAGGCTGCACCCAGCAGGCCAAGCATTCCGAGGGCACTCCCAGCTGCAGAATCCACAGTGACCAAGAGTCAGGGGACAAATGACCCATAAAACCCCAGCAAGCCTTTCCAGAAGTCAGTGAGCAGAGGGCCTAGAATAGCCAAAACGATTTCAAGAAATGAGAACAGAGTCAGAAGACTGACTACCCAACTCCAAAGCTCATCGAGGCTTGACTGCAAAGTGGCAGCGACGTGGGCACGGGCACGCGGCCAGCCCCGCAGCCCAGGGGGAGTCTGGCTCAGCCACATGCATGCTGCCCCCCCGATGTCTACAGGTGCAGAGGCAAGCCAGAGAGAAAGGACTGTTTCTTCCACAAGTGGAGCTGGAGCAACTGGTGATCCCTGTGCAAATTAAAATGCACTTTGGTCTATACTGCACACTATATACAAAACTAACTCAAAATAGATGACGGTCCTAATTATGAAACTAAAACTTCTAGAAGAACACCAAAGAGAAGATCTCTGTGACCTGGGGTTAGGCGAAGATTTCTTAGAAATGGCAACAAAACATGGCCTATAGTGGAAAAAATGGATGAACTAGACTTCATCAAAACGTTCGAAACTCTGCTCTCAGAAGACACCGTTAAGGGAATGAGAAGACAAGCCACAGACTAGGAGACATGCCTGAGAAAGGACTTGTCTCTGAGATACACAAAGGAACCTTAAAACTCAGCAGTAAGAAAAAAAATCCATGTGAAAAGACGGGCAGAATATTTGAAGCAGACACCACCAGAGAAGACACGTGCATGCAGACAAGCACACGGAGAGGGGTCCGCGTGGGCCCCATCAGGGAAGTACAGACAAGCACACGGAGAGGGGTCCGCGTGGGCGCCGTCAGGGAAGTACCGACAAGCACACAGAGAGGGGGCCGTGTGGGCGCCGTCAGGGAAGTACCGACAAGCACACAGAGAGGGGGCCGTGTGGGCGCCGTCAGGGAAGTGCGGACAAGCACACAGAGAGGGGGCCGTGTGGGCGCCGTCAGGGAAGTACCGACAAGCACACAGAGAGGGGGCCGTGTGGGCGCCGTCAGGGAAGTACCGACAAGCACACTGGAGAGGGGTCCGCGTGGGCCCCATCAGGGAAGTACCGACAAGCACACGGAGAGGGGTCCGCGTGGGCCCCGTCAGGGAAGTACCGACAAGCACACGGAGAGGGGTCCGCGTGGGCGCCGTCAGGGAAGTACCGACAAGCACACAGAGAGGGGGCCGTGTGGGCGCCGTCAGGGAAGTGCGGACAAGCACACGGAGAGGGGTCCGCGTGGGCGCCGTCAGGGAAGTACCGACAAGCACACAGAGAGGGGGCCGTGTGGGCGCCGTCAGGGAAGTGCGGACAAGCACACTGGAGAGGGGTCCGCGTGGGCCTCGTCAGGGAAGTACCGACAAGCACACAGAGAGGGGGCCGCGTGGGCGCCGTCAGGGAAGTGCGGACAAGCACACGGAGAGGGGGCCGCGTGGGCGCCGTCAGGGAAGTGCAGATGGAAACCACAGCGAGGCCCCTGCACACTCTCCAGGGGGCTCAGACAATCAAATAAACTGCCGGCACCTCGAGCTGAGCAGGCCGCGGGGTGGGGGCCTCGTCCACACCCGGCCGAGCAACGCGGCAGAGCCACTGTGGACAGCTTCTCATCACAGCCAAAGGTGGCCCAGCAGTCCCGTTCCTGGGTCCTTGCTCAAGAGAAATGAAAACAGAGGCTCACACATAAACGCAAATGTTTACCACTGTTCTGCTCGTAGTCACCAAACCCCAAACAATCCAGTGCCCTTCAGCAGCGGCCAGACCACAGTGCTGTGATGTGTGCGCACGTGGACAGCACCCCCACCCCTCGAGAACAAGCCCAGGATACGCACCCAACGCGGTGGGTGCCAAGTGGCCAGGCTTGGAGCCAGGCACGGAGGTGCCGCTGGGTGATTCCCAGACCCCAAGGCGGATGCTGTGTTTAAACAGCACCTGAGGGTTCCCATACACTTTACACGCGTGTCCTAAAGACACAACAGACACCATCAACAGCGCTGAGCCAAAGAAGAAATCGCGCTGAGAAACACACCAAGTGCTCGGGGTCCCACAGCTCAGACCCTCACGCCTCATGGGGTCCCAGGGAGGGGAGCGGAGGCCTCGCTGTGTCCGGAGGGGGCTTTGGGGAGACAGAGCCCCAGGGCGGGGCCTGGACTGCTGAGGGCAGCCACGCAGGGCACATTCCAGACCCGCCGGCCATAGGGCGCTGTTGTCCAGCAGCATCCCCCAGGGGGCGCTGGTGAGCCCGGTGAGCCGGAGGTGCCCTGGGCAGCTCTGTGGCGTGGGGGTCCGCGGTGTTGGGGGTGGATTTAGCCCCTTGACGCGCTCGGCGTGGACACCCGCACGTTCCCTGTGGTGCTAGAAGAGCCAGGCCACCCCAGGCAGCCCACAGTGCCTGGAACTGACAGTGCCCATTGGGCCCTGTGGGGGTGTTGACTCTCTGGGGCCCTTGGGGCCTCTGTCTGTCCTGGGCCGTCAAAGGCTCTCCTGTCTTCTATTCCCACCCTGCCCAAGCTGACATGCGGACGCCAGGCCTGACTGCCAGCCTGGTGACCAGTGCTGAGGCACGCAGCCCTTTCTGACGGCCTCGGAGCCAGGCACCACCAGCATGAGTCACTCGGCGGGAGGGGGATGGCTGAGGGGCTCCCCCATCAGAGGCGACATTCAGATCCGGACACCTGCTCTGCGCGCTCCCCGAGTGTCTCGGGGAAAGGGCGCCCGGGTCTCTGCCCCACACGGGCGGGGAGCTCTCCCCAGGAGACCCGGGTGCCCCCCGCCTGGGGCAGTCCTCAGGAGTTCTAGGACAGCGGTGCCTGCCTCTTCCCCAGAGACACTCAGTCTGGCTGCCCGGCTCTCCTGACATAGAGTGGGCCTGTCCTCCAGAGACCAGGGTGCTGGAGGAGCCTCCGAGTGTGGAGCTCGGCATCCTCATTGCCCATGCTCTCCCCAGCCCGGCGCCCTGCCCCAAAGCCGGCCCAGCAGGACGCAGCCGCTGCTCATACACGATGCCCTGCGGGGCCTGGACTTGCTTCCCAGGCTCTGAGTCCCCTGGCCTCTGGGCCTGGTTCAGTCTCTCAGGGACACTGGGACCCGGCCTGGGGCCTCCAGGAGCTGGGCTCAGGCCAGGACAGCCCTCCGAGGACTGAGGCCTGTTCCTCCGGGGCGGACGTCACAGGCCCCGCTGGGCTCGGGACTGTGCATCCAGCACCCTTGTGAATCAGGAATGCCCTCCCATGGTGCCCTCTCTGAGGGGCGGGGGCCGGCGGGCGAGGTGACAGCTACCAGCTCCCCTGGGCTCTCTGGGCCTGCAGCTGCTGTGGCTGGAGTGCCCTGTCCAGAGGCTGCCACAGGTGGGAAGCTGGGGGCTGTGGAGGGGAATCTCTGGGGAAACAGCCTCTCCCTGTACTTAGGCGAGTCTGAGAGAGAGGGGCTGCGGCTCCCCCAGGGCACCAACCTCTGGGATCTTCCATTAGCCCCTGAGACCTGAGGAGGCTGGGAAGGACTCCCTGGCTGCTGGGCCCCACGGGGGGAGGGGGAGCTTCTGGGGAGGTTCCTACCTGGTAGGGACGCGGCCTTAGGGGAGCCCTGTCTGGCATCGCCATCCTGCACGTCGCTCCGAGTTCTCACTGCTCCAGGAGGGTCCAGTGGTCCCGTTCCAGCAGGACCCAGCCTTGGGGTTCCCCATGCCTGTTGGCCGCCCCTGCCTCCCGCAAGCCCCAGCAAGATACAGAGGACCTAGAGCAACGTTTCCCGGGGCCGACAGAGGTCGGTGGCAAGCCCTCCAGGCCCTGCCTATTCTCCCCTCATAAGTGACTCCACCAGCAGCTGAGCACCTGGGGGCAGGTGAGGTGATGTCTGGCCACCTGAGAGGGCTTCTCCCCTCATCTCAGGAAACCGGAGCCCTTCCTGCACCCTACTTGGCTCAGAGGATGGATGGCAACGTCCACTGGGCCACGGCAGCTCAGGCCCCAGGGCGGGCTGAGGGCCAGGGCCCTCCCATTGCTGCACCAGCTCTAACCCCAGGCACACCCACCATGAAGCCCCCACACAGCCGGTCGGGGGGCTGCCTGAGCTCCGGAGGTCTGGCTACCGAAGGCTCCCCCCTGCCTGAGGGGCCGCCTGGGATCAGCGCACTGTCTCCCTCTGGGCGCACACCCTGCGCTTGCTGCTAATTAATTTTGCGTTGCTGCCGGCCTTTTCGTTTTCCTGGGGAGGGGCGGGGGTGGGGCGTGTGTAGTCACCGCCCTGTGGACATCACTAGGAAGAGGTGGCCCTTGGTGGGACGTGGACTTGGGGCCCAGAGGGACCCCGGGCAGATCTGAGGGGCCCGACCTTCTCTAGGGGGCCCCAGGGGCTCGGCTGCCTCCATCCACCCCAGTCTCGGCCTGGGCAGGGCTTTGGTCTGTGCACCTGAAGTCAGTTTCTGGCTGTTTGTTTGGAGATCACCTTCTCAAATGACCTGTGTTGCCTGGTCAGGCTCATGGGGCAAAGTGGACAGCCAAGGCCACGCCCACCACTGGCCAAGCGCAGGAGACGGGTGCCTGTCGCCGCACAGTGCTCTGGGGATTGCTGGTGCTGCCCGGCCTGCAGGGTACAGGAGCCACAGGCCTTGACTGTGAGGCCACAAGCTCCTGAACCCTCAGCCACAGACGTCCATGGCCAAGGGTCCCCCCGCAGGGGCTCCACTCTGCGGAAGCCACGTTCATCCTGCCCTGCCAGGCGTGGCCACTAGAGGCTCCCCAAAGACAGAACTGGCCCCAGGGCTCCAGAGCCGCCGAGTGCAAGCCCGGGACAGGGTGGCACCCACAGCAATGGAGGGACAGGGTTGGGTGTGGGGAGTGCAGCCCACCCTTCCCCCGGGCTGGGTACCACGGGGGAGGGGGAGGGGAGCAATGCAGCCCTGAGGCTCCTGGCCCCTTCCAGGGAAGCTGACACCTGCTTTTCTGGGATGGACAGACAGGAGGACGTCACACACAGTGCTCTGAGGACCTCACTTGCCCTGTGGCGGCTGCCCTCCAAACACACTGTGACCTGGATTCTCTCCAAACCTGGGTCCTGCTCCTGGGAGGTGGTTGGGTTGGCTTCCGTACTGGGAACAGTCCGAAGACTTTAGGACAAAGTGTCCTACCGGCCCTCCACACTTGGGGTGACCACAGACCCCAGTGCCGGCTGGCCGGGGGGGTGTACCAGGCTCAGCAGCCCTCCACGCTCGGGGCAACCGCAGACCCCAGGGAGCCTGGCCCTGCTGTTCTCAGTCTCCCACTGGCCCTGGCTTCCTTCTAACCAGCGTCCAGGTATCAGTCTAACCCCCAAGCCAAGCCACCACCCAGTATCCACCCAGGTGTCTATAGGAAACGTCAGTGCATTTACTTGGGAAAATACACCACACCCAGCACACAAGCGTGGGTCCTGGGGGAGGCCAGGGCTCCCAGCCAGCTGAGACCGCAGCCCAGCCCTCCTTCCTCTGCCTCATCGGCTGGGTGCCCCCACCTGAGCTAGATGGACCCATAGGGGGCCAGTGAGCAAGGCTGGCAGACCCTCGCCCAGAGGCTGGTGGTGTTTGGTGCAGTTGGGGAGGCAGCAGCTGAGCCTGACCCCAGGGGTCCTGAGGCACCCATGGCATGGGCCCCTCCCCAGGCTCGAGGAGGCGCTGGGAGATTCGCTGTCCATGGCTCTACCGGGCCCCACTCCCACCGCCCGTGGTCCGGTCCCGCCTGTGCACGCTATGCCTCCATTAATATTTTAAAGCTGCCACCGCACGCTCTTTGCAGGAGGGAGTCATTGTCTGGGTTAACAGTAGGCTTCAACAAAAACCTGGCGTAAGGCTGCAAGAAATTTGTTTAAGATTTAACACATAGTAACATCAAAACAAACAAGCGCTGCCATGGCAACGAGGACTAAACAAAGGCTCGCAGATACCCCGAGCTGGCGCCACGCCGGTGGAGCCATGGCAACCTGCCCTGAAAACAGAAATCGGTAGACTTTTTCTCCACAAGTCCTGTCAGAGTCAGCAGCTTTCTGCAGTACCGAAGGCCACTTCCTCACGGTCCCCAAGCTCCTGAGGGAGGCAGAGGCTCCCACAAGTGACAGTGGGCACCCCCTCCCCAAAATGCAAAACAAAAGCAACTCCCACAGGCCCGCCGCCACCACCCCTTGCTTTCCCCGGAAATCGAAGGAAAATCTCTAGTGTCCCCAACGCCTCGTGGTGGCCCTGCTCCTCTCTCTTCCTGAGACAAGGGTGTGAGTTTTTAGGCCCCTTGCTGCTGTACACCTGGGAGGTCAGGACCCCGTGCCAGGATCACAGGGACCCCCCGAGGGGAGTCCAAGCTGCAGGAGGGAAGGACAGTTTGAGGGTGGGAGAGAGGAGGAGGTGGGGGCAGCCCTGGGGGGCCAGGGTCACAGGGGTCCATGGCTGCAGGTGAATGGGGAGGGGGGGAGGTCAGAATCCCTTGGCCTCCCCTCAGGCCGGAGTCCCAGTCCTGGCCACCTGAGCTGCTGCCCGCAGGACAATCTCCCACACGGCGCCCACTCACGGTGCCCAGCCTGCCGACCAGGCTGCCCAGGACCGGGTCTCAGCCTCAACCCCTCGCTGGGCTTGGGCCACAGCTGTCTGCTCCCCCAGACCTTGACCCTCATGGTCAGCCAAGGCTGGCACACCCCAAGGCTGGTCCCCGGCCCCACACTGGGGAGGTGAATGTGCTGGAGCAGGGGGCCAAGCTTTAGCCCCCCAAGCGCCTGAGCAGCTCCAGCCCTGCCTCTGGGAACAGGCCCAGACCAGCTGGGGCTCCTCCGGCCTCCTGGGGTGCCAGCACCCCCACAAGCAGGCAGGGCTCCCATCATTCTCCAAATGAGCCACAGCCACCCAGCCCCACCCACCGCAGGGAGAGTTCTGCATGTGTGTGCAGGCGTGTGTGTGCACATGCGGCCATGTGCATGCACACATGCGCCATAGTTTGAAAGCAACTTTCTGCAGAAGGAATCACAGCCGGCACTGCACTTGGTGTGTCCGGGCCAGCGCCAAGGCTGTGCACATGGGGCCGGCCCTGCAGGGCTGACGGCCCCTGGACAGGCTCTTCCTACCTCCCGCCCAGCCCTTCTAGGAGCTTCACCCACAAGCACCATCTCCACACCGCTTTGCCCCGGGTCTGCTCCTGTGTATCCTGGAACACACATTGGGCGGCACAGAGGGCACCCAGGGACTCGTCCCAGATGTGTCCACACGCCCGAGCCTGCTGAGGAGCAGCTGCCAGGGCCCAGGAGCACGGGGCTGGGTCCCCTCCAAACAAGGACACCTGAGGGGGAGGAGGAGCACTGGGGGGCACAGGGGCCCTGGCAGCCAAGGGGAGGAGCTGCCCTGCCCTTGCCCACGCAGGCTCTGGACCTGGCGGCCACACTGCGAACCCCACCTGCTTCTGCGTGGGCTAAATATAGCCGACCCAGTTTCCCTCTCCCGGTCCGAGTGCCCGGGACACGTCCCCTTGGCAGAGTGAGTTCTGGGCTCAGGACAAGGGCACTGTCTGTGCCAGAGGCTCTGGCCCCTGACCTCCCGGGCACAGCCCAGGTCACTGCTGCCTGCCCATGGCTGGTGACCCACCAGAGCGGCCCTGGTCACCAGGACCTGCCAGCAGCTGGCTGGGGCCATCTACACAGGCCCACACCGCATGGCCCGCTGCTGCAGGAGGCTGCAGGTTTCCAGCAGGGGATGGCAGGCTGGTCTGTCCTCCAGGCAGAGGCTGCAGGTTTCCAGCAGGGGACAGTGGGCTGGTCTGTCCTCCAGGCAGCGGCTGACATAAGCCCTGTGGATGATGTGGGAGCTCCAGCGAGCCTGTGGGAGCTGCCCCTTGCCAAAGAGCCCACAAGCAAGGCCTGTACTGCAGAGTCAGGCGCCAGTTGCTTCAGCCACAGTCCTGAGGGAGGTGCAGCCCTGAGAGTCAGTCCACAAAGGATCTGTGGCCGGGGGAGCAGTGAGGGGGGCACAGTGTGGCCGGGGGAGCAGTGAGGGGGGTACAGTATGGCTGGGGGTGCAGTGTGGCCAGGGGTGCAGCATGGGGGGTTCAGTGTGGTCAGGGGTGCAGCACGGGGGGTACAGTGTGGCCAGGGGTGCAGTGTGGCCAGGGGTGCAGTGTGGCTGAGAATGCAACATGGAGGGTACGGTGTGGCCAGGGGTTCAGTGTAGCCGGGGGTGCAGTGTGGCTGGGGGTGCAGTGCAGGGGGTACAGTGTGGCCGGGGGTGCAGCCCAGGGGGTTCAGTGTGGCCAGGGGTGCAGCGTGGGAGGTACAGTGTGGCCGGGGGTGCAGTGTGGCTGGGGGTGCAGTGTGGGGGTGTGCAGTGTGGCCGGGGGTGCAGCGCAGAGGGTGCAGTGTGGCCAGGGGTGCAGTGTGGCCAGGGGTGCAGCACGGTGGGTGCAGTGTGGCTGGGGTGCAGCACAGGGGGTGCAGTGTGGCCAGGGGTACATTGTGGCCGGGGCTGCAGTGTGACCAGGGGTGCAGTGTGGCCGGGGATGCCGTGTGGCCGGGGGTGCAGTGTGGCTGGGGGTGCGGTGTGGCCAGGGGTGCAGCATGGGGGGTACAGTGTGGCCGGGAGTGCAGTGCCAGAGGTGCAGGCTGTTGGACGGACCCTCGAGGGCTGAGCCCCAGCCCTTGTTGGGCCCCTGCTGGTCCCCTTGCTCTGGCAGGCTCCTTGTGCCTTCCTGGTCTCAAGGGGCCCCAGGGATGAGTGGTCCTGGGTTAGTGTGGGCTCCAACCGCTAAGGTGTTGGCAAATGATGGCCCTTTCCGAGGCCGGGGAGCACAAGGTTGCATGACTACCTACACAGAGGGGCCAGCCACAGCCTCCTCTCACACCGGCCAGTGGCTGAGCCCATGAGGACACTGAGGCTGGGAAGCCACAGAGGAGGTTGGCGGGGCCACTGGGACTGGACAGGGTCAAGGATGAGACCAGCTCGCACCCGGGGCCCTGGATGGAGCCTCCCCTCCAGCTTCTCTGGGACTGAGGCTGGGAGCTGTCAGGAAGACGAACAGGACTCGCTGGCCCTGGTTGCCTCTGCCGTCCCCTAGAGCTGGGGGAGCCTGCAAGGCAGTCAGCTGGAGAGAGGGTCCGGGTTCAGGCATCCTTCTGAGCAGTTTCATGGCTTTTCTGGCATAACTTTCCAAACCCCAAATGCCCTCGGATGCACTCAGATGCGCCGTACACAACAGGAAGCTCAGCAGGACACGCAGTCTAGGAACATGCACGACCCAGGAGACACCCAAGACCCAGGGGATGTGTGACCCGGGAGACACATGTGACATCGCCACGGAGCACAGCAGAGACGGAACAGCTGCAAAGGTCACGGCGCCCACCCAGAGCTGGTAGATGGGGCGCTGGCGCCGCAGAGGTGGGCCCCACAGCCTTCCACACAGGGGCATCTGACCCACGGCCCGGCCCCTTGCAAAGCCAAGGCCGCAGAGGGGGAAGGTGCAGGAGCTCTGAGATGAAAGAGGTGATGAGTTTGCGGCAATGTAGGAATGAAATACATCGGCCACAGGAGGACGCAGGTGCAAACCACCGAAATAAAGCCATTGCCACACAGGCGGACAGGACGGGGCTCAGGGAGAACCGCTGCTTTTCTCGGGTGCGATCATGGTGGGGTGTCGGGACATGAGGTGAAATGTGCTGGGGCGTGTGAGGGTGCCTCAGTGTGCTTCCCAGCATTCATCCAGGAGAAAACAGACAATGCGTGACACGGCAACAGACGTGTGCACACATGACACAGAAACGCACGTGCACATGCAGAAACACATGCACACATGCGCACACGTGCACACACGACACAGAAACGCGCACACACGACGCAGAAACATGCACACACGACGCAGAAACGCGCACGCGCGCATACACGACGCAGAAACGCACGCGCGCACACGACGCAGAAACGCGCACACGTGCACACAGAAACGCACACACGACGCAGAAACGCGCACACGTGCACACGCAGAAACGCGCACACGTGCACACACGACGCGGAAACGCACACACGTGCACACAGAAACGCGCACACGTGCACACGACGCAGAAAAAGCAAACGGCACGATGCGGTTTCAAGGTGGTGGCCGGAGCCGCCTCCTTGGTGCCCTTTGCCATTTTGCCGCCCGTGGGAATCCTGGGGCAGAAATACAGCAGCACAAAGGCTTTGGGAGGGGCTGGGGGACACCCGAATGGCCAGCTCCATGCATGGGGACACAAGCATCCAACCTCTGAGACTCAGCCGCTGAGCCAGCCCACAGAGGGTCAGGAGCTCTGCCCGCCAGCAGCCACCTGCCCCTCCAGGCTCCAGGCAGCCACTGCCCCCACTCCTGGGGAAGCCCAGTGATCCCAGTCACAGCTCCCTGACTCCGGGGAGCAGCATTCACCCCGAGTCTGCTCTGAGGCCAGACATCCCCTCATAGGCCACCTCCCATGCCGAAACCCTACACACCCACGGGGCTGAGAGGAGCCAGGGCTGCCACTCAGGCCTCGGCACCGAGAAGTCCGGCAATGCCCGGACCCCTGCTCCCTGGGGGCCCAGATGGCACGTTCAGGCTCCCATGTCAGGGCTGCTTCTGAGAAGGGCGGGGTCTTGAAGCACAACCCCCTCCACTCCCCATGGCCCGCTCCCCACAGAACCCACCCAGGGGCTCAGGGCCGCAGACCCCCGTAAGTCAGGTCCCTCGGCCCGTGAGCCCAGCGCACTCACTTGATCTTGCTGAAGACGATGTCCACGTCAGTGACGGTCACGTTCCTGCCGTCGATCACCTGGCAGTCCTTGCACAGCTTCGACCAGTTCTTGCCGTGCATCTCCCTCCCGGTGGCCCTGGCGTCCCCGTGCACGGCAAAGCGCCGGAAGGCCTCCTCCAGGGCACTGAGCTCAGGGGATGCGGCTGCCCCCTCACCAGCACCCTCCGATTCCAGCGACAGCCTCTTGGCTGCCCGGTCCTTCGAGGGGTCCCCCGGGGACTTGGGGGGCGTCCTGTTGGCAGCTTTGGCAGGCTTGGCCTTGTCAGCCATGTTGCTATGGAGGAAGGAGAGGAGAAAGGTGTCACCCGGGCCATGTCCCAGCTGAGCCGGGTGCAGCCCAGGAAACCCCGCCGTACCAATGAGCACCAGGACGTGGCGAGGGCTGAGATGGGCAGGCCCTCCTGGGGCTGGGCGTGAGGCCCCTCAGACCCTTGGAGCCAGCTGCCCCGCAGGCACGCATGTCCAGCCCCGGGCAGAGTGGAGCCAAGCGAGGCCTTGCCCACTGCCATCATTGGGCCAAGGACCCCCTAAGCCAAATAAAGCCAGCAGCACGCAGAGCCCAGGGTGGGAGCTGAGCTGGGTGCCAGGGGCTCCAGGCCTAGGAGGCTCAGTGTGTGACTGGCAGCATCAGAGCCTATTCCGGGTCCCCTCCCCGCCGCAGTTCCACTGTCCCTCCTGTGGACGCCCGCTCTGCAGCTCTGGAGGACACCTCGGGATCACGCACTCCCCAGGGTCTGTGACGTGCTGCCTTCCTCTGGGAGGGTCCACAGCAGTCGTGCGACAGCCGCTCCCTCCCCACTGCAGAGCCTCTGACCTTAGATGGAGCTTTAGGCTGGGGAGGGTGCGTGGTGGCCCTGGGGGCGCCTCAGGATGCTCTTCCCAGGAGCCCTGGGCCTGGCCCCGGCCAGGGGAGGGGACTGCCAGTGTGCAGGGCTGAGGCAGTGGTGGGGGCACCGGTGTCAGGGCGCAGGGACGCCCTCTGGACTTTGCAAGGCGCCCGCCCCCAGAGTAGGCGGCTGGGCCATGGGGTTGAGAAGACTGAGGGGTGCCACCCAGGCAGGGCTTGGGGACGCAGGGCTACGCCACAGGGCAGGGCTGCCGAGGCCACCTCCCTACCATGCATGGGCTTCGGTAAGACCCAGTCAGGCCCTGAAGGACTCAAGGCTGAGGTGCTGGACTCAGGGCATGAAAGCTGCTTCCCAAAGGGGCCTGGACACCAGGTGGGCCGTCAGCACTGCACTGAGAGCTGAACATGGCCTCTGCCCACAGACACAAGAGCCGGTGGGAGGGTCCGTGCCGAGGACACAGGTAGGTGTCCCAACCCTGGGACTCACGAAGCCCTCTCAGATCTGGAGTTCTCAGCGCCAGTCATGGCCAAAGTGTGGCTCTGTAATCGTGGGGTCCTGAGTGTGGCCGCTGCTGACCCTGAGATCCCACAAATTCCCCCAAAACAGCCAGAAAAAAATCCAGGGGCACTCCCTCCACTGAGGACCTTAAGGGCCTCAGGCCCCACCCACTCACCCCTTTCCCTGGAAGGCACCAAAAATGCAGATGCCAACCCAGCGGAGGATGCAGGGGCAGGATCCTGGTGGGGGCTGGGCCGCGTGGGGGCAGGATCCTGGGGGTGGAAGGGCCGCCTGGGGGCAGGATCCTGGGGGTGGAAGGGCCAGGTCAGGTGTCGAGCTGGGAACAGTTTCCAGTTTTATCGCTGACACCATTTCTTTGTCTGAAACAGGAGCTTCTCACAGGCCTGGTCTGTGTTTCCCCTGGGCCTCTGCAGCAGGGGTCGCTGGACAGGAGGAGCAGCTGAGAAATTACCAGAAGCAATGGTGGGTTTTGTGAGCACCCAGAACAGTGGTGGGTGTGCGGGTCAGAGAGAAAGAACCTTCTGGGATGCTTCAAACTCAGGGCTGCGTTCTGTGGTCTCATCTCCTGTGGGGACGCGCCTGAACAGAGACCCTTATTCACACACCTCAGAGAGTCATCTGAGAACCTGCACCCCGTGGGGCCCGCCTGGGAGCAAAGGGATGAGGGAAGCCCCTCAGAGCCACCTTCAGGGCTCACGCAGGACTTCCCAGCCCATCAGCACGTGCTTTGCATGAGGTTTTGATAAGCTTGGAGGTTGGCCTTGGAGGGCTGAGCGGGACATAAAACGTCCTGCCCTCATGAGGCCTTCAGTTGGGACAAGTGATAAACAAATAAGCAATGACACATCAGGCAGCGAGGAGTGAAGAGGAGAAACTGAGGCAGGTCAGAGGGAGGCCAGCAGGCGATTTCAGACCTGGCGGAAGAGAATGTGCGTGAGCAGAGATGCGGACGGGTGGGAGTCACGACGCGTGAGAACGGTCCGGCCCGCGGCCCCTGCGCCCCTGCTGGGCAGGCACCACCTGTGCTAGGCTCAGCCCCTCTCAGCACAGCAAGCAGCATGAGATGGCACGCATGAGAGCACGGTGGGGGCCGTGGGGGAGAGGGCAGAAAGGAACAGGGGTCAGGCCATCGCCGGATCTACTGAAGACAGACACTGCCTTCAAACGTTCTGAGGAAAAATGCTTCAGGCTGGGACTTGGATACCCACGTCCACTGTCCCACTCAGGCTGAGGGGAGCAAGGCCACCTGCAGTGGGTGTGACCTCAGAGACGTGGCCACACCCCCTGCGGAGGTGCTTGGTGACTGGGCTTCCCAGGAAGACGAGGGTGACAGCCGTCAACAGCCGAGAAGAAGTAGTAGATGCAGGAACCCATGGCCGTCACACGGGAGTGAGTCCACGGGCGCTTGGGAGGGCTGAGAACCAGGCCCAGGCAGTTCCGGAGGGAAAAGTGGAACCCGTCCCAACTCAGCCCCAGCCTTTCTGCACCAAGGGGTGGAGCAGTGCCGACCTCAGACGCCAGCTGCCAGAAATGCTTCCAAAGCCCGCCTCTGCGTGGGGTGTGTGCTGAGGGGTCTCACGTGGGGACTCGCCTCAGAGCCCATCTGAGCTTCACTGTTCTAGGTTCTTGTAGTTTTGTTTTACCTCAAACATGCATTAGCTTAACAAAATATTTTTTAAAAGGTTTTTAAACTAAAAATGACAATGAATTAGGCACGACGTGCCGCTGTGGGAAGTCAGCCAGGCTGCTGCTGGGTCTGGAGGAGCAGGACACGGGCCACAGACACGGAGCAGGAGTGGAGGAGATGGGAGCCACACTGTCTGGATCGCTTCATTAGACCCACGTGCTGTTTCCACAATGACGGTAATAAGAATACATTTAATTTTGAGAGAACATGGAGGTGTCAGACGGACAACGAGCCTGGGTGGGCGCCTCTCCCTTGGCGCTCTCCACCGAGCATGGCATGCTGCTGTGCCAGCTGCTTCTCCTTGGATGGGCAGAGGCCAGGTGTCCTCCACTTTCCCAGTTTCTGGGCACAGCACACCTGAGCCCTGGGTGCAGACCCTCACACCATTTCCCCCAGAGGCTCTGCTCTTTCACCGTGAGGGAAAAGAAGGTTGTGTAGCAGAAGAGACTCCAGGAAGACAAACTGCTCACCTGGGGTCAAAGGACAAGCTCCCAGGCGTGTACCCACCATCTCCACGCGTGTGCCCTGAGCCCCCAGGGGGTCACCCTGCACTCCCAGGCCTGTGCCCACCATCCCACATGTGCCCAGCACTCCCAGGCCTGTGCCCGCCATCCCAGTTGTGCCTGTACTCCCAGGCCTGTGTCTTGCATCCAGATGTGCACCTGCACCCTCTCCCACTGGCCGGCACCTCCCTGGTAGGAGGGACGTGCCAAGCCCTGACCTGACCCAGGTGTCTGCTCACAGCACATGCCCCTTCCCTGGCCAGACCCTATGGGACCACAAGTGGGGCCTGGCCAGGACCTGCTTGGAGGCTGAGCCCACCCCACTCCCACCCACCCCCAGCGCCTCCCCAGGGAGTCAGGAGGATGGCACCTACGGGCTCACCCACGGGTGTGGGCAAGACTGTGTTGTCCAACTGGCATCTTCAAAAAAGGCTTGGAAAGGACAGAAGATGAGGGCAGAGGTGGCACCACAGACCTCAGAGTGGGGCAGGCAAAGGCAGACCCCAGAGGGTGGCTGTCCTAGGGAACGAAGCCTCCTCGCAGGCCAGGGAATGCCTGTCCCAGGTGTGTCACCAGCTCCAAGGACTCGGCCACCTAGGCGGGGCTTCGTCCCAGACACCGCAGGCCACCTTGGCCCCAACCCCACAGGCTGTCCCTGTTCCCAAGAGGCCCCACGGAAAATCACCTGGGCCCCATTTGTCAGAATGAATCTCCTGGGAAACGCCTTCAGACTGGACACTGGACTGCCCAAAGCCAAACTTACAGAAAACCTGCCAGAACAGAATTGACAGGGCTGGGGAAACAGCAGCCCCAGCCTCTGATCACAGAGCTGTCCAGGGGCTGGAAACCCGGGTGTCCATGTGGCATCAGTAAGCGGGGCCAGGCACTAGGACTGACTGGGCTCTGTCACTAGGAACAGGGGTCTCGCACTTGGGCCAGGGGGTTCTCACTAGGACCAGGGGCCTGTCAGTCACTAGGGCCGGGGCCTGTCCCTTGGGCCTGGAGCCTGTTACTAGGGCCTGGGGTCTGCCCCTTGGGCCTGGAGCCTGTTACTAGGACCTGGGGTCTGTCACTAGGGCCAGGGGTCTGCCCCTTGGGCCTGGAGCCTGTTACTAGGGCCTGGGGTCTGTCACTATGGCCAGGGGCCTGTCAGTCACTAGGGCCAGGACCTGTCCCTTGGGCCTGGAGCCTATTACTAGGACCTGGGGTCTGTCACTAGGGCCAGGGGTCTGCCCCTTGGGCCTGGAGCCTGTTACTAGGACCTGGGGTCTGTCACTAGCGCCAGGGGTCTGCCCCTTGGGCCTGGAGCCTGTAACTAGGGCCTGGGGTCTCTCTCACTAGGGCCAGCTGCTGTTTTAAAGGTAGCAGCAGCCTCGGTGCTCCCTTGTTCACTGCCCACGCCCACGCGGGGGTGGCGCCGACAGAGCCTACACGACTGCTCTCCATGTGGATGGCTGTGGGGTGGCTGAGCCTTGCTGGCAGAGGAGGCTGGTGGACAGGCTGTGCTCACATCATCAGCAGTGCTGGGTCAAAGCTGGAGGCAGGAGCCATGGAGTCAGTGGGAGCTACCACCCCTCAGCTCATCACCCCTCCCTGGGGCCTGAGACCTCAGAGCCAGCCCTCGGCCCTGCTCAGGCTCTGGCCTCCCTGAGAACCTCTGTCCTGGTCACAAGTGTCCTGCAGGCCCCCTGGGTTGTGCTGGGCTGGACCAGGCCAGGGTGTGACCTCTGACAGCTCCACCTGCCCTAGAGAAGCCACCAGCAGCTTCTCCAGCTGCACCCGCTGACCCCCAGAGCTCGCTCGCAGGCAAGTGCCCATGGTAGGACAGCTGCTTGTGCCTCAGTCTCCTCATCCTTGAAGGGGTGCAGCCCCCTCCCCATCTCCCTCGCACCCGATGGCCTCATGCAGGCACAGCCCGAGGGAGAACCTGTCTCTGCGGAGAAAGACACTCTGATGGCAGCCGACTGGATTCCACCAGAACCCGAGGGCAAGCATTCCTTGGGAAGTGACCAGGCTGGGAGCATCAGGCACGCACGCCACACACTCAACCCAAACCTTCTGTTAACTCAGGTTCCCAGGAGCCCCGCGTGCTTCTGCCTGGCAGGAGCCGATGCTCGTGCCCTGGAGAACTCCCTGTTCAGGGATGACAATGGGTTCCCTGGTGATTTGGAGGCCTGGGGCCTGGGTGGGAGCTGCTCCCTCTACCCCTGGAGACACTGCCCAGGAATCCAACGTGCTGTGACTGCAGGATGCCCCTGGCAGGGGCCATGCTGGCTCAGACGCCTCTCACCAACCCCTTCCTTCCATGCCCTCAGGGCACTGGCATCCAGGGAGCTGTGAAGGGCACGCTGTGTTGCAAGCTGATTGGGAAACAGGTTGGAGGGGTGGGGGCCGAGGCGCTCAGCAGTATTCAGGCATCTCTCAGCTGGCGACAGGAGCTGTCCCAGGCCCTGCAGGTGGGAGTGCATGCTGGGCAACCTTGGCGGTCCCTGGTCTTCTCTCCATGGGCAGATTCCCCTGCGGATACCCCGGCCTCCACAGGCTCAGCTGGGTGTGCTGCCGCTGGGCTCTTCAGAACCTTTACGCCCAAGTCCTGTCCAGGGGGAGCACCCTCCACCTCGGGCCGGCTGCCATCACAGCCTTCAATCCTGCCCAGAGTCCCTGGAGACTGTTGTCATTAAACCCCACTCCTGTTTAGGAAACCCCAGGGCCAGACCCCACTGCCGGAACAGGACCCTCTCGTGCCTGCAGATGGCAAAGCTCCTGAGGGCCTGATGGACCCTCCAATGTCCCACGGCCACAGTTTCCACCTTGACGCCGAAGCCCTGGGATGGCCCCTCTGCAACGCCCAGTGCTCCATCATGACCTGGCCCCAGGACGCTGACTGAGGGAGCGGAGGGGATCGGGACCAGGGGGAAGCAGCCCCCCAGTAAATCCGAAGCACAGGCACGGCACAGCCCCAAGGGAGACCTTGTAGGCGCCTGGCCAGCAGGGCTGAGGAGAAAGTCTCCACTGCAGGGCGCCTCCTGGGCCCACGCCGTGTGGTCCTGGCCCCAAGCTGCCCACTGGGCATTCAGCCTGGACAGCTCTCGGCGCTGGAGACCCAGAGGACAAGGGGACAGCAACATCAAAGACCACAGCGACCCGAAGCCCCAGAAGCAAAAGCCACTCTCACAGCGGAAGGAGTGGACAGAGCCCCTGTGGAGCTCACCCAGCCCTCCTGTCCCACCAAGGGGCCTTCTAGGACCTGGAGCCCTGCCCTCCTGCCGAGGAGGTGCTTCCCCATTAAACAGGGCCAAGGAACAAGGTGGCTCAGGTCCTGCCATGCCCAGGGTGGACACCGTGCCACCCCGCCAGCCCCCACTCCTTATTTCAGTGCCCATTTGAGCGCAGACGGTTCCTGTTTTTCATTATCATCGCACGGCACTCCTGCTCCGCGGGACTCTCCCTGTGAACCGCCCCACTCTTCTCAGCCCAGGCCGCCTGTCAGGCAGTCAGAGCTCCCAATCAGAACAAAGCCGGCAGTTTTGAGTCTGTGCACATCCCCCTGCAGCACAGGAGGCAGGATGATCAGCCGCTCCAGCCCAGCATCCCCACGGCACACTCGGGAGCACACCCCACCCAGAGGCCAGACAG
Source organism: Homo sapiens (assembly GCF_000001405.40). Classification (NCBI taxonomy): domain Eukaryota; kingdom Metazoa; phylum Chordata; class Mammalia; order Primates; family Hominidae; genus Homo; species Homo sapiens. The sequence continues at coordinate 684,984 of NC_000005.10, forward strand.
GTGCACACGGCCGGGGCCGCCCCAGGACACACGTCCAGAGAGGTCACAGTCCTGAAAGGTCACGGTCCTGAGAGGTCACCATCCTGAGAGGTGCCCGGTCCAGAGAGGTCACTGGTCCTGAGAGGTCACTGTCCTGAGGGGTCACTGGTCCAGAGGTCATCACTCTTGAGAGTCACTGGTTGATCCTGAGAGGTCACTGGTCCAGAGGGATCGCTAGGATGGGGTCTCCAGGCCTGGGCTGAGGCTCTGCCCCATAGAAGACCTGAGGTCGGGCTCCTGCTCTCCAGGGACCCTGAAGGCCAGAGCCAAGCCCAGGCTGAGTGCAGTCCCCAAGGAAGTGGGAGGAGGAGGGCAGGGTGGAGTCCTGTGGCAGCGTCCCCAGCACACCACACTTCTATCCTGGTCGTCTCACATGGCGTCCTCCGGCCATCCTGCACTGGGCCACTCGGGACCCCTGCCACTCACCACAACCGCATGGCCTCAGACCTGGGCAGGACAGGGCAGGCTTTGCACACTCCTAAGGCTCATGGGGTGGGAGGGGCCCTGCACAAGGAGCCTTCCGGTAAGGGGGGCAGGGGAGCAGGGGCTGCATGGCCCTGGCCACCTCCACTCACCCTCCCTCCGCCCTCAGAAGAAGAGAGATGGCTGCGGAGGAGCTTCTCGGGTCAACAGGGTGCACCCAGCCCCTGGTGCCCTCTGCCTCTGGGAACCACATCTTGGCCCCCATCTGCAGAGTGTGGTCCTTGCAGCGCCCAGCGTGGCCACTCTGGGGACGGCCACCAGAGCCCATCTGCACTCAGGTGTAGGGATGAGAAGGCGGGGCAGTCTCAGAGAAAACCCTCCCAGGCCACACGGCAGATCCCCTCTGAGTGGGAGACTCAGGATTAAGGATGACAGGGAGACGCAGGTGGGAGGATGGAACATTCCAGAGCACTATGGCTGAGTATCCAGGCCACAGACGCCGGGGCTGCCAGGGCCACCAACTTTGCCACCGAATGGCCACCATGGGATGGAGGTGCCAACAGGGCTCCCGGACTCTGCAAAGGACGCTGTGGCGGAGACTGATACGGGTCTGAGATGGCTGTCCAAGGCCCAAGTGAGAGTTAAACCACATGCCCAGCCAGTGCCCACCACCTGGGCCAACACCATTTCTCTAAAGCACGACACAGGACATTCCACCAACAGAGCATCCCAAAAGGGAATAAAATAGAGATCCCGGCTGGCTCATCCCATCAACCATGTCGGAGACTCGGCGGCTGCAGATGCGGTGGGACCTGCCTCCATTAAAGGCACCTTCTGTGGGGACAGCAAGGACTCTCACGCGGGGCACACCAGGTTAGAGGACACAGCCGGGGCTCTCAAGGGAGGCACAATGGGTTACAGGAGAAAACAGCCGAGGCTCTCAAGGGGGCAGAGCAGGTTACAGAACACTGCAGAACCAGGGGCTGGTCCCTCATCCAGCGCAGCTTCACTGAGTGCCAGACTCACGAGGACCCTGCCCTGCCCCGCCCCAGCCCACTCACTGCCCTTGGGTTACCCTCGGGGCTCCGGGTCCAGGGCACCTGCAGGCAGCTGGAACCAGGGCAGCTCTGGGCCAATGGTGGCCCCATCTAATCCCCAGAACCTGTGAACGCGACCTTGTTTGGAGAAAGGATCTGGAAATGAGATCATCTTGGATTATCCACAGCTGAGCCCTAAATCCAATGGTGAGTGTCTCTACCTAGAAGAGGCAGAAGAGAAGACACAGAGAGAAGAGAAGAAGGTGCTACAGGCTGAATTCGTCCCCTCCAAAATCCACACTGGAACCTAATCCCCATTGTGGTGGCATTAACAGAGCCTTTGGGGGATGAGATTCAGCTATGGGGGCCAGGCTCCTGGGAATGACCGAGTGCCTTATCAAAGGGCTGGGGCATGAGGACATGGCAACCAGGCCCTGTCTTGGAAGCAGGGAAGGGCCCTTGTCGGACGCCAAGCCTGCAGGTGCCTTGATCTTGGACTCTCCAGCCCCCAGAACTGTGAGAAGTGAACATATCATTTCATAAATTACCATGCCTGGTGCTGTTACAGCAACACACACGGACTAACACAGTCGCCATGAGGCCGGGGCTGCAGTGACGCAGCCACACGCCCAGGACAACTGGAGCCACCAGAAGCTAGAAGAGGCAGGGAGCGTCCCACCAAGCCTCCAGAGGAAGCTGACTCATGAGATGCCTGGACGCTGGGCTTCTGGTCTCCAGGAGGATGGGGGAATGCGTCCCTGTTGTGTTAACCCCGGACTGTGTCAATTGTCAGAAGCCTCTGGACACAGTGACACAGCGGGTGGGACCAGAGGCTCAGCACCCCTCATGGGGAACAAAGTCTTTGAGGCCCTCAGGTGGCACTGAGAGACCACAGGGGGCTCCAGAGGCCCTTGGGGGTCCACCTAAGCCAGGATGGGTGTTAGGCCAGGGCTGCCAACAGCACCTGCCTTCTGAGACACATCCAGCCTCTGGTTGCCCATTTTTAGGTGGAGAAAATGAAGGCTGCATACGTGGCTGGTGTGAGGAAGTCAGCTGACGGGAATTTGCTGATTTAAGGGAAGGTTCAGCTGCGTCTGCATGCTAAAGGGCTGTCCTCCAGATCAGATCTAGAAGCTTTGGGAAGGTAATGCAAAAGAATTTCTGATGTTCTTGGCGTGGGGGAAATTTGTTACACGGACACAGAAAGCCTTGTCCTGCAGGAAAAGATTCTTAGAAGGCACCAGATTAAAAGAAAGAACTTCTGTTCGTTGAAAAAATATCATCAAGAGAGTGAAAAAGCAAACCCCAGGGTAGGAGATGTTTGCTATGCACAACAAATGTTGGCTTGTCTCCAGAATATATAAAGAACCTCTACAAATCGATAGGAACTCAATCCACAAAGGGCAGCTGACTTGAACAGGCCCCTCGGGGACGAGGGTATCCAAGTGCCCAGTGCTCGGTGGGAAGCACTCAGCTTCGTTAGTATGACCAGGAAAATGCAAATCATAAGGCTTCCACACAGCCTTACAAAAGGCTAAGACATTGCAAAGGCTGACAGTGGCTAGTGCCGGCAAGGATGTGGGTCAACAGGAAACTGTGGGGGCGAATGGCTTTAATCCCTTTGGGAAACTGCTTGGCATCATCTGATGAACGAAAAGACACACTAGATCCCAGACTCAACGGCTCCACTTCCAGATTGACCCAAGAGACTCATGACCACATGCCCCAAAGAACATCCCAGGAATGCCCACGACAGCTTCATCCCTAGTTGCCAAGAAAGGGGAACCGCGTGGACATGCACCTGCTGACAGTATGGTGGTCTCAGGGACAGCGGGCATCCCCGTGGGAGTGTGGGCGGCGCTGAGCACGAGCACCTGGGGCTCCTCGACGCAGTGTGGACGGACCACTCGCGCACAGTATTGATCCACGTTAGCCAGCACAGCAGTGTGCCCACCACGTGGCTTCTGGTTAAAGGTTAAAAACAGGCAAAGCCAAAGCACAGTGCTCAGGAATTGCAGCTTCGACGGGAAAACGGACGGTGAGTAAGACCCCATCCCACTCCCGGAACACGAAGAGAGGCGGCCCAGAACGGCTGGCACTAGAACTGCAGGTGGACTGTGCCAGGTGCCAGGTGGGGCCCTCCCAGCAGGCGGCCTGGGGACACGTGGGCACTGACGAAGGTGGCAGGAACAAGCCTGGTGGGAGGTGAGGCTGAGATGAGCTTCACCCCAGTGGCTCTGTCCATGGCCCAGGCTCCTCAGGCACTGAGAAGGCAGAGGTGCCACCCCGCCGAGGGGCAGAGAAAACCGGCCCTTGGGCAGCCTTAGGAGAAGCGGGGGCCGGTGTGCGCAGGAGAGGGTGGACGCCCCAGATGCAGCCACGGTGGCCAGGTCACCTGCGAGATGCCATGGGTGGGAGATGCAGGTGGCTGTGCAGCGGTGCCCTGGGCTCAGGGGGAGGGGCTGGGTCAGGTCCCCGGGGCTGGCTGGGGCCTGGACATGGCTCCCTGGCCCTGAGGCACCAGCAGCACTTCTGAGTGGGGTGGGACTGGCCTGGTGTGTTTCTGGGCGGGGATCCAGTGTGAGTGGGTGAACAGTGAGTGGCAGCCATGGGCACGCTGAGGTACGCACACTTCACCCACCTCTGTGGGCCAGGAAGGCATGTCACATACTCCTGACAAGGCAGAGGGTGCTGGGAGCTCGCCTGTGTCAGACATGAGGGCCCTTGGACCAGGGCCTGGGTTTGAAGCCACCTCCATACCCCATACACGGTGCTCACTGCTCCTGGCCCCATTGACTGATGACTGATGGCCAGAGGGGGACAGCAGCTGTGTGAAGTCGCCTGGCAGGTGCGGCTGTTGGTGGCACTCCCTGGGCGGAGGCCACGTTGGACATTTGTGAACAAACGAGCAGGTTGGGGTTACAGGTTATAGGATCTGGGAAATGTGGTCTGTGATGCCATGCGCCCTGGGGGATCTCATGGAGCCCACATGGGCAGGCACCTTTTATCATGCCAAGAAGTCAAACGTGGGATGCCATGTGGGGAACATGCCCTGGGTGGGGGAATACCCTGGGTGGAGATGCCATGTGGGGAGGATGCTCTGGGTGGGGAATCTTTGTGGGGGTTGTCCTGGGTGGTGGAGCCTTGGTGAAGGAATGGCCTAGGGGGTGGCTCTGGGAGGGGGTGGCTCTGGGATGTGGATGTCCTGGGAGGGGGATGTCACCTTAGGGGGAAAGCCTGTTGCAGATGCCCTAGGAGGGAAGCCCTGTGTGAGAGATCATCTGGGTGGGGGCTGCCCCGGGTGGGGGATCATCTGAGTGGGGGCTGCCCTGGGTGGGGGATGTCCCCGGTGGGGGATCATCCAGGTGGCAGATCATCTGGGTGGGGGATCATCTGGGTGGGGGATCATCTGGGTGGAGGATCATCTGGGTGGGGGATCAACTGGGTGGGGGCTGCCCTGGGTGGGGGCTGCCCTGGGTGGAAGATCTTATCAGGGGGATGCAGTGGGTTATGGCCCTGTGGCAACCCCAAACACACACACACCAAGAAGAAGCTGGTCTCCCTAGGAGGAGGATCCACGCAGGGCAGCTTGGGGTTTGGCTCGTGGATGCTGGGGACAAGGCCTGAGCCCCAGATGTGGCTGGGCCTGACCCAGGCAGCTCCACCCCTTCCTTCCCAGGAAACACCTTTTGCTCGAGCAGTAGGAACTAGGCGTGTGTAGATTCTGCTGCCTGATCCTGGCTCCTGGCTGAGGGTTTGTGGGCTCAGATGGACTAGACACCCGGCCACAACCCTCCTGGGCATAGCCTTCTGGCTCCCCCAGCCCAGGCGGAGGCATTGAGCGACTCTCCTCACCCAGAGTGTTTTCCCGAAGGCGCTTCTGCCTGAGGGCACCAGGCTGGGCCAGGTACTGCAGGGCGCTGACCAGCACTGGCCTGGGGGCCCCAAGAGCCCCAGATGGCATCCCTCTCACACACTCCCCCTGTCTCACCAACAGCTATAAATAGACTCGGCTCTCTGCTGGCACGGCCTCTCCCGAGGAAGCTTTTAATTCTCTGCGTCCTCTGCAGGGGGTGGCTCCCACAGGCCTGGGAGGGAACAGACTGCCTGACTCTCCAGAGAGCTCCCCAGTCTCCATCTGCGATGGGTGATCCTAATTTTCTTCAGGAAGTTCTCCTGAGCCCTGCGTGTGGCGCTTTGGCCTTTGTGCCCACGGAAGCCCCCTGCGGCCCCTCCCTCCGGGCCCTGCCCAGCCCGGTGCACGAACCCTGTTTACCGATTCCCAGGCCTAGGGCAGCCACTGCCAGTGTGAGGCTTGCAAATTAGGGTAGGGGGTCAAAAGGAAGCCCCTGTTGACCATTTCTGTGAGCATTCTATGCTCATTTCCACAACGAGCATTTATAACCTCGTATAATCGCTAAAACATTTATTGCAACTTCAGGGAATTCGGGAAGATAGACCAACCGCAGCTGTAAGATTAAAACGCAGCCAGTGACCAGCGGAGCTTCCTCCACGCACACGCGGTCCAATCCCCATGACTTCATGTTTTGTGAAGATGCAAAGCGAGTTCATGCCGGCGCCTTTCTGAATCAGAGATCCGTTTAGAAACCATGAAAGCTGCAGACCCCTCCCGGGAAAACGCACACACCCTCCTGGAGCTCGCCTTCTGCAGCCGCTCCGGGAGCCCGCCCCTCCCCCACAGGCCCTCCGAGGATCACGTGGTGGGGAGGCGCTGGCACCGAGCGGCTGACAGGCGCGAGAGCCCAGTTCAAGGCGGCGGCATCAGGCTGCAGCTGCCTCACTCCCCTCCACTTCCTGCCCCTTCCCGGCCTTGGTCCAGCCCCATCTCCTAGTCCCAGGCCACAGGGAGCTGGGTCACCTCCCAGGGGCAGGGGCTGGCTGGGCGTGGGGGGAGACCTCTCCCCCTGAGAAGTCAGGCGGGGAGGGGTGGCCGGGGTGGGCGGAGGGGCCCAGTCCTCTATCGGTCCCCCAGGGGCCCTGCAAGCAGAAGAGCCAATAAACATGCCAGGTGGATCAGCGGTGACACTGAGAGGGAACGCAACACCCCATCAAAACAGCAGCCCCCCAACCCCCATCAAAACAATAGCCCCCAACCCCCATCAAAACAGCAGCCCCCAAACCCCATCAAAACAGCAGCCCCCAACCCCCATCAAAACAGCAGCCCCCAAATACCCATCAAAACAGCAGCCCCCCAAACCCCATCAAAACAATAGCCCCCAACCCCCATCAAAACAGCAGCCCCCAACCCCCATCAAAACAGCAGCCCCCAAATACCCATCAAAACAGCCCCCAACCCTCATCAAAACAGCAGCCCTCAACCCCCATCAAAACAGCAGCCCTCAACCCCCATCAAAACAGCAGCCCCCTAAACCCCCATCAAAACAGCAGCCCCCCAAACCCCCATCAAGACAACAGCCCCCCCAACCCGTATCAAAACAGCAGCCCCCAACCCCTCATCAAAACAGCAGCCCCCAGACCCCATCAAAACAGCAGCCCCCCAACCCCTATCAAAACAGCAGCCTCCCAACCCCTATCAAAACAGCAGCCCCCAACCCCCTATCAAAACAGCAGCCCCCCTAAGCCCCCATCAAGACAGCAGCCTCCCAACCCCACATCAAAACAGCAGCCCCCCAGACCCCATCAAAACAGCAGCCCCCAACCACCTATCAAAACAGCAGCCCCCAACCCCTATCAAAACAGCAGCCCCCCAACCCCCTATCAAAACAGTAGCCTCCCAACCACCTATCAAAACAGCAGCCTCCCAACCCCCTATCAAAACAGCAGCCCCCAAACCCCTATCAAAACTGCAGCTCCCAACCCCCTATCAAAACAGCAGTCCCCCAACCCTATCAAAACAGCAGCCCTCCAACCCCCTATCAAAACAGCAGCCCCCCAAACCCCTATCAAAACAGCAGCCCCCAACCCCGTATCAAAATAGCAGCCTCCCAACCCCTATCAAAACAGCAGCCCCCCAAACCCCCATCAAGACAACAGCCCCCCCAAAACCCTTATCAAAACAGCAGCCCCGCCACTGCCCGGGAGGGACAGGCTTCTCACCTCCCTCGGCTCCGTTTACGTAACCGAAACCGCAGAATAAAGGGCTCCTCAGATCTTCGGGCGCTGCTCCCAGGGGTGCGGGAAGGTGTCCCGGCAGCGCCTCTCCATCGCCACAGGCCCGCGGACAGTAGCCAAGACCCGGGGCAGCTGGAGGCTCTGCGGGGGGCGGTCTGACAGCCCCACCTGCCAGGACGCGGTGGTGTCAGGACCCTGAGATGGGCCGTTTCTGTGGCCAGGGATCTCTCAAAACCTGCTGCGGGCAGTGACTTCATTCCAGCCCTCCACGCCCTAATTTCCCACGCCTCACACCGGCGGCCCCCTAGGCCTGGGAATAGGGAAACGGTTCGAGTCCCGAGCTGGGGAGGGTCTGGAGGGAAGGGCTGCAGGGGCGTCCGTGGCCGCGAAGAAAGGCCAAAGCGCCAGGCACAGGGCCCGGAGACGGTGACAGACCTGTCCCTGGCGCGGCCGACGGTGACCCCCGCTCGCGGCCTTTGCAAAGCCTCCCCGTCGCGTCCTCGCACCGAGCCCGCAGCGCCGAACTCCGGGCATCCCAATCCGGGGGCTCAGGGACGCGCGGGGCGGTCCGGGAAGGGGGCTCGGGGGAGCGCGGGGGGCAGGGGCTGCGGCGCAGGTGGCTGCTGGGGCTGACGGGCCCAGTCTCCGCCCCCGGGTGCCCCCCGCGCCGCGCCCGCGGGACCGAGCCCCGCGCCCGCTTACCTTGGAGACGCAGCGACTGCAGCGGAGGCGCCTCCGCGACTCGGCCGCGCGCGACCCGGTGCTCAGCGGAGCTCTCCAGCCGCCGCCCCGCGCCCGCCCGTCCCGCCCAGCACCGCCCAGCCCCGCCCAGCCCGGTCCCGGGCCCGCCCCCGGCCCCCAGCGTCCGGCGCCCGCCCAGCGTCCCGCCCCGCGCGCTCATTGGCAGCCCCGCCCCCGCCGCCCCACCCGGCCCGGGGACGCGCGGGCGCACCGAGACCTCTGCCTTACAAGGCCGACTCTGCTCAGGCCCCGCGGACCGCCGGGTATCCGCTCAGCGCAGGGCGCGGCCGACCCGCGGGTCGTGGGAACCGCTGGGCAGGGGGCGGCGGGGCCCCTCACCTGGCTCTGGGGCCCCCCGGGGACGACCGGACCCCGATCTCTCCGCCCCGCAGGACGCGCGTTGACGGTGCGGCGGGGGATGGATGAGCGCGGCCGCGGCCTCCTGGGGTGGGGTGGGTTGGCGGCGGGGCCTCGAGGACGGTGCGGGGCGAGCCCCGACCGCGCCCAGTTCTTTAAGGAGCCGCAGACGGTGCAGGGAAGCGGCAGGGCCGGGCTGTGAGGGTGCTCGGACCCCAAGGCGGGGCGCACCCAGGGGACTGGGCTTCCAGGTGGGGGCAGCGCGGCCGGGGATCGACCTGAGCAGGGAGACGGGTCCGTGCCGGGCGCCCAGCGCAGCTGCTCGGGAGTGGGCCGCCCTTCACGCAGGAGTGGAGGAGCGGAGCGCGCACCCCTGACCCCGGCCTCAGCTTCCGTTCTCCCTGCAGGTCGCCCGTATGCAGCGCCACCATCCCGGCCGCTCTTCCAATCTCGCCTTTCTCCGGGCACCTGCCGCCCCTCCCCCGCTCCCCAGACAGGCTTTGCGGAGGGGGCTCATTCCGCCCGGGGCTGCCCGGCCCTCCGCAGGAGTTGGCTCCCCACAAGGTTCCGGGGCCGAGATGACAGGGCGGTTCTGTGGTGCTGGGTGCTGGGACTTGAGGGGCATAGGGGCACCTGCCCTGGAGGAGGCCGAGGCGCAGCCCCCCAGGAGGAAGGGGTGCCTCTGGTGACTTTCAGCTGGACTCTTCCAGCTGGACTCTAGTGCAGCTGAGCTCCTCCCCCAGCCCCGGCTCTGTCCCTGCACCAGGTGTCCAGCAGGCCCTGGAATCCGCAAAGGCAGAAGGGGAAGTTGGGGTGCTGGGTGCTGGGCAGGGGGTGCTGAGGCCTCACAGCCCGGCGGCTTGGCCCCCACCCACCCCACGGTGGTCCCGCGCCCCACACTTCCTCTCCTCTCCTGTGGTTTCTCCTTCCACTCAGTGCTGCCCAGAGATGGGCTTCTGTCTAGTTCTCCTGAGAAATTCCACACTCGCAGCTGGGAAGTCGGGGGACCCCCGAAGCTGTGCGGCGGCCACGCTGCGGCTCCTGCTTCCCTCCTGCTCGGGTGCGGGCTCGGCTGCCTTCTCGTCCCGCGGAGCCCGGAGTGCCTCCCCCTCGGGTAGATCCTACTAACAGCATCAAAGAAATAATGAAATAATCTCTCCTTGGTGTGTTCTTACCGTCCTAATAGGCACAAGGGGACTCTTCAGTGCATTTTCCAAAACCTGTACAAACTCTCTTGACATAAATGCAGTGAGTTTACAATAAAATCGCAGTGGGAGGTAACGTCAGGCTTCAGAGGCAGACATGGTCCTGGAGCCTTTGGGAGGAGAGGAGAGGAGAGGCAGCGGGCGCGGGGCGGCGTCCAGGGGGCTGAGCGAGGTCTGGGCAGGAGGACAGAGCTGAGCCTTGGGCTGCCCTGGCCCCTGCGCAGGACACACAGTGACCGGGGCTGGGGTGGGCACCCCGGTTCTACCGTCGGGAGTCGGCGTGTTCATGGAGTCTGTTTCCTTGTCTGTGGGTGAAACTTTGGCTTGGGGTCACGGGTGTGTTATTTCCCAGCGACAGTCGGTTCAGTCAGCACTTACAAAATCACCAGAAACAGGGGCACAGGATCTTGCTCAGCAGGGAGAGGTGGATCCTGATTCGGGACTCCAGGCTCTTCACCTGGCCATGGCTGCCCGTCCGGTGGCCCTTCCTGGCCCCCAGCTCTTGCTCCACTGCCAGACCTGGACAGCCTCCATTAACCCTGCAATTACTGAAAACCGACTCACAGCCAATGATGTGATCCACGCCAAGTGTCCCGTTATAAGATGTTTCCTGGGGATCCTTAGAAAATCACTACAAATGGGTTGAACAACAGGGCTTTCCTCTTACGGCTTAGGAGGCCAGAAGTCCGAGATCAAGGCCTGTGCGCTCCGGAGGTTCCCACCTCTTCCAGCTTCTGTGGCTCCAGGCGGTCCTGGGTGGTGGCCGCATGGCTCCACCTCTGCCCCTGTCCTCACGGGGCCTCCTCCCCCGAGTTAGTGTGTCTGTCTCTTCCTTTGCTTATCGGGACACCTGTCACTGGATTTAAGGGCCGCCAGGAGAAGCTGGGATAATCTCAAGATCTTTAATCGAATTACATCTACAAAGATCCTATTTTAACGTAAGGTCTTACTCTGAGGTTCCGGGTCAATGTGACTTTCTTGGGTGGGGGTCACTACCACCCCAGCACCAATGCTTTTCCCAGCTCCACCTGTGTTACCGTGTCAGTGACCAGGAGCGTTCCCCGGGACACCTGCCTGCTTGTAGCTGTTTCCACGGCTTCCTGCACAGGTTCTGCGTCCGCAGTTGGGAGCACCAGGCCAGGCAGCTGTCACATAGGAGGAGGACAGCTCTCCGGGACAAGCCCCTGCTGCCTGGCACCCGCGCCCACCCCTGCCTGGGTTTGGGGTTGGGTTTTGTGGGTAGAGGTTCAGGCTGACAGTGGAGGTTGGGAAGAGCAGACACAGCATGGTGGGTAGCACTGGAAGCCCTGGGTGGAAGGGATGGTGGGAGATGCTGGGCCATCTGGGTCTGCAGTGGGAGACCAGGACAGGAGCCCAGGTCCATTGGGAGGCCCCATGCTGAAGACAGAGGCACGGGGAGCGGGGGGAGCAATGGACTCACGCGGACAGCAGCAGACATGAAAAGGCCTCCGAGGCCAAGTGTGAGGATGCCGGGTCCCAGCACTGAGGTGTCCTGCAGCTGGACCTGTCAGGTGTCCACCCACCCCTGGCAGCTGAATGTCCTTTGACGGCCTATAGGCTGAGCAGCTTCTTTGGGCCCCGTAGGGGTGTGTCCCACAGCAGGTGAGCAGTCAGGGCCCCTTGAGAACCCTAACCAGCTCCTGTGTGGGCCCTGGGCTGGGGACAAGCTACAGCCTAGGTGCATGAGGTCAGAGGGGGTGGTCAGTGAAGTAACGACGTGCCTGCCTGGGTGTGGGGCCTGGGAAGCCTCATGGGGGTGTTGAAGCAGCTCCCATGGGTCCTTGGCAGCTTAGGGAAAATGTCTGCCGGGATGTGTGTGTGCACCTGTGTGTGAGAGTGTGAGAGTGTGCACATGCATGCGTGTGTTTGTGCATTCCTATGTGTGAATGTGCACCTGTATGTGTGAGTATGCATGCCGGTGTATGTATGTTGGTATGTGTTCAGCTGTGTATGTTCAGCTGTGTGTGTGTCTATTTGTGTGTCTCTGTGTGTATGAGTGTGTCTGCGTGTGCCTGTGTCTCTGTGTGTGCATGTGTGTTTGCACCTGTATGTCCACGTGCCTGTGTCTGTGTGTTTGCATGTGTGTGCATGTGTCTGTGTGCCTGCGTGTGCCTGTGTGTGCATGGGCCTGTGTGTCTTTGTGTGCATGTGTGTGTGTTTGCACCTGTGTGTGTGCACGTGCCTGTGTGTGTTTGGGCTGTGATTGCATCTGGTTATTCTGGGGGTGGAATTGCTGTGGAACATGGAATTAAAGTGCAGGTTCCGGGTCTTGCTGCCAGGGAGCGACTCTGGCCCCCCTATCACACACCTGTGACCCAGAGAACGGCAGGTGAGCCTTGCGGCTTCACTGTTGCCACAGGTCAGGGGCTGATGAGGAGGGGAAGCCAAATGGGGGGTGTTCAGCCCTAGGCTGAGCTGCTTGGAGCACATTCTTAATACGCCAGCCATCGCTACCTCAGTTCCACAGCCGATGTTAGGGAAGAAAGATGCGGGGACACGGCAACAGGACAGCGTGCTGGGAAGAAAAGATGTGGACAGGAGCCCATGCCTGGCAGAGACACGGAGGACCAGAGAGAGGATGGCGTTGCAGAGCGGAGGGCCGCAGAGAAGGGAGGAACTTGTGTCTGCAGTGGAGAGGACACACCCCTCTGGCAAGGGCAGCCCTGGGTGTGGCTTTCAGAGGCAGTGGGCAATGAGCTCTGTAAAGCCGAGATGGCTCCAAGCAGACCACAAGGAGCCTGGTCAGCTTCTGTCCCTGTAACTGTTTTCCCCACTGCCAGAAGTGGCTTCACTTGTTGTGTGGATGCCCTGCACTCAGCCCAGGACTAGATGGATTCACAGCCAGATTCTACCAAACATATGAAGAACTAATACCAATCCTTCTGAAACTATTCCAAGAAATCGAAGAGGGGGGATATCTCTCTAACTCATTCTATGAGGCCAGTATCACCCTCGGACCAAAACCAGACAAAGGCGCAACAAAAAAAGAAAACTCCAGATCAATATCCCTGTGAATATAGATGCAAAAATCCTCAACGAAATACCAGAAAATAGAACCCAACAGCACATCAAAAGGATAATACACCCTGATCAGGTGGGATTTATCCCAGGGACGCAAATCAATAAATGTGACGTATCACATGAACAGAATTAAGGATAAAAACCATATGATCATTAAATAGATGCAGAAAAAGCATTTGATTAAATTCAGCCTCTCTTCATGATAAAAATTCTCAACAAATGAGGCATAGAAGGAACATGCATCAACATAATAAAAGCCTCATATGACAGATCCACAGCCAACATCAGAATTAAGGGGGAAAAGTTGAAAGTATTCCTTCTAAGAACTGGTATAAGACATGGATGCCCACTTTCACCACTCTTATTCAACACAGTACTGAAAGTCCTGGCCAGAGCAATCAGGCAAGAGAAAGAAATAAAGGGAATGCACATTGGAGAAGAAGGAGCCCAAACTATCCCTTTCTGTTGGTGAAATTATATTCTACATAGAAAACCCTGAAGACTTGTATCACTGCTGGTAAAGACATGCCTGAGACTGGGTAATTTATAAACAAAATGAGGTTTCATGGACTTACAGTTCCACACGGCTGGGGAGGCCTCCCAGTCATGGTGGACGGCAAAAGGCAGATCATACACGGCAGCAGGCAAGAGAGAGGGTGAAAGCCAAGTGAAAGGGGTTTCCCCTTATAAAACCATCAGGTCTCATGAGACTTATTCACTCCCATGAGAACAGGATGGTGAAAACTGCCCCCATGATTCAATTGTCTCCTAGCTGGTCCCTCCCACAACACACGGGAATTATGGGAGCTACAATTCAAGATGAGATTTGGGTGCGGACACAGCCAAACCGTATTACGACTCCACCAAAAAACTCTTAGATTTGATAAATAAATTCAGTAGCATTTAAGGACACAAAATTAATGTACAGAAATCAATAGCATTCTTATACACCAATAACAATCTGGCCAAGAACCAAATCAGGAAGGCAATCTCATTTATTGTAGCTACAAAAAATTACCTAGATATATATTTAACCAAGGAAGTGAAAGATCTTTATAAGGAGAACTACAACACACTGATGAAAGAAATCATACATGACACAAACAGAAAAGCATCCCATGCTCATGGATTGGAAGAATCAATATTGTTAAAAATTATCATACTGTTCAAAGCAATCTACAGACCCAACACAATCTCTATCAAATTAGAAAAAAAATCCTAAAATTCACATGGAACCCAAAAAGAGCCCAACTAGCCAAAGCAATCCAAAGCTAGAAGAACAAAGTTTCAGGCATCACATTACCTGACTTCAAATTATACTACAAGGGTATGGTAACCAAAACAGCATGGTAGTAGTACAAAAATAGACATCTAGATTAATGGAACAGAATAGAGGACTCAGAAATAAAGACACAAAGTCAATAAAAATCAGGAAATGACACTGAGGAAATGACACCCTTTTCAATAAATGGTGCTGGGAAAAGTGGATTGGCATATGCAGCAGAATGAAACTGGACAAATACCTCTCACCATATACAAAAGTTAACTCAAGAGGGATTGAAGACCTAAACATAGGACCAAACACTATAAAAATCCTAGAAGAAAACTTAGGAAAAATTCTTCTGGACATTGGCCTAGGCAAAGAATTTATGAACAAGTCCTCAAGAGCAATTGCAACAAAAACAAAAATAGACAAATGGAACTTAAACTAGAAACCTTCTGCACAGCAAAAGAAACTATCAACAGGGTAAATAGACAACCTGCAGAATGGGAAAATATTTGCAAACTATGCATCTGACAAAGGGCTAATATCCACAATCTACAAGGAACTCAAACCAAATAAGCCCATTAAAAAGTGGGCAAAGGATATGAACAGCCATTTTTACAAAGAAGACACAAAAGTGGTCAAAAAACATGAAAAAAATGCTCAACATCACCAATTATCAGAGAAAGGCAAATTAAAATCTGAATGCAATACCATCTTAGACAAGTCAGAATGGCTATTATTAAAGTCTAAAAGTAAGAGATTTTAGTGAAGATGTGGAGAAAGGGGAATGCTGAAGTACTGTTGGGGGGAATGTAAATCAGTGTAATCTTTCTGGAAAACAGTATGGAGATTTCTCAAAGAACTAAAAATAGAACAACTATTTGGTTCAGCAACCCCACTACTCGGTATATACCCAAAGGGAAAGAATTAATTATATCAAAAACCACCTGCACTTTATGTTTATCACAATACTATTCACAACAGAAAAGAAAATGGATGAACCTAAGCATCCATCAGTGGAGGCCTGGTTAAAGAAAATGTAGCATATATACACAAGGTAATACTACCCGTCCGTTAACAAAGAATGAAATCATATCTTTTGAGCAACATGGATAGAGGCCATTATCCTGAGTGAAATAACTCAGAAACAAAAAGTCAAATACCACATGTTCTCAAGTATAAGTGGGAGCTAAACAATGTATACACATGGACGTATGGAGTGGAATAAGATGACACTGGACACTCCAAAAGGTGGGAGGGTGGAAGGGGGTGAGAGTTGAAAAATTACTTCTTCAGTACAATGTTCACTATTCAGGCGATGGGTACACTAAAAGCCCAGATGTCACCACTATGCAATATATGCATGGAAGAAATCTGCACTTCTACCCCTTACATCTATAAATATTTTAAAACTCTGTTCTTAAATAATTGCATCTCAGAATAAGATTTTATCTTACCTGCATCCCTGAATAAGGTTTACCTAGGTGTGGATTTCTTCTTTTTAGTTATGCAGCTCGTCATAAATCAACTCTTCATATACCTGTGGATTCATGTCTTTTGTCAGTTCTATGAAATCCTCAGGAATATTTATAGGACTACAGAAATATCCAACACCAGAGAAGGCAACAATTTTTGAAATCCAATCAGAAATATTAGGCACACAAACAAGTGGGAAAATAGCCATAAGGAGACAAATTAGTCTATTAAAACTGATGCAGAACGGGCACAGTGGCATTAAACAATATCAAAACTGTATTCCACATATTGTAAAAGCTAATTTGAGGCACGGAAGATATAACAACACTCTGGATCACTGTTCTAGAGGTGAAAGCTAGAACGTATAAAATGAGAACTGCACTGCATGGGATTAATGGCAGATTAGATATTAAAGAAGAAAAGATTATTCATTGTGAAACCATGGCAATATAAACTATCCAAAATGAAACCAAAAGCAAAGAGGATTTAAAAAAATTTAAGCCAAATTATCTGTGATCTGTGGGACAACTTCAAGTGGCTTAATATATGTTTAATTGAAGTCCCCAAAGGAGAGAAGAAAACATGAGGAATGAGGGTAGTGCATTAAAAAAGATGTTTGGAAAAATAATGACAACCTTTTTTTCCCCAATTCGATGTAAACTATTAACCTACAGATGCAAGAAGTTCAATGTACCTCAAGCACAAGTACCATTGAAGAAAATTACATCATGTCTCATTATAATCAAATCGCTCAATCCCAGTGATAAGTAGAAATTTTAAAAGCAGACAGGAAAAATTGTCAGACAAAGTATGTAAAGGGGAACACTGGTCCATCCTGTAGAAGTTATTTAAGACTTGTTGAGGCTAGTAAGCAGTGTTTTGGGCAATATTCCTTGTGTGCCTAAGGAGAATGCACATTTTCTATTAATAAATGAGCTTGCAGTTCCACAGATATCCCATAATTCAAGCCTGTTAATGGTGTTGTCCAAATCTATGTTTTTATTATTTTAAAAATACGATTGACCTAACTGTAATTGAGAGTTGCACTGAAAACTTCCACAAGTGATAGTGAATTTTTAAAAATTATTCCCTGTGGGCTCTATCTGTGTTTGCTTTACACATTTTCCCTCAATAAATACATCTTTTTTGAAGTCCCATTAGTGTAGGATTGTTGGTGGCAAACTTGGCTTTGATTTATCTGGAAATGTGATTAATTTGCTCTTTTTCCTAAAGATAGTGTTGCTGGTACATAATTCCAGGTCAAAAGTGTTTTTTTTTTTTTTTTTTTTTTTTTTTTTTGTCACACTTTGTGAATATTATTTGTCTATCTAGTGTTGTTACAATTAATACATCTGCTGTCTAACTGCTTTTCTTCTATGGATGATTTGTTGTTTCTTTCTGGTTGTTTTTAAAGTTAGATTTTCTTTTGTGTTCCCCATTACCCTACAATGTGTCTAGGCCTGGATTTCTTATTTTTATTCGTGCAGCTTGTCATGAATTACTCATCATATACCTGTGGATTCAGGTCTTTTGTCAGCAATTACCCAGGTTCAGGTATTTCTTTATAGCAATGCAAAAATGGGTCCATTCAGAAAACTGGCACTGAGGAGCAGGACATTGCTATAAAGATACCTGAAAATGTGGTAGCAGCTTTGGAACTGGGTAGTGAGCAGAGGTTGGAAGACTTTGGAGGGCTCAGATGAAGATAGAAAGATGGGAAAAGTTTGGAACTTAGTGACTTATTAAGTGGTTGGAACCAAAATACAGATAGAAATATGCATAATGAAGGCCAGGCTGACAAGGTCTCTGTCAGGCCTCTGAGCCCAAGCCAAGCCATCACATCCCCTGTGACTTGCACGTATACATCCAGATGGCCTGAAGTAACTGAAGATCCACAAAAGAAGTAAAAATAGCCTTAACTGATGACATTCCACCATTGTGATTTGTTCCTGCCCCACCCTAACTGATCAATGTACTTTGTAATCTCCCCCACCCTTAAGAAGGTTCTTTGTAATTCTCCCCACCCTTGAGAATGTACTTTGTGAGAGCCACCCCTGCCCACAAAACATTGCTCTTAACTTCACTGCCTATCCCAAAACCTATAAGAACTAATGACAATCCACCACCCTTTGCTGACTCTCTTTTTGGACTCAGCCCACCTGCACCCAGGTGAAATACACAGCTTTATTCCTCACACAAAGCCTGTTTGGTGGTCTCTTCACACGGACGCGCATGAAATTTGGTGTCGTGACTCGGATCAGGGGACCTCCCTTGGCAGATCAATCCCCTGTCCTCCTGCTCTTTGCTCCATGAGAAAGATCCACCTATGACCTCAGGTCCTCAGACCAACCAGCCCAAGAAACATCTCACCAATTTCAAATCCGGTAAGCGGCCTCCTTTTACTCTCTTCTCCAACTTCCCTCACTATCCCTCAACCTCTTTCTCCTTTCAATCTTGGCGCCACACTTCAATCTCTCCCTTCTCTTAATTTTAATTCCTTTCATTTTCTGGTAGAGACAAAGGAGACACGTTTTATACGTGGACCCAAAACTGTGGTGCCGGTCACAGACTGGGAAGGCAGCCTTCCCTTGGTGTTTAATCACTGCAGGGACGCCTCTCTGATTATTCACCCACGTTTCAAGGGTGTCAGACCACGCAGGGACGCCTGCCTTGGTCCTTCACCCTTAGCAGCAAGTCCCGCTTTTCTGGGGAAAGGGCAAGTACCGCAACCCCTTCTCTCCTTGTCTCTATCCCTTCTCTGCTTTTCTGGGGAAAGGGCAAGTACCCCAACCCCTTCTCTCCTTGTCTCTATCCCTTCTCTGCTTTTCTGGGAGAGGGGCAAGTACCCCTCAACCCCTTCTCCTTCACCCTCAGCGGCAAGTCCCGCTTTTCTGGGGGAGGGGCAAGTACCCCAACCCCTTCTCTCCTTGTCTCTACCCCTTCTCTGCTTTTCTGGGGAAAGGGCAAGTACCCCAACCCCTTCTCTCCTTGTCTCTACCCCTTCTCTGCTTTTCTGGGGAAAGGGCAAGTACCCCAACCCCTTCTCTCCTTGTCTCTATCCCTTCTCTGCTTTTCTGGGAGAGGGGCAAGTACCCCTCAACCCCTTCTCCTTCACCCTCAGCGGCAAGTCCCGCTTTTCTGGGGGAGGGGCAAGTACCCCTCAACCCCTTCTCCTTCACGCTTAGCGGCAAGTCCCGCTTTTCTAGGGGGCAAGAACCCCCAATCCCTTATTTCCACACCCCGACCTCTTATCTCTGTGCCCCAATCCCTTATTTCTGTGCCCCAACCCCCCTTCCCACTTTTCTGGAGGGTAAGAACCCCAAACCCCTTCCCTCCATGTCTCTACACTCTCTTTTCTCTGGGTTTGCCTCCTTCACTATGGGCAACCTTCCACCCTCCATTCCTCCTTCTTCTCCCTTAGCCTGTGTCCTCAAGAACTTAAAACCTCTTCAACTCACACCTGACCTAAAACCTAAATGCCTTATTTTCTTCTGCAACACTGCTTGGCCCCAATACAAACTTGACAATGGCTCTAAATGGCCAGAAAACAGCACTTTCAATTTCTCCATCCTACAAGACCTAAATAATTTTTGTCAAAAAATGGGCAAATGGTCTGAGGTGCCTTATGTCCAGGCATTTTTCACACTTCATTCCCTCCCTAGCCTCTGTTCCCAATGCGATTCCTCCCAGATCCTCCTTCTTTCCCTCCCGCCTGTCCCCTCAGTCTCAACCCCAAGTGTCGCTGAGTCTTTCCAGTCTTCCTTTTCTACAGACCCATCTGACCTTTCCCCTCCTCCCCAGGCTGCTCATCAGCAGGCTGAGCTAAGTCCCAATTCTTCCTCAGCCTCCACTCCTCCACCCTATAATCCTTCTATCACCTCCCCTCCTCACACCTGGTCCGGCTTACAGTTTAGTTCCGTGACTAGCTCTTCCCCACCTGCCCAGCAATTTACTCTTAAAAAGGTGGCTGGAGCTAAAGGCATAGTCAAGGTTAATGCTCCTTTTTCTTTATCCCAAATCAGATAGCGTTTAGGCTCTTTTTCATCAAATATAAAAACCCAGCCCAGTTCATGGCTCGTTCGGCAGCAACCCTGAGACACTTTACAGCCCTAGACCCTAAAAGGTCAAAAGGCTGTCTTATTCTCAAAATACATTTTATTACCCAATCTGCTCCCAACATTAAATAAAACTCCAAAAATTAAATTCCAGCCCTCAAACCCCACAACAGGATTTAATTAACCTCGCCTTCAAGATGTACAATAATAGAAAAAAGTTGCAATTCCTTGTCTCCACTGTGAGACAAACCCCAGCCACATCTCCAGCACACAAGAACTTCCAAACACCTGAACCGCAGCTGCCAGGCGTTCCTCCAGAACCTCCTCCCCAGGAGCTTGCTACAAGTGCCAAAAATCTGGCCACCAAGCCAAGGAATGCCGACAGCCCAGGATTCCTCCTAAGCTGTGTCCCGTCTGTGCGGGACCCCACTGAAAATCGGACTGTTCAACTCACCTGGTAGCCACTTCCAGAGCCCCTGGAACTCTGGCCCAAGGCTCTCTGATTCCTTCCCAGATCTTCTTAGCTTAGTGGCTGAAGACTGACGCTGCCCAATCGCCTCGGAAGCGCCGTAGACCATCACGGATGCCGAGCTTCAGGTAACTCTCACAGTGGAAGGTAAGTCTGTCCCCTTCTTAATCAATACGGAGGCTACCCACTCTATATTACCTTCTTTTCAAGGGCCTGTTTCCCTTGCCTCCATAACTGTTATGGGTATTGATGGCCAGGCTTCTAAACCTCTTAAAACTCCCCAACTCTGGTGCCAACTTAGACAACACTGTTTTATGCACTCTTTTTTAGTTATCCCCACCTGCCCAGTTCCCTTATTAGGCTGAGACACTTTAACTAAATTATCTGCTTCCCTGACTATTCCTGGACTACAGCCACATCTCATTGCCACCCTTCTTCCCAATCCAAAGCCTCCTTCGCGTCTTCCTCTCGTATCCCCCCACCTTAACCCACAAGTATGGGACATCTCTACTCCTTCCCTGGCAACTGATCACATGCCCATTACCATCCCATTAAAACCTAATCACCCTTACCCCACTCAACGCCAATATCCCATCCCACAGCACGCTTTAAAAGGATTAAAGCCTGTTATCACTCGCCTGCTACAGCATGGGCTTCTAAAACCTATAAACTCTCCTTACCATTCCCCCATTTTACCTGTCCTAAAACCAGACAAGGCTTACAAGTTAGTTCAGAATCTGCACCTTATCAACCAAATTGTTTTCCTATCCACCCCGTGGTGCCAAACCCATATACTCTCCTATCCTCAATACCTCCCTCTACTACCCATTATTCTGTTCTGGATCTCAAACATGCTTTCTTTACTGTTCCTTTGCACCCTTCATCCCAGCCTCTCTTTGCCTTCACTTAGACTGACCCTGACACCCATTAGACTCAGCAAATTACCTGGGCTGTACTGCCGCAAGGCTTCAGAGACAGTCCCCATTACTTCAGTCAAGCCCAAATTTCAACCTCATCTGTTACCTATCTCAGCATAATTCTCATAAAAACACATGTGCTCTCTCTGCTTATCGTGTCGGATTAATCTCCCAAACCTCAATCTCTTACAAAAGAACAACTCCTTTCCTTCCTAGGCGTGGTTAGTGCGGTCAGAATTCTTACACAAGAGCCAGGACCACACCGTGTAGCCTTTCTGTCCAAACAACTTGAACTTACTGTTTTAGCCTAGCCCTCAGGTCTGCGTGCAGTGGCTACTGCTGCTTTAATACTGTTAGAGGCCCTCAAAAATCACAAACTATGCTCAACTCACTCTCTACATTTCTCATAACTTCCAAAATCTATTTTCTTCCTCATACCTGATGCATATACTTTCTGCTCCCCGGCTCCTTCAGCTGTACTCACTCTTTAAGTCCCACAATTAGCATTGTTCCTGGGCCGGACTTCAATCCAGCCTCCCACATTATTCCTGATACCACACCTGACCCCCATGACTGTATCTCTCTGATCCACCTGATATTCACCCCATTTCCCCATATTTCCTTCTTCCCTGTTCCTCACCCTGATCACGCTTGATTTATTGATGGTGGTTCCACCAGGCCTAATCGCCACACACCAGCAAAGGCAGGCTACGCTATAGTACAAGCCACTAGCCCGCCTCTCAGAACCTCTCATTTCCTTTCCATCGTGGAATCTATCCTCAAGGAAATAACTTCTCAGTGTTCCATCTGCTATTCTATCTGCTATTCTACTACTCCTCAGGGATTATTCAGGCCCCCTCCCTTCCCTACACATCAAGCTGGAGGATTTGCCACCACCCAGGACTGGCAAATTAGCTTTACTCAATATGCCCTGAGTCAGGAAACTAAAATACCTCTTACTCTAGGTAGACACTTTCACTGAATAAGGCCTTTCCTACAGGGTCTGAGAAGGCCACCACAGTCATTTCTTCCCTTCTGTCAGACATAATTCCTCAGTTTAGCCTTCCCACCTCTATACAGTCTGATAACAAACCAGCCTTCATTAGTCAAATCAGCCAAGCAGTTTTTCAGGCTCTTAGTATTCAGTGAAACCTTTATATCCCTTACGGTCCTCCGCCTTCAGGAAAAGTAGAACGGACTAAAGGTCTTTTAAAAACACACCTCACCAAGCTCAGCCACCAACTTAAAAAGGACTGGACAATATTTTTACCACTTTCCCTTCTCAGAATTCAGGCCTGTCCTCGGACTGCTACAAGGTACAGCCCATTCGAGCTCCTTTTTATTAGGCCCCAGTCTCATTCCAGACACCAGACCAACTTAGACTGTGCCCCAAAAAAACTTGTCATCCCTACTATTTTCTGTCTAGTCATACTCCTATTCTCTGTTCTCAAGTACTCATACATGCCCTGCTCTTGTTTACACTGCCAGTTTACACTGTTTCTCCAAGCCATCACAGCTGATATCTCCTTGTGCTATCCCCAAACTGCCACTCTTAACTCTTGAAGTAAATAAATAATCTTTGCTGGCAGGACTATGCTGAATCTCCTTAGGCACTCTCTAATCAGATATCCTGAGTCGTCCCAATTCTTAGACCTTTTATACCTGTTTTTCTCCTTCTCTTATTCCATTTAGTTTCTCAATTCATCCAAAACTGTATCCAGGCCATCACCAATCATTCTATATGACAAATGTTTCTTCTAACATCCCCACAATATCTCCCCTTACCACAAGATCTCCCTTCAGCTTAATCTCTCCCATTCTAGGTTCCCACGCTGCCCCTACCCCTGCTTGAAGCAGCCCTGAGAAACATCGCCCATTCTCTCTCCATACCACCCCCCAAAAATTTTCGCCGCCCCAAGACTTCAACACTATTTTGTTTTATTTTTCTTATTAATATAAGAAGGCAGGAATGTCAGGCCTCTGAGCCCAAGCCAAGCCATCGCATCCCCTGTGACTTGCACATATACATCCAGATGGCCTGAAGTAATTGAAGATCCACAAAAGAAGTAAAAATAGCCTTAACTGATGACATTCCACCGTTGTGATTTGTTCCTGCCCCACCCTAACTGATCAATGTACTTTGTAATCTCCCCCACCCTTGAGAAGGTTCTTTGTAATTCTCCCCACCCTTGAGAATGTACTTTGTGAGAGCCACCCCTGCCCACAAAACATTGCTCTTAACTTCACTGCCTATCCCAAAACCTATAAGAACTAATGACAATCCACCACCCTTTGCTGACTCTTTTTGGACTCAGCCCACCTGCACCCAGGTGAAATAAAGAGCTTTATTCCTCACACAAAGCCTGTTTGGTGGTCTCTTCACACGGACGCGCATGAAAGTCTCAGATGGAAACGAGGAAGTTATTGGGAACTGGAGCAAAGGTCACCCTTGTGTGCCTTAGCAAAGAGCTTGGCTACATTGTATTTGTGTCCTAGTGATCTGTGGAAGTTTGAACTTAAGAATGGTAACCTAGCACATCTGGCAGAAGATATTTCTAAGCAGCTAAACATTCAAGAGGTGACATGGCTGCTTCTAACAACCTATGATCAGATAGGGGAGCAAATGAATGACTTAAAGTTGGAATTTATACCTAAAAGGAAAGCAGGGTGTAAAAGTTTGGAAAATTTGCAGCTTAGCCATATGGTAGACAAAGAAAAAAATGTTTTCAGGAGAGGAATCCAAACAGGCTGCAGAGCAACCACTTACTAGAGAGATTTGCATGGCTAAAAGGGAGCCAAGTGCTAATATCCAAGACAATGGGAAAAAGACCTTGAAGACATTTCAAAGATCTTCGCAGCAGCCCCTCCCATCACAGGCCCAGAGGCCTAGGAGAAAAGAATGGCTTAATGGGCCAGGACTAGGGCCCTGATGCCCTGTGCAGCCTCAGGACACTGGTCCCTGTACCCCAACTTCTTCAGCTACAGTGGTAGTTCAACAGTCTCCAGGTACAGTGTGGACTGCTGCTCTAGAGGGCAAGCCTTGCTGGCTTCCAAGTGGTGTGAAATCTGCAGGAACACAGAACACAAGAGTGAAGGGGCATTGGCAGCTTCCCCCTAGATTACAGAGGATGTATGGGAAAACCTGGGTGCCCAGGCAGAAGCCTGCTGCAGCAGCAGAGCCCTCACAGAGATACTCTATGAGGGCAATGTTGGGAGGAGATGTAGGGTTGGAGCCCCACACAGACTCCCGACAAGGGCACTGCCTAGTGGAGCTGTCAGCAGAGGGCTTCTGCCCTCCAGACCCCAGAATGTTTGATCTACTGGCAGCTTGCAACCTCAGCCTGGAAAAGCCGCAAGTACTCAACTCTAACCCATGAGATTGGCTACAGGAGCCACAACCTGCAAAGCCACAGGGGTGGAGTTGTACAAGGCCCTGGGAGCCCACACCTCACACCAGTGTGCCTCATGGAGTCAGAGGAGATTATTTTGGAACTTTAAGGTTTAATGTCTGCCCTGCTGAGTTTCAGACTTGCTTGGAGCCTGTAGCCTCTTTCTTTTGGCCAATTTCTTCCTTTTGGAATAAGTATGTTTACCCAGTGCCTGTACCATCATTGTATCCATTGTATCTGGGAAGTAAATCACTTGTTTCTGATCTCACAGGCTCATAGGTGAAAGGAATTCATCTCCAGATGAGACTTTGGACTTGGCATTTTTGATTGAGTTGATCCTGGAATGAGTTTAGACTTTCAGGGACTATTGAGAAGGGATGATTATATGTTGCAAGGTGACCTGGACATGAGATTTGAGGGACCAGGGATGGAATGATATAGCTTGGAGGATTGTCCTCTCCAAATCCCATGTTGAGATGTAATCCCCAGTGTTGGAGGTGGGGCCTGGTGGGAGGTGTTTGAATCATGGGAGCAGGTTCCTCATAAATAGTTTAGTGCCATCCCCTTGGTGATGAGTGAGTCCTTGCTCTGGTAGTTCACTTGAGATCTGGTCATTTAAAAATGTTGGCGTCCCCTCAACCCCACCACTCTCTCTTGCTCCTGCTCTCACTACGTGATGTGTTGGCTCTCACCCCACCTTCAGCCATGATGGAAGCTTCCTGAGGCCTCACCGGAAGCCAAGCAGATGCCAGCACCATGCTTCCTGTACAGCCTGCACAACTGTGAGCCAGTTTAACCTATGTTTTTAAATAAATTACCCAGCCTCAGGTATTTCTTTACAGAAACACAAAAACAGCCCAATGCATGTAGTAACTTATAGATATATTTAGAAAACTGATTATCTTTTAAAATATGACTACTAAACAGACTAAAACGCAGAGTTCATTAAAATACAGAGGATGCCTCTGGTTCTCTGGTATTGACTCTTTTTGTCTACTAAGATAAGAAGTCTGGGCTAGACTGAAAAACTCAGAATCCAGGTCTGGGGTTTCTCAGTACTATGCTCCCATTTCCCAGTACTGTGCTCCCATTTCACAGTACTGTGTGCTCCCATTTCTCAGTACTGGGCTCCCATTTCCCAGTACTGTGCTCCCATTTCTCAGTACTGTGCTCCCATTTCCCAGCACTATGCTCCCATTTCCCAGGACTGTGAGCTTCCATTTCCCAGTACTGTGCTCCCATTTCCCAATGCTATGCTCCATTTCCCAGTGCTGTGAGCTCCCATTTCCCAGTACTGTGCTCCCATTTCCGAATACTGTGCTCCCATTTCCCAGTACTGTGAGCTCCCATTTCCCAGTACTGTGAGCTCCCATTTCCCAGTACTGTGCTCCCAATTCCCAGTACTGTGCTCCCATTTCCCAATGCTATGCTCCCATTTCCCAGTGCTGTGAGCTCCCATTTCCCAGTACTGTGCTCCCATTTCCAAATACTGTGCTCCATTTCCCAGTACTGTGAGCTCCCATTTCTCAGCGCTGTGCTCCCAATTCCCAGTACTGTGCTCCCATTTCCCAATGCTATGCTCCCATTTCCCAGTGCTGTGAGCTCCCATTTTCCAGTACTGTGCTCCCATTTCCCAGTACTATGGGCTCCCCTTTCCCAGTACTGTGCTCCGCTTTCCCAGTACTATGCTCCCATTTCCCAGTGCTGTGCCCTCCCCTTTCCCAGTACTGTGCTCCCATTTCCCAATACTGTGCTCCCATTTCCTAGTGCTGTGAACTCCCATTTCCCAGTACTGTGCTCCCAATTCCCAGTACTGTGGGCTCCCCTTTCCCAGTACTGTGCTCCCATTTCCCAGTACTATGTTCCCATTTCCCAGTGCTGTGAGCTCCCATTTCCTAGTACTGTGCTCCCATTTCCCAGTGCTGTGCTCCCAATTCCCAGTACTGTGCTCCCATTTCCCAGTGCTGTATACTCCTATTTCCCAGTGCCATGTGCTTCCATTTCCCAGTACTGTGCTCATATTTCCCAGTACTGTGCTCCCATTTCCCAAAACTGTGCTCTCATTTCCTAGCACTGTGCTCCCATTTCCCAGTACTGTGCTCCCATTTCCCAGTGCCGTGCTCCCATTTCCCAGTGCTGTATACTCCTATCTCCCAGTGCTGTTTGCTCCCATTTCCCAGTACTGTGCTCCTATTCCCCAGTACTCTGTGCTCCCATTTCCCAGTACTTTGTGCTCCCATTTCCCAGCACTGTGCTCCCATTTCCCATTACTGTGCTCCCATTTCCCAGCACTGTGATCCCATTTCCTAGTACTGTGCTACCATTTCCCAGTACTGTGCTCCCATTTCTCAGTACTGTGCTCCCATTTCCCAGTACTATGCTCCCATTTCCCAGTACTGTGCTCACAGGTGTGAGCCAACATGCCCGGCCCATCAGCTCTTAAGCAGCAAGAGGCCCTGCAGCTGGCTGGCTGGCTGGACAGCACAGTTAAGCAGGTGGCTGCATCCTCTGCAGTTGCTGGCAGCCCATCTTCCTGGAGATGTAAACCCTCCTGCAAGGCTGGCTCTTCTTTGGGTGTGATGAAGATGATGACAGAGATGGATGCTGGGCTCTGAGGGTCCTGGTTCCTTCGAAGGACATCCAGGGGCCTCTGAGATGATGGGCTCTGGTTCCTGGCCTGTAGCATGGGTAGGAGCAGGAGGCTTTGCAAGGTAGACTCTACAGGCAGGACCTTGATGGAGGGTGGGGTTTCAGGGTAGAAGACCTGGATCACAGGGGCACCTGAGCTCCTGCAGGACAAAACAAAGTCACTCTTTGAGCAGCCACCAGGGAGGAAGCTCAGCTCTACTTGTGATGGAAACCCACCGGTGGCTTTTACCCCAACCTGTTGCCTGGAGAGGCAGGGCTGGTTTCTGCGTGGATCATCACCTTGGCTTAGACACAGAGCCCCACTCCCAGCTGGGTCTAGTGAGAGTCCTCCCGAGCCAGGCTCCTGCCCTCCCCATCCTTCCAGAAAACTTAGAGATGAGTGCATCACCGACAGAGGCCATTTTCTATTGTTATTCTTCGGAAATACATCCTTTTGAAAGATAACCCATCTTTTATCACTAGATATTTTAAAAAATATTTTCTTTGGCCAGGTGTGGTGGCTCACACCTGTAATCCCAGCACTTTGGGAGTCCGAGGCGGGTGGATCATGAGGTCAGGAGATCGAGACCTTCCTGGCTAATACGGTGAAACCCCGTCTCTACTAAAAATACAAAAAATTAGCCAGGTGTGGTGGCGGGCAACTGTAGGCCCAGCTACATGGGAGGCTGAGGCAGGAGAATGTTGTGAACCCGGGAGGCGGAGTTTGCAGTGAGCCAAGATTGGGCCACTGCACTCCAGCCTGGGTGACACAGCGAGACTCTGTCTAAATACATATGTGTGTGTGTGTATATATATATATATTCTTTGTTTACGGCATTTATCAATTGAATTATGTTGTGTCTAGAATTTTATTTCCCCTTCTTGGATTCACTGGGCTTTATGAATCTGTGAGTTGGTGTCTTCTAACAATGTTGGCAAATTCTCAGCCAAATCTCCTTAAATATGACATCTTCCCAATTTTCTCTCTTTTCTCTTTCTGGGACTCTAAACATAACATAGCCTTCAAACTGTATTCTCATTCATTTTTTTCACATTTTGCATTTCTGTCACTTTGTATCTATTTCAGTAAGTTCTTCAGCTCTAGATTCTAGTTCCCTAATTCACTTTTCAACTGTCTATTTTGTTGTTAAATCCATCCACTTTAAAAAAATCAGTGATATTTCTCATAAGTTTTATTTGGTGTTTTTCCAAATCTGCTTTGTAATTTAAAAAATAGTTTTCTGTTCTCTTCAGATATTTCTGACTTTGTGTTTTCTTTCTTTATGTTTTGGTCTGCCAAATTCAACATCTGAAATATTTATGTCTGTTTCTACTATGTTTTCTGCTGCTTCTCACTCAGTGCTTTATTTTCACATGTGGTGGGTTGTTTTTCATTGAGAATTGCTTCTTTGCTTTGTAGTTTTATTTGTGAGAAATCTTTGAGGCTTAGGATGAAGGTTTGTTACTCAGAAGGAATTATGCTTGGCTCCTGGGAATGACCAGTTCAGAATCACTCTCTATTAAATTCTCAGCTTGGGGACTTTTGGTC
Organism: Homo sapiens; assembly: GCF_000001405.40. NCBI lineage: Eukaryota > Metazoa > Chordata > Mammalia > Primates > Hominidae > Homo > Homo sapiens. The sequence goes on from NC_000005.10 coordinate 713,671, forward strand.
ACCCACCTCACACAAATTTAGGGAGAACCTGTTGCTCCAAATACTCGGCAGTGATTTTTCTCTTTTTCTTTCAGCTCTAGGGCTTGAAATGACTGATCCCCCCTGATTCCTTTGCGGGTAGAGAAGTGAGTTGCTTCTAGTTTGCCACTGCAATGAGGGTACCGCCCTCTGGGGGCCCTTACTTTAAGAGATTACTGATTGGCTTGCCATTTTGGCTGTGCTCTCAGCTTGATCTGCCCTTTGTACCTCCTGAAAAGGTGAAAATGAAGTTGACCAGGTTTCACAAATGCCCTCAGGGCAAAGGCCAGCTGCACTCCCCACTAGATTTCTCTTTGGGTTCCTCTGTGCCTTCAACCCTGGCCTGAGAATTCCTTATGTCTCCTCAGTTCATTAATGCCTTTAAGAATATTTACACACGCACTCACATGGACACGGACACGCGCACGCGTGCACACACACACCCTTAACTTGCTCAGTTTCGGAGCATTGTCCGATCCTTGTAAGTGACTTGCCACATGACTAGAACCTCTGGCTTCATTTCATTCCTTCTTTCTTTCCCCTCCCTTTTCCCTTTATGCCATCGGTCTGTATTCCACGATCTTTAAAATCTACCTTAAGTACTTTCTGGGATTATGTAAAAATCAGACAACTCTCCTAGCCACCATCCTTTTCTAGAGATAGGAGTGACTGACTCCTACACCACAGGCACTTTGGAGGGGTAAGGTGTAATACTGAAGAAGTGTTTTGTGTGCTCTACAGTAATTCACAACTCTAAGACGTTATCACAGCGAACATTTGCTGTTTAAAACCTTAGTGGTGAATATTTTTTTTTTTGAATGAGGCTAATTCATTTCGAAAGCACCCTAGGAAGACCAGATGCTTTTGAAATGATTTAGCCTCATTCAAAAATAATGCAAATGATAAAGAGCATGAAAATGATAAAGAATGTGACCTGAAATTATCTGCAACTTCAGCAGACAAGCTGTGGTTGGCTGAGTTTGGGCTTCTATAAAACACACTGAGCCATCTTGTTTCAATCACTAATCAAGCTCTGCCCTGGGAGCTTGCTCTTTGCTGTGGTTTGGACATCTGACCCTTCCAAACCTTATGTTGAAATTTGATCTCCATTGTTGGAGATGGGGCCTCATAGGACGTGTTTGTGTCATGGGGCTGGACCCCCTATGAACAGATTAATGCCCTCCCTCTGAAGGGAGTGAGTTCATGCTCTAGTACTTCTTGCTCTAACCAACCCATGAGACCTTGTTGTTGAAAAGGGCCTGGAGCCTCCCCCAGCCCTTCGCCTCCTCTCTCTCCATGTGATCTCTGCACATGTCAGCTCCCTTCACCTTCTGCTGTTAGTGGAAGAAGGCTGAGACCCTCACCACATGCAGAGCTCAATCTTCAACTTTTCAGCCATCAGAATCATAAGCCAAATACACGATTTTTCTTTATAAATTACCCAGGCTCAAGTGTTTCTTTGTAGTAACACTGATAGACTAAGACACGCCTTGTGTCCATCACTGTTAGTCACTGTTGCTCACGGAAGGGAGTCCACAGCTCCATTTGATGCTCACATGGAAGGATGTCCACAGAAGCTGTCAGTTTTTGCAGATTATTTGCAAGTTGATGCTTCGGCCAAGCGTCCAGCTCCACTTCTCAGGCTCTGCTACTCCTCAGCCATTTCACTGTTCCACACAAAGGAAATGGTGGGAGGAGCACGTAGACTCAGGTGCTGTTCTGTAGACATTCTACATGAGCTCAAGTTGTAGCCTCTTAAGTTTGTCCTCCATACCACTGAGACAATTTTTTACAGCACCAATTTACTTCTTCTTTCCTTGAAAGATTTTAATTTTGCAACTTCATGGTCAGTTTCTTGCAATCTTTCCACATCTCATTCATCTCCCCTTCAATCTCAGTGGATTTGTCTTCTCATCTCAACTTGTCTCCAATTATGATTTTGACTCCTGCCTCATGAAGACCCCGTGCTATGCATCTCAAACGCCTTTTTTCTAGAGAACAATTTTCACAGGTTTGCTGTCTCTCTGGGCTTTCAAGGTGATGTCTATTCCCAGTTCTGCAAAATTTTCACAGGATTTACACAGAACCATGAGTCCTGCCCTCTTGTCCTCTAGGGTGCTGGTCAGGGCTGTGCTGCTGGGAGACCTTGACATTCCTCAGGGCTCTATGGCACCCAGACGGCTGTGGGAGCTGCCTGGAGCACAGGAACTCTGAGGATACCAGGGCTTTTGATGTTTTGCCCGATCATAGGGCTTTTCTTGTATGGATCATGCCTTTCAGGATACAGTATGCCCTATACCCTTTTCCTGTCCAGCTAGCTTTTGGGAGGTGCCTCTCTGAAGCATTGTGAGAAGGCAGGTACTGAACGGTAGACTTCAGGGTGTAAAGCAGCTTGCTTTGCCTTGGAAAGCCAAGGTAACACCTTAGAGAAAGGGTTGCAGTCTCATTTTAAGGTACAATCATGTCTCATGTTTCTTAGCTGAGGGGATATAGTAGTGGAGGGAGAGCATGCCCCTCTGTTTTCAAGTGCTCAGTCTACCTATTCTGATGGCAGAGCATGTCTGGATGGTTTGCCAACTCATGTGTGTGCCTGATAGCAAATTCCTTTAGCCTTCTAGTGAGTAAACTTTCCCCCTGATTCTGAAAGTAAATGATCATTTGTTTCACGGTTAAATTTCACTGCATTCTATGGATCGTCCTAAATGTTTGAGCAGAAAGCAGGGATAGGTAGGATCAGAGGCATCTAATCAGAAACCATCTTAAAATGGCAGGTGTTCATTATTTAAAGTTCTTAGATCAGTACAATTGGGTGAAAATAATTCTTAGTTTAGACTTAAAGGCAAGTATGGAAATGAGCAGTGTTCAATCTATACATTGTTTACTGCCTAGAAAATAAAGATGAATTGATACTCTCACAGCTCGGCTGCCATGCACTACTTCTAAAGATGGACACACGGTTCCTGTTCTGGGGTTACTGTTGACATCAAGAGACAAACGACAAGCAGCCCAGCCCTTGAGTTTGCACTGGTGATTTTTTAAAGAAGATATTTCACTCTCTAGAGAACCAAACTTGGGTAGATTTCAACATGACCTGCACTGCCACGTATCTTACCCGAATCTCAGTCTTCACTTTCAGCACTGTCAGTTTTCATGGGCTCTGTTGTTTCTTGTTGCAGCCTGTTTGCAATATTCAGAAAGAGAGACAACAGAGAACGTATGATGTAATACTTGTTATACTGCCAAAGTGCACAAAATGTGTAAACAAGAGTACATTTTAGAGATTAGCTTGTGACGTGGGCAATCACTTCACCTCTCTGAGTTTCAGAGCCTTCATTTTTGTGAAGACAGTAACATGACTGCACTGCTGAAAGAATGTTGCTTTTTTCTTCTGCATGTGTGCTGATATAGAGACAAAGTGTGCTTTCCCTGATAAATAAGAGGGTCTTGTGGTAGCCAAGGAAGCTTGTTTGGATTTCCAGCATGAAAAGTGGCGAAATGTGGGGCCCACAGGAGGTCAGCTCATGCCTGGTACCTTCTTCTCACAACTCTTGCTTGATTGTGGTGAGTTCTTGCTATCGTGGAGCCTTAAGTGTTTTTATACCCACATCTTGAGTACAGGTGTTTTGTTCTCTGCCCTGATGTTACACTAGCCCAGCCAGCCAATGACTTGATTGTTTATGTGTGCTGGGCAGCTGGCAGGAGAGGTGACCGTGTTGCTGCCCAGACTTTCCAGAGGGTTGGGGATCCGGCTTAAGTTGCAACGCTGAATGTGTCAGGAATTAGAGACCAGAAACGCGCAAAATTTTGCTTTGAAAGATTTTGAAAGACCCACAAGCAAAAAAGTCACTAGGGACTTCTAAATCAAAACAGCGTATCCATCACATGCTATAGTCTCCCTTCTCTGATCCAATCCTTAAAAATTATAATCAGGATATAAACGGATCCATAAATGAGTAAGGACAGGACATCAAAGAAAAGCAAGAGGGAAACCTTTCTTGGATCAGAAATGATGACTCCTAGGAGGAAAGGATGCAAATGGGAGCTGATGCAGAAGGCCATGGTCAGGAGTGTGCTGCAGAACCTGGAAGAGACCCCCAGGAATTGCCATGGAGGAGCAGTGGATGCTCAGCTGGGCAGGGCTCCTGATGGGGTGATTAGCTGGGGGACTTGTAGGCTGAGCGGCCAGGCAGTGACTGCTGCTGCAAAACTTCCCAAACTATAGGCAACAATGGGAGGGTCTGCCACCAGATTATTGCAGGGGGAGCAGTAGTCTTGGTAGACACAGAGAAGTGCAAGGAAAAATTACACAGAAGGAAGTGACAGGACTCAGTAAGTAAAGGAGAACTGGGGTATCACCAAATGAATCCAAAAATTACTGAGAATAAAAAGAAAAGAAAATATTAATTTCAAATGAAAATAAAAGCATGGCAAAGTATGATAGGTGAAATGGTGGAGGATTGTGAGACATACAGGTTGGTGGGGAAGAATGTAGATAACTGTGTTGTAAAAGTGTGTGTAAGTATGTATATAAAAATGCAGAGGAAGTTTACCTAAGGACAAAATGGTATTGTAGAAAGCTATAGAGCCTGGTCCTTCCACTGAAACAACCATTGAGCTATAAAGAGCAATTGCAATGAATTATTTGGAAACTCTGAAACCTAGTCAGACATGTATGGGAGAGTGCTTGAAGAAAGGAGAAGCTGGGCTGGGTGCAGTGGCTCACACCTGTAATCCCAGCACTTTGGGAGGCTGAGGTGGGTGGATCACGAGGTCAGGAGATCGAGAACATCCTGGCTAACATGGTGAAACTCTGTCTCTACTAAAAATACAAAAATACAAAAACAAACAAACAAACAAAAAAGCTGAATGTGGTGGTGAGTGCCTGTAGTCCCAGTTACTCGGGAGGCTGAGGCAGGAGAATGGTGTGAACCTGGGAGGTGGAGCTTGCAGTGAGCAGAGATTGTGCCACTGCACTCTAGCCTGGGCGACAGAGCGAGACTCTGTCTCAAAAAAAAAAAAAAAAAGGAAAAAGAAAAAGAAAGGAGAAGCTGCTGGTCTTTCGTGAATGGTGTACATGAGCCAGCTACCGCCTCGATTTCTTAGTCTTCCTGTGGCTATAAGGGCAGCAACCTACATTCTTGGAGCAGCTGGCTGATGTCAGAGTGAGCGTCAGGGACCTTGTCCTCAATAAATTTGAGGTGGTACATTTTGGTTAGTCTGGTGGTGCCCTGAGGGATCAATACAGAGGCTTGCCTTGGTTTTGATCCACTTGGCAGCAGTGGCTTCCTCCAGCAGCAACCATTGGAAGATTTAGAGAGACACACAGTACCCCCTTGTTTGTAGCTAGATATTTGAGGAAATCTTTGATAGTTCACTAACTGGTCATAGAGATAAAGGAAGAGCAACTTCAGTGACAAGAAATACACATTTTGCAAAACTACTTTGGAAAGGGCACAAACTGATGGTTCCAGCCTTTAACAAGAGAAAATCCACAGTCCCAGAGGAGGAGAAGCACTTGATTTTTAGAGATACCACATTATGATACACAGAATATCCAGTTTTTAACAAAAAAAGAACATATAAAGAAATAGAATAATATGGCCCACTCACAGGGGAAAAAGACTTGGCATAAACTATGTCTGTGAAAGCTCAGACATTTGAATTACTAGTCAAAGACATTAAATCAGCTGTCTTAAATATGCTCAGTAAACTAAAGGAAGTCACTGACAACTAAATAAAGTAGGAAAATTACATATGAGCAAATTAGATTAGTAGTAGAGATAGAAATTATATATTTTTTAAAAACCAAAAAGAAACTGGAGCTGGAAAGTACATAACTGAAATAAAAAGTTCATTAGAAGAGTTCAACAGATCTGAGCAAGCAGAAGAAAGGATCAGCTAACTTGAAGACAACCGAAATTATCCAGTCTGAGGACCAGAAAAAAAAAAAAAGAATGAAAGAGGATAAACAGAGCTTGAAAGGTTTGTTAGACACCATCAAGGGTACCAACATATGCAACATAGGAGTCTCCAAAGTAGAAGAGAAAAGGAAAGAGGCAGAAAAAATACAGTGTTCCCCCATTATCAGCAGTTGTGTTTTCTGCACTTTCAGTTACCTCTGGGCAACCACAGTCCAATAATATTAAATGGAAAATTCCAGAAATAATTCACAAGTTTTAAATTGTGTGTAGTTCTGAGTAGCATGATGAAATGTCATTCTGCCCTGCTCTGCCCACCCAGGACATGAATGATCCCTTTGTCCAGCATATCCATGCAGTATACACTATCTGCCCATTAATGTACAGGAAAAAACATAGTGTATACAGGGTTTGGTACTATCTACAGTTTCAGATACTTACTGAGAGTCTTGGAACGTATTCCCCACAGATAATGGGGGAGCAGGAGACTACTCTATTTAAAGAAATAATGGCTGAAAACTTTCCAAATCTAATTAAAGGAATGAATCTACACATCCAAGGAGCTCAACGAATTCCAAGCAGGCTATATGCCAAAAGATCTACGCTAAGACACATTACAGTTAGATTGTCAAGGCATAGACAACGAGAGAATTTTGAAGGCAGGCAGAGAGAAGTGACTAATCAGAATCAAGAGATCCTTAATAAAATTATCAGGTGATTTCTCATTAGAAACTAAGGAGGCTCAAAGGCAGTGGGGTGACATATTTAAATGCCCTGGAAGGTGGAAAATACCTGGCAACCAAGAGTTCTATATGGGACAAATCTATCCTTCCAGAATAAAGCAATAACTAAGACATTCTCAGATAGACAAAAATTGAGAGAATTCTTTATCAGTAGAACTACCCTAAAAGAAATGTTAAAGAAATTATTTAGTCCTAAATGAAGAGACATTAGACAGTAACTCAAAACCATACAAAGAAATAAAGAACATTGGTAAAGAAATAAAGAACACAGGTAAATATACAAGTCAATAATATTGTACTTTGGGTTTGTAACTCTTTTTTTCTATATAATTTAAAAGTCTAATGCATAATACAATAATTATAAATATTGTTAATGGGTGCACACTGTATAAAAATGTAATCAATGACAATGGCAATATAAAGGGTGAGGGATGGAGATGGATAAAAGCAGTGTTTGTGTACTATTGAAACTAAGTTGGGGCTGACTGTAGTGGCTTACTCCTGTAATCCTAGCCTTTGGGAAGCTAAAGTGGGAGGATCATGTGAGACCAGGAGTTCAAGTCCAGCCTGGCAACATACTGAAACCCTATTTCCACAAAAAATAATTTAAAATTAGCCAAGTGTGGTGATGTGTGCCTGTAGTCCTAGTTACTTGGAAGGTTGAGGTGGAAAGATTGCTTGAGCCCAGGAGTAGGAGGTTGCAGTGAGTTATCACTGTGCACTCCAGCCTGGGCAACAGACTGAGTCCTGTCTCAAAAAAAAATCTAAGTTGGTATTCAAACTAGGGTGTTATACATTTAAGACATTAATTATTATCCCCAGCATAACCACTAGGAAGATAATTAGAAAATGTACAAAAAAGGAAAGAACAAAGGGATCAAAATGGAACATTACAAACATTCAACTAAAGATTTTTTAAATGGGCAGGAATTGAGAAATAAAAATATATATGATATACAAAATGCAAAAAGCTAAATAGCAGAAGTGAATCATTTCTTATCAGTAATTACTTTAAACATTATATATATAGATAGATAGATAGATTGAACTTTTTAATTAAAAGTCAGAGATTGGTGGATTGGATTTTTAAAAAGCTGAAGTGCCTGTGGACAAAGATGCTGAGTTAAAGGAGGTTGTCTTCCTTACTGAGTAATAGAGAAGCTCCCGGGCCCCGAGATATGGAGGGTCCCAGGGGCAAGGGTGAGGAGCGAGGATGGGGGTGGGATGTGAGGTTAAGCACAAGGGTGGTAGCTAAGTGTCCATATATGGAACATGTTGCTGACCCCACACAGCAAGCAGCTAGCCTCTGCCACCCCACAGGAGATAAGAAGGGTCTGACGTCAGGACACCAGAGGTGTGGCAGGTGGGAGAATTGGGGAAGGCACTGGAAAGGAAAGAGTGGGGCTAGTGACCATAATACTGAATAACTAGAGCCTTTCGTGGGAGAGAGAGGGAGTACTTACTTCTCAGAACTTATTAAGCTATGGGAAGTAAGATGATAAGAAATTAGTGCAGGGATAGACAAAACTGATGAGTGGAATTGACTAGACAGCCCAGAAATAGACTCAAATATGTGCATAAATGGAATTCAGGACAGAAGAAGCTTTTTATGCCAGTGGGGAGAGGACCTGCTCAATGAATGGAGCTGGAAACAATACAAATCCATAGAGGGAAGAATGAAGTTAGATCTCTACCTCACACCATACACTGAAATCAACCAAACATAAAGACTCGGCTCTCAAAATCAAAACTGAAAACCCTTAGTAGAAATAATAGATGGCTATCTTTTGGATATTTTGGTGAAAAGATTCATTAATCAAGACCAAAAAGCATTACTTATACAATATGTATAAACATGACTATACTGTAATGCATGATCTGGTTTCTAGAATGGTATATTAAATTAAACATGGAGTTAAGCTGCACGTGGACAGACTCTATCTGTAATTCACCCAACTGACAAAAGGTTTGTATAAAGAATATATAAAAACTCATATAAATCAATAAGAAAAGCACAAAGAGTCCAGTGGAAAAATGGACTAGGGACATGAGCAAGTGCTTCATGGAAGAGAAAACTCGTATGACTCACATGTGTTCAGATTCATTAATAATGAGGGAAATACTGAAGTAGGCCACAATAAGCCACCAGTTCACACTACTCGACTGTCAATTCCAAGTGTTGGAGAGGACATGAAGCAATAGGACTTCTTATACCCTGCTGTGAGAGTGTAACATGTGCAACACCTTTAAAAAACAGTGGCCTTATCTCTGAGAGCTGGACATTCTAGCAATTGCACCACTAGGAATAGCCCCTGGAGAAATGGTTGCACCTGTACAACAGGAGATCTGTCAAGATCAAGCAGCACAGCTGGGTAGCAAAAAACTGGAAGCCATCTCCATGCCCAACCATAGCAGAGGGGGTAATTAAGTGTGGTACGGGGTGGAACAGCCACAGAAGCAAACGCCAACAGACTACAGCGACAAGCAGTATGGACAGACCTTGGCAATTTAGTACTAAGTGAAAAAGGTGATTCCTCAAAGATTCCAGATACTACATACGCACAATGTCCTTTCTGTTAAAAAAAAAATGAAAAAGTATTCAATGTATTGCACGTATGTATGTACTCTTTAGGAATATACATCTATATCTATATAGATATCTAAGGAACAAAATTTGAAGGAAAGCAAGAGAATGAAGAGCATGAGCGGGGTGCAAGGACTTGGAATGGGGGCCCCATCAACAGATAAAGATGATTCAGACTCCGCTTTTGTTGTTGGTGCTTCCTCCACTATCATAAATAAACAAAATACGGAGTCAATGAAGGAAGCAGGTCACTCACAGATCAAGGATGAATCTGTTCCCACCCAGGATTGGGATTCGTGTGACTCTGGGCACCTGGGATCCAAAACAAGGGGAAAGAGGCAACCACCATTCACTGGGCATCCCAAAGCCAGACCCTGGGCAGTGATGTTCACAACTCCAGGAGCTCACACACAACCTTCTTGGGAAGAGATACTAATATGTTCCCATTTCCTTGTGAGGAATAGGGGCTCAGAGTGGTTTAAAAACTTATGAGATTATAGAACCAGCAGCATCTCCACACTGGCCCAGAAACGAGGTCTGTCTGATGCCAAAGTCCAAATGCAGGTTACGGTGCCAATTAGTTTCTGATCACTCTGCTAAGAGGAGCTTTGCATTCCTGTGAAGAGTGAGAGAGGTCAGCCTGGGATGCCTCTGGGGGTATCAGAGCAACAGGATCAGACGCAGGTCCTGGACTGAGCCTGCAGCTAAGAGAAGGCCACAGGCGGGGTCTGGGGGTGCAGGCCAGTCCCCATCAGACTCTCAGTGATTGTGGCCACTGGGGTTAAGGGCCAGAGTGTGACCTTCCGTGGTCAGAATGGGGCTCTCCTAAGTGGACTGAAAGACAAACCCTAGATCTTCAGGTGGGTCCTTCTGAATCTCTGGTGCCACAGAAGGAAAACTGAGCACTGCAGCCCCATGGGGATGGGAGGGGTCAAGTTGCGCAGCCTCCCCCTCGCTGTGCAGCCTCTTGGGAGGGAGCACGCAGGACATCTGAGAGGACCTGCACCCTTAGCCTTAGACCCTTTGCTGGCTGTATGACTGCTCAGCTCTCGGTGCAGAGAGACAGCCCTATGGTAGCTGCATCTGCCCTCCTCTCCTCTCTAGCTCCTCTGCTCTGCCTGAGCTGTCCTCTGGGTGTGGGTTCAGACCTGTCCACACATCCTGTGCTGTGTCATCAGTGCTCCCAGCCATGCCCCACTTCCAGGCTCCCTCACTCAGTTCCCCTTGGACGTCTGCATGTGTCTCCAACACACTTACGTGTTCCATCTTTTTTATTTATTTATTTATTTTGAGACATAGTCTCACTCTGTCACCCAGGCTGGAGTGCAGTGGCACGATCTTGGCTCACTGCAACCTTCACCTCCCAGGTTCAAGCGATTCTCCTGCCTCAGCCTCCCGAGGAATGGGATTACAGGAGCATGCCATCAAACCCAGCTAATTTTTTTTTTTTTTTTTTTTTTTTGAGACAGTCTTGCTCTGTCGCCCAGGCTGGAGTGCAGTGGCACAATCTCGGCTCACTGCAAGCTCCGCCTCCTGGGTTCACGCCATTCTCCTGCCTCAGCCTCCCGAGTAGCTGGGAGTACAGGTGCCTGCCACTACGCCTGGCTAATCCTTTTGTATTTTTAGTAGAGACAGGGTTTCACCGTGTTAGCCAGGACAGTCTTGATCTCCTGTCCTCTTGATCTGCTTTCTCGGCCTCCCCACATGCTCCATCTTTTGACCATCAGTTACACACACACACACACACACACACACAGACACACAGATGCATACTATTTATTCCCCACCTGTCTCCTATATGCAGTTTTCCCAATATTTTATTAAAATTTCAAACATAAACAGGACTGGAAAAGGCTTTACAAAAAAATAAAAAACAAACAAAACCTGAACCCAGCACCTGGAAGCGACCAGGGCTAATGTTTGTCCTCCACCCCATCACATAACTGTCTGCCCATCACTCTGGTCTGCCGCATTTCAGACTGGTTGCAGACATCTGCACCCCTCGCTGAGATGCACACACGGCACTTCTGGGCCTTTGTTGCTGTTGGAGCAGCACCCTTCAGGACCCTTCCTGTAGATGGTGAGCCTGTGTCCCCAGATTCACAGGCTGAAGTCCTAACCCCAGCGTTGTGTGTCATAAAGCGGAGCCTTTGGTGTCAGCTCCCGAATGTGGGACCCGGATGACAGGATTCGTGAGTGCCTTCAGAACACGCATGTGAGTGAGATCTCACTCTCAACTCCCTGCCTTGTGAGGACAAGCAGAGGAGGCCATCGGAGAACCAGGAAGGGGCTCTCATCAGACACCGGATCTGCCGGCGCCTTGAGCTGGGACTTCCCCTGCTGTGTGAGGACAACCAGAGGAGGCCGTCGGAGAACCGGGAAGGGGCTCTCATCAGACACCGGATCTGCCAGTGCCTTGAGCTGGGACTTCCCAGGCTCTGGAATGGTGAGAAATACATGTTTGTTGCCTAAGCCCCCGGTGTGTGGTATTTCTGTTGAAGCAGGCTGAACAGACTCAAACACCTAGGAATGCTTACAATTAGTCAAACGAGCAACTCGGAATATTGTTGTAACCTCCACTGTGGAGGAAGGCTCTGTGCTGCCCACTGGAAGGAAGAGGCCAGCGGCTTTGGGGATACCCCAGATGACGAGGTCCTTTCTAGAGGCCAAACAGCAGCGGGGCTCAGGCTCAAGCCCTGGGAGGGAGACAGGAGCTCCTCATGATCCCCTCTTCTAGGAAGCGCGGGAGGAAGGAAAGACCATGTGTCAGCAAGGCAGGGTCTCGCTTTGGGGAGGAGCTCACAAGAGGCCATTAAGGCTCCAAAGTTCCAGACAAGCACCATTACCGTGGTTTCTGCTTGTCAGCAGATCCCAGGAACAGGCAGCTCCTGGGAGGCTGCGTGAGTGCTCAGGAGTATACTACACAACAGACACCACCTGGGCATGACGCTTACATGGAAAGCACCCTGGATGCTTGGCAGGGGGATGATGCAAAGGAACAGCTCCAACCTCCAGTGGAAAATTAATACAAGCCACTGAATGAGGCGCTGGGGATTAGGGTCTTCACACGCGAAATCCTGCTCCCTGTTCCCACTTTCATTCCAGCTGGTCAGCTACGTCCACCCATTCCCTTCGACATCCCACAGCAAAACGCAGACCAGAATATCCCCCATCGGTTTGTCTAATATCCACCACTAGAGACACTATAAATCCCTACACATTTCCCACAAAACAGACCTGTGATTAGCAACATCACACCTCACAGGCTCTTAGTGAATGGACTTTCCCCGTGTGGCAAAGCGTGACATGATTTAAACAAAGTCCCTGATCGCTAGAAACAGATGTTTGTAATGTGCGCAGCAGGCAGAGCCTGAAGTAGAAGGCTGTGAGTGAGTCTATAAGGTGGACCAGCTGGATCCAAACTGTTAGGTGACCCTGGAAGCATATTCTGTGACAAAAAAAGGGTTAATGGTAACTTATCGCCTGTTGCATCTAGAGGCTTTGTAAACTCGTGTGGTGTTGGTATAACACTTTTCACATTCAACAAGGTTAGCTCATTCTCCTGTGGAGAAGACTTGAATGAAATGAAGAAGGCTTCCAACAAAGAGGAATATGATTTAAAGATGGAGTGGTTTATGCCCATCTTTAACGCAACAATGTAGAGTTTAAAAAGCAGGTGCCTAAAGAGGTGTATTAAATGATAATTTCATTTAGAAAATGGGTCTAATACACAGAAAAAATGTTAAAAGGGAAGCTGCAGGAGGTGCCAATCAAAATGCCTGCAGTAGCCATTGGTGGGTGGGGGGACTGTGAGTGACTTAGGTTTTTACACCAAGAATGTTTGTAACTTCCCAATTTTCTATTTTGAATGTGTACTGATAAAACATATATTTTTTTTCAAAGTGAAAGTTTACAATCCTGGTCACAATTAATTTTCTATCATTCTTGCCAGAAATGGATAAAGGAGAAAATGTCTTAGTTTTTACCTAATAATAGAACCATAGGCTATACTTCAAAGTAAAATTCAGAATAACCTGAATTCACTAAATCAAAGAAAACCAGTTTACAAGGAAAATTAATGGGTTGTGTGAAAGAGCATTTTCACACTAAGTGATATGTAATCCTTGATTGCTGAAACTAGGCAAAACTCTTAAGCAATTCTCAGATTTGAGAAATTGATGAATGGGGCACTTCTCCTGGGCTACTTTTTCTGACCCAGGAAGCTGCCTGCCTCTTGAGCTGGAGAACCCGGCTGGCCTTCCCTGGCCTGGAACTCTGGCGCTGCCCCCAGCACGTTTCCGTGAAGGACGGAGCTTCTGGGGCAACTCAGGAAGAGCAAGGCAGGAACTTCCATCCTCTGCCCACCTGGGGGAGACTGACTTCTGGGTCCTTATTGTGGCTCCCAGCGGAGTTGGGATGCCAGGGAAACGCTATCGGCCACTCTCAAAATGAGGTGTATATTTAATATAACTTTGCTCCAAATTCCAGGTTTCCTGGAACCGAAACAAAATGTATTTTCCATATAAATTTCAAACAAACTTATATGAAAAAATTAAAGTTTAAAAATTGTCAAAACTTTTAGAAATGAAAAAACCTGAGAAAGTGACTGTCGGACATTAAAATGTAGCTCAGAAGGTCCAGTAATTAAAACAGCACGGTTTAGGACACAGATCCACAAGGCAGAAATAAACGTGTAGAAACAGATCTGAGTCTAGTGCTTATGGCAAGCACTAGAAAAGGGGGCCTTTGAATTAGATGGAAAGGTGTATTGTTTCATAAACGAGGTGGTAACCATTACTTAAGTCTTCGAGATAAAGTAACCTTAGCTCTCTCCCTGTATGCAAAAATAAGTTGAAGATGGCTTGAAAATCAAAATATAAGGAAAGTCAAAACAGAAAAATTATAAAAATATCAGCAAAGAGTTCTGGATGATTTTTGTATAACCCTGGAGTAAGAAAGACTTTTTAAAGCAAGACAGGAACATTTGACAACTGACTTCACAAAAATTTATGAACTTCACGTTGCAAAAGACACGATAAACACAAAATTTTAAAAGACAGACTGAAAGAAATACGTTGGAAACACACAGATCAGAGAATTACTATCCCTAATGTGCAAAGAGCACTTAATATCGACAATACAAACAACTCCATTTAAAAGTGTGCAAACATTTGAAAAGCTAATTCATACAAGAGGAACTGTGAAACAGTAAAAAAGAGAATGACAATGTGTTCAGTCTCATTAGTAATAAGGAAAATGCACATTGAAACAATTAAAAGTGTTATTTGGATAAAACTAAAAATACCTTGCTAATATCTGGTGCTGAAAAGAGTGAGGAAATTGAAGGAAATTTGCATTGTTTAAACCTTTTGGTAAAGTAAGCAAAAAGAAACTATGAGGATTTAAAATGCAAATGCCCTTTGACTTTTAAGTGTTCTACAGAAACAAAACAATATTGTCAGTATCTGACAACCTTGGCACAAAGGTGCTTCTTGCAATTTTGTTTGCAAAACCTAAACTTGGTCATAAACTTAATATCCTGTAGTGAACAATGGTTGACTAAGCCACGGTATATGCACATCATGAGAGGGTGAATTTCCTGACAAGAATAAAACACATCTATATGAAACGTCATGAGTGTAATCTATGCCATATTGTTGAAGAAATTAAAATTCAGGAAGGGAGGTGCAGAATATTTTTAACCTATACTATCATCTTCAAACTGATACAATCAGCATGTAATAAGGTTATAAGTTCTGAGTATAAGTTAGGTATTAAATTCTCCCCCATCTAAATGTTGCTCCATGGCCAGACACAGTGACTCATGTCTGTAGTCCCAACACTTTAGGAGGCTGAGGCAGGCAAATAGCTTGAGCTCAGGAGTTCGAGACCAGTGTGGGCAACATGGTGACACCCCATCTCTACAAAAGTTGGCTCAGCGTGGTGGCATGAGCCTGTGGTCCCAGCTACTTGGGAGGCTGAGGTGGGTGGACTGCAAGAATCCAAGTGGCAAAGGTTGTAGTGAGCTGAGATTGTGCCACTGCACTGCAGCCTGGGTGACAGAGAAAGACCCTGTCTCAAAAAAAAAAAAAAATGTTGCTCCATGATCCAGGGCAGCTGGGTTGGGAGGATGAGGCCAGCTGGGTGCACTCATCTGTGAGGGGGAGACCGGGAGGCATGCGGTGACCTCAGCAGTCTGGGGTCCCAGGTGCCTCTAGAGGAACCCCAAGCAGCTCCGAGCCATGAGGTGTGGGTGCTCCTTCTTCCCAGCACGAGCAGCCTCCCTCACACACCCTCCCTGAATAATGTCGGCCGTGTCACTGGGCTTATGTCCACTGGGCCCTACCTGGTTTGGCCATCTGGCCCCCCTGAGCAGCATGACCTACTGGAATGGTGGCAGAGACCCCAGAGGTCCTAGGCCAGGACGGCTGCAGCTGCTGTGTGCCCAGAGAGCACGGGGCTGTTCTGTGCAGGCTGGGGCGGGGGCTTCCCCTGTGGGGCCGGCTGGGACTCCCTGCAGTGATGGGAGGAATATGGCAGGCAGGCTGGGGACTGAGATGTGAGGTGAAGGCAGGAAGGAGGCTGTGTCAGTGTGAGAGAGTGTGACTGTGTGCGAGTGTGTGTGTGTGCACATGCCTGTGTCTGTGCACCTGGGGTGGTTTGAGCCAATGACTCTTACCTTTCCACTTCATTTTCTTTTAGGTTGTATTAAATGGTTCTAGATGAAACTTTAGTAGAGTGTAGGAGCGCAATATCTAAACCCTAAAACTCTGGAAAATGTTGTATAAAGCTGCTTTTCAAAATATAAAGTTAATATATGTTCATTTTATGGAAAGGAAAATGCAATAGCAAACAAGGAGTAAATAACTTACTCAGCATCATGTGTGAGTAGATTTCCTATTACTCTATGTTCTGTGAGAAGTGTATCCTGTACTTGAGATTCTCTGGGAAGAATATGCATTTGTCATGGCTGTACAATTTTATTTCATCACGGGAACAGGGTACCCTTTAGAATGTGTGCTTAAAACTGGATCATGGTCCTCTTTATAAGGGTCTTCTTTCAGCTTTTTAGTTTGGAGGGTGAAAAAGTGGTGTGCAGTTGGGCTGGAATTGTGCAGTGTTGGGGCAGAGCTGTCATCAGTGGATGTATTTAGAGTTGAAATGACAAGATCTGACTCTCAATGAAACACTATTAGAAACATTAAAAAACATTCAGGCTCACAACATTACATGTGTTTAAAGAAAGAAAATAACTACGCTTGGCCTTATTTTTGTGCGTAAGTTCAAATGTTAGTTATAAAGAATTCTATAATTTTTTCAAGTAAGATCAGTGCAATAAGCCACATGAATGGCTATAAATGTTCAGTGAAGCATTTCTACTTTCCCTTATGTCATCAGAATATTTGAACATGTTAAATAGAGAACATATTTTCCTAGGTAATTTGAGTTCAGGCAAGTGTACAGACAGATAAAACGTTCCCATTAAACTTACGAACTTACCCAAGTGTAGATGTACTCGGGGCATCATCTGCTTCCTGTGGGGGGAAGGGAAGCAAAATTCTTAGGATGAACAAAGACCTTGTTGACATTAAACTTATTCTTAAACAAAATTCAAGTTCATTACTAGTCAGTTCTGAGTAATGGTACTTCAAGAATGCCTGGATCATGGAATAGGATCTCAGTGGTGGCACAGCACGCTTCCTCCCAATCCTTGTATTATGGGCTGAACTATATCCTCCTCCAAATTCATAGGTTGACATCCTGACACCCAGTACCTCAGAATGTGACTATATGTGGAGACAGGGTCTTGAAAGAGGTAATGGATGTTAGATGAGGCTACTAGAGTGAGCCCTAATCCAGAGTGACTGGTGTCCTTTTATGAAGGGGAGATTATAACAAAGACACAGACAGAGGGAAGACTGTGAGAGGACACAGAGAACAGGTGGCCGTCTACAAGGCAAGGAGAGAGGCCTTGGGAGAAACCAACCCTGCAGACACTGTGCTCTGGGACTTCCAGCCTGCAGATATGTGAGAAAATACATTTCTTGTTCCAACGCCCCATGTGTGGTTCCTGCTTGTGGAAGCTCTAGCAAAGAAAAACACCTGCTATGTGTGCACACACATGTTGTTCTCAGTGCTCTTGGTTAAGAACCTGGGAGTGGGAGTGCTGGCTCATATGATAAGTACATGCTCAGCATCTGAAGCTTTGCCAAACTGCTCGCCAATGTGGCATCATCTTTCATCCCCATGAGCAATGGATGAGACTTCCAGTTCTCCAAACTCTTCACCAACACTTGATATTGATCACCTTTTTTTATTTATATTTTTTAGAGGCAGGGTCTTGCTATGTTGCCCATAGTGGTCTCAAACTCCTGGCCTCAAGGGATCCTCCTGCCTTGTGGGCCACCCAAAGCTCTGGGATTTCAGGTGTGAAGCTTTGTGCCTGGATGGTACCCTTAATCTGCTTTCTTGCAGCTACTCTAATGGGGTGCAGCAGTATCTTATTGTGATTTTAGCTGGTGGTTCCCTGGTGGCAAATGATGTTGAGCACCATTTTGTGGGCTTTATTTCTCATGGATATTGTTGCCTTGGTGAAGAACGTGTTCAATCTTTCACCCATTTAAAAACTGAGCTGTTGTGTATTTTTGAGTTTTCATGGTTCTTTAAATATTCTGGATAAAAGTATATGACTTGTAAATATTTTATTTCAGCCTGTGGCTGATATTTTCATTCTTTTACTGGTGACAATGGAAGAAACAATTTTAAATGCTTAAAGTCAAATGTATCCGTTTTGTGAAATAGTGTTTTTGGTATCTATCAAAGAAGAGTTTGCCTAACACAAGACTCCGGAGATATTCTAGGATTTTTGTAGGAATGTTAAAGTTTCCCCCTCTTACTATGAGGTCTCTGATGGATTGTGCACTGCTTTCTAGGTGGGACTGAGCTGTGTGTGTGTGTTTGGCATGTGGTTATGCAGCTGCTGCAGCACAGTCATTACAAACCCTTCCATGTCTCCCCATTGCCTCACCTTGGCACCTTCCATTTAGGCCAAACACCAGAAATGTAAAGAAGGGCTTGTTTCTGGAGTTTCCAGTTTGTTCCATTCATCGAGTCAGGGTGTCTTCTTTGGACAATGCTGTCTGCAGCCCTGGGCCCACTCGAAGGGGAGGCGATGGACTGTAGGTCTGTGGAGCTCAGCACAGGGCTGTGCCACGGACTTGGGTGTCAGTGAAGTCACGCTCATTTTCAGACGGAATTCTCCTCCCCGATGTGAACAATGAACCGACGGTGTCATTTTCATAGGATTGTCCTGGAGCCCACGGAGATGCGGGCTTGGGATTCAACGTGATGCTGAGCGGATCTTCTCTGCTTCAGACCAGGCCTCATGTGGCTTCACTATTCATCCACACATAGATGCTGCAGAGACACCGAGGGGACTCACAAATGCACCTGTGCAGAAGGTGTCAACGTGGACAATCGCAGGCAGAGAAACTCCCATGAGCCCGTGTGCCACATGCAGTGAGGGAACTTTGGTGGCTGAGTCTGGGCGGGGGTGGGCTGGGGGCTCGATTGGTTTCCACTGAGTGTCTCCAAATCTTTGCTGGAAGTGCAGGCAAGGGGCAAGTCTTGGACACCAGCCTCACTGTTCCTCCAGGTTGGGTGATCCATTTTCATTTCCAAGTCACAGGAGCCTGTTCCCTGAAATCCTGGGGAAGTGCGGTGAGGCGGCCCTGCCCCCACAGGGAAGGACAAGTCACCTGTAACCTCCAGAAACTGGCCCCCTCACAAATCCTGCTCAAAAGGACCAGCCTGTGGCCTGGCATGGAGGCTCACGCCTCTAATCCCTGTGCTATTAGAGGCTCACGCCTCTAATTCCCCTGAGCCTGGGGAATCACTTGAGACCAGAAGTTCCAAACAAGCCTGGACAAGAGAGTGAGATCCCATCTCTTAAGAAATAAAAAACAAAAAATAAATTGGCTGGGTGTGGTGGCACACACCTGTACTTTCGGCTATTCGGGAGGCTGAGGTGGGACAATTGCTTGAGCCCAGGAGTTGGAGGCTGCAGTGAGCCATTATCCCACCACTGCCATCCATGTTGGGTGATGGAGTGAGATCTCATCTCTAAAAAATAAATAATGACCCAGCAGAAACCACTGGAAGCTGACCCCAGAGCAGGAACAGAAATATGTGGCCCTAAAGCCGGCAGCCGCGCTGGTCTTTTCCTGTGAAGGATGGACACAGAGTCCATGTAACAAACACACACCATTCACACACATATACAACTGACCACACACTACACACAAAACCACACACATAACCACACCCCCCCACATATGTGCAACCACACACCATACACTTGTACGTGTGACCACACACACATCGTCTATTCCCATCTGTCTCCCACACACAGTCCTTCCTGAGCATTTTATTTTAAAAACACAGCATGTGGCTTCTGCCATGGCTACCAATCTCCTTCCATCCTTTATCACAGCACTGTCCCTCGCTGCATGTTCTGGGCACTTCAGACCCTGCCCTGGGCATCTGCCCATCACCGCAGCTTCTTGGTGGTGCTCCAGTGCTGGGGGCTCCCACTTTGGTACCCATCTGTCTCTGTCACCCACAGCTGGGAAGCATTCCTGCCTCTCACTCCATCTCTCTTCTGTGCTCCACCCACCATCATTCCCATGTGAGCAGCACCCTTGGACACAGAGTGCTTCTATTCTGAATACTGCCTTAACCTCAGCTTGGGGGACCCGAGACCACATATTCTGCACACGGCCCTGTCCTCAGGGTGCATTGCTGGTGACTGCAACTTACCTGTGCCTTCGAATCCCCGTCCTGGTTTACTGAAGTGCAGAAGTGACATGGGCATTTGTAAATCAGCAGGGAGCTCTTGGCCTTGACTCTGGTGGGACAGGAAGGAGGAGAGAAACTCATCTCAGCTTTGTGGGGGGGCTCAGGGTGGCACTGGAGGCTGCACCGCGTCGTGTCAGCACCACTGCTGTGGGGCACACATGTCTCAAAAACTTGTAGACCAGCAGCTCCTGGGAGGTTGTCTAAGTACTCCTGCGTTATGTGCAGTGGCACACGTAAGAAGCTTCTCGTGTAAAGGACCATGACTCTTTGCCACTGGGACAATGCAAAGCAGTCCCTCCACCCACCGTGTGAGACTTGCCCTACACCAGTGCCTAAGACGGGTTCTGAAGAGTGATGGCAGATGGGAGACAGGTCTGATATGCAGCTCCCACATGGAGAGACAGAACAGCATGTGGAGACTCATACTGTGGCCTTTCACTCCAGGAACCACCACAGCAGCATACCAGAAAAAACAAAAAGTCACAGAGCCTTTGGAAGATGCCATAGGCCACTGCAAATTCCACAGAACAGGTGACAACTCCGCTGCTGTCTCAAAAGTGCCACCTCCTGGCTGGAGGCCAATCAGCTCAGGACATGACAGCAACTCATGACAGAACAACCCTGCTCCTAGGAAGGAGAAAACAAGAGCTTATTCCACCTCCTGCAACATCCTGGATAACCAGAGGTCCTGAGTCTGCCCATGTGACAACTTCACTGCTAGAATAACCAGCCTCTGAGAAAGTCAGCACAGTAAACCTATCGGCCGCCGAGGACCTCCACAGAGTCCACTTCGGTCCCCTGTCACCTCCACCGGAGCAGGTGCTCGCATCCACAGCTGGGAGACCTGAGGACGGATCACATCACAGGACTCTGTGCAGACATTCCCCAGCACCAGCCTGGTAGCCCTGCTGGGTGGAGAGACCCAGAAGAACAATAGCAATCACTGCTGTCTGGTTTGCAGGAAGCTCCATCTCTAGGGGAAGGGGCAGTGCACAAATCAGGGACCACCCCATGGGACTAAAGAATCTGACCAGCAGCCTTGAGTTCCAGATTTTCCCACTGAAATAATCTACACACATGAGAAGGAATCAGACGAGTAATCCTGGTAATATCATGAAACAGGGCTCTATTCCACCCTCAAAAGACCACACTAGCTCCCCAGTGAGAGATCCAAACCAAGAAGAAAATCAGAATTGCTGGAAAGAATTCAGAAGGTTGATTATTAAACTACTCAAGGAGATACCAAAGACAGGTGATAACCAACTTAAAGAAATTTAAAAATCAATACAGGATATAGATGAAAAATGCTCCAGGGAAATAGAGATCCTAAAGAAAACACAGTCACAACTTCTGGAACAAAAGACACACTAAGAGAAATGGAAAATGCACCAGAAACTTTCAACAGCAGGATCTAACAAGTAGAACAAAGAACTTCAGAACTCAAAAACAAGGCTTTTTAAATAACCCAGCCAGACAAAGAGGAAAAAAATAATTTTAAAAAAGAACAAAGCCTCCAGGAACTTAGGGATTATGTTAAACAGCCAAACCTAAAAATAGTGTTCCTGACAAAGCAGACAAATCCACAAGTTTGGAAAACTTATTTGAGGAAATGATCAAGGAAACCTTCCCTGGCCTTGCTAGAGTTCTAGACATCCAAAGACAAGAAGCTCAAAGAATGCCTGGGAAATTCATTGCAAAAAGATCATCACCGAGGCACATGGTCATCAGGTTATCTACAGTCGACACAAATCAAAGAATCTTAAGAGCTGGGAGGCAAAACATCAGGTAACCTCTAAAGGAAAACCTCTCATATTAGCAGCAGATTTCTCAGCAGAAACTCTACACACTAGAAGGGATTGGGGTCCTATCTCTAGCCTCTCCAAGCAAAATAATTAACAGCCAATAATTTTGTATTCAGCAAAACTATGTTTCCTAAATGAAGTAGAAAAAATGTCTGTTTCAGAACAACAAATGCTGAGAGAACTAGCCACTAACAAGTCAGTCCTACAAGAAATACTAAAAGGAGTTCCAAATCTTAAAACAAAACCTCAAAATACACCAAAACAGAACCTCCTTAAAGCATAAATCTTACAGGACTGAGAAAACAGTAACACAAATTAAAAAACCAAGGTATTCAGGCAACAACTAGCATGATCAATAAAACAGTACCTCACATCCAAATGCTAACACTGAATGTAAATGGCCTATAAGCACCATCTAAAAAATACAGAGTGGAAGAATGGAGAAAAATCCACCAACCAAGTATCTGCTGTCTTCAAGAGACACACCTAATGTATAAGGACTGAAATAAACTTAAGGTAAAGTGGCAGAAAAGATATTCCATACAAATGGAAACCAACAGCAGGCAGGAGGAACTATTCTGATACCAGACTCAACAGACTTTAAAGCCACAACAGTTAAGAAAGACAAAGAGCAACACTATACGATGATAAAAGAATCACTCCAAAAGGAAAAATATCACAATCCTAACTATATATGCACCTAACGAGGAACCCCCCAAATTTATAAAACAATTCTTACAGGACATAAGAAATGAGACTGATGAAAACACAATTATAGTGACGGACACAATACTGCACTGATAGCACTAGACAGGTCATCAAGACAGAAAGGCAACAAAGAAACAATGACCTTAAACTATATCCTAGAACAAAAGGACTTGACAGATATTTACAGAACATTCTACCCAACAGCTGCAGAATGTACATTCTTTTCATCAGTACATGGAAAATTCTCCAAGATACATCATATAATAGGCCACAAAACAAGTTTCAATGAATTTAAGAAAGTCAGAATTACATCAAGTATCTTTTCAGACCACAGGGGAATAAATTGATAATTAACTCCAAAAGGAACCCATGAAATTACACAAATATGTAGAAATTAAATAACTGCTTCTGAATGATCTTTGGGTCGACAATGAAATCCAGAGGGAAATTTAAAAGTTCTTCAAACTGAATAACTGTGGCATGACTTATCAAAACCTCAAGGACACAGCAAAAGTGATGTTTAAAGGAATGTTCACAGCATTAAATGGCCACATCAAAAAGACTGAAAGAGCACAAACAGACAATCTAAAGTCACACCTGAAGTAACCAGAGAAACAAGAACGAATCAAACCCAAACCCAACAGAAGAAAAGTAATAACGAACATCAGAGCAGAACTAAATGAAATTCAAACAAAAAAACAAAAAAACCACAAAAGATAAATCAAAAAGCCAGTTTTCTGAAAACACAAACAAAATTGATTGACCATTAGCAACATTAAGCAAAAAAAGAAAAGATCCAAATAAGCTCAATTAGAAATGAAATGAGAGATAGCACAACTGATACCACAGGAATACAAAAGATCATTTAAGGCCAATATGAACACCGTTATGCACACAAACTAGAAAATCCAGAGGAGATGGATAACTTCCTGGAAATATACAACCCAACTAGATTAAATCAGGAAGAAATAGAAACTCGTAACAGATTAATAACAAGTAGCGAGATTGAAACAGTAATAAAAAAATTGCCAACTAAAATATCCAGGATGTATTCACAGCTGAATTCTACCAGGCATCCAAAGAAGGACTGGTACCTATCTTATGGAAACTATTACAAAAGATAAGAGGGAATCGTCCATAAATCGTTCCATGAAGCCAGTATCACCTTAATACCCAAACCATGAAAGGACATAGCAAAAAGAGAAAACTACAGACCAATATCCCTCATGAATATAGATGCAAAAATCCTCAACAAAATACTAGCGAACCGAATCAAACAGCATAGCAAAAAGATAATAACACCATAGTCAAGTGGGTTTCATACCACGTATGCAGGAATGGTTTAATATATGCAAGTCAATAAATGTGATAAATCACAAAAACAGAATTAAAAACAAAAAATCAGAGATCATCTCAATAGATGCAGAAAAAGCATCTGACAAACTCTGCCATCCCTTTATAATAGAACACTCATCAAAATCAGCACAGAAGGGACATACCTCAAGGTAATAAAAGCCCTCTATGACAAACCCACAGCCAACATTATACTGAATGGGGAAAAGTTGAAAACATTGCCCCTCAGAACTGGAATAAGACAAGGATGCCCACTTTCACCACTTCCTTTCGACACAGTACTGGAAGATCTAGCCAGAGCAATCAGAGAAGAGAAAGAAAAAGCATCCAAATTGGTAAACAGGAAGTCAAATTGTCCCTGTTCACTGATGATATGGTTGTATACCTAGAAAACTCTAAATACTCATCCAGAAAGCTTCTAAATCTGATAAATGAATTCAGTAAAGTTTCAGGATACAAAATCAATGGACACAAATCAGTAGCATTGCTATGTGCCAACAATGACCAAGCTGCGAATCAAATGAATAAGTCAACCCCTTTTGCAACAGGTGAAAGAAAAAAAAACAACTTAGGAATATACCTAACACAAAAGGTGAAATATCTCTACATGGAAACTACAAAAACCTGCTGAAAGTGAACATAGAAAACGCAAATAAATGGAAACACATCCCAGGCTCATAGATGGGTAGAATTACTATTGTGAAAATGACCATACTGCCAAAGCAATCCACAAATTCAATGCAATTCCCCTCAAAGCAGAATCATCTTTCTTCACAGAACTAGAAAAAACAATCCTAAAATTCATATGGAACCAAAAAAGACCCCAGATAGCCAAGGAAGACTAATCAAAAAGAACAAATCTGGAGGCATCACATTACCTGAATTCAAACTATACTACAAATCTAGAGTTACCAAAACAGCAGGGAACTAATATGGAAATAGGTGTGTAGATCAATGGAACAGAATAGAGAACCCATAAATAAAGGCAAATACTTACTGCCAATCGATCTTCAACAAACAAAAGACATCAAGTGGGGAAAGGACATCCTATTCAATACAAGGTGCTGGGATGATTCACAAGCCACATGTGAAGAATGAAGCTGGATCCTCTCCTCACACCTTTTACAAACATCAGCTGAGGATGGATAAAAGACTTAAGACCTGAAAGCAAAATCTACAAGATATCATCAGAAAAACTTTTCTAGGCATTGACTTCAGCAAAGAGCTCATGACGAAGAATCCAAAAGCAAATGCAACAAGAACAAAGATAAATAGATGCAATTTATCTTAATTTATCTTTATTTTAAATAAGTACCTTCTGCACAGGAAAAGAAGTAATAAGCAGACTAAATAGAACCCAGGGATAGGAAGAAAATATTCACAATCTGTACTTCTGACAAAGGACTAATATCCAGAATCTAAAAGGAACTCAAACAAATCCGCAAAAAAAAAACAAATCATCCAATTGGGTGTGGTGGCTCATGTCTGTAATCCCAGTCCTTACAGAGGCTGGGGCAGGCAGATCACTTGAAGTCAAGAGTTCAAGACCAGCCTGGCCAACATGGTGAAACTTGTCTCTGCTAACGACACAAAAATTAGCTGGGCGTGCTGGTGGGTGACTGTAATCCCAGGTACTTGGGAGCCTGAGGCAAGAGAATCGCTTCAACCCAGGAGGCAGAGGCTTCAGCGAGCCAAGATCATGCCCCTGCACTCCAGCCTGGGTGACAGAGTGAGACTCTGTCTCAAACAAACAAACAAACAAACAAACAACAAAACCAATCCCATCAAAAAGTGGGCAACATTCATGAAGAGACAGTTCTCAACAGAAGATATACAAATGGCCAACAAGCATAGGAAAAAATGCTGAACATCACTAATTAACAGGGAAATGCAAATAAAATCCACAATGCAATACCACCTTACTCCTGGAAGAATGGCCATAATATAAAAAATAAAGAAATAACAGATGTTGGCATGGATGTGGTGAAAAGGAACACTTTTACACTGCTAGTGGGAATGTAAACTAGTACAACTACTATAAAAAACAGTACGGAGATTCTGTAAAGAACTTAAAGGTAGAACTATCATCTGATCTAGCAATCCCACTACTGGCTATCTACCCAGAAGAAAAGAAGTTATCTTATGAAAAAGATACTTGCACCCACATGTTTATAGCAGCATAGTTTGCAATTGCAAAAATATGAAACCAGCCTAAAACAAATCAGTGGATAAAGAAAATGTGATATATATTTGTGATCTGTATATATGTAAATACCATGGAATACTACTCAGCCATAAAAAGGAATGAAATATCAGCACTCACACAACCTGGATGGAGTTGCAGACCATTATTCTAAGTGAAGTAACTCAAGAATGAAAAACCAAACATCGTAGTATCTCACTTATAAGTGGGAGCTAAGCTACGAGGATGCAAAGACATAAGAATGATGTAATGGGCTTTTGGGACTCAGGGGGAGTGGTGGGAGGAGGGTGATGGATAAAAGACTACACATTGAGTACTGTATACATTGCTCGGGTGGTGGGTGCACCAAAATCTCAGAAATCAACACTAAAAATCTTTTCCATGCAACCAAACACCTTGTTCCCCAAAACTATTGAAATAAAATAAAAATAAAAATTATAACTAGGACTGGTGCGGTGGCTCACGTCTGTAATCCCAGCACTTTGGGAGGCCAAGGCAGGCAGATCATGAGGTCAGGAGATAGAGATCATCCTGGCTAACAGGGTGAAACCCATCTCTACTAAAAAAACAAACAAACAAAAAAATTAGCCATGTGTGGTGGCCGGTGCCTGTAGTCCCAGCTACTAGGGAGGCTGAGGCAGAAGAATGGCATGAACCCGGGAAGTGGAGCTTGCAGTGAGCCGAGATCACACCACTGCACTCCAGCCTGGGTGACAGAGTGAAATTCCATCTCAAAAAATAAAAATAAAAATAAAAAAGTTATAACTATATAAGCAAAGAGTATTGGAGGATATTTGTATAACCTTAGAGTAATGACGCCTTTTTAAAGCAAGACAAAAGGAAATGTTAACAAATTTGGCTTCAGAAAAGTCCACAACCTCTACACTGTGAAAGATCCCATAGGGTTCCTAATAAGCAAAGAGCTGTTACGTTTGATAATCCAAATAGCCCAACTGTTGAACATTAATTCACACAACAAAAATTGTAAAATGGTCAAAACATGAAAAAATGTTGTCGTAATTGTAGTAAGGAAATGCATATTAAAACATTATATATTTTCTTTGAATAAAACTAAGCATACTGTTAGTATCTCATAGTGAGAAGAGCGACAGCGTTGAATGAAGTGTGAACTGCTCCACCCTTTTGAGAAGTCATCAGAGAGTCTGTGAAGATTGAAAATGCGCGTGCCCTTTGACTCTCAGCTTCCAAAATAAAACGAACCGCACTGCACAGCACTAGCTCCAAGACGCTTCTTGAAACCCTGTTTGTGAAGCCAGCCCTGGCCCTGTTGGGTGGGGCTCCGGGTCAAGGCACCCCCAGTGCTCCCATTTACTTAGCACCTTGACTCAGGAATGGGTTGGACTCTCAGAGCTTACAATGTCTATGAAACACTATTAGAGATCATAAGAAATACATTCAGACTCACAACTACCCACATGTTCATGGAGAGATGTAGAAATAAATAAGCGGGTCGTACTCTTGTGTGTTAGTTTAGATGTTAGTTATGAAGAAGGGAGTGAAGAATGTAGTTTCTGCAAGTAAGACAAGCACATCGAGATAGATAATTTGGTATAATTTAACAACATTAAACAAAACTATTTTATCTTCTACTGCATCATCCCATGATTTCAAAATGTCTCATCATAGGTGAATTATTTTCCAAAGTCATTTGAGTTAAGAAAAGAATACAGCTATTCTTCAGAAGGACCAAGCTACTGCAGGAAGCTTGCAACTTACCCCTGTGCAGATGAGCCCAGGGCGCCAGCTCCTTGCTGTGGGGCAAAAGAAAATTCGTCACATGAAAAAAGAAGTTGTTGACATGCAGCTGATTCTTACATAAAAGTCACGTCTATTATTCCTGGGTTTTGAGGAATGGTACCTGGAGTTCTCTTGGGTCCTGAGTTCAGATCTCAGAACCACTTACGTGTGCACGTGTTTTCATTTCTCTCTGGTGAGAAACTGGGAGTGGGATTCTGGTCATATATTAGACATTTATCTTTTAAAGAAATGCCAAACTGCTTTCCAATATGGTGGCACTTTACACCCTCATTTAACTCCCACGCAGGAGACTTGCAATTTCTCTACAACTTCACCAGCCCTCGGTGGTGTCTGTCTTTTTGATGACAGGCATTCTCCTGGGTGTGTGGTAGTATCTGATTGTGGTTTTTATTTGCAGCTGCCTGATGTAGAATGATGTTGAGCATTTTTTTCCATGTGCTTATGTAGCATCCATGTATCTATACATCTACATCTACCTTGGTAAGGAGTTTGTTCAAATCTTTTGCCCATTTTTTATATGTATGTATGTATTTTTATTTATTTTTGTAGAGATGTTCAGGCTGGTCTTGAACTCCTGGCCTCAAGCAATCCTCTTGCTTGGCCTCCCAAAGCACTGAGATTATAGGTGCTTCCCATTGTGTCCAGCCCTCTTGCCCATTTGAAAAACTGGGTTTTCTGTTTGTTTATGTTTTTGTTTGTTTGTTGTTTTTTTACAATTGCACTTTGAAAGCTCTTTGTGTCTTTGTGTATTCCGGACATCAGTCTAAGACTTGAAAATATTTTGTTTGCCTGTGGCTTGCACAGGAATGAACACCTGGCTTTATTGTGCTTTGCTTTACTGCACTTCACAGAAACTGTTTTTTCACAAATTGAGGGTTTGTGGTGACCCTGGTCAAGCAAGTATGTCGGCGCCATTTTCCCCGCAGTGTGTGCTCACTTCAAGCGTCTGTGTAAGCAGCTTTTAGCAGTAAAGCACTTTTAATTCAGATACATAGTTTTTAGACATAACACTGTTGCACACATGTCATGTAAACGTAACTTTTATAAGCACTGGGAAACCAGAAATTCATGTGACTTGCTTTACTGACATGTTCACTTTATTGTGGCTTTCTAAAACCAAACCTGCAGTATCTCTCATGTGTGCCTGTATTTTTATTTTCTTAATGGTGACTTTTGAAGAGCAAATATTTTCAATTTTGGTAAAGTCCAAACTATGATTTTTTTCTTTAATAGGCAGTGATTTTGGTGTCAGATCAAAGACAAGCTTTGTCTCACTAAAGATCACAGAGATTTCATTCTATGCTTGTTTCTAGAAGTGTTCTATGTTCAGCTTTTAAGTTTAGGTGTCAGATGGATTTGGGGCTAATTCTTCTGTGGGGAATGAAGTGATCCTGGGTAATCTTTGTACAGGTATGAAGAACTCAATCATTCTTTTTTCTTTTCCATGTGGATATCCAATTGTTCTAGTACCACTTGCTGAACTATAATTTCTCCCTATTTAATGATTTTAGTACCATTATTTAAAGTCAATTGACCATAAATGAAAGCTTTAACTTTGGACCTTTCTTCTGGTCCATTTCTCTATATCTGTCTCTGTCGGCGCCACACTGTTTTTATTACTGTAGCTTTATGTCTCTCTCTATGTCAGCGCCACCTGTCTTTAGTGTTACAGCTTTATAGTAACATTTAAAGTCTGGTTGTGTAAGTTCTCCAATTTTATTTTTTCTCAAAATCATTTGGCTAGTACAGTAGCCTAGGTCTTTTGAATTTGCATATACATTTTAGGACCACCTTGTAATTTCTGCTAAAACAGAAGCCTGCTGGGGTTCAGCAGGGATTGTGGTAAATCTGTAGATAAGTTTTGGGGAAAATTGCCCTTTTAATAGTATTTTTTTCCAATCTATGAATGCTGTACACCTTTTCACTTAATAGAGCGTCTCTGACTTCTCTCAGTCATGGTGTGTAGCTTTCAGTGTACATATTTGCCCAAGGTTTGTTAAATTTATTCTTTTTTCATTAGATTATGAAAGGAAGTTTTAAAAATATAACCCGGAGTTTTCATTGCTGGTGGATCGAGATGTGCGAGTGTGTATTTTAATATGTGCCCCACATCCTTGTTAAGTGATTTAATTATCTTAACTAGGTCTTAAAACATACTTTTTAGGTTTCATCGTCTGCAAATAAACGCAGTTTTACTTTGTATTCTGTGTGCCTTAATTTTCCCTGCTGCGCTGGGCTGGCCGGAATGTGACTGCAATGTCAGAAGTAGGAGGAAGTGGTGTCATCACCTGTGCCGAACCTCCAAGAGAGGGTCACCAGCCTTTCACCAGTAAATGTCATGTCAGGTACACAGGGTGCTTTCCTATCATTCCTAGGCCACTGAGATTTGTTAAAAATCATGAATGGGAACTTGCTGTTAACAAACCCTTTTCTGCATTGATTGGCATGATTGCGTGGTTACCGTTCTCTATTGGACTAAGGTGCTGAGCTGTAGTAATTGATTCCTAGGCCTTAAGGCACTGCTCACCCCTGGAGTGATATCACTTGGCCACAGTGCACAGTCCTGCCCCATGCTGCTCGATTTGGTTTCCCAAGGTCTTATCAGTGATCTTTGCCTGTGTTTCCTGAATGTATTGGCTTACGAATATCTGGCTTTGGTGTCAGGTTGATAGTGGCATTGCTGAATGAGTTGGGAAGTGTTGCTTCCTTCTCTGTTTTCTGAAAGAGTCTGTGTGTAGGTTGTATTGTATTTTTTCTTTAAATCTTTGCTGGAATTCATGCATGAAGACTACAGGGCCTGGGATTTTTCTTCACTGGGAGATTTTAAATTAGTAGTTTAGTCTCTTGGCTGTTCTATGTCTATTTAGACTTTCTATGTCTTCTTGAGTTAGTTATAATAATTCATGTCACTTAACCGGAAAGGGAACTAACTTCCTTAAGTTAAAAATCATGTTTCAGGCCAGGTACGGTGGCTCATGCTTGTAATCCCAGCACTTTCGGAGGCCAAGGCGGGCGGATCACCTGAGGCCAGAAGTTTGAGACCAGCCTGGCATGTCAAAACCACGTCTCTACTAAAAATACAAAAATTAGTGGGGCGTAGTGGCATACATCTGCGATCCCAGCTACTTGGGAGGCTGAGGTAGGCAAACTGTTTGAACCCAGGAGGTGGCGGCTACAATGAGCTGAGGTTTCACCACTTCACTCCACCCTGGGCAACAGAGCGAGACTCTGTCTCAAAAAAAAAAAAAGATGCAAAAAGCACATTTCAACTTTGGAAGATGTATAGTGCAGTATAGAAATGTCCAGGAGACTCAGTTCCTTTCCTATCTTTGCACTAGGAAGTCCGTGGTGCATGACTGGTGTTTATGTTCACAAAGACACATAGACACACCCATGCACAGAGCCTCACACACAGACACACACACAGCAGAGTCCATGGGCTGCATCGGCCCTGAAGTAAAGGAGCATGGCTGAGAGGTCCCAACCACCGAGTGACCTTAGACATTGTCCCAGGCCTGGAGAAAAGGAGCAGAGAGACAGGTGGTACCTGGAGAAATCCTTTGTCCATTTGCACGTATGGATCTTTCCTCACTGCTTGATGTTTTGAACTCTCTTCTTTGCGGGTATTAATGAGATACTCAAAGGTGGTCATCTTCTTGGCCTCTGGAAAGGGAAAAGGAGGAACAGGACAAGTTACCAGCCCTGCGGCTTTGCACGGCGCCCACAGGACAGCTCAGCAGGGTGGCCAGTGCCACTGATCCGGCCCCTGCACAGGGAGAACTGCTCCGCCCACCATGCAGGCCCTGTGAGGTCAGGATGAGTGCAGATGCCTTGTGGGCCCAGGTCTGCAGCTAGCTGATGGTCAGCAGGAGGGGTCTGCAGCTGCGACCTGGGGAACGGTGCTGACTCAGGCCCCCCCGCCTGCCAAGGCCTCATTGAGCTGCATTGTTAGTGGTGTCAGAGATGAGCTGTCTCTCACAGACCTGGGTCCCCTATACCATGCAGCCTGAGAGGTTGCTCCAGATGCCCTGGGATTGCTGGCAGGGGTAAGAGGCCAGCTCAGGAGGGGCCGCTCTGTCTGAGGGTCCAGGTGGCCTGTGGGGTTCCCCACATCTGGACACTGGGTGGGGCGCACCTTGGGGGATGCACAGAGACCCCACAGTCGGAGGACCACGCAGTGGGGCGACCACCCCGAGGTGCTGGCTAGCGGGTCCTGGGACCACACACTCCTGAGCGTGCTGAGAGCCCCAGGCCCAGGAGGTGAACACGAGTGCTGTGAGTGCCACTCAGCACAGCCTCTGATGGCGCTGAGACAGGTCACCATCCCTGTAGCCCTGCGCAGTGCCCACAGGACAGCTCAGCAGGCCGGCCAGAGCCCTATCCACCTGGCCTGTCCTGCAGGCAGCAAAGCAGCCCAGGGAAGCAAAGCAAAACCTGATACACCCGTTTATCTAAAAGAGCCGTCTTAACAAACGTTAATAAAATGGGCTCTGCACCTATTTCAGCCACGAGCTTCCATGGAGGGGCCAAACTCTCCATGCTTCTTTCCCTAAACACCAACACCGTGAGAGCCGATGTCTTGTGACTATTTCTGGAGACTGGGGCGGCCGCCCACAGAGGCCTATTTGCAGTGAGGAGCAGATGGCGGTGGGCACCCTGGGGAGCTGCCTGTGGCCAGCCCAGCCCTCACAGGATGCGTCTCACCACAGCCCCTCCAGTCCTGTGAGGTAGAGAAGAAGCTCCTGGACATCCCGGAGTCACTGCCCAGGGAGGCTCTGGGTCACGGGGGTGGGGACAGGCCTGGGCGTCCTGCTTCCAGGCATCCTGCCTCCTGCCCACAGCAGCCGCCTGCCTGTCCTTTCATGTTTCTGCCACACTTGGTCTGGGCTTTGCGTTCAAGAAGCCCGTTCCAAGTGCAGTGCCTGGCTCAGAGGACAGACCAGGTCATCCCTCCCAGCCCCGCATGGCTTCAGGCCCACTGCACTTCCCTGCTCTGCCACCTGAGGCAAGGGCCAGCTTCTCTGCAGCACAAGGGCCAGCCACACTTGTTTGTGTCTCATTCTTCATCCTCTCCCCGCAGCGTGCAGGTGACCATGCCTCACCCAAAGGAGCCTGCAGCCCCCCACGTGCTCAGCACACAGTGGGCATTGACTATTTTAACCCAGGGAAACATTTTGTACACAAAGTTGGAAAAAAATGACAAGTGCAGACTTTGTATTACTGGGCAGTTTGAGCATCCCTTAATCTGCGGCACATGTGGATGAGACCATGTGGCCTCGGCCCAACCTCGGCCGATTCTCCTGTTGTGGGGGGACTCACCCTGACTCTAAGCATCTGAGGGTGAGAGATTTCCTGATAAGGAGAGATGATGAATTCTGGGTGGAGTGAAACTCCAGAAAAGCCTTCATAGGTGGTAAACCCAAAAATATTTAAATATAAGAGAGATTGCTAGATAATTCTAGAAAGTACTTTTAAAAATATTCCTGATTCTAAGAAGGGTGGAGAGTTTTGAAGGAGGCCCAAATGACTTCTCACTCTTAAGGGTTTCAGCTTCAGGAACAGGCAGCCTGTAACATTCTACAAGGCAGACGCGTGTCTCCATGAAGTTACACCTGAGGCTTTAGTTCCATTCCATTCAGTAAACATATCCTAAGCACCTATTCTATACAGGCACTGGCCTTGACATCCAAAATTAAAACTCTGAAAACAGCACATTCAGCTCTGTGTCCGTAGGATTTAATCCAGTGATTTTCATTGCACTTTCATTAAAAAAAATTCAACCCTCAGGCAAGACAACAGTGACTGTAAGATGTGCGTTAGAGGTGTGTGTTTTAAAACATCCCCAGGGTTGTGTGGGGACAGTGGTTTGTAGGGTAACCTGTGGTTATGAACAAGGAGGCTCTTGGTGGGGTGTGTTCATTCTGAGCTGGGCGTTCTTGCCACAACTGCAGGCAGGGGATGCTCTGGAGATGGAGGTGAGCCCAGAGCCTGACCCACCCGATCCCCTCTGCCCTGACTAGGCGTTGGCCAAGCTGTCAGGAGCAGGGCATTCTTGGGGGCTGGCCTGGACACACTCTGCTGCCCGTGTCCACAGAAACCCCCTGAGAGGCCACAGCCTCGGGGCCACCACTGCCCAGAGAATGGAAGACGCTTTGCAGCTGGCCCACCATGACCAAAACGGCTGGTGCCAGGAGCAGGGAGGTTGTTGTTACTTCCAACACAGGTTTCCTTGGGGCTGGGGAGTTTACCCTCCGTCGTTCAGCAACATGACTGACCGCCTACCGCTGTGCCCACTGTGAGACCAAGCAAGACCACCAGCTCTCGCTTCAGTTGTTTGGTTAGTGGGTGATCTGCCTGTAATATTTTTCATTGTTAGAATTTCTACT
Organism: Homo sapiens; assembly: GCF_000001405.40. Taxonomy (NCBI): domain Eukaryota; kingdom Metazoa; phylum Chordata; class Mammalia; order Primates; family Hominidae; genus Homo; species Homo sapiens. The sequence goes on from NC_000005.10 coordinate 748,022, forward strand.
TGTGCTTTTGGAAGTCCACCTGTCCTTATTTCATAATGTCCTGTTCTTGCCTAATAGATTCCATTCCATTTTCTCTGAACATTTTAAACTTGTTACTTCAAGCACCCGGCAGCGCTCCTGCAGGTCTCAGCGTTGAGTTCAGCTTCTTGCTGGGCCTGCTGGGCCCTCATGGATTTAATTTCTTCCTGTGATTTGCCCTTTTTGTCCATGATCTCACTTCTGGGAGAGGCTGACCCTGAACACATGCGCACACGGGGGACAAAGACTCTGGCCCCAGGTGTGGGGGGCTCAGGGTTAGGGACATACTCAAGTAGAGGTGTAAGATGAGCAGCTCTGACCAACCAGGCTTGGGGGGATCGGGGGCTTAGGGTGGGGGACATACTCAGGTAGATGTGGAAGATGAGCAGCTGGCCCAGCTGCACCAAGCCAAGAAGGTCCAGCAGGAGCACGAGCATCCTGATGATCACGACTATCAGAGTCTGCACCTGCACCGGGAACAGGGGGAGGAACAGCAGCCACGTGTTCATATTCTTGACATCTGGGGAGACAAGGGAGAGACACTGTGTCCAGCACCTGCTGACGGGTGCCACATCAGGTGGATGTCACAGACCAGAGCTTGCTGGGGATGGGGCGGCGTGGAGACAGCCAGCACGAGGGATGCCTCCCTGCCCTGGTGGACACCTTCCTTACCTGAGTGCCCCATGGGCCCTGCTGACTGAGGTTGGTTTTCATGATCCCTGCTTTATGGATCTGGGAGGTGACGCTCCAACAGGGTCACTAAGTGCCAGGGCTCCAGCATCCACCCCTTCCTAAGTTCTGGGGTCACAGGGCCCACCTCTTCCTCACTAAGTGCCGGGGTCACAGTGCCCACCCCTTCCTAAGTGCTGGGGTCACAGCGCCCACCCCTTCCTCACTAAGTGCCGGGGTCACAGTGCCTACCCCTTCCTAAGTGCTGGGGTCACAGCACCCACCCCTTCCTCACTAAGTGCTGGGGTCACAGTGCCCACCCCTTCCTCACTAAGTGCCAGGGTCACAGTGCCCACCCCTTCCTCATTAAGTACCGAGGTCACAGCACCCACCCCTTCCTCACTAAGTACCAGGGTCACAGCGCCTGCTGGCTCTGCCGAGTCCCAGCATCCATCCCTTCCTCATGGCCCACGCTGTGTCCCTGGACCCTCTGCACCCTAAAACAGCCGCCTTCAAATAGAACAGGAAAGCCACAGCTCTCACCTGGGGTCATTTCTAAGATATGGTCCTCTGTGACACTGGGCTGCCAACACTCAAAACCACAACACTTCCAAAAATCAGGCGTAATGCAGAATGGCAGAGGGCCAGGCAAGGCAGAATGGCAGAGGGTCGGGCAAGGCAGAATGGCAGAGGGTTGGATTCAGTGTGGATGTCTTTGGGTGACGGACCCTCTCTGGAACTGGCGGCCTTGGGGGCCTTCCTAGATGGCCCGACGGGACAGTAGCTCAAAGTGCCTGGGCCGGGCTGGACCCCATGCTGCCCCCCTTAGCCAGTGACATCACGATGAGTTCAGCCCATGAGAACAAGGAGCTGCTTTGCTCAGGGCCTTGCTGGTTTTGAAGCCCTGCAGAATCATCTGGAACAGCAAACGGAGGAATTCGCTCAGGCCACAATCAATGAACTCACACAAAGACACTGGCACTGCCGTGTGGAAGCAGCATGTTCCAGGAGAGAAGGCAGCACATGCCATCTTGGCCACCTCTGCTCTCTCACTCTCCCCTGGCATCCCCCACAGGGAGAGCCCAGACAACATGGAGGCTGCTGGGGAAGGTGACTTGCTACAGGGGGAGAAGAACGCAACAGGCATCGTCCTGGGCTTGGGTCCGCTGAGGTCAGGGCCTCGCCAGGGTGGAGCTGGCTTTCAGGAAGTGCTTCAGAAGCGGCTGTGAGGCCCTGGAGGCATCAGTCACGCTTCGAAGTGGAAGGAGGAGCTTTAGGGACTTCCACGTGGAGCTGGCAAAGCTCATCCTTGAAAAAAATGTCACACCGTGTTGGCTCCGGAATGTTCTGGAACAAGGGCAGGCAAGTCCTCCCTGTCTCACCACCCGGGCTGTGTGCAGTGCGGGTGCAGCCATGCCTGGAGCTGAGACTGGCAGTCTTGTCCTGCACCCCGAGGGGCTTCTCTGGCCCAGGTCCTCCTGGTCAGGGTCCTGGCGCTGCTGCAATAAATACATCAAATGGTGGCGGGTGGGGGCAGCTTCTCCAGCAGACTCTTGCAGTCTGAGGCAGGCAGGGCTCTGACGTCCAGCTGCAGGACAGTTGAGCGCGCTGCCTCCGCAGGGTCCAGGGAGGTCCTCCCACCTCTGCGAGCTCCTGTGGCTCCGGGCGACCCCGGGCTGTGGCTGTGTGACTCCACCCCTGCCTCCATCCTCACGAGGCCCCCTCCCCTCTGCGTCTCTCCTTTCTCTTACAAGCACACTCGTGGCTAGATTTGGGCTCCCTGGGACATCCCAGCATGACCCTCCCACCTCAGATATTAAGTCACAGCCGCAGGCCCATTTCCCGAGGATGCTGGCATCACGGGATCTGGGTTAGGCGTGGACTCGCCTCTGGAGCCCACAGTCCTCACCGCCACGTCTCTCCAGTGGCTCAGTGTGAGCATTGGTTCCCGAGGCCCAGGCTCCGGGCCCACTTGGCCAAGGGCCTCAGCACACCGCAGCCTACAGCCCAGCACCCTCAGCGCTGCCTCCACTCTCCCTCCCCATGGGCTGCTCCTGCAGGATGGGCACCCCCACCCTCCCACAGCTACATGGCCCCACAGGATGGTGTGACAGGTGCTACAGGGCTGACTGCGGAGGGCAGGGGCAGAGGTGGACCCCACTGTCTCTCGCCTGACACGACCTGGCAGCATCTACAGAGCAGCGTGGCCAGCGCCCTCCCCGAGCCTGCCTCCCGCGCGCTGGGGGCTGCTGGGCTGTATGAACACTGGGCTGCTGCCGTCGGGCCAGGTCAGAGCCTGCATGGGGCTGCCTGCCCCGGCCTCTCCCTGGGACAAGAGGGGCCGACCACCCCAGACCCGATACTACCGCCCGGAAAGACGGCTGGAGGCGAGGATGAGGCCCCTTGAGAGCGGCGGCCACGTACCTTCATACCTGGGGTCCGTGCGGAGCACCCTGGGGTTCACGAGGTACTGGACGAGGACATACAGCAGGATGGCGATCAGGCAGAGCATGCCAGCTGTGGCCGAGGCCACAGTGCTGAAGAAGAACCTGCCGGGAGACACACAGGCAGGCATGGGGGTGGGGACGTGGGAGCAGTGGGGGCGCAGGGGCAGGTGTGGGGGGCACGGGGGCAGGGGGTGTGCACAGGGTGGGCAGGGGCGGGCGTGGGGGGCACAGCGGCAGGGGGCACGCAAGGGCAGGTGTGGGACAGGTGTGGGGGCGGGGAGGCAGGGGCAGGGACACGCAGGGCATCTGAGGCAGGGGCGGGGGCATGCAGGGCAGGTGGGGGGTGCAGAGGCAGGGGCAGGGACACGCAGGGCATCTGGGGCAGGGGTGGGGGCATGCAGGGCAGGTGGGGGGTGCAGAGGCAGGGATGGGGACGCGCAGGGCATCTGGAGCCCGCAGGGTGGAGGTGACAGGTCAGCGTGGGCGTCCACTTGAGAGAGGGCTCCTGGCCACTGCCCGATGCTGGCCTCAAACCCTGCTCCCGACCATGCCTGGAAGCTCAGGCTCCTGTCTCTGTGCCATCCTGTGACGCCCCCCCAGGTCTCCAGGCCTCTCGCTGGAGAGGGGTGGCCGTGGGACATTCCCACCAGCACACCGCCTGACAATTCAGGCAGTGCTTCTTGCAAACGTGATTGCCTTTAATCCCCACAAGGAACAATGAGGTTGTGAGGAGGGGGAACCAGCCCTTTTCACGAGTGGGGAAAGTGAGGTCAGAGATGCGGTGCGACTCGCCCAAGCCTACCAGCGGAGCATGAGGGTCACACGGCGTCTCCAGTGTCACAGCTCTGGGGCCTCTGCCCGCACCTCCCGACTCCACCTGATGCAGACAGGCCTCCCTACCAGCCAAGGAGCACGCAGGCTGGGTCCCCTCAGGGGGCCCTGAGCATGGTCTGTGCTGGGGTCTCCATGGCACCATGCTGGGCAAAGGCACTGAAGCCAGGGAAGGGGAGAGCCATGAGAGTGCCGTGGCACCCAGGAGGGCCTGCAGGCTCAGGGACCTGGATCTCTGCACCCAAAGGGAACTCAGGCTGAGGAGGCCCTGGAGGAGCCCGGCCACACCTCGGCTGCAGTCCCCCCTTCTCCAAGGGTCTTGTGCAAATCTGAGCCAAAAGCGATGTCCATGCTGTAGACCTGAGACCAAATCCACTCCCAGTCTCTCGTCTTTGCTCAAAAGATGCAGAGAATAATCCATCCAGAAAAACCAATTCTGGGCAGCAGTTCCTGGAACACACTTTGACTAAACCATCTTCCCTTGGTCTTTCTGCCATGATGATATTTTTTTTAAAGTATCCTTTAACCTCCTTTAATCCTTTCCATTGTATTATGTTCACCTAAGCTTGTTTAAATCCCTTTTTCTATTTTCAACTGGAGGCCAGAGCATGAATGCCGCAGTCGTCCGAAGACGCAGTTAGGGCACAGCTGCCTTCCCCGCGCTCCTCCTCCCTCCAAGAGTCTTCTGGATAATCCAGGGGTGAGGGGTGGCTCCGGGCGTGAGCGGCTCCCTGACTGCTGCTCCCTCATACTGCCTTCCCTCTCACAGCTTAGGTTTCCCAAGCAGCAGCCCCTCCAGGCAGTGGACACGCCCTACCCTGCCCCCAGTCCTCCTGGGCTCGAGCCCACTTGTGGGGAGTAAAGACCCCTCATCCTCATCCTACTGTCTGGAGAGGACTCCCCTCTTCATCCAGGAAAGAAGGCGGGTCTCTAAGACCACAGAGACCAGAGACCACAGAGACCAAAGCCCACAGGATGGGGCAGACCCATTCACGCGGGGCCTCCTCTCCCCGCAGCCACCCAGGGACATTCTCCTCTTGGTTAGCACAGCCTCCTGCCCCTGCTGCCTGTGTTTAACCTGCAGAGTCCGAGGCCAGCGCTCGCAGTCTTCCCAGGACACCAGCGCCGCCTGCCTTCTTTCCGTCCCCCTTCCTCTCTTATCACTACGAAGTATGCAGCCTCCCTCACAGGGGCTCTGCCATCAGCTGGGCCTCCCCATGGGGGCTCCGCCATCAGCTCGGCCTCCCTCGCGGGGGCTCTGCCATCAGCTCCTCAACTTTCCTCATCTTGCTCTCAATGCCGTTGCTCTCTCCGCCTCTGGCGGATGAAGGGACAGAAGCGAGGTTGGCACAGATGCCGGCGTTGGCTGCTGCCTGGAGCTGAGGGCGCCCATGACCCCGGCCCTGCTCTCCTGATGCCCCTTTCCCACACACAGGCGGTGTCTACACTTGGCACCCACGTGGTCCCTCTCCAGCACCCCTCCTGAGGAAGGCAGACCCTCTCCTTGCCACCTGCCTGTGGGCCCTCACCCCCTCACCTTCCCCACCAGGACCCGCCAGATTGAGCCAGCTCGAGGCACCAGAGCAGAATGAGTCCAGAAGGAAGTGGCACCTGGGGCTAGCATGAGCCAGAGGAGCTGGCCCCACCTTGGCCATCGTGGAGCTGCTCTTCTCCAGGGGAGGAGGCGGGTGGGTCTCCCCGGCCCCTACCATCTCACGCAGCCTCTGGACTCGCTGTGCGGTCATGCAACCTCTCTGTCCCTGCCGGGCTGCTCAGCCTCTCTGGACACATGCTGTGCTCCAGACGGGATGGCAGGGAGGCAGGGCAGGGACCCCCCGGTGCGTCCTGTGACACCAGGCAACGTTGGTCCCCACTCCCACGCACACCAAGGCCTCTTTCAGGTCAGCACAGAGTAGCTGGGGAGCAGGCGTGGTTCTTTTCCCTGGTGATCTTCACAATACAGTGCTGCAGACAGCCGGGGCTCAGCACACGGGGCCTTGAGAGTCCCTGGATCCTCCACTGTGCTCAGGGGAAACACCTCTCATCTATGAGCCTCCACCGTGCTCAGGGGAAACAACCTCTCGTTCTTGAGCCTCCACCGTGCTCAGGGGAAACACGTCTCATCTATGAGTCTCCACTGTGCTCAGGGGAAACACCTCTCATCTATGAGCCTCCACCATGCTCAGGGGAAACATCTCTCGTCTATGAGCCTCCACCATGCTCAGGGGAAACACGTCTCATCTATGAGCCTCCACCGTGCTCAGGGGAAACACCTCTCGTCTATGAGCCTCCACCGTGCTCAGGGGAAACACCTCTCGCCTATGAGCCTCCACCACGCTCAGGGGAAAGACCTCTCATCTGTGAGCCTCCACCGTGATCAGGGGAAACACCTCTCATCCTTGTGCCTCCACCATGCTCAGGAGAAACACCTCTCGCCTGTGAGCCTCCACCATGCTCAGGGGAAAGACCTCTCGCCTGTGAGCCTCCACCGTGCTCAGGGAAACATCTCTCTTCCTTGCATCTCCACCGTGCTCAGGGGAAACACCTCTCGTCTATGAGCCTCCACCGTGCTCAGGGGAAACACCTCTCATCTGTGAGCCTCCACCATGCTCAGGGGAAACACCTCTCGTCCATCTGCGCTGGGTGCCCACTGCCCTTCCGTGGCCCCACCCTTGTGCTGGATGAGCCTCAGCCTGGGTGGAGAGAAGGCAGCCCAGCCCAGGACAGCGTGGTCAGGAGGCCTCAGCCAGCGTGGCCCCGCAAGTGCCCCCGGGGGGCCTCCAGGGACTTACTCTATGCGGATGAGCTTGTCCAGGGACGGCTGCACCACAGCCCCAGAGCCAGACAGGAGGCCGGGGCACGCAGGCACCAAGCGCCACCACATCAGGACAGGGACGTGGCCCCAAGAGGACCCTCCACCCTTTCAACACGAGGACCCCTGCCCACAGACCCCTCCCTTCCAAATTCCCCCAAGCCTGGCCCGTGCCGGCCATCCCCTCTGTGCCCCTCACCAATAATTCCGGCTTCCCACGCAGTTGTTGATCCATTTGCAGTGGTGGTCGAAGCCGGACACACACTTATTGCAGGAAATGCAGTGTTTGGTTTTCTTGTTCCTGGAGGGATGAATCGGGGAACGCCTGTCAGGCCCCAAGTGCGCAGGTTGGGGCAGGGCCAGAGGTCCATCACTGGAAGCCAGGTGCCTCGGAGGAACCAGCCCTGTGCGGCCTGGGGAGAGGGCGTCCAGCAGGGAATGGGAGGCTGGGGGAGGGTGTTGAGGCCTGTGGGGAGGAGGAGAAGCAGGGCAGCTGTGGGCAGAGGTAGCCACAGAGCAGGAGGAGCTGTGTCTGTGGCCGCCCTGAGCATAGACCCCCCGCCAGCCATCCTACACCAGCCTCACTCTGGGCCATGGCCCTGGAGGAGGCCGCGCCTGCCCCATGGTTCCAGGAGTTGAGGCCGGGGGCTTGGATCCCACCTGTGCCTACAGGGCCTCCCTTGCAGCTGACAACAGCCCTGTAGCCACCCCCTAGGCCATCACAGAGGCCTCCAGGGCCCCTGGAGACACTGGAACCCTTACCTCCCACTTTCCTAGGGGCTTGTCTTGAAACTCCCCAAGAAAGACAGTGCTCTCTTGCCCTGGGCCCTCAGGGGAGGGACCTCGTGCACAAAATCCACTGAGGACCAAACATGCCTGAGTGCTGCTGTGTTTCATTCCAGGGGAGCAGCGGGTCACCTGCAGGTGACAGACCCAGCCCTCCAGTCTCAGCCCTGCCTGCGGAGGAGTTGGGGCGGCCCGGCACCGCGCCCGGTTCACAGCGAGATGAGGGGCGATCCACCCGCAGCCACAGGGCCGGGCCCTGGAAGCTCCACTAGCATCAGCTGCGGCCATGGCACGGGCCCTGAGGGGCCAGCAGTGACCTGAGCACCAGGACCCTGGAGGTGACCCTGACACCTTGGGGCCTCGGCGAGGGCGGGCACTCACACGGTGACCTTGCACAGGTGGCAGAACTGATTCTGGATCACGTGTGCATGTTTTGATCTGTCGAAGAGGGGCATGGGCTGAGAATAGTTCTTCATGAGTCTGACATTGGAGTCGGCCGGGTCGATGCAGGACGCGATCAGGTGGACGACGAGGTGGAACGAGAAGATCCCCCCGGTCACCTGGCATGTCAAGGAAGAACCTGGCCCAGGGCCTGGTCAGCCTGGCATGAGGCGTCCCCGTGAGGCCCAAGGTCCCAGAAGAGGCGTGGCCACTGGTCAGCCCTGCTCACCCAGCCCTGCACACGTGAGCCCAGCTCACCCAGGCCTGGCCCTGCTCACATGGCCCTGCTTGTCCAGTCTTGCACACATGGCCCTATACACTTGGCCCTTCACACACAGCCCTGCTCACCCAGCCCCGTCCACTCGGCCCTGCACACACAGCCCTGCTCACCCAGGCCTAGAGAAGATGAGGCTACCCATCGGCCCTGCACACACAGCCCTGTGCCAGTCGGGGACCGGGAAGGCTGCCCCCATGCCCCTTTTGGTTCATCCCTGTTGGACACAGGGCAAATCCCCCACAGAATGTACCGCACCCCCAGAGGCTCAGTCAGCCCAGCCAAGCACAGTGACCCCAAAACCCTTTACAGCTTGAGGGACAGAGCAGGGCCACAGGAGGTACGCCCCAGGTGTAAACACAGCCGGATACAGCCCCAAAGGCCCTGGAGGAGCCTGGGTTCTTTCATACCAGAGACCCCTGAGCACTGGGAGAGAAGACAGCCTCAGACAGGAGGAGCAGGGGGAGGAGCGAGGGAGCTGCACAACCTACCCGCTCCCTCTAGACCCCAGACGGCTCACTGACGGACCCTCTCCCCGAGACTTGCTCAGGGAAACACCCCCTAGACTCATTCAGGGACCCCAGACTCATTCAGGGACTCCAGACTCTCTCAGGGAGCCCAGACTCACTCAGGGACCCTGGGCCTCTGTCTTGGGCCCTCTGGGCTCGGAGCCTGGCTGTGGGGGCACTGGGGAGAGGGTCCTTGTCCCCTGGAGCCAGGAGAAGCTGGGCTCCCCGTGACTGGAACGTCAGCTTCCGCCCTCAGATACTGGCTCCCTCCTCCTCTCACCCTGGGACAAACACAGACTCCCCATGGCAACCAAATAGAAGGGGTGGAGTGCGGGGCCCTCCCGTCACCCTGCCTGGCTCCTGGACCGCCTTCTAGCCATGAGTTCAGGGTTGACAGCCATCTCCACAGGGCAGCCCAGAGGCCCTCACAGTGTGGCCTAAGCTTGGCATGGAAACGCAGGCTGCCGGCCTGTGTCGCACAGCGCTGTCCTCCTTGGCCCCAGGGGTGAGGAAGAAGGTGCTGGCCATGTGCAAAAAGCCACGTAGGGATTTTAGCAGAAGGCTGCCAGCAGGGCGGGTCCTGCACCAGGCCAGGGGGCTGCTGTCCCTCCTGACAGAGCCCCTCTCTGGAGCCCCCTCAGGCAACGTTGGGACAGGTTCACTGCTGCTGGGCTCACCCTCAGCCTCGTCCTGGCACCACCTTGGGGCATGGGGTTAGGGTTTTTATGCAGCAGCCCTTCCCTGATGAGGGTCCCGTAAGAAGCGTGCTGCAATGCATGGGAAGCCTGAGTGTGAAGCTGGTTCCGACTGAAATGCAGACACAGGTGCCGAATCCCTCAGCAGGATGCACCGCACACCCTGCATCTTCCAGGCACTCACGTGGCCCCGGGCCCTGGGTGCCGGTGTGTGTGAGCTGGGGAGGAGACTCTGTGTGTGCAGACATGGCTGCAAGGAGGACAGGCGAGAATGATCTGGATGCCAAGGGGATGGGACTGGGGAGCTGCTGCCCAGGCCGGGGTGTGGTGGGAGCTAGGCAGTGCAGCAACGGGGCCAGCCAGGCCCTGGGGGACTCACATGGGGGCCAGGACTGGTCAGACACTTGCAGTGGCCAGTCTAATCCCACCATGGTAGAGGAGAGGTCTGCAGGGGCCCCACCGGACTTGGGAGTGGACTGAGGCTGCAGGGGCTGTAAAGGGTGTGGGTCAGCTGGGCCGGGCACAGGGCTCACTGTCCAGCTGGTGACACTGACATGACCGAGCCTGCATCCCGGCTGTTGTCCCCATGTACCCGCTCCCTGCAGGCTGAGCTGGGGACACTGCACTATTTATGTGGTCACCGGGGCAACAGGGAGCTCGTCTGGAGCCTTGGGACGCTATCGGTGGCAGCTGAGGACAATGAGATGAGGCAGGAAGCTGCACTGTGGCCCAGGGGAAGCCCCTTCCTCTGCAGAGCTGGAGCAGCACTTCCCTCACTGGAAACCAGTGGCAGGGAGGGTGGGGCCAGGCAGGGCCTCTGCACGAGCAGCAGGTGAAGCTCAGGCTGAGGATGCCCTCCCAGGCCCTTGGTCGCCACATCCGACTGCAGCCTCACATTCTCCGGGCTTCGCACAAAGAAGCCCGCTGCCAGGGAGACGGTGCTGCTGCTGGGGGCCACCAGGAGACAGCCTGGGGATGGTGTGGCCCTAACCGGGACCCATTGACTTCCCTGTGGAGGAGCTCAGGGCTGTCCTGAGCCTGAACCTGCCAGGCAAACCCCGTGGAGCTGCCTGAGCCCATTCCCGAGCCAGTCCCCAAACCTGCAGGCGCCATGGCCAGGCAGTCACCCTGAAGGCGTCCACCCAGAAACAAGGGTTCAGCTGGCAAGGGACTCCCCCCCACCAAGATTCCAGGGCAGTGTCTTCACCTGGACAGCTCCCTGGGACTCAAAGCTTTTTTCATGGAACCAGGTTGAAGCAAATCTTTCACCGCACACTAGGGTGCCCTGCTGTCCATTGGCCGCACTTTGGCCAGCGAGGTCCGCGCTCTGCGGGTGGGCTTGGGTCGTCCTCCTGGGACATCCGTCACCCATAGGAACGATGCTGGTGACCTTAATTTGGCTATGTTTTGCCCAGACTGACCCAGCTAGCCACTCTGCCCATCACCCACTCGGGTAACCCTTCCTGAGCTGGCGGGGAGCCCCGGGATAGAGATGACACGGAGCACCGTGTTCTCAATTTTCTCTGCTTCTACTTTCACGTTTAATTTTATGCCGGTAGTGTTTTATGTTCCAATGAGCAATAAAAAGTAAAAGAAGTAGAGTAAGTGTCTCCCTTTCATCACCCAAACTGCCTGCCCTCTGGAAGTTTCGGTCTCAAGCTGTCTTGAGAACCGTAGCTATGCTGGAACCTCCCCTAGCAACAATCTGTATTTTGTAAATAAACGGCGCCGCAGCGCCAGCCCAGAACACACACCCTGCGCCCTTTGTTAACACTGCTAACCTTTCCCCCGCCCTGTTCTGCAGGCAGGAAAAGAGAGGAGGTGGAGAGCGAGCCCACAGCCCCTACTCCTGGGGCCCGGTGCGGTCACGTCTTGTCGTCTTATCAATCCCTGCGGGGTTCAAAGCTGACACGTGCCACTGAAGGCGCCGCGCCACTCCATGCTGGTGAATCTTCCACTGCAGCTACCGAGCTCGTGCTGCCCTGGGCCACAGCAAGGAGCTTTGCTGGGAAGAGATTTCTCCAGATTAAACAGAGTTACAGATTCCAATCCATTCCACACAACAGGCCCTACAGACGCTGTGGTGGCGGCGGAGCCTGTTTCCCTTTGCAGAAGAACAGACGCGGGCACGCGGGCACTGAGGCATGCTCTGGAAGGGCCCATACACGCGGCCGCTGGACGGTTGGCCAAGCCTGGCACTCAAACGTCCGCCTAACCTGGGGTCTTTATTCCAATTCTTCCCCACTTTCCACAACACAGCATCCCTTACCCTGCACCTGACCTCCCTTGGGGTCAGGGGCTGCAGCCACTGGGCCTGGGAGGTCACTTCCCAGAGCCGCCCGGGTCCCTGCAGGTGCCGGATAGCACAGGCACCCTCCAGCCGCCACAATGCAAAGCCACATGCTGCTGGCCAAGGGGCCCGAGGGGGTCGCTGAGGTGCAGGCATGGGGAGTGCAGCCGGGGATGCCGTCCTGAGCCCAGCGCCGGCCAGCGGGAGGGGCAGCATGGACAAGGGCTGGGGCACCAAGTGCTCCTTTAGAAATGGAGATCCAGGTGTGGAGTGGGGGGTACAGGGGAGCCACAGAGGGTTCACCTACCAGAGAGCAGGTGACAGCTCAGAGGCACGCGTGGCCGAGCCACGGGCCAAAGGAAGAGTGGAGAGAAGGGATTCTAACAGCACATAAGGAAACAGCCAGGTGTGGAGGGTCGACTCGATCCCCCACATAGGTCCAAGCCCTAACCCGCAGCACCCGTGGATGTGACCTCGCTTGGAAATAGGGTCTTTGCAGATAATCCTGTCAGGGCAAGGTCTTTTCGGGTAGGCCCTACTCCAATGACTGGCATCTTTACAAAAACGGGAACCCAACGGCAGCAGACACACGCAGAGAAAAGACGGTGTGAACACGAGAAGACGAGCCACAGAGAGCGGCCAGAACCATCCCCTCCAGCAGCTTCAGGGGGAGCAGTGTGCAGCCAGCACCCGATTCCAGACCCCGGGCCCCAGAACTGTGAGACCAGATATGTCTGCTGTTGCAGGCACCCGGTTTTTGGTGCTTTGTGATGGCAGCCCCAGGACACGCCGCGGCCACCTGGTGATGCTGAGGGAGAGAGACAGATGGTGGCCAAAGCAGCAGGGGAGGGCACCTTCCTCTGCAGAGCATGCACTGGGCCCTGCGGTGGAATCGCAGATGCAAACACAGCATTTTACACCCCTAGCGTAACTGTGATTCAGATGAGGATTGCAACAGAAAGCGATATGCCTGAGACTCAGAGTCCACATGTGCACCACTCCGGACTGGCAGGGGCAGTGACCCGGCCCACCCTCCCAAGGAACCGCTGCGTCCCCACCTACAGGGCCTCCTGACAGTGCAGCGGGACAGGCCACCACCACCTGTGCAGCGTTCTTCTGAAACTGCTCAGCTTCAACCACACAGACCCCCAGGTGGTGGAGCAAGACACTGGTCTGGATATGCCATGATGCTGTGGTCAAGGAGATACCAGCAGCTGCCAGGAAAAGGCAGGCGGGCGCTGTGCTGACCTAAACACACCAAGAGACTCCGTCGCAACATGCCCAGAACCTCGGCCGGATTCTGGATTAAAAAATCCTGTCAAGCACATCTGGGGGCTGTTGGAGAATGTTGGCGTGGACTGCCTTGACCACGGTCCGATCACAGCCTGTCTTCTCACCTGCCATGAAGGTGCAATACAGGAGGACACCCGTGTCTGGAGGGCATGTGCTAGAGCAGGGAGGTGGGCCGTGCAGCACAGGGTTAGTGACTGTGGGCTTTAGTGACATCCTCATCCCTCACTGCAGGACACCCGGGGCCAATGGGGCTGCCATGCAGCTCTGTGGGTCTGTGGATTTCTGGGCCCTGGAGGTGGGGGAGGCCATCTAGGACCCAGGCTTTGGGGGTATGGGGACTCAGGGATGTAGGTGGAGAACTCGGAGGCTGGGCCACAGCAGAAGCTGGGCCAATGGCAGGGGATCTTGGGGAATGCCAGCAGGGCCACAGGGCACACCTTGGGCCTGGCAGAGAGAGGCCACTACTCAGAACTATGACCTGTCCTCCTGATGAGTGGAGGGGCGCAAGGCTGGCAGTGTGTGCCGGGTGGACACGTGGGTTGCCACGTTCCAGCACCTCCCATGGTAGAAGCCTGAACCCCCACATGTGTGTCCAGGCCTTAGAACCCCATGGAACCCCCACTCTGGTGACTGGGCACACTCAGGGCCTCTCAGAAAAGGCCTCTTGGGAAGTGAGCACTGCTTCCCTAAATCCCTTAGGATTGGGAAGGCCACGGAGCAGACAGGGGGACACAAAGTCTTCTACTCACAGCCCTGGACAGCCTCTCACAGACCAGACAGCCACCCCTAGCCCCAGACAGCCACTCACAGCCCTGGACAGACACTCCTAGCCCCAGACAGCCACTCAACTCACAGCCCTGGGCAGCCACTCACAGTCCTGGCTGGCCACTCACAGCCATGATGGCCACTCACAGCCAAGAGGGCCACTCAACTCACAGCCCTGGAGAGCCACTCACAGCCCTGGATGCCCACTTGCAGCCCAGACAGCCACTCACAGCCCAGACAGCCACTCATGGCCCCAGACAGTCACTCCCAGCCCCAGACGGCCACTCACAGCCCAGATGGCCACTCAACTCACAGCCCTGGACAGCCACTCACAGTCCCAGCCGGCCACTCACAGTCCCGGCCAGCCACTCACAGCCCAGATGGCCACTCCCAGCCCTGGACAGTCATGCCAGCTCCAGATGGCCACTCACAGCCTCAACGGCCACTCACAGCCCCAGACAGCCACCTACAAACAAGACGCAGGTTGCAAGAGGGATGCAGCAAGATAGCGCCCAGGATGAGTGTATGCCACAGTCAGCACCCACGTCTCTCACTAAAGCACATCCTTGGACCCCTGGCAAGGCTCTCTGTGAGACCAGCTGGACCCAGCCCATTTCAGACTTGTAGATAGGGTGTGGCCTGACCTCCCAAGGGAACTTTAGCTGCACAAGGCACCCCAAGACCCAGAGACTGAGCCCCAAATCCCCAGGGAGACACCCTTGAATCACTAAGCCAGATGGGGTGGTTGAATGAGAGGCCAAAAGCCTTACTGGCAGTGTGTATCTGTCTGTGCATGCCCGGGTCTGTGCATGTGCTCACAGAAAATACATAGCTTTAAACACACATTAAAAAGTAAGAAAGGTCTACAATCAATGACCTAAGTTTCCGTCTTAAGATGATAGAAAAAAAAGCAAAGTAAACCCAAGGTCAGTTGAAGGAAGTAGTAAAAATAAAAGCAGAATTTTTTTTTAATAGAATAAAAACAGGCAAACAATAGAGAAAATTAATAATTAAAAAGCTGACTCTTTTCAAGATCAATAAAAGGGATAAGCCCCAGGAAGACTGATGAAGAAGAGGTAGGAAGACACAAATGGCCAGGATAGTGAGGAAGGAAGGCGCAGCACTCAGACCCTACAGATGGGAAAAGGATTGTGGGAAACACTGTAAACACCTGTATTCCAAGAAATATGACAAATTACATGAAATACTCCAATTTCCTGAAAAACACAACCTATCAGCTAGGCGCGGTGGCTCACGCCTATAATCCCAGCACTTTGGGAGACCGAGGTGGGTGGATCACAAGGTCAGGAGTTCAAGACCAGACTGGCCAATATGGTGAAATCCTGTCTCCACTGAAAAATACAAAAATTAGCTGGGCGTGGTGGCACACACCTGTAGTCCCAGATACTCAGGAGGCTGGGACGGGAGGATTGTTTGAACCCAGGAGGCAGAGGTTGCAGTGAGTCGAGATCACACCACTGCACTCCAGCCTGGGTGACAAGAGTGAGACTCCCATCTCGGGAAAAAAAAAAAAAAGAAGAAGAAGAAGAAAAATACAACCTATGAAAATAGAAACAAGAAAACAGAGAAACAGAATAGCTTTTTTATCAAAGAAACTGAATTCATTATCAAAAGCCTTCCCACAAGGGAGACTGTTGCACTTGGGGAAAAATCCAGCCAAGTCTAGACTGAGGGGCCTCCTGTGGGCAAAGGCATCAGTTTCTCTGACCAGTCAAAGGCCTGGGAGCAAAACGGATGGAGGAAAGGGGGCTTCAGGGACACAGCAGCCCCATGGCACGTGGGCTCCTGATGTGAGCCACGCATCTGTAGAGACTTGTTTCGAAAATTGGGGAAATGGCCACATGGATAAGAACGAATACAGGATGTTAAGAAATGGCTATATAATTTTTAAGTGAGATATTTTTAAGTGAGATAAAGCATGGTGTTATAAAAATAAAAGTTTGTTAGACACAAACTGGAGCATTTACAGGTGAAATTTCCCGATGTCCGAGATTTTTAAAGGTTACTCGGATACACATGCATGTGAGATATAAAACAAGGTTAGCAAAAGCTTCACTGTTGAAGCAGGTGACTGGCACCTGCGGGTCCGCTTGACTGTACTCTCTACCTCTATAAACTGAAAGACGCCACAGGAACAAGTTTCAGGAAAGAGAGACATGGCCTTGCCCATGGCTGAGGCACTCAGGCTGGCAGGCTGCTGTCCTCATGGCACCTGCTCACTCTGCATCCAGCCCCTACACCTCCCTGCCTGCACCACAGCGATACACACCACGCTCACCATTTACCAGAGACTTGCCCGGGATGGCCCAGCCCAAGGACCACGCAGTGGTGTTGAGAGGTGACAGCACGCTGGCAGCCCTGGCAGCCCTCGCTCACTCTCGGCACCTCCTCGGCCTCGGTGCCCACTCTGGCCACACTCGAGGGGCCCTTCAGCCCACTGCTGCACTGTGGGAGTCCCTCTCTGGGCTGGCCGAGGCCAGAGCCGGCTCCCTCGGCTTGTGGGGAGGTATGAAGGGAGAGGCACAGGCGGGAACCCAGCACTAGTTCGGGGTGGGCATGGGCTCAGCGGGCCCTGCACTCAGAGCAGCCGGCCGGCACTGCCGGCCCCGGGCAGTGAGGGGCTTAGCACCTAGGCCAGCAGCTGTGGAGGGTGCGCCAGGTCCCCCAGGAGTGCTGGTCTGCTGTAGCTGTGCTCAATTCTCACTGGGCCTCAGCTGCCTCCCTGCGGGGCAGGGCTCAGGACCTGCAGCCCGCCATGCCTGAGCCTCCCCGCTGCCATGGGCTCCTGCGCAGCCCGAGCCTCCCCAGTGAGCACCGTCCCCTGCTCTGCGGCACCCGGTCCCATCCACCACCCAAGGGCTGAGGAGTGCGGGCACATGGCACGGGACTGGCAGGCAGCTCCACCTGCCCCCGGTGTGGGAGCCACTAGGTGAAGCCAGCTGGGCTCCTGAGTCTAGTGGGGACTTGGAGAACCTTTATGTCTAGCTAAGGGACTGTAAATACACCAATCAGCACCCTATGTCTAGCTCGAAGTTTGTAAATGCACCAATCAGCACTCTGTATCTAGCTAATCTGGTGGGGACTTGGAGAACCTTTATGTCTAGCTAAGGGACTGTAAATACACCAATCAGCACCCTATGTCTAGCTCGAAGTTTGTAAATGCACCAATCAGCACTCTGTATCTAGCTAATCTGGTGGGGACTTGGAGAACCTTTATGTCTAGCTAAGGGACTGTAAATACACCAATCAGCACCCTATGTCTAGCTCGAAGTTTGTAAATGCACCAATCAGCACTCTGTATCTAGCTAATCTGGTGGGGACTTGGAGAATCTTTATGTCTAGCTAAGGGATTGTAAATACACCAATCAGCACCCTATGTCTAGCTCGAGGTTTGTAAATGCACCAATCAGCACTCTGTATCTAGCTAATCTGGTGGGGACTTGGAGAATCTTTATGTCTAGCTAAGGGATTGTAAATACACCAATCAGCACTCTGTGTCTAGCTCAAGGTTTGTAAATGCACCAATCAGTGCTCTGTGGGGACTTGGAGAACTTTTGTGTCTAGCTTAGGGGTTGTAAACACACCAATCAGCACCCTGTCAAAACGGACCAATCAGCTCTCTGTAAAACAGACCAATCAGCTCTCTGTAAAATGAACCAATCAGCAGGATGTGGGTGGGGCCAGATAAGGGAATAAAAGCAGGCTGCTCAAGCCAGTAGCAGCAAACTGCTTGGGTTCTCTTCCACATTGTGGAAGTTTTGTTCTTTTGCTCTTTGCAATACATCTTGCTGCTGCTCACTCTTTGGCTCCGCACTGCCTTTATGAGCTCTAACACTCGCAGTGAAGGTCTGCAGCTTCATTCCTGAACCAGGGATACCCCAAACCACCAGAAGGAAGAAATTCTGAACACATCCAAACATCAGAAGGAACAAACTCCAGACACGCCGCCTTTAAGAACTGTAACACTCACCGCGAGGGTCTGCGGCTTCATTCTTGAAGTTGGTGAGACCAAGAACCCACCAGTTCCGGACACAGTGTCACCACTTCCCCACTGAGGAAGGCTCTAGTGAGAAATAACACATCCTACTTTCAGAAATATGGTTCCAGTGCCCCAAGGCACCGAACGCAGGCCAACTGTTCCCCAGGCCCCTTTGTCCCCACACATCCATGTCTCAGTGACCCTAGGGGGCCTGGGGTTTCTCAACTGAATGCCATGGTCAGCTGGAGGTAGTGCAGAGCCCACATGCCCCATGGACATGCACCCTGGGAGATGCGAGCAGACACAGGCTCCCACCCGCTGGAAGATGATGGGAGCAGACATGAGTCCCCGCCTGATGGGAGGTGAGAGCAGATGCAGGTCCCCTACCCACTGGGAGACAGGAGCAGACACGGGCTTCCCCCTCTTTGGGAGACGGGAGCAGACCCGGGACCCCTGCCGCTGGAAGATGGGAGCAGAACCAGGTCCCCCACCTGCTGGGAGATGGGAGCAGACGGCCTGACATGGGGTCAGCGGCTGCCCTGTCCAACCTGACCCTGAGCCATGTGGGAGCGGTCTGACATAGGGTCAGTGGCTGCTCTGTCCACCCGACGATGGGCCACGCAGGAATGGCCTGATGTGGGGTCAGCAGCTGTCCTGACCCTGAGCAGGGGCTGCACAGAGCACGAATGGCCACTGGGCCCACCTGCAGGCTCGGGGGACATAGTCTGGCCCAGGACAGGTGACTGGTGCCACCGGGCAGCCATGGCCCAGACCCCACAGCCAGGTCCATCGCAGGGTCCTCCAGGAACCCCTCCCGCTTAGACCATGCCACGATGAAAAGGATACCACATAGGCGATGTATTTCCACGAGTGAGGCAGGAGGGGAATGAAGATCCTGAAGGTGGCCAAGGAAAGGCCAACGAAGACAGCCCAAGTCACCACCCGGAAGTAGTGCAGGGGTAACGACCAGCCGTTCACTCTGGAGATGCGGGGCGGCAAGACCAGCTCTTCATTGTTGCGTATGGCTTCTGGGGTGACGGAACACTGGCTCCCGGAGCGGGTGTCCATCTGCAGGACACAGAAGGGGAGGACCTGCGCCATCAGCTCCGGGGAGGGCCGGCCCCACCCACTGTCAGGGAGACCACGGGGACTGGGAACATGGCCCCCAGGACCAGCACTGACAGCCAATGGCCCAGCATTGCCTGGGGCCACGTTCCCCGCAGAGGGAGCAGGGGTTGGGCTGGAGTCGGTGCAGGGCCCTGTCCAGGGGAATGAACAGACATGCTGCAGAATCTGACCCTGGCCAGAGCCGAGTGGCAACAGAAAATGGCTCTCCAGGGTGTGGAGGACCCTGGGCAGAGGACCTGGCCTGTGGCAGACCTGGGTGGATGACTGAAAGCAACGGGAAGACCTGAGCTGCCATCTGGACGGCTGCGGGATGGCCCTCTCCCCACCCACACACATGTGGGGCTCCGGGTCCCACACCAGGGCGCAGCTGAAGCTGGACAGCAGCCAAGGGCTCCCCGGGGCCAACACCTGCCTCGGCGCACACTGCACGCCTGTCTCATCTCCGTAGGCTGAGTAGAGCAGCTCCAACTCGTCCGACTTCAAGTCGCCAAATGCTGAATTATTCTGCATCGAAAGCGCAGTAGTGGCACTGGAGAGAAAGGTGACTGGGAGGAAGAGGAGAAAGAGAGCATCACTGGACTCACTGGAAGGACTCGGTGTGCAGGCCCCACCCCGCTTCTCCAGGGGCTGAGGGACCGCCTGGCTGGCAGCCAGCACCCCAGTCTCACCTCTCTTGCTCTCCACAAAATTCTCACTCCTGAGTTTTCCATGTGTAACCAGCAGGGGTGTAATTCACCACCCCTCATTTTACTTCTGCAGGCCAAAGACCGCAGGGAAATGAGCTCTCTGCAAAGGGGTGAGCTCCACAAGCAAAAGAGCTGTGTGGAAACGTGGGCAGAGCGCACCGTCTGTCACTGTGGAGGATCCCAACCAACACACACCGCAGGGACCACGCCTGCCCAGGGCCAGCTCTCGCTGTGGGGGACACAGGCCAGGTGTACTGTGCAGTGTCCCATAGGGTGTGGAGCAGCACCCCTGGCATCTCCCTACCATCTGGTGCCAGCAGCACCCCCAACCCCAGTGGGACCATCAACACGCCTCTGGACACTGCCAACATCTCCAGGGACAAAAGTGCTGTGGTTGAGAACTGTGTTAGAGGGTGAGAAGAAGATGTGTGTCAAACACAACAAAAAAAAAGTATCAACAACCACAACAGCCCCAAGAGGAAGAGGGGAGCAGGGGCTGGTGAAGACAAGTGGTGAAGGCAAGAGGATCCTTCCCAGTGGAGGGCGTCCTTCAACAGGAGACCCAGACCAGGCAGAATTTCAACACCTGGAGCTGGAGGAAAGAACATTCCAGAAACAAGGAAGCTCTTGAGCCAAGGCCATGGTTTGGAGGGAAGAGTGAGCTGTCCCATTAGCAGATGGTGTGAGTGGCTGAGGCAGAAAGGGCCGGCAGGAGCAGTGTCCATGCAGCTGTCTGCATGGGAGGGACCCAGCAGAGGTGGAGAAGTGGAGGGTGGGGCCATGCAGGAGGTCCCAGCAGCAGCGCAGCCAGGAGGCAGCAGTGCAGATGGAGAGAACACACAGGCCAGACCCAAGGCCCAGGGGCCACACATTCTGACCCCTGAAGGGATGTTCTGTAATGCGACAGGGACAGAAACACAAGGACCCCAAAACACTGACCAAGGTGAAGTCCAGTGATGCAACCAAGGTGCCCGCTGTGTGTGTCCCCATCCAACACGAGTTTCATTCCTGTCACTGTAACTGATCTCAATCTTACCCATGTGAAAACATGAATCCAGGTACAGTGAGGAAACTCTGAAGTACGAATCAGCAGCATTTGCCATCACTCCACTAAACCCCTGCCACCTTCCCTGCTCCGGCTGGCTCCTGGGACGGGACTATGGATTTACCTTTGTTTCTTCTCTCGTCTTTGAAGCCCAGCGTGGTGAAGCCTGGGAGTAGCTTACTGGAGAGCGAGCTCAAGTCCACCGGGTGGGTCTCCTCCTCTGCAACACGGACATGGCGGGCCGTGAGTGGCAGGTGTGACCCCAACGCGGTGCCCCAGTGCAGTGCCATGAGCCCTTTCTCCACATCACAGTGGATGTGATTGGTGCGGGTGGGGGGATTTTATAATGATCACCTGAAAACAAATTTGCAAAAGCCAACTACCATTCTCAAAACTAACTGCATTTCAATTTCATTTCTTTATCACCCCAAAGTCAACACAATAAAAAATACCACATCTTTGGCCACCACACCAGCAATACTTTGAGAACATTTTCAAATGGATCACTCAACAACTCCAAGAAGAAATCTTGTCCTGCGTGTTCTAACAGCGAAACGGTGGCGTGTACCTGGAGCGCGTGCATCTGACAGCATGTCTGCCATGCTCAAGTCACCACCCACACACCACTCATGGGATCAGAGCAGGAGTTCCTCAGTTCCCAACCGCTGCCTCGGTCTCAACACTCTCATAAGCTAAATATGGATCAACGGTCCATCCTCTTTAGGAAAATAAGCTGAAGATTATATAGATCAGCCCGTTTCTATCCTTCACACACTGGAGAAAACCACGCTGGCATGGTGGAGCTGGGTGAAAGACCACCAGCAGGCATGCGGGTGAGAGCGAGGGAAGCAGGAATCTAGAGGCAACCCGTGCCAGGCTGCACGTTCCTCACGCGAGCCCGCGAGTGCGTTTCAAACCCAAGTGATCACACTTTCGTTCAAAGGACAAGCCTCTTAATTACTTCCAGGCCAACAAAGTGCCCCTGACGGGCTGGACAGGCCTAGTGCGCGCCATCCTTCAACACTGTCCTGGACATAATCATCTAACAGCTCTTCTTTTTCTAAGACTGCTTTCCAGATTCAAGGAGCAGGGTGGGCCAGCACTCTGGTCTTTGCTGAAGACTGAGCTCGGGATGTGAACCCTTCCTGATGCTAGTGAGGTTTGGCCTTAAAGGCCTCTCGGCAGCTTTTCAGGAACGTGGCTCGAGTCCCGCTGCTCCCAAGGAGCCCTGACCGAGGTCTGACCAGCACCACAGCCCCGCGAGACGGCCGTCCACACCACTCGGTGCACATGTCCTCCAACTCCAGCGACAGCTTCTTGGCTGCCCAGTCCTTCGAGGGGTCCCCCGGGGACTTGGGGGGCGTCCTGTTGGCAGCTTTGGCAGGCTTGGCCTTGTCAGCCATGTTGCTATGGAGGAAGGAGAGGAGAAAGGTGTCACCCGGGCCATGTCCCAGCTGAGCCGGGTGCAGCCCAGGAAACCCCGCCATACCAATGAGCACCAGGACGTGGCGAGGGCTGAGATGGGCAGGCCCTCCTGGGGCTGGGCGTGAGGCCCCTCAGACCCTTGGAGCCAGCTGCCCCGCAGGCACGCATGTCCAGCCCCGGGCAGAGTGGAGCCAAGCGAGGCCTTGCCCACTGCCATCATTGGGCCAAGGACCCCCTAAGCCAAATAAAGCCAGCAGCACGCAGAGCCCAGGGTGGGAGCTGAGCTGGGTGCCAGGGGCTCCAGGCCTAGGAGGCTCAGTGTGTGACTGGCAGCATCAGAGCCTATTCCGGGTCCCCTCCCCGCCGCAGTTCCACTGTCCCTCCTGTGGACGCCCGCTCTGCAGCTCTGGAGGACACCTCGGGATCACGCACTCCCCAGGGTCTGTGACGTGCTGCCTTCCTCTGGGAAGGTCCACAGCAGTCGTGCGACAGCCGCTCCCTCCCCACTGCAGAGCCTCTGACCTTAGATGGAGCTTTAGGCTGGGGAGGGTGTGTGGTGGCCCTGGGGGTGCCTCAGGATGCTCTTCCCAGGAGCCCTGGGCCTGGCCCCAGCCAGGGGAGGGGACTGCCAGTGTGCAGGGCTGAGGCAGTGCTGGGGGCACCGGTGTCAGGGTGCAGGGATGCCCTCTGGACTTGGTAAGGCGCCCGCCCCCAGAGCAGGTGGCTGGGCTGTGGGGCTAAGATTGAGGGGTGCCACCCAGGCAGGGCTTGGGGACGCAGGGCTACGCCACAGGGCAGGGCTGCCGAGGCCACCTCCCTACCATGCATGGGCTTCGGTAAGACCCAGTCAGGCCCTGAAGGACTCAAGGCTGAGGTGCTGGACTCAGGGCATGAAAGCTGCTTCCCAAAGGGGCCTGGACACCAGGTGGGCCGTCAGCACTGCACTGAGAGCTGAACATGGCCTCTGCCCACAGACACAAGAGCCGGTGGGAGGGTCCGTGCCGAGGACACATGTGCGTGTCCCAACCCTGGGACTCACGAAGCCCTCTCAGATCTGGAGTTCTCAGCGCCAGTCATGGCCAAAGTGTGGCTCTGTCATCGTGGGGGTCCTGAGTGTGGCCCCTGCTGAACTTGAGATCCCACAAATTCCCCCAAAACAGCCGGAAAAAAATCCAGGGGCACTCCCTACACTGAAGACCTTAAGGGCCTCAGGCCCCACCCACTCACCCCTTTCCCTGGAAGACACCAAAAATGCAGATGCCAACCCAGCGGAGGATGCAGGGGCAGGATCCTGGTGGGGGCTGGGCCGCATGGGGGCAGGGTCTCATGGGGGCAGGACCGCGTGGGGGCAGGATCCTGGTGGGGGCAGGATCCTGGGGGTGGAAGGGCCGTCTGGGGGCAGGATCCTGGGGGTGGAAAGGCTGGGTCAGGTGTCGAGCCAGGAACCGTTTCCAGTTTTATCGCTGACAACATTTCTTTGAAACAGGAGCTTCTCACAGGCCTGGCCTGTGTTTCCCCTGGGCCTCTGCAGCAGGGGTCGCTGGACAGGAGGAGCAGCTGAGAAATTACCAGAAGCAATGGTGGGTTTTGTGAGCACCCAGAACAGTGGTGGGCGTGCGGGTCAGAGAGAAAGAACCTTCTGGGATGCTTCAAACTCAGGGCTGCGTTCTGTGGTCTCATCTCCTGTGGGGATGCGCCTGAACAGAGACCCTTATTCACACACCTCAGAGAGTCATCTGAGAACCTGCACCCCGTGGGGCCCGCCTGGGAGCAAAGGGATGAGGGAAGCCCCTCAGAGCCACCTTCAGGGCTCACGCAGGACTTCCCAGCCCATCAGCACGTGCTTTGCATGAGGTTTTGATAAGCTTGGAGGTTGGCCTTGGAGGGCTGAGCGGGACATAAAACGTCCTGCCCTCGTGAGGCCTTCAGTTGGGACAAGTGATAAACAAATAAGCAATGACACATCAGGCAGCGAGGAGTGAAGAGGAGAAACTGAGGCAGGTCAGAGGGAGGCCAGCAGGCGATTTCAGACCTGGCGGAAGAGAATGTGCGTGAGCAGAGATGCGGACGGGTGGGAGTCACGACGCGTGAGAACGGTCCGGCCCGCGGCCCCTGCGCCCCTGCTGGGCAGGCACCACCTGTGCTAGGCTCAGCCCCTCTCAGCACAGCAAGCAGCATGAGATGGCACGCATGAGAGCACGGTGGGGGCCGTGGGGGAGAGGGCAGAAAGGAACAGGGGTCAGACCATCGCCGGATCTACTGAAGACAGACACTGCCTTCAAACGTTCTGAGGAAAAATGCTTCGGGCTGGGACTTGGATACCCACGTCCACTGTCCCACTCAGGCTGAGGGGAGCAAGGCCACCTGCAGTGGGTGTGACCTCAGAGACGTGGCCACACCCCCTGCGGAGGTGCTTGGTGACTGGGCTTCCCAGGAAGACGAGGGTGACAGCCGTCAACAGCCGAGAAGAAGTAGTAGATGCAGGAACCCATGGCCGTCACACGGGAGTGAGTCCACGGGCGCTTGGGAGGGCTGAGAACCAGGCCCAGGCAGTTCTGGAGGGAAAAGTGGAACCCGTCCCAACTCAGCCCCAGCCTTTCTGCACCAAGGGGTGGAGCAGTGCCGACCTCAGACGCCAGCTGCCAGAAATGCTTCCAAAGCCCGCCTCTGCGTGGGGTGTGTGCTGAGGGGTCTCACGTGGGGACTCGCCTCAGAGCCCATCTGAGCTTCACTGTTCTAGGTTCTTGTAGTTTTGTTTTACCTCAAACATGTATTAGTTTAACAAAATATTTTTAAAAAAGTTTTTAAACTAAAAATGACAGAATGAATTAGGCACGATGTGCCGCTGTGGGAAGACAGCCAGGCTGCTGCTGGGTCTGGAGGAGCAGGACACGGGCCACACACACAGATCAGGAGCGGAGAAGATGGGAGATGCACTGTCTGGATCGCTTCATTAGACCCACGTGCTGTTTCCACAATGACGGTAATAAGAATACATTTAGTTTTAAGAGAATGAGGAGGTGTCAGACGGACAACGAGCCTGGGCGGGCGCCTCTACCTTGGCGCTCTCCACCGAGCATGGCATGCTGCTGTGCCAGCTGCTTCTCCTTGGATGGGCAGAGGCCAGGTGTCCTCCACTTTCCCAGTTTCTGGGTGCAGTGCACCTGAGCCCTGGGTGCAGACCCTCACACCATTTCCCCCAGAGGCTCTGCTCTTTCACCGTGAGGGAAAAGAAGGTTGTGTAGCAGAAGAGACTCCAGGAAGACAAACTGCTCACATGGGGTCCAAGGACAAGCTCCCAGGCGTGTACCCACCATCTCCACGTGTGTGCCCTGAACCTCCAGGGGGTCGCTCTTCACTCCCAGACCTGTGCCCACCATCCCACATGTGCCCTGCACTCCCAGGCCTGTGCCCACCATCTCAGCTGTGCCCTGTACTCCCAGGCCTGTGGCTTGCATCCAGGTGTGCACCTGCACCCTCTCCCACTGGCCAGCACCTCCCTGGTAGGAGGGACGTGCCCAGCCCTGCCCCGACCCAGGTGCCTGCTCACAGCACATGCCCCTTCCCTGGCCAAACCCCACGGGAGCCCAAGTGGGGCCTGGCCAGGAACTGCTTGGAGGCTGAGCCCACCCCACTTGCGCCCCAACCCCCAGGGCCAGGACCTGCTTGGAGACTGAGCCCACCCCACTCCCACACACCTGCAGCACCTCCCCAGGGAGTCAGGAGGATGGTGCCTACGGGCTCACCCACAGGTGTGGGCAAGACTGTGTTGTCCAACTGGCATCTTCAAAACAGGCTTGAAGAGGACAGAAGATGAGGGCAGAGGTGGCACCACAGACCTCAGAGTGGGGCAGGCAAAGGCAGACCCCAGAGGGTGGCTGTCCGAAGCATCCTCGCTGGCCAGGGAATGCCTGTCCCAGGTGTGTCACCAGCTCCAAGGACTCGGCCACCTAGGCGGGGCTTCGTCCCAGACACCGCAGGCCACCTTGGCCCCAACCCCACAGGCTGTTCCTGTTCCCAAGAGGCCCCACGGAAAATCACCTGGGCCCCATTTGTCAGAATGAATCTCCTGGGAAATGCCTTCAGACTGGACACTGGACTGCCCAAAGCCAAACTTACAGAAAACCTGCCAGAACAGAATTGACAGGGCTGGGGAAACAGCAGCCCCAGCCTCTGATCACAGAGCTGTCCAGGGGCTGGAAACCCGGGTGTCCATGTGGCATCAGTAAGCGGGGCCAGGCACTAGGACTGACCGGGCTCTGTCACTAGGAACAGGGGTCTCGCACTTGGGCCAGGGGGTTCTCACTAGGACCAGGGGCCTGTCAGTCACTAGGGCCGGGACCTGTCCCTTGGGCCTGGAGCCTGTTACTAGGACCTGGGGTCTGTCACTACAGCCAGGGGTCTGCCCCTTGAGCCTGGAGCCTGTAACTACGGCCTGGGGTCTGTCACTAGGGCCAGGGGTCTGCCCCTTGGGCCTGGAGCCTGTTACTAGGACCTGGGGTCTGTCACTAGGGCTAGGGGTCTGCCCCTTGGGCCTGGAGCCTGTAACTAGGACCTGGGGTCTGTCACTAGGGCCAGGGGTCTGCCCCTTGGGCCTGGAGCCTATTACTAGGACCTGGGGTCTGTCACTAGCGCCAGGGGTCTGCCCCTTGGGCCTGGAGCCTGTAACTAGGGCCTGGGGTCTCTCTCACTAGGGCCAGCTGCTGTTTTAAAGATAGCAGCAGCCTCGGTGCTCCCTTGTTCACTGCCCACGCCCACGCGGGGGTGGCGCCGACAGAGCCTACACCACTGCTCTTCACGTGGATGGCTGTGGGGTGGCTGAGCCTTGCTGGCAGAGGAGGCTGGTGGACAGGCCATGCTCACATCATCAGCAGTGCCGGGTCAAAGCTGGAGGCAGGAGCCATGGAGTCAGTGGGAGCTACTACCCCTCAGCTCATCACCCCTCCCTGGGACCTGAGACCTCAGAGCCAGCCCTCGGCCCTGCTCAGGCTCTGGCCTCCCTGAGAACCTCTGTCCTGGTCACAAGTGTCCTGCAGGCCCCCTGGGTTGTGCTGGGCTGGACCAGGCCAGGGCGTGACCTCTGACAGCTCCACCTGCTCTGGAGAAGCCACCAGCAGCTTCTCCAGCTGCACCCGCTGACCCCCAGAGCTCGCTCCCAGGCAGGTGCCCATGGTGGGACAGTTGCTTGCGCCTCAGTCTCCTCATCCTTGAAGGGGTGCAGCCGCTCCCCATCTCCCTCGCACCCGATGGCCTCATGCAGGCACAGCCTGAGGGAGAACCTGTCTCTGCGGAGAAAGACTCTGTGATGGCAGCCAACTGGATTCCACCAGAACCCGAAGGCAAGCATTCCTTGGGAAGGGACCAGGCTGGGAACATCAGGCACGCACGCCACACACTCAACCCAAACCTTCTGTTAACTCAGGTTCCCAGGAGCCCCGCGTGCTTCTGCCTGGCAGGAGCCGATGCTCGTGCCCTGGAGAACTCCCTGTTCAGGGATGACAATGGGTTCCCTGGTGATTTGGAGGCCTGGGGCCTGGGTGGGAGCTGCTCCCTCTAACCCTGGAGACGCCGCCCAGGAGTCCAACGTGCTGTGACTGCAGGATGCCCCTGGCAGGGGCCATGCTGGCTCAGATGCCTCTCTCCAACCCCTTCCTTCCATGCCCTCGGGGCACTGGCATCCAGGGAGCTGTGAAGGACACGCTGTGTTGCAAGCTGACTGGGAAACAGGTTGGAGGGGTGGGGGCCGAGGCGCTCAGCAGTATTCAGGCATCTCTCAGCTGGTGACAGGAGCTGTCCCAGGCCCTGCAGGTGGGAGTGCATGCCAGGAACCCCTGGGGGTCCCTGGTCCTCTCTCCATGGGCAGATTCCCATGCAGATACCCTGGCCTCCGCAGGCTCAGCTGGGTGTACTGCCGCTGGGCTCTTCAGAACCTTTACGCCCAAGTCCTGTCCAGGGGGAGCACCCTCCACCCCAGGCTGGCTGCCATCACAGCCCTCAATCCTGCCCAGAGTCCCTGGAGACTGTTGTCATTAAACCCCACTCCTGTTTAGGAAACCCTAGGGCCAGACCCCACTGCTGGAACGGGACCCTCTCGTGCCTGCAGGTGGCAAAGCTCCTGAGGGCCTGATGGACCCTCCAATGTCCCACGGCCACAGGTCCCACCTTGGCACCGAAGCCCTGGGATGGCCCCTCTGCAACGCCCAGTGCTCCATCATGACCTGGACCCAGGTCGCTGACTGAGGGAGTGGAGGGGATCAGGACCAGGGAGAAGCAACCCCCCAGTAAATCCGAAGCACAGGAATGGCACAGCCCCAAGGGAGACCGGGTAGGCCCCTGGCCAGCAGGGCTGAGGGGAAAGTCTCCACTGCAAGGCGCCTGCTGGGCCCACGCAGTGTGCTCCTGGCCTCAAACTGCCCACTGGGCATTCAGCCTGGACAGCTCTCAGCTCGAGACCCTCGCTGGTGAATGGGACAGCAACATCAAAGACCACAGCGACCCGAAGCCCCAGAAGCAAAAGCCACCCTCACAGCGGAAGGAGTGGACAGAGCCCCTGTGGAGCTCACCCAGCCCTCCTGTCCCACCAAGGGGCCTTCTAGGACCTGGGAGCCCTGCCCTCCTGCCGAGGAGGTGCTTCCCCATTAAACAGGGCCAAGGAACAAGGCGGCTCAGGTCCCATTCCTTATTTCAGAGCCCATTTGGGTGCAGCACAGCCCTTTGGCAGATGGTTCTTGTTTTTCACTATCATCGCACGGCCCTCCTGCTCCGCGGGACTCTCCCTGTGAACCGCCCCACTCTTCTCAGCCCAGGCCGCCTGTCAGGCAGGCAGAGCTCCCAATCAGAACAAAGCTGGCAGTTTTGAGTCCGTGCCTTTCCCCCTGCAGCACAGGACGCAGTGTGTCTGGAATTGGTGGGTTATTGGTCTCGCTGACGTCAGGAATGAAGCTGCGGAGCCCCGCAGTGAGTGTCACAGTTCTTAAAGATGGCGACCCTGGAGTTTCTTCCTTCAGATGTTCAGATGCGTCTGGAGTTTCTTCCTTCTGGTGGGTTCGTGGTCTCGCTGACTTTAGGAGTGAAGCCGCGGACTCTCGCAGTGAGTGTTACAGCTCTTCAAGGTGACGCCTCTGGAGTCATTCATTCCTTCCCGTGGGTTCCTAGTCTCGCCGGCTTCAATTCAGACCTCAGTGGTGAGTGTTACTTACGCCTCTCAGAGACAGCGCGTCTGGAGCTGTTCGCTCCCTCCGGTGGGCTCGTGGTCTGGCTGGCCTCAAGAGCAAAGCTGCAGACCTTCGCTGCAGACCTCCCTGGTGAGTGCTACAGCTCACAAAAGCGGCGCGCACCCAGACTGAGCGGCAAGATTTATTGCTAAGAGCAAAAGAACAAACTTTCCACAGCGGAGAAGAGAATGGAGTCAGGTTGCGGCAGGGCGTTCCGGCTACCCGCTTTTATTCCGTTATCTGACCCCACCCACATCCTGCTGATTGGCCCATTGTACAGGGAGCTAATTGGTCCGTTTTACAGAGCGTTGATTGGTCCATTTTGACAGAGTGCTGATTGGTGCATTGACAAGCCTTTAGCTAGACATAAAAGTTCTCCAAGCCCCCACTCCACTCAGGAGTCTAGCTAGCTTTCTCTATCGGATCCTGAGCCCCGCAGCAGGCGGAGCTGCCCGCCAGTACTGCGCCACGCGCCCGCACTCCTCAGCCCTTGGGCGGTCCATGGGACCCGGCGGGGGCGGCGCCCTTCCGGGAGGCCCCAGCACCGAGGGAGCCCGGGGCGGGGGAGGGGGGGCGTGGCCTCGGCATGGCGGTCGGCGGGTCCCGAGCCCTGCCCAGCAGGGAGGCGGCTGAGGCCCCGCGAGAATTTGAGCATGGCGCAGGCGGGCTGGCAGTGCTGGGGGACCCGGCGCACCTCCGCAGCCACCGTAGGACAGAGGGGCAAGGGGGCTCCCAGACTCTGCAAAGGACGCTGCGGCGGAGACTGATACGGGTCTGAGATGGCTGTCCAAGGCCCAAGTGAGAATTAAACCACATGCCCAGCCAGTGCCCACCACCCGGGCCAACACCATTTCTCTAAAGCACGACACAGGACATTCCACCAACAGAGCATCCCAAAAGGGAATAGAGATCCCGGCTGGCTCATCCCATCAACCATGTCGGAGACTCGGCGGCTGCAGATGCGGTGGGACCTGCCTCCATTAAAGGCACCTTCTGTGGGGACAGCAAGGACTCTCACGCGGGGCACACCAGGTTAGAGGACACAGCCGCGGCTCTCAAGGGAGGCACAATGGGTTACAGGAGAAAACAGCCGAGGCTCTCAAGGGGGCAGAGCAGGTTACAGAACACTGCAGAACCAGGGGCTGGTCCCTCATCCAGCGCAGCTTCACTGAGTGCCAGACTCACGAGGACCCTGCCCTGCCCCGCCCCAGCCCACTCACTGCCCTTGGGTTACCCTTGGGGCTCAGGGTCCAGGGCACCTGCAGGCAGCTGGGACCAGGCCAGCTCTGGGCCAATGGTGGCCCCATCTAATCCCCAGAACCTGTGAACGCGACCTTGTTTGGAGAAAGGATCTGGAAATGAGATCATCTTGGATTATCCACAGCTGAGCCCTAAATCCAATGGTGAGTGTCTCTACCTAGAAGAGGCAGAAGAGAAGACACAGAGAGAAGAGAAGAAGGTGCTACAGGCTGAATTCGTCCCCTCCAAAATCCACGCTGGAACCTAATCCCCATTGTGGTGGCATTAACAGAGCCTTTGGGGGATGAGATTCAGCTATGGGGGCCAGGCTCCTGGGAATGACCGAGTGCCTTATCAAAGGGCTGGGGCATGAGGACATGGCAACCAGGCCCTGTCTTGGAAGCAGGGAAGGGCCCTTGTCGGACGCCAAGCCTGCAGGTGCCTTGATCTTGGACTCTCCAGCCTCCAGAACTGTGAGAAGTGAACATATCATTTCATAAATTACCATGCCTGGTGCTGTTACAGCAACACACACAGACTAACACAGTCGCCCTGAGGCTGGGGCTGCAGTGATGCAGCCACACGCCCAGGACAACTGGAGCCACCAGAAGCTAGAAGAGGCAGGGAGCGTCCCACCAAGCCTCCAGAGGAAGCTGACTCATGAGATGCCTGGACGCTGGGCTTCTGGTCTCCAGGATGATGGGGGAATGCGTCCCTGTTGTGTTAACCCCGGACTGTGTCAATTGTCAGAAGCCTCTGGACACAGTGACACAGCGGGTGGGACCAGAGGCTCAGCACCCCTCATGGGGAACAAAGTCTTTGAGGCCCTCAGGTGGCACTGAGAGACCACAGGGGGCTCCAGAGGCCCTTGGGGGTCCACCTAAGCCAGGATGGGTGTTAGGCCAGGGCTGCCAACAGCACCTGCCTTCTGAGACACATCCAGCCTCTGGTTGCCCATTTTTAGGTGGAGAAAATGAAGGCTGCATACGTGGCTGGTGTGAGGAAGTCAGCTGACGGGAATTTGCTGATTTAAGGGAAGGTTCAGCTGCGTCTGCATGCTAAAGGGCTGTCCTCCAGATCAGATCTAGAAGCTTTGGGAAGGTAATGCAAAAGAATTTCTGATGTTCTTGGCGTGGGGGAAATTTGTTACACGGACACAGAAAGCCTTGCCCTGCAGGAAAAGATTCTTAGAAGGCACCAGATTAAAAGAAAGAACTTCTGTTCGTTGAAAAAATATCATCAAGAGAGTGAAAAAGCAAACCCCAGGGTAGGAGATGTTTGCTATGCACAACAAATGTTGGCTTGTCTCCAGAATATATAAAGAACCTCTACAAATCGATAGGAACTCAATCCACAAAGGGCAGCTGACTTGAACAGGCCCCTCGGGGACGAGGGTATCCAAGTGCCCAGTGCTCGGTGGGAAGCACTCAGCTTCGTTAGTATGACCAGGAAAATGCAAATCATAAGGCTTCCACACAGCCTTACAAAAGGCTAAGACATTGCAAAGGCTGACAGTGGCTAGTGCCGGCAAGGATGTGGGTCAACAGGAAACTGTGGGGGCGAATGGCTTTAATCCCTTTGGGAAACTGCTTGGCATCATCTGATGAATGAAAAGACACACTAGATCCCAGACTCAACGGCTCCACTTCCAGATTGACCCAAGAGACTCATGACCACATGCCCCAAAGAACATCCCAGGAATGCCCACGACAGCTTCATCCCTAGTTGCCAAGAAAGGGGAACCGCGTGGACATGCACCTGCTGACAGTATGGTGGTCTCAGGGACAGCGGGCATCCCCGTGGGAGTGTGGGCGGCGCTGAGCACGAGCACCTGGGGCTCCTCGACGCAGTGTGGACGGACCACTCGCGCACACTATTGATCCACGTTAGCCAGCACAGCAGTGTGCCCACCACGTGGCTTCTGGTTAAAGGTTAAAAACAGGCAAAGCCAAAGCACAGTGCTCAGGAATTGCAGCTTCGACGGGAAAACGGACGGTAAGACCCCATCCCACTCCCGGAACATGAAGAGAGGCGGCCCAGAACGGCTGGCACTAGAACTGCAGGTGGGCTGTGCCAGGTGCCAGGTGGGGCCCTCCCAGCAGGCGGCCTGGGGACACGTGGGCACTGGCGAAGGTGGCAGGAACAAGCCTGGTGGGAGGTGAGGCTGAGATGAGCTTCACCCCAGTGGCTCTGTCCATGGCCCAGGCTCCTCAGGCACTGAGAAGGCAGAGGTGCCACCCCGCCGAGGGGCAGAGGAAACCGGCCCTTGGGCAGCCTTAGGAGAAGCGGGGGCCGGTGTGCGCAGGAGAGGGTGGACGCCCCAGAAGCAGCCACGGTGGCCAGGTTACCTGCGAGATGCCATGGGTGGGAGATGCAGGTGGCTGTGCAGCGGTGCCCTGGGCTCAGGGGGAGGGGCTGGGTCAGGTCCCCGGGGCTGGCTGGGGCCTGGACATGGCTCCCTGGCCCTGAGGCACCAGCAGCACTTCTGAGTGGGGTGGGACTGGCCTGGTGTGTTTCTGGGCGGGGATCCAGTGTGAGTGGGTGAACAGTGAGTGGCAGCCATGGGCACGCTGAGGTACGCACACTTCACCCACCTCTGTGGGCCAGGAAGGCATGTCACATACTCCTGACAAGGCAGAGGGTGCTGGGAGCTCGCCTGTGTCAGACATGAGGGCCCTTGGACCAGGGCCTGGGTTTGAAGCCACCTCCATACCCCATACACGGTGCTCACTGCTCCTGGCCCCATTGACTGATGACTGATGGCCAGAGGGGGACAGCAGCTGTGTGAAGTCGCCTGGCAGGTGCGGCTGTTGGTGGCACTCCCTGGGCGGAGGCCACGTTGGACATTTGTGAACAAACGAGCAGGTTGGGGTTACAGGTTATAGGATCTGGGAAATGTGGTCTGTGATGCCATGCGCCCTGGGGGATCTCATGGAGCCCACATGGGCAGGCACCTTTTATCATGCCAAGAAGTCAAACGTGGGATGCCATGTGGGGAACATGCCCTGGGTGGGGGAATACCCTGGGTGGAGATGCCATGTGGGGAGGATGCTCTGGGTGGGGAATCTTTGTGGGGGTTGTCCTGGGTGGTGGAGCCTTGGTGAAGGAATGGCCTAGGGGGTGGCTCTGGGAGGGGGTGGCTCTGGGATGTGGATGTCCTGGGAGGGGGATGTCACCTTAGGGGGAAAGCCTGTTGCAGATGCCCTAGGAGGGAAGCCCTGTGTGAGAGATCATCTGGGTGGGGGCTGCCCCGGGTGGGGGATCATCTGAGTGGGGGCTGCCCTGGGTGGGGGATGTCCCCGGTGGGGGATCATCCAGGTGGCAGATCATCTGGGTGGGGGATCATCTGGGTGGGGGATCATCTGGGTGGAGGATCATCTGGGTGGGGGATCAACTGGGTGGGGGCTGCCCTGGGTGGGGGCTGCCCTGGGTGGAAGATCTTATCAGGGGGATGCAGTGGGTTATGGCCCTGTGGCAACCCCAAACACACACACACCAAGAAGAAGCTGGTCTCCCTAGGAGGAGGATCCACGCAGGGCAGCTTGGGGTTTGGCTCGTGGATGCTGGGGACAAGGCCTGAGCCCCAGATGTGGCTGGGCCTGACCCAGGCAGCTCCACCCCTTCCTTCCCAGGAAACACCTTTTGCTCGAGCAGTAGGAACTAGGCGTGTGTAGATTCTGCTGCCTGATCCTGGCTCCTGGCTGAGGGTTTGTGGGCTCAGATGGACTAGACACCCGGCCACAACCCTCCTGGGCATAGCCTTCTGGCTCCCCCAGCCCAGGCGGAGGCATTGAGCGACTCTCCTCACCCAGAGTGTTTTCCCGAAGGCGCTTCTGCCTGAGGGCACCAGGCTGGGCCAGGTACTGCAGGGCGCTGACCAGCACTGGCCTGGGGGCCCCAAGAGCCCCAGATGGCATCCCTCTCACACACTCCCCCTGTCTCACCAACAGCTATAAATAGACTCGGCTCTCTGCTGGCACGGCCTCTCCCGAGGAAGCTTTTAATTCTCTGCGTCCTCTGCAGGGGGTGGCTCCCACAGGCCTGGGAGGGAACAGACTGCCTGACTCTCCAGAGAGCTCCCCAGTCTCCATCTGCGATGGGTGATCCTAATTTTCTTCAGGAAGTTCTCCTGAGCCCTGCGTGTGGCGCTTTGGCCTTTGTGCCCACGGAAGCCCCCTGCGGCCCCTCCCTCCGGGCCCTGCCCAGCCCGGTGCACGAACCCTGTTTACCGATTCCCAGGCCTAGGGCAGCCACTGCCAGTGTGAGGCTTGCAAATTAGGGTAGGGGGTCAAAAGGAAGCCCCTGTTGACCATTTCTGTGAGCATTCTATGCTCATTTCCACAACGAGCATTTATAACCTCGTATAATCGCTAAAACATTTATTGCAACTTCAGGGAATTCGGGAAGATAGACCAACCGCAGCTGTAAGATTAAAACGCAGCCAGTGACCAGCGGAGCTTCCTCCACGCACACGCGGTCCAATCCCCATGACTTCATGTTTTGTGAAGATGCAAAGCGAGTTCATGCCGGCGCCTTTCTGAATCAGAGATCCCTTTAGAAACCATGAAAGCTGCAGACCCCTCCCGGGAAAACGCACACACCCTCCTGGAGCTCGCCTTCTGCAGCCGCTCCGGGAGCCCGCCCCTCCCCCACAGGCCCTCCGAGGATCACGTGGTGGGGAGGCGCTGGCACCGAGCGGCTGACAGGCGCGAGAGCCCAGTTCAAGGCGCCGGCATCAGGCTGCAGCTGCCTCACTCCCCTCCACTTCCTGCCCCTTCCCGGCCTTGGTCCAGCCCCATCTCCTAGTCCCAGGCCACAGGGAGCTGGGTCACCTCCCAGGGGCAGGGGCTGGCTGGGCGTGGGGGGAGACCTCTCCCCCTGAGAAGTCAGGCGGGGAGGGGTGGCCGGGGTGGGCGGAGGGGCCCAGTCCTCTATCGGTCCCCCAGGGGCCCTGCACGCAGAAGAGCCAATAAACATGCCAGGTGGATCAGCGGTGACACTGAGAGGGAACGCAACACCCCATCAAAACAGCAGCCCCCCAACCCCCATCAAAACAATAGCCCCCAACCCCCATCAAAACAGCAGCCCCCAAACCCCTATCAAAACAGCAGCGCCCAAACCCCCATCAAAACAGCAGCCCCCAACCCCCATCAAAACAGCAGCCCCCAAATACCCATCAAAACAGCAGCCCCCAAACCCCATCAAAACAGCAGCCCCCTAAACCCCATCAAAACAGCAGCCTCCCAAACCCCATCAAAACAGCAGCCCCCCAAGCCCCATCAAGACAGCAGCCCCCCTAAACGCTTATCAAAACAGCAGCCCCGCCACTGCCCGGGAGGGACAGGCTTCTCACCTCCCTCGGCTCCGTTTACGTAACCGAAACCGCAGAATAAAGGGCTCCTCAGATCCTCGGGCGCTGCTCCCAGGGGTGCGGGAAGGTGTCCCGGCAGCGCCTCTCCATCGCCACAGGCCCGCGGACAGTAGCCAAGGCCCGGGGCAGCTGGAGGCTCTGCGGGGGGCGGTCTGACAGCCCCACCTGCCAGGACGCGGTGGTGTCAGGACCCCGAGACCCGCTCATTCTGGGCCGTTTCTGTGGCCAGGGATCTCAAAACGTGCTGCGGGCAGTGGCTTCATTCCAGCCCTCCACGCCCTAATTTCCCACGCCTCACACCGGCGGCCCCCTACGCCTGGGAATAGGGAAACGGTTCCAGCCCCGGGCTGGGCAGGGTCTGGAGGGAAGGGCTGCAGGGGCGTCCGTGGCCGCGAAGAAAGGCCAAAGCGCCAGGCACAGGGCCCGGAGAAAGTGACAGACCTGTCCCTGGCGCGGCCGACGGTGACCCCCGCTCGCGGCCTTTGCAAAGCCTCCCCGTCGCGTCCTCGCACCGAGCCCGCAGCGCCGAACTCCGGGCATCCCAATCCGGGGGCTCAGGGACGCGCAGGGCGGCCCGGGAATGTGGCTCGGGGGAGCGCGGGGGGCAGGGGCTGCGGCGCAGGTGGCTGCTGGGGCTGACGGGCCCAGTCTCCGCCCCCGGGTGCCCCCCGCGCCGCGCCCGCAGGACCGAGCCCCGCGCCCGCTTACCTTGGAGACGCAGCAACTGCAGCGGAGGCTCCCCCGCGACCCGGCCGCGCGCGACCAAGTGCTCAGCGCAGCGCTCCCCCTGCCGCCCCGCCCCGCCCCCAGCCCCGCCCCCAGCGTCCCGCGCCCGCCCCTCGTGTTCATTGGCAGCCCCGCCCCCGCCGCCCCACCAGGCCCGGAGCATGCGCGGGCGCACTGAGACCTCAGCCTTACAAGACCGGCTCCGCTGAGGCTCCGCCGGCCGCCAGGTATCCGCTCAGCGCAGGGCGCGGCGGACCTGCGGGCCGTGGGAACCGCTGGGCAGTGGCAGCGAGGCCCCTCACCTGTCTCTGGGGCCCCCCGGGGACGACCGGACCCCGATCTCTGCGCCCCGCAGGACGCGCGTTGACGGTGCGGCGGGGGATGGATGAGCGCGGCCGCGGCCTCCTGGGGTGGGGTGGGTTGGCGGCGGGGCCTCGAGGACAGTGCGGGGCGAGCCCCGACCGCGCCCAGTTCTTTAAGGAGCCGCAGACGGTGCAGGGAAGCGGCAGGGCCGGGCTGTGAGGGTGCTCGGACCCCAAGGCGGGGCGCACCCAGGGGACTGGGCTTCCAGGTGGGGACAGCGCGGCCGGGGATCGACCTGAGCAGGGAGACGGGTCCGTGCCGGGCGCCCAGCGCAGCTGCTCGGGAGTGGGCCGCCCTTCACGCAGGAGTGGAGGAGCGGAGCGCGCACCCCTGACCCCGGCCTCAGCTTCCGTTCTCCCTGCAGGTCGCCCGTGTGCAGCGCCACCATCCCGGCCGCTCTTCCAATCTCGCCTTTCTCCGGGCACCTGCCGCCCCTCCCCCGCTCCCCAGACAGGCTTTGCGGAGGGGGCTCATTCCGCCCGGGGCTGCCGGGCCCTCCGCAGGAGTTGGCTCCCCACAAGGTTCCGGGGCCGAGACGACAGGGCGGTTCTGTGGTGCTGGGTGCTGGGACTTCAGGGGCACAGGGGCACCTGCCCTGGAGGAGGCCGAGGCGCAGCCCCCCAGGAGGAAGGGGTGCCTCTGGTGACTTTCAGCGGGACTCTTCCAGCCGGACTCTAGTGCAGCTGAGCTCCTCCCCCAGTCCCGGCTCTGTCCCTGCCCCAGGTGTCCAGCAGGCCCTGGAATCCGCAAAGGCAGAAGGGGAAGTTGGGGTGCTGGGTGCTGGGCAGGGGGTGCTGAGGCCTCACAGCCCGGCGGCTTGGCCCCCACCCACCCCACGGTGGTCCCGCGCCCCACACTTCCTCTCCTCTCCTGTGGTTTCTCCTTCCACTCAGTGCTGCCCAGAGATGGGCTTCTGTCTAGTTCTCCTGAGAAATTCCACACTCGCAGCTGGGAAGTCGGGGGACCCCCGAAGCTGTGCGGCGGCCACGCTGCGGCTCCTGCTTCCCTCCTGCTCGGGTGCGGGCTCGGCTGCCTTCTCGTCCCGCGGAGCCCGGAGTGCCTCCCCCTCGGGTAGATCCTACTAACAGCATCAAAGAAATAATGAAATAATCTCTCCTTGGTGTGTTCTTACCGTCCTAATAGGCACAAGGGGACTCTTCAGTGCATTTTCCAAAACCTGTACAAACTCTCTTGACATAAATGCAGTGAGTTTACAATAAAATCGCAGTGGGAGGTAACGTCAGGCTTCAGAGGCAGACATGGTCCTGGAGCCTTTGGGAGGAGAGGAGAGGAGAGGCAGCGGGCGCGGGGCGGCGTCCAGGGGGCTGAGCGAGGTCTGGGCAGGAGGACAGAGCTGAGCCTTGGGCTGCCCTGGCCCCTGCGCAGGACACACAGTGACCGGGGCTGGGGTGGGCACCCCGGTTCTACCGTCGGGAGTCGGCGTGTTCATGGAGTCTGTTTCCTTGTCTGTGGGTGAAACTTTGGCTTGGGGTCACGGGTGTGTTATTTCCCAGCGACAGTCGGTTCAGTCAGCACTTACAAAATCACCAGAAACAGGGGCACAGGATCTTGCTCAGCAGGGAGAGGTGGATCCTGATTCGGGACTCCAGGCTCTTCACCTGGCCATGGCTGCCCGTCCGGTGGCCCTTCCTGGCCCCCAGCTCTTGCTCCACTGCCAGACCTGGACAGCCTCCATTAACCCTGCAATTACTGAAAACCGACTCACAGCCAATGATGTGATCCACGCCAAGTGTCCCGTTATAAGATGTTTCCTGGGGATCCTTAGAAAATCACTACAAATGGGTTGAACAACAAGGCTTTCCTCTTACGGCTTAGGAGGCCAGAAGTCCGAGATCAAGGCCTGTGCGCTCCGGAGGTTCCCACCTCTTCCAGCTTCTGTGGCTCCAGGCGGTCCTGGGTGGTGGCCGCATGGCTCCACCTCTGCCCCTGTCCTCACGGGGCCTCCTCCCCCAAGTTAGTGTGTCTGTCTCTTCCTTTGCTTATCGGGACACCTGTCACTGGATTTAAGGGCCGCCAGGAGAAGCTGGGATAATCTCAAGATCTTTAATCGAATTACATCTACAAAGATCCTATTTTAACGTAAGGTCTTACTCTGAGGTTCCGGGTCAATGTGACTTTCTTGGGTGGGGGTCACTACCACCCCAGCACCAATGCTTTTCCCAGCTCCACCTGTGTTACCGTGTCAGTGACCAGGAGCGTTCCCCGGGACACCTGCCTGCTTGTAGCTGTTTCCACGGCTTCCTGCACAGGTTCTGCGTCCGCAGTTGGGAGCACCAGGCCAGGCAGCTGTCACATAGGAGGAGGACAGCTCTCCGGGACAAGCCCCTGCTGCCCGGCACCCGCGCCCACCCCTGCCTGGGTTTGGGGTTGGGTTTTGTGGGCAGAGGTTCAGGCTGACAGTGGAGGTTGGGAAGAGCAGACACAGCATGGTGGGTAGCACTGGAAGCCCTGGGTGGAAGGGATGGTGGGAGATGCTGGGCCATCTGGGTCTGCAGTGGGAGACCAGGACAGGAGCCCAGGTCCATTGGGAGGCCCCATGCTGAAGACGGAGGCACGGGGAGCGGGGGGAGCAATGGACTCACGGGGACAGCAGCAGACATGAAAAGGCCTCCGAGGCCAAGTGTGAGGATGCCGGGTCCCAGCACTGAGGTGTCCTGCAGCTGGACCTGTCAGGTGTCCACCCACCCCTGGCAGCTGCATGTCCTTTGACGGCCTATAGGCTGAG
Source organism: Homo sapiens (assembly GCF_000001405.40). NCBI lineage: Eukaryota > Metazoa > Chordata > Mammalia > Primates > Hominidae > Homo > Homo sapiens. Next base: position 787,795 of record NC_000005.10, read on the forward strand.
CAGCTTCTCTGGGCCCCGTGGGGGTGTGTCCCACAGCAGGTGAGCAGTCAGGGCCCCTTGAGAACCCTAACCAGCTCCTGTGTGGGCCCTGGGCTGGGGACAAGCTACAGCCTAGGTGCATGAGGTCAGAGGGGGTGGTCAGTGAAGTAACGACGTGCCTGCCTGGGTGTGGGGCCTGGGAAGCCTCATGGGGGTGTTGAAGCAGCTCCCACGGGTCCTTGGCAGCTTAGGGAAAATGTCTGCCGGGATATGTGTGTGCACCTGTGAGAGTGTGAGAGTGTGCACATGCATGCGTGTGTTTGTGCATTCCTATGTGTGAATGTGCACCTGTATGTGTGAGTATGCATGCCGGTGTATGTATGTTGGTATGTGTTCAGCTGTGTATGTTCAGCTGTGTGTGTGTCTATTTGTGTGTCTCTGTGTTTGTATGAGTGTGTCTGCGTGTGCCTGTCTGTGTGTGCATGTGTGTTTGCACCTGTATGTCCACGTGCCTGTGTCTGTGTGTTTGCATGTGTGTGCATGTGTCTGTGTGCCTGCATGTGCCTGTGTGTGCATGGGCCTGTGTGTCTTTGTGTGCATGTGTGTGTGTTTGCACCTGTGTGTGTGCACGTGCCTGTGTGTGTTTGGGCTGTGATTGCATCTGGTTATTCTGGGGGTGGAATTGCTGTGGAACATGGAATTAAAGTGCAGGTTCCGGGTCTTGCTGCCAGGGAGCGACTCTGGCCCCCCATCACATGCCTGTGACCCAGAGAACGGCAGGTGAGCCTTGCGGCCTCACTGTTGCCACTGGTCAGGTGCTGATGAGGACGGGAAGCCAAATGGGGCTGTTCAGCCCTAGGCAGAGCTGCTTGGAGCACATTCTTAATACGCCAGCCATCGCTACCTCAGTTCCACAGCCGATATTAGGGAAGAAAGATGCGGGGACACGGCAACAGGACAGCGTGCTGGGCAGAAAAGATGTGGACAGGAGCCCATGCCTGGCAGAGACACGGAGGACCAGAGAGGATGGCGTCGCAGAGCAGAGGGCCGCAGAGAAGGGAGTCACTGGTGTCTGCAGTGGAGAGGACACACCCCTCTGGCAAGGGCAGGGGCTGAGGCCCTGGGTGTGGCTTTCAGACGCAGTGGGCAATGAGCTCTGTAAAGCCGAGATGGCTCCAAGCAGACCACAAGGAGCCTGGTCAGCTTCTGTCCCTGCAACTGTTTTCCCCACTGCCGGAAGTGGCTTCACTTGTGTGGATGTCCTGCACTCAGCCCAGGACTAGATGGATTCACAGCCAGATTCTACCAAACATATGAAGAACTAATACCAATCCTTCTGAAACTATTCCAAGAAATCGAAGAGGGGGGATATCTCTCTAACTCATTCTATGAGGCCAGTATCACCCTCGGACCAAAACCAGACAAAGGCGCAACAAAAAAAGAAAACTCCAGATCAATATCCCTGTGAATATAGATGCAAAAATCCTCAACGAAATACCAGAAAATAGAACCCAACAGCACATCAAAAGGATAATACACCCTGATCAGGTGGGATTTATCCCAGGGACGCAAATCAATAAATGTGACGTATCACATGAACAGAATTAAGGATAAAAACCATATGATCATTAAATAGATGCAGAAAAAGCATTTGATTAAATTCAGCCTCTCTTCATGATAAAAATTCTCAACAAATGAGGCATAGAAGGAACATGCATCAACATAATAAAAGCCTCATATGACAGATCCACAGCCAACATCAGAATTAAGGGGGAAAAGTTGAAAGTATTCCCTCTAAGAACTGGTATAAGACATAGATGCCTACTTTCACCACTCTTATGCAACACAGTACTGAAAGTCCTGGCCAGAGCAATCAGTCAAGAGAAAGAAATAAAGGGAATGCACACTGGAGAAGAAGGAGCCCAAACTATCCCTTTCTGCTGATGAAATGATATTCTATATAGAAAACCCTGAAGACTTGTATCACTGCTGGTAAAGACATACCTGAGACTGGGTAATTTATAAACAAAAAGAGGTTTCATGGACTCACAGTTCCACATGGCTGGGGAGGCCTCACAGTCATGGTGGACGGCAAAAGGCAGATCATACACATCAGCAGGCGAGAGAGAGGGTGAAAGCCAAGTGAAAGGGGTTTCCCCTTATAAAACCGTCAGGTCTCGTGAGACTTATTCACTCCCATGAGAAAAGGATGGTGAAAACTGCCCCCATGATTCAATTGTCTCCTACCCAGTCCCTCCCACAACACATGGGAATTATGGGAGTTACAATTCAAGATGAGATTTGGATGGGGACACAGCCAAACCATATTAAGACTCCACCAAAAAACTCTTAGATTTGATAAATTCTGTAGCATTTAAGGACACAAAATTAATGTACAAAAATCAATAGCATTCTTATATACCAATAACAATCTGGCCAAGAACCAAATCAGGAAGGCAATCTCATTTATTATAGCTACAAAAAATTACCTAGATATGTATTTAACCAAGGAAGTGAAAGATATTTATAAGGAGAACTACAAAACACTGATGAAAGAAATCATACATGACAAATAGAAAAGCACCCCATGCTCATGGATTGGAAGAATCACTACTGTTAAAAATTATCATACTGTACAAAGCAATCTACAGACCCAACACACTCTCTATCAAATTAGGAAAAAAATCCTAAAATTCACATCGAACCCAAAAAGAGCCCAACTAGCCAAAGCAATCCAAAGCTAAAAGAACAAAGTTGCAGGCATCACATTACCTGACTTCAAACTATACTACAAGGGTATGGTAACCAAAACAGCATGGTAGTAGTACAAAAATAGACATCTAGATTAATGGAACAGAATAGAGGACTGAGAAATAAAGACACAAAGTCAATAAAAATATACACTGAGGAAATGACACCCTTTTCAATAAATGGTGCTGGGAAAACTGTATTGGCATATGCAGCAGAATGAAACTGGACAAATACCTCTCACCATATACAAAAGTTAACTCAAGAGGGATTGAAGACCTAAACATAAGAGCAAAAACTATAAAAATCCTAGAAGAAAACTTAGGAAAAATTCTTCTGGACATTGGCCTAGGCAAAGAATTTATGAACAAGTCCTCAAGAGCAACTGCAACAAAAACAAAAATAGACAAATGGAACTTAAACTAGAAACCTTCTGCACAGCAAAAGAAACTATCAACAGGGTAAATAGACAACCTGCAGAATGGGAAAATATTTGCAAACTATGCATCTGACAAAGGGCTAATATCCACAATCTACAAGGAACTCAAACCAAATAAGCCCATTAAAAAGTGGGCAAAGGATATGAACAGCCATTTTTACAAAGAAGACACAAAAGTGGTCAAAAAACATGAAAAAAATGCTCAACATCACCAATTATCAGAGAAAGGCAAATTAAAATCTGAATGCAATACCATCTTAGACAAGTCAGAATGGCTATTATTAAAGTCTAAAAGTAAGAGATTTTAGTGAAGATGTGGAGAAAGGGGAATGCTGAAGTACTGTTGGTGGGAATGTAAATCAGTGTAGTCTTTCTGGAAAACAATATGGAGATTTCTCAAAGAACTAAAAATAGAACAACTATTTGGTTCAGCAACCCCACTACTCGGTATATACCCAAAGGGAAAGAATTAATTATATCAAAAACCACCTGCACTTGTATGTTTATCACAATACTATTCACAACAGAAAAGAAAATGGATCAACCTAAGCGTCTATCAGTGGAGGGCTGGTTAAAGAAAATGTAGCATATATACACAAGGTAATACTACCCATCCGTAACAAAGAATGAAATCATATCTTTTGAGCAACATAGATAGAGGCCATTATCCTGAGTGAAATAACTCAGAAACAAAAAGTCAAATACCACATGTTCTCAAGTATAAGTGGGAGCTAAACAATGTGTACACATGGACATATGGAGTGGAATAAGATGACACTGGAAACTCCAAAAGATGGGAGGGTGGAAGGGGGTGAGAGTTGAAAAATTACTTCTTCAGTACAATGTTCACTATTCAGGCGATGGGTACACTAAAAGCCCAGATGTCACCACTATGCAATATATGCGTGGAAGAAATCTGCACTTCTACCCCTTACATCTATAAACATTTTAAAACTCTGTTCTTAAATAACTGCATCTCAGAATAAGATTTTATCTTATCTGCCTCCCTGAATAAGGTTTACCCAGGTGTGGATTTCTTCTTTTTATTTATGCAGCTCGTCATAAATCAACTCTTCATATACCTGTGGATTCATGTCTTTTGTCAGTTCTGTGAAATCCTCAGGAATATTTATAGGACTACAGAAATATCCAACACCAGAGAAGACAACAATTTTTGACAACCAATCAGAAATATTAGGCACACAAACAAGTGGGAAAATAGGAGCCATAAGGAGGCAAATGAGTCTATTAAAACTGATCCAGAACGGACACAAGGGCATTAAACAATATCAAAACTACATTCCACGTATTGTAAAAGCTAATTTGAGGCACAGAAGATATAACAACACTCTGGATCACTGTTCTAGAGGTGAAAGCTAGAACGTATAAAATGAGAACTGCACTGCATGGGATTAATGGCAGATTAGATGTTAAAGAAGAAAAGATTATTCATTGTGAAACCATGGCAATATAAACTATCCAAAATGAAACCAAAAGCAAAGAGGATTTAAAAAAATTTAAGCCAAATTATCTGTGATCTGTGGGACAACTTCAAGTGGCTTAATATATGTTTAATTGAAGTCCCCAAAGGACAGAAGAAAACATGAGGAATGAGGGTAGTGCATTAAAAAAGATGTTTGGAAAAATAATGACAACATTTTTTTCCAAATTCGATGTAAACTAGTAACCTACAGATGCAAGAAGTTCAATGTACCTCAAGCACAAGTACCATTGAAGAAAATTACATCATGTCTCATTATAATCAAATCGCTCAATCCCAGTGATAAATAGAAATTTTAAAAGCAGACAGGAAAAAATGTCAGACAAAGTATGTAAAGGGGAACACTGGTCCATCCCATAGAAGTTATTTGAGACTTGTTGAGGCTAGTAAGCAGTGTTTTGGGCAATATTCCTTGTGTGCCTAAGGAGAATGCACATTTTCTATTAATAAATGAGCTTGCAGTTCCACAGATATCCCATAATTCAAGCCTGTTAATGGTGTTGTCCAAATCTATGTTTTTATTATTTTAAAAATATGATTGACCTGACAGTAATTGAGAGTTGCATTGAAAACTTCCACAAGTCACGGTGAATTTTAAAAAATTATTCCCTGTGGGCTCTGTGTTTGCTTTATGCATTTTCCCTCAATAAATACATCTTTTTTGAAGTCCCATTAGTGTAGGATTGTTGGTGGTAAACTTGGCTTTGATTTATCTGGAAATGTGATTAATTTGCTCTTTTTCCTAAAGATAGTGTTGCTGGGTACATAATTCCAGATCAAAAGTTGTTTTTTTTTTTTGTCACACTTTGTATTATTTATCTATCTACTGTTCTTATGATTAATACATCTGCTGTCGAACTGCTTTTCTTCTGTGGATGATTTGTTGTTTCTTTCTGGTTTTTAAAGTTAGATTTTCTTTTGTGTTCCACCTTACCCTACAATGTATTTAGGCCTGGATTTCTTATTTTTATTCGTGCAGCTTGTCATGAATTACTCCTCATATACCTGTGGATTCAGGTCTTTTGTCAGAAATTACCCAGGTTCAGGTGTTTCTTTATAGCAATGCAAAAATGGGTTCATTCAGAAAATTGGCACTGAGGAGCAGGACACTGCTATAAAGATACCTGAAAATGTGGTAGTAGCTTTGGAAGTGGGTAATGAGCAGAGGTTGGAAGACTTTAGAGGGCTCAGAAGAAGACAGAAAGATGAGAGAAAGTTTGGAACTTAGTGACTTATTAAGTGGTTGGAACCAAAATGCAGATAGAAATATGGATAATGAAGGCCAGGCTGACAAGATCTCAGATGGAAACGAGGAAGTTATTGGGAACTGGAGCAAAGGTCACCCTTGTGTGCCTTAGCAAAGAGCTTGGCTACATTGTATTTGTGTCCTAGTGATCTGTGGAAGTTTGAACTTAAGAATGGTAACCTAGCGCATCTGGCAGAAGATATTTCTAAGCAGCTAAACATTCAAGAGGTGACATGGCTGCTTCTAACAACCTATGATCAGATAGGGGAGCAAATGAATGACTTAAAGTTGGAATTTATACCAAAAGGAAGCAGGCTGTAAAAGTTTGGAAAATTTGCAGCTTAGCCATGTGGTAGAGAAAGAAAAAAATGTTTTCAGGAGAGGAATCCAAACAGGCTGCAGAACAACCACTTACTAGAGAGATTTGCATGGCTAAAAGGGAGCCAAGTGCTAATATCCAAGACAATGGGAAAAAGACCTTGAAGACATTTCAAAGATCTTCGCAGCAGCCCCTCCCATCACAGGCCCAGAGGCCTAGGAGAAAAGAATGGCTTAATGGGCCAGGACTAGGACCCTGATGCCCTGTGCAGCCTCGGGACACTGGTCCCTGTATCCCAACTTCTTCAGCTACAGTGGTGGTTCAACAGTCTCCAGGTACAGTGTGGACTGCTGCTCTAGAGGGTAAGCCTTGCTGGCTTCCAAGTGGTGTGAAATCTGCAGGAACACAGAACACAAGAGTGAAGGGGCATTGGCAGCTTCCCCCTAGATTACAGAGGATGTGTTGGAAAACCTGGGTGCCCAGGCAGAAGCCTGCTGCAGCAGCAGAGCCCTCACAGAGATACCCTATGAGGGCAATGCTGAGAGGAGAGGTAGGGTTGGAGCCCCACACAGACTCCCCACCAGGGCACTGCCTAGTGGAGCTGTCAGCAGAGGGCTTCTGCCCTCCAGACCCCAGAATGTTTGATCTACTGGCAGCTTGCAACCTCAGCCTGGAAAAGCCACAAGTACTCAACTCTAACCCATGAGATTGGCTGCAGGAGCCACAACCTGCAAAGCCACAGGGGTGGAGTTGTACAAGGCCCTGGGAGCCCACACCTCACACCAGTGTGCCTCATGGAGTCAGAGGAGATTATTTTGGAACTTTAAGGTTTAATGTCTGCCCTGCTGAGTTTCAGACTTGCTTGGAGCCTGTAGCCTCTTTCTTTTGGCCAATTTCTTCCTTTTGGAATAGGTATGTTTACCCAGTGCCTGTACCATCATTGTATCCATTGTATCTGGGAAGTAAATCACTTGTTTTTGATCTCACAGGCTCATAGGTGAAAGGAATTCATCTCCAGATGAGACTTTGGACTTGGCATTTTTGATTGAGTTGATCCTGGAATGAGTTTAGACTTTCAGGGACTATTGAGAAGGGATGATTATATGTTGCAAGGCGAGCTGGACATGAGATTTGAGGGACCAGGGATGGAATGATAAAGCTTGGAGGTTTGTCCCCTCCAAATCCCATGTTGAGATGTAATCCCCAGTGTTGGAGGTGGGGCCTGGTGGGAGGTGTTTGAATCATGGGAGCAGGTTCCTCATAAATAGTTTAGTGCCATCCCCTTGGTGATGAGTGAGTCCTTGCTCTGGTAGTTCACTTGAGATCTGGTCATTTAAAAATGCATGGTGCTCCCTCAACCCCACCACTCTCTCTTGCTCCTGCTCTTACTACATGATGTGTTGGCTCTCACCCCACCTTCAGCCATGACGGAAGCTTCCTGAGGACTCACCAGAAGCCAAGCAGATGCCAGCACCATGCTTCCTGTACAGCCTGCACAACTGTGAGCCAGTTTAACCTGTTTTTAAATAAATTACCCAGCCTCAGGTATTTCTTTACAGAAACACAAAAACAGCCCAATGCACGTAGTAACTTATAGATATATTTGGAAAACTGATTATCTTTTAAAAAATGACTACTAAACAGATTAAAATGCAGAGTTCATTAAAATACAGAGGATGCCTCTGGTTCTCTGGTATTGACTCTTTTTGTCTACTAAGATAAGAAGTCTGGGCTAGGCTGAAAAACTCAGAATCCAGGTCTGGGGTTTCCCAGTACTATGCTCCCATTTCCCAGTACTGTGCTCCCATTTCCCAGTACTATGCTCCCATTTCCGAGTACTGTGAACTCCCCTTTCCCAGTACTGTGGGCTCCCATTTCCCAGTACTGTGCTCCCATTTCCCAGTACTGTGTGCTCCCATTTCTCAGTACTGTATGCCCATTTCCCAGTACTGTGCTCCCATTTCTCAGTAGTGTACTCCCATTTCTCAGTACTGTGCTCCCACTTCTCAGTACTGTGCTCCCACTTCCCAGTACTGTGCTCCCATTTCCCAATACTGTGCTCCCATTTTGCAGTGCTGTGAGCCCCCATTTCCCAGTACTGTGCTCCCATTTCCCAGTACTGTGCTCCCATTTCCTAGTACTGTGCTCCCATTTCCCAGTACTGTGCTCACAGGTGTGAGCCAACATGCCCGGCCCATCAGCTCTTAAGCAGCAAGAGGCCCTGCAGCTGGCTGGCTGGCTGGACAGCACAGTTAAGCAGGTGGCTGCATCCTCTGCAGTTGCTGGCAGCCCATCTTCCTGGAGATGTAAACCCTCCTGCAAGGCTGGCTCTTCTTTGGGTGTGATGAAGATGATGACAGAGATGGATGCTGGGCTCTGAGGGTCCTGGTTCCTTCGAAGGACATCCAGGGGCCTCTGAGATGATGGGCTCTGGTTCCTGGCCTGTAGCATGGGTAGGAGCAGGAGGCTTTGCAAGGTAGACTCTACAGGCAGGACCTTGATGGAGGGTGGGGTTTCAGGGTAGAAGACCTGGATCACAGGGGCACCTGAGCTCCTGCAGGACAAAACAAAGTCACTCTTTGAGCAGCCACCAGGGAGGAAGCTCAGCTCTACTTGTGATGGAAACCCACCGGTGGCTTTTACCCCAACCTGTTGCCTGGAGAGGCAGGGCTGGTTTCTGGGTGGATCATCACCTTGGCTTAGACACAGAGCCCCACTCCCAGCTGGGTCTAGTGAGAGTCCTCCCGAGCCAGGCTCCTGCCCTCCCCATCCTTCCAGAAAGCTTAGAGATGAGTGCATCACCGACAGAGGCCATTTTCTATTGTTCTTCTTCGGAAATACATCCTTTTGAAAGATAACCCATCTTTTATCACTAGATATTTTAAAAAATATTTTCTTTGGCCAGGTGTGGTGGCTCACACCTGTAATCCCAGCACTTTGGGAGTCCGAGGCGGGTGGATCATGAGGTCAGGAGATCGAGACCTTCCTGGCTAATACAGTGAACCCCCGTCTCTACTAAAAATACAAAAAATTAGCTGGGTGTGGTGGTGGGCAACTGTAGGCCCAGCTACTCAGGAAGCTGAGGCAGGAGAATGTTGTGAACCCGGGAGGCGGAGTTTGCAGTGAGCCAAGATTGGGCCACTGCACTCCAGCCTGGGTGACACAGCGAGACTCTGTCTAAATACATATGTGTGTGTGTGTATATATATATATATTCTTTGTTTACGGCATTTATCAATTGAATTATGTTGTGTCTAGAATTTTATTTCCCCTTCTTGGATTCACTGGGCTTTATGAATCTGTGAGTTGGTGTCTTCTAACAATGTTGGCAAATTCTCAGCCAAATCTCCTTAAATATGACATCTTCCCAATTTTCTCTCTTTTCTCTTTCTAGGACTCTAAACATAACATAGCCTTCAAACTGTATTCTCATTCATTTTTTTCACATTTTGCGTTTCTGTCACTTTGTATCTATTTCAGTAATTTCTTCAGCTCTAGATTCTAGTTCCCTAATTCACTTTTCAACTGTCTAATTTGTTGTTAAATCCATCCACTTTAAAAAAAATCAGTGATATTTCTCATAAGTTTTATTTGGTGTTTTTCCATATCTGCTTTGTAATTTAAAAAATAGTTTTCTGTTCTCTTCAGATATTTCTGACTTTGTGTTTTCTTCATGTTTTGGTCTGCCAAATTCAACATCTGAAATATTTATGTGTCTGTTTCTACTACGTTTTCTGCTGCTTCTCACTCAGTGCTTTATTTTCACATGTGGTGGGTTGTTTTTCATTGAGAATTGCTTCTTTGCTTTGTAGTTTTATTTTTGAGAAATCTTTGAGGCTTAGGATGAAGGTTTGTTACTCAGAAGGAATTATGCTTGGCTCCTGGGAATGACCAGTTCAGAATCACTCTCTATTAAATTCTCAGCTTGGGGACTTTTGGTCACCCACCTCACACAAATTTAGGGAGAACCTGTTGCTCCAAATACTCGGCAGTGATTTTTCTCTTTTTCTTTCAGCTCTAGGGCTTGAAATGACTGATCCCCCCTGATTCCTTTGCGGGTAGAGAAGTGAGTTGCCTCTAGTTTGCCACTGCAATGAGGGTACCGCCCTCTGGGGGCCCTTACTTTAAGAGATTACTGATTGGCTTGCCATTTTGGCTGTGCTCTCAGCTTGATCTTCCATTTGTATCTCTTGAAAAGGTGAAAATGAAGTTGACCAGGTTTCACAAATGCCCTCAGGGCAAAGGCCAGCTGCACTCCCCACTAGATTTCTCTTTGGGTTCCTCTGTGCCTTCAACCATGGCCTGAGAATTCCTTATGTCTCCTCAGTTCATTAATGCCTTTAAGAATATTTACACTCGCACTCACATGGACACGGACACGCGCACGCGTGCACACACACACCCTTAACTTGCTCAGTTTCGGAGCATTGTCCGATCCTTGTAAGTGACTTGCCACATGACTAGAACCTCTGGCTTCATTTCACTCCTTCTTTCTTTCCCCTCCCTTTTCCCTTTATGCCATCGGTCTGTATTCCACGATCTTTAAAATCTACCTTAAGTACTTTCTGGGATTATGTAAAAATCAGACAACTCTCCTAGCCACCATCCTTTTCTAGAGATAGGAGTGACTGACTCCTACACCACAGGCACTTTGGAGGGGTAAGGTGTAATACTGAAGAAGTGTTTTGTGTGGTCTACAGTAATTCACAACTCTAAGACGTTATCACAGCGAACATTTGCTGTTTAAAACCTTAGTGGTGAATATTTTTTTTTTTGAATGAGGCTAATTCATTTCGAAAGCACCCTAGGAAGACCAGATGCTTTTGAAATGATTTAGACTCATTCAAAAATAATGCAAATGATAAAGAGCATGCAAATGATAAAGAATGTGACCTGAAATTATCTGCAACTTCAGCAGACAAGCTGTGGTTGGCTGAGTTTGGGCTTCTATAAAACACACTGAGCCATCTTGTTTCAGTCACTAATCAAGCTCTGCCCTGGGAGCTTGCTCTTTGCTGTGGTTTGGACATCTGACCCTTCCAAACCTTATGTTGAAATTTGATCTCCATTGTTGGAGATGGGGCCTCATAGGACGTGTTTGTGTCATGGGGCTGGACCCCCTATGAACAGATTAATGCCCTCCCTCTGAAGGGAGTGAGTTCATGCTCAAGTACTTCTTGCTCTAACGAACCCATGAGACCTTGTTGTCGAAAAGGGCCTGGAGCCTCCCCCAGCCCTTCGCCTCCTCTCTCTCCATGTGATCTCTGCACATGTCAGCTCCCTTCACCTTCTGCTGTTAGTGGAAGAAGGCTGAGACCCTCACCACATGCAGAGCTCAATCTTCAACTTTTCAGCCATCAGAATCATAAGCCAAATACACGATTTTTCTTTATAAATTACCCAGGCTCAAGTGTTTCTTTGTAGTAACACTGACAGACTAAGACACGCCTTGTGTCCATCACTGTTAGTCACTGTTGCTCACGGAAGGGAGTCCACAGCTCCATTTGATGCTCACATGGAAGGATGTCCACAGAAGCTGTCAGTTTTTGCAGATTATTTGCAAGTTGATGCTTCGGCCAAGCGTCCAGCTCCACTTCTCAGGCTCTGCTACTCCTCAGCCATTTCACTGTTCCACACAAAGGAAATGGTGGGAGGAGCACGTAGACTCAGGCGCTGTTCTATAGACATTCTACATGAGCTCAAGTTGTAGCTTCTTAAGTTTGTCCTCCATACCACTGAGACAATTTTTTACTGCACCAATTTACTTCTTCTTTCCTTGAAAGATTTTAATTTTGCAACTTCATGGTCAGTTTCTTGCAATCTTTCCACATCTCTTTCATCTCCCCTTCAATCTCAGTGGATTTGTCTTCTCATCTCAACTTGTCTCCAATTATGATTTTGACTCCTGCCTCATGAAGACCCTGTGCTATGCATCTCAAACACTTTTTTTTCTAGAGAACAATTTTCACAGGTTTGCTGTCTCTCTGGGCTTTCAAGGTGATGTCTATTCCCAGTTCTGCAAAATTTTCACAGGATATACACAGAACCATGAGTCCTACCCTCTTGTCCTCTAGGGTGCTGGTCAGGGCTGTGCTGCTGGGAGACCTTGACCTTCCTCAGGGCTCTATGGCACCCAGACGGCTGTGGGAAGCTGCCTGGAGCACAGGAACTCTGAGGATACCAGGGCTTTTGATGTTTTGCCCGATCATAGGGCTTTTCTTGTATGGATCATGCCTTTCAGGATACAGTATGCCCTATACCCTTTTCCTGTCCAGCTAGCTTTTGGGAGGTGCCTCTCTGAAGCATTGTGAGAAGGCAGGTACTGAACGGTAGACTTCAGGGTGTAAAGCAGCTTGCTTTGCCTTGGAAAGCCAAGGTAACACCTTAGAGAAAGGGTTGCAGTCTCATTTTAAGGTACAATCATGTCTCATGTTTCTTAGCTGAGGGGATATAGTAGTGGAGGGAGAGCATGCCCCTCTGTTTTCAAGTGCTCAGTCTACCTATTCTGCTGGCAGAGCATGTCTGGATGGTTTGCCAACTCATGTGTGTGCCTGATAGCAAATTCCTTTAGCCTTCTAGTGAGTAAACTTTCCCCCTGATTCTGGAAGTAAATGATCATTTGTTTCACGGTTAAATTTCACTGCATTCTATGGATCGTCCTAAATGTTTAAGCAGAAAGCAGGGATAGGTACGGTCAGAGGCATCTAATCAGAGACCATCTTAAAATGGCAGGTGTTCATTATTTAAAGTTCTTAGATCAGTACAATTGGGTGAAAATAATTCTTAGTTTAGACTTAAAGGCAAGTATGGAAATGAGAGGTGTTCAATCTATACATTGTTTACTGCCTAGAAAATAAAGATGAATTGATACTCTCACAGCTCGGCTGCCATGCACTACTTCTAAAGATGGACACACGGTTCCTGTTCTGGGGTTACTGTTGACATCAAGAGACAAACGACAAGCAGCCCAGCCCTTGAGTTTGCACTGGTGATTTTTTAAAGAAGATATTTCACTCTCTAGAGAACCAAACTTGGGTAGATTTCAACATGACCCGCACTGCCACGTATCTTACCTGAATCTCAGTCTTCACTTTCAGCACTGTCAGTTTTCATGGGCTCTGTTGTTTCTTGTTGCAGCCTGTTTGCAATATTCAGAAAGAGAAACAACAGAGAACGTATGATGTAATACTTGTTATAATGCCAAAGTGCACAAAATGTGTAAACAAGAGTACATTTTAGAGATTAGCTTGTGACGTGGGCAATCACTTCACCTCTCTGAGTTTCAGAGCCTTCATTTTTGTGAAAACAGTAACATGACTGCACTGCTGAAAGAATGTTGCTTTTTTCTTCTGCATGTGTGCTGATATAGAGACAAAGTGTGCTTTCCCTGATAAATAAGAGGGTCTTGTGGTAGCCAAGGAGGCTTGTTTGGATTTCCAGCATGAAAAGTGGGGAAATGTGGGGCCCACAGGAGGTCAGCTCATGCCTGGTACCTTCTTCTCACAACTCTTGCTTGATTGTGATGAGTTCTGGCTATCAGGGAGCCTTAAGTGTTTTTATACCCACATCTTGAGTACAGGTGTTTTGTTCTCTGCCCTGATGTTACACTACCCCAGCCAGCTAATGACTTGATTGTTTATGTGTGCTGGCCAGCTGGCAGTAGAAGTGACCGTGTTGCTGCCCAGACTTTGCAGAGGGTTGGAGATCGGGCTTAACTTGCAACGCTGAATGTGTCGGGAATTAGACACCAGAAACACGCAAAATTTTGCTTTGAAAGATTTTGAAAGACCCACAAGCAAAATAGTCACTAGGAGACTTCTAAATCAAAACTGCGTATCCATCACATGCTATAGTCTCCCTTCTCTGATCCAATCCTTAAAAATTATAATCAGGATATAAATGTATCCATAAATGAGTAAGGACATTACATCAAAGAAAAGCAAGAGGGAAACCTTTCTTGGATCAGAAATGATGACTCCTAGAAGGAAAGGATGCAAATGGGAGCTGATGCAGAAGGCCATGGTCAGGAGTGTGCTGCAGAACCTGGAAGAGACCCCCAGGAATTGCCACAGAGGAGCAGTGGATGCTCAGCTGGGCAGGGCTCCTGATGGGGTGATTAGCTGGGGGACTTGTAGGCTGAGCGGCCAGGCAGTGACTGCTGCTGCAAGACTTCCCAAACCATAGGCAACAATGGGAGTGTCTGCCACCAGATTATTGCAGGGGGAGCAGTAGTCTTGGTAGACACAGAGAAGTGCTAGGAAAAAATGCACAGAAGGAAGTGACAGGACTCAGTAAGCAAAGGAGAACTGGGGTATCACCAAACGAATCCAAAAATTACTGAGAATAAAGAGAAAATAAAATATTAATTTCAAATGAAAACATAAAGGCATGACAAAGTATGATAGGTGAAATGGTGGAGGATTGTGAGACATACAGGTTGGTGGGGAAGAATGTAGATAATTGTGTTGTAAAAGTGTGTAAGTATGTATATAAAAATGGAGAGGAAGTTTACCTAAAGACAAAATGGTATTGTAGAAAGCTATAGAGGCTGGTCCTTCCACTGAAACAACCATTGAGCTATAAAGAGCAATTGCAATGAATTATTTGGAAACTCTGCAACCTGGTCAGACATCTATGGGAGAGTGCTTGAAGAAAGGAGAAGCTGGGCTGGGTGCGGTGGCTCACACCTGTAATCCCAGCACTTTGGGAGACCGAGGTGGGTGGATCACGAGGTCAGGAGATCGAGACCATCCTGGCTAACATGGTGAAACTCTGTCTCTACTAAAAATACAAAAATACAAAAAAAAAAAAAAAAAAAAAAAAAAAAAAAAAAAAAAAAAAAAAAAAAGCTAAATGTGGTGGTTAGTGCCTGTAGTCCCAGTTACTTGGGAGGCTGAGGCAGGAGAATGGTGTGAACCTGGGAGGTGGAGCTTGCAGTGAGCAGAGATTGTGCCACTGCACTCTAGCCTGGGCGACAGAGCGAGACTCTATCTCAAAAAAAAAAAAGAAAAAGAAAGGAGAAGCTGCTGGTCTTTCGTGAATGGTGTACATGAGCCAGCTACCGCCTCGATTTCTTAGTCTTCCTGTGGCTATAAGGGCAGCAACCTACATTCTTGGAGCAGCTGGCTGATGTCACAGTGAGCATCAGGAACCTTGTCCTCAATAAATTTGAGGTGGTACATTTTGGTTAGTCTGGTGGTGCCCTGAGGGATCAATACAGAGGCTTGCCTTGGTTTTGATCCACTTGGCAGCAGTGGCTTCCTCCAGCAGCATCCCTTGGAAGATTTACAGAGACAGACATTCCCCCCTTGTTTGTAGCTTGTTTGTAGCTAGATATTTGAGGAAATCTTTGATAGTTCACTAACTGGTCATAGAGATAAAGGAAGAGCAACTTCAGTGACAAGAAATACACATTTTGCAAAACTACTTTGGAAAGGGCACAAACTGATGGTTCCAGCCTTTAACAAGAGAAAATCCACAGTCCCAGAGGAGGAGAAGCACTTGATTTTTAGAGTTACCATATTATGATACACAGAATGTCCAGTTTTTAACAAAAAATTATAGAACATATAAAGAAATAGAATAATATGGCCCACTCACAGGGGAAAAAGACTTGGCATAAACTATGTCTGTGAAAGTTCAGACATTTGAACTACTAGTCAAACACATTAAATCAGCTGTCTTAAATATGCTCAGTAAACTACAGGAAGTCACTGACAACTAAATAAAGTAGGAAAATTACATATGAGCAAATTAGATTAGTAGTAGAGATAGAAATTATATATTTTTTAAAAACCAAAAAGAAACTGGAGCTGGAAAGTACATAACTGAAATAAAAAGTTCATTAGAAGAGTTCAACAGATTTGAGCAAGCAGAAGAAAGGATCAGCTAAGTTGAAGACAATCGAAATTATCCAGTCTTAGGACCAGAAAAAAAAAAAAGATTAAGGAAGATGAACAGAGCTTGAAAGGTTTGTTAGACACCATCAAGGGTACCAACATATGCAACATAGGAGTCTCCAAAGTAGAAGAGAAAAGGAAAGAGGCAGAAAAAATACAGTGTTCGCCCATTATCAGCAGTTGTGTTTTCTGCACTTTCAGTTACCTCTGGGTAACCACAGTCCAATAATATTAAATGGAAAATTCCAGAAATAAACAATTCACAAGTTTTAAATTGTGTGTAGTTCTCAGTAGCATGATGAAATATCATTCTGCCCTGCTCTGCCCACCCAGGACATGAATCATTCCTTTGTCCAGCATATCCATGCTGTATACACAATCTGCCCATTAATGTACAGGAAAAAACATAGTGTATACAGGGTTTGGTACTATCTACAGTTTCAGATACTTACTGAGAGTCTTGGAACGTATCCCCCACAGATAATGGGGGAGCAGGAGACTACTCTATTTAAAGAAATAATGGCTGAAAACTTTCCAAATCTAATTAAAGGAATGAATCTACACATCCAAGGAGCTCAACGAATTCCAAGCAGGCTATACGCCAAAAGATCTACACCAAGACACATTACAGTTAGATTGTTAAGGCATAGACAACAAGAGAATTTTGAAGGCAGGCAGAGAGAAGTGACTAATCAGAATCAAGAGATCCTTAGTAAAATTATCAGGTGATTTCTCATTAGAAACTAAGGAGGCTCAAAGGCAGTGGGGTGACATAGTTAAATGCCCTGGAAGGTGGAAAATACCTGTCAACCAAGAATTCTATATGTGACAAATCTATCCTTCCAGAATAAAGCAATAACTAAGGCATTCTCACATAGACAAAAATTGAGGGAATTCATTATCAGCAGACCTACCCTAAAAGAAATATTAAATAAATTATTTAGTCCTAAATGAAGACACTAGACAGTAACTCAAAACCATACAAAGAAATAAAGAACATTGGCAAAAAAATAAAGAACACAGGTAAATATACAAGTCAATAATATTGTACTTTTGGTTTGTAACTCTTTTTTTCTATATAATTTAAAAGTCAAATGCATATTACAATAATTATAAATATTGTTAATGGGTGCACACTGTATAAAGATGTAATCAATGACAACAGCAATATAAAGGGTGAGGGATGGAGATGGATAAAAGCAGTGTTTGTGTACTATTGAAACTAAGTTGGGGCTGACTGTAGTGGCTTACTCCTGTAATCCTAGCCTTTGGGAGGCTAAAGTGGGAGGATCGTGTGAGACCAGGAGTTCAAGTCCAGCCTGGCAACATACTGATACCCCATTTCCACAAAAATAATTTAAAATTAGCCAGGCGTGGTGATGTGTGCCTGTAGTCCTAGTTACTTGGAAGGTTGAGGTGGAAAGATTGCTTGAGCCCAGGAGTAGGAGGTTGTAGTGAGTTATCACTGTGCACTCCAGCCTGGGCAACAGACTGAGTCCTGTCTCAAAAAAAAATCTACATTGGTATTCAAACTAGGGTGTTATACATTTAAGACATTAATTATTATCCCCAGCATAACCACTAGGAAGATAATTAGAAAATGTACAAAAAAGGAAAGAACAAAGGGATCAAAATGGAACATTACAAACATTCAACTAAAGATTTTTTAAATGGGCAGGAATTGAGAAATAAAAATATATATGATATACACAATGCAAAAAGCTAAATAGCAGAAGTGAATCATTTCTTATCAGTAATTACTTTAAACATTTTATATATATATACATAGATAGATATATTGAACTTTTTAATTAAAAGTCAGGGATTGGCGGATTGGATTTTTAAAAAGCTGAAGTGCCTGTGGACAAAGATGCTGAGTTAAAGGAGGTTGTCTTCCTTACTGAGTAATAGAGAAGCTCCCGGGCCCTGAGATATGGAGGGTCCCAGGGGCAAGGGTGAGGAGCGAGGATGGGGGTGGGATGTGAGGTTAAGCACAAGGGTGGTAGCTAAGTGTTCATATATGGAACATGTTGCTGACCCCACACAGCAAGCGGCTAGCCTCTGCCACCCCACAGGAGATAAGAAGGGTCTGACGTCAGGACACCAGAGGTGTGGCAGGTGGGAGAATGGGGGAGGTGCTGGAAAGGAAAGAGTGGGGTTAGTGATCATAATACTGAATAACTACAGCCTTTCGTGGGAGAGAGGGAGTACTTACTTCTCAGAACTTATTAAGCTATGGGAAGTAAGATGATAAGAAATTAGTGCAGGGATAGACAAAACTGATGAGTGGAATTGACTAGACAGCCCAGAAATAGACTCAAATATGTGCATAAATGGAATTCAGGACAGAAGAAGCTTTTTATGCCAGTGGGGAGAGGGCCTGCTCAATGAATGGAGCTGGAAACAATACAAATCCATAGAGGGAAGAATGAAGTTAGATCTCTACCTCACACCATACACTGAAATCAACCAAAGATAAAGTCTTAGCTCTCAAAATCAAAACTGAAAACCCTTAGTAGAAATAATAGATGGCTATCTTTTGGATATTTTGTGAAAAGGTTCATTAATCAAGACCAAAAAGCATTACTTATACAATATGTATAAACATGACTATATTGTAATGCATGATCTGGTTTCTAGAATGGTATATTAAATTAAACATGGAGTTAAGCTGCACATGGACAGACTCTATCTGTAATTCACCCAACTGACAAAAGGTTTGTATAAAGAATATATAAAAACTCTATAAATCAATAAGAAAAGCACAAAGAGTCCAGTGGAAAAATGGACTAGGGACATGAGCAAGTGCTTCATGGAAGAGAAAACTCGTATGGCTCACATGTGTTCAGATTCATTAATAATGAGGGAAATACTGAAGAAGGCCACAATAAGCCACCAGTTCACACTACTCGACTGTCAATTCCAAGTGTTGGAGAGGACATGAAGCAATAGGACTTCTTATACCCTGCTGTGAGAGTGTAACATGTGCAACACCTTTAAAAAACAGTGGCCTTATCTCTGAGAGCTGGACATTCTAGCAATTGCACCACTAGGAATAGCCCCGGGAGAAATGGTTGCACCTGTACAACAGGAGATCTGTCAAGATCAAGCAGCACAGCTGGGTAGCAAAAAACTGGAAGCCATCTCCATGCCCAACCATAGCAGAGGGGGTAATTAAGTGTGGTACGGGGTGGAACAGCCACAGAAGCAAACGCCAACAGACTACAGCGACAAGCAGTATGGACAGACCTTGGCAATTTAGTACCAAGTGAAAAAGGTGATTCCTCAAAGATTCCAGATACTACATACACACAATGCCCTTTCTGTTAAAAAAAAAAATGAAAAAGTATCCAATGTATTGCACGTATGTATGTACTCTTTAGGAATATACAACTATATCTATATAGATATCTAAGGAACAAAATTTGAAGGAAAGCAAGAGAATGAAGAGCATGAGCGGGGTGCAAGGACTTGGAATAGGGGCCCCGTCTCAACAGACAAAGATGATGTCAGACTCTGCTTTTGTTGTTGGTGCTTCCTCCACTATCATAAATAAACAAAATACGGAGTCAATGAAGGAAGCAGGTCACTCACAGATCAAGGATGAATCTGTTCCCACCCAGGATTGGGATTCGTGTGACTCTGGGCACCTGGGATCCAAAACAAGGGGAAAGAGGCAACCACCATTCACTGGGCATCCCAAAGCCAGACCCTGGGCAGTGATGTTCACAACTCCAGGAGCTCACACACAACCTTCTTGGGAAGAGATACTAATATGTCCCATTTCCTTGTGAGGAATAGCGGCTCAGAGTGGTTTAAAAACTTATGAGATTATAGAACCAGCAGCATCTCCACACTGGCCCAGAAACGAGGTCTGTCTGATGCCAAAGTCCAAATGCAGGTTACGGTGCCAATTAGTTTCTGATCACTCTGCTAAGAGGAGCTTTGCATTCCTGTGAAGAGTGAGAGAGGTCAGCCTGGGATGCCTCTGGGGGATATCAGAGCAACAGGATCAGACGCAGGTCCTGGACTGAGCCTGCAGCTAAGAGAAGGCCACAGGCGGGGTCTGGGGGTGCAGGCCAGTCCCCATCAGACTCTCAGTGATTGTGGCCACTGGGGTTAAGGGCCAGAGTGTGACCTTCCGTGGTCAGAATGGGGCTCTCCTAAGTGGACTGAAAGACAAACCCTAGATCTTCAGGTGGGTCCTTCTGAATCTCTGGTGCCACAGAAGGAAAACTGAGCACTGCAGCCCCATGGGGATGGGAGGGGTCAAGTTGCGCAGCCTCCCCCTCGCTGTGCAGCCTCTTGGGAGGGAGCACGCAGGACATCTGAGAGGACCTGCACCCTTAGCCTTAGACCCTTTGCTGGCTGTATGACTGCTCAGCTCTCAGTGCAGAGAGACAGCCCTATGGTAGCTGCATCTGCCCTCCTCTCCTCTCTAGCTCCTCTGCTCTGCCTGAGCTGTCCTCTGGGTGTGGGTTCAGACCTGTCCACACATCCTGTGCTGTGTCATCAGTGCTCCCAGCCATGCCCCACTTCCAGACTCCCTCACTCAGTTCCCTTTGGACGTCTGCATGTGTCTCCAACACACTTACGTGTTCCATCTTTTTTATTTATTTATTTATTTTGAGACGTAGTCTCACTCTGTCACCCAGGCTGGAGTGCAGTGGCACGATCTTGGTTCACTGCAACCTTCACCTCCCAGGTTCAAGCGATTCTCCTGCCTCAGCCTCCCGAGGAATGGGATTACAGGAGCATGCCATCAAACCTAGCTAATTTTTTTTTTTTTTTTGAGACAGTCTTGCTCTGTCGCCCAGGCTGGAGTGCAGTGGCACAATCTCGGCTCACTGCAAGCTCCGCCTCCTGGGTTCACGCCATTCTCCTGCCTCAGCCTCCCGAGTAGCTGGGAGTACAGGTGCCTGCCACTACGCCTGGCTAATCCTTTTGTATTTTTAGTAGAGACAGGGTTTCACCGTGTTAGCCAGGACAGTCTTGATCTCCTGTCCTCTTTATCTGCTGTCTCGGCCTCCCCACATGCTCCATCTTTTGACCATCAGTTACACACACACACACACACACACACACACACGCACACTATTTATTCCCCACCTGTCTCCTATATGCAGTTTTCCCAATATTTTATTAAAATTTCAAACATAAACAGGACTGGAAAAGGCTTTACAAAAAAATAAAAAACAAACAAAACCTGAACCCAGCACCTGGAAGCGACCAGGGCTAATGTTTGTCCTCCACCCCATCACATAACTGTCTGCCCATCACTCTGGTCTGCCGCATTTCAGACTGGTTGCAGACATCTGCACCCCTCGCTGAGATGCACACACGGCACTTCTGGGCCTTTGTTGCTGTTGGAGCAGCACCCTTCAGGACCCTTCCTGTAGATGGTGAGCCTGTGTCCCCAGATTCACAGGCTGAAGTCCTAACCCCAGCGTTGTGTGTCATAAAGCGGAGCCTTTGGTGTCAGCTCCCAAATGTGGGTCCCGGATGACAGGATTCGTGAGTGCCTTCAGAACACGCATGTGAGTGAGATCTCACTCTCAACTCCCTGCCTTGTGAGGACAAGCAGAGGAGGCCATCGGAGAACCCGGAAGGGGCTCTCATCAGACACCGGATCTGCCGGCGCCTTGAGCTGGGACTTCCCCTGCTGTGTGAGGACAACCAGAGGAGGCCGTCGGAGAACCGGGAAGGGGCTCTCATCAGACACCGGATCTGCCAGTGCCTTGAGCTGGGACTTCCCAGGCTCTGGAATGGTGAGAAATACATGTTTGTTGCCTAAGCCCCCGGTGTGTGGTATTTCTGTTGAAGCAGGCTGAACAGACTCAAACACCTAGGAATGCTTACAATTAGTCAAACGAGCAACTCGGAATATTGTTGTAACCTCCACTGTGGAGGAAGGCTCTGTGCTGCCCACTGGAAGGAAGAGGCCAGCGGCTTTGGGGATACCCCAGATGACGAGGTCCTTTCTAGAGGCCAAACAGCAGCGGGGCTCAGGCTCAAGCCCTGGGAGGGAGACAGGAGCTCCTCATGATCCCCTCTTCTAGGAAGCGCGGGAGGAAGGAAAGACCATGTGTCAGCAAGGCAGGGTCTCGCTTTGGGGAGGAGCTCACAAGAGGCCATTAAGGCTCCAAAGTTCCAGACAAGCACCATTACCGTGGTTTCTGCTTGTCAGCAGATCCCAGGAACAGGCAGCTCCTGGGAGGCTGCGTGAGTGCTCGGGAGTATACTACACAACAGACACCACCTGGGCATGACGCTTACATGGAAAGCACCCTGGATGCTTGGCAGGGGGATGATGCAAAGGAACAGCTCCAACCTCCAGTGGAAAATTAATACAAGCCACTGAATGAGGCGCTGGGGATTAGGGTCTTCACACGCGAAATCCTGCTCCCTGTTCCCACTTTCATTCCAGCTGGTCAGCTACGTCCACCCATTCCCTTCGACATCCCACAGCAAACACGCAGACCAGAATATCCCCCATCGGTTTGTCTAATATCCACCACTAGAGACACTATAAATTCCTACACATTTCCCACAAAATAGACCTGTGATTAGCAACATCACACCTCACAGGCTCTTAATGAATGGACTTTCCCCGTGTGGCAAAGCGTGACATGATTTAAACAAAGTCCCTGATCGCTAGAAACAGATGTTTGTAATGTGCGCAGCAGGCAGAGCCTGAAGTAAAAGGCTGTGAGTGAGTCTATAAGGTGGACCAGCTGGATCCAAACTGTTAGGTGACCCTGGAAGCATATTCTGTGACAAAAAAAGGGTTAATGGTAACTTATCGCCTGTTGCATCTAGAGGCTTTGTAAACTCGTGTGGTGTTGGTATAACACTTTTCACATTCAACAAGGTTAGCTCATTCTCCTGTGGAGAAGACTTGAATGAAATGAAGAAGGCTTCCAACAAAGAGGAATATGATTTAAAGATGGAGCGGTTTATGCCCATCTTTAACGCAACAATGTAGAGTTTAAAAAGCAGGTGCCTAAAGAGGTGTATTAAATGATAATTTCATTTAGAAAATGGGTCTAATACACAGAAAAAATGTTAAAAGGGAAGCTGCAGGAGGTGCCAATCAAAATGCCTGCAGTAGCCATTGGTGGGTGGGGGGACTGTGAGTGACTTAGGTTTTTACACCAAGAATGTTTGTAACTTCCCAATTTTCTATTTTGAATGTGTACTGATAAAACATATATTTTTTTTCAAAGTGAAAGTTTACAATCCTGGTCACAATTAATTTTCTATCATTCTTGCCAGAAATGGATAAAGGAGAAAATGTCTTAGTTTTTACCTAATAATAGAACCATAGGCTATACTTCAAAGTAAAATCCAAAATAACCTGAATTCACTAAATCAAAGAAAACCAGTTTACAAGGAAAATTAATGGGTTGTGTGAAAGAGCATTTTCACACTAAGTGATATGTAATCCTTGATTGCTGAAACTAGGCAAAACTCTTAAGCAATTCTCAGATTTGAGAAATTGATGAATGGGGCACTTCTCCTGGGCTACTTTTTCTGACCCAGGAAGCTGCCTGCCTCTTGAGCTGGAGAACCCGGCTGGCCTTCCCTGGCCTGGAACTCTGGCGCTGCCCCCAGCACGTTTCCGTGAAGGACGGAGCTTCTGGGGCAACTCAGGAAGAGCAAGGCAGGAACTTGCATCCTCTGCCCACCTGGGGAAGACTGACTTCTGGGTCCTTATTGTGGCTCCCAGCGGAGTTGGGATGCCAGGGAAACGCTATCGGCCACTCTCAAAATGAGGTGTATATTTAATATAATTTTGCTCCAAATTCCAGGTTTCCTGGAACCGAAACAAAATGTATTTTCCATATAAATTTCAAACAAACTTATATGAAAAAATTAAAGTTTAAAAATTGTCAAAACTTTTAGAAATGAAAAAACCTGAGAAAGTGACTGTCGGACATTAAAATGTAGCTCAGAAGGTCCAGTAATTAAAACAGCACGGTTTAGGACACAGATCCACAAGGCAGAAATAAACGTGTAGAAACAGATCTGAGTCTAGTGCTTATGGCAAGCACTAGAAAAGGGGGCCTTTGAATTAGATGGAAAGGTGTATTGTTTCATAAACGAGGTGGTAACCATTACTTAAGTCTTCGAGATAAAGTAACCTTAGCTCTCTCCCTGTATGCAAAAATAAGTTGAAGATGGCTTGAAAATCAAAATATAAGGAAAGTCAAAACAGAAAAATTATAAAAATATCAGCAAAGAGTTCTGTATGATTTTGGTATAACCCTGGAGTAAGAAAGACTTTTTAAAGCAAGACAGGTACATTTGACAACTGACTTCACAAAAATTTATGAACTTCACGTTGCAAAAGACACGATAAACACAAAATTTTAAAAGACAGACTGAAAGAAATACGTTGGAAACACACAGATCAGAGAATTACTATCCCTAACGTGCAGAGAGCACTTAGTATCGACAATACAAACAACTCCATTTAAAAGTGCGCAAACCTTTGAAAAGCTAATTCATACAAGAGGAACTGTGAAACGGTAAAAAAGAGAATGACAATATGTTCAGTCTCATTAGTAATAAGGAAAATGCACATTGAAACAATTAAAAGTGTTATTTGGATAAAACTAAAAATACCTTGCTAATATCTGGTGCTGAAAAGGGTGAGGAAATTGAAGGAAATTTGCATTGTTTAAACCTTTTGGTAAAGTAAGTAAAAAGAAACTATGAGGATTTAAAATGCAAATGCCCTTTGACTTTTAAGTGTTCCACAGAAACAAAACAATATTGTCAGTATCTGACAACCTTGGCACAAAGGTGCTTCTTGCAATTTTGTTTGCAAAACCTAAACTTGGTCATAAACTTAATATCCCATAGTGAACAATGGTTGACTAAGCCACGGTATATGCACATCATGAGAGGGTGAATTTCCTGACAAGAATAAAACACATCTATATGAAACGTCATGAGTGTAATCTATGCCATATTGTTGAAGAAATTAAAATTCAGGAAGGGAGGTGCAGAATATTTTTAACCTATACTATCATCTTCAAACTGATACAATTAGCATGTAACAAGGTTATAAGTTCTGAGTATAAGTTAGGTATTAAATTCTCCCCCATCTAAATGTTGCTCCATGGCCAGACACAGTGACTCATGTCTGTAGTCCCAACACTTTAGGAGGCTGAGGCAGGCAAATCGCTTGAGCTCAGGAGTTCGAGACCAGTGTGGGCAACATGGTGACACCCCATCTCTACAAAAGTTGGCTCAGTGTGGTGGCATGAGCCTGTGGTCCCAGCTACTTGGGAGGCTGAGGTGGGTGGATTGCAAGAATCCAAGTGGCAAAGGTTGTAGTGACCTGAGATTGTGCCACTGCACTGCAGCCTGGGTGACAGAGTAAGACCCTGTCTCAAAAAAATAAAAAAATAAAAAAATAAATGTTCCTCCATGATCCAGGGCAGCTGGGTTGGGAGGATGAGGCCAGCTGGGTGCACTCATCTGTGAGGGGGAGACCGGGAGGCATGCGGTGACCTCAGCAGTCTGGGGTCCCAGGTGCCTCTAGAGGAACCCCAAGCAGCTCCGAGCCATGAGGTGTGGGTGCTCCTTCTTCCCAGCACGAGCAGCCTCCCTCACACACCCTCCCTGAATAATGTCGGCCGTGTCACTGGGCTTATGTCCACTGGGCCCTACCTGGTTTGGCCATCTGGCCCCCCTGAGCAGCATGACCTACTGGAATGGTGGCAGAGACCCCAGAGGTCCTGGGCCAGGACGGCTGCAGCTGCTGTGTGCCCAGAGAGCACGGGGCTGTTCTGTGCAGGCTGGGGTGGGGGCTTCCCCTGTGGGGCCGGCTGGGACTCCCTGCAGTGATGGGAGGAATATGGCAGGCAGGCTGGGGACTGAGATGTGAGGTGAAGGCAGGAAGGAGGCTGTGTCAGTGTGAGAGAGTGTGACTGTGTGCGAGTGTGTGTGTGTGCACGTGCCTGTGTCTGTGCACCTGGGGTGGTTTGAGCCAATGACTCTTACCTTTCCACTTCATTTTCTTTTAGGTTGTATTAAATGGTTCTAGATGAAACTTTAGTAGAGTGTAGGAGCGCAATATCTAAACCCTAAAACTCTGGGAAATGTTGTATAAAGCTGCTTTTTAAAATATAAAGTTAATATATGTTCATTTTATGGAAAGAAAAATGAAACAGCAAACAAGGAGTAAATAATTTACTCAGCATCATGTGTGAGTAGATTTCCTATTACTCTATGTTCTGTGAGAAGTGTATCCTGTACTTGAGATTCTCTGGGAAGAATATGCATTTGTCATGGCTGTACAATTTTATTTCATCATGGGAACAGGGTACCCTTTAGAATGTGTGCTTAAAACTGGATCATGGTCCTCTTTATAAGGGTCTTCTTTCAGCTTTGTAGTTTGGAGGGTGAAAAAGTGGTGTGCAGTTGGGCTGGAATTGTGCAGTGTTGGGGCAGAGCTGTCATCAGTGGATGTATTTAGAGTTGAAATGACAAGATCTGACTCTCAATGAAACACTATTAGAAACATTAAAAAACATTCAGGCTGACAACATTACACGTGTTTAAAGAAAGAAAATAACTACGCTTGGCCTTATTTTTGTGCGTAAGTTCAAATGTTAGTTATAAAGAATTCTATAATTTTTTCAAGTAAGATGAGTGCAATAAGCCACATGAATGGCTATAAATGTTCAGAGAAACATTTCTACTTTCCCTTATGTCATCAGATTATTTGAACATGTTAAATAGAGAACATATTTTCCTATGTAATTTGAGTTCAGGCAAGTGTAGAGACAGACAAAACGTTCCCGTTAAACTTACGAACTTACCCAAGTGTAGATATACTCGGGGCATCATCTGCTTCCTGTGGGGGGAAGGGATGCAAAATTCATAGGATGAACAAAGACCTTGTTGACATTAAACTTATTCTTAAAATTCAAGTTCATTACTAGTCAGTTCTGAGTAA
The DNA here is from genome assembly GCF_000001405.40 of Homo sapiens. Taxonomy (NCBI): domain Eukaryota; kingdom Metazoa; phylum Chordata; class Mammalia; order Primates; family Hominidae; genus Homo; species Homo sapiens. Next base: position 814,898 of record NC_000005.10, read on the forward strand.
TGGTACTTCAAGAATGCCTGGATCATGGAATAGGATCTCAGTGGTGACACAGCACCCTTCCTCCCAATCCTTGTATTATGGGCTGAACTATATCCTCCTCCAAATTCATAGGTTGACATCCTGACTCCCAGTACCTCAGAATGTGACTATATGTGGAGACAGGGTCTTGAAAGAGGTAATGGATGTTAGATGAGGCTACTAGAGTGAGCCCTAATCCAGAGTGACTGGTGTCCTTTTATGAAGGGGAGATTATGACAGAGACACAAACTGAGGGAAGACTGGGAGGACACAGAGAACAGGTGGCCATCTACAAGGCAAGGAGAGAGGCCTTGGGAGACACCAACCCTGCAGACACCGTGCTCTGGGACTTCCAGCCTGCAGATATGTGAGAAAATACATTTCTTGTTCCAACACCCCATGTGTGGTTCCTGCTTGTGGAAGCTCTAGCAAAGAAAAACACCTGCTATGTGTGCACACACGTTGTTCTCAGTGCTCTTGGTTAAGAACCTGGGAGTGGGAGTGCTGGCTCATATGATAAGTACATGCTCAGCATCTGAAGCTTTGCCAAACTGCTCGCCAATGTGGCATCATCTTTCATCCCCATGAGCAATACATGAGACTTCCAGTTCTCCGATGTCTTCACCAACACTTGGTATTGTTCATCTTCTTTTTAATTATATTTTTTAGAGACAGAGTCTTGCTTTCATTGCTCTTGGGTAAGAATCTGGGGGTGAGAGTGTTGGGTCATATCATAAGTACCTACTCAGCATCAGAAGCTTTGCCAAACTGCTTGGCGATGTGGCATCATCTTTCATCCCCATCAGCAATGGATGAGACTTCCAATTCTCCCACATATTCACCAACACTTGGTATTGTTCATCTTTTTAAAAATTAATTTTTTTAAAGATAGGTTGCCCAGGCTGGTCTCAAACTCCTAGCCTCCAACCATCCTTCTGCCTCCTTGGACTCCCAAAGTGCTGGGATTTCAGGCATGAGCCACTGTGCCTGGCTTATCTTGTTGATCATTTTTATTGTAGCCTTTCTAACATGGGTGCCATGCTATCTTATTGTGGTTTTAGCTCGTGGATCCCAGGTGGGAAATGATGTTGAGCAGCTTTTCATGTGCTTTGTCGTTCATATTATTGCCTTGTGGAAGTTTTGTGTTCAAATCTTTTGCCCATTTGAAAACAGAGTTTTCTTATTGCTGAGTTTTGAAAATTCTTTAAATATTCTGGATACAAGTATATGACTTGAAAATATTTTATTTCAGTCTGTGGCTTATATTTTCATTCTCTTAATGGTGTCAATTGAAGGGAAATTTTTAAATGCTTAAAGTCACATTTATTCTTCTTTTTTCGGAAATAATGTTTTTGGGATCTATCAAAGAAGACATTGCTTAACAGAAGATCACAAAGATATTCTCTGGAGGGAGACTCAGAGGCGGACAGATGGCGGCAGCAGCTGCACGGGCGGGAGGGGGGCGGTAGCGCAGGCGGTGGTGGGGTTGGCGGGGGTTCCAGCTGCGGGACAGGCAGTGGCCGTAGCGGCATGTGGATAAGTCGAAGATAAGTGATATGCCTGGAAAAACGGACAAGTGGGATGGATCAGCTGTGAAAAACTCTGGATGATTCTGCCAAAAAGATACTTCTGGAAAAATACAAATACGTGGAGAATTTTTGTCTAATTGACGGTCACCTCACCATCTGTACAATCTCCTGTTGCTTTGCCATAGTGGCTGTGATTTGGGATTATATGCATCCCTTTCCAGAGTCCAAGCCCGTTTTGGCTTTGTGATGATGGGAATTCTGACTATTTAGACCTCATCTAAGGAGAAGACCATCTTTCTCGTGGCCCACAGAAAAGAGCCTACAGGAGTGGATTCTGATGCTATTTGGGAGCTGCCCTCCAGTCTTAAAAGGTTTGATGGCAGATACACCCTGAAGCTGACCTTCATCAGCAGGAGAACAAAGCAGCAGCGGGAAGCCAAGTTCACCAAGTCTATGGCTGAATTTTTCTGACCCCAGTGGGAGACTGGTCATGGATGCATGAGCCTGAAATGTCCAGGCTCCCTGACACTCTCCCCATGGGAAGAAACATCAAATAGCCCTCTTTCTGCTGGATCTTGCTGAATTACTGCCCTGGGGGGTAGGGGAGATAAAAATAACTTAAAATGGGTAAAGTAAGAACTGTTAAAAAGTCCATGTTTTGTCCTGAAATTTTACTCTATTCTGGATACATAGGATTTTCTGACACAGATATGAGAAGTTGTAGCTCTGAGGTCAAGCTGTGGCCACCTCGGTATGCTGTTTGCATTATTTTAATTTGCTTTTCTGCAAAAGCATTTTTGCTAAAAGCTGTACAGACTTTTCCCTTTGTACTTATCAATACTTTATACTATAGCTTTGTGCCATGCAGCATTTTAAGATTCAATTTTAAAAAATTATTAATGTGTTGCTGTCTCTATCAATTCATATTTCCATATGTGTTTCCTTGAAGAATTCAGGACACAACTCCTTCCGTATGACAGCTTTCCTTCACACACTATTTTTGTGGGTATGTATATATCTCACTTGGGGAAAACTTTAAAAACACACTTGAAAAAACATAGCTTTTTAATTTGTTTGAAACAGACCTTCTGCCTGTTACGTTTTGTGCTCTTAACCAATTTAAGAGGACAACTGTATATTTAGTATTAAAAAAACATATTCTGTGAGTTTTCTAGGGAGGTTAAACTTTCCTCTCTAAATATGAGGTCTCTGATGGATTGTGCACTGCTTTCTAGGTGGGACTGAGCTGTGTGTGTGTGTTTGGCATGTGGTTATGCAGCTGCTGCAGCACACTCATTACACACCCTTCCATGTCTCCCCATTGCCTCACCTTGGCACCTTCCATTTAAGCCAAACACCAGAAATATAAAGAAGGGCTTGTTTCTGGAGTTTCCAGTTTGTTCCATTCATCGAGTCAGGGTGTCTTCTATGGACAACGCTGTCTGCAGCCCTGGGCCCTCTCGAAGGGGAGGCGATGGACTGTAGGTCTGTGGAGCTCAGCACAGGGCTGTGCCACGGACGCGGGTGTCAGTGAAGTCACGTGCATTTTCAGATGGAATTCTCCTCCCCGATGTGAACAATGAACCGACGGTGTTATTTTCATAGGATTGTCCTGGAGCCCACGGAGACGCGGGCTTGGGATCCAACGTGATGCTGAGCGGATCTTCTCTGCTTCAGACCAGGCCTCATGTGGCTTCACACAAGGGTGACTGTAAATCGTCATCTACACCGAGATGCTGCAGAGAGACCGAGGGGACTCACAATTGCACCCCGGCAGCAGGTGTGCATGTGGACGATTGCAGGCAGAGAAAATCCTGTGAGCCTGTGTGCCACATGGAGTGAGGGAACGTTGGTGGGTGAGTCTGGGCGGGGCAGGCTGGGGGCCCAATCGGTTTCCACTGAGTGTCTCCATATCTTTGCTGGAAGTGCAGGGAAGGGGCAAGGCTTGGACGCCAGCGTCGCTGTTCCTCCAGGCTGGCTGATCCCTTTTCATTTCCAAGTCTCAAGAGCCTGTTCCCTGAAGTCCTGGGGAAGTGTGGTGAGGCGGCCCTGCCCCAACAGGGAAGGAGAAGACACCTGTAACCTCCAGAAGCTGGCCGCCTCACAAAGCCTTCTCAGATGGATTCCCCCACAGCCTAGTACAGTGGCTCATGCCTGTAATCGCCCTGCTATGGGAGGCTGAGGCCAGAGGCTTGCTTGAGACCAGAAGTTCCAAACCAGCACGGGCAACAGAGTGAGACCCCATCTCTTAAGAAATAAGAAATAAATTGGCTGGGTGTGGTGGCACACGCCTGTAGTTTCAGCTACTCGGGAGGCTGAGGTGGGAAGATCGCTTGAGCCCAGGAGGTGGAGGCTGCAGTGAGCCATTATCCCACCACTATAATCCATGCTGGGTGACAGAGTGAGATCCCATCTCCAAAAAATAAATAACAACCCAGTAGAAACCGCTGGAAGCTGACCCCAGAGCAGGAACAGAAATATGTGGCCCTAAAGCCGGTAGCCACACAGGGCTTTTCCCGTGAAGGACGGACACAGAGTCCATGTATCCATGTAACAAACACACACCATTCACACACATATACATGACCACACACCACACACAAAACCACACCAACACATACGTGCACATGTGACCACAAACACATCTCTATTCCCATCTGTCTCCTACACACAGTCTTTCCTAAGCATTTTATTTTAAAACCACAGCACACAGCTTCTGCCATGGCTACCAATTTCCCTCCATCCTTTATCACGGCACTGTCCCTCACTGCATGTTCTGGGCACTTCAGAGCCTGCCCTGGGCATCTGCCCATCACCGCAGCCTGATGGTGGCACTGCAGTGCTGAGGGCTCCCACTTTGGTACCCGTCTGTCTCTCTCACCCACAGCTGGGAAGCATTCCTGCCTCTCACTCCATCTCTCTTCTGTGCTCCACCCACCATCATTCCCATGTGAGCAGCACCCTTGGACACAGAGTGCTTCCCTTTTGAATACTACCTTAACCTCAGCTTGGGGGACCTCAGACCACACATTCTGCACATGGCCCTGTCCTCGGGGACAGCGCCAGTGATTGCAACTTACCTGTGCCATCGAGCCCCCGTCTGGGTGTACACGAGTGGAGAACTGACACAGGCGCCTGCAAATCAGCCGGGAGTTCCTGGCCTTGGCTCTGGTGGGGCAAACAGAAGGAAAGAAACACACCACAGTTTTGTAGGGCGCTCAGGATGGCACTGGAGGCTACAGTGTGTCCTGTAAGCACCACTGCAGTGGGGCCCATGTGTCTCAGAAACTGGAGACCAGCAGCTCCCGGGAGGTTGTGTGAGTGCTCCCGGGTTACTGCACAGTGGGAAACAGAAGGAGCTTCTCGTGTAAAGGACCAGGACTCCTTCCCACTTGGATTCTGTAAAGCAGTACCTCCCTGAAGTCTGCGAGCCCCACCCTAGACCAGTGCCTTAGACAGGTAGTGTCCTCCGTTAGTGTAGCTGGTCTACACTGGGCTACAAGGTGACTGTAATTTTATAAAACAGCACATCATACATGTCACAGGGGTGTCAGGTGGGTCAGGTGACCTTCATTTTTACCTGGAAATCCTTGCCATTCCCTAATTTTCTACAACATATACATGTCGATTTGGCAATCATTACACAACTTTAGTTTTTCCTTTTGTTTTGGTTTTAGAGAGAAAGTTTGTAATTCCGGTTATAGTTACATTTCTATTAATCTTGCCCAAAATGCATCACAGAGAAAGCATTTTTGTATTTTACTTAAAAGACCATAGTTACATGATAGTTTGAAGTGATATTCAAGTGCTTCGGATCTACACAGTAGTTTTGCCAATTACCCTTCTAAGAAAAGCAATTTCATAGAAGACTTAATGGGTCGTTTGAAAGGGAATGAACTTTTCCCAGTAAGCCATACACCTTGACTGCTGAACTAAGCAAAAGTCTGCATGAATTCTCTGCAGTTGTGATCATTACCAACAGGGCCTTGTCCTGATCTAAGAAGCCCTTTGCCCTCTGGCTGTGGAGTAAGGGATGGTGACATTTCCAGGGACACAGGCCCTGTCTCTTCTGCCCAGGAAGCTGTGGGCTGAGCCCCTGCCGGTGTCTGTGAGGGGTGGGGCTGGTGCACACCTGGGGAAGGGGGGCTGCACTCCACTTTCTGGCCATGGTGGAGACTCTGACTTCCAGGACCTTTGCTGCCTCTCTGTGGGGGCTGTGATGTGGTCCCCTCCCAATGGAAAGTGTGTAACTAATGTAACTGGAACTTGAATTTCATGTGTCTAGGAACTGGACAAAGTCATCTGAAAGCTCATATGGAAAAATAAATGTGTAAGAATTGTCAAAAGTAAATGAAAAATGAAAAAATCTTTAGAGGCTTATTTGCCTGCAGGATATTAAAATATAGTAGCTAAATAAGGTTCTGTAATTTAAACAGATGATGCACCTCCAGGACACAGACCCATGAGACAGACACAGACCTGGGCCTGTGTTTAGGGAAACACAGTGAACCAGAAAAGGGGCCTTTCAATTTGATGGGGAAAGGTGCAATATTTAATACATGAGGTGAAAACCAACAGTTACTTCGTTGGGATAAAATAACCTTATCTCTTAACTCCCTGAATACAACAATAAATCCCAACTGGCCTGAAAAATCAAAATGTAAAGGAAGCAAATGGAAATATGAATAACGTCTTTACCCTCCTCCAGCCCCTTGGCTCTCTGCTGCTCCCCCCGGGGCAGGAGAAGAAGGAAGAGGGCCAGGGGTCCCCTGCCCACACTCTCCATGATGACAGAGATGGGAAGGTAGCCAGGCAGCAACAGTGTACGGCGACATTGGAGCGACCTCACGGCGACCTCAATTTCCACTGCGCCTCCTCCCAGAGCCTAAGAAGCTGCAGGCCTGTGGTGCCCAGCACTGAAACAAGGAGATGGCGGCTCAGCCAAGCCATTTAGGATGGAAACTGCAAAGATTCAATATTCAGGACTGCTTCTTTGCTGCTGAAGGGGTGTGAACTACCCTTCTCTTCTCCACTACACAACACAACTGTTTTGGGAAGCATCAAGTGAAAGCGTGCAGGGCTCACGGCAGACAGGAGACAGGGCTGATGTGCAGCTCCCACCAGGACAGAGAACAGCATGTGGACACTCATACTGTGGACTTTTGCTGCAGGAACCACCAAGGAGCGTACCAGGAAAAAAACAAATCACAGAGCCTTTAAAAGAAGCCGCAGGCTGCTGTGATTCCACAGGACAGGTGACAGTTTTGCTGCTCTCTCGAAAGTGCCACCTCCTGGCACTTCAGGATATTTGAAGACATTAAATGGATGACATATTTTCCTAAGTAATTCGAGATGAGACGAGTGTATAACTATGTTACTAATAGATAAAATAATCCCATTAAACTTACAAACTCACCCAAGTGCAGATGGACACGGGTCTTCATCCCCTTCCTGTGGGGAAGTGAAGCAAAATTCATAGAATGAATTGACATTGAACTTATTCTTAAAAAAAATTCAAGTCCATTTCTAGTCAGTTCTGACAGTCACTTCTGAGTAATGGTACATCAAGGTTGCCTGGATCATGGAATAGGATCTCAGTGGTGACACAGCACACTTCCTCCCAATCCTTGTATTATGGGCTGAACTATATCCTCCTCCAAATTCATAGGTTGACATCCTGACACCCAGTACCTCAGAATGTGACTATATGTGGAGACAGGGTCTTGAAAGAGGTAATGGATGTTAGATGAGGCTATTAGAGTGAGCCCTAATCCAGAGTGACTGGTGTCCTTTTATGAAGGGGAGATTATAACAAAGACACAGACAGAGGGAAGACTGTGAGAGGACACAGAGAACAGGTGGCCATCTACAAGGCAAGGAGAGAGGCCTTGGGAGAAACCAACCCTGCAGACACCGTGCTCTGGGACTTCCAGCCTGCAGATATGTGAGAAAATACATTTCTTGTTGCAACACCCCATCCATGGTTCCTGCTTGTGGAAGCTCTAGCAAAGAAAAACACCTGCTATGTGTGCACACACATGTTGTTCTCAGTGCTCTTGGGTAAGAACCTGGGAGTGGGAGTGCTGGCTCATATGATAAGTACATGCTCAGCATCTGAAGCTTTGCCAAACTGCTCGCCAATGTGGCATCATCTTTCATCCCCATGAGCAATGGATGAGACTTCCAGTTCTCCAAACTCTTCACCAACACTTGATATTGATCACCTTTTTTTATTTATATTTTTTAGAGGCAGGGTCTTGCTATGTTGCCCATAGTGGTCTCAAACTCCTGGCCTCAAGGGATCCTCCTGCCTTGTGGGCCACCCAAAGCTCTGGGATTTCAGGTGTGAAGCTTTGTGCCTGGATGGTATCCTTAATCTGCTTTCTTGCAGCTACTCTAATGGGGTGCAGCAGTATCTTATTGTGATTTTAGCTGGTGGTTCCCTGGTGGCAAATGATGTTGAGCACCATTTTGTGGGCTTTATTTCTCATGGATATTGTTGCCTTGGTGAAGAACGTGTTCAATCTTTCACCCATTTAAAAACTGAGCTGTTGTGTATTTTTGAGTTTTCATGGTTCTTTAAATATTCTGGATGAAAGCATATGACTTGTAAATATTTTATTTCAGCCTGTGGCTTATATTTTCATTCTTTTACTGGTGACAATGGAAGAAATAATTTTAAATGCTTAAAGTCAAATGTATCCGTTTTGTGAAATAGTGTTTTTGGTATCTATCAAAGAAGAGTTTGCCTAACACAAGACCCCGGAGATATTCTAGGATTTTTGTAGGAATGTTAAAGTTTCCCCCTCTTACTATGAGGTCTCTGATGGATTGTGCACTGCTTTCTAGGTGGGACTGAGCTGTGTGTGTGTGTTTGGCATGTGGTTATGCAGCTGCTGCACCACACTCATTACAAACCCTTCCATGTCTCCCCATTGCCTCACCTTGGCACCTTCCATTTAAGCCAAACATTAGAAATGTAAAGAAGGGCTTGTTTCTGGAGTTTCCAGTTTGTTCCATTCATCTACTCAGAGCATCTTCTTTGGACAACACTGTCTGCAGCTGTGGGCCCACTCCAAGGGGAGGCGATGGACTGTAGGTCTGTGGAGCTCAGCACAGGGCTGTGCCACGGACGCGGGTGTCAGTGAAGTCACGTGCATTTTCAGATGGAATTCTCCTCCCCGATGTGAACAATGAACGACGGTGTCACTTTCATAGGATTGTCCTGGAGCCCACGGAGACGCGGGCTTGGGATTCAACATGATGCTGAGCGGATCTTCTCTGCTTCAGACCAGGCCTCATGTGGCTTCACTATTCATCCACACATAGAAGCTGCAGAGACACTGAGGGGACTCACAAATGCACCTGTGCAGAAGGTGTCAACGTGGACAAACACAGGCAGAGAAACTCCCATGAGCCCGTGTGCCACATGCAGTGAGGGAACTTTGGTGGCTGAGTCTGGGCCAGGGTGGGCTGGGGGCTCAATCGATTTCCACCGAGTGTGTCTCCAAATCTTTGCTGGAAGTGCAGGCAAGGGGCAAGGCTTGGACACCAGCGTCGCTGTTCCTCCAGGCTGGGCTGATCCCTTTTTATTTCCAAGTCACAGGAGCCTGTTCCCTGAAATCCTGGGGAAGTGTGGTGAGGTGGCCCTGCCCCCACAGGGAAGGAGAACACACCTGTAACCTCCAGAAGCTGGCCCCATGACAAAACCTGCTCAAAAGGACCAGCCTGCGGCCTGGCGTGGTGGCTCACGCCTCTAATCCCTGTGCTATTAGAGGCTGAGGTCAAGGAATCACTTGAGATGAGAAGTTCCAAACAAGCCTGGACAATAGAGTGAGATCCCATCTCTTAAGAAATAAAAAATAAATTGGCTGGGCGTGGTGGCATACGCTTGTACTTTCAGCTACTCAGGAGGCTAAGGTGGGAAGATTGCTTGAGCCCAGGAGTTGGAGGCTGCAGTGAGCCATTATCCCACCACTGCAATCCATGTTGGGTGATGGAGTGAGATCTCATCTCTAAAAAATAAATAATGACCCAGCAGAAACCACTGGAAGCTGACCCCAGAGCAGGAACAGAAATATGTGGCCCTAAAGCCGGCAGCCGCGCTGGTCTTTTCCTGTGAAGGATGGACACAGAGTCCATGTAACAAACACACACCATTCACACACATATACACGTGACCACACACCACACACAAAACCACACACATAACCACACCCCCCCACATATGTGCAACCACACACCATACACTTGTACGTGTGACCACACATACATCGTCTATTCCCATCTGTCTCCTACACACAGTCTTTCCTAAGCATTTTATTTAAAAAAAAAAAAAAAACAGCACATGGCTTCTGCCATGGCTACCAATTTCCCTCCATCCTTTATCACAGCACTGTCCCTCGCTGCATGTTCTGGGCACTTCAGAGCCTGCCTTGGGCATCTGCCCATCACCACAGCCTGATGGTGGTGCTCCAGTGCTGGGGGCTCCCACTTTGGTACCCATCTGTCTCTGTCACCCACAGCTGGGAAGCATTCCTGCCTCTCACTCCATCTCTCTTCTGTGCTCCACCCACCATCATTCCCATGTGAGCAGCACCATTGGACACAGAGTGCTTCCATTCTGAATACTGCCTTAACCTCAGCTTGGGGGACCCGAGACCACATATTCTGCACACGGCCCTGACCTCGGGGTGCATCGCTGGTGACTGCAACTTACCCGTGCCGTCGAATCCCCATCCTGGTTTACTGAAGTGCAGAAGTGACATAAGTGCTTGTGAATCAGCAGGGAGCTCTTGGCTTTGACTCTGGTGGGACAGAAAGGAGGAGAGAAACTCATCTCAGCTTTGTAGGGGGACTCAGGGTGGCACTGGAGGCTGCACCGCGTCGTGTCAGCACCACTGCTGTGGGGCACACATGTCTCAGAAACTTGTAGACCAGCAGCTCCTGGGAGGTTGTCTAAGTACTCCTGCGTTATGTGCAGTGGCACACGTAAGAAGCTTCTCGTGTAAAGGACCATGACTCTTTGCCACTGGGACAATGCAAAGCAGTCCCTCCACCCACCGTGTGAGACCTGCCCTACACCAGTGCCTAAGACAGGTTCTGAAGAGTGATGGCAGATGGGAGACAGGTCTGATATGCAGCTCCCACATGGAGAGACAGAACAGCATGTGGAGACTCATACTGTGGCCTTTCACTCCAGGAACCACCACAGCAGCATACCAGAAAAAACAAAAAGTCACAGGGCCTTTGGAAGATGCCATAGGCCACTGCAAATTCCACAGAACAGGTGACAACTCCGCTGCTGTCTCAAAAGTGCCACCTCCTGGCTGGAGGCCAGTCAGCTCAGGACATGACAGCAACTCATGACAGAACAACCCTGCTCCTAGGAAGGAGAAAACAAGAGCTTATTCCACCTCCTGCAACATCCTGGATAACCAGAGGTCCTGAGTCTGCCCATGTGACAACTTCACTGCTAGAATAACCAGCCTCTGAGAAAGTCAGCACAGTAAACCTATCGGCCGCCGAGGACCTCCACAGAGTCCACTTCGGTCCCCTGTCACCTCCACCGGAGCAGGTGCTCGCATCCACAGCTGGGAGACCTGAGGACGGATCACATCACAGGACTCTGTGCAGACATTCCCCAGCACCAGCCTGGTAGCCCTGCTGGGTGGAGAGACCCAGAAGAACAATAGCAATCACTGCTGTCTGGTTTGCAGGAAGCTCCATCTCTAGGGGAAGGGGCAGTGCACAAATCAGGGACCACCCCATGGGACTAAAGAATCTGACCAGCAGCCTTGAGTTCCAGATTTTCCCACTGAAATAATCTACACACATGAGAAGGAATCAGACGAGTAATCCTGGTAATATCATGAAACAGGGCTCTATTCCACCCTCAAAAGACCACACTAGCTCCCCAGTGAGAGATCCAAACCAAGAAGAAAATCAGAATTGCTGGAAAGAATTCAGAAGGTTGATTATTAAACTACTCAAGGAGATACCAAAGACAGGTGATAACCAACTTAAAGAAATTTAAAAATCAATACAGGATATAGATGAAAAATGCTCCAGGGAAATAGAGATCCTAAAGAAAACACAGTCACAACTTCTGGAACAAAAGACACACTAAGAGAAATGGAAAATGCACCAGAAACTTTCAACAGCAGGATCTAACAAGTAGAACAAAGAACTTCAGAACTCAAAAACAAGGCTTTTTAAATAACCCAGCCAGACAAAGAGGAAAAAAATAATTTTAAAAAAGAACAAAGCCTCCAGGAACTTAGGGATTATGTTAAACAGCCAAACCTAAAAATAGTGTTCCTGACAAAGCAGACAAATCCACAAGTTTGGAAAACTTATTTGAGGAAATGATCAAGGAAACCTTCCCTGGCCTTGCTAGAGTTCTAGACATCCAAAGACAAGAAGCTCAAAGAATGCCTGGGAAATTCATTGCAAAAAGATCATCACCGAGGCACATGGTCATCAGGTTATCTACAGTCGACACAAATCAAAGAATCTTAAGAGCTGGGAGGCAAAACATCAGGTAACCTCTAAAGGAAAACCTCTCATATTAGCAGCAGATTTCTCAGCAGAAACTCTACACACTAGAAGGGATTGGGGTCCTATCTCTAGCCTCTCCAAGCAAAATAATTAACAGCCAATAATTTTGTATTCAGCAAAACTATGTTTCCTAAATGAAGTAGAGAAAATGTCTGTTTCAGAACAACAAATGCTGAGAGAACTAGCCACTAATAAGTCAGTCCTACAAGAAATACTAAAAGGAGTTCCAAATCTTAAAACAAAACCTCAAAATACACCAAAACAGAACCTCCTTAAAGCATAAATCTTACAGGACTGAGAAAACAGTAACACAAATTAAAAAACCAAGGTATTCAGGCAACAACTAGCATGATCAATAAAACAGTACCTCACATCCAAATGCTAACACTGAATGTAAATGGCCTATAAGCACCTTCTAAAAAATACAGAGTGGAAGAATGGAGAAAAATCCACCAACCAAGTATCTGCTGTCTTCAAGAGACACACCTAATGTATAAGGACTGAAATAAACTTAAGGTAAAGTGGCAGAAAAGATATTCCATACAAATGGAAACCAACAGCAGGCAGGAGGAACTATTCTGATACCAGACTCAACAGACTTTAAAGCCACAACAGTTAAGAAAGACAAAGAGCAACATTATACGATGATAAAAGAATCACTCCAAAAGGAAAAATATCACTATCCTAACTATATATGCACGTAATGAGGGACCTGCCAAATTTATTTTTTTTTATTCTTTATTTTTTTTTTTTTATTGATCATTCTTGGGTGTTTCTCACAGAGGGGGATTTGGCAGGGTCATAGGACAATAGTGGAGGGAAGGTCAACAGAAAAACAAGTGAACAAAGGTCTCTGGCTTTCCTAGGCAGAGGACCCAGCGGCCTTCCCCAGTGTTTGTGTCCCTGGGTACTTGAGATTAGGGAGTGGTGATGACTCTTAATGAGCATGCTGCCTTCAAGCATCTGTTTAACAAAGCACATCTTGCACCGCCCTTAATCCATTTAACCCTGAGTGGACACAGCACATGTTTCAGAGAGCACAGGGTTGGGGGTAAGGTCATAGATCAACAGGATCCCAAGGCAGAATTTTTCTTAGTACAGAACAAAATGAAAAGTCTCCCATGTCTACTTCTTTCTACACAGACACAGCAACCATCCGATTTCTCAATCTTTTCCCCACCTTTCCCCCTTTTCTATTCCACAAAACCGCCATTGTCATCATGGCCCGTTCTCAGTGAGCTGTTGGGTACACCTTCCAGACGGGGTGGTGGCCGGGCAGAGGGGCTCCTCACTTCCCAGAAGGGGCGGCCGGGCGGAGGCACCCCCCACCTCCCAGATGCGGCAGCTGGCCGGGTGGAGGTGCCCCCCACCTCCCTCCTGGACGGGGCGGCTGGCCGGGTGGAGGTGCCCCCCACCTCCCTCCTGGACGGGGCGGCCGGCCGGGTGGGGGCTGACCCCCCACCTCCCTCCCGGACGGGGGACCTGCCAAATTTATAAAACAATTCTTACTGGACATAAGAAATGAGACTGATGAAAACACAATTATAGTGACGGACACAATACTGCACTGATAGCACTAGACAGGTCATCAAGACAGAAAGGCAACAAAGAAACAATGACCTTAAACTATATCCTAGAACAAAAGGACTTGACAGATATTTACAGAACACTCTACCCAACAACTGCAGAATGTACATTCTTTTCATCAGTACATGGAAAATTCTCCAAGATACATCATATAATAGGCCACAAAACAAGTTTCAATGAATTTAAGAAAGTCAGAATTACATCAAGTATCTTTTCAGACCACAGGGGAATAAATTGATAATTAACTCCAAAAGGAACCCATGAAATTACACAAATATGTAGAAATTAAATAACTGCTTCTGAATGATCTTTGGGTCGACAATGAAATCCAGAGGGAAATTTAAAAGTTCTTCAAACTGAATAACTGTGGCATGACTTATCAAAACCTCAAGGACACAGCAAAAGTGATGTTTAAAGGAATGTTCACAGCATTAAATGGCCACATCAAAAAGACTGAAAGAGCACAAACAGACAATCTAAAGTCACACCTGAAGTAACCAGAGAAACAAGAACGAATCAAACCCAAACCCAACAGAAGAAAAGTAATAACGAACATCAGAGCAGAACTAAATGAAATTCAAACAAAAAAACAAAAAAACCACAAAAGATAAATCAAAAAGCCAGTTTTCTGAAAACACAAACAAAATTGATTGACCATTAGCAACATTAAGCAAGAAAAGAAGAGAAAAGATCCAAATAAGCTCAATTAGAAATGAAATGAGAGATAGCACAACTGATACCACAGGAATACAAAAGATCATTTAAGGCCAATATGAACACCGTTATGCACACAAACTAGAAAATCCAGAGGAGATGGATAACTTCCTGGAAATATACAACCCACCTAGATTAAATCAGGAAGAAATAGAAACTCTTAACAGACTAATAACAAGTAGCGAGATTGAAACAGTAATAAAAAAATTGCCAACTAAAATATCCAGGATGTATTCACAGCTGAATTCTATCAGGCATCCAAAGAAGGACTGGTACCAATCTTATGGAAACTATTACAAAAGATAAAGAGGGAATCGTCCATAAATCATTCCATGAAGCCAGTATCACCTTAATACCCAAACCATGAAAGGACATAGCAAAAAGAGAAAACTACAGACTAATATCCCTCATGAATATAGATGCAAAAATCCTCAACAAAATACTAGCGAACCGAATCAAACAGCATAGCAAAAAGATAATAACACCATGGTCAAGTGGGTTTCATACCACGTATGCAGGAATGGTTTAATATATGCAAGTCAATAAATGTGATACCTCACATAAACAGAATTAAAAACAAAAAATCAGAGATCTCAATAGATGCAGAAAAAGCATCTGACAAACTCTGCCATCCCTTTATAAATAGAACACTCATCAAAATCAGCACAGAAGGGACATACCTCAAGGTAATAAAAGCCCTCTATGACAAACCCACAGCCAACATTATACTGAATGGGGAAAAGTTGAAAACATTGCCCCTCAGAACTGGAATAAGACAAGGATGCCCACTTTCACCACTTCCTTTCGACACAGTACTGGAAGATCTAGCCAGAGCAATCAGAGAAGAGAAAGAAAAAGCATCCAAATTGGTAAACAGGAAGTCAAATTGTCCCTGTTCACTGATGATATGGTTGTATACCTAGAAAACTCTAAATACTCATCCAGAAAGCTTCTAAATCTGATAAATGAATTCAGTAAAGTTTCAGGATACAAAATCAATGGACACAAATCAGTAGCATTGCTATGTGCCAACAATGACCAAGCTGCGAATCAAATGAATAAGTCAACCCCTTTTGCAACAGGTGAAAGAAAAAAAAACAACTTAGGAATATACCTAACACAAAAGGTGAAATATCTCTACATGGAAACTACAAAAACCTGCTGAAAGTGAACATAGAAAACGCAAATAAATGGAAACACATCCCAGGCTCATAGATGGGTAGAATTACTATTGTGAAAATGACCATACTGCCAAAGCAATCCACAAATTCAATGCAATTCCCCTCAAAGCAGAATCATCTTTCTTCACAGAACTAGAAAAAACAATCCTAAAATTCATATGGAACCAAAAAAGACCCCAGATAGCCAAGGAAGACTAATCAAAAAGAACAAATCTGGAGGCATCACATTACCTGAATTCAAACTATACTACAAATCTAGAGTTACCAAAACAGCAGGGAACTAATATGGAAATAGGTGTGTAGATCAATGGAACAGAATAGAGAACCCATAAATAAAGGCAAATACTTACTGCCAATCGATCTTCAACAAACAAAAGACATCAAGTGGGGAAAGGACATCCTATTCAATACAAGGTGCTGGGATAATTCACAAGCCACATGTGAAGAATGAAGCTGGATCCTCTCCTCACACCTTTTACAAACATCAGCTGAGGATGGATAAAAGACTTAAGACCTGAAAGCAAAATCTACAAGATATCATCAGAAAAACTTTTGTAGGCATTGACTTCGGCAAAGAGCTCATGACGAAGAATCCAAAAGCAAATGCAACAAGAACAAAGATAAATAGATGCAATTTAGCTTAATTTATCTTTATTTTAAATAAGTACCTTCTGCACAGGAAAAGAAGTAATAAGCAGACTAAATAGAACCCACGGAAAGGAAGAAAATATTAACAATCTGTACATCTGACAAAGGACTAGTATCCAGAATCTAAAAGGAACTCAAACAAATCCGCAAGAAAAAACAAATCATCCAATTGGGTGTGGTGGCTCATGTCTGTAATCCCAGTCCTTTCGGAGGCTGGGGCAGGCAGATCACTTGAAGTCAAGAGTTCAAGACCAGCCTGGCTAACATGGTGAAACTTGTCTCTACTAACGACACAAAAATTAGCTGGGCGTGCTGGTGGGTGACTGTAATCCCAGGTACTTGGGAGCCTGATGCAGGATAATCGCTTCAACCCAGGAGGCAGAGGCTTCAGCGAGCCAAGATCATGCCCCTGCACTCCAGCCTGGGTGACAGAGTGAGACTCTGTCTCAAACAAACAAACAAACAAACAACAAAACCAATCCCATCAAAAAGTGGGCAACATTCATGAAGAGACAGTTCTCAACAGAAGATATACAAATGGCCAACAAGCATAGGAAAAAATGCTGAACATCACTAATTAACAGGGAAATGCAAATAAAATCCACAATGCAATACCACCTTACTCCTGGAAGAATGGCCATAATTTAAAAAATAAAGAAATAACAGATGTTGGCATGGATGTGGTGAAAAGGAACACTTTTACACTGCTAGTGGGAATGTAAACTAGTACAACTACTATAAAAAACAGTACGGAGATTCTGTAAAGAACTTAAAGGTAGAACTATCATCTGATCTAGCAATCCCACTACTGGCTATCTACCCAGAAGAAAAGAAGTTATCTTATGAAAAAGATACTTGCACCCACATGTTTATAGCAGCATAGTTTGCAATTGCAAAAATATGAAACCAGCCTAAAACAAATCAGTGGATAAAGAAAATGTGATATATATTTGTGATCTGTATATATGTAAATACCATGGAATACTACTCAGCCATAAAAAGGAATGAAATATCAGCACTCACACAACCTGGAGTTGCAGACCATTATTCTAAGTGAAGTAACTCAAGAATGAAAAACCAAACATCGTAGTATCTCACTTATAAGTGGGAGCTAAGCTACGAGGATGCAAAGACATAAGAATGATGTAATGGGCTTTTGGGACTCAGGGGGAGTGGTGGGAGGAGGGTGATGGATAAAAGACTACACATTGAGTACTGTATACATTGCTCGGGTGGTGGGTGCACCAAAATCTCAGAAATCAACACTAAAAATCTTTTCCATGCAACCAAACACCTTGTTCCCCAAAACTATTGAAATAAAATAAAAATAAAAATTATAACTAGGACTGGTGCGGTGGCTCACGTCTGTAATCCCAGCACTTTGGGAGGCCAAGGCAGGCAGATCATGAGGTCAGGAGATAGAGATCATCCTGGCTAACAGGGTGAAACCCATCTCTACTAAAAAAACAAACAAACAAAAAAATTAGCCATGTGTGGTGGCCGGTGCCTGTAGTCCCAGCTACTAGGGAGGCTGAGGCAGAAGAATGGCATGAACCCGGGAAGTGGAGCTTGCAGTGAGCCGAGATCACACCACTGCACTCCAGCCTGGGTGACAGAGTGAAATTCCATCTCAAAAAATAAAAATAAAAATAAAAAAGTTATAACTATATAAGCAAAGAGTATTGGAGGATATTTGTATAACCTTAGAGTAACGACGCCTTTTTAAAGCAAGACAAAAGGAAATGTTAACAAATTTGGCTTCAGAAAAGTCCACAACCTCTACACTGTGAAAGATCCCATAGGGTTCCTAATAAGCAAAGAGCTGTTACGTTTGATAATCCAAATAGCCCAACTGTTGAACATTAATTCACACAACAAAAATTGTAAAATGGTCAAAACATGAAAAAATGTTGTCGTAATTGTAGTAAGGAAATGCATATTAAAACATTATATATTTTCTTTGAATAAAACTAAGCATACTGTTAGTATCTCATAGTGAGAAGAGCGACAGCGTTGAATGAAGTGTGAACTGCTCCACCCTTTTGAGAAGTCATCAGAAAGAGTCTGTGAAGACTGAAAATGCGCGTGCCCTTTGACTCTCAGCTTCCAAAATAAAACGAACCGCACTGCACAGCACTAGCTCCAAGACGCTTCTTGAAACCCTGTTTGTGAAGCCAGCCCTGGCCCTGTTGGGTGGGGCTCCGGGTCAAGGCACCCCCAGTGCTCCCATTTACTTAGCACCTTGACTCAGGAATGGGTTGGACTCTCAGAGCTTACAATGTCTATGAAACACTATTAGAGATCATAAGAAATACATTCAGACTCACAACTACCCACATGTTCATGGAGAGATGTAGAAATAAATAAGCGGATCTTACTCTTGTGTGTTAGTTTAGATGTTAGTTATGAAGAAGGGAGTGAAGAATGTAGTTTCTGCAAGTAAGACAAGCACATCGAGATAGATAATTTGGTATAATTTAACAACATTAAACAAAACTATTTTATCTTCTACTGCATCATCCCATGATTTCAAAATGTCTCATCATAGGTGAATTATTTTCCAAAGTCATTTGAGTTAAGAAAAGAATACAGCTATTCTTCAGAAGGACCAAGCTACTGCAGGAAGCTTGCAACTTACCCCTGTGCAGATGAGCCCAGGGCGCCAGCTCCTTGCTGTGGGGCAAAAGAAAATTCGTCACATGAAAAAAGAAGTTGTTGACATGCAGCTGATTCTTACATAAAAGTGACGTCTATTATTCCTGGGTTTTGAGGAATGGTACCTGGAGTTCTCTTGGGTCCTGAGTTCAGATCTCAGAACCACTTACGTGTGCACGTGTTTTCATTTCTCTCTGGTGAGAAACTGGGAGTGGGATTCTGGTCATGTATTAGACATTTATCTTTTAAAGAAATGCCAAACTGCTTTCCAGTGTGGTGGCACTTTACACCCTCATTTAACTCCCACTAGCAAAAAAACGCAGGAGACTTGCAATTTCTCTACAACTTCACCAACCCTCGGTGGTGTCTGTCTTGTTGATGACAAGCATTCTCCTGGGTGTGTGGTAGTATCTGATTGTGGTTTTTATTTGCAGCTGCCTGATGTAGAATGATGTTGAGCATTTTTTTCCATGTGCTTATGTGGCATCCATATATCTATACATCTACATCTACCTTGGTAAGGAGTTTGTTCAAATCTTTTGCCCATTTTTTATATGTATGTATGTATTTTTATTTATTTTTGTAGAGATGCTCAGGCTGGTCTTGAACTCCTGGCCTCAAGCAATCCTCTTGCTTGGCCTCCCAAAGCACTGAGATTATAGGTGCTTCCCATTGTGTCCAGCCCTCTTGCCCATTTGAAAAACTGAGTTTTCTGTTTGTTTATGTTTTTGTTTGTTGTTTTTTTACAATTGCACTTTGAAAGCTCTTTGTGTCTTTGTGTATTCTGGACATCAGTCTAAGACTTGAAAATATTTTGTTTGCCTGTGGCTTGCACAGGAATGAACACCTGGCTTTATTGTGCATTGCTTTACTGCACTTCACAGATACTGTGTTTTTTCACAAATTGAGGGTTTGTGGTGACCCTGGTCAAGCAAGTATGTCGGCGCCATTTTCCCCGCAGTGTGTGCTCACTTCAATTGTCTGTGTAAGCAGCTTTTAGCAATAAAGCACTTTTAATTCAGACACATAGTTTTTAGACATAATGCTGTTGCACACGTCATGTAAACGTAACTTTTATAAGCACTGGGAAACCAGAAATTCATGTGACTTGTTTTACTGACATGTTTACTTTATTGTGGCTTTCTAAAACCAAACCTGCAGTATCTCTCATGTGTGCCTGTATTTTTATTTTCTTAATGGTGACTTTTGAAGAGCAAATATTTTCAATTTTGGTAAAGTCCAAACTATGATTTTTTTCTTTAATAGGCAGTGATTTTGGTGTCAGATCAAAGACAAGCTTTGTCTCACTAAAGATCACAGAGATTTCATTCTATGCTTGTTTCTAGAAGTGTTCTATGTTCAGCTTTTAAGTTTAGGTGTCAGATGGATTTGGGGCTAATTCTTCCGTGGCGAATGAAGTGATCCTGGGTAATCTTTGTACAGGTATGAAGAACTCAATCATTCTTTTTTCTTTTCCATGTGGATATCCAATTGTTCTAGTACCACTTGTTGAACTATAATTTCTCCCTATTTAATGATTTTAGTACCATTATTTAAAGTCAATTGACCATAAATGAAAGCTTTAACTTTGGACCTTTCTTCTGGTCCATTTCTCTATATCTGTCTCTGTCGGTGCCACACTGTTTTTATTACTGTAGCTTTATGTCTCTCTCTCTGTCAGCGCCACCTGTCTTTAGTGCTACAGCTTTATAGTAACATTTAAAGTCTGGTTGTGTAAGTTCTCCAATTTTATTTTTTCTCAAAATCATTTGGCTAGTACAGTAGCCTAGGTCTTTTGAATTTGCATATACATTTTAGGACCACCTTGTCATTTCTGCTAAAACAGAAGCCTGCTGGGGTTCAGCAGGGATTGTGGTAAATCTGTAGATAAGTTTTGGGGAAAATTGCCCTTTTAATAGTATTTTTTTCCAATCTATGAATGCTGTACACCTTTTCACTTAATAGAGCGTCTCTGACTTCTCTCAGTCATGGTGTGTAGCTTTCAGTGTACATATTTGCATAAGGTTTGTCAAATTTATTCTTTTTTTATTAGACTATGAAAGGAAGTTTTAAAAATATAACCCGGATTTTTCATTGCTGGTGGATAGAGATGTGCGAGCGTGTATTTTAATATGTGCCCCACATCCTTGTTAAGTGATTTAATTATCTTAACTAGGTCTTAAAACATACTTTTTAGGTTTCATTGTCTGCAAATAAACACAGTTTTATTTTGTATTCTCTGTGCCTTCATTTTCCCTGCTATGCTGGGCTGGCCAGAATGTGACTGTGATATCAGAAGTAGGAGGAAAGGGCGTCATCACCTGTGCCCAGCCTCCAAGAGAGGGTCACAAGCCTTTCACCAGTAAATGTCACGTCAGGTACACAGGGTGCTTTCCTATCATTCCTAGGTCACTGAGATTTGTTAAAAATCATGAATGGGAACTTGCTGTTAACAAACCCTTTTCTGCATTGATTGGCATGATTGCGTGGTTACCGTTCTCTATTGGACTAACGTGCTGAGCTGTAGTAATTGATTCCTAGGCCTTAAGCCACTGCTTACCCCTGGAGTGATATCACTTGGCCACAGTGCACATTCCTGCCCCGTGCTGCTCGATTTGGTTTCCCAAGGTCTTATCAGTGATCTCTGCCTGTGTTTCCTGAATGTACTGGCTTATGAATATCTGGTTTGGTGTCAGGTTGATAGTGGCATTGCTGAATGAGTTGGGAAGTGTTGCTTCCTTCTCTGTTTTCTGAAAGAGTCTGTGTGTAGGTTGTATTGTATTTTTTCTTTAAATCTTTGCTGGAATTCATGCATGAAGACTACAGGGCCTGGGATTTTTCTTCACTGGGAGATTTTAAATTAGTAGTTTAGTCTCTTGGCTGTTCTATGTCTATTTAGACTTTCTATGTCTTCTTGAGTTAGTTATAATAATTCATGTCACTTAACCGGAAAGGGAACTAACTTCCTTAAGTTAAAAATCATGTTTCAGGCCAGGTACAGTGACTCATGCTTGTAATCCCAGCACTTTCGGAGGCCAAGGCGGGCGGATCACCTGAGGCCAGAAGTTTGAGACCAGCCTGGCGTGTTAAAACCACATCTCTACTAAAAATACAAAAATTAGTCGGGCGTAGTGGCATACATCTGTGATCCCAGCTACTTGGGAGGCTGAGGTAGGCAAACTGTTTGAACCCAGGAGGTGGAGGCTACAATGAGCTGAGATTTCACCACTTCACTCCACCCTGGGCAACAGAGCGAGACTCTGTCTCAAAAAAAAAGATGCAAAAAGCACATTTCAACTTTGGAAGATGTATCGTGCAGTATAGAAATGTCCAGGAGACTCAGTTCCTTTCCTATCTTTGCACTAGGAAGTCCGTGGTGCATGACTGGTGTTTATGTTCACAAAGACACATAGACACACCCATGCACAGAGCCTCACACACAGACACACACACAGCAGAGTCCATGGGCTGCATCGGCCCTGAAGTAAAGGAGCATGGCTGAGAGGTCCCAACCACCGAGTGACCTTAGACATTGTCCCAGGCCTGGAGAAATGGAGCAGAGAGACAGGTGGTACCTGGAGAACTCCTTTGTCCATTTGCACGTATGGATCTTTCCTCACTGCTTGATGTTTTGAACTCTCTTCTTTGCGGTTATTAATGAGATACTCAAAGGTGGTCATCTTCTTGGCCTCTGGAAAGGGAAAAGGAGGAACAGGACAAGATACCAGCCCTGCGGCTTTGCACGGCGCCCACAGGACAGCTCAGCAGAGTGGCCAGTGCCACTGATCCGGCCCCTGCACAGGGAGAACTGCTCCGCCCACCATGCAGGCCCTGTGAGGTCAGGATGAGTGCAGGTGCCTTGTGGGCCCAGTTCTGCAGCTAGCTGATGGTCAGCAGGAGGGGTCTGCAGCTGCGACCTGGGGAACAGTGCTGACCCACGCCCCTGCCGCCTGCCACGGCCTCATTGAGCTGCATTGTTAGTGGTGTCAGAGATGAGCTGTCTCTCACAGACCTGGGTCCCCTATACCATGCAGCTTGAGAGGTTGCTCCAGATCCCCTGGGATCGCTGGCAGGGGTAAGAGACCAGCTCAGGAGGGGCCGCTCTGTCTGAGGGTCCAGATGGCCTGTGGGGTTCCCCACATCTGGACACTGGGTGGGGCGCACCTTGGGGGATGCACAGAGACCCCACAGTCGGAGGACCACGCAGTGGGGCGGCCACCCCGAGGTGCTGGCTAGCGGGTCCTGGGACCACACACTCCTGAGCGTGCTGAGAGCCCCAGGCCCAGGAGGTGAACACGAGTGCTGTGAGTGCCACTCAGCACAGCCTCTGATGGGGCTGAGACAGGTCACCATCCCTGCAGCCCTGCACAGTGCCCACAGGACAGCTCAGCAGGCTGGCCAGAGCCCTACCCACCTGGCCTGTCCTGCAGGCAGCAAAGCAGCCCAGGGAAGCAAAGCAAAACCTGATACACCCGTTTATCTAAAAGAGCCGTCTTAACAAACGTTAATAAAATGGGCTCTGCACCTATTTCAGCCACGAGCTTCCATGGAGGGGCCAAACTCTCCATGCTTCTTTCCCTAAACACCAACACCGTGAGAGCCGATGTCTTGTGACTATTTCTGGAGACTGGGGCGGCCGCCCACAGAGGCCTATTTGCAGTGAGGAGCAGATGGCGGTGGGCGCCCTGGGGAGCTGCCTGTGGCCAGCCCAGCCTTCACAGGATGCGTCTCACCACAGCCTCTCCAGTCCTGTGAGGTAGAGAAGAAGCTCCTGGACATCCTGGAGTCACTGCCCAGGGAGGCTCTGGGTCACGGGGGTGGGGACAGGCCTGGGCGTCCTGCCTCCCGCCCACAGCAGCCGACTGCCTGTCCTTTCATGTTTCTGCCACACTTGGTCTGGGCTTTGCGTTCAAGAAGCCCATTCCAAGTGCAGTGCCTGGCTCAGAGGACAGACCAGGTCATCCCTCCCAGCCCCGCATGGCTTCAGGCCCACTGCACTTCCCTGCTCTGCCGCCTGAGGCAAGGGCCAGCTTCTCTGCAGCACAAGGGCCTGCAGCACCCCACGTGCTCAGCACACAGTGGGCATTGACTATTTTAACCCAGGGAAACATTTTGTACACAAAGTTGGAAAAAAATGACAAGTGCAGACTTTGTATTACTGGGCAGTTTGAGCATCCCTTAATCTGCGGCACATGTGGATGAGACCATGTGGCCTCGGCCCAACCTCGGCCGATTCTCCTGTTGTGGGGGGACTCACCCTGACTCTAAGCATCTGAGGGTGAGAGATTTCCTGATAAGGAGAGATGATGAATTCTGGGTGGAGTGAAACTCCAGAAAAGCCTTCATAGGTGGTAAACCCAAAAATATTTAAATATAAGAGAGATTGCTAGATAATTCTAGAAAGTACTTTTAAAAATATTCCTGATTCTAAGAAGGGTGGAGAGTTTTGAAGGAGGCCCAAATGACTTCTCACTCTTAAGGGTTTCAGCTTCAGGAACAGGCAGCCTGTAACATTCTACAAGGCAGACGCGTGTCTCCATGAAGTTACACCTGAGGCTTTAGTTCCATTCCATTCAGTAAACATATCCTAAGCACCTATTCTATACAGGCACTGGCCTTGACATCCAAAATTAAAACTCTGAAAACAGCACATTCAGCTCTGTGTCCGTAGGATTTAATCCAGTGATTTTCATTGCACTTTCATTAAAAAAAATTCAACCCTCAGGCAAGACAACAGTGACTGTAAGATATGCGTTAGAGGTGTGTGTTTTAAAACATCCCCAGGGTTGTGTGGGGACAGTGGTTTGTAGGGTAACCTGTGGTTATGAACAAGGAGGCTCTTGGTGGGGTGTGTTCATTCTGAGCTGGGCGTTCTTGCCACAACTGCAGGCAGGGGATGCTCTGGAGATGGAGGTGAGCCCAGAGCCTGACCCACCCAACTCCCTCTGCCCTGACCAGGGGTTGGCCAAGCTGTCAGGAGCAGGGCATTCTTGGGGGCTGGCCTGGACACACTCTGCTGCCCGTGTCCACAGAAACCCCCTGAGAGGCCACAGCCTCGGGGCCACCACTGCCCAGAGAATGGAAGACGCTTTGCAGCTGGCCCACCATGACCAAAACGGCTGGTGCCAGGAGCAGGGAGGTTGTTGTTACTTCCAACACAGGTTTCCTTGGGGCTGGGGAGTTTACCCTCCGTCGTTCAGCAACATGACTGACCGCCTACCGCTGTGCCCACTGTGAGACCAAGCAAGACCACCAGCTCTCGCTTCAGTTGTTTGGTTAGTGGGTGACCTGCCTGTAATATATTTCATTGTTAGAATTTCTACTTGTGTTTTTGGAAGTCCACCTGTCCTTATTTCATAATGTCCTGTTCTTGCCTAATAGATTCCATTCCATTGTCTCTGAACATTTTAAACTTGTTACTTCAAGCACCTGGCACCACTCCTGCAGGTCTCGGCGTGAGTTCAGCTTCTTGCTGGGCCTGCTGGGTCCTCATGGATTTAATTTCTTCCTGTGATTTGCCCTTTTTGTCCATGATCTCACTTCTGGGAGAGGCTGACCCTGAACACATGCGCACACGGGGGACAAAGACTCTGGCCCCAGGCGTGGGGGGCTCAGGGTTAGGGACATACTCAAGTAGAGGTGTAAGATGAGCAGCTCTGACCACCCAGCCTTGGGGGGATCGGGGGCTTAGGGTGGGGGACATACTCAGGTAGATGTGGAAGATGAGCAGCTGGCCCAGGTGCACCAAGCCAAGAAAGTCCAGCAGGAGCACGAGCATCCCGATGATCACGACTATCAGGGTCTGCACCTGCACCGGGAACAGGGGGAGGAACAGCAGCCACGTGTTCATATTCTTGACATCTGGGGAGACAAGGGAGAGCCACTGTGTCCAGCACCTGCTGACGGGTGCCACATCAGGTGGACGTCACAGACCAGAGCGTGCTGGGGATGGGGCGGTGTGGGGACAGCCAGTGCGAGGGATGTCTCCCTGCCCAGGTGGACGCCTCCCTTACCTGAGTGCCCCGTAGGCCCTGCTGCCTTCGGTTGGTTTTCATGATCCCTGCTTTATGGATCTGGGAGGTGAGGCTCCAACATTGTCACTAAGTGCCGGGGTCACAGTGCCCACCCCTTCCTAAGTGCTGGGGTCACAGCGCCCACCCCTTGCTCACTAAGAGCCAGGGTCACAGCGCCCACCCCTTCCTAAGTGCCGGGGTCACAGCGCCCACCCCCCTTCCTCACTAAGTGCCGGGGTCACAGTGCCCACCCCTTCCTCACTAAGTGCCGGGGTCACAGTGCCCACCCCTTCCTCACTAAGTGCCAGGGTCACAGCACCCATCCCTTCCTTATTTAGTGCCAGGGTCACAGTGCCCACCCCTTCCTAAGTGCCGGGGTCACAGCACCCACCCCTTCCTAAGTGCTGGGGTCACAGTGCCTGCCGGCTCTGCCGGGCCCCAGCACCCATCCTTTCCTAAGTGCCAGGGCCCCAGCACCCACCCCTTCCTTACTAAGTGCCAGGGTCACAGTGCCCACCCCTTCCTTACTAAGTGCCGGGGTCACAGTGCCCACCCCTTCCTCACTAAGTGCCAGGGTCACAGTGCCCACCCCTTCCTCACTAAGTGCCGGGGTCACAGTGCCCACCCCTTCCTCACTAAGTGCCGGGGTCACAGTGCCCACCCCTTCCTCACTAAGTGCCAGGGTCACAGCACCCATCCCTTCCTTATTTAGTGCCAGGGTCACGGTGCCCACCCCTTCCTAAGTGCCGGGGTCACAGAGCCTGCCAGCTCTGCCAGGCCCCAGCACCCATCCCTTGCTCATGGCCCACTCTGTGTCCCTGGACCCGCTGCACCCTAAAACAGCTGCCTTCAAATAGAACAGGAAAGCCACAGCTCTCGCCTGGGGTCATTTCTAAGATATGGTCCTCTGTGACACTGGGCTGCCAACACTCAAAACCACACTTCCAAAAATCAGGCGTAATGCAGAATGGCAGAGGGCCAGGCAAGGCAGAATGGCAGAGGGTGGGGCAAGGCAGAATGGCAGAGGGATGGATTCAGCATGGATGTCTTTGGGTGACTCAGCATGGATGTCTTTCGGTGACAGACCCTCTCTGGAACTGGTGGCCTCGGGGCCATCCTAGAAGGCAAACACCACACTCAGCCTGACAGGACCGCAGCTCCATGTGCCTGGGCCGGGCTGGACCCCATGCTGCCCCCCTTAGCCAGTGACATCACGATGAGTTCAGCCCATGAGAAGAAGGAGCAGCTTTGCTCAGGGCCTTGCTGGTTTTGAAGCCCTGCAGAATCATCTGGAACAGCAAACCCAGGAATTCACTCAGGCCACAATCAATGAATTCACACGGAGACACTGGCACTGCCCTGTGGAAGCAGCATGTTCCAGGAGAGAAGGCAGCACATGCCATCTTGGCCACCTCTGCTCTCTCACTCTCCCCTGGCATCCCCCACAGGGAGAGCCCAGACAACATGGAGGCTGCTGGGGAAGGTGACTTGCTACTGGGGGAGAAGAACGCAACAGGCATCGTCCTGGGCTTGGGTCCGCTGAGGTCAGGGCCTCGCCAGGGTGGAGCTGGCTTTCAGGAAGTGCTTCAGAAGCGGCTGTGAGGCCCTGGAGGCATCAGTCACGCTTCGAAGTGGAAGGAGGAGCTTTAGGGACTTCCACGTGGAGCTGGCAAAGCTCATCCTTGAAAAAAATGTCACACCGTGTTGGCTCCGGAATGTTCTGGAACAAGGGCAGGCAAGTCCTCCCTGTCTCGCCACCCGGGCTGTGTGCAGTGCGGGTGCAGCCATGCCTGGGGCTGAGACTGGCAGTCTTGTCCTGCACCCCGAGGGGCTTCTCTGGCCCAGGTCCTCCTGGTCAGGGTCCTGGCGCTGCTGCAATAAATACATCAAATGGTGGCGGGTGGGGGCAGCTTCTCCAGCAGACTCTTGCAGTCTGAGGCAGGCAGGGCTCTGACGTCCAGCTGCAGGACAGTTGGGCACGCTGCCTCCGCAGGGTCCAGGGAGGTCTTCCCAATTTTGCCAGCTCCTGTGGCTCCCGGCGACCCCGGGCTGTGGCTGTGTGACTCCACCCCTGCCTCCATCCTCACGAGGCCACCTCCCCTCTGTGTCTCTCCTTTCTCTTACAAGCACACTCGTGGCTGGATTTGGGCCCCCTGGGACATCCCAGCACGACCCTCCCACCTCAGATATTAAGTCACAGCCACAGGCCCATTTCCCGAGGATGCTGGCATCACGGGATCTGGGTTAGGCGTGGACTCGCCTCTGGAGCCCACAGTCCTCACCGCCACGTCTCTCCAGTGGCTCAGTGTGAGCATCGGTTCCCGAGGCCCAGGCTCCGGGCCCACTTGGCCAAGGGCCTCAGCGCACCGCAGCCTACAGCCCAGCACCCTCAGCGCTGCCTCCACTCTCCCTCCCCATGGGCTGCTCCTGCAGGATGGGCACCCCCACCCTCCCACAACTACATGGCCCCACAGGATGGTGTGACAGGTGCTACAGGGATGACTGCGGAGGGCAGGGGCAGAGGTGGACCCCACTGTCTCTCGCCTGACACGACCTGGCAGCATCTACAGAGCAGCGTGGCCAGCGCCCTCCCCGAGCCTGCCTCCCGCGCGCTGGGGGCTGCTGGGCTGTATGAACACTGGGCTGCTGCCGTCGGGCCAGGTCAGAGCCTGCATGGGGCTGCCTGCCCCGGCCTCTCCCTGGGACAAGAGGGGCCGACCACCCCAGACCCGATACTACCACCCGGAAAGACGGCTGGAGGCGAGGATGAGGCCCCTTGAGAGCGGCGGCCACGTACCTTCATACCTGGGGTCCGTGCGGAGCACCCCGGGGTTCACGAGGTACTGGACGAGGACATACAGCAGGATGGCGATCAGGCAGAGCATGCCAGCTGTGGCCGAGGCCACAGTGCTGAAGAAGAACCTGCCGGGAGACACACAGGCAGGCATGGGGGTGGGGACGTGGGAGCAGTGGGGGCGCAGGGGCAGGTGTGGGGGGCACGGGGGCAGGGGGTGTGCACGGGGTGGGCAGGGGCGGGCGTGGGGGGCACAGCGGCAGGGGCATGCGGGGCATGTGGGACAGGTGTGGGGGCGGGGAGGCAGGGGCAGGGACACGCAGGGCATCTGAGGCAGGGGCGGGGGCATGCAGGGCAGGTGGGGGGTGCAGAGGCAGGGGCAGGGACACGCAGGGCATCTGGGGCAGGGGCGGGGGCATGCAGGGCAGGTGTGGGGGGCGCAGGGGTGGGGACGCGCAGGGCATCTGGAGCCCGCAGGGTGGAGGTGACAGGTCAGTGTGGGCGTCCACTTGAGGGCGCCTGGCCACCGCCCAACGCTGGCCTCAAACCCTGCTCCCGACCGCGCCTGGAAGCTCAGGCTCCTGTCTCTGTGCCGTCCTGTGACGCCCCCCCAGGTCTCCAGGCCTCTCGCTGGAGAGGGGTGGCCGTGGGACATTCCCACCAGCACACCGCCCGACAATTCAGGCAGCGCTTCTTGCAAACGTGATTGCCTTTAATCCCCACAAGGAACAAGGAGGTTGTGAGGAGGGGGAACCAGCCCTTTTCACGAGTGGGGAAAGTGAGGTCAGAGATGCGGTGCGACTCGCCCAAGCCTACCAGCGGAGCATGAGGGTCACACGGCGTCTCCAGTGTCACAGCTCTGGGGCCTCTGCCCGCACCTCCCGACTCCACCTGATGCAGACAGGCCTCCCTACCAGCCAAGGAGCACGCGGGCTCGGTCCACTCGGGGGGCCCTGAGCATGGTCTGTGCTGGGGTCTCCATGGCACCATGCTGGGCAAAGGCACTGAAGCCAGGGAAGGGGAGAGCCACGAGAGTGCCGTGGCACCCAGGAGGGCCTGCAGGCTCAGGGACCTGGATCTCTGCACCCAAAGGGAACTCGGGCTGAGGAGGCCCTGGAGGAGCCCGGCCACACCTCGGCTGCAGTCCCCCCTTCTCCAAGGGTCTCGTGCAAATCTGAGCCAAAAGCGATGTCCATGCTGTAGACGTGAGACCAAATCCACTCCCAGTCTCTCGTCTTTGCTCAAAAGATGCAGAGAATAATCCATCCACAAAAACCAATTCTGGGCAGCAGTTCCTGGAACATACTTTGACTAAACCATCTTCCCTTGGTCTTTCTGCCATGATGATATTTTTTTAAAAGTATCCTTTAACCTCCTTTAATCCTTTCCATTGTATTATGTTCACCTAAGCTTGTTTAAATCCCTTTTTCTATTTTCAACTGGAGGCCAGAGCATGAATGCCGCAGTCCTCCGAAGAGGCAGTTAGGGCACAGCTGCCTTCCCCGCGCTCCTCCTCCCTCCAAGAGTCTTCTGGATAATCCAGGGGTGACGGGTGGCTCCAGGCATGAGCGGCTCCCTGACTGCTGCTCCCTCATACTGCCTTCCCTCTCACAGCTTAGGTTTCCCAAGCAGCAGCCCCTCCAGGCAGCGGACACGCCCTACCCTGCCCCCAGTCCTCCTGGGCTTGAGCCCACTTGTGGGGAGTAAAGACCCCTCATCTTCATCCTACTGTCTGGACAGGACTCCCCTCTTCATCCAGGAAAGAAGGCGGGTCTCTAAGACCACAGAGACAAAAGCCCACAGGATGGGGCAGAGCCATTCACGCGGGGCCTCCTCTCCCCGCAGCCACCCAGGGACATTCTCCTCTTGGTTAGCACAGCCTCCTGCCCCTGCTGCCTGTGTTTAACCTGCAGAGTCCGAGGCCAGCGCTCACAGTCTTCCCAGGACACCAGCGCCGCCTGCCTTCTTTCCGTCCCCCTTCCTCTCTTATCACTACGAAGTATGCAGCCTCCCTCACAGGGGCTCTGCCATCAGCTGGGCCTCCCCATGGGGGCTCCGCCATCAGCTCGGCCTCCCTCGCGGGGGCTCTGCCATCAGCTCCTCAACTTTCCTCATCTTGCTCTCAATGCCGTTGCTCTCTCCGCCTCTGGCGGATGAAGGGACAGAAGCGAGGTTGGCACAGATGCCGGCGTTGGCTGCTGCCTGGAGCTGAGGGCGCCCATGACCCCGGCCCTGCTCTCCTGATGCCCCTTTCCCACACCCAGGCGGTGTCTACACTTGGCACCCACGTGGTCCCTCTCCAGCACCCCTCCTGAGGAAGGCAGACCCTCTCCTTGCCACCTGCCTGTGGGCCCTCACCCCCTCACCTTCCCCACCAGGACCCGCCAGATTGAGCCAGCTCGAGGCACCAGAGCAGAATGAGTCCAGAAGGAAGTGGCACCTGGGGCTAGCATGAGCCAGAGGAGCTGGCCCCACCTTGGCCATCGTGGAGCTGCTCTTCTCCAGGGGAGGAGGCCGGTGGGTCTCCCCGGCCCCTACCATCTCACGCAGCCTCTGGACTCGCTGTGCGGTCATGCAACCTCTCTGTCCCTGCCGGGCTGCTCAGCCTCTCTGGACACATGCTGTGCTCCAGACGGGATGGCAGGGAGGCAGGGCAGGGACCGCCCGGTGCGTCCTGTGACACCAGGCAACGTTGGTCCCCACTCCCACGCACACCAAGGCCTCTTTCAGGTCAGCACAGAGTAGCTGGGGAGCAGGCGTGGTTCTTTTCCCTGGTGATCTTCACAATACAGTGCTGCAGACAGCCGGGGCTCAGCACACGGGGCCTTGAGAGTCCCTGGATCCTCCACTGTGCTCAGGGGAAACACCTCTCATCTATGAGCCTCCACCGTGCTCAGGGGAAACAACCTCTCGTTCTTGAGCCTCCACCGTGCTCAGGGGAAACACGTCTCATCTGTGAGTCTCCACCGTGCTCAGGGGAAACACCTCTCGTTCTTGCACCTCCACCATCCTCAGTGGAAACACCTCTCATCCTTGCGCCTCCACCGTGCTCAGGGGAAATACCTCTCGCCTGTGAGCCTCCACCATGCTCAGGGGAAACACCTCTCGTCCTTGAGCCTCCACCATGCTCAGGGGAAACACCTCTCGTTCTTGAGCCTCCACCGTGCTCAGGGGAAACACCTCTCGTCTATGAGCCTCCACCGTGCTCAGGGGAAACACGTCTCATCTGTGAGCCTCCACCGTGCTCAGGGGAAACACCTCTCGTTCTTGCACCTCCACCATCCTCAGTGGAAACACCTCTCATCCTTGCGCCTCCACCGTGCTCAGGGGAAAGACCTCTCGCCTGTGAGCCTCCACCATGCTCAGTGGAAACACCTCTCATCTGTAAGCCTCCACCGTGCTCAGGGAAACATCTCTCTTCCTTGCATCTCCACCGTGCTCAGGGGAAACACCTCTCGTCTATGAGCCTCCACCGTGCTCAGGGAAACACCTCTCATCTGTGAGCCTCGACCATGCTCAGGGGAAACACCTCTCGCCCATCTGCGCTGGGTGCCCACTGCCCTTCCGTGGCCCCACCCTTGTGCTGGATGAGCCTCAGCCTGGGTGGAGAGAAGGCAGCCCAGCCCAGGACAGCGTGGTCAGGAGGCCTCAGCCAGCGTGGCCCCGCAAGTGCCCCCGGGGGGCCTCCAGGGACTTACTCTATGCGGATGAGCTTGTCCAGGGACGGCTGCACCACAGCCCCAGAGCCAGACAGGAGGCCGGGGCACGCAGGCACCAAGCGCCACCACATCAGGACAGGGACGCGGCCCCAAGAGGACCCTCCACCCTTTCAACACGATGACCCCTGCCCACAGACCCCTCCCTTCCAAATTCCCCCAAGCCTGGCCCGTGCCGGCCATCCCCTCTGTGCCCCTCACCAATAATTCCGGCTTCCCACGCAGTTGTTGATCCATTTGCAGTGGTGGTCGAAGCCGGACACACACTTATTGCAGGAAATGCAGTGTTTGGTTTTCTTGTTCCTGGAGGGATGAATCGGGGAACGCCTGTCAGGCCCCAAGTGCGCAGGTTGGGGCAGGGCCAGAGGTCCATCACTGGAAGCCAGGTGCCTCGGAGGAACCAGCCCTGTGCGGCCTGGGGAGAGGGCGTCCAGCAGGGAATGGGAGGCTGGGGGAGGGTGTTGAGGCCTGTGGGGAGGAGGAGAAGCAGGGCAGCTGTGGGCAGAGGTAGCCACAGAGCAGGAGGAGCTGTGTCTTTGGCCGCCCTGAGCATAGACCCCCCGCCAGCCGTCCTACACCAGCCTCACTCTGGGCCATGGCCCTGGAGGAGGCCGCGCCTGCCCCATGGTTCCAGGAGTTGAGGCCGGGGGCTTGGATCCCACCTGTGCCTACAGGGCCTCCCTTGCAGCTGACAACAGCCCTGTAGCCAACCCCTAGGCCATCACAGAGGCCTCCAGGGCCCCTGGAGACACTGGAACCCTTACCTCCCACTTTCCTAGGGGCTTGTCTTGAAACTCCCCAAGAAAGACAGTGCTCTCTTGCCCTGGGCCCTCAGGGGAGGGACCTCGTGCACAAAATCCACTGAGGACCAAACATGCCTGAGTGCTGCTGTGTTTCATTCCAGGGGAGCAGCGGGTCACCTGCAGGTGACAGACCCAGCCCTCCAGTCTCAGCCCTGCCTGCGGAGGAGTTGGGGCGGCCCGGCACCGCGCCCGGTTCACAGCGAGATGAGGGGCGATCCACCCGCAGCCACAGGGCCGGGCCCTGGAAGCTCCACTAGCATCAGCTGCGGCCATGGCACGGGCCCTGAGGGGCCAGCAGTGACCTGAGCACCAGGACCCTGGAGGTGACCCTGACACCTTGGGGCCTCGGCGAGGGCGGGCACTCACACGGTGACCTTGCACAGGTGGCAGAACTGATTCTGGATCACGTGTGCATGTTTTGATCTGTCGAAGAGGGGCATGGGCTGAGAATAGTTCTTCATGAGTCTGACATTGGAGTCGGCCGGGTCGATGCAGGACGCGATCAGGTGGACGACGAGGTGGAACGAGAAGATCCCCCCGGTCACCTGGCATGTCAAGGAAGAACCTGGCCCAGGGCCTGGTCAGCCTGGCACGAGGCGTCCCCGTGAGGCCCAAGGGCCCAGAAGAGGCGTGGCCGCTGGTCAGCCCTGCTCACCCAGCCCTGCACACGTGAGCCCAGCTCACCCAGGCCTGGCCCTGCTCACACAGCCCTGCACACCCAGCCCTGCACAACTGAGCCCTGTTCGCCTGGCCCTGCTCACCTGGGCGTGCTCACCTGGGCCTGCACACCCAGCCCTGCACAGCCAGCCCTGCACAGCCAGCCCTGCACACCCAGCCCTGCTCACCCGAGCCCAGCTCACCCATGCCCGGCCCTGCTCACATGGCCCTGCTCATCCAGTCTTGCACACACGGCCCTATACACCCGGCCCTTCACACATGGCCCTGCACACACAGCCCTGCTCACCCAGATCTAGAGGAGATGAGTCCACCCGTCGGCCCTGCACACACAGCCCTGCTTACCCAGGCCTAGAGAAGATGAGGCTACCCATTGGCCCTGCATACACAGCCCTGTGCCAGTCGGGGACCGGGAAGGCTGCCCCCGTGCCCCTTTTGGTTCATCCCTGTTGGACACAGGGCAAATCCCCCACAGAATGTACCGCACCCCCAGAGGCTCAGTCAGCCCAGCCAAGCACAGTGACCCCAAAACCCTTTACAGCTTGAGGGACAGAGCAGGGCCACAGGAGGGACATCCCAGGTATAAACACAGCCGGATGCAGCCCCAAAGGCCCTGGAGGAGCCTGGGTTCTTTCATACCAGAGACCCCTGAGCACTGGGAGAGAAGACAGCCTCAGACAGGAGGAGCAGGGGGAGGAGCGAGGGAGCTGCACAACCTACCCGCTCCCTGTAGACCCCAGACAGCTCACTCAGGGACCCTCTCCCCGAGAATAGCTCAGGGAAACCCCCCTCAGACTCCCTCAGGGCCCCTCCGGACTCTCTCGGGGACTCCAGACTCTCTCGAGGACCCCAGACTCACTCAGGGACCCTGGGCCTCTTTCTTGGGCCCTCTGGGCTCAGAGCCTGGCTGCGGGGGCACTGGGGAGAGGATCCTTGTCCCCTGGAGCCAGGAGAAGCTGGGCTCCCCGTGCCTGGGACGTCAGCTCCCGCCCTCAGATCCTGGCTCCCTCCTCCTCTCACCCTGGGACAAACACAGACTCTCCATGGCAACCAAATAGAAGGGGTGGAGTGCGGGGCCCTCCAGTCACCCTGCCTGGCCCCTGGACCGCCTTCTAGCCAGGAGTTCAGGGTTGACAGCCATCTCCGCAGGGCAGCCCAGAGGCCCTCGCAGTGTGGCCTAAGCTTGGCATGGAAACGCAGGCTGCCGACCTGCGGGGCATGGCGCTGTTCCTCCTTGGCACCAGGGGCAAGGAGAAAGGTGCTGGCCATGTGCAAAATGCTGCGCAGGGATTTTAGCGGAAGGCTGCCAGCAGGGCGGGTCCTGCGCCACGCCAGGGGGCTGCTGTCCCTCCTGACAGATTCCCTCTCCGGAGCCCCCTCAGCCAACGCTGTCCTGTCCTGACCCTAAGCAGGGGCTGCACAGAGCATGAGTGGCCACTGGGCCCACCTGCAGGCTCAGGGGACATAGTCTGGCCCAGGGCAGGTGACTGGTGCCACCGGGCAGCCATGGCCCAGACCCCACAGCCAGGTCCATCGCAAGTTCCTCCAGGAACCCCTCCCGCTTAGACCATGCCACGATGAAAAGGATACCACGTAGGCAATGTATTTCCACGCGTGAGGCAGGAAGGGAATGAAGATCCCGAAGGTGGCCGAGGAAAGGCCCACGAAGACAGCCCAGGTCACCACCTGGAAGTAGTGCAGGGGTAACGACCAGCCGTTCACTCTGGAGATGCGGGGCGGCAAGACCAGCTTTTCATTATTGAGTATGGCTTCTGGGGTGACGGAACACTGGCTCCCGGAGCGGGTGTCCATCTGCAGGACACAGAAGGGGAGGACCTGCGCCGTCAGATCCTGGGAGGGCCGGCCCCGCCCACTGTCACAGAGACCAAGGGGACTGGGAATGCAGCCGCCAGGACCAGCACTGACAGCCAATGGCCCAGCACTGCCTGGGGCCACGTTCCCCGCAGAGGGAGCAGGGGCTGGGCTGGAGTCGGTGCAGGGCCCCGCCCAGGGGAATGAACAGACATGCTGCAGAATGTGACCCCGGCCAGAGCCGAGTGGCAACGGAAAACGGCTCTCCAGGGTGTGGAGGACCCAGTGCCCGCGCGACCGCCCATCAGTTCCCCTGAGGATTTGTTACGTTCTGGGGAGTGCTCGACAGCCCCCACACAGCGACAGGTCCCACAACCCGTTCACGAATACACAGGCCCACCCAGGACTCCCCAGGTGCAAGAAGAAAACCCACGTCAGAAAGAGGCCACACTGAGCAGAGGGCTGCGCCTGTGAGAAACTGAGGCAATGCCTGAAGAGCTCGTGAGCCGTTACTCACTGGTGCAACACTGAAACCTGCCAGATCCTCCCTGAGAGGCTTCTCTGAGCTTCCCAGAGGAGCAGGACCCGAGAGCTCACTTCACAGGGTCCTGTGTGTCTCCCCTTCCACAGGACAGGGAAGCCCGTCCAGCCACGCGGGGCTGGGGTCTCCGCCCGGGTGGACAGTGGCTGGGAGGTTCTGAACACGCTGCGGCTGCTCCTGGCCAGTCAGGTGGGGAGGGCGGCAGGGGTGGGAGGGACGTGGTGTCACAGAGCGGCAGTGAAAGACACTCAACGGCCGCTACGGGGTGGGGGGTTGATCTTGAGGGGCTGGGCGGTCTCTACAGAGGAGGGTTAGGAAGCTTCGCCACGTTATGCCTCGCTCAAAGTCCTTGTTGTCTCTTTGGGAAAAAACCTTCAGAAAATGAAGTTGATATTAAATGTATTTCTTTGAGAAGAGAGACATTGAGAAATAGTTAACAATTCTTCGTTCTTGCAGTCGTGAACGTCCATGATACAGTGGCTCTGCGCTGCCTTTGGTGGCTCCTCCCTGGTCCTCTAAATGTGACACCAGGCGGATGCGGGGCCACAGGACCCTGGGGCTTGAGTCACACAAGAATGTCTCTGGGAGACCCGAGAGACTCACAGTTATGAAACAGGACCATGGTTCTTTGGCCGGGCGCGGGGGCTCACGCCTGTAATCCCAGCACTGTGGGAAGCCGAGGCGTGCCTATCACCTGAGGTCAGGAGTTCCAGACCAGCCTGGGCAACACGGCGAAACCCTGTCTCTACTAAAAATACAAAGATTAGCAGGGCATGGTGGCACATGCCTCTAATCCCAGCTACTCGGGAGGCTGAGGCATGAGAATCGTTTGAACCTGGGAGGTCGAGGCTGCAGTGAGCCAAGATTGCACCACTGCATTCCAGCCTGGGCAACAGAGGGAGACTCCATCTCAAAAAAAAAAAAAAGAAAGAAAGAAAAGTCAAAGTTACCAAGGAAGGAAATAGAAACACAGAAAGACAACCCTGTACATTAAAAACACAATTCCCAGTTAAAAACAAAACCCAAATGAAAGTGCCAACAAACAGAAATGATGTCGCCAAGTCACATTGGTAAAACCTGGAATATCAAATCCAGGAAGGACCACAGATCTTAGAGAGGAGAAGAGGGGAATCGCTCAGCGGCCTTGAGCCTTGAGCCTGGAGACAACACGTTCATCTGTCAGGATTTCAGAACAGAAAGGTGGAGAGTCTGTGAGAGAAAAAAGAAAACACTGAAGAACTTTGAGAAGACTGAAGACTTCAGGTCGAAACTGTGCACCAAGAGCTGGAAAGGATGATTGGAAAAAGTAATACATCCAAATTAGAGAAAATGTGAGCAAGCCAGGGAGACAGACCCCACAGAGGACAACGAGCAGCGGGGACAGACTCCACAGAGGACAGTGAGCCAGGGGGACAGACCCCACGGAGGACAATGAGCAGCGGGGACAGACGCCACGGAGGACAGTAAGCTGGAGGTACAGACTCCACAGAGGACAGTGAGCAAGGGGGACAGACCCCACGGAGGACAGCGAGCCGGGGGGACAGACCACACGGAGGACAGCGAGCAGCGGGGACAGACCCCACAGAGGACAGCAAACCGGGGGACAGACCCCATGGAGGACAGCGAGCCGGGGGAAGAGACCCCACGGAGGACAGCAAGCAGCGGGGACAGACCCCACGGAGGACAGCGAGCCGGGGGTACAGACCACACGGAGGACAGCGAGCAGCGGGGACAGACCCCACGGAGGACAGTGAGCAGCGGGGACAGACCCCGCGGAGGACAGCGAGCCGAGGGGACAGACCCCACGCAGGACAGCAAGCAGCAGGGAAAGACCCCACGGAGGACAGCGAGCCAGGGGGACAGACCCCATGGAGGACAGCGAGCAGCGGGCACAGACCCCACGGAGGACAGCGAGCCAGGTGGACAGACCCCATGGAGGACAGCGAGCCAGGGGACACAGGCCCCACGGAGGACAATTAGCAGCGGGGACAGACCCCACGGAGGACAGCGAGCCAGGGAGACAGACCCCACAGAGGACAGCGAGCCAGGGGGCAGAGACTCCACAGAGGACAGCGAGCCGGGGGGCACGGACCCCACGGAGGACAGTGAGCAGCGGGCACAGACCCCACAGAGGACAGTGAGCAGCAGGGATAGACCCCACCGAGGACAGCGAGTCGGGCACAGACCCCGCAGAGGACAGCGAGTCGGGGGTACAGACCCCACGGAGGACAGCGAGCCAGGGGGACAGACCCCACAGAGGACAGTGAGCAGCGGGGACAGACCCCACAGAGGACAGTGAGCCAGGGGGCACAGACCCCACAGAGGACAGCGAGCGAGGAGCACAGACCCCACAGAGGACAGCGAGCTGGGGAGACAGATCCCACAGAGGACAGTGAGCAGCGGGGACAGACCCCACAGAGGACAGCAAGCCCGGGGGACAGACCCCACAGTGGACAGCAAGCCACGGGGACAGACCCCACAGAGGACAGCAAGCCAGGGGGACAGACCCCACAGAGGACAGCGAGCCACGGGGACAGACCCCATGTAGGACAGTGAGCCAGGGAGACAGACCCCACAGAGGACAGTGAGCTGGGGAGACAGATCCCATGGAGGACAGCAAGCCGGGGGGACAGACCGCACAGAGGACAGTGAGCAGCGGGGACAGACCCCACCGAGGACAGCCAGCTGGGGGCACAGACCCCACAGAGGACAGTGAGCAGCGGGGACAGACCCCACAGAGGACAGCAAGCCAGGGGGACAGACCCCACAGAGGACAGCAAGCCAGGGGGACAGACCCCACAGAGGACAGCAAGCCAGGGGGACAGACCCCACAGAGGACAGTGAGCTGGGGGCACAGATCCCATGGAGGACAGCAAGCCAGGGGGACAGACCGCACAGAGGACAGTGAGCAGCCGGGACAGACCCCACCGAGGACAGCGAGCCGGGGGGCACAGACCCCACGGAGGACAGTGAGGAGCGGGGACAGACCCCACAGAGGACAGCGAGCCGGGGGGCACAGACCACACAGAGGACAGCGAGCCGGGGGGACAGACCCCATGGAGGATAGCAAGCCAGGGGGTCAGACTGCCCAGAGGACATTGAGCAGTGTGGATAGACCCCACCAAGGACAGTGAGCCAGGGGCCACAGACCCCACGGAGGACAGCAAGCCAGGGGGACAGAACCCACAGAGGACAGCGAGCCGTGGGGACAGAACCCATGTAGGACAGAGAGCCAGGGAGACAGACCCCACGGAGGACAGTGAGCCGGGGGGCACAGACCCTACAGAGGACAGAGAGCCGGGGAGACAGACCCCACGGAGGACAGTGAGCAGCTGGGACAGACCCCACAGAGGACAGCGAGCCGGGGGGAGAGACACCATGGAGGACAGCGAGCCGGGGAGACAGATCCCACAGAGAACAGTGAGCCAGGGGTCACAGATCCCACAGAGGACAGCGAGCGAGTGGCACAGACCCCACAGAGGACAGCGAGCCAGGGTCACAGACCCCACAGAGGACAGTGAGCTGGGGGCACAGATCCCATGGAGGACAGCAAGCCGGGGGGACAGACCGCACAGAGGACAGTGAGCAGCCGGGACAGACCCCACCGAGGACAGCGAGCCGGAGGGCACAGACCCCACGGAGGACAGTGAGGAGCGGGGACAGACCCCACAGAGGACAGCGAGCCGGGGGGCACAGACCACACAGAGGACAGCGAGCCGGGGGGACAGACCCCATGGAGGATAGCAAGCCAGGGGGTCAGACTGCCCAGAGGACAGTGAGCAGTGGGGATAGACCCCACCAAGGACAGTGAGCCGGGGGGCACAGACCCCACGGAGGACAGCGAGCCAGGGGGACAGACCCCACAGAGGACAGTGAGCCAGGGGGACAGAACCCACAGAGGACAGCAAGCCAGGGGGACAGACCCCACAGAGGACAGCGAGCCGCGGGGACAGACCCCACGGAGGACAGCGAGCCGCGGGGACAGACCCCATGGAGGACAGCGAGCCGGGGGACACAGACCCTACAGAGAACAGAGAGCCGGGGAGACAGACCCCATGGAGAACAGTGAGCAGCGGGGACAGACCCCACAGAGGACAGCGAGCCGGGGGGAGAGACACCATGGAGGACAGCGAGCCAGGGAGACAGATCCCACAGAGGACAGCGAGCCAGGGGGCACAGACCCCACAGAGGACAGCGAGTCAGGGGGCACAGACCCCACAGAGGACAGAGAGCCGGGGAGACAGACCCCACAGAGGACAGCGAGCCAGGGGGCACAGACCCCATAGAGGACAGCGAGCCAGGGGGCACAGACCCCACAGAGGACAGTGAGCAGCGGGGACAGACCCCACAGAGGACAGCAAGCTGGGGTCACAGACCCCACAGAGGACAGCGAGCCGGCAAGACAGACCCCATGGAGGACAGCAAGCCGGGGGGACAGACCGCACAGAGGACAGTGAGCAGCGGGGACAGACCCCACCGAGGACAGTGAGCTGGGGGGCACAGACCCCACAGAGGACAGCCAGCCGGGGGGACAGACCCCACGGAGGACAGTGAGCCGGGGGGACAGACCCCACAGAGGACAGTGAGCAGCGGGGACAGACCCCACAGAGGACAGCGAGCGAGGGTTACAGACACCACAGAGGACAGTGAGCAGTGGGGACAGACCCCACAGAGGACAGTGAGCCGGGGGGCACAGACCCCACAGAGGACAGACAGCGAGCGAGGGGCACAGACCCCACAGAGGACAGTGAGCAGTGGGGATAGACCCCACCGAGGACAGCGAGCCGGGGGGACAGACCCCACAGAGGACAGACAGTGAGCGAGGGGCACAGACCCCGCGGAGGACAGCAAGCAAGGGGCATGGACCCCATGGAGGACAGCGAGCAGGGGACACGGACGTCACATCAGCCAGAGAAGACTCCAGGACAGCTCCTTCCCCTCAGGCCCACGCTCAGCCTCGATACCACCGTGGCCTGTAAGCACGTTCATATACCACACCACACAATCCACATCACACACCATATACCACACAGACCACGTACCACACACACCACACACCACACAACACAGACCACACTGACCACACACCGCATACCACATAAAACACACAACACACACCAAACAGAAACCACAACACACAAAACACAACACACACACAAGACACCACACACACCATACACCACACGCCACACACCACACAATACATACCACATATATCATACAACACAGACCACCCACAACACATACCACAGACACACAACACAAACCACAAAACAGAAACCACACAACACACATCATACAGATTACACACCACACCACACGAAACACACGAGACCACACAATCCACAACACACACCACCCACACACCACACAATACACAAAACAGATCACACACCACACAACTCCATGCACACCACACATGCACCACACACCACACAAACCACACGCACACACCTCACGCCACACATATGCAACAGAAGCAAAACACACACACCAAACACACCACACACTGCACGTGCACCACGTGACAAGTACCAGACACCAACCACAAACGCATCACTCTCCCCATACCACACAGGGACCACACAATACACACAATACACATCACGCACACAGAATACACACCACACACAGCACACCACACAAACCACACACAGAGCACACACACTTGCACTACACACTGCACACCACACACACCAAACATCACACCACATACTGCACACATACCACACCCCCAAAATACCACACATACACCAAACCACACACCACACACACACCAAACCACACACCACCGAGCACACCCATTTGCACTACACACCGCATACCACACACAGCACACAAACCACACACACCACATACCGCACACATACAACCCCCACAGAATACCACACACAACACACAATGCTCACACTCCCACACACACCACACAATGCACACACACTCCCACACACAATTCAAGTGAAAGGAGCATCTGTGAGTCATGACACTGAAGACTTGTAATGTTGGGTTCAGGTCCCCTTAGCACGACTAAGGCTGGATGGGCCCCCCTGTGTTATGACAACCGGACCGATGCCCGGGGAACTGGCTGCCCAGCACCGGGGCCTGCAGCGCAATCCTGTGTGGTGGACCCCAGGCGCCTCCTGTCTGCCCCCATCTGTGGATGTGGAGACAGCCCCCTTCTCAGACTGGGACTCCATCCTTCTCTGCACCACCACACATGAGAACCAGCCCCTGCCACAGACCCCAGAGACCACAGGTGCCCATCCCACCCTATCAGGTCTTTAAGATGCCATGACCTCCTCAGTCTTTCCTGTTTCCATCTGTGTATATGACACCAGGCCCCCAGAGTCTGTCCCGGTCCCATCCCTGTCTTTATGACACCAGGCCCCTAGAGTCTGTCCTGGTCCCCGTCCTATCTTTATGACTCCGTGGTCCCCCGAGTCTGTCCTGGTCCCCATCCTGTCTTTACGACACCAGGCCCCCAGAGTCTGTCCCGGTCCCATCCCTGTCTTTATGACACCAGGCCCCTAGAGTCTGTCCAGGTCCCATCCCTGTCTTTATGACACCATGGTCCCCTGAGTCTGTCTCGGTCCCCGTCCTGTCTTTATGACACCGTGGTCCCCCGAGTCTGTCCCGGTCCCCATCCTGTCTTTATGACACCGTGGTCCCCTGAGTCTGTCCAGGTCCCCATCCTGTCTTTATGACACCAGGCCCCCAGAGTCTGTCCTGGTCCCCGTCCTGTCTTTATGACACCGTGGTCCCCTGAGTCTGTCCAGGTCCCTGTCCTGTCTTTATGACACCAGGCCCCTAGAGTCTGTCCTGGTCCCCGTCCTATCTTTATGACACCGTGGTCCCCCGGGTCTGTCCCGGTCCTGTCCCAGGCCTGTCTTTATGACACCGTGGTCCCCTGAGTCTGTCCAGGTCCCTGTCATGTCTTTATGACACCAGGCCCCTAGAGTCTGTCCTGGTCCCCGTCCTATCTTTATGACACCGTGGTCCCCCGGGTCTGTCCCGGTCCTGTCCCAGGCCTGTCTTTATGACACCAGGCCCCCAGAGTCTGTCCTGGTCCCATCCCTGTCTTTATGACACCAGATCCCCAGAGTCTGTCCTGGTCCCCATCCTGTCTTTATGACACCAGGCCCCTAGAGTCTGTCCAGGTCCCAACCCTGTCTTTATGACACCAGGCCCCTAGAGTCTGTCCTGGTCCCCATCCTGTCTTTATGACACCGTGGTCCCCCAAGTCTGTCCAGGTCCCCGTCCTGTCTTTATGACACCGTGGTCCCTGAATCTATCCTGGTCCAAGTCCCCATCCTGTCTTTATGACACCATGGTCCCACAGGTCTGTCCTCTTCATCCCTGTCCTTCCTTTATGACACTGTGGTCCCTGAGTCTGTCCTCACCGTCCCTGCCCTTATGACACTCTGGCACCCCTGAGCATATCCTCACTCTCCTCCAGCCCCCCAAACGTGTCCTCGTCCCCCTCTGGGCCTGCTCAGCCACGCTTTTTCCATGGGGACCCTCTGGAAGCCACCCCACCCTGGTGAAACCTTCCATTCCTCTACTCCCCACAGTGGAAACGGCCTTTTCTGAGGCCCCTCATAAGACAAATCCTCACAGCCTGAGTCCCGGACAGTCTTGCTGTGTTGCCTTTACTGCTTGACTCCTTCAGGAGTGCAGGGATTG
Source organism: Homo sapiens (assembly GCF_000001405.40). Taxonomy (NCBI): domain Eukaryota; kingdom Metazoa; phylum Chordata; class Mammalia; order Primates; family Hominidae; genus Homo; species Homo sapiens. Next base: position 858,827 of record NC_000005.10, read on the forward strand.
CATCTGCCTTTTGGGAACATGGGAAAGTAAGGCCCCACTTTCCTTACCGCCAGAACCCACAGTTCCTTCTCACGCCTATCACATCACAGGTCCAGGCTGAAGAGCAAGAGAAAAGCAGCGTCGCTCTCGCTAACTCCAGACCAAAGTGAGAAGTGGGTGGGCTGCCCTGGTCGACACGGTAGCCATGGAACCCAGGGCGCCTCACAAAGCCATGGCAGTTGGGAGGATGAGGGGACAAGGGGGCATGAGGAGGGAGGAAAGCGTGAGATGGACTCGGGTGGAGGTGAAATAATGCATGCAGTGGTCCATTTCCAAGACAAGGTGGCTTGATCCGGTTTAGGTCAGCAAACTACAAAAAAACAGGACGTACTAGGCCCCTGCTTGGATGGGCCCCAATGCCTGCTTGTCGGCCTCCCCCTCCCTGCCTTCCCACCTGCTTAGCCGCCCTCACCTGAACCAAAGTAGTCTAAGATGAAAGTTTACTAGCCTGCAAAAGAGCTCGCTTTGTCTGTTCTTATCAGCCTGCCCAGCTACTCAGCTCTTAAGTCAAATACCTGAAAAGCCCCTGAGCTGACTAGGATTGCAACGCGTTGTGGTCCGCAACAAAATGCAGCAAGACAACCCTAAAAAAAAACACCTAAAACCCCTACAACAACCAACAGGCGACGTCCAGGAAGACTGCGACCCCAGAGTACTCAGCCTAGGAGGAACCGGGGGAGGGACCTGCGCAGCTGGTTCTGAGCAAAGACTTTGGCCACCGTGGCTCTCACTGACTTCAGCACGTGTTTTCGTAGTCTCGCGAGTGCAGGGAGTCTCAGCATTTTAGCAAGTTGTTTCACTGGCCATCCTCTGAGCTCAGGAATTCGGTCACTGGCTTAACTCGGAGCACAGCTTCACCACGACCCATGACAAGGAAGGGTTTCTCCTGAGAAGGGCCAGCAAGTGTGTTTAAGGACATCCTCCCTCCTGTCCCTGCAGCCCTCCTCCCTCAGTACTCAAGGCATTTCCAGTTCGTGTCGGTTGGGGGGGGTCCCCAAGGACTCCTATCTGAATGCCTCCGATGCGGGCCAGCTGCTGACGCTGACTTTGGGGGTGAGGACGGGAAGCTGGACAGGGATGCACCCTTTCTGTTAGCAGGGGTCCCTCCAAGACCACCACCGTGAGGGAGTCGTCCACAGTCAGGGGCCCTCTTGCCGGCTGAAGCCTGCTGGGTCTCACTCTGGTGCCTGGAGCCTGCAGTGGCCAGAGGTCTGCTGCCCATGGACATCTTGTCTGTCAGGGGCACACACGAGGTACACAAGTAAGAGGAACAGCTGGGCTGGGGCGGGTGCCCAGGACGACATGGGGGGAAGGGGCAGGGAAGCCTACCTGACAGAGCTCTCCAGGACTCGGGGGCCCCTGCGGGGCAGCTGCTCTGGCCAGAGAGGCTGAGACGGTGCTGCTGGACCACTAAGGGTGACGGCAGGTCCCCCAGGACAAACGCCCCGTCTTGTAGCCTGGAGTGGCTTGTGAGGCCTCTTCCAAAGGTTTTCTTGCCAAACTCAGGACAACTGGCTTTTATTCACCAATGTCTGCAGTTAACGTCCTGACACCTGCAGGTATTGTGGCCCTGATGCTGTCTAAAGATTGAGGCAAACACCCTCAAACACACCTGCACACCCTCCTCCACCACCTGCACACCCAGTCTCAGTCCCCATGTGCTGCTGTAACAAAATACCTGAGACGGAGTAATTTTAAAGAACAGAAACTTATTTCTCCCCATTCTGGAGGCTGGAAGTCCAAGATTCAGGAGCCAGCAGGTCTGGTGTCTGGCGAGGGGGGCGCTCAGCTTCCAAGGTGGTACCTTTCTGCTGCATCCTACGGAGGGGACAGACACTGTGTTCTCACGTGGAGGCGCTGGGAGGGTGAGAGGTCTCTGCTGACTGAGGCCTGGTCTGCAAGGACCTTCATCCCCTTCACGGCCTCACCACTCCTAACACCATCACACTGGCCATTCGGTTATGACGCTTAAATTTTGGTGGAGACAAAAACCACAGCACACCCACACCCCGACCCCTCACACCAAACACATCATGCACTCGCACACCCACACACCCACCTGCACCCCATACACACTCACACACCCAATACCTGTACCTCATACACATCTGCACACCCCCATACATGCACCTTCATACGCACCTGCATAGACCCCATAGCTTCACCCCCATACACACCTGCACACCCCCACACCCGCACCCCATACACACCTGCACACACACCTGCACCCCATCCGAACCTGCACACCCCCACACCTGCACCCCATCCGAACCTGCACACCCCCACACCTGCAGCCCATGCACGCACTCCCTATCCAGACTGAGGTCTTGGAGGAGACCCCTTTGCCCCTCCTCTGCCTCCCAATTCAGAACAGGAAGCTGTGAGCTCGGGGAGGGGTCAGGCACCTAAAAGTTGACAAGTGCCCAAGGTTAACAGATGGTGGGGGAGGCTCAGCCACACTCAGAGGACCTAGGGTAGTTCTGGGCGACTGGGCATCTGCCTCAGTTTCCCCACCTGCAACAAAGCCCTGAGGGCACCACGGGGTGAGCGGATCTTGGATTCTGCAGGCCCCAGAACCACCAAAGGGTGGGAGGGGCTGGACAGAGGTTGGAAGTGTGGCCCAAGCCAAGCCCAGAGGATGCCACCTCCCACACAGCAGGTCCCACCACCCTCCTGCTTCCTGGCTCAGACAAGCACAGGCTTGCAGGGCCCTGGCCGGCGATGCACAGCTGCTGGCCCTCACGCCCCACAATCTGCAAGTGGTCCCTGTCACTGCCGCCCTCTGCTCCCAGCTATCTCCCCCTCCCCTACCCAGGTTCTGCCCACATCAAGCGGGGAGCAGGGTAGGGGGTACCGGTAGCTGTTCCCTGCCTGCACAGGGAGAGCTGGAGCTGCACACCCAGCCGCTCCCCAGGCTGAGACACGGCCATGTCTGTGGGGCCTCCCTGGAAAGCTCTTGTGTCCTGTCAGACACAGGCGTGGCAGCCTGTTCCCCTCTGCCCCTCCTCTGGCCTCAACGTGAGATGGCTGCCACAGCAGCAGTCACTGTGTGACCACAAAGGAAGCATCCAGGGACCAGAGAGAAGCTGAGCTCAGGGAAGGCCCCAGCCCCTGCTCCCTCCACCGTGGCTGCTCTGTGCCCTGGCATGCGGGCTTGGGGACACCCAAAGGTGGTGTACCCACAAAAGAGGGTGGAGGGGCTCACGGGCTGCTAGCAAGAGCAGAGGCTGCCGGAATCCCGGGGAGGCCACGCATGACCTACCTGGACAGCTCCAGCCACCACTAGGGCCCTCTAAGTCCTGCAGGATCAGCTGACCAGGGTGGCCCCGTATCTGCGCAGCCCAAGGGGCAGCGGGAGGAGCCCTGGACTCTCCAGCCCACTCCCATCTCCTGACCCGAGGGGAGCCTCTCGGCCTGTAGGTCACCCATAGGCCTCTTCAAGATGTCCCCTCATTGCACACTCACTAAGACTGAAGCCACGTGGTGGCTGCTGCCCAGTGCCCCTCTCTGCTGGGACCCTGTGGACCAACAATGCCGCCCAGAGGGATAGCCAGTCTCGGGGACCTCGGGGAGTGAGGGGTGCAGGAACAAGGGCCAGGCCACCAGGAAGCCGGGCAGGGTGGCTGCCTCCCGCAGCTCAGCACTGCCTGTGGGCTGCACCTGACCTCCACCCAGAAACTGCTTCAGAGCGCTACGAGCCCAGAGGGACGGCCGCCCACGCCTGCCGCACCATGAGGGCACAGCTGTGTCATCTCGATGCAGGCTGCTTTGTGCTGCTGTAAAAGAATGCCTGAGACTGGGTAACCTGAAAGACACGAGGCTTATTTGGCTCATGGTCCTGGGGCTGCAAAGTTTAAGACGGGGCCCCAGCATGTGGCGAGGGCTCCTCCACTCACAGTGGATGTGGAGCGAGGTGTTCAGAGATCGGATGGTGGGAGGACACCTGACTCCACAGCAACCTGCTGTCAGGAGCCACGTTGTTCCTGAGCCCAAGCTCTCCAAGGCTGTACCCTGGGGACCCGGCTGTGGGAAGTGTCTGTCCTGTTAAGGGAATCCTGGCCTCTGGAGCCCCAGTGGAAGCTGGGTGCGGTACACAGCCCCACTGAGCTTGGGACTGCAGATGCTGCCTTTCCCAGCCTCCCTGCAGCAAGGGCGTCCTCCCAGAGTTGGGGGTGGGGAGCAGAGCCTGCAGGCAGCCACTGGAACGGTGCACTTGGTGGCATCCAGGGACAGGATGGCAGGTGCAGCTGTGCAGACAAGCGTGGAGTCTGCTTCCCAGCCAGCACGGAGGGTGCAGCCCAGGCTCTGCCCCTCGTCTGAGCCCTGTTCACAAACTCTTCCTGTGAGTCAGCTACTGTGGCTTCTTCATGCTCTGTCCAGAGGCAATGGCTTTGCTCCCACTTCCACCAGGGCCCAGGAAGGACCTGAGAATGCTCACCCATGCCACACAGAGCACCGGCCACCCTGCTCACCCAGCGTCAATGGCCTGCGAGGGTCAGCCCTGTGGTCCCGTGGTGTGAGGGCCCAGGCACTGCATACTGCCCCCGGGGCCTCTTCAGAGTCACAAATGCCGCTGCCCCCAGGACGACTGAGCTCCCATCCATGCCTGGCCTCTGGAAGGTGTGGCTTCTTCACTTTCAAGTTTCCATGGTCACAGAGCAGGGCACCCTGCAGGAGGTGCTGGTGGGCGCACAGGTGCACCTGATGTCACTGTGGGCACGACAGCTGGGCCAGAGGACCACCACCAGCTGGTAGGACACAGCACCCTCGCGTGCTGGGAGCAGTTGGGTGCACTTTGGCGCTCTGTGTCTTGTGACTGGAAGCTGTGTTTATGGTATTTTGCAAATACTAACATAAATGGGCACTCAGTAAACACCCAGTTAGAAAACGTTTTATGGACACGGAACGCTCCACTGTAACGGGCAGGCAGAACACACTCCTTTCCCAGGCTCATCAATTAAACAGAAAACAGGGGAGCTCTCCTCACCCCAGCCTGGCCCTGTGCTCCCCAATGGCCCCTGCGAGGCCCCTACCATGGCCTGCCTGGGAGACACAAACTATGACAGGAACACACTGGACTGATACAGAATGAGGCCAGACACACCCATGCCTGTGCCTCCCAAGAGCGACCCCAGGACAGTGGGGCAGACAGAGGTGTCTACACTGGCAGAAACAAGGGCTGGAGCCACACGTGATGCTCGGACACAAACGGCACGCAGCTCTGCAGCCTGGCCACACACCCTTCGCGTATGACTCCACTCCTCAGGGTTCACGGGGCTGTGTACAGAGACTCTCTCTGCTGACACGATGGCCACACGCCCTTCGTGTATGACTCCACTCCTCAGGGTTCACGGGGCTGTGTACAGAGACTCTCTCTGCTGACACGATGGCCATATGGCCTTCGCGTATGACTCCACTCCTCAGGGTTCGTGGGGCTTGGAGACTCTGCTGACATGATACCACAGACAATTCATTACCTCCCCGCGGCTGCTTCCCGCATGCCAAAGGGGACAGGATCAAAGTCCTTGTCTGATGACAAAAACTCTACACGTGCAAAATAAAACTAAAAAAATAAAATAAAAGAGCTGAAGGTGGTCTAGAGTTAGGTCTTGGCAGAGGCCGCAGGCTCTGGAGACTGAAGAAACTCATAGGGGTCGTGGGTGACGTCTGGCTGCTCCCCGACACTCAGGCGAGAAGGGCTTCCTGCAATTTTCAGAACACAGGACTTCAACACACAGGACAGACCCGCAGCACACGTGGGGCTCCTGGAGCCCAAGGTCTGCTTCCTGACCTACCGCCAGGGCTCAGGGACTCCCAGGACACAGGGGCACCTCTCACTCCCTGCCAAGGAGAGCTGTGTGTAGAGACCCTGGAGCCAGGGGTCGCCCTGACCCAGCACACAGCACGGATGCTGCTTCTGAAGGAGAGAACGCTCCTTGGCCAGGAGTCCCTCAGACACAGCCCAGACCTCAGGGCAGTTCCCAAAGTCATACTGGGATATCGGGGGCCTCAGACTTTGACCTACGGCCCTCCAAAGCCTGCTCCATGCACTGTTAACACCCTGATCACAAGGTCAATGGAATCGAAAATACCGGCCTTTTTGCAGATGGTTGCAGCTAAACCTCTGCAGCTGAAGAACTGCCAAGATTCACTCTGCCGACAGAGTGATCCAGTGTTTACAAGTGGGAACAAAACCCCACCCACCAAAACCACTCCAGGACACATGGCCAAGGAAGCCATGCTCTCTCCCCAGCAGAAACACTGGAACCAGGGTCCACAGAGGGCACAGGGGTGGACAGAACTGGGGACGGTATCTGGCAGAAAGCCTGTAACCCAGCGTGCGGCCAGGCCAGCATCCCAGCTCCGCTCCGGCTCTGCACCGAGGCCGCGACCCAAGGACATCTGTGGAAACCGACCTCCACAACAGCACCGCTGCCCATGCAGCCTCCAGCCTTCCCACAACTACAATGCTGCCCACTACCTCGTCTAGACGTCACACTGACTGTGCTGGGGTCTCTGGGGATGCGGCGTGGGTGGGGGCATCTCACCCAGGTGGTGCTGGTCCCTCTCGGAGGCGTTGGACAGGGAGCTGAGGTTGGACGACGGCCGAGAGCCGCCGCGCTCCGCCTGTGCTTCGTGCAGGTCCTGCAGGAGCTTCGTCGTCTCATCCAAGTTCAAATGGCTGTCGTCAGGGTCCAGCTCCTTCTTCACCTTCCCTGTGTAAACAGGACATGACCCCACGTCGGCTGAGCTCAGCCGGCCCGTCTACCCTAAGGGCAGGAGCACACTGCCCATCCAGACAGGCCTCTCTGCTCAGGACAATAATTGCTCTGGAAACTGAGTGGACGAGCTCACAGCAGACAGGTGGACAGGCCTGGAGGACAGACATTACCCTTAGCAGTGAGTGAAGGGAAGGCAGACACCCAGCGTCCTTTGCTCAAGCAAAGCATCAGACAAGACCTAGCACCGCACAGACCACGTCATGGCACGCACAGACACCGTGGAGGGATGTGGCCACAACCCAGGATGGGCCTGGTGTGGGCTCCTGTCCTCAACACACAAAGGCCAGACAGCTGGATGGAGGGTGCAAGAGGCCGGCAGACCCTGGTACCCGCCCAGTTCACTGTGGAGCAGGTTCCAGGCCACAGCCATCGGGGACCCAGCACGTCCAGCTGAGAGGTGGAAAGGATGAGCTCCCAGCCCACTCCTGAACTGTGCACCAGACATGCCAAGAACCTGCACACAGGTCTGTGGTCACCTGAGCCCCACCAGCCAGGGGACCAGCTTCACCCTCCCCGGGGTGACTCTGGGCTTACCCTGACAATGCCTGGGGAAGGTCCCACAGAGTCTAAGCCACTTCTCAAACTCAGAACAAAGGCCGCCAGGCCTCAAAGGTGTGTAAGCAGACCTATCACCCAACGGCATCAACTACAAACTCCACCTGGTATCCAGTAAATGATTCCAACACACACGAAGGAGCAGGAAAACACAGCCCCAAACTAGGAGAGACTCAAAGCTGATATCAGGGAATCAGTAGACAAAGTGTAGTAACAGTGACTACAGACATGCCCTGTAGAACTGGGTAATGAGCAGAGGCTAGAACAGCTGGGAGAACTTAAAGACAGGAAGATGAGGGAAAGTTTGGAACTACCTAGAGACTTCCTGCATGGCTATGATTCAAATGCTGATAGTGATATGGACAGTGAAATCCAGGCTGAGGTGGTCTCAGATGGAGACGAGGACCCCATTGGGAATGGGGGCAAAGGTCACTCTTGCTATTCTTTAGGAGAGACTGACAGCACTGTGACCCTGCTCTAGAAATCTGTGGAACTTTGAACTTGAGAGAGATGATTTAGGGCACCTGGTGGAAGAAATTTCTAAGCACTAAAGCATTCAAGAGGTGACTTGGCTGCTTCTAAAAGCCTATGCTCACTTGCACAAACAGAAAAATGACCTGAAACTGGAACTTATATTTAAAAGGGAAGCAGAGAGTAAAAGTTTGGAAAATTTGTACCCCTGCCATGTGGTAGAAAAGAAAAACCCATTTTCTGGGGAGGAATTCAAGAAGGCTGCAGACATTTGCGTAAGTAAAGAGGAGCCAAATGTTAATACCTCAGGGACATTTCAAAGACCTTTGCCCAGACACTGCCATCACAGGCCTGGGGGTCTAGGAGGGAAAAGGGCCCCACTACTCTGTGAAGCACTGGGACATGTGCCATGGTGCTCTGTGTCCCAGCCATGGCTAAAAGGGGCCAAGGTACAGGGCTAAAAGGGTCGATGCTTCAGAGGGTGCAAGCCCCAAGCCCTGGAAGCTTCCACATGGTGTTGGGTATGTGGGTAGGCAGAAGGCAAGAGCTGAGGTTTGGCAGCCTCCACCTAGATTTCAGAGGATGTATGGAAAAGCCAGGGTGTCCAGGCAGAAGTCTGCTGCAGGGGCAGGCCCTTCATGGAGAACCTCTGCTAGGGCAGTGCAGAGGGGAAATGTGAGGTTGGAGCCCTCACCCCACACAGAGTACCCACTGGGGCACTGCCTAGTGGAGCTGTGAGAAAAGGGCCACCGTCCTCCAGACCTCAGAATGGTAGATCCGACAGCTTGCACCATGCCATCTGGAAAAGCTGCAGGCACTCAACACCAGCCAGGGAAAGCAGCCACAGAGGCTGTACCCTGCAGAGCCACAAGGGCGGGGCTGCCCAAGGCCGTGGGAGCCCATCCCTTGCATCAGTGTAGCCTGGATGTGAGACAAGGAATCAAAGAAGATTCTTTCGGGGCCTCAAGATGTAATGACTGCCCTGCTGGGTTTCAGATTTGTAGCCTGCTGCCCCTTTGTTTTGGCTGATTTCTCCCTCTTGGGATAGGTCTATTTACCCAATGTCTGTACCCGATTTGTATCTTGGAATTAACTAACTTGTTTTGGATTTTACAGGCTCACAGGCAGAAGTAACTTGCCTTGTCTCAGATAAGACTTTGGACTGTGGACTTCTGAGTTAATGCTGGAATGAGTTAAGACTTTAGGGGACTGTTAGGAAGGCATGATTGTGTTTTGAAATGTGAAAAGGACAAAAGATTCGAGAGGAGTCAGGGGCAGAATGATACAGTTTGGCTCTGTATTCCTGCCCAAATCTCATGTTGAATTGTAATTCCCAATGTTAGGGGAGGGTCCTGGTGGAAGGTGATTGGATCATGGGGATGGATTTCCCCCTTGCTGTTCTCTGTTCTCATGATAGTGAGTGACTTCTCATGAGATCTGGTTGTTTCAAAGCACTTCCCCCTTTGCGTTCTCTCCTGCTCCGCCATGTGAAGACATGCATGTTTCTCCTTCATCTTCCGCCATGATTGGAAGTTTCCTGATGCCTCCCAGCCATGCCTCCCAAACAGCCTGAGGAACTGTGAGTCAATTAAACCTCTTTCCTTCACCAATGACCAGTCTCAGGTGGTTCTTTATAACAGTGTGAGGACAGACTAACACACCACAGCACATCAGCACCAAAGCCCATCAGCACCAAGCTGCTGAGAAGTAGTAATAAGGACAAAATCTTAGAAGTGCTGAGAAAAACAGCTGCTGTGCAGAAAAGTGCTGTCACAGCGGCCTGGGGCCAGGGTCCCCTGGAAGGCAAGGCCAGCCACGGCTGGCATCTGGGGTCCCCCCCAGTGCTAGGGATTGTTCACAGCTCCAACAACAGGAGCAGAGTGGTTTATGCTAAAGTTCACCTTCCCTCCGGGGTCTGGACTTTGGTACCTGCCTGGCAAGGGGGTGCCCTGTGACCCCGAGCACCAAGCCTCTGACGGGCTTCCCTGGTGGGCATTTCACGTGTGTTGTCACAGCTCACTCCTGGGAATTAAGCGTGTCCCATGTGCCTCTGCTGGGAGTGGATCTGGGCCTCACGCTGGGTTTCCTTGGATGTCACTCTTGTCCCTCTGCTGCTGTTGGCACCCTTCCCCTATAATAAATCACGGCCATAAGTGCCTGAACAGAGCCAGCAGAGACAGGTGGAACGTCACCACGCAAAGCAGTGGGACCCATGGATCCAGGCACCACAAATGCTGCTGGAGGTCAGAACAGCTCGGGGGCGCTGCACCGGCAGCCTCCCAGGTGAGGGCACAGTCTCCAGGATGGCCCCACCGGCTGATGCCAACTGAAAGCCCCAGGCTGTGGTCTGTGCTTCCGACTAACCAGCTATCAAATGGGGTTCCCAGAAGACCAGACTTGAGCTCTATGAATTTCCTAGAGTGACTCACAGAAGTCAGGGAAACATCTGTAAATGAAAAATAAAATTCTAAGCCCCATGGACTGAACGGATTCCCACTCTTGGCCAAGGGCACTCCAAAGTCAACCTGGAAAATGAGGTCAGGCCATGATGTGAAGCGGGACTGGACTTGCCTCATTATCCCCTCTTTTGGAATTCAGGCACAGCTGACCAGCATTAACTTTAAAACAGAAATCTGAAGGTTGACAAAGCAGACTCCGTGGTAATAAGACACCAAATTCCGATCCGACTTTAGTACAGCATCACGTGATAGATGGCAGGCCCTGAAAGAAACTGAGTATTTTATCTCAAAATATATCCCTTTGACATATTTTGAAATAGCCCTGCAAAGCTGTATCTTGTGGGAAAAATCTACATTCTGTAGAGAATCTCCTGCCCCTTCCAAGTCTCTTCCTGACCCAACAGAGATTTAACTAACAATCTGGTACCTTTGAGGGCCTCATGAGTGATGTTTGCCATCTACTCTACTCTTTTTGAAGCCTGCTACCTGAAGGCTGAATTCATCTATGTGACAAGAACCTTGGCTTCTACAACTGCTTATGTTAACCATGCACATTTCTTTCTGACTTCAGCTCTTCAGAGCTTAACCCTTTCAACCAAATGCCAATCAGGAAATCTCTGAATCCACCAACGACCCGACATTCCTCGCTTCAAGTTGTCCCGCCTTTCCAACACGAACCACTGTTACAACTGACATGTACTGACTGATGTCCTCTGTCTCCCTAAAACATATCAAAACAAGCTGCAGACCAGTCCTCCTCGGCAAATGTTCTTGGGACCTCCTGGGACTGTGTCACAGCCACGGTCTTCGTATTTCACTCAGAAGAAACCTCTCTAAATACCCTGCAGAGTTTGACTCTTCTGTCCACACACTAGGCTGACATTTACCCATTTATTCTGCGGGGTGTCACCCAGGGTACGGATGGGCCCCAGGTGGGAGCGATGCAGAGGGGACCCGTGGGAAGGGGCTGCCTTCTTCCCAGAGCCTCCAGGCGTCCAGCAATGAGGCTCCCTAGGGAACCCCACCTTTTGGGATTTCATGGAGGCGGTAGGCAACACTGATGAAATCCACAGCCACTGGGGATCGGCCAGACCCCATCCTGAGGTTACCCAGGGGCTGCAACCACTTCTCATTAGCTTAAAAAAGACACAACACTCAGGAGATTCCAAGGATTTTAGGAGCTATGGTCCAAAAACCTGGGACAAAGACCAAATACCGTAACAAAAGATTTTCCTGGCATCCCTGTCTAGTCAGGAAGGGAGAGGAGGTGGAGGCCGTGTGTTTTCTTCCTCTATCACACCTTCACCAGGTGCTGTGGGAAAGTGCCTGTTACAACTCACCCAGAGAGCTGAGCATGGAGATATCCACAGAAACGTCGGGATAGGACTTCATCGACATGAACTCCAGAACAGAGCTGCTGCTGTCTCCTAGGGTGTCCCCAACCTGTGGAGACAGACACACATCAAGAGCAATTCAAACATCAAACGAAAAACGAAATGTTACTTCACACTCGCTATTGAAATCACTCTAATTATTTGCTAAACGTGAACCCACCCCTCAGTAAGTGACAAGACCAAGCCCTGTTCACTGAGGCTGCTGTTCAAGGGACTGTCAGGTTGGAGCTCATGAATGGATATGCAAATCCATGTCAAAGAAAAACCTACTGAGACCAACAACGCAAACTAACAATCCTTTGTTAACTTTTTGGGGCTAAAGAAATTGGGGAGGGACATTATGCAACAGGAAGACACACAGAATTTTAGGGTCCAGGACTATTTCTCAGGCACTTCACAGAGCACACAACGTTCCCTTTCCTTTCCCAGCAAGGCGTGTCCTCAGGGCTAGACTACAGCCACCCTAACACATACTCTCTCATCAGCTCCCTGCAGCTCGGCCTCTGCCCTCAAACAGATGTTAAGGGGTCTCTCCAGGTTCCCAGGGACCCTGGACCAAAGCCCAAGCCCATGCCTGCTGACTGTCAGAGACACACACCTGCCAATCGGCAGGTGCAGCAGTCTGGGCTCACAGCACTGCCCTGCCAGCACTGGCCCCAGAGCCCACTGTGCTTGGGACAACACCTGCTACTCACCAAGCAGGTCCTGAGAAGGCCCATCCTGCCCAACCCTTGCAAGGGTGTCCCACAAGGACAGCACCCAGCGGGGCCAACTGCTCTGAAACTACCCATTTCTGGATTTGGAAGAATGTACTGCGGCTTCACACCACTCACCTCAAGTCATGAAAAGAGGAGGAGAAACACTATTGATCTTACTGATCAGAAACGGACTCCATTTCTAAACGCCGTCATACACACAGACCTCCCCACCTCAAAGGCTGGATACAACTTTCCCTGTGAGAATAATATTTGGCTTGCCCTTCCATGTTCAAAAACTTACCTTGGCTTCATCTGGAGGCTTCATGGGAACATTTCTTCTCTGAAAAGTAAATGAGGACAGAAACTAGTTTTTCCAGAGTGATTTCATAGAAACGGACAATTCGCTGACATTACACACACGTAAAAATGGCTTGTGCGCTTCTGCGAATTCTGCTCCCCAGTCACACCATCTTAATGGATTAAGGCTGGGGGTCCTCCAAACCTTCTTCATCACCAGTCACTGACCCAACCACGCCCAGCCCCCTCCTCAGCGCCAGGATTGTGTGCCGGGGACAGCGCTCCACAGGGCGAGATGGAGCGGACAGAGAGAGGACGCCGATGCTGTTTCGGCAGCCTTGGGTGGCTTAAAACAAAAGAAAAAAGATGTGCCTAGATCCTATGGGAAGCTTAGGATAAGAAGGGTCTCGTGGGTTCCACCTGGAATATGACCAGTTGCCTGAGACCAGCTCGAGTCCTGCAGGGGCAGGTGTGTGCAGGAGCAAAGGAGGCAGACACCTCCTGGCAGTGCCTGTGGCAGGTGGGCCTGCCGTGGGCGCAGGAGCGAAGGAGGCAGACACCTCCTGGCGGTGCCTGCAGCAGGTGGGCCGGGCCGTGCATTGTCTCCTTCCACAACTGTCGGCCTCCGTGGCACACCCGTCCTGTGCTCCGGTGGAGCGATGCTGTAGTATATGCACTCTATCATGTGTGATCTTTGTTCGAAATAATGTTTCTCAGATTCAATGACATCGATTTTCACAAGCTTTTAATTAGAAAATGAATACTGCTGTTTTGTTCGCATCTGTTTCCCCAAAAGCCTTCAGTCACTTTAGTCCTGAGCATCATTTACTGCGGGGGTGCACTCGGGGTCACTCAACTCCATATCCAAGTTCACTTTCCCGAAAGGAATCTAACTGGAACCCAGAGAGGAAACCACAGAGCCTTCCCATTTCCGGGCTGTGAGGGGGTCACTTTCCCTACCCCACAGCAATGCCTGATTCTAACGCTGTGTTGGGGGGGCCAGCTTCCTGCCTGGAAGGAGCCTGCAGGCCACGACACGGGAGGGTGACCAGAGCTCAGAGTCAGAACCACGAGCTGGTGGGGCAGGCTCTGCAGAGGGGGCTGCTCCTCAGAGCTGCAGAAATCTGCTTGGGGACTCCCGCCTGGCTGCAACCCTCTCTTCAGGGGCCTGCGAGCCCTCCAAGCATGGAAATCAAGGAAAATCTTGAGTTCCTTCAAGGGAAATTCCAGTTACTTAGATAACTCTGAGAAGTAAATCAGCGACTTGATAAGCAAGAAGGTAACAGTATCCTAAAACAACAGTCAAGGAAGGTGGAGACAGATGTTTGTTCCCTGTAGAAAGTAAAGACAACCTCCCAGCACTGTTCCCTGTAGAAAGAAAAGACAACATCCTACCACTCTGGGAGGCTGAGATGGATGCATCATTTGAGGTCAGGAGTTAAAGACCAGCCTGGCCAACATGGCGAAACTCCGCCTCTACTAAAAATACAAAAATTAGCCAGGTGTGGTGGCGCATGCCTGTAATCCCAGCTACTCGGGAGGCTGAGGCAGGAGAATCGCTAGAATCAGGGAGGCAGAGGTTGCAGTGAGCCACAATCACGCCACTGCACTCCAGCCTGGGTGACAGAGTGAGACTCTATGTCTCAAAAAGAAAAAAAAAGAAAGAAAGTAAAGATAACATCTTAATGTATATCCCTGAGTTGTCTTTCAGAAACCTGGACCCTCCACCTAGGACCTCCCCAACAAACTAATCTACTGGCATGAAGGGCTCAGATAAGGAGAAACTGAAGACTGAGCTCTGACCCCGTTCTTTGTTCTGAATTTCTTCCTGACGGGCCTGGAGGAAGCCACACCCACAAGCCTAAGCTAACATTCTTTTCTCTTCACCCCAAATTTTTAAACAAAGCTTCTCCTCCTTAACCAGCTGCAAATCAGAAAACCTTTGAATCCACCTATAACCTATAAGGCCCTGCTTGCAGATACCGCCCTTCTAGGCCAAGCCGACATGTAACCTCTGTGTCCTTATGCACGACTCTGCCTTTCAGTTCTGCTTTCCTGAGATCTACCCCCGCTTTACAAGCCTTGCCTGTAGCCAGTGGGGGAGGCCAGGATTTATACATGAGCCTCCTGGCCCACCTTGCTTGGCGCCCTGCAAATACACACGTCCTTTCTATGACAAAACCTCGGCATGGGTGTCTGGGTTTACTGCACCAGGCATGTGGACCCCAGTTCATCTGTAACAAGCACAGATGAAACCGTCAGGTCAAGGGACTGACCCCTCCTTGGGAGCCATGAGCCAAACGTTCTCAGAGCCTGGGAAGGACAGAGACTCATCCGAACTCCACCCACAGCAGAGACCACGCTGAAAAGACAGGGCTCCCCGAAGGGCCACTCCTTAGCATTAAGGCTACACGAACCCTAGAATAAGGCTGCCCTGGACCCACCCCAGACAAGCCTGGTAGGATCCGGCCATTATCCACAAGTAACAACTGCCAAAATGATCATCAGTATTCTCTGAAAGAGAGAAAGAACCCAGATCAGCCTTGCCCAGCAGACATAACGCGAGCACACGCCTCGTTCTAAATGTTTTTTTATCTTTTTTTTGAGACAGGGTCTTGCTCTATTGCCTAGAGTGCGGTGGTGCAATCGCACTGCAGCCTCGACCTCCCGGCCTCAAGTGATCCTCCCACCTTAGCCTCCTGTGGAGCTGATGACAGGTGCATGCCACCATACCCAGCTCTTAAAATTCTAGCTGCCACATTAAAATTACTCTTAACATTCAATTAACTAATGCATTTTACTTAGACAAATTTATTGAAGATGTTTTTATTCCAACATGTGGGCCATAAGAAATCGTTACTCATATTTTTACGTTTTTTGCATTAGTTTTTTAAGATCTAGTTTGTAGCTCACACATCACATCTAAATTCAGACTGGCCACATTCAAATTTCCCAGCGGCCATGTGGCCAGTGCTTTTTTATCAGACAGCGAGGGTCAGGACTGTCCACCAGGCACGTGCACAATGGCCCACAGCTCCAAGTGCAGCAAAGTGTCAAACAGAAACAGAACCGGAAACGGCAGAGGCGACAGACTCAGTGACTGAGGACTTCAAAAGCAGCAGCAATAAATACGAACGTGGCTCAAGGATGTAAGGAAAAACATACACACAACATGAGAGAAGATACACAAAAGCAGCAAATGGAGCCCAAGTGATGAGCAGCGCGGGACGACATCATCAGTGAAAACTGATCTGGGATAACAGGTTCAGGTGTGGCCAGAGAACAGGTGAGTGAACTTAGCCAACAGCATCAGAAACTAATCTGCAGCAGCCTGGTGCGGCAGCACAGTGTCGGTGCCATGTGAGATAACACGAGCTGTCCTCAGAGTGCCACAGTCCAGCAGGAGGAGGAAGAGGCAGTGGTGGAAAATGACATTTGAGTAATGGCTAAAAATCTTCCAAATATGATGAAAACTACAGACAGATCCAAGAAACAACAAATGCTAAGTAGAACACAAAGAAAAGCCCACCAAGGCACCTGGAAAATACAATGCTGAAAATCACTGATAAAGAAAGATAAAAGTTCAAAAGCTCCTAGAGCACCGGCCAGATCCCGTCCTGCCGAGGGCCCGGGAGTGAGCAGCCGAGGCTCTGTGAGCCACACGCTGCCCGAAGCATCTTCTTCTTCCTTTTCTTTTCTGTAAACACCCTTTTAAAGATGTAAAAGACATTCCTGGCTTGTGGTCTGTACAAAAGCAGACTTCAGGTCAGATCTGGCCGAAAAGACACGTCACATGTGGGAAACAAAGATGACAATGACTTCAGACGCTTTTTTTTTTTTTTTGGAGATGGGGTCTGGCTCTGTGGCCCAAGCTGGAGTGCAGTGGCATGATCTCGGCTCACTGCAAGCTCTGCCTCCCGGGTTCATGCCATTCTCCTGCCTCAGCCTCCCGAGTAGCTGGGACTACAAGCACCTGCCACCACGCCCAGCTAATTTTTTCTATTTTTTAGTAGAGACGGGGTTTCACCGTGTTAGCCAGGATGGTCTCGACCTCCTGACCTTGGATCTGCCCGCCTCGGCCTCCCAAAGTGCTGGGATTACAAGTGTGAGCCACCATGCTTGGCCCAGATGCTTTTTTATAGCAACAATGCAAGTCAAACCTATTTTACAGTAGATGGGAAAAAAGGTCATCTAAAATTCCATACACAGGGAAAATGAATTTCAAAAATGAAGATGAAATAAAGACTTTCAGAGAAGCCAATGCTGAGAGATCACTGTCAGTAAATCTGAACTACAGGAAATATTTTTTTAAACTCTTCAGGATGAAGGAAAGTGACAGAGATGAAAGATGAAGATGGAAATAGAGAGTTACGAGTGCGCTGGGAGTGGTGAGCACACAGTCACGGTCTCCGGGGGACACCTGCCCGTGCAGAGAAGCACGCAGATCCTGACGAGGAGCCGGCAGCAGAGTCCCTGCGACAGCTCCTCGTCCCCGAAAGCCTGGTCAGGCTGCAGGCTCTTCCCGCCAGCAGCACCCCAAGGGCACCTGCCCCCCAACCCCGGTGCGAGTGCAGCCCACCTGCTTCAGCTGGAAGAGCGTCCTAGAGTGGTCTCCGCCTGTGATCTGGTCCAGGAGGTCGTCCACCACTTTCTTGCTGTAGCTCCCAGCATCCTTCACAAACTCCTGCAGGCTAGAGGGGCCGCGGGAGAAGGTACGCTGAAAGGAGCCCTTGTCGCCTGGCCCTCGCGGCAGCCCTGATCACAGAAGCCTGCCGTGCCAGCGCAGCTCCTCGGTCCCCGTGACCCTCCCAGAGCGGGTATTTTGTGGGGAGTGGCTGATAGTTTTCATTAGATTTTCAAAGTGGTCCATGACCCAAAAAGGTTAAAAAGATCTCAGTGGGGAGAGGGAGAAAAGCATGAATACACATGCACACAGCCTAGAAACACACGTGTGCTATGTTATCATCTGTAAAAGAATACTCCTATCTTTCCACTCGTTATGCGTTTAAAAACACAAGTGGGTGTGGACAGAAGCACACCAGTGGGCAGTGCCTGCCGGTGAGGAATGGGCGCGTGGGGCAGGGGTGGGCCGACACTTCCAAGGCACTCCTTTTAGTACCATCCTGATTCTTGGCCATATACATGAAACAGCTTAAAAAATAAAATATAATACAATCTAAAAAGTAGGCCAGGAACAAAAATGCATAGTCTTAGAATCAAAGCACCAAGCAAGCGCCTCAGAAGGGCTCCCCAGACTCCAAAGACCTTCACAGAGAGGAACAAGGATGGCTGCTGGTCAGAAGCTGAACCACGGTCACAGGAGGCAACAGGGAGACTCCGTGTCTTTGTTAAAACACCCACAGCCCGGGACAGGCCAAGCTCGGCACTCGCAGCGTGCACGGAAGCAGCACTCAGGGGCAGAGGATCTGGGTGTCTGTGCGCTGAGGCTGGCATGGGACCACGTAGCCTCATGCCAGGCCCTAGGAGATGTGCTTCTGAGTGTTGCCCCTGCAGCCACAAGGCAGGCGGGGTCAGAATGATCTTTCTTCACGGCAACATGGAACCTGATGCGTTCTAGGGACAGACAGCTGGGGAAGGCGGGGGGTGTGCACAGTCCACTGATGTGCCACATGGACAACAGGTGACTGATGTCCTGAAGGAGCCACACGCCGTGGACAGGGAGCCGACTGCGGACAGGATGGCACCAGGGGAGCCACGGCCTTGGCCCAGGCTGGGCAGAGGCCCCACAGCAGGGGTGAGGTGAGGGCTGGCGGGAGGGTGGGGAGCAAACAACTCTTTAATTTCTGACTTATGACCCCATCGTCTCCTACTAGAATTTCCTCTTCATTTTCCACGTTTACTTCATTTTTTGCTACAAAAATCAGGGTCAGGTTTTCACTTATTTTATGAAGCACTAAGGGGATTCTTGTTTATTTTTAAAACATATTCTGCATTCTTGTTGGAATAAAATGAAGACCTGATATGTCAAGATGCCATTTCTTAAAGGCTAGCAAAATTAAGTTGCTTTCTCCATTAAAAACTGCCAAATTTTACAAGAGTGACCCACTTTTATTTTGCCACAGAAAACAAAAAATACACACAGCAACATTCTACGGAAAAGCAGGCTGCTACATTTGTGATTTTAGTATTATACTTTAGCCTGCCATGGCCTGAATTGTATCTCCCGCTCAGAGTTCGTAAGTTGAAATCCCGACCCCAGTGCCTTGGAATGTGATTATACTTGGAGCTGGGGACTTTAACGGCCTTTAGAGGTAACTGCAGTGACATGAGGCCATTAGGGTGGCCCTGATCCAATATGACCAGGGTCCTTGAGAACGGTAGGGTCTCCAGGAGAGCCGAGGACACAGACACACGCAGGATGGCCCCGGGAAGGCACAGGGAAAAGACGGAAAGACGGCACCTGCAGGCCCAGGAGAGAGGGCTCGGGAGGAACCAGCCCTGCCCACACCTTCATGGCAAATGCCAGCCCCCAGGAATAAGACCCCAGTCTGTGGTGCTTTGTCACTGCAGCCTGAGCTAGCACGGTCACTTAGGAAACACAATTCAATACGATCCAGTGTGCTCAACACACCCCCAACCCCTTCACAAGCTACGCCCTGATCACCACCTTCTGACTGAGTTACCCAGATTTCAGGACTGGCCTGTGGCAGACCTGTGTGGATGACTGAAAGCAACGGGAAGACCCAGGCTGCCATATGGACGGCTGCAAGATGGCTCTCTCCCCACCCGCACACATGTGGGACTCCACGTCCCACACCAGGGCACAGCTCAAGCTGCACAGCAGCCAAGGGCTCCCCGGGGCCGACACTTGCCTCAGCGCACACTGCACGCCTGTCTCATCTCCGTAGGCTGAGTAGAGCAGCTCCATCTCGTCCGACTTCAAGTCGCCAAATACTGAATTATTCTGCATCGAAAGCGCAGTAGTGGCACTGGAGAGAAAGGTGACTGGGAGGAAGAGGAGAGAGCATCACTGGACTCACTGGAAGGACTCGGTGTGCAGGCCCCACCCCGCTTCTCCAGGGGCTGAGGGACCGCCTGGCTGGCAGCCAGCACCCCAGTCTCACCTCTCTTGCTCTCCACAAAATTCTCACTCCTGAGTTTTCCATGTGTAACCAGCAGGGGTGTAATTCACCACCCCTCATTTTACTTCTGCAGGCCAAAGACCGCAGGGAAATGAGCTCTCTGCAAAGGGGTGAGCTCCACAAGCAAAAGAGCTGTGTGGAAACGTGGGCAGAGCGCACCGTCTGTCACTGTGGAGGATCCCAACCAACACACACCGCAGGGACCACGCCTGCCCAGGGCCAGCTCTCGCTGTGGGGGACACAGGCCAGGTGTACTGTGCAGTGTCCCATAGGGTGTGGAGCAGCACCCCTGGCATCTCCCTACCATCTGGTGCCAGCAGCACCCCCAACCCCAGTGGGACCATCAACACGCCTCTGGACACTGCCAACATCTCCAGGGACAAAAGTGCTGTGGTTGAGAACTGTGTTAGAGGGTGAGAAGAAGATGTGTGTCAAACACAACAAAAAAAAAGTATCAACAACCACAACAGCCCCAAGAGGAAGAGGGGAGCAGGGGCTGGTGAAGACAAGTGGTGAAGGCAAGAGGATCCTTCCCAGTGGAGGGCGTCCTTCAACAGGAGACCCAGACCAGGCAGAATTTCAACACCTGGAGCTGGAGGAAAGAACATTCCAGAAACAAGGAAGCTCTTGAGCCAAGGCCATGGTTTGGAGGGAAGAGTGAGCTGTCCCATTAGCAGATGGTGTGAGTGGCTGAGGCAGAAAGGGCCGGCAGGAGCAGTGTCCATGCAGCTGTCTGCATGGGAGGGACCCAGCAGAGGTGGAGAAGTGGAGGGTGGGGCCATGCAGGAGGTCCCAGCAGCAGCGCAGCCAGGAGGCAGCAGTGCAGATGGAGAGAACACACAGGCCAGACCCAAGGCCCAGGGGCCACACATTCTGACCCCTGAAGGGATGTTCTGTAATGCGACAGGGACAGAAACACAAGGACCCCAAAACACTGACCAAGGTGAAGTCCAGTGATGCAACCAAGGTGCCCGCTGTGTGTGTCCCCATCCAACACGAGTTTCATTCCTGTCACTGTAACTGATCTCAATCTTACCCATGTGAAAACATGAATCCAGGTACAGTGAGGAAACTCTGAAGTACGAATCAGCAGCATTTGCCATCACTCCACTAAACCCCTGCCACCTTCCCTGCTCCGGCTGGCTCCTGGGACGGGACTATGGATTTACCTTTGTTTCTTCTCTCGTCTTTGAAGCCCAGCGTGGTGAAGCCTGGGAGTAGCTTACTGGAGAGCGAGCTCAAGTCCACCGGGTGGGTCTCCTCCTCTGCAACACGGACATGGCGGGCCGTGAGTGGCAGGTGTGACCCCAACGCGGTGCCCCAGTGCAGTGCCATGAGCCCTTTCTCCACATCACAGTGGATGTGATTGGTGCAGGTGGGGGGATTTTATAATGATCACCTGAAAACAAATTTGCAAAAGCCAACTACCATTCTCAAAACTAACTGCATTTCAATTTCATTTCTTTATCACCCCAAAGTCAACACAATAAAAAATACCACATCTTTGGCCACCACACCAGCAATACTTTGAGAACATTTTCAAATGGATCACTCAACAACTCCAAGAAGAAATCTTGTCCTGCGTGTTCTAACAGCGAAACGGTGGCGTGTACCTGGAGCGCGTGCATCTGACAGCATGTCTGCCATGCTCAAGTCACCACCCACACACCACTCATGGGATCAGAGCAGGAGTTCCTCAGTTCCCAACCGCTGCCTCGGTCTCAACACTCTCATAAGCTAAATATGGATCAACGGTCCATCCTCTTTAGGAAAATAAGCTGAAGATTATATAGATCAGCCCGTTTCTATCCTTCACACACTGGAGAAAACCACGCTGGCATGGTGGAGCTGGGTGAAAGACCACCAGCAGGCATGAGGGTGAGAGCGAGGGAAGCAGGAATCTAGAGGCAACCCGTGCCAGGCTGCACGTTCCTCACGCGAGCCCGCGAGTGCGTTTCAAACCCAAGTGATCACACTTTCGTTCAAAGGACAAGCCTCTTAATTACTTCCAGGCCAACAAAGTGCCCCTGACGGGCTGGACAGGCCTAGTGTGCACCATCCTTCAACACTGTCCTGACGTCATCATCTAACAGCTCTTCTAAGACTGCTTTCCAGATTCAAGGAGCAGGGTGGGCCAGCACTCTGGTCTTTGCTGAAGACTGAGCTCGGGATGTGAACCCTTCCTGATGCTAGTGAGGTTTGGCCTTAAAGGCCTCTCGGCAGCTTTTCAGGAACATGGCTCGAGTCCCGCTGCTCCCAAGGAGCCCTGACCGAGGTCTGACCAGCACCCCCGCCCCGCGAGATGGCCGTCCACACCTCCACTCAGCGCACGTGTCACGTTGGGGTGCGAGCAAGGTCGGGAAGCCGGGCAGCCTCTCATGCTGCCCCATGGCCATGGCTCAGCTTTTCATTACAGAATATCAACGGAGGCCCAAAAAGCAGTGTACGGAGAGCATAAAGCCAGCCCTGAGCGGGCACCCACCATCAGCGTCCGGCTCGGCCGTGTTGACCACGCTGTAGAGCAGGCTCCCGTCCCCGTTCCTCTTCAGATAGCCCATCTGGAAGGAAGCACTGCCTGAGCGTCTGTCCCTCAGGAGGGGCAGCGCAGCACAAATGAAATGAAGACCAACAAGCAGGGCTTAATGGGGGTGAAAGCACATTTGTCCAAGAACAAACGCCAGAGGGCCCCTCACGGCATTCCCTGGAATTTCAGACTCACCGGCAACAGCAGAGCGCGCACAGGTGCCAAGGAGAACCTCTTAGGCTCCCCATGGCCCTGCTATAGGGGGTACAGCTGAAACAAAAACCTTCACCCACGAGTAAACATTTAAAATTGCTCATGAGCCTTGACAAAATGGAACGGTCAGCAGGTCAGCATGGCACTGCCCTGACGGCAGGCGGCTCCAGCCCTCAAGCATGTGTGGACTGGTTTTCATTTAAAAACCCACCACCCACACCCCAGTTCTGTGTACAGGCCATCAGGAGGATCCAGGAAGAGGAGGCACTGGTGTGTGCAGACTTGGGGTTCAAGGGGGAAGAGGGCTGTCATGCAGCGGTTGGCTGGGCTCCAGTGCAAGGGTGACGTCCATGCGCTGGACATCATGCCATGTCAGGGCAGCCACCTGGCCTGAGAAGAGCCGGACGTTTGTGTGGGGGCAGCTCCCCACCGCGGATCCATGCAAAGTCTCAGAGCCCACAGGATGGCCAGGGCCCTGGGGGAGAGGCGGAAGGTCAGCTCAATGGGACACGGAGTTGATACGAAGATTAGGAGACAAGTCCTCACGGCGCAGATACAAAACTGAAAGGGAAGAAGTGGGCGGAACCCACGGGGCACGAGGGAACTGGAAGTTTCCGTGTAAAAACAGTTTTCAACCCATGTAAACACAGGTGCCAACAGAATCCCTCTGCACAGTGTCCATGTATGTGGTGCAGACACACACAACAGGCATCTCCCAGCTCTATCTGCAGAGGGCTTCACCCAGAACCCAGGTCCTGGCTTCTACACAAGGCTCTCTAGTCAAGAAACCAGGGCTTCTTGGAGAATGTGGCAATTCCAGGGCTGAAACACAGACTGCAGAACAAGGCTGTCCAAAAGAACTACAGTGCAAGCCACGTAGACCACAACCTCCAGCACACAAGCCACATAAACAACTTCCCAACACACAAGCCACGCAGACCACAACTTCCCAACACATGAGCCAAGCAGACAACCGCCCAACACGTGAGCCACGCAGGCCACAACCTCCAGCACACAAGCCACATAAACAACTTCCCAACACATGAGCCACGCAGACCACAACTTCCCAACACGTGAGCCAAGCAGACAACTGCCCAACACGTGAGCCACGCAGACCACAACCTCCCAACACGTGAGCCACACAGACCACAACCCCCCAACACGCAAGCCACAAAAACCACAACCTCCCAACAGATAAGCCACACAGACCACAGCAACTTTCCAACACACAAGCCATGCAAACCACAAACTCCCAACAGGCGAGCCAAGCAACCGCCCCACACGTGAGCCACGCAGACCACAACCTCCCAACACTTGAGCCACACAAACCCACAACCTCCCAACACATAAGCCACACAGACCACAGCAACTTCCCAACACGCAAGCCACGCAAACTGCAACCTCCCAACACACGAGCCACGCAAACCACAGCAACTTCCCAACACATAAGCCAGAGACCACAGCAACTTCCCAACACACGAGCCACGCAGACTGCAACCTCCCAACACACAAGCCACACAAACCACAACCTCCCAACACATAAGCCACGCAGACCACAGCAACTTCCCAACATGCAAGCCACGTGAACCACAACCTCCCAACACACAAGCCACGCAGACCACAACCTCCCAACACACGGGCCACACAGACTGCAACCTCCCAACACGCAAGCCATACAGACCACTGCAACTTCCCAACACGTGAGCCACGCAGACCACGACCTCCCAACACGTGAGCCACGCAGACCGCAACCTCGCAACACGCAAGCCACACAGAGCACTGCAACTTCCCAGCAGGCACAGGCAAAAAGCAGCAGACACCTCTGAAATGCCCCCACTTCAGCGTTCTTTACATCCCATCCCATGTGCATTTTGAAGACTTAATATGAAAAAAACCCATAAAGCTCAAATTAACGTTTTCTACAGACTACATGTTGAGATAAAATGTTGGATATAGAGGTGAAATGAAACCTGCAAGGATTAATGTCACCTGCATTGCTCTACTTCTCTTATCAGGGCTGCTAGGAAGCCTGAGACTGCAGACAGCCTGTGCTCTGTTTCCACTGAAGACACTGGGTCTAGAACGTCTCCTGCCAGAAAGGAGAGCGTGGTCAGCTGAGTGGGCCCCACCACCACAAAGACCATCTGTGGCAGGAGCCACGTGAACACAGTCGGTGGCCTATTATGGACCATCTGTCGGATCCAACACCAGCACCCCCACTGGAATAACAAGGGCGGTGCCTCACGTCAACACCCAGTGACAGAGACACAGAAGTCAGCATTCACTCCAAGAGAAAGGATTAGCCTGCAGCAGGGCCTCCATCAAGGAAATGAGGTCAGTGACCACGTGGCCTCCACGATGCATGAAACACCAGCGGCAGCCCTGCCAGAGGCACCTGGACCCCGACTGAAGAGACCAGCCTTATGTGTGTCTGATCCGGACCTCCCGTCAGGGCCCCACGCTGACCTCTGGATCCCGGTGGCTGTGCTAGATCACACAGCACCAACCCAGAAGGAGAGGCACACAGAGAGTCTGGGGCCACGTGGCACCCTCTCTCGGTGGCCACAGAGCACTACCTTGCCGCCTGGGAGGAACCGGTTGATCCTGTCCCGAGCTTCGTCAGCTGCGTGCTCCACCAGCGCCAGCACGTGCTCCTCTGCGGTACTGTCCGTCAAGCTGCAGGCATTCCCTTCAGGCTCAAACATGCAGCTGTGAGGTGGGGACAACCAAGTCACCTGGAGGCAGCGTCCCCACCGCACACCTGCTCCCCATGCGTCGGCACCTAACCCAGCTTCTACCGACCCTGCCCTCAGACACAGAGCTGGCAGAGCATACTTAACTCCTTTTAGGTCTCAAAGCATCCCTTTTCACCCTAACCAAATGACAAATTAAGACACTTTTATTAAAATAAAGGGTAAGTGTAAGCCAAGTAGACAGACTTCCTATTTTTCAACGCAGTGCAAACTCAGTTAAAGTGCTTTAGCAACAAAAGCAACAAAGTAACAGATGCCCACACTGGTTAGTTATTAAAGGCCCCATCAGAAAAGTGACTGGAAAAGCCACCCCTGACTACGCAGGGTTCACAGCAAGGCAGGATAGGCGGGGCTGCTCGGGTGTGGTCTGGTGCTGCTGGGCTGGGTGGACAGCAGCCCCCTCTGCTGTGGCCACTGGGTGGCACAAAGAACACACAAGGACGTCAGCAAGTGGTCCCAGGTTCCACCTGAAGCAGTTCTCCAACAGCTGAGGGGCACAGGCTGTAGCACCCAAGGAGTGTGGAAGGTTCTAGAAGCAAGCGAGTGGGCTCCTTCCCACCCTGGGCACTTGCCTGGGCATGGGTCTGAGTGGCCTAGGGCCAGGTGCAGGCCCAGGACAAGCCCTGCCCATGAGAGCGGCCCTGCCCTTGCCTGACCTACAGTGACAACCTGGCAACCCTACACAGGAGTCACAGCCCCATGAGCTCCGCAGGGAGGGGCTCCACTCAGGCACCTGCGTGAGCCCATTACCGATGCGCACTGCTGTGACACTAGGTGAAGGTGACTGCCTGAGCTCGGCACGCTCTCCTGCCTGCAGACTGACAGCTGGGGATCCATCTAAAGGGCCTGGATCCCACAGGCAAGGGTGAAGCTGCAGCACCAGAGACACCCAAAACCAACCTGGGGTGGGTCTGCCAGGACACAACCCCACCGCAGCTGAGCATGCTGACCAGCACCAACTTCAATTCCCCCTCGATGCTCAGTCACCATGAGGCGGCAAAGGGCGGCCATGAAACCCCGACCCCTGAAGGCCAGCAGCACACTCGAGTCGGGGGCTGAGGCCGGACACAGCCACCAGCCAACCACGCAGTGAGTGTTCACACGGCAGCGGGGTGGGAAATGCAACGCACGTGGGGAGACCGCCTTAGGGGACTGTCGTCCGTTGCCAAGCAACACACTCTGGCCACGCAGCGCACCCTGTCTCCTAAGCCAAGGCTGCAGGACCTGAGGGGCTGGTCTCAAGACCACTCTCCCTTTTGACGGTTGGAGGGAGCTGCTCAGAGCAGAAGCACCGAGCCCAGCACCGCTGCCGCCCCACCTGTTAAATCCACGTGAGTCCCATACACATGTGAGAAGGAAACAAACAATGGAGGGCCGTGACCATCACAATTGCCTCAAGGACGTTCAGTACCAACTCCAGACGGTCCCTGACTTCCCACAAGATGGCACAAAAGCAATACACTTCAGCAGAAACCATCCTTCAAATCTGATCTGTCCCCAGGATGGCAACAGGCCAGTCCTCTCAGGATACTGGGAAGACCGCGAGCCACAGTGCTGTCAGACACACGGCCATGAGGGTGGATGTCCTGAGACTGCGCTCTCTGGGGCCTGCACTCAGCAAGTGACACGTGATGAAGCAGGCTCTGTGCCAGGCGCTTCTGCCCGCTGCAGGCTATGTTAAGTGCTCTTGGTGCCTCTAAGGCCCCTGGCGATACTCTCGCTTTGTTTGGTCCTATCAGGCAGCCACCTCACATAGGTGGAGGAGCGTCTACAGGAATGACGTGTGATACGGACTTTGATACAATCTCAATGCTCAGCCACCATGAGACAAAGAGCCCCCATGAAAACCACTCTGGGGTTTAGAAAAAAAGGAAGAAGGTTCCCTGAAGGACCAGCCAAGTCGGCTGCTCCCTGTGGGAGGGAGCAGAGCTACAGGGAGCTGTGGCCTGCAGTCCTCACCTGCTTCCCCCGCAGCATCCACACCTTCCTGACCACAGGCCTGCACCTGCTCCACTCCAGCGTCTACACAGACACAGAAGCGAGCAGTTCAGGAGTGTGCATCTGCCCCACAGCAACAAAGAAGCCCCCTGCCAATGCTGGCTGCCCAAAGTCAGCCCGCTTGTGCGGCACAGTCTGGGACAAGGGCACAGCCTTGGCTGCCGGCAGGCGCTGTGCAGGGGAGGGAGGGGCCAATGATCTTAACGGCGTGTAGAGACAGAGACCACCAGTCACTAGCAGTTGGGGGCAGGGGTGATCGGACGGGCTTGGGTACCACACCTGGGTCAGAGAGTGCACGTGGCCGGTGGGCAGGAGGGGCTGTCTGGCCACACTCCTCCTGCCAGAATAAGCTACACCAAGAATGTCTATGTGACATGACATCCGTTCTCTCACTCACTCACTCTCCCCTACAAGGCACCTGCTTTCCTGGCTATGGTGCTCAACTCCAAAAGCAAATGTGGTTTCCACAGAACCTTTACCTGATAACTTCTCTACTCGGCTTTTTGGATTTCTTGGCAGTTTCTACTTGTACTGGTACAACTTCAGGGACAGGTTCCTCAACAGCTGTATCTTCATTGCCCAAAAGAGCTGCCTGCTGAGAAAAATCCATGTCCTGCATAAACGACATGCTGCGCTTCAAAGCTAACAGCCGCTCCTAGAATCAGAAAGGACAGAGCAGCAGGGATTTACCTCTCCCTCACAGCCAGGGTGCCGTGACGATGGGATGGGATGGGGATGGTCACAGCCTCACCTGGCCTAAGAGCTAACTTTCCACGGCGGAGCAGCGGGAGGTGGTTGTGGGGGCTTGACCCACCGCCAGAGCGCGGCAGGTGCCGCACCTCCCCTTTACCTTCTCCTACGTGGGATGCATGCAGCCTGGCTCACGGCACAGATCTGGGAAGCCACTCAGGATGGCCAAGGAAGACAAGGATGTCCCGTCTGGATTCAGTGAGGCAGTCACGCAAAACAAGCCCGCAATGCTGGCTGCCATCCAGCAAGACTGACACCTGACACCCAGGCTTAAGATCAAGAGATGCGGAACTTTCCACCAACCCTCAATGAGATGTTACAGCTAGGTCATGAGCAGAGAGGGCGGCCGGGGACGTCTACCCTAGAGCAAAGGGGGCAACACCATGAGGGTGGCGGGTGGATGGAGCACGTGTTCACTGTGAGGCTCCCTTCGGGCACAAGCGACGGGGGGCAGAGCCCCTGCTTTCCGTAGCTCGCTGCTGCCAGTGAGTTTCTTACTTTGCTCATCATCTTAAAGCCTGCGTGAAGGATCTTCTTCGCCAACTTGTAGTACACGGTATCTGGCCTATTGTATGTCATTGCATTATCACACATCAGCTTGAAATCTGCCTGAAAAGAAAACAGGAAAGACTTATCAGGTTTGAAATGCCACAGACAACAGCAAAGCTCTAGATGACTACCAAGAGACCAAAAGGAAAAAGCTACAATCGAGTAGAAAACAATTCAACTGGGCTCTCTGATCTAAACATAACGTTTAAGAACTTAAGAGAAGTTTTCTTAGTTGCACATTGGTCTTGCATGAAAAATATTACAGCAAACAGTTGGCCAAGCCTGTAACTTCTTTCTAAGCATCACATACAAATGCTGTGTGAGGAAAAAGCGTTTCCTGCGCTTCTTGCATTTCTCCAGAACATAAACAGGAACGAGAAGCAACGACCCGATTCTTTCAAGTGCAAGTCAAGGGATGAAGGCAGGCGTGCGGCACAGTGATAGCCTCTATCTCTAGAATTTCTCCACAGAATCGAATTTAAAATTCTGTCACCAAATGGTTCCCTCAAACTACTAGAAAAAGACTTTGCCCCACAAAAGGACAACCTTATTTTGTAATTTATGGTGAAAATACGGAAGCATCAGTATTTTATTATGAGAGGCCAGTTTCCTCAGCACAGGCCTCTCAAAGGTGAGTACCAACGTCAGGCTGGAGCATGACCCCGGAGGCCGGCCACCCTAACTGAGAACGTGCCATCTGGACCCTCCCCAAGTCCCGGTTCCAGAGCCAGCAGCCCTAGGGCCCGGCCCGAGGCTGTGGAGCCCCTCCCCTGAAGACTCCACTGCGGACACTCCACGGAGTGAATGCTGCTCCCCTTCTCACTTTGTTGCTAGGAATGGCCAGACTGGGGCCCGAAGCAGGGAATACAGAGGGCTTTCGGGCATGGAGTGCTCTTAACATCTACCCTCAGGCGCTGCCTGATCCTCTCATCGAGTTTCCTTTTCTCCCACTCTCCTTTAAGTCTGTTCTGTTGTGTTTCTGTGAGTCAGCAAACCCTTCAGTAAGCATAAAATAGAAAAGTCAAGCTTTCCCCAGGGGAATGGAACCTAAGAGAGAAATCTAATGCCTTTCTAAACTACACTAATGCCAACTTTATCAAGCATTTGTTTTGCTTTCTTCCCCTGGGTTGCAAAACCAATGAGCAGTTGCTAATTCTCACAGCCAGTAGCAAGAAACAGAGCTAAGAGCAAAGTACTCAGGAGACAGAAAAACTTACTATGCTAAAAAAACTAAATGCTCAATTAGTGTAAGACAAAACTAAGAATTAAAAAGAAGTATGTTTTTAAAAATGTCTAGTCTCAAGCCGTGCCACACCGGACACCTCACTGCTTGAAACAACATGTCCTATTTACGCCAGCGCAGTAACTTAGAAAGAAAAGAAACAGACTTCTAACAGCGTGCAACCTGACCTAGTTTCTAGACCAAAGCACAGAGAAAACGTTCACGACCAATCATTTCCTTAATGCTGTGTCTGTAAAACATCATCCGAACACAGAAACACCTGTGAAAGCTCAAAAACTAGAAATGATCTAAGGTGAATGAAGTCTTCACAAGACATGAATACACAGAACTATGCCACGATTACTTCGGGCAATGAAAGTAACTTACCTTAAATTCCGTAACTGACTTGTATTCATTAGCTACAATTTTGTCTTTCATGGTGCCAAAATCCATGGGATGTTTTATTATCATTGAATATCCAGGAGCAATTGCATCCGTGACAGGAAAAGCAAAAAATCCATGGGGATCTTTTCTGAAAGCAAAGACATCTTAAAGCGGAAAAATCTAGATTTCTAAATGATACAAAATCTCTTACAATCCAAAAATTGGATACAACTGACCGAATTTTGTTTCTTAAAAATAAAAAAGTTACGAGCGTCTTTTAATTTATTGTGATAGGTATTTCAGATATAATAAAAATTCCCCCAACGCATCCTGGCGGCCATCAATGTCCCAGCTCTAGCCTTGACTTCCCTCACTCTACTCTGACTTCAGAGTGAGCCACTAATGAGTTCATGAACTCTTCCTACGCACCCCGAAGTGGACTGGGAGTCACCAAGAGAAGGTGCAGGGTCTGTTTCACAGCTGACGAGGCTGGCGTGGGGAATAAGGCCTCAGAAAAGATGACACCACACCCCCCCAGACACTAGCTCTTCAGAAACGCCCCGGTTTACCTCTGAAGCTGGCGGAGGAAGTGTTCCAGGAGTTGCTGAATAGGTGTGCTCTCATTTTCGGCTGACAATTTAAGGAAAAAAAAATTGAATACAAGACTTTGGTATCCCTTCATTAGAGAGCTCCAAGTTCACAGTATCTGTCTGTCTGGTGTCTCACAGCATTTTAAGTTCCACCGAGAACTGGGGATATAAAGATACATCCGACTCAGCCTTGGCTCCCACCAAGCTCAGCCGGGTAGAAAGGGCACCCCCACAGCAGGAGTCATAAAAATCTCTTGTAATAACCGGTAGCCCTTACATCAACAATATGTGGTGATCACTTAGCAATGTTTTCAGCTCATACCACTACTCTAGACAAGAAATGGACGACGGAACAAACGCTCTGGACATAAAGGTTGATCCTGAATTCACCGATTATTATTTCACTTGAGGTCCCTTAAAATTCAACAAAAAGTAAATAAATGGCCGGCGTGGTGGTGCGTGCCTGTAGTCCCAGCAACTTGGGAGGCTGAGGTGGGAGGATCGCTTGAGCCCAGGGTTATCTGAGCCCAGGAGTGAATCACGACACTGCACTCCAGCCTAGGCGACACAGCAAGACCATGTTTCAAAAATAAATTAAAAAAAGAAAGTGCCTGAAGAGCCAAATGACCACAGGAGCTCAGAAGGCCACCAGCTTTCCAGAACTTTCCTTCAGTGGAGCCAGCAGGCCTCAGACAGTTTCTGACGGCCTGAATGATCGCAGCACTAGCCTCCCCACTCCCTGATGTCCCATGTCCCAAAGCCCAGCCGTCTGTTTCCCTATAATCCAGGAACCACTGGATGCTGAGAGTTGCTGGGAAGAGACACCCCTTGTCTTAGGTACAAATGCCTCATCACTGTGAGTTGTGCACAGGAAGGCTGGGGACAAAGAGAACTCAGAGGGCAAGTCCTTGTCAACTGGAAATTCCAGCCAAATGCCATCCTTCGCAGATGGTGCCCACGACAGAGATTCTACTAAAGGCCTCCAGCTTCCTTTGTCTCAGCCTATGGTCACTTTCAGCAACTTCAGACCCACCATTTGGGCCTCGAGGTCCCTTCTTCCCAAGGGGAATTACCTGCGTTTTCACTGACATGCATCTCTCTTACCAGTCTGACCCAGATGGGGCTACTGTTCCAATACTGTCTTAAGTGCAAACAAAACCAAACTTCAAGACCCAGGGCTGGCAAACTTTTTACATAAAGGCCAGACAAAAAACAGTCTAGGCTTTGCGGGTCACATACGATTGGTCTCTGTGGAGATGCCTTTTTGTTTCTTTTTATGAACGCTTAAAAAACATATAAGCCATCCTTAGCTAACAAGTTAAAAAACAAAACTGAAGGGCACCAGTGGTAACTGGCCACGCCTTGCTCTAGACATTCAGAGACACCGGAGGAAACCTCAGGCCAGAGGACACCTGGGATGAGGCCCTGGAAATACCAGCTCTCCTCCCTCCCATGCTTCTCCCCAAAGCAACAGGACACGGTGCCGACCCCTCATTTACAACGATGAGCTGTGAACACCAGGAGAGTCTCTAAAAGTGCACCCTTGCCTGGCTGTGTCCGGCACGCTCGGACTGGCCGATCTGGGGGCGGCTCCACCTCCACCTTCTTCCCAGGATCAAAGTCGTCAGCCTCTCCCTCCGTGTCACAGTGCTCCCTCTCTCGCTTCCGCTTCTTCTCTTCCTGGGCGGCAGAGTCAAGGGAGTGAGAAAGGCAGGAGTAGGCGGGATCCGGACAGGTCTGCCCAATCCCCTCGCAGTTCTCAGGGGAGGGACAGAACTAAGGGAAACCCCCTCCGAGATCCTCCTCATGCCAGGCTCCCTCCTCACAGAGACCCTGGCAGGGTCTGCTGAGGAACAGCACACCCAGGATCCTGGAACTGAGTCTGCGGGCCTCAGCGGTTCGCGTTTTGCTACCAACGGAACACCCCCTCCCCTCCTCCAGCCACGCAGGCGCACTCTGCCTGGGTCCTGGGACCAGGCTCCCCACGGGCTCCTCGTGGGCAGCGTCCGGGCCACCGCCGCTGCTCCTTTACCTTTCGCTTCCTTCTTTCCTCATCGTCCAGATGCTTCTCCTTCTCGGACTTCTTCTTCTTCTTCTTTTTCTTTTCTTTGTGCCTCTCTCGCTCATGGTCTGACCTGTCATCATAGTAACTGGAGTCGTGGCCGGATCCTGAGAGTTCAGTCACTTCACTTCCTCCGACCTTCAGGACTAGCTTTAGAGGCTTCTCCAGGGGCTTGTCGGCATAATCTGCACAGACACAGACCGAGTTCTACCCGCGTGCTCAGGTGCAAACGCCACGCAGCCAGGTGAGACGTGAAGGTGCTAAGAGGGAAAGGCCTCCCTAAGGAGTACAGCGGGGCTGCCAACCAGCAGGGAAAGACGGAAGGGAAGACCACAGTGGCGGCATGTCACTGCCTCCTTGTTCTCCCTTCCCCTCCGCAGGGAGCTTCAGGTCCCTTTCGAGCCACGGTGTCCTCACCAGAGGCCCTGTGGGATGTTGTTCACATTACTCGTTCAAGAAGATGGATTAAGAGGGACCTGGAACCCCGGAGCCCGATCTCCCTCCTAGAAACCCCCAGCACTTCGGTTCACCCTCGCCTGACTTCCTGCAGGCGCCCGTGCTGCCCGCTGACACCCATGGAGCTGCTGCGGGAGCAAGGGAGAGGGAGGGAAAGGCGGGAGAAAGGGCAGCCCAGCTTCTCCCTGAGCTCCACACAAAAGCCAGCACAGATGCTTCCCTAGTCTCCAGGACCGGGGTGAGTGGGCTTGCAGCCTCGAACCCAGAACCCTCTACCAGGAACGTAAGCGCCTACCCAGGACCCCTCACGTGTGCCCGGTTCCCTGCCCGAAATCCCAGGACCCCCTCCCGCGTGCCCAGAACCCCTCCCTCGTGGCCAGGACCTCGCCCGGTGCCCAGGACCCCCGTCCGCGTGCCCGGAACTCCTCCCCCGTGCCCGGGACCCCGCCCGCCGCGCGTCACAAAGCGCCGCCGCCTCACCCTCGTAGGACGAGCGCCACTCGGCCTTGTGCTTCTTGTGCTTCTTGCCCATGGCGGCGCCGGCGGCGGGCCCGAGGCGGGGGCTGGGAACAGCTGGCACCCGGTCGGACCTTGGCCGCCACCGCCCCCTGGCCCTGGCTGGCCGCCCGCGCTCGCTGCGCCGAGGTTGCCGAGCTCGCTGGGCCGCGCCGGAAACGGGGCGAGGCGGGGCCGCGGCAGGAAGTGGCCCTGCCGGGCCCGAGCGCTTCCGGGTCAGGAGGTGGTGCGCCTCGCGCGGCAGATTCGAAGCTAGGGCGGGGCCCGCGGGCTGAGGCAGCGGCTGTGGCGGCGACGCTGGGCGTGAGGTGGCGGCGGCCGCGCCCTGGTTGGGTCCCCACTGCTCTCGGGGGCGCCATGGACGAGGCCGTGGGCGACCTGAAGCAGGCGCTTCCCTGTGTGGCCGAGTCGCCAACGGTCCACGTGGAGGTGCATCAGCGCGGCAGCAGGTGAGCCGGACCTGTCCGACACATCCTCTGGGCACCCACCCGCCCCGACCCCAGCGCGTGCACCGAGCCCCGACCCCAGCGCACTGATTCTGATGCGACCGAACCCCAGGGTACTGATCCGGCCCGACTGGACCCGGGCGCACAGGCCGCCGGGCCCCGACCGGATCCTAGCGCAATGACGCGACCCCACCGCAGGGCACTGACCCGGCCGACCCGAGCCCTGCGCGCAGGACCCCAGCTCACAGATTGAGCCCCGACCCGACCTCAGCTCACGGACCTGGCCCTGACCCTGCCCCTGCCCCGGCTGTCCTCCAGTGCATTGATGTGGCCCTGAGTCCCACGTTGGAGAATAGGATGGCTGCGCATTACAGAGAGCTCTAGTCTCAGCCGAAAGCTGGGTGGTTATTCTTTGAGCCACTGCTTCTCAGACCCTTTAATTGTTCCCGTTCCTCACGGACTCGATGTTAAATTTTTAGGGTTCAAAGCACATCCCACTCATTTGTGACCAAGTCAGTTCATGGTATGGTGGGGCCTGTGGGCTGTGCTGCTCCCTGGAGTGGGGGGAACTCAGCGGCGGGGCCAGACCTTCACAGACCCTCCTTATGTCCACGGAGGGTGGATTGAGGTCAGGTGAGACCACCAGCCTCAGAGGGGATGCAGAGGAAGAGACCTTTCCTTTAACAGAATAGCTGTTGACTGGGTATTTTCTAGGTGCTGGAGTTCAGACACGTCAGCATAATTGCACCAGGGCCCAGAGACACCTGCACAAAGCCCCATCACAGCCTGGCGACACCTGTGTAAACACCTTAGCGCTCAGAGACACCTGTACACAGTGCCACCGCAGCCTAGAGACACCCCATGTACAACCACACCTGGGCCCAGAGACGCTAGGCATAATCACACCAGAGCACAGCTGCACCTAGAGGACAGACACCTACGTACAACTGCACCAGAGTTCATAGACACCTGCACACAACCGCACTATGCATGGTGGTCGCTGCTTGTAGGGTGCTGGGACGATTGCAAAGGGGCCACATGTCACCTGCCTGGCTCTGAGGAGCCTGTCCAGGAGGGCTCAGAGGGAGGCAGACATTGAATAGGACTTAGAGGGTGACTGCAGTTGATCAGGCCAGTAAGCTGGGACAGTGCATAGCAGGGCACAGAGGTGTGATCCGGGACCAGGTCACTGTTGTAGAAAGGGGAGGTGTTAGGAGGACTGCAGCAAGGGGGACCAAGGGAAGCCCTGGATACCAAGCTGAAAGCATTAGATTTTCTCAGCACGAATCACGGCTATTGGAGACTTGTTACAATGCAGACCCCAGGCCTGACCCCACAGCTGTGGAACTTCATTAGTAATAGTGAAAGCCAACATTATTGCGTGCTTACTATGTGCCAGGTATCGTCCTAAACACTTTGAGTGTATTAATGACTTCACAGTAGCCCAGCATAGCGAGAACTCTTACTGTTGTCCCCTTTTTCTAACTGGGAGCTGAGGCACAGCTTCTTCAGGGCACAGCTGGTAGAGGACCCACAGGCAAGGGGTGGCTCTAGATTTGGTCCCAGGCAGGCCAACTCCAACTTACCCTGTTAACTACTGGGCTTTCTTATGTATTGTCTGAGTTTTTCAAAACACTTCATTTTAACATTTTGTTTTTGAACTAAGATCATTTATGTGTGTTTTGGCTTCTTTTTTTAGCACTGCAAAGAAAGAAGACATAAACCTGAGTG
The DNA here is from genome assembly GCF_000001405.40 of Homo sapiens. Lineage (NCBI taxonomy): Eukaryota > Metazoa > Chordata > Mammalia > Primates > Hominidae > Homo > Homo sapiens. Next base: position 894,819 of record NC_000005.10, read on the forward strand.
TTAGAAAGCTACTCAACAGACATAATATTGTGTTTGGTGATTACACATGGACTGAGTTTGATGAACCTTTTTTGACCAGAAATGTGCAGTCTGTGTCTATTATTGACACAGAATTAAAGGTTAAAGACTCACAGGTAAGTTACTAATTTGCTGGGCCAAGGAACAGTTAGCTGAATACAAAAGGTTGTATCATGAATGTCTTGCCGTTTTCATAGCCTGTTGTCAGAAACAGGTTCACTTCTCTGTTGGTTTGGGTGGCTAGACAAGTTCTTTTCACTAGCTGTCAGGAGCCAGGTGCTGGGAGTAGGAAGTAGCCCTGATGTCGGGGTGCTCTCAGTATAGCAGTAACAGATTGGAAACCAGGAATGAGAATGCAGTGCTGTACAATAGTGGGCTGCGCTGGTAAGGCCTGTGTGCCATGTCTCATTCTTTCAATCAGCAAATGTTTATAAAGTGCTCAGTGTGTGCTAGGACCATAGGAGGTGTGGGGCCACAGAGATGAGAAGATGGGCTTGCCTTATAGAATTCCTTTATCTCATCCCATGCATGGCCACCTCACCCACCATCTGAGTTGATGCGTATGGGTTAGAGGAGCTTTGTGTGAGGGCGTGGAGGCATTGGGGCGATTCTGGCACCAGTATAAAAACAACCTGAAACATTCCTAAGGAAGACTTATCACTTACAGCAGTACAATTCCTGTCCTGTAAGAACCAGCTGTGAAGGACAGGCTTGGTACTAAGTTCTGCTCGTGAGGTGGACCTCCCCATTCATACGTTAGGACTCATGTTTGTGCATGCTCAGAGCTTTGTGCACACTGAGATCTGATAATGCCGTGGTTTTGGCCAGTCTGAGGGAAGGAAGAGCTTCCCACACTGTTGTGGAGGGATGGACACCCTAACTGGAGGGCACGGGCTGCCCAGGGAAAGTTCTAATGTTCTCTGACTGCAGATTCACTTGTAGGAATTTATCGTAGCTGATAATCATGCAATTTTGTAGATCTTTCTGAACAGATGTTTGTTAGATGCTGTTAATAATAGCCAACAATTTGAAATATTTTAACTGTCCACCAGAGGTCAGTTAATAAATGTAGGAATTCCATATATCTACACTATGTACAATATAGCCATTAAGAAGAATGAAATAGATTTCTATCTACCAATGTAAACATTTCTCTGAGTTAATAACAAATGTAAAAAGACACAGTTAGGAAACCGACTGGGCAAGGTGGCTCATGCCTGTAGTCCCAGCACTGTGGGAGAAGGATGGAAGGATCACTTGAGGCCAGGAATTGGAGAATGGCCCGGGGATCATAGCAAGACCCCGTCTCTAAAAAGAGTTTTAAAAAATTAGCCAGTGCGGTGGCGCACACTTGTAGTGTCAGCTACTCAGAAGGCTGGAGGTGGGAGGATCACTTGAGTCCAGGAATTTAATGTTGCTGTGAGCTGTGATCGTGCTGCTGCACTCTAGCCTGGGCGACAAAGCAAGATCCCGTTGCAAAAAATAAGTTAATTAAAAAAAAACAAAAAACCTTATATGATAAAACTCAGTTTTTGGTCCCATCTGTGTGAGTGTATTTATATAATAACGTCCCGGAGGCTGGATTTAGGGCACTTTTTCATTCTGTAAGTAAATGTAGGGCCCAAAGAGCAAGGGATGGGTATTAGCTTTCAAAAGAGCCAATCCTCAATCTGAAATAAAATAATAGCCTTCTCATCTAATCTGAGAACTAGCTTTGATTATACTGTACATTCAGTTTTTATTTGTAGACCTTAACATCTAATTTGTATGGTTGCAGTTAAGTGAGAGTTGGAAATGTGTGTCGATATTGGCTTTTCCCTCATTTTAGCCCATCGATTTGAGTGCATGCACTGTTGCACTTCACATTTTCCAGCTGAATGAAGATGGCCCCAGCAGTGAAAATCTGGAGGAAGAGACAGAAAACATAATTGCAGCAAATCACTGGGTTCTACCTGCAGGTATGGGGTGTGATGGGAGTTGAAGGGGAGGCTGAGGTCAGAGGATTGTATACTCCATGCCATGTCAGTTCACAGGGGGGGTTCTGTTTGTCCATTTGTTTTGTAGGATTTTAGGATGTTTTCTCTCTTATGAAATGGAAAGTATATCACAAAAGAGGAAAGTAGAGATTTCCAGTGTGGGACCATACTGTTCCTTTGGGTGGGTACCTTAGAGTTCCTGGCTAACGGAGAGTGCCCATGTGCTCTTCTCACATGCCTGCTTGGTCTGTCCTGCTGAGTGGCTCCTTGTCTGCTTGATGCTTCTCCGTGGGCATTGCTGATGGGCTCTAGCAGGCCAAGCCCACGGCTTCATTCAGTCAGTGTGTGGGGAAACAGGTGGATTTGGATGGGCTCTAGCAGGCCAAGCCCAGGGCTTCATTCAGTCAGTGTGTGGGGAAACAGGTGGATTTGGATGGGCTCTAGCAGGCCAAGCCCAGGGCTTCATTCAGTCAGTGTGTGGGGAAACAGGTGGATTTGGATGGGCTCTAGCAGGCCAAGCCCAGGGCTTCATTCATTCAGTGTGTGGGGAAACAGGTGGATTTGGATGGGCTCTGGCAGGCCAAGCCCAGGGCTTCATTCAGTCAGTGTGTGGGGAAACAGGTGGATTTGGATGGGCTCTGGCAGGCCAAGCCCAGGGCTTCATGCAGTCAGTGTGTGGGGAAACAGGTGGATTTGGATGGGCTCTGGCAGGCCAAGCCCAGGGCTTCATTCAGTCAGTGTGTGGGGAAACAGGTGGATTTGGATGGGCTCTGGCAGGCCAAGCCCAGGGCTTCATTCAGTCAGTGTGTGGGGAAACAGGTGGATTTGGATGGGCTCTGGCAGGCCAAGCCCAGGGCTTCATTCAGTCAGTGTGTGGGGAAACAGGTGGATTTGGATGGGCTCTGGCAGGCCAAGCCCAGGGCTTCATTCAGTCAGTGTGTGGGGAAACAGGTGGATTTGGATGGGCTCTGGCAGGCCAAGCCCAGGGCTTCATTCAGTCAGTGTGTGGGGAAACAGGTGGATTTGGATGGGCTCTGGCAGGCCAAGCCCAGGGCTTCATGCAGTCAGTGTGTGGGGAAACAGGTGGATTTGGATGGGCTCTGGCAGGCCAAGCCCAGGGCTTCATTCAGTCAGTGTGTGGGGAAACAGGTGGATTTGGATGGGCTCTGGCAGGCCAAGCCCAGGGCTTCATGCAGTCAGTGTGTGGGGAAACAGGTGGATTTGGATGGGCTCTGGCAGGCCAAGCCCAGGGCTTCATTCAGTCAGTGTGTGGGGAAACAGGTGGATTTGGATGGGCTCTGGCAGGCCAAGCCCAGGGCTTCATTCAGTCAGTGTGTGGGGAAACAGGTGGATTTGGATGGGCTCTGGCAGGCCAAGCCCAGGGCTTCATTCAGTCAGTGTGTGGGGAAACAGGTGGATTTGGATGGGCTCTGGCAGGCCAAGCCCAGGGCTTCATTCAGTCAGTGTGTGGGGAAACAGGTGGATTTGGATGGGCTCTGGCAGGCCAAGCCCAGGGCTTCATTCAGTCAGTGTGTGGGGAAACAGGTGGATTTGGATGGGCTCTGGCAGGCCAAGCCCAGGGCTTCATTCAGTCAGTGTGTGGGGAAACAGGTGGATTTGGATGGGCTCTGGCAGGCCAAGCCCAGGGCTTCATTCAGTCAGTGTGTGGGGAAACAGGTGGATTTGGATGGGCTCTGGCAGGCCAAGCCCAGGGCTTCATTCAGTCAGTGTGTGGGGAAACAGGTGGATTTGGATGGGCTCTGGCAGGCCAAGCCCAGGGCTTCATTCAGTCAGTGTGTGGGGAAACAGGTGGATTTGGATGGGCTCTGGCAGGCCAAGCCCAGGGCTTCATTCAGTCAGTGTGTGGGGAAACAGGTGGATTTGGATGGGCTCTGGCAGGCCAAGCCCAGGGCTTCATTCAGTCAGTGTGTGGGGAAACAGGTGGATTTGGATGGGCTCTGGCAGGCCAAGCCCAGGGCTTCATTCAGTCAGTGTGTGGGGAAACAGGTGGATTTGGATGGGCTCTGGCAGGCCAAGCCCAGGGCTTCATGCAGTCAGTGTGTGGGGAAACAGGTGGATTTGGATGGGCTCTGGCAGGCCAAGCCCAGGGCTTCATTCAGTCAGTGTGTGGGGAAACAGGTGGATTTGGATGGGCTCTGGCAGGCCAAGCCCAGGGCTTCATGCAGTCAGTGTGTGGGGAAACAGGTGGATTTGGATGGGCTCTGGCAGGCCAAGCCCAGGGCTTCATGCAGTCAGTGTGTGGGGAAACAGGTGGATTTGGATGGGCTCTGGCAGGCCAAGCCCAGGGCTTCATTCAGTCAGTGTGTGGGGAAACAGGTGGATTTGGATGGGCTCTGGCAGGCCAAGCCCAGGGCTTCATGCAGTCAGTGTGTGGGGAAACAGGTGGATTTGGATGGGCTCTGGCAGGCCAAGCCCAGGGCTTCATGCAGTCAGTGTGTGGGGAAACAGGTGGATTTGGATGGGCTCTGGCAGGCCAAGCCCAGGGCTTCATTCAGTCAGTGTGTGGGGAAACAGGTGGATTTGGATGGGCTCTGGCAGGCCAAGCCCAGGGCTTCATTCAGTCAGTGTGTGGGGAAACAGGTGGATTTGGATGGGCTCTGGCAGGCCAAGCCCAGGGCTTCATGCAGTCAGTGTGTGGGGAAACAGGTGGATTTGGATGGGCTCTGGCAGGCCAAGCCCAGGGCTTCATGCAGTCAGTGTGTGGGGAAACAGGTGGATTTGGATGGGCTCTGGCAGGCCAAGCCCAGGGCTTCATTCAGTCAGTGTGTGGGGAAACAGGTGGATTTGGATGGGCTCTGGCAGGCCAAGCCCAGGGCTTCATGCAGTCAGTGTGTGGGGAAACAGGTGGATTTGGATGGGCTCTGGCAGGCCAAGCCCAGGGCTTCATGCAGTCAGTGTGTGGGGAAACAGGTGGATTTGGATGGGCTCTGGCAGGCCAAGCCCAGGGCTTCATTCAGTCAGTGTGTGGGGAAACAGGTGGATTTGGATGGGCTCTGGCAGGCCAAGCCCAGGGCTTCATTCAGTGTGTGGGGAAACAGGTGGATTTGGATGGGCTCTGGCAGGCCAAGCCCAGGGCTTCATTCAGTCAGTGTGTGGGGAAACAGGTGGATTTGGATGGGCTCTAGCAGGCCAAGCCCAGGGCTTCATTCAGTCAGTGTGTGGGGAAACAGGTGGATTTGGCATCTGGACTTGTGCTGAAGCATATGGATAAAAGACAATTGTAAGTGGCTATGATCATAAATTTTATAATGTGTTGTTCACCACCAAAAAATGATAGTTTAATGAAAACATATTGTGGGGATTATGTTATACGTCAATGGAAAATAAATGACAACAATACCTTAAAGAAGGATGGGAAGTTAAAGTTTTTTTAAAAGACAATTGTGCGTGATAATGAGACGTAAAGTGTAATTCTTTGACTCCATCCAGTTGTCTGCCAGAAGTTACATGTGACTGGCATTTATTTTGCATCTTTGATTTTAATAAAAATCAAAATTTGAAGAAAAATTTGCAGAATTTATACTTTCCTGTAATCAGAATCATAGTCTTGCCTGGAGCAGCACAATGGGAAGCTCAGGCTTAGGCTCAGGGGAGACTGACTGGGGGTGGCTGTAATTGCTTGCCTTCCTGAAATCAGGTCTTTGTTTAATTCTGTCACAGCTGAATTCCATGGGCTTTGGGACAGCTTGGTATACGATGTGGAAGTCAAATCCCATGTAAGTTGCTGTGCCTTTTCCCAGAATGCCCTGTTATTTGAAGAGGAACCATTACTGTTTTGCTCTCCAACACCCCTGAGCAACTTGATGCAGATGGGTTTTTGGGAGCCCCTGTCTGCTGGCAGCCCTTGTCCTGGACATCTATCCTCTAGTATTGCTCCAGAGTAGAGCTGGTCTCTGAGGAGCTCCCTGAGGGAGAAGAGGGAAAGGGAGAACGTGAAGGCAACTTAGAGAATTAAACCCTCTGGAGATGGGAGGAGGGAAGGTGAGCAAGCCTGGTCCGCACAAAGGAAAGGCCGGTGTGTCTTAACCCCTGCACCCTCTTCAACGGGAAGGGTCTTTCCCATGCCAGCAGCTGGCTAGAAGACTATCACTCAGCTGTCCTCTGCATTGATAGTCTGAGACTATCACTCAGACTGCTCCTCTGCATTGTGGCTGTTGTTATTTTGCGAATAATAACTGCTGTATCATTCTAGGGAAGGAGCTTACTCATTACTTGATAAACAAACCCCTTAGTGGTTTTGTTTAATGTTGGCACTTTAAATAAAAGTGATCATTTTGTTGCTCTTCTTATATTTATAATAGTAATAGCCAGTGTTTTTCCTTTTCCCTTTTGGAAGCACCTTCTCTTCTGAAATGAAAGCGTTTGGAGGTGATGATCTCTTAGGAGGCGGCCTCGCTCCCTGTGCTCCCTCTTCTCATGTAGGATTAAGCCCTGGGGGAGGGCACATTTCTTGGGGACCTTTGCCTTGTTGGTATCTTTGTCAAGCTCTTTTCTTTTTCTCTATCAGCTCCTCGATTATGTGATGACAACTTTACTGTTTTCAGACAAGAACGTCAACAGCAACCTCATCACCTGGAACCGGGTGGTGCTGCTCCACGGTAAATTATGCAGGCTTTTATTTGACCAGATAAGTGGCATGAAATTTAGCCTTTACTTGTACCTTCGTCCTTCTGCAAGGAGTTACGGCTCTTTGTTTTCTGAAGGAGCCACAGCTGTCCTAGAATGTCCCCTCTCTGTGAAGCAGATCCAGCTCATGACACTTGGGACATTTTTTGTTTGTTTGTTTGTTTTTGTTTTTGAGACAGAGTCTCGCTGTCGACCAGGCTGGAGTGCAGTGGCCCGATCTCGGCTCACTGCAACCTCCACTTCCTGGGTTCCTCCCAGGTTCCAGCAACTCTCCTACCTCAGCCTCCCGAGTAGCTGGGATTACAGGCATGCGCCACCACACCCAGCTAAGTTTTGTATTTTTAGTAGAGACGGGGTTTCACCACGTTGACCAGGCTGGTCTCAAACTCCTGACCTCAGGTGATCCGCCCGCCTCAGCCTCCCAAAGTGCTGGGATTACAGGCTTGAGCCACCGCGCGCGGCCCCTGGGGCATTGATTACTCGGCACTTAATCAAGTCTTCCTGTGGGGGGCCACATTCCAAGACATCCTCAGATGCCCCAAACGTGGATAATACTAAACCTTATGTAGACTATTTTTTCCTACAGACATTCCTATGATAAAGCTTAACTTATAAATTAGGCTTGTAGTACTCAGAGCTTTACTTTGTGAGGAGTAAACTGAAAAAGCCATATTTTAAAGAAATTCTGTCTGGTTCTTCTCAGGAGAAAATACTGATGGTTTGTTGTTTGGTTTTGTTTTGTTTTGTTGTCAATATCACCGGGTAGAATGGGGACACGGGAATTGAGTGGACTCGAGAGTATGAAACTGTAGCCAAGTGTTAAATAGAAGCTTGAAGGGTACTTGGCTTCTTTAAGTCAGTTAAGATTGCGTGACAAAGTGACCTTAAAACACAATGTTCTTTTAAAGAGCAGACAGGCCCCGCATACTGCCCTCATAGCACAGTCAGAGTAAGCAGCAGGTGTTTTAATTAGTGAAATAAGTTGTTTCTGTTTGGAACCAGTTACGTATTTCCTCTTTAATTCTTGAAAATACCTGCAGAAAATTAGAGTTGTATGTCTCCATTTTCTGTTAGATGCTTTCCTTTTTCCATATTGGTCACCTCGCAGCTTCTGTGAGGCATCTTTTGTAGGGTCCAGCCCCACAGGGTTGGTGAGTTTTCTCCCCATGTGCAAAGACGAGAGAGTGTAGAAATAAAGACACAAGACAAAGAGATAAAAGACAGCTGGGCCTGGGGGACCACTACCACCAAGACGCGGAGACCGGTAGTGGCCCCGAATGCCAGGCTGCGCTGATATATATTGGATACAAGACAAAGGGGCAGGGTAAGGAGTGTGAGCCATCTCCACTGATAGGTAAGGTCACGTGGGTCACGTGTCCACTGGACAGGGGACCCTTCCCTGCCTGGCAGCTGAGGCAGAGAGAGAGAAGAGAAACAGAGAGACGGCTTACACCATTATTTCTGCATATCAGAGACTTTTAGTACTTTCACTAATTTGCTACTGCTAGCTAAAAGGCAGAGCCAGGTGTACAGGATGGAACATGAAGGCGGACTAGGAGCATGACCACTGAAGCACAGCATCACAGGGAGACAGGCCTCTGGATGACTGCGGGCGGGTCTGACTAATGTCAGGCCCTCCACAAGAGGTGGAGGGGTAGAGTCTTCTCTAAACTCCCCGGGGGAAAGGGAGACTCCCTTTCCCGGTCTGCTAAGTAGCAGGTGTTTTTCCTTGACACTGACGCTACCATTAGACCACGGTCAGCTTGGCAGCGGGCTTCTTCCCAGACGCTGGCATTACTGCTAGACCAAGGAGCCCTCTGGTGGCCCTGTCCAGGCATAACAGAAGGCTCGCACTCTTGTCTTCTAGTCACTTCTCACTATGTCCCCTCAGCTCCTATCTCTGTATGGCCTGGTTTTTCCTAGGTTATGATTGTAGAGCAAGGATTATTATAATATTGGAATAAAGAGTAATTGCTACAAATTAATGATTAATATTCATATATAATCATATCTAAGATCTATATCTAGTATAATTATTCTTATTTTATTTATTTTATTATACTGGAACAGCTCGTGCCCTCGGTCTCTTGCCTCGGCACCTGGGTGGCTTGCCGCCCACATCATGCTAGGGGACGCTTGGCAGGCAGGCGTGCAAGAAGAGTGCTGGCCTCTGCCTCTTCTAGTATGGGGTATGAGCCCACTGAGAATTGTCTTAGGAAAGAGGGTGGTTCTGGGGGCAACAGGAATAACACATGACCCCTCCACCTCCATTTATCAAGAAAGGTGTGTTTGATCTCTGAAAGGTGCCTTGATGAGTGGATTTCATAAAGGAAGAGTGGGGACAAGGACAGGTGTCAGCAAAGATGTAGGCTAGAAAATGCAATGTTCATTCCCGACGCTAAGTGAGACTGTAGGCCGAGAAGCTGGGAGCAGTGCTGGGGGTGGGGAGGCGATGGAGGCTGAGACCAGAAATACGAAGTTGAGTACAAATAAGAAAGAGGGGGAGACGTAAGTGTATTGGTAATATTTCATAGCATTTAAGTTTCTAAGCAGACTTCATTGTAGTAATAACATTAATAGCTTTTAACTGTATTCCTTATATTTTATGGATAATGGAAGTTACTGTTGTTTTAAGAAATTTGTTGTAGCACTGACTTAAAAATATATTTGCTTGGATCTTTGTCACAGGTCCTCCTGGCACTGGAAAAACATCCCTGTGTAAAGCGTTAGCCCAGAAATTGACAATTAGACTTTCAAGCAGGTAACTTTCGGTAATCTGTGAGAGGAGAGCCATGGGAATGGGATTTATAACGGGAGGTTGTTTTTTTTTTTTTCTAAATCATTTTACGCAAATAATAGATTCCTCTCCACTGTAAGTCACTTGATTCCTCTGTATTCAGCATAGTTTTGAGTTATGATTTCAGTCTTTTAAGATTTGAGACTTACTTGATTGCCAGCACATGATCTCTGCTGGTGAATTGCACTTCAGAAGACTATACTTTCTCCCCTTGCTGGATGCAGTGTTCGTCTCTAATTACGGATTTGTCTTTTCCTCTTGAGTTCTGTCTGTTTGGGGCTTATGGTTTTCATCACATTTGGAAAATACCTGGTCATTGTTTCCTCACTGAATTTCCTTGACCCTCCCCTTTATCTGGGACTCTGTCTGCTTTCATGTTAGACTGTTTGATGTTGTTCCACAGGCCACTCCTGTGCTTTTTCATTTTTTTTTTCAGTTCTTTAGAAATATGTTTTATTCGAAAGTTTCTATTGCCGTATTTTAAGTTGACTGATTTTCTACATCGTCTAATCTGCTTTTAATTCCATTCAGTGAAGTTGTTATGTCTGATAGTGTATTTTTCTGCTCTGTTCTATTTGATTCTTTTTATACTGTTTTTTCATTATGTTCTCGTTCACGTCTTGAACAACCCCATAATAGCTGTTTTAATGTTCTGTCTGCTAATTCCATCATGATTGTCATTTCTGATTGTGTTTCTATTGACTGGTTTTTCTTCTGGTTAGGGGTCACATGGTTTTGCTTTGTTAGCATGTTAGGTAGTGTTTGATTAGCTGCTGAACATTGTGATCTGAAGTGTGTGGATTGTGTGTTCCTTTAGTGAGTGTTAGATTTTGTTCCGTTAGGCATTTCCATTACTTGTGATTTGGTGTGATCCTTTGAGGTTTGGTTTTTTTAAGCTTTGACTGGGAGGGGTTTAGGTTTGGTCTTAACACTCAATTGTGGTCCTCTGGGGTCTCCACTGAGTGTGCTGAAGGATCCGTGGGCACTCTCCACTCTGGCGGTCGGAGTATGCACTCCTCTCAGCCTGTGTGAGGTCCAGGAGCCCTTCAGCTCACAGACCACGGGCGCCCTTTACATAGCTGCAGGGAATGTCCCCTGCTCACACACACCTGAGTATTCATCCAGGACATCGGGGGCGCCATGAGGATCCTGGGCACTCCTTCTGAGGTATTTCTTCATATTTCCTTCCCCTCTGGAATTCTGTTCTGCAGCCTTCAGTCACTTCAGACTCCCTGAACTCCAATCTCTGTCTCCTCGACTCAGCGAGTGGCTGTGCTCCACTTGGGCTCCCTCCCGTGCCTGTGGTTGGAAGATGCCTCCCGGCAAGAAAGTTAGAGCATTTGTAGAGAGGGTCCCTGGTCTTCCGACTCAGGAGTCCCAGCCCTCACTGCCCTGTGTACAGCAACCTTACCAGATGTCATTTCATCCATTTTGCCTTAAATGAGGTTTTCTCATTTAAGATTAGATGGTAAATCTGCTTCCTGTTACTCCAGTATGACTAGCGGAAATCCTGTGAGGTTTAATTTCGTATACATAATTTTTGTTCTTCAAAAATGTCTTGTAAATGTTTTTACATAGGGAAATTGCTTTATTTTGACCCCTTAGCTTATGTTTAGCAACTTGCCCTTTGCTTTGACATATTGAAATACATGTGTGTTTTCAAGATCTCTAGGGGCATGCCAGCATGGCGGCTCAATGCCTGTAATCCCAGCGCTTTGGGAGGCTGAGGCAGGTGGATCATTTGAAACCAGGAGTTTGAGACCAGCCTGGCCAACATGGAGAAACCCTGTCTCTACAAAAAAATACAAAAAATTAGCTGGGAGCACATGCCTGTGGTCCCAGCTTCTTTTGAGGCTGAGGTGGGAGGATCACCTTAGCCCAGGAGGTCCAGGCTGTGGTGAGCCTGGGTGACGGGAGTGAGACCCTGCCTCCAAAGAGTAACCAAAAAAGATCTCTAGGGGCAGAGAGGGCAACACAAGAGAAGGAAAATGTTATTGTAAGGAATATAGCTTTTTCCAGTACAAAGATCTGGAAATATGCATTGGTTTTATGGCTTAGAAATGGCAAAAAGAAGTCCTAGCAAGACTTTTCCTCACTCTATCAAAGAATCAAAATGTTTTATAATTAATTTTGTTTAATATTCAACCCAGTCTATATTTTGTTAGATTGTCTGTATCCCTCCACTGTTTTAATAAACAGTATCAGTAAACGGTCTCTCTCTTTTTTACGTGGAATGCCAGTGATGCTTCTTGAACGTAATTCTTTTTCTTTTGTGGACTTTTGACATGGAAGCAACTGAAAAGAGGACCTGGAAGTCAGTTTCTCTCTGGCCTCAGTCTTGTTCTCTGGTGATTTAGTCAGCAGCTAAGCACGCCCAGATCTGTCTGCGGGCTTCTGAATGGATAGAGGAGTGTTTCTGGGTTCCAGTCAGTCTGTGTGTGTTAAGGTTAACTTTGGGCCACCTGAGCATTCCTGGGCTCTGGGGTCTGTGCTGTTTAGGGTTCTGTGGAAGGAGGGGAAAATGCTCAGCTCCTGCCAAAAGCTCTTGATGCTTCTATTTTGTTTTGTTTTCTGTCTTATGTTAGTACTGCTAATATTTTTAAACATAGAAATATAATTTGTAAATAGATATAAAATGGGAGTTTTTACTCTTTAACTCAATTGATACAGTCTAGAACTACTGATTGAATCTTGTTAGACTTTTTCATAATTATTTAGTACACGGAGGGCTGGATTCCTCAATTCTTTGTCAGTAATTGTAATTCCCCCGATGCTGGGCACTTGAGATGTTGCATTCAGGACGCGTGAATGGCTGCCGCTGAGGATCCACAGGACCAGTTAGTAATTCTCTCAACTCCTTTTTTCTATCTCAGGTACCGATATGGCCAATTAATTGAAATAAACAGCCACAGCCTCTTTTCTAAGTGGTTTTCGGAAGTAAGTATTAAATATTAATTCTAATTGTCTGGATTGTATAGCTGAAAAAATGTCTTGTATGTTAGGCAAATCCTCCTCCAGAAGCTTCAGGAGAGAACTGGGTGGGAAGGGTGTGTGAGGATTGGGGCTGACTGTGATCAGAGAAGGTTCCGGAGCTGGGGCCCTTGGGGACCCTCCCTTGGTTCTCCCCAGACCTGTGACTGGGTGGGACAGGACAATCGATGGACTCTCAGAAGGGCAGGGCTGGCACTCAGGGGACTGCAGCCCTGCCATGCATGTCCTTGGTGCTCATGCGCCCTAGCACTGTCTGTGAGTTGAGGGGGTCAGACAAGGTGATGTCACATGTGATTCTTACCTCTGAGGAGCTGTGCCCAAGTCACCTGGCATCCGCACATCCCTCTGGTGAGGTGAGGTGGGACCAGGCACGCTGGGCACAGGAGAGCCTGTGAGGAGTGCATCCCAGCCTGTTTGCATCTGTGGTCTGCCTCTTTTCCTCATCAGAGAGGACACACAGGTAAAGCAGAGGTACAGGTCACCCTCACTGTGCCGCCCCGGGCAGGTCAGGTGTGGTCTCAGGTCTCAGCACCCTGGCATTCAAAGCAGAGGGGAAGAGTGTTAGGCTGACCTCCTCCCATGCTGCCCTAGCTTCTCTGATTTAGGGAGCTTTCTGAGGGGCCGTCAGGAGACAGTGGGCTTGTGGGGACAACTGGGGCAGCAGGCCACATCAGGGTCCCCCTGTGCACCTGGCAGTGTGGTCCCTGCACGTTGACACTAAAAGGGTGTTTGGGTTCCAGAGTGGCAAGCTGGTAACCAAGATGTTTCAGAAGATTCAGGATTTGATTGATGATAAAGACGCCCTGGTGTTCGTGCTGATTGATGAGGTAGGCATTTCCAGATAAGGAAATTCATGACAGAATCGCCTTTTGCCATTGTGGGGACACAGCCTACTCCTGATGCTCCTAGCTTTCCCCTCCTACAGCCGGGCTGCCCTCTATCCCTCCCTGCACTGTGCGCCTTTCCACCTTGCCGCAGCATCCGCAGGCTAGGCACGGGAACACCCATTCATTCATCTTTTTCACGTGCTCAGCGGGACGTATCCCCATAGCTGCCTGTGAAGTGCCAGGCCCTGTCCTTTTTGACCCCACTGCTCCCTCCCAACAGGTGGAGAGTCTCACAGCCGCCCGAAATGCCTGCAGGGCGGGCACCGAGCCATCAGATGCCATCCGCGTGGTCAATGCTGTCTTGACCCAAATTGATCAGATTAAAAGGTAACCAGGACATGCAGCAATTTTCCCTGAGAAGTGATGAGAAGTTTGTCCCAAAGAAATGCGTGATACTTGTGCAACCCTAGATCTTAGTGCCCAGCTCTTTCACCGGAAAGTGCATTTGGCATTGAGTATCGACTCCTTTTCCACATTGGAAGCAGCATATCACAAATGCTTTTTAAAGAAATTGTTTTTAGTGTGTTAAAAATGTAATAGAAGGCCAGGCGCGGTGGCTCACACCTGTAATCCCAGCACTTTGGGAGGCCGAGGCAGGCGGATCACAAGGTCAGTAGATTGAGACCATCCTGGCTGACACGGTGAAACCCTGTCTCTACTAAAAATACAAAAAATTAGCTGGGCATGATGGCGGGCGCCTGTAGTCCCAGCTACTCTGGAGGCTGAGGCAGGAGAATGGTGTGAACCCGGGAGGCAGAACTTGCAGTGAGCCGAGATCATGCCACTGCACTCCAGCCTGGGTGACAGAGCAAGACTCCGTCTCAGAAAAAAAAAATGTGAAAGAAAACTCAGGCATGGTAAGCATTTTACGTAGCACAGAAAAGCATAAAATGAAGAACTGCTACGTTCAGGCCTTATCCCACCCACTTCTCTCCTATCCCACCCACTGTCAGCACCAACTAGTGCTGCTCGTAGGTGAATGGCTGTCCCCTGCTCGCCCTGCTGGCCCAGGACAGACAGCTTCGTGTGCAGATGGTCCACGTCTCCACAGCCCAGCCTCACAGGGCCAGGGCCTGTTGTCATTGTAGCCCAAGTTTATCAAGCTTAAGGAGCGACAGCTGCTGGCCCAACTCCCAAGGAAGTGATGGGCGAGCCAGAACCTGCCTGTCCCTGTGTGGTGCTCAGCCAGGACTCAGGTTCCTTCTGTGAAATGTTCTTTCTGTCCTCAGGGTGCCTGGGGAGTCCCTGGCATTCTCAGAAGCTGGATTGTTGAGTGTGGGGTGACAGCAGACTGAACTGTGCAGAGGAACGTTTTGTCCAGGCCATCACCACTGTCTCACCACAGAGAGCGTATCTGGCTTCCTGAGAAGCGCTCGTTTTGGGGTCAGCTGCAGGAATGTGTGCCAAGACCAGCTCGGTCGGGGAGACCCTAACCCAGCGGCGCTAGAGGAATTAAAGACACACACACACACAAATATAGAGGTGTGAAGTGGGAAGTAGGGGTCGCACAGCCTTCAGAGCTGAGAGCCCCGAACAGAGGTTTACCCACGTATTTATTAACAGCAAGCCAGTCATTAGCATTGTTTCTATAGATATTAAATTAACTAAAAGTATCCCTTACGGGAAACGAAGGGATAGGCCGAATTAAAGGAATAGGTGGGGCTAGTTAACTGCAGCAGGAGCATGTCCTTAAGGCACAGATCGCTCATGCTATTGTCTGTGGCTTAAGAACGCCTTTAAGCGGTTTTCCACCCTGGGCGGGCCAGGTGTCCCTTGCCCTCATTCTGGTAAACCGACAACCTTCTAGTGTGGGCGTTATGGCCATCATGAACATGTCACAGTGCTGCAGAGATTTTGTTATGGCCAGTTTTGGGGCCAGTTTATGGCCAGATTTTGGGGGGCTTGTCCCCAACAAGTGTGCAGGTCCTGGAGGGGGGCCTCCCCTGCCTCTGGCTTCCTTCTCCTCTTGTCCACTTCCTTCCCCACCTGGCTTGTCTCTCAGTCTACTGCAATCTGGCTCCTGCCCCCGCCGCAGCCCAGCAGCCCCGCATTCACATGAGTGTTCCCTTTTCTCTTTCTGGAACTTTGCACAGCGCTGACACCCTGATGGCCCCTTCCCTGAATCTCTTTGTGCCTCCCTCCCCGGCCTCCATTCTCCTGTCTCCCCGGTTTATGCTGCTGGCGTCTCTCCGCAGGGAGGGGTCTACACAGCCTGTCTGTGGCCTTCTCTCCTGGCGTGTGCCCCTTCAGCATAGCTCAGGGTTCTGTGGGGGGAATCCCAGACCTGCACATCCACCTGTGACCAGACATCAGGCTTAGATGCCCGGGATGCCAGGCACACTCCCACACTGCTCACTGGGCCCCAAATCCCTAACTTCCTGGGATTCCACACGACGCTGATGGCCTCGCTGTGCACCTGCCACTCAAACCAGAGGATGGAGGCCACCGTGACTTCTCCCTGTCAGTCACAAGGGGGTGTGGCTCAGGAAGAAACAAGGAGACACGCTTGCCTCTCTTGCCTTCATTCCCTCGTGCTTCTGGTTCCAGCCCCTCTCTAGAGGACTCTTTCTGTCCCCCACCAGTCCTGTCCACTCCCGCATCTCTGGATTGTCAGCCCCTGGGTCGTGATCTGCAGGCCTAGGCCTCCCTCTGGCCCTTCCTGCAGCCCCACCCTCCTGGTGCTGGACTGAGCAGCTGTGAGCTCACCCAACCTCTGTGCCTTGTTCCTCTGCCGGGGACCCACAGGCTCCCTGTCCTGCCTCTGCTTAGCTCACCCCGGCGCGCAGGCACAGGGCCTGCCCTCCCTTGGCCAGGGTCTAGGTGAAGTTGACCTTCCCCAGGCAGCAGTGGTAGCACTGCCACATGTGCAGCCACGCCCCCCAGGCCTGTGCAGCATGCTCCCTGGGGGCACCTTGTGCCCGCTCTGCTGGCTCATGCTGGGTCCTTGGGGGACATTGGTCAACAGACCAGACAACAGGGGCTCTCTCTATGGAGTTTAGACGCTAGAGGGGAGAGCAGATCATGAACATGGGAAGTAACCCAGCTCTAGAGTATGTCTAGGGATGATGAGTGGCCATGCCCAGGTGGTGGTGGGCACCAGAGCCCACGGTAGGTGGCACAATCAGGAACGCCATGCGAAAGTGAGATCCTTGCTAGGCCGGGCGCGGTGGCTTACGCCTGTAATCCCAGCACTTTGGGAGGCCGAGGCAGGCGGATCACGAGGTCAGGAGATCGAGACCATCCTGGCTAACACGGTGAAACCCCGTCTCCACTAAAAATACAAAAAATTAGCCGGGCACGGTGGCGGGCGCCTGTAGTCCCGGCTACTTGGGAGGCTGAGGCAGGAGAATGGTGTGAACCGGCGAGGCGGAGCTTGCAGTGAGCCGAGATAGCACCACTGCACTCCAGCCTGGGCGAAAGAGCGAGACTCTGTCTCAAAAAAAAAAAAAAAGGAAAGTGAGATCCTTGCCAAGGTTGAAGGCAGTGAGGGAATGAGCGAAGTGGGGCTGTAGAATTCCCAGAAGGCCAAGGAGCAGCGAGAGCAAAGGCTGGGGGGTCTGCGTGGCCTGTGTTGGCACAAGGCCACTTTCCTTCCTGTTGGCAGCCTGCTGGCCATCGTCCTGCCAACCTCCTTGCCAGATAGGGCAGGATAGAATTGGGTCACCGACAGCCGTGATGACTGTGGTGCTTGCTTCTCGGCCACAACAGGCATTCCAATGTTGTGATTCTGACCACTTCTAACATCACCGAGAAGATCGACGTGGCCTTCGTGGACAGGGCTGACATCAAGCAGTACATTGGGCCACCCTCTGCAGCAGCCATCTTCAAAATCTACCTCTCTTGTTTGGAAGAACTGATGAAGGTACCTTTATTTTTTTTTTCCTCTTGATACAAATGGATTTCTTATATGTTCTTAATTAATTAAGATAGCTTAAAATAAGCTCGTTCCAGTACGGAGGATTTCAACATATGCATTAACTCCCTTCTTAAATTGAAAACTAGTTTTGTATGTGACAGGTTGAGCTGATAGTTGAAACTAGGGCCACTGACTCAATATTTTTGTTCTTTTGGCACAATACAGTCATCATTGTTCATTATTTGAGGTACCAGTCAGTGTAGGGGACGTCAGTGACCGGCTGTGTTTACCTGGCTGGCTGCACAAACCTTAGTTCTCAGCTTACCCCGGGCTTTTCCAATGCCCTGCCTCTCGGGGGCCTGTATCCTTACCTGAAAGAGGAAACATCACGGGCGTAGTATGGGCCTGGTTTTGGTCACGGGGTCCACATGACGTCACGTTCTTGAGTCGCCTGTTGTGATGATAGGCAGGAACACTGTTGCCGTGGGCAGAGCGACGCGTGCGGGTTGTGTGTGTGAGTCAGGAAGGCCGTCGCCACGGGCAGAGCGACGCGTGCGGGGAGCGTGTGTGAGTCAGGAGGGCCGTCGCCACGGGCACAGTGACGTGCGGTGAGTGTGAGTCAGGAGGGCCGTCGCCACGGGCACAATGACATGTGCGGTGAGTGTGAGTCAGTAAGGCCGTCGCCATGGGCACAGTGACGCGTGTGGTGAGTGTGCGTGAGTCTGGAACGCCGTCGCCATGGGCAGTGACGCTGCGGTGTGTGTGAGTCAGGCTAGCAGGGACCTGCCCCATGCTTGTGTTTCTGCTGCTCTAGCCCCTGTGGGAACAGACCTGTCCCAGACAAATCATCCTGCAGGGGCCTTTGTTTAGGGTAGTTGGGCGGTAACCAAGCAAACCAGTGAATGGGGATTTAAACAGTGATGAGTTTAATGCAGTTGTTGCCACCTGCTGGTACCACAGAGTAGGGGTGTTAACAAGGATGGCACACCCTGCTGTGGTTGGGGACGGGAGAACTGGTCTCAGCCATGGACCCACTGGGCCTGCCCGGGTCAGCACTGTCCAGGCATGGTTTTCTTGGGGGTTGGGGAAAGGAGACGGAGCTCTGTGGAGCTTTGCCTGGAGAATGCCAGTGATCTGAAGACTGATTCTACAGCAGTTTTGCTGCCAAGGAGCCCCACGTGATAGCAGATCCTGCGAGGAAGTCGTGTGTGTTGGAGGTCCTCACGCACCTTCAGTGTGGGTTCCAGCCCTCGCAGTGTGACGTTTATACACTTGTACACTCGTGCTGTGAATCCAGGGGCTGTTTAAAGTGTTAGCTAAGAGGGATGGACTTTTTCTGGGACAGTGTAGGACAGGGGTAGTTTTTTGTTTGTTTGTTTATTTTGAGACACAGTCTCACTCTTACCTAGAGCTGGAGTACAGTGGTGCCATCGCAGCTCACTGCAACCTCCGCCTCCTGGGTTCAAGCGATTCTCGTGCCTCAGCTTCGTGAGTAGCTGGGATTACAGGTGCATGCCACCACACCTGGCTAATTTTTGTATTTTCAGTAGAGAAAGGGTTTCATCATGTTGGCCTGGCTGGTCTCAAACTCCTGACCTCAAGTGATCCGCCCACCTCAGCCTTCCAAAGTGCTGAGGTTACAGGCGTGAGCCACCGTGCCCAGTGATAGGGGTAGTTTCTTATTTTAGGCAGTTTATATGAAATTAAGACATGCAGATGTCACAGTGGATATTGAACTGGTCTCGAAAGCTCAATATCCCCCAAAGCACAAGCACAAACTGTCTTAATTTTGCTCACACCCCTCAACAAACCTCCAAAATGTTCAGACAATGCTATTTTCTTCCTTCTCCTTGTTCCTGAGTCAGAACGGTTCGTATTAGAATTCAGTCATAGTAAGTCAGTGTGCGCACCTGACTGTTGGCAAGGCTGCTTGGAAAAGCATGACTTCCAGACAAATGATCTCTGAGGGGAACTTCTGGTGCTCAGCTCCTCGGTCAGTCAGACACTGTCATGCTGCCAAACAAGCCTCACCTTTAAAACAGACAAACTAGGATCCTGCTTTGGAAGTCAGTGGAAGTCCTGGCTCTAAGTCCCAGCTCTGCCCACTGTGGGTTTTGACGTCTCCGAAGGTGGCATAACAGACTGGACTGGGTGCCTCCAGGTCCCTTCCCTTCCTGACACACAGGGAGGAAAAGTTTTGGCTCGAAACACAGAAGAGGCTATGTTGCTACTGGTTTCTGAGGCATGTTCCGTTATTTGTATTTGTTTGAAAAAGCAGAATGTGTACGCTGAGAGGCATGAGAGAGCGAGCTTGTTCCCTAGTGCAGCTGTGCATCTTGAGTCGTCACCGTCTGGATTTCTGTGAGACGTGGCGTGGTTGACATTTGACCTGCAGGTGCTGTCCCTCTTGCTGACGGTGCCTACGCTCAGGCCTCTGTGGACTCAGCTAACCGCCTGTACTTCTGTCTCCCCAGTGTCAGATCATATACCCTCGCCAGCAGCTGCTGACCCTCCGAGAGCTAGAGATGATTGGCTTCATTGAAAACAACGTGTCAAAATTGAGCCTTCTTTTGAATGACATTTCAAGGTGCAAATTGACCTCATTTTTGTAATCAAGAAGAATCCATTTGTGATATTAACTAGGGAGTCATTGTTTCCTTTGAGGAGACCAGGGAGGGCCCTGGGTGTGAACTCTCAACACAGTATAGGTATGAACATGCATGTACACACGTGTGTGTGTGTGTGTGTGTGCATGTGAGTAGAAACACGCAGCACAGCCACCTCCTTCCAAAGGAGATGTAACCCTTGCTCAGGGAGGGCGCTGGCTCACACTGGAAGCCTGCAACCCTACGGCTGACGACACTTACAAGGATTCGCAGAGTCCACAGAAAGGAAATGGCTTTGGGGGTCCAGGGAGGGTGGAAGGGAAGGTAGGAAAATCAAACGGTGCCTTGAAGGATAGAATTTGGTTCCAGCTGGAGAGAAATCAGGAAGGCTGCTGGAGCAGTGTGTTCAGGTGACCGTCTAGTGGGTTGCAGTGTGGAGGCTGGGGAGGTGCCGGAGAGGCGGGGGGTGGAATGGACAGAGCCTCGGGTTTCTGGCCAGAGTTTGAATTTTATTTTGAAGTTGGCAAGAATGTGGAAGGCTTTAAACAAGGGATAACATGAAGAATGTAGTATTTTTTAAGGATTTGGATTATCTGTTGAAGAGATTTAAATCAGTTAAGATGGGAACGAAGAACAGTTCAGAGACTTCTACAAAAATTGAAGATGTGAACCCACCCATTATTTGGGGACTCTGTGCCTACTGACCATGTGCCCGCTGCATCGTGCCTTACGCCTGGTGCTCCCAGGCAGGTGATGCCTTCCCTGAGCGCAAGGATGCTGGCCCTGGGGCAGAGGCTCCCGGGCAGGTGATGCCTTCCCTGAGCGCAAGGATGCTGGCCCTGGGGCAGAGGCTCCCAGGCAGGTGATGCATTCCCTGAGCGCAAGGATGCTGGCCCTGGGGCAGAGGCTCCCGGGCAGGTGATGCATTCCCTGAGCGCAAGGATGCTGGCCCTGGGGCAGAGGCTCCCGGGCAGGTGATGCCTTCCCTGAGCACAAGGATGCTGGCCCTGGGGCAGAGCACACAGGTGTGCCTTGGGTGTGCTTCAGAGCCGCGAGGACACTGCCTCCCAGAGCAGGAGCTGAGGATGGGGAGAGACCGGCCCCATACGAGAGGCCGGGGGCAAAGAGACATTCAGAGGGCAAGGCTCAGGAGACCAGTGAGGGGCAGGAAGTGCCCTGTGAACCCAGGGTGTGCTTGGGACGCCTCGGCTTGTGTTCCCAGGGATGCCTCGGCCAATGAGGAAAATTAGTCCTGAAACGTGTGATTGTATAAATTGCTGTCTCTGAACTGGGTTTTCTTTACACAGGAAGAGCGAGGGCCTCAGCGGCCGGGTCCTGAGAAAACTCCCCTTTCTGGCTCATGCGCTGTATGTCCAGGTGAGTCTCCACTGCTGTCCTCCAGCACCCGCCCTGTCCACAGGTCTCAGCCTCGCCGGAGATTCCGCTTAGTAGCCCTGGGGTATCAGCCTCATTTTATCTCAGTTTCTAAACCACAGGGTCCTGGGGCCGGAGGAGGAGCTGACCTTGGCACCGAAACACAGGGGCTGTCTTGAGTCCTTTGGGAGGAGGCGGCTGTGCCACATGCCTCTGCTCACACGCATGCATGCACACACATGCACGTCTGCCTCTGTGGTGTGCTGAGCTCGTGGCCAGGGCCCTCGCTGGCCTCACCAGAGGTTTGTGCTCTTTCAGTCTGGGTTCAGCTCACATAGAACAGTGACCTGGATCCACAGCCTCACCCACTGGGTGCTGGGCCTGTTGCAGATGCTTCGGCCTGGGGCACTCACCCCTCCCCTGCACTGTCCCCAGCAGCCGGTTGGGGTAAGGACTCAGTGTCTGGCAGAGCAGATACACTTACATCTGAGAAGAGAAAACCCCCATCTTGGAATGTTTCCTTTCAAATCAGAAGTGACTCAGGCTCTGTCTGATCAGTAGCAGCCTCTGTGCTGGACACAGTGCTCAGCACAGAGGTGACAGTGGCCATGGATCATGAGTGGGAGCCTTTTGATGCAGGGGAGGTGACAGCTCTGGGCACTGGGCCATGGGAATTCTCTGGTTATAAGCCTGGGACATAGGGTGGGCCCTCCAGGGTCTGCTCCCTACAGCTTCTCATCCTTCTCAGTGTGTGGGTGGCTGCCTTGGTGCTCCCCTGCCCACCCCCGCAGCTGTTTCTGACATTCAGGACATGGCGGGGGCGGGGGTCACGTAGCCACCTTGTTCGCCTTTTCTGAAGTAAAGAGCTTGGCTGATGTGCGTCCTGGACGTGTGTGGTGCGCACTCACTGCTCACCTTATCAGCTACCACCCCCTTCTGTGCTATCTGCACTGTGGGTGGCGGCAGGGGCTGTGGATGCCAGATGGCCCCACCAAACGTGAGTTGAGCCCCTCCAGCAATGACCGTGTACCTTCTAGGCCCCCACCGTCACCATAGAGGGGTTCCTCCAGGCCCTGTCTCTGGCAGTGGACAAGCAGTTTGAAGAGAGAAAGAAGCTTGCAGCTTACATCTGATCCTGGGCTTCCCCATCTGGTGCTTTTCCCATGGAGAACACACAACCAGTAAGTGAGGTTGCCCCACACAGCCGTCTCCCAGGGAATCCCTTCTGCAAACCAAACGTTACTTAGACTGCAAGCTAGAAAGCCACCAAGGCCAGGCTTTGTTAAAAGAAGTGTATTCTATTTATGTTGTTTTAAAATGCATACTGAGAGACAAACATCTTGTCATTTTCACTGTTTGTAAAAGATAATTCAGATTGTTTGTCTCCTTGTGAAGAACCATCGAAACCTGTTTGTTCCCAGCCCACCCCCAGTGGATGGGATGCATAATGCCAGCAAGTTTTGTTTAACAGCAAAAAAGGAAGATTAATGCAGGTGTTATAGAAGCCAGAAGAGAAACTGTGTCACCCTAAAGAAGCATATAATCATAGCATTAAAAATGCACACATTACTCCAGGTGGAAGGTGGCAATTGCTTTCTGATATCAGCTCGTTTGATTTAGTGCAAAAATGTTTTCAAGACTATTTAATGGATGTAAAAAAGCCTATTTCTACATTATACCAACTGAGAAAAAAATGGTCGGTAAAGTGTTCTTTCATAATAAATAATCAGACATGGTCCCATTTGCAGGAAAAGTGCAGACTCTGAGTGTTCCAGGGAAACACATGCTGGACATCCCTTGTAACCCGGTATGGGCGCCCCTGCATTGCTGGGATGTTTCTGCCCACGGTTTTGTTTGTGCAATAACGTTATCACATTTCTAATGAGGATTCACATTAATATAATATAAAATAAATAGGTCAGTTACTGGTCTCTTTCTCCGAATGTTATGTTTTGCTTTTATCTCACAGTAAAATAAATATAATTAATGGTTTGCATGTGAAATTCACTTTTGAAAGAACATGTTACCTTACCTTTTGTTTTAGAAGTTTTCAAGTATTAAAATATTTTTTAGAATTTTCTTGTTTTGATTCTAAGTATCTCTTCCAAGTGCTTTTAATTTTACTAAAAATTACTCACATGATTACTTAACTTTAAGCCTGATTTATGGTGTGGGGACCTTATGGTGTAACTGCATCATCCAGAAGAAATTGGGAAGGTGCCAGTGGCCCAGGTGCAGATTCAGGAGGTAGATCACCAAGGCCAAGGCATATGCAGGTTCTGGTCACCGTGTCGTCTGCTGGGCCTTAACTCTAGATTCAGAACCCGGAGCCACTCCTGCCGTGGAAAGCAGAGCCTGGCTCTGGGGGTGGCAGGTTGAGGAGTGGGCCCAGTCCATGCATGTCAGTGCTGTTAAAGGATCTTTTCACCAGTGGGCACAACCCTAACAGCTCCCCCACCTCCACTCTCCAGGAGTCAGCTTGGGGTCCACAGTGGCTTGCGGCCCTTGTACTCACAAGTTCTTCAAGAAACAATTTGAGCTTTTTAAAACAGTTGGGGGTGGGGTATAGTGAATAAGGCAAAAGACTCATCTGAGAGTAAAGGCAGTGTATTAGGGTTCTCTAGAGGGACAGAACTAATGGAATAGATAGATACATATATAAAGGGGAGTTTATTAAGTATTAACTCACATGATCACAAGGTCCCACAGTAGGCCATCGCAAGCTTCAGCAAGGAGAGCCACTCCGAGTCCCAAAACTGAAGAACTTGGAGTCCGATATTTGAGGGCAGGAAGCATCCAGCACAGGAGAAAGATGTAGGCTGGGAGGTTAGGCCCGTCTCGCCTTTTCACATTGTTCTCCCTGCTTATATTGTAGCCTCACTGGCAGCTGATTAGATGGTGCCCACCCAGGTTAAGGGTGGGTCTGCCTTTACCAGCCCAGTGACTCAAATGTTAATCTCCTTTGACAACACCCTCACAGACACACCCAGGATCAATACTTTGTATCCTTCAATCTGATTAAGTTGACACTCAGTATTAACCATCACAGGCAGACGCATGTCTAGAAGACAAAAGGTACAATATTCTTGCTGCCGAAGAAAAGAAAAAATTGCCAAACCTGAATTGCTGTGAAGGACATAGCTTGGAAGGCATGACAGAAGGTTCCCTGCAGTTATGGAGGATGAGTATGGGTGAGGTGCTGTGGACCCCAGCTCCAGTATCACTGGGCAAGTCTTGACAGGACACCAAGGTCATGGAGGTCAGCCTTGTGGAGCCCATGCTGCACTCAGATGAGATCTGTGGGTCCAAACAGCTCAGGCCATCTGAGTTTGTCCTGTTTGATTTGCTTGTTATATAAAATCAATCAATCAAAAGATAGATGAGTGATAAACGTGCCATTTCATTTACACCACTTCTGAAACCACACTTGAATTCTGGAGGCCGCTGGCTCGTGCGTCTCAGGCAGGCCCACTGGATGTGGTGGGACTCGGCAGTGGCAGGGACTTCTCATGGACTCATTGCAGGTGTCAAGTTCCTGAAAATAAGATACCTGTGGTAGAGAAACCAGGCTGTGTCCTTGAAGTCCCTTCAGGCTATTAACCGAGTGGGAATTCAGGGAATTTCACATGTCAACAGTAGGATGATTGTTGTGTTTAACTGCATGACCTCTGCAAAATGGGGATTAAGAGATCAACTGATAACAAAGTACTTGCCCAAGTTCAGAGACCTACCGCAGCACAACCTTACTAAGAAATAGAGGTTGAAAATGGCAATTTCAGTATAGAAATACGACTTTTAAACATATTAATTCTAGTAGTTTTTTGACAGCATTCTTAGGATTCTTTAGGCACTTGATTGTGCCAGCTGGGAATAAAGACAATTTGCTTATTTTTTTAATCTGTGCGCTTCCTCCCCCCCCCCCCCATTTTCTTGCCTTGCTGCATAGGCCATGGCAAGTATGAGGTTGAATAAAAATGCCTTAGTGGATGTCTTGGCCTCTTCTGTCTGTAAGCTCTGGAGTGATGTGCCACTTTCATTCAAGTACCAGCTTTAGGTTTCACAGATTTTATCTATTATTTGTTTTCTATTTTATTAATTTGGCACTTAATTTTCTTTTCTTCCTTCTACGTATGTTAGATTTGTCCTTTTCCCAGCTTCTTAAAGTGGAAGCTGAGCCCCTTGGTTGAGAGCTTTGTTTCTCAGCATTGAAAACATTCTCTCTTTGCACATTGCATAGCTGCTTCCCACAGATGGATGGAAATGTGTGACTTTTCATTCATCCTGTTCAAAATATTTTCTAATTTCCCATGTAGTTTCTTCTTGGACCCATGGGTTATTTAGAAGAGAACTGTTTCGTTTCCAAATATTTGGGGATTTTCCAGATAGCTGTCTCTTACTGATTTTCTTTAAATTGGTTGTGGTCAGATAACATATGTTGTATTATTCTAAATCTTTTAAATGAATTGAGACTTATTTGGTGGCTCAGCACGTGGCGTGCTCTGGAAAGAATGCACCTCCTGCAGTCAGGCACAGTGGTTTCTACGTGCCAGTCAGGTCTCATGACCTGTCACTGATTTTCTTTCCCCTACTCTGTCAATAGCTGGGAACCTCCCAGCTGGGAGGTTCCGATAGTTGGAACCTCCACTGTTAGTGTGGACTTGACTGTCTCTTCTTTCAGCCCTGTGTGCCCCGACACTGTATTCTGGAGCTGCTGGGGCATAAACGTGTGGGACTATTGTCTTCATTGTAAATTGGTGCTTTATCAAGGGATTTCCTCTTTTATCCCTTGTTCTGATGTCTACTTCGATACTAGGTTAGCCATGCTGACTTTTGATTAGCATTTACATGGTATCTCATTTTCCATCCTTTGACTTTTAACCTATCTGGGCTTTTATATTTTAAGTGAGTTTGTGGTAGACAGCATATAGTTGGGTCTCATATTTTTATCCAGTCTGACAGACTGCCTTTTATTTTTTCACCAGTTTTGCTATTCATTGTTCTTTGTTACCTTTTTCCTCTTTTCCTGCCTTCTGTATTAATTGAATATTTTAAAGTATTCCATTTTATCTCTACTATGGATTTACTTCCTATACATCTTGTATTATTTCATGGTTGCTCTAAGACTATGCTGTCTGATGTGGTAGCCACTAGCCACAGGTAGCTGCATACATTAATTAAAATTAAATTTAAGTTCAATTTCTCTGTTATGCTAGCCACATTTGAAATGCTCACATGTGGCTAACAACTACCAGTTGATATTGTCACACAGGTCATTGAAATGTTGTTCATTTATTTTTAGTCTTTTTTCTCTTTGCTTCCAGTGTGAATACTTTCTATTCCTGTCTTCAAGTTCACAATCTTTTTTCTCCCTACAATGTCTAATCTGCTGCCTTGTAAGTCAGTGAGATTTTCATTTTGTGGAGTTTACTTTTCATTTCTAGAACTTGTTTGGTTTTTTGTTATATCTCCCTTTTTACTTAGATTCATGTTTTCCTTTATATCCTTGAGCATAAAACAAGCATTTCTCTAAACTCTGTAATGTTCTTGTATTTTAATCTCATCATCTTTATCATTTCTGGATTATTTCTACTGACTGATTTTTCTTTCCTTCAGTTTATATATCACAATTTGCTACTTCACGTATCTAGTAATTTTTTACTGGATGCCAGACATTGTGAACCTTATATTGTTGAGTGCTAGTTTTGTCTTTAAAGAGTGTTCAGCTTAGTTCTAGCAGGTAGTTTGGTTACTTGTGGATCCGTGTATGCCCTTTAGTCTTGTTTTCAAGCCTTGTTGGGAAGTCTCAAGTAGCTTCTCTGGGTGACTCCAGGGTGGAGCTGCTTCCATGAGAAAAGTTTTCTGTACACAGCCATACTTCGTTTGGACAACAGCAGCAGGGTCAAGGGGCTGATAGAAGCCACAGCTCACAAAGCCTAAACTGTCTGCAGTCTGGCTCTTTAAAGAAACATTTGCCAAAACCCAGGCTTGACCAATTCCCAGAAGTGGATGGGCTACCAGACAGGATGGGATGTCATGAACACTGAGAGAAACCCATCATGCACTGCTCACGCCGGTGTCTCAGGGAGACCCCAGCATCTCAGGGAGACCCCAGCACAGACGGGTTCCAGGTACCTTCTGTTGGTGCTGCTTTTCTCAGTATCAGCTTTTCGCCTGGGTGGGTGGCCTGGCAGTGAGCCATGTTGGGTCAAGGCAGTGAGGCCTCTGGTAGCTCCTGGGACCCTGGTCAGCCCAGGGGTCCTTTGTCCCAGTTCCTGTAACTTAGGTTCCCATAACCCCTCTCAGGCCAGGCCACAGAGGGCCTCTGAAGACATGGTTTCCTCTTCCAACGCCACCTCTGCCCAACTCGCCTGCTCTTGGTGGCATTTCACCATGGGGTCAGGGGTCCTCTGCTCCTTGGTTGATGTCCCAAACCTCACTGGTGAGGCCCCATGCACTTTCAGGATGGTTGACACTCAGAGACTTCGTGTCCACGTGCTGGCAGAGGGGGACTCCAAACCAACACTCCAGGACCAGGGCGAGGGTTTCTGTGTGATACTCCAGAGGCTCTAGGACATCTCCCCTGGTCCAGGTCAGCTACTGGGCTTGTTCCTGTGCCATCCTCACTGCAGAGGGTCAGAAGACTGGACAGGTCTGGGGCATAGGGATTTGGCAGGCGGTGCAGAGGCGGGGGGGCAGTGCTGGTTCCAACAGACCTGAGGCCCCGAGGGTGATGCTTCTGCTGGGCAGCCGGGTTACTTTTGCCACGGAGAGAAGTGTGCAGGTGGCCCTCATAGTTGGTAAATACCTGTGACCACAGAGAGAGATACCTGGTAAACAATGCTGACAGTCACGGAAGGCTGTGGGCGACTGCTGGGCACCCGTTCCTCAGCGTGGCCTCAGAAGAGCTGCCATCTAGAGCCACGCCTGTGCCCTGTTCCCTCCTGGCCCCTCCGCCTCCCACTGCAGTCAAGGCCCCATCTGCACCATTTGCCATGACATGCACAGGGTGATCCATACCTTTCCCACTGTGCCCTGTGGTCACTGGTCAGGGATGAGGTCACGTCCTCAGACCTCAGGGACACAGCTGCTGAGGTCATGGTCCTTAAGGAAGGCCCTGCCAGAGTGGCCTGGGGATGTCCAGGCAGTTCCAGAAGGAGTCCAGAGCGGCTGCCCTTGAGAAGGAGATGGGTGTGCCCTGAGGAGGGGCAGGAGAAGGGGGTGCTGGGGGGCTCTAAGGCAGGGCCAGCCCCCAGGTCCCCAGGCATGGGCCTGAGGACCGGAACCAACTTGCACCCAGGCCCTCCCAGCCAATGCCCAGCCCCTGGCACTGCTGCCTGTGAGTGAGGACAGTGATGCCAGCCAGAGGACAAATGGGATGCACAGGGCGTCCCTGTGCCCCCCAAGGGAATGAAAAAGGGGTCTGAGGGCTCTCTAGCAGGAGAGGAGGGGCGCCCCACACCGCCCAGGTCCTAGAACCCAGGTGGAAGGAGGAGGCCTGTGGACTGAGGGGAGGAAGGAACAGACAGGGGCCTGCGGACAGACAGGTGGACCCCGACAGGCCCAGATAGGAAGCGCGTTGTGGCATTTCTGCCGCAGGACCCCTTTCCCTTGCCCGCTAGAGGGCGGCGCTGCCCCAGAGACGCACAGCCAGCGGCTTAGCCAAGGCCCCAGCACCAGCGGCCCTGGGCCCTGCCCTGACCCTGTGCTGACTCTGCAGCAGCCTCAGCTCCGAGTCCTAGTGTCTGTCGTGTGAATTATGATTTGTGACCAAAACCTTTGTCTTTCATGTGAGTTATCTGTGACTGAAAGCCTTCTTTCTCTCTCCCCTGAGTTACCATTTATGACTAAAACCGTTCTCTTACTGCCTCTGGGTCATTTTTTACTAAAACCTTTATCACCTGAGCTATCACTTGTGACTGAAAACCTTGTCCATCACCTGAGCTATTTAGTTTTGATTGAAACATCTTTTCTTTGTCATACCTACAAGAATCATAAATTATCCTTTATGACTTGCAGCTTCATCTGTCAATTTAGTTATCATTTATGAGTGAATTCCTTTTATCTTTATCAGCTGAGCTATCATATATGGCTGGAAAACTTTCTTCTCTCTCGCCTGAGTTACCTGTAATGGAAGGCTTCTCTGTATTACTGGACTTATTTACAACTACAGCGTCTGTCTCTCTAGCACTTGAGTTATCATTTATTTATGACTGGCCACCCCGCATCTCTCTCACCTGGTATCATTTATGTCTAAAACCTTTCATTCTCTATCAACTGAATTATTACTGGAAAATGTCTTTCCCCATCATCTAGTTGTCATTCATGATTCAGACCGTTTTCAGTCACCTCAGTTCCTTGTGGCTGGACACTTTTCTTTCTCCATCATCTGAATTGTGATTTATGACTACAGCCTTTCTTTTTATCACCTGAATTATCACATATGACTGGAAAAATGTATGAATGGAAACCTTTTTCTCTACCACCAAATTTCTATCTAAGCCTTTTTGGGTTTTGGGTGGCAGTGGGGGGTTGTTTGATTTTTTTTGTGTGTTTTTTGTTTGTTTTGTTTTTGAGACAGGGTGTTGTTCTGTCACCTAGGCTGGAGTGAGTGGTGCCATCACAGCTTGGCCTTCACCTCCTGGGCTCAATCAATCCTCCAGCCTCAGCCTCCTGCATAGATTGGACCAGGGGCCTGCGCCACCACACTGGCTATCCTTTTATTTTTAGTAGAGACAGGGTCTTGCTATATTGCCCAGGCTGGTCTTGAACTCCTGGCCTCAAGCAATCCTCCTGCCTCAGCCTCCCAAAGTGCTGAGATTATAGACGTGAGTTACTGTGCCCAGCCTTACAAAACCGCTTTTTCTTTATCACCTGAATTACCATTTATGACTGGCACCTTCTTTCTGTTACCTGAGTTATCATTTATGACAGGAAAACTTCCTTCTGTCTCACCTGAGTTGCTTATGATGGAAGGCTTCTCCCTGTATTACATGAATTATTTTTGAGTGAAGCATTCTATCATCTGAGCTATCATTTATGACTGAAACTTTGTATCTCTATCACCTAGATATCCTTTATGAATAAAAGCCTTTCCTTCTCTGTCATTTATGACTGTAATCGTTTTTCTGTATTACCTGAGTTGTCATTATTGCCCAAACCTTCTTTCCCTAGCACCTGAGTTACCACTGTGGCTGGAAACCTTCCTCATAACCCGAATTATCATGTGTGAGTGACACCTTCTTTTCTGTCACCTGGGTTACAATTTATGACCAGCAATCTTTCTCTCACCTGAGTTATCAATTATGACTGGTAGCCCTATTCTTTCTAGCAGCTGAGTTTTATTTATGACTAAAAACCTTTCTTTCTCTAGCATCTGATTTAACCCTTATGACTGGAACATTTCTTTCTCTATCACCTAATTATCATTCATGACCTCAAGCCTTCTTTCACTCAACTGAGTTATTTCTTATTGAAAAACCTTTCCTTCTCCACCTGAGTTGATTGATGACAAAAATCTTTCCTTCTCTGTCCATTGCCTGAGTTATAACCTGTGACTGGAAAACTTCACCCAGTTTTCATTCATGACTGAAAACCTTTCTTGACCATTGAAATGATATTTATAACTTGAAACCTTTGTTTTTCTATCCCTTGAATCATAATTTATAACTAAAACCTTTCCTTTTCTACCACTTATCACTTATGACATAACTTTATGAATCAAAACCCTTATTTCTGTAGCAGATGTATTATTTATGACTAGAAATCTTTCTCTATTACCTGAGTTATTATTTGTGACCTTGCTCTATCACTTCAGTTACCGTTTGTTACCTAGAACCTTTCTATCTCTACCATTTTCTATCGGAAACCTTTCTTTCTCTATTATTTATGACTAAAACTTTTCTTTATTACATGAGTTATCCTTATGGCCAGAAGCCTTCTTTCTCTGTTATATGAATTGTCACTTATTACTAAAACCTTTATTTCTCTTTTAGCTGTGTTATCCTTTATGGCAGGAAACCTGCCTTGATGTATCTACCTGAGTGATACATGAATAAGGCTTTTTTCTCCATTATCTGAGTAATTTGTGACTAAGCCTCTTTCTCTATCACCGGGTTTATCATGTATTAATGACTGAATACTTCATTATGTGATCAGTCTTTCTCTTCATTTGTGTGGTGGTTGGAAACCCTTTTTCTCCATCACTTTAGTTTGGATCTTTTGTTCTCTGTCATTGAGTTGTCATTTGGGACGGAGGCCGTCTTCCCCATCCCCTGAGTTCCGCTTTATGACAGCACCTCTCTTTCAAACCAAACCCTGTTGTAGTTTAGGGCTGGACACGTTTCTCTATCTCCCGAGTTACCATTTATGATGAGAAATCACCACTCATCCATCGCACGTGCTGTAATTCATGACTAAAACCTTTATTTCACTTGTTCTTCATTTTGGAAGCCTTCCTTCTCTATCACCTGATGATTATTACTGGAAATTTCTGTCTGTGTCACGCGAGTTACGGTTTTCTCTCTGGCGTTATTATTTTTACTGGAAACCTCCTTTCTCTCCCCCGTCCGAGCTGTCCTCGCGGCCGCAGCCTCCTCCTCCCGCCCTGCGGGGGCCGCCGTCCGCGCTTCTTCCCCGCCCGCCCCTCCTGGGCCCCTCGCGTCCCCCTTCCCTGTCACCCGAGCTTCGTTTGTGACTGAAACTCTGCTGCGTCTGTCATCTTGGTGTCCTCTATGAAAACCTTCCCAGAGCTCTTCACACTCCACACGTGGCTTTTATTTAGTGTTTTCTACCTACTCGGCAGCGTTTCCTGGGGAGGGAAGGCACCCAGAGCCTCCGGAGCCACGCGGCGCTGTGTTCCCGCGCCCTCGGCTTCCCTGTTGCTCAGGGTTATTTCTTCCTGCCATCAGCTGGAGAAGCGCTCTCCGAATATTTCCCCGGGAACGCGGACTTGCCGGCCCTGCGAGGCACCCGGCGGGAACCGGCGGAAAGGGAGGAACGGCTGGATGGCGCCCGCGCCTGGCAGCCCCGTGTGCCCGAGGCCAGGAGGGACCGGGCGAGCCTGGGGGCTGCGTCAGGGCCGCTCCGAGGGCGGCTTCGCGGGGACTCGGGCCCCGCCCCAGGCCAGGCAGGGTGTGACCGCCCCCTAGTGCGGGAGGCTGCGTCTACACCCGCGCCCAGGACCCTGGAAGCCACGGAACTGGCCCCACCCCACGCACCGAGTCCACGAAGCCCTCGCCCCCAGCCTCACCGGCTTCCAGACCTGTCCCGAAGCCCTGTTCTCCGCGGCTCTGGGTGGGCGCGGGTGGCGCTGGGGCGACCCCAAATCCAGGCCAGGAGCCCAAATCAGGCCACGACCCCAAATCCAGGCCAGGACCTCAAATCCAGGCTAGGACCCCAAATCCAACCTGCAACCCCAAATCCAGGCCAGGACCCCAAATCCAAGACACAATCCTAGCCCAGCGACCTGGGGCTTCCCTTGGGCCAGCGACTGACTGCACCGGCCCTGCTGTTCCAGCCCCTCCTGGCCTCCCTCCTCCCATCCTTTACCCCAGCCTCTCCCCTGGCCTTTTCTGGCAGCCTCTCCTTCCGGCCTTTGCCCCCGCAGGCTTCACGTCCTCGCGAGCCAGAGCAGGGACGCCTTCACTGGGAGAATCTGCTCAGAGCTGATTTCGTTATCGATGAGTACTAACAAAATATTATTTTACACTGATGTGTTAGTTTTTTAAAAAATGTGCTTAAGCCAGGAGGCTTTTTAGGATATCTTCTTCTACTGCTCAACAGCCATCTAAGAACTTATAAAACGTACATCCAGTTGTGTTTGGGGCTAGAGAGAGTACTGGGTGACGTCATCACTGACATCCTCAACAGATCTCTATTTACAATGCTTAAAAGTTGCTCCAGTGAACCGACAGGTAAGTACTTGAAGACCATCACCGACCTTTAGTGTTGGAATTTCACTCCTGCCTTCATGATGTCCAGGGAGCGGAATACTACAAACAGGTTGATATGCTTTGGATTTGTGTCCCCACCCAACTCTAATGTCGAATTGCAATCCCCAGTGTTGGAGGTGGGGGTCGGTGGGAGGTGATTGGATCATGGGGGCTGATTTCCTCCTTTGGTGCTGTTCTGATAGAATTCTCCTGAGATCTTGTTTAAAAGTACATGACTCTCTCCCCATC
Source organism: Homo sapiens (assembly GCF_000001405.40). Classification (NCBI taxonomy): domain Eukaryota; kingdom Metazoa; phylum Chordata; class Mammalia; order Primates; family Hominidae; genus Homo; species Homo sapiens. The sequence continues at coordinate 928,150 of NC_000005.10, forward strand.
TTCCTCCTGCTCTGGCCATGCGGAGACATGCCTGCTTCCCCTTCACCTTCCACCATGATTGTAAGTTTCCTGAGACCTCACCAGCCATATTTTCTCTACAACCTGTGGAAACATGAGCCAATTAAACTGCTTTTCTTTATAAATTATCCAGTCTTGGCCGGGCGTGGTGGCCGTAGCCTGTAATCCCAGCACTTTGGGAGGCCGAGGCGGGTGGATCACCTGAGGTCAGGAGTTCGAGACCAGCCTGGCCAACATGATGAAACCCTGTCTCTACTAAAAATACAAAAAATTAGCCAGGGGTGATAGCGGACGCCTGTAATCCCAGCTACTCAGGAGGCTGAGGCAGGAGAATCACTTGAACCCAGGAGGCAGAGGTTGCAGTGAGCCAAGATCGTGCTACTGTACTCCAGCCTGGGCAACAAGAGCAAAACTCCATCTCTAAATAAATAAATAAATAAACCAGTCTCAGGCAGTTCTTTATAGCAATGGGAGAATGGCTAATACAGAAAATTGGTACCTAGGAGTGGGCATTGCTGTAGTGATACCTGAAAATATGGAAGTGACTTTGGAACTGGGTAACAGGTAAAGGTTGGAAGAGTGTGGAGGGCTCAGATGAAGACAGGAAGATAAGGGAAAGTTTGGAATTTCTTAGGGATTTGTTAAATTGTTGTGACCCAAATGCTGAATAATGATATGGACAATGAAGTCCAGGCTGAGGTGATCGCAGATGGAGATGAGGAACTTATTGGAAACTAGAGAAAAAGTCACTTTTGTTATGCGTTAGCAAAGAATTTGGTGACATTTTGCCCCTGCCCTAGAGATCTATGGAACTTTGAACTTGAGAGAGATGATTTAGGGTATCTGGAAGAAGAAATTTTTAAGCAATAAAGCTTTCAAGAGGTGATCTGGCTGTTTCTAAAAGTGTACACTCATATGTGTGAAGAAAGAGATTATCTGAAACTGGAACTTGTATTTAAAAGGGAAGCAGAGCATAAAAGTTTGGGAAATTTGCAGCCCAGCCTTGTTGTAGAAAAAGAAAAACCCATTTTCTAAGGAGAAATTCAAGCCTGCTGCAGAAATTTGTATAGCATAAGTAAAGAGGAGCCAAATGTTAATAACCAAGACAATGGGAAAATGTCTTCAGGGCATGTCAGAGATCTTCACAGCAGCCCTACCCATCACAGGCTCAGAGACCTAGGAGGGAAAAATGGTTTCATGGGCCAGGCCCAGAGCCCAGCTAGCTCTGTACAGTCTCAGGACATGGTGCCCTGTGTCCCAGCTGCTCCAGCTCCAGCTGTGGCTAAAAGGGGCCAAGGTACAACTTGGGCCATGGCTTCAGAGGGTGCAAGGCCCAAGCATTGGTGACTTCCACATGGTGTGGGGCCTGCAGGTGCACAGAAGTCAAGAGTTGAGATTTGGGAACTTCTGCCTAGATTTCAGAAGATACATGGAAATGCCTGGATGTTCAGGCAGAAGTCTGGTATGGGGCAGAGCCCTCATGCAGAACCTCTACTAGGGCAGTGCAGAGGAGAAATGTGGGGTTGGAGCCCCCACACAGAGTCTTCACTGCAGCACTGCCTAGTGGAGCTGTCAGAGGAGGGCCACTGTCTTGCAGACCTCAGAATGGTAGATCCACTGACAGCTTGCACCATGCACCTGGAATAGCTGCAGGCACTCAACAACAGCCTGTGAAGACAACCATGGGAGCTGTACCCTGCAGAGCCACAGGGGCAGAACTGCCCAATGCCATGGGTGCCCACCCTTTGCATCACCATGATCTGGATGTCAGACATGGAGTCAAAGGAGATCATTTCAGAGCTTTAATATATTAATGGCTGCCCTGCTAGGTTTCAGACTTGCATTGGGCCTGTAGCCCCTCACTTTCGACCGATTTAACCCACTTGGAATGAGAGCATTTACTCAGTGCCTGTGCCTCCATTGTATCTTGGAAGTAACTAATTTGTTTTTTATTTTACAGGCTCAGGGGAAGGAGGGATTTGCCTTGTCTCAGATGAGACTTTGGACTTGGGCTTTTAAGTTAGTGCTGACTTAAGACTTTGGGGGACAGTTGGGAAGGGATGATTTATTTTACAATATGAGAAGGACATGAGATTTGGGAGAGGCCAGGGGTGAAATGATATGGTTTGGATTTGTGTCCCCACACAAACCTCATGTTGAATTGTAATCCCCAAAGCTGGAGGTGGAGCATGGTGGGAGGTGATTGGATCGTGGGAGCTGATTTCTTCCTTGGCTGATGTTCTCATAGAGGTCTCATGAGATCTGTTAAAAAGCATATGGCACCTACCCTCTCTTTCTCCTCCTCCTGCTCTGGTCAAGTGAAGATGTGCCTGCTTCCCCTTAGACTTCCACAATGATTGTAAGATTTCTCAGGTATTTAGAGCACTGCAAGAACAGACATACACAGGTATACTCCAAATACTTCCACCGTGAGCACCATCACCTCCAAATGTGTTCACCTGTGAGCACCTTCACCTCCCAGTACATTCACCTGTGAGTACATAACCTACTGGTACATTCACCTGTGAGCACCTTCACCTCCCAGTACATTCGCCTGTGAGCACATAACCTACTCGTACATTCACTGTGAGTACCTTCACCTCCCAGTACATTCACCTGTGAGTACCTTCATCTCCCAGTACATTCACCTGTGAGCACCTTCACCTTCCAGTACATTCACCTGTGACAGATTCCCCTCCCAGTACATTCATTCACCTGTGAGCACATTTAATCCCAGTACATTCACCTGTGAACACATTCACCTCCCCGTACATTCACCTGTGAGCACATTAACCTGTGAATATGATCACCTGTGTACAGACTCTCAGGCTGCACCGGAGAATTTAACTGACGCAGAAAGATCAACAGGAGGAAAGCACGGAAGCTTATTTAAAGGAAGCTCTATATGGTGGGAGAGCCTCCCATGGAAGGAATGCCCTAAAGCCACAGAGTTGGACACTCACACCCATGTGAGCAAACAGGACTTGCAAGAAGTGGATGGGTGGATCTCTAGTGGCTCACCGGCCCTAAATCCTCATAGAGCCCAGTGACCGTTTGCTGACTAGAGGTCACACGGGTACCCGGAGTTCCTTGAAATCCCATACCTCTGTTAAACTTTGGGACTTCCAGAGCTCCCCTGAACCAACCCATCAGAACACAGGAAGTTTGAATTTTTCATTTGCATAAGCGAACCTATGTGAGAACTTTCAGTATAAAAGCTGGACCCTCTCTTTGTTCTCTGGAAAGCATCCTGGTTTTACGCTGAAGGCAGCATCTCCCACTTCACAAACTGTTCATAGGAATAGTCTTTCCTCTACATTCCTTTTCAAAGAACTTTTGTGCACCCTGAATTGGAGGTGGAGTAGTAAGCTGTGAAAAATACATTGTGTGCGGAGGCTGCCAAGAAGAGTGATTTTAAGGAGGCTATGCTGAAATCTCTCTGGGTCTGGGCCTCCCACTGTTGATAAGAAAGATGCTTTCCCAAACGTATGGGGAGGGCATCTTTCACATGAGAATTTCGTCTCCTGCTTTTAAGACATGGAATGGCGATCAGCTTAAAGCCAGAGCAATGCCTTTGGGGTGGTGGGCTCTTAGCTCCTTCAGGATCACGCCACAGAAGGAAATCGGTGAGCACCTGCTCCCGCCCTCAGAAAAAGCTGCAGTTTCTTAGGGAGTGACAGCTGTTCATGCCAGCTTTGGGGGCACTTCCCATCTGGAGCAAAGGAGGTCAACTTCGAACAGCACGAAGCCAGCTGCTTCCCAAGGTAAGAAATGTCAACAAAATTCAAGTGACCAAACTCTCCGTTTTGAAGATGGGGACTCTCAGTTTGGGGACAGGCCACACCGCTTCAAGAGAGCATGGGGTTCTGCACCCGCACCTCTGAGCCCTCCTTTCAAAGGACGCATTTGGTTCTTGCCTCGTTGGAAAGGCAGGTGGAGCTTCATTTAAGGAATAATGACCCTGCCATTACTGGCCATTTTGGGCTTGATTCATTTTCCTTTCCATAAACTCAGCCAAAGAGAGTCAAAGGCTTCCTTTAAGACACTCTCTTTTCTGTACTTGGACCTGCAGTGTGGCCCCTGGGAGGTGGACAATGACTTCACTCTCAGCTCACAGCATCCTTGCGTTCTGTGTCAGGGGAGCAAAATCCCATGTGAACTGGGCACCCTCCCTTTCCACAGACATTAACCCCCAAACGTGAGAGCGGGCTCCCAGCCACCTGGAAGGCAGCAGCATCCACGCCGCCGGAGCTGGTGTCTGAGGGGCAGATGGCATGGACAGGCTCCTCCCTTCAGGCATTGCTATGTCCTGGGAAGGAACAGAGAGAGGAATACAAGGATGATGGGAGTCAATTCAGTAATTCCAAGTGGGACATTAACATGCCAGCCCTCTGCTCACTGAGGGACAGAGTGGTCTGCCCAGAGGAAGCATGGTAGCCTGGGCCCGAGCTGCGGGACTGAGTGGCTGCCCTCCTGAAACCCACCCTCCTCTGTCCAAGAGCAGGAGCTGTGTTCAGCTGGGCAAGGCTGATGACTGAAGCCTGGCTGCTGGTGCCTGGGAATAAATCAGAGGCTGACGATGGTCACTGGAGAAGAACAGCAACAAGGCATCAGTGACGATTGCCACCTGTCAGTCGCCTCCTCAGAACCACATCCTGAGCTGAGCTGTGACTAACTTGACCTCTGCACCTCTGTGAAAAAGGATATGGCTGCCCGTTTTCCAGCAAGGAATGAGGACTGAGGGCAGCTCTTGGCTTTGGTTGGCCAGGGCTTGAACCTTCTGTTTCTGGGCAGAACTAGAGCCATAAGGGGTGATCCAAAGGGAAGGCAATTCCTGGGTTCACCCATAAACTCATAACAGAGTTGTTATACTTTCTGCTGAGATAAATGACTTCTTTTATTTCCCTTTTGGAGAACAATTGCCCAATGTTCTGGCTAGTTTTTATTTGGCTTAAATTTTGGAATGAAAGGAAAGTATGACCCATTAGTGAAGCTGGATGTGAAGATGGAGAAAGTGTGTATGCCTGTGTCTCCATGAGAAAGACAAGACTAAGCAAGAAATACTAACCCCTGAGCAGCAGGTCAGGCCCTCTTCTGGAAATGAACCTAAAGTTAGGTCTCTGTGTACTTTCTAATTATATTAGTCTGTCTTCACACTGCTATAAAGAACTATCAGAGACTGGGTAATTTATGAAGAAAGAAGATTTAATTGACTCAGTTCTGCAGGCTTAACAGGAAGCATGACTGGGAGGCCTCAGGAAACTTATAATCATGGTGGAAGGTGAAAGGGAAGCAACGCACATTTTCCTATGGTGGAGCAGGAGAGAGAGAGTGACGGGGGAAGTACCACACACTTTAAAACTTTCAGATCTCATGAAAACTCACTATCATGAGAACAGCAAGGGGGAAGTCAGCCCCCTGGATTCAGTCACCTCCCACCAGGCCTCTCACCAATTCAACATGAGATTTGGGTGGGTACACAAATCTAAACCACAAAATTTGACCCCTGGCCCTTCCCAAAGCTTACGTCCTTCTCACATTGCAAAATGCAATTATCCCTTCTCAACAGTCCCTGAGTCTTAACTCATTTTAGCATTAACTGAAATCTCCACAGTCCAAAGTCTTATCTGAGACAAGATAAGTCCCTTCCAGCTATGATCCTGTAAAATAAAAAATAGTTACTTCCAAGATATAATGGGGGTATAGGCATTGGGTAAATGCTTCCATTCCAAATGGAAGAAATTGGGCAAAAGAAAGGGGCTACAGGCCCCATGCGAGTCCAAAACTCAGCAGGGCAGGCATTAAACCATAAAGCTCCAAAGTGATCTCCTTTGACTCTGTGTCCCACATCCAGGCCACACTGACACAAGGAGTGGGCTCCCATGGCCTTGGGCAGCTCTGCCTCTGTGGCTCTGCAGGGTACAGCCACCATGGCAACTTTCATGGGCTGGTGTTGAGTGCCTGTGACTTTTCCAGGTGCATGGTGCAAGCTGTCAGTGGATCTACCATTCTGAGATCTGCAAGACAGTGGCCCTCCTCTGACAGCTCCACTAGGCAGTGCTGCAGTGAGGACTCTGTGTGGGGGCTCCAACCCCACATTTCTCCTCTGCACTGCCCTAGTAGAGGTTCTCCATGAGGACTCTGCAGGCAGACTTCTGCCTGGACATCTAGGCATTTCCATATATCTTCTGAAATCTAGGCAGAGGTTCCCAAACCTCAGCTCTTGACTTCTGTGCACCTGCAGGCCCCACACCATGTGGAAGTCACCAATGCTTGGGCCTTGCACCCTCTGAAGCCATGGCCCAAGTTGTACCTTGGCCCCTTTTAGCCACAGCTGGAGCTGAAGCAACTAAGATGCAGAATGCCATATTCTGATGCTGTACAGAACAGCTGGGCCCTGGGCCTGGCCCATGAAACCATTTTTCCCTCCTAGGCCTCTGGGCCTGTGTGGAAGGGGCTTCCATGAAGGTCTCTGACATGCCCTGGATACATTTCCCTCATTGTCTTGGCTATTTGGCTCATCTTTACAAGCAAATTTCTGCAGCAAGCTTGAATTTCTCCCCAGAAAATGGGTTTTCTTTTCTACCACATGGCTGCGCTGCAGATTTTCCAAATTTTTATGCTCTGCTTCCCTTTTAAATATAAATTCCAGCTTTATATAATCTCTTTGTTCACGCATATGAGCATACACTTTTAGAAACAGCCAGGTTGGCCGGGTGCAGTGGCTCATGCCTGTAATCCTAGCACTTTGGGAGGCCATGGCAGGTGGATTGCCTGAGCTCAGGAGTTCAAAACCAGCCTGGACAACACGTGAAACCCTGTCTCTACTAAAAATACAAAAAAAAAAAAAATTAGCTGGGTGTGGCGATGTGTGCCTGTAGTCCCAGCTACTCTGGAGGCTAAGGCAGGAAAATTGCCTGAACCCAGAAAGTGGAGGTTGCAGTGAGCTGAGATCGCTCCACTGCACTCCAGCCTGGGTGACAGCAAGAATCTGTCTCCAAAAATAAATAAATAAATAAAAATAATAAAACAAAGAAACGGCCAGGTCACATGGTTACATGTTGAACACTTTGCTGCTTAGGTATATTTTCCACCAGATACTCTAAATCATCTCTCTCAAGTTGAAGTTCCACAGGTCTCTAGGGCAGGGGCAAAATGCCACCAGTCTCTTTGCTAAAGCATAGCAAGAGTCACCTTTACTCCAGTTCCCAATAAGTTCCTAATCTTCATCTGAGACCACCTCAGCCTGGACTTCATTGTCAATATCACTATCGGCATTTTGGTTGAAACCATTCAACAAGTCTAGGAAGTTCCAAACTTTCCCACATCATCCTATTTCTTCTGAGTCCTCCAAACTGTTTCAACCTCTTCCCATGACCCAATTCCAAAGTTGTTTCCACATTTTCAGGTATCTTTGTAGTAATGCCCCACTTTCCTGGTACCAATTTTCTGTATTCATCCATTCTCACACTGCTATAAAGAACTACCTGAGACTGGGTAATTTATGAAGAAAAGAGGTTTAATTCACTCAGTTTCACAGGCTTAACAGGAAGCATGGGTAGGAAGCCTCAGGAAACTTACAATCATGGCAGAAGGGGAAGCAAGGTACATCTTGTGGTGGAGCAGGAGAGAGAGAGCGAAGGGGGAAGTGCTGCACACACTTAAACCGTCAGATCTCGTGAGATCTCACTATGATGAGAACAGCAAGGGAAGTTGGCCCCTTGGATTCAATCACCTCCCACCAGGCCCCTCCTCCAACTTGACATGAGATTTAGGGGTGACACAAATCCAAACCATATCACTAATCTTCCCTTGTGGCGAGATGAGCAGCTCAGTGTTTGCACAGCCTGAGGAATGAGTGAATTGCTGCAACTTAAACTTCCAGCAGGCAGATGACAAGCTGTCCATTCGACACAGTCAAAGGCTTGGTCTTACGCTGCGTGTGTGACTACAAGCAGACCCTCTCTCGCCTGCGTGAGGAAGTGGAGTTGATACCTATTACATGGCTCAACACTTTAGTCATCGGGTCCTCAGGAAGTTGGAAGCCTCTAAGCCCAGAGGCAGCCTGGACCCTTCCTCACAGATGCTTGGTGCTGGCAGTCCCACACTGTCCCCCACGGTGGCAAGCGGTGGTGTTTCTGGAATGTTCCACTTCACCCTCGTTCCTGTGTGTTCTCCTGCCCATGGTCTGTTGTCACGAGGCCTGTGCCCTGACGCTGGATCTGCCTGTCTCCGGCCGCTGCTGGGTCCTGCTCTGCACCTTCATGAGAAGCCATCTAGGAAAGTTTCTTCTTGTTTCTCCCGACTGGGGTTCATTCCCATGGGACTGGGGAACTGGGACTTTGCCCCGCTTTAAAGTTCTCCCTCTGGCTTCCTCCGTGGGCTATAGCCCTGACCCCACCCCAGCACGGAGAGAGCCAGTCGGCATCCTGGCTGCCCACTCAAGCTGGTGCCGTCACAGGGAGAGGCTGGGTTGGGAATCATGACGTCTTTGGATAGAGAGCTTTGCTTTTCACCTTCATGCCAGTTGTTTTCATGAAATCCACAGAAACTTCCTTTAGAAGAAGTCTTACCTAGAAGCCCACCCTGTAAATGAAGTGAAACAGAATTCTCTGGTGAGAGGAAGGTGGAATCTGGGACCCCACAGGTGGTTCTGTGGCCCCCTAGAGACCCCCTTCTGTGGTGGCTCCAGAATGTGGCCCCATGTGGTGTGTTGGTGGCTTCCCATGACATGTGTGCCTGTGCCCCCCACGCCATGTCCTCTTCTTGGTGCATCTGCAGCCCCCTCATGTCTGAGGCCTCCTCAGTGCTCTCTTTCTGGGCCCCTATCCCCATAGCCTCCACCTCCTGTGGCATGTCTGTGGTCCTCTCCTTGGTGCACCCATGGAGAGGTGCACCTCTGTCGTATACTGAAACACATCCGGGCTCTGCAGAGTTCAGCAGGCCACGCTTCTACTTCAGGCTGCCTTTCAGGAAGAAAAGTTTCTTCCCCAGCTTGGGGATTGTGATGGGAAAAACAAGATACCGGGGAGGGGTGATAAAAGAGGAGTGTGGTGGGAACTTGTTCTAGGAAAAACATTCAGTGGCGGACTTCCTGGAGAGGCTTGGACCTGAGCTCTTGGGAAGCTTTGCAATCTCTCCCATCGTGCTGAAGGGGAAACAGAGGCCGTGTAGGTTGCTGGGGCCAGTGGGCCTGTGCCTTGATCCGCCCGGAGCAGGCTGGAGGATTCAGTGTCTTGGTCGCCATGATCCCAGACACCATGCTAGGTGACATAGAGCCTCTGGCAAAACAAAGGGGACAGACTGGCTCCTTCCTCAAGAGGGAGTGTGTTGCTTCAGTAAAGCCACCCTGAGCTTTAAGGCAGAGTTTTAGGGTAAGAGTTCAGGCAGCTGAAAGCCATCAAGTCAGCGGGGCTGAGATCCTCCCAAACTGGGGCAAGGACCAGGGCTTGGATGTCAGAAGTAAAGTCAGAGGCCGTCTGGGCCAAGGGGACCCCTGAGCACACACTATAAGCATGGCGGGCGGTGGCAGGACTGCACCTGGGCACTGAGTGTCCACCACCTGACACCCCTGGGGAGCAGGGGCTGGCATCCCAGGGCTGCACCGCGACCCAAGGAGAGGCTCCTTGACCAACAGTTGCAGGTTGCAGCTCCCAGGTGTGGAGCACACTTGAAGATTCTCACTCTGGTGACCCAAAGCAGGATCAGCTGTGGATGCTTGTGTTTTGTTTCGCTTAAAGTTTCCCTTTTGTGGCTGGGCGCAGTGGCTCACGCCTGTAATCCCAGCACTTTGGGAAGCAGAAGTGGGTGGATCACCTGAGGTCAGGAGTTCGAGCACAGCTGGCCAATGTGGAGAAACCCTGTCTCTACTAAAAATACAAAAATTAGCTGGTCCTGGTGGCGCACACCTGTAATTCCAGCTACTCAGGAGGCTAAGGCAGGAGAATTGCTTAACACCGGGAGGCAGAGTTTGCAATGAGCTGACAGGGTGCCACTGCACTCCACCTGGGTGACAGAGCAAGACTCCGTCTCAAAAAAAAAAAAAAGGTTCCTTTTTGTCCCATGTCCATGTTCTCGGCATGCCGGGACCACTGCCTGTCCGTGGAGGTGTCTGGCCCAGCAGGGTCACTGCTGAGCAAGCAGAGAGGTGGGCCCATGTTCCGGGCTGGGCTGGGAACGTATCCCTGACTCCAGGCCCAGGACTCAGGACCCACAACCTCCAGGACAGACCTCAGCCCAGTGGCCCTGGCTTTGGGGTCAGGGCTGAGGCTGGTGGCAGCCCACCCACCCCTGGTGTGGCACTCATACCACCTCCTCTGGACCGGGCCTCTCGTCAGGAGAGGAAGGCTCAGGGGGAAGGCAGGGACAGAGGATGGAGGTGGGTGGCCAGAGCTCCACGTTCTTGTGAGAAGACCGAATGCCAGACCAAAGCTGGAGCAAGACTGAAGAGGACCAGGCAGGGAGAAGGGAGGCCAGGTCGCCTCTGCCGTGGTCTACCCCTGCTGCGTCTCCTGGGCTCAATCTCCTGTTTTGAGTTCTTAACTTAGATGCTTTGCTCACTAAGCTCTCTTCTTTTCCAGGTGAGTGTTTAACACATTTCTCTCAGAGCCATTCCTGCTGCCTCCCACATGCCCAAGAGTGGGGGAGTCTATCATTCAATTCCAGAAACTTCTCATTTCCACTATGGTCACTTTGATCCAGGAGTTATTTTGAATGTATTTTACGATTTCAGAAAGCATTTCAAATGGTTATTTTTGCAATTCATTTTCACACTTTTCCTCTCTCTCCTCTACCTCTCCCCTCTTGGATCTCTAGGAATGCATAGATTTTTAGAAATTCAATATTTTATACTCCATTATCTTCATTTTTTTTCTGTTGCCCAAATTGTTCTGAATTTGGTCCATGGGAGCAATATAGAGATATGAAATTTGTCTCTTTACCATATTTCAGGGATTGTTTATGTTTTTCTAAAATAAAAAGTAAACTTTTTTGAAGTATAATATACATAGCAAAAAAAGTGTACATCTCCCAAGTTTACAACTTGTTTAATTTTCACGAAGTTAACCACACTTGTAGTAACCAGACCCAAAATAGAACATGACTGGCCCCCTACAAGCCCCTGCCCCAGTCTTCCTACCGGTCACCATCTGTCTCAGTCAGCATGGGCTGCCATAACAAAATACACCTGGGGGACTTCTAGACAGCAGAAATTATTTTCTCCTGCTTCTGGAGGCTGGAAGTCCCAGATCTATGTCTGCTAGGGTTGGGTTCTGGTGAGGACCCTCTTCCTGCCTCACAGGTCTTTCCTCAGCGGCACGCGGAGGGCGTGGAGAGGCAGAGAGTTCTTCCTCTTCTTATAAGACCACCAGTTTTATAGGGTTAAGGCCACTCTATGACCTCATTTGACAGTTACCTCCCAAAAGCCCTGTCTCTGAAGACAGTCACATTTTGGGTTAGGGAGTCAGCACACATAGTTTGGAGGGCCCAGCCCACTCCATGGTCCTGTTCCACCCCACAATGAGGGTAGCGCCCCTCTGACTTCTGACGCTGTCCATGGGTGTGGCCTGCTTGGGGCTGTCTGTAAACAGGGTCGTGCAAAAACCTTCCTTTGCTCCTTTGTAAGATCCAGCCATGGTTTTGCATGTAAGTGGGTTCCGTTCATTCTCAAAGCTGCTGTGGTGTGAATATGTGGCTATTCATCCATTCTGCCGTTGATGGACATTTGGACTATTTAAGTATGGGGCAATTAGGAGTCATCCTATGAATGTTTTTACACAGTTTTTTGGTGAATAAAGGTTTTTACCGGGATATACCTAAAGAACGGAGTTGTTGGGTCATAGAATATGCATACATTTAACATGAGAAGACTACTGAGCTGCTTCTAAAATCCTACTCTAACATTCATTATAATATATATATAACTTGAGCATTCTGAGGTTTTAAAAAAGTATATTTTAATTCCCTCCCTTGTTTATTTCCAATCAATTCATCTTGAGTTATATGCTGTTAATGTCCAGTATTTTAGTTCTATTTTCTTTTCTTTAATTTCCAATAATATGTTTAATTTCTATTGTTTTGTACAGCTAATGTTGTTTGTTTGTTTTTGAGATGGAGTCGTACTCTGTTGCCCAGGCTGGAGTGCAGTGGCATGGTCTCAGCTCACTGCAACCTCCGCCTCCTGGGTTCAAGCAATTCTCCTGCCTCAGCCTCCCAGAGTAGCTGGGATTACAGATGCCTGTCACCACGCCCAGCTAATTTTTGTATTTTTAGTAGAGACGGGGTTTCACCATGTTGGCCAGGCTGGTCTTGAACTCCTGACCTCGTGATCCGCCTGCCTCAGCTTTCCAAAGTGCTGGTATTACAAGCATGAGCCACTGTGCCCGGCTGTACAGCTAATGTTTAATGACATTGACTATGTGTGGGTTTTTTTTTCTCTCTCTCTTTTTTTTTTAAAAGTTCTGGGCTACATGTGCAGGATGGGCAGGTTTGTTACAGAGGCAAACGTGTGCCATGGTGGTTTGCTGAACCTTTCAACCCATCACCTAGGTATTAAGACCAGTATGCGTTAGCTCTTTTCCCCAGTGCTCTCCCCACCCACCCTCCCCAGACAGGCCCCAGTAAATGTTGTTGCCCTCCCTGTGTCCATGTGTTCTCATTGTTCAGCTCCCATTTATAAGTGAGAACATGTGGTGTTTGGATTTCTGTTCCTGTGTTAGTTTGTTGAGGATGATGGCTTCCAACTCCATCCATGTCCCTGCAAAGGACGTGATCTCATTCCTTTTTATGGCTGCATAGTATTCCATGGTGTATATGTACCACATTTTCTTTATCCAGTCTATCATTGATGGGCATTTGGGTTGATTCCATGTCTTTGCTATTGTGAATAGTGCTGCAATGAATATACAAGTGCATGTATCTTTATAATAGAACGATTTATATTCCTTTGGGTATATACCCAGAAATGGGATTGCTGGGTCAAATGGTATTTCCAGTTCTAAATCTTTGAGGAATAGCCACATCATCTTCCAAATGGTTGAACTAATTTACATTCCCACCAACAGTGTAAAAGCATTCCTATCTCTCCACAGCCTCACCGGCATCTGTTTCTTGACCTTTTAATAATCACCACTCTGCTGTGAGATGGTATCTCATTGTGGCTTTGATTTTCACTTCTCTAATGATTAGTGATGTTGAGCTTCTTTTCATATGTTTCTTGGCCACATGTATGTCTCTTTTTGAGAAGTGTCTATTCGTATCCTTTGCCCACTTTTTAATGGGGTTGTTTGTTTCTTGTAAATTTGCTTAAGTTCCTTGTAGATTCTGGATATTAGACCTTTGTCAGATGGATAGATTGCAAAAATTTTCTCCCATTCTGTAGATTGTCTGTTTGCTCTGAAGATAGTTTCGTTTGCTGTGCAGAGCTCTTTAGTTTAATTAGATCCCATTTGTCAATTTTTGCTTCTGTTGCAATTGCTTTTGACAATTTCATCATAAAGTCTTTGTCCGTGCCTATGTCCTTAATGGTATTGCCTAGATTTTCTTCTAGGCTTTTTATAATTTTGGGTTTTACATGTAAGTCTTTAATCCATCTCGAGTTAATTTTTGTATAAGGTGTAAGGAAGGGATCCAGTTTCAATTTTCTGCATATGACTAGCCAGTTCTCCCAGTTTCCAATTTTATTCTTTGCCATTCCTTCTGATATCTCAATTATCATTTAGGGATCTTTCTCTCCTTCTTGAAGTTTGCCCTTGGAAACTCCTTTATGAAATATCTATTGATAGTAAACTTGCTTTTTTTTTTTTGAAAAACAAAATTATCTTCAGTGCTCATTCTTGAAAAATGGCTTTGCAGGATATAGAGGTCAAGGTCAAAGCATTTCCTTTCAGTCCTTGAAGGTATTATTCTGACCTCTTGTTTTTTCTGTTGAAAAGTCTGCTGTTGGCCGGGCGCAGTGGCTCATGCCTGTAATCCCAGCACTCTGGGAGGCCGAGGCGAGCGGATCACGAGGTCAGGAGATCGAGACCATCCTGGCTAACACGGTGAAACCCCGTCTCTACTAAAAATACAAAAAATTAGCCGGGCGTGGTGGCGGGCGCCTGTAGTCCCAGCTACTCAGGAGGCTGAGGCAGGAGAATGGCGCGAACCCGGGAGGCGGAGCTTGCAGTGAGCCGAGATCAGCCACTGCACTCCAGCCTGGGTGAAAGAGCCAGACTCTGTCTCAAAAAAAAAAAAAAAAGTCTGCTGTCAGTCTGATTGGCATTCTTTCCAGGAGGTCTGTGTCTTTTCTCTATGGTTACTTTTAAGATGTTCTCTTTGTTTGTATTCTGTAATTTCACTAAAATGTGTCTAAATTTGACTTTCTTTTATTTACCCTGTTTGGGGTTTCTCAACCCTTCAAAATTCTCAGCCATTATCTCTTCAACATGGCCTTCCTCTGTTTTCTTCTAGAAGTCTGAGTAAATGAACGTTCTACTTCCTTGCTCTGTTCTTCATGCCGCTTATCTTGAACCTGTTTAGAAATCTCTTTGTCCTGCAGATTTGTCTTCCAGTTCACTAGTTCTCTCTGAAACAGTGTCATATCCTCTGTTAAACACACCATTACACTTCTAATTTCAGCTATAATTTCTTCATATATATATACATACACACACACACACATATGTTGTTGTAAGTTCTATTTATCTCTCTTTCAAATCTGATTGGTTATTTTGGATAGTCTTGTGTTCCTTAGTCATATTTTTTTATATCCCCTCCCACATGTAAATATATAAAGTATACTTATTTTTTAAAAAGTAATTTGTATCCAATGTTCATAGGTCTTATTCTGCTGTTTGCTCCTTCTGGTGAATCTCACTCATGTTGGGCAGTTTATCAATATATTTTGTGATTTTTTTGAAGAGGAATTCTTGTTGAATAGAGTTCTATCTGTAAGAGTCTATGAGTCTGGCTTGGGGTGGGTTCTTCCAGAAACAACTCACATAGGCTGCCGGATGCCTTGGAACATGACCAGCTAGAGCCTCTATTAGCCTCATTCTCAGCTTGAGTTTAGGACACACAGGAAACCTAAATTCTGATGCGGAGGCTGCGTGAATATGGGCTTATAGTTAGGAATTCTTAGAAAAGTCCTTCCCTGCACCTTCCCAGAGCCAGGGCTAAGGCAGGCAAGTTTCCGTATTGTCTCCCTTGATAAGCAATTTTTATTAAGTTGTTCGTCGAGGGTTTCACCTGGTGGAGGTGCCAGCTCCCTGTGGCACTCTCAGGCCTGATTTTCCATCCTGCGTGGTCTCAGATTTTGATGCCGTTCTGCATCCAATGCGCCTGGCCACAGGGGACTGCTGTGGCTCCTCTCGCCTTGACCCCACTTCCCTCTCTGGACTTCTGCTCACTCTTGCCCGCTCAGCCATGCATTAAAACAGGAAAAAAATAACTTTATTCAGTATTTTACATGTTTTGTACCAGGGGTGTTTTTCTAGATATCTAATCTGTAATAGTGCATGAATGAAAGTCTCTCATGGCTTAATGTTTTGAAATTCGATCTGGTGTTGGCACTTTTTGTGAAACAGATGGCATCCTGAAAGCAGAGACCATCAAAGCCATCCTGACCAGACATTCCTTCCTAAGTTCAAGAAACAAGCAGCACAGGAGGAAACAACTGTCTTACAAGAGTAAATGCTTCTGAGAAGAAGAAACTCTACTGAAAATATCCACATAAAGAGGTTATAGCAAACCAAGAAAAGAAGCACAAAAGTAATTCAGAACTGACAGAATCAAAGCAGAGAGTTTAAGAAGTGGGGCTGAAGAGGCTGACCTGGCCTGAAGCAGGCATCTAGAAGTTCTCATTAGTGACAAGGGGCGGAGGTGGCTCCGGAGAAGCAGGAAGCAGACACAGAGAGAGGGAGGGAGGATGGCAGGAAAATGCAGGGAACTTTGTGCTCATTCAGAAGAAACTCCCTCTGATGTTTAAGGATCTGGCTCCTTGAGAGAAAAGCACAACCTCCAATCACAGAGGTTCAAGATAGAAGCAGAGTTCAGTGGGGCCCTGGGAAGGTGTCACCCGGGCGGATGAGCAGCCCTCACAATCTGGGGATCAGGAGGGCTATGGGCTGTAGAGAACTGCCTGGGGCCAGTGGGGAGGGTCCCCAAGGCCACAGCTGTTGTGCCCTCTGGGTGGTGGAGGACACACATGTGCCCAGGGCTGTAACTTCCAGTGCTTTTCATGTTCCCCCACCTGGGCAACCCCAGGGCTCCTTGTGCTCCTCAAGTGCCCTGCACTCCCCTGCTCTCCGTGCTCCCTGCTCTGTGCTCCCCATGCTCCTTGTGTGCCCTGTGCTTCCAGGGCTCCTTACATTCTCCATGCTCCTCATGCTGTCTATGCTGCCCTGCTCTTCGTGCTCCTGGTGCTCCCCATACTCCTCTTGTTCCCCATGCTCCCCATACTCGTCATGTGCCCTGTGCTTCCAGGGGTCCTTACATTCTCCATGCTCCTCATGCTCCACATGCTGTCTGTGCTCCCCTGCTCCTCGTGCTCCTAGTGCTCCTCGTACTCCTCATGCTCCCCATACTCCTCGTGTGCCCTGTGCTTCCAGGGCTCCTTATATTCTCCATGCTCCCCATGCTCTTCGTGCTCCCCATGCTCTCTGTGCTCCCCTGCTTCTCATGATCTTTGTGCTCCCCGTACTCCTCTTGTGTCCTGTGCTTTCAGTGCTCCTTATATTCTCCATGCTTCCATGCTCTTCGTGCTCCCCATGCTCTCTGTGCTCCCCTGCTCCTCATGATCTTCGTGCTCCCCGTACTCCTCATGTGTCCTGTGCTTCCAGTGCTCCTTATATTCTCCATGCTCCCCATGCTCTTCGTGCTCCCCATGCTCTCTGTGCTCCCCTGCTCCTCATGATCTTTGTGCTCCCCGTACTCCTCATGTGTCCTGTGCTTCCAGTGCTCCTTATATTCTCCATGCTCTCTGTGCTCCACATACTCCTCGTGCTCCCCATGCTCCCCGTGCTCCTTGTGTTCCCATGATCACTCTCCATGCTCCTCCTGCCTCCTCTGACTCTGACTTCTCCTGCCACAGGGGATGTGGACCAGGGAGGAATCGGAGTGGAAGGAGAGTGCGGTCTTGTCTGACTCTGGTTAAAATTTCTCTTTTTTGCTCATCACCAGGATGTAACTGTGGGAACACTTTGCTAAGGTCCCTCCCAGGACCTGCACATGTGCAGCCTCTGGTCTTTGTGGTTTTGCATAAATGCCCCATAAAAAGCAGGTTCCAAAGGGTCAATTGCCATCAATGTGAGCTAAGGTTATTAGGAAAATGTGGACTCTACATTGCCGTCTGAGACTCGGATTGGGGATCTGGCTGGTGCCGCGCAGGGCTTGGCAGACGCTTCCTGGCCACGCTGACCCTGAGAGAACCCACAGAGACTGCAGGGTGCTGACCACAAGGGCAGTCTGTTGGAGGCTTCAGCCTCCAAAAGTGGGGCACCAGCCCTCCTCTCACCTTGATGTACTGTGTGTTGCTGTTAGTGATGTCCCAATGGCATCGATTCAACCCACCACGAAGGCGCTCCTCTCGGAGAGTGAGTCTGCAGAGATTTGAGACCAGGTGTGCTCCAGGATGGAGTTAGGCTGGCTGGCTGCTGCTGCTGGAACTTTCCTGGGGAGCCTCAGCTTCTGGGTTGGAGAGGCAGCCCGGCAGGAGTGCCAGCTCCACACAGCAGCCCACGTGTTCTGTGGCTTCAGCTCCATTTGTCAGGGTGCAGGGTGGTGGCCGGCTGACCAGTGTTCCCCTTGGCTGTGGCTTCTGCCAGGAGCACAGAGGGGAGCATCAGCATAGCTCTGGCAGATGCCCCAGGTCCCACTTTATCACTTCTCCCCCCATCTCCTGCCTTGACTGCAAAATGAAAAATGCTGAACTGGAAAACCTGCCGGCAGATGCCCCGGCCGCCTGTGAAAGCATCAACTTTCAAGGCGCCAGCAGGGTGCAAAGTGTTCATTAAACCTCGTGACCCCAAGCTCACATGTCTGTGCCAGGAACACACCCGCCACCCTGGAGCTGTCCGGCGCATCCAGCAGGCTCTGTAATCAATCACAGTTCAGAACACAGCAGCCAGACACAGAGCTTTCAATAAAAGTGTGGTCTCAATGATTTCCCCTGTCATGCTCAGCAAAGGGCTGCTCTCCTGGGGAGAGATGCACGGGACAGCCTGGTTTCCCTGGTTCCTCCACCATAGGCTGCTTTGGGGCGGGAAATAACAAGAGCTGGCGGATGCAGCCTCACCTCGCTAGAGCCAGGCATTGTTCTGCACCGTTCTGGAGGTGGGTAAACCCGGGTAAACACAAAGCAGATTGGGGGCATGTGTTCTGAGCGCTGTCGTCCTCAGCACGCTGCAGGCACTGAAATGTACGTTGGCGACTTTTTAACCCCATTGTTCCCAGGCTGCTTTGGTAACTGGAGAGCTGTAGTGCTTCTTTGCTACATCATGGAAACTGCTTTAATGAAAATAGACTCCTGCATCCAATTATATGGTTTTTAAAGCCTCTTTCTCCAAATGAGGGCCATAGGAGGGCCTTTCAAAGGGAACCGCCCTCAGCCCTCCTGGGGCTCAGCTTCTCCTTCCAGCTCTAGGGGTCTTTACAGCGCCATGCTGGGAGTGGCTCTGGGGTCCCCTTGGTCCACCAGGAGGTGGGCATCTGAGGCTATGTTTCTCTCGGGTCAGGTTTGCAGCTGCTGCAGAAACCGCCTGTGTGCAGCCTGTGCCTTTGGGTCTCGTGAGGGCAGGCGGCAGCGTCCGTGCTGTTAGGATTGCATGTGGATTCACGCTCCTCAGCGTGACCTTGGTCAAGCCAGCGAGGCCAGCAGGGATGATGGAG
Organism: Homo sapiens; assembly: GCF_000001405.40. NCBI lineage: Eukaryota > Metazoa > Chordata > Mammalia > Primates > Hominidae > Homo > Homo sapiens. The sequence goes on from NC_000005.10 coordinate 947,032, forward strand.
AAAGCTCCAGCTCTATGCTCCTGGCCCCAGCCCAGTCCCTGTTCTGATGTCTCAGAAGTGAAGCAGGCAGTTGGCCTGGAGGATCCAGCTCAGGGCCGGAATCGGGCCGGGCTGACCTTCAGCCTCGATGCCTGCTGGCTCTGTGGGCTCCGGTGCCTCGTGTGACTCCCCTGTGCCCCCACGGCCTCTTGTAAAATCCAGCATGGAACTCACAGGCAGAAGCCGTCTGCTGGGCCCCAGAGCCTGCTCTGAGCTTTCTGTTGACTCCTGGCACACTGTGCACAGCACTGGACACGCACTGACCCTGCAGGCGTGGGTGTGGGGCCTGGAGACAGACGTGGCTTCCTGTGGTCACACAGCCAGGACAAGAGCCTTGGGCTCCCTAGGCTGTCTGAGGTCCGGGACCGTCGAGTCTCTGCCATGCCTGCTGTCTCAGGTACCTCCCAGCCCCGCAGGTCACACCCCGGAGTCCACCACAGTCCAAACTCTCTTCCCCACAGGAGTGAGTTAGCACCAGGGACAGGGCTGAGGTCGGATCAAAACTCAAGAGGAACCACGGGATACTGGGGCAGGCGGGGACTGCAGGCTGATTTAGTTCAAAGACTGTATCTTTCTGGTGTCAATGGAGGTCCAGAGAGGTTGATCGACTTTTTCTGGGGTCACACAGCCAGGGAGTGGATAGGAGAATGTTTCAGATATAACATCTGGTCCTCAAAATCTGGGCCAGTTTCCAGACACCAGTGTGGGTGGCAGAACATGTCTACAGCACCTGAATCTCTAGGGGACTGTGATGGGCACTGCTGATAATTGCTTCCCTGTTGTGGCCTCTGCAGAAACCACACAGATCCCTCCCGGGAATCTGGTTCAGACACCAAGACCTGTGGCAACCCCCCACCCCCGCCACCCCTCCACCTCAACACACACACCAGGAGGATGTGAAAAGCTTCTTTCTTCACACTGCGAGGCTTTTTGGGGGAGCAGGGTGGCTCCGAGCTGCCCTGAGGATGGATTGAGAGGGCGGGGCGGGGAGGGGGACCTGGGTTCCCGTGGCTGGGCTTGGATGAGGGTCCTGCCTCGTGTGGTCCTGCCTGAGGGAGCGGCCCAGGCGTGGGAAGGAGGAGGAAGGGCTGGGCTTGACAGATGACAGCCCAGTGTCAGAAGACCACACCCCCAGAGGTCCCCTACGGGTCTTCACCAGTGGCACTTAAAACACAGCAAGGAAAGCGCCTGGTGGGAACTGCATGTGCCCCATGGGGTGTCACTGTGGGCGTCACTCGCTTGCACCCAGGAACGCAGGCTTCTCAGTGGAAAATGGCAACAGCTCTTCTCCGATCTCGAGGTCTCTTAGCAGACTCCAGAGGGAGCTGGAGAAACCTCTCTGCTCTATCAAAATAACAACCAGCAAGTTATTCTGATCCTGTTTGATGAAGGCAGGCCGGCAATGCCTGTTTCTCTCATGAGCATCCTTCGCCCTGGCCTGGGGCTGGGGGACTTGCTGGGCCTCCCAGGCTGGTCGTCATCTCAGGAAGTTGCCCTTTCTTGTCTTGAATTGCATCATATGGCCCAAAGACCATGGGTTTAAAACAAAATCCCAATGGGGCTCAGAGCTCCTTCTGAAGCGTGGGAGGCGGGGGGCTGACGCGTGCTATGGGGTCCAGCATCTTCTGCTCAACTTCGGGTTTTCAGGGGGCGCAGAGTGGATGGCGCAGGTTCAGCTTCTGCCCCCAGTTAGGCCCCTTCACCCAGAGCCACAGGTGAGCTTGGCACAGGCCTTGGCCTCTCACTGCATTTCCCATTACCTCATGTCCCCGAGCTGGCCCTGCCCTGTGCGATCCTCTCCTGATGCTTGGACGCAGAGCTCTGGCCCCCGTGGGCCCCTCCTCACTGGCCAGTGCCTCTGCCGCCACCTGCACCCCCAGAACAGGCACCACGCCCACGGCTGAAAGACGGGAGGGATGGAAGTGGGGCTTTGAGGAAAGCCCAGTGAGGTCACCCCTCAGAGCACCTGGGTGAGTGAACAGGAGGTGGGGAGCTCTGAGCAGGGCTGGGTGAGTGAACAGGAGGTGGGGAGCTCTGAGCAGGGCTAAGGACCAAGCAGACCAGGCCTGAGTGCGGCTCCAGTATTGGGGATACCTGGTTCCCAGGTGAGGGGGCACATGATTGCTCCCCCAAGAGGTAAACTGAGCAAAAGAAGGCTTGGCCTGGGAGGAGAAATTAAATGTAAGGGACGGCAAGATTTGAACACCTTGGTGGGTCAGGGCAGCCATTTAGCGTGATCTGGGGTCAGAGCTGGACGGGTGCCCAAGGACCAGCTTATCCAGTTATCGTTTTCCACAGATGAGGACCCTGAGGCCCAAGGGGCTTGGGAGATGCTGTCAAAGTTCCGTGACTGGACCCAGGGCCTCCTGCCCACTGCTCTGTTTGAGCCTTTTCCTTCCATATGGACAGGTGGCTGTCTCACCCAGCTCAGTCCCACGCATGCCTCATTTTTCTTGGTTATCCTAAGGGTTGTTTTTCTAATTTTTAATTTTAAACACATTTTTTCATTTATTTCATTTTCACTTCTAGAATTTTTATTTCTGTTTGAGCTCGTTCATTTCTCTTTAAAAATAGTTTGCCATCTTTTCATCTATATATTTAAAAAATTTTTTTCTGATATTTTAAAAATATATTTTTTATTTTAAAACAATTTTGAAGCTATAGAAAAACTGCTAGGATGCTGCAGAGAGCTGGTATACTCCTGGCACTCAGGATTCCCCTACTGCTAACCTCTTACATTCATTCGCTGGATGTGTCCTAATTAGTGAGCCAATATTGACACGCTGCCATTAACAAAAGTCCGTAGCCCATTCACATTCCCCTGGTTTTCACCTCATGTCCCTTTTCTGCCTGAGGACCCTGTGCAGGATCCCATGTGACACGTCGTGGTCACGCCTCCTTAGGCTCTTCGTGGCAGTGACAGTTTATCAGGCTTTCCTTGTTTTTGATGATTGTGAGTAGTACTGGTCAGGTGTTTTGTAGAATGGTCTTCAAATAAGATTTGTCTGATGTTTCTTCATGATTAGACTAGAGGTAAGTGTTTTCGGGGGGAACACCCGAGAGGCGAGTGCCAGTTTCACTACGTCTCATCATCCGAGGAGAAGTCCAGCGTCGCTTCCGCCTCTGTCCCCCTAATGGTGAGGCGTTTTCCCCTCTGGCTTCTTTCACCATTTTCTCTCTGTCTTTGGCTTTCTGTCATTTGAATATGATATACCAAGGTGTAGATTTCTTGGGATTTATTTTGTTGATCTCTGAGCTTCCTGGATCTGGATCTGTGGTTTGGTGTCTTTCATTAGTTATGGACTGTTCTCAGCCATTATTACTTCAAATATTTCTTCTCCCTTCTCTCTTTCTTCTCCTTCTGGTATTGTAATTATGCATGTGCTACACTTTTTACAATTCTTCTGCAATTCTCGGATGTCCTGAATTTTCCCCATTCTTGTCTCTCTTCTTAAACTGAAGTTTGGGACATTTCTGTTGGCCTATTGTCAAATGCACTAATACATTTTCAGCTTTGTCCCATCTACTGATGAGCCCAGAAAAGGCCTTCTTTGGTTCTGTTACAGCTGATTCCTGCCTTTCCTTATGATTCTTTCTTAGAGCTTTCACCTGTTCCTGCATGCCGTCCACTCTTCCATGAGAGCCTTTAACATATTACTTTACATTCCCTGCCTGGTAATTCCAAAACCTCTGCCACATCTGAGTATTGTTCAGATGATTGTGTTTGCTCTTCAGTTTTTTCTTACCTTTTGGCATGGCTTGCAATATTTTGTTGAAAGCCATACGTGATGCATTGAGTAATAGGAAGGGTGGAAAGTGGGGATTTAGATTGAAGTTTTATTTTAATCTGGCTAGAGTTAGGCCACGTGTAATATTTTCCATAGCTCTAGGTGCCAGAGACTTCAAATTCCCCTAATGTCCTTGCGTGTGTCTCCTCTTTTGACTTTGGACTTCCCTAGGTCCTCCTCTTTAAATAGAATCCATATCTGGTAGCTCACTCAGCTGTAATCCACTGCAACCTGGTCATAATAGAACCCTGGTTGTGTGGTAGTCAGGTGTGTGGGAAGGGAGCATGCTACAATCTTATAATGAAGTCTCTGCCTTTCACTGGGTCTGCCTCTTGGCCTGTGACCTTCACTAGTGTTTTTTCAGTGGCATAGGGTCCCCCACTGTGGTGAGACAGGAAAGCTCCAGGGAGCTGGAGTGGGAGGAGTGCCTTTTGTCCAAGTGGGATAAGGCCCTGGTAAGGTCTGTTTGCCTTGGAAAGGCGGTTGCTGTGGCAAATGCCCTGGCTGTGCTCCACAATGATTACTCCTCTCCTTCTCTGCCAGACCCAGAGGAGGTCTTTTTGGATCTTTGAGAACCCAGCGGGGTTCCTGAAAGTAAAACCCATAAATGTGAGAGCCCCAGGACTGCAGCTCCAGGGAGATGCTCACCCTCACATGGCCCATGCCCAGCCTCTGCCACCTCCTCAAAGCCATCATTATGCTCACCTTCACGTGGCCCATGCCCACCCTCTGCCATCTCCTCAAAGCCATCATTATGCTCACCTTCACATGGCCCAGGCCTGGCCTCTGCCACTTCCTCAAAGCCATCATTTACATGTGTGCACTAGTTTCTGGGTCCAGTGGCTTTGGCTTTAGGTAGGCAGATCTCAGCTGTGATACTCTGTGTTCACCTGTTTCTCCAGGTGTCAGGTGGCACTCTGCCCTTTGACCTTGGTTCTTTCATGGGTCCAAGACAAATTGATGATTCTCACTTAGTGGTTTCCAAGCTCTTTACGTGTTGGAGCTGAAGGGAAAGTTCATCCCAGAATTTTGGCCAATGTTCTGGAAAACGAGCCCCCTCCCAGCTCAGCTGGCCCCTTCCCTGTGAATTCCTAATGGTCAGCTCCTGAGGAGAGGGAGGAAGCCCAGAGGCTGCCAGCCCCTTCCCACAGGCCCCGCTCCCACCCCCTGCATTCCCTGGGCAGAGTCAGGGACACGGGCTCTTCCCACAGGCTTCCTTGAGGAGTCCTCGTTCAGACACCGTGACTGGGGCTGAGCTACACGTGTGCACTGCTGTCCTGGCATGACCCTGACCCCTGGGTGGGCTCATGTGGCCCTGGGAGAGCTGGCGGCAGGACAGGAGAGGTCTTGGCCACCCCCCACCTCCCTCCCCTGGCTGTTCCCCAGCACTGCTGTTGACTTTTCCACATCTCCTGGTGTCTCCTCCACACACGGGCCCTTCTGACCTGCAGCCTGGGCCAGAGCTGACCCTGCACCTGCGCTTCCCAGGGCCTCGGCTGTGGCTGTGGGTAGCTGTGGGAATGATCCTCTTCCCAAGGTCCCAGGCAAGTGGTGGGAAAGACCCTGCCCCTGTAGGGCCTCCCTGAACCTGGTGCCCCTGAGTCCGGAGCACAGGCCCCCTGCCCTGGACGTCCTGTGGAGAAGCCGAGGGCGGTTCCACCTGCTTTCTGGGGTCCAGAGTCTGCCCCCCCGAGTCTTTGCCCTGCAAAGGTCAGGCGGCTCCGCCTTGTATGCCCACTCTGTCTTCGTGGTCACTCCCTCAGCCCCTGTTCTCATTTGCCTGTTCCCCTCTAAACATGGGCAGGGAACCAGAGACTGTCACTCACACTCAGCACAGACACCTGGGCAGGGCGCTGGGGCCTCTTTAGGGCAGGAGCTGAGACACCCCTGATGGCAGTGGCCCTCCTGTCCAGTGAACACAGGCCCCGGGCTGGGAGCACAGGGGGCTCCGGGAGGACAGCCCTGTGGCTCTGAGCATGCAGAATGTACCACAGGGGCAGGCGTCCTTGAGCCAGGACAGGCCTGCAGGGTCTCTGCACAGGGAACGGGCACACATCCTGGGCACGAGTGGAGGTTTGAGTCTCACAGGCCATACCAGGGAGCAAAATGTTCAGTGCAAGGCAGAGTTCGTCTCCCAGCCAGGGCCCCCTAAGCCAACTTAGAGAGCCTGCGGCTGGCCTGGCAGCTCCTGAGTCTGGGGTTACAAGCCTAGGCCTGAGTGTCAAGTGCGGAGGCCACAGGACACGGGGGCTGCTGGCCCCTGAAACTGCCACTCAGTAGCAGGTTCTACAAGTGCAAACAGAGGCCGGGGTGGGAAGAGGCAGGAGGGGGAAGAAAAGGCAAAATGCTTCAGCAACACCCTTTACGTTTTGCTTACATGCTGGAATAATATTTGTTACATTGGGTTAAACAACACATATTACAATTAATACCTGTTTCTTTTTTCTCAGTGTTACTTAGCTACTAGAAAATGTAAAATTTCATATGTAGCTGGCAGTGCATATTCCACTGGATGAATCCTAGTGCAGCAGAAACACCATCTGGGCAGCATCGAATCCCCCTCACCTGTGATCCTGTGGGTGAAGGGACACGGCAGGAAGGAAGCACGGAGGCTTTGCTGAGGGTGTGCAGTCCCTCGTGGAAACTCCTGGCACAAGTTCACTAAAATGCAAGCGCTATGTGCACTTTCATAAGAACGTGTACCTTGAGGCAAGCCTGGCCGGCAGGGAGTGTGCACACGCTTTCCCCTGCAGTGTGTGCAGGGCAGTCAGATAAGCAGGGCCCACAAGCACGCGGCCTTGCTGAGAGGCTCCAAGGAAGGGAACCCAAGGGGAGCCCACACCCAGGGCCGCTGACTCCATCCCAGGCTCGCAAGACTCAAGTGGGGTGACTAGGAGAGAAGGCAGGCACCCCCAGCCAAGTCCTCTCATGTTCTCTGATGAGTTAGAGATGCTCTCGGGTTGTGAGACCCTGAGGTTGCCGTCATGGAGGGTCTTTGAGAACATGTGGCTGAGGTGGAGAGAGTGCTGGCCTGGCTCGCAAGCCTGAGCTAGATGGGTCCCCCAAAGAGAGCCCATACCCTGGAGGACCCTCGCCCCGCTCCACAGGGTGAGTCAGGGGACATGTGTGGGAAGCAGAGGCCCAGACTGTAGGATAAAGTAAAAAGTAAAAATGCAACACACACCACACACACACACACACAACAACTCGACCTCGCACGGCACAGGGCTGGCCCTCGACTCAAAAGAGCAAAAAACGTAGATGGGCTGTGCCAGAGTACCAGCACCCACAGCAGAAGGAGCTTAAAATTAATTCCTTCATCCATTCGGTAACAGCTGATGACACGGAAAAGAGATGCAAAGTCATGCTTTGGTGGAGATGACACGCTCCACATCAGAAAACTCAGACAATAGACAGGAGCTCCATCCACACCATCAGTCAGGAGTGACGTGGTAGAGGGAGGGCAGACAGTGAATAGGTCTCTCGGTAAAGTTTTATGATGTTTTCCTCAATTGTTCTGTGCATCTTTTATTTGATTTTTAAACTGTAAATGCTTTTGTCAGCTGGGCGCGGTGGCTTACACCTGTAATCCCAGCACTTTGGGAGTCCAAAGCAGGCAGATCACGAGGTCAAGAGTTCGAGACGAGCCTGGCCAACATGGTGAAACCCCATCTCCCACTAAAAATACAAAAATTAGCTGGGTGTGGTGGTGGGTGCCTATCACAGGAGGCTGCGGCAGGAGAATCGTTTGAACCTGGGAAGCGGAGGTTGCAGTGAGCTGAGATTGTGCCACTGCACTCCAGGCTGGGTGACAGAGCGAGACCCCATCTCAAAAAAAAAAAAAAAAGGCTTTTTTTCTGGATGATGGAATTATGATTGATTGATTGTGAATGCTGGGTTTGCATCCAACATACTTGCTACCTTTTTTTTGTTTGTTTTTGAGACGGAGTCTCGCTCTGTCACCCAGGCTAGAGTGCAGTGGCGCAATCTCGGCTCACTGCAAGCTCTGCCTCCCGGGTTCACGCCATTCTCCTGCCTCAGCCCCCTGTGTAGCTGGGACTACAGGTGCCTGCCACCACGCCCGACTAATTTTTTGGATTTTTAGTAGAGACAGGGTTTCACTGTGTTAGCCAGGATGGTCTTGATCTCCTGACCTCATGATCTGCCCGCCTCGGCTTCCCAAAGTGCTGAGATTACAGGCGTGAGCCACCGTGCCTGGCTGCTACTTTTTATTATATCTAATAATATACATGTAAATCCTTTTAAATTTCTATGTTTATCTCTTGTTTCTTATCTGTGTTATTTTCTTTTCATTTTGTTCATTTTCTCCCTAACTCTTATAACTATACTGCTGTAGTCGTTATCGAGCTCCCTCGACAACCACGTTAATTCCTCAGGAGGGCCTCACCTCTTAACATGTCTGCCTCCACTCTGCACCTCATCTGGAAAATGGCAATTAAGTTTCAACATGAGTTTTGGGAGAGACATTCTAACCACAGCAAATACCATTTGTGAAGAACGTTTCTCTTTTATTCCAGATATTGTTTCATTATCCTCTGTGAGTGTCTCTCTCTCTGTCTTTGTCTCTCTCTGTCTCTGTCTCTCTGTTTTCCTATGTCTCTGTCTCTGCTTCTGTCTGTCTTTCTCTGTCTCTCTGTTTCTCTATGTCTCTCTCTCTGTTTCTCTGTATTTCTCTGTCTCTGTCTGTTTCCCTATGTCTCTGTCTGTTTCTCTCTTTCTGTCTCTCTGTTTCTCTATGTCTTTCTCTCTGTTTCTCTCTGTATTTCTCTGTCTCTGTCTGTTTCCCTATGTCTCTGTCTCTGTTTCTCTCTGTCTTTCTCTCTCTGTTTCTCTATGTCTCTGTTTCTCTCTGTATTTCTCTGTCTGTTTCCCTATGTCTCTGTCTCTGTTTCTCTCTTTCTCTGTTTCTCTATGTCTCTCTCTGTATTTCTCTGTCTGTTTCCCTACGTCTCTGACTTTGCTTCTCTCTGTCTTTGTCTGTCTCTCTGACCCTGTCTCTGTCTCTCAGTCTCTCCCTCCTATGAGTGACAGCCATAGCCTCTCTTAGAATGCTAAATGGAAGCGTTGTTAGAAGGCCTGTCTACTGTGTTCTGGTCTGACGGGGACAGTTTCTCTGTCTCGCCATTTAGTGCCGTACTGTATTTGCTGAAGGTTTTTTGAAGACCCTTTGTCCAGTTAAGGAAATGCCTTTCTATGCTTAGCCTGCTGAGAACCTTTTCATGACTGGCTGTTGAATGTTCCCAGATGCTGTTCTGCATTTGCTAAGGTGGCCACGCGGTTTTCTTCCTGACTTTGCTAGCGTGAGCTCCAGGAAGGCGGGCCTGTCCGTGTTCACCGCTGAGCCCGCCCGGAAGGCACCGTTTACGAAGCACCTTGCACATCCGGCTCCATTCTGCACCCTGGCTTCCTCATCTGGAAAATGGGTCCATCTCGGTGATCTGGGCTGGAGACCTCGGACTCAGGGCAGTGCCAGCTGGGCCCCAAGTGGAGGTGACAGCTGGGGACCAGAAGGGGCTACCGCATAGCCGGGGAGTGAGGGGCTGGTGCTGGCCAAGGCGCCTCTGACTGACCTCTGCTCTCTCGCCAAGTACCCAGGAGATGTCCCAGAAAGAACGGCAGCTCCACTGAGATCTTGAACCTCAGAGACCCCCTCCCAGGGCTCTGACACGCGGCGTCCACGGGGTCTTCAACTCACCCGTGAAGACCCGGCACCCTCTGAGGGCAACTCCACCCCACCTTGCAGTCCCACAGCAGCTGAAGCCCAGCAGGGCTGGGGGCTGAAGACCCTCCAGCATGGCTCAGGACCTCGGAAGGGCCAGGGGAGGCGGGCTTCCTGCAGGAGATGCCGGCACTCCCCAAAGGACTCTTCAGGGTTGGGGGCGGACGTGAAGGGAGGAAACCCACTCACCCTACTTGAATTCTGAACACGCACATGGATCTCGGTTCCACCTCCCTTTACAGTCTATTTAGGTCCTGCTCCACCTTGGAGTTCTGATGCCCATGAGTGGGGCAGAAATTCCCAGCATCATGGCAGGGAAAGTCGGTGGGGCTCAAAGCTCCAGCCAAGAATGGCTCTGCATCTGCCTGGTTCTCTCTTCAATCGGGGCTTCTGTGGCCAGGACACTGGCATTTCATAAATAATTACACATTCCTTAAACTCTCACAAAGCCAAGAGGAAACAAAACCGCAATGCTGAGATTCCTGGAATGTTTTCCAGTTATCTGGGCCAAGCAGAGGCCCAGTGGGGGCTGTGCAGCGCGCTTAGCCTGGGACTGGGCCGTAGTCCCCTTTCTTGTGGCATTTTAGCTAAAAGACCTGAAAGGAAAATGAAAGGCGCTTTATGACTGTGGTGTTCGTCAGGGTCCCCAGACAATGGGGGAAGCCCATCCAATCCTCAGAGCTGGCTCGGGGCAGCCCCATGGATCTGTGCCCTGGGACTGACCTCGGGGCCAAGAGAACCCTCAAAGGCTGAGGTCACCCCGCCAGGGTCGGTTTAGGTGTGGCGCCTCCTCTGGACGCCCCTGGGATTGCCTGCGCGCCCGGCCCGGAGCTCCTGTTCCAAGCAGGGAGCATCCCTGGACCGTGCCCTCGTTCCTTTGAGGTTTTCTGTGGCACGCACCACAGTTTAATGCGACTCACCCCAGCCATGCTGGGGCTGGTTTCCTGTTACAAACACAGGCTTAGTTTTAAGATCAAACAACTGTTTGGGTTGTGGTCTGACCTCGCAGGGGATGTGGCTCAGGGCCTGGTGCAGCCTGGCCAAGGGGTGACGTCCGGTCATGCTGGCTTCATTCCCTGAGCACCGCAGCCTTCTCTGTGTCCCCTGTCCCTGCCCACCTGGCCTCCTCAAGCGTCTGTCCAGCCCAGCCCAGGTTGCGCTCAGCAGTGGCTCACTGGCCCCTCTGCCATCCTTGCCACCGATGCCCAGCCTTATTTATTTGGGGTATTTCTGGGCCATTCCACCCACTCCTCTTGAGGGCACCCAGCGTGTCCCTTGCCCTGTGTGGTCGGCGCCCATCTCTGAAGTGCGGGAAGCAGGAAGCAAGGCCTGCTGATGGGAAGGACCCACGGCTCTGGCTAGAATGGCTTTGGCCCTAAGCCAAAGCTGAGGGTGTGGGGAAGCAGGAAATCCAGTGTGGAAGCCATTTTGGACGTCAAATCAGTGGGTCAGGGACTGCTCACACAGGGTCGTCTTCTTGTGACTTTTCAGGGACTTGCTTTTACCCCCCTTCTCTGGTGAGCTTTCTAGACAAGGCTGCGACATGACATTCTCATTCTGTTTGGAGCAGGATGAAGGGTTCGTGCGTAACACTATGAGGCGTGGACGGGGCTGAGAACTGGCGCATGGCTGCCACCTGCTGTGGTGGTGACCACCGGGAGTCTCCCTCGCAGGCTGTCTGGCTCAAAAGGTGACAAAGTTCCAGCCACGGGGCCCCTGCTCAGCCCTGAGGACACCCACACTGGCACAGGGGACACTGCGGCAGTCAGGGAAGGGCACCTCCCCACGCTGGCACAGGGTCTCAGCACAGGGGACACTGCGGCACTCAGGGAAGGGCACCTCCCCACGCTGGCACAGGGTCTCAGCACAGGGGACACTGCGGCACTCAGGGAAGGGCACCTCCCCACGCTGGCACAGGGTCTCAGCGAGAGACTACGGCATTTGGGGAAGGGCCATTTTGTCATTGACTGGAACTTTCTCAAGAAAGCATTTTCCACTTGCGTTTCCATGGAGGTCGGCTTTGCTGGAAACCACAGGACCCTGCCCTCCACCAGACACACAGTGTGCAGAGGCGTGTACCCGAAAAGCAAAGTGCGGCCTCACACGGTTCTTTAATCTGGAGCCGGACTCCTGGGAAACAAACCAAACAGACGCAGGTACGTGCTCAGCTCTGCCGTTGCGGTTTGGTTCAGGACTAGGGCCGTGCAGATGCCTGGCAACAGCCGTGCCTGGGGGAGGATGTGGCGCTGGGAGCCCGCAGGCCGGGAGCAGGCGCCGGGGGAGCTTCGGCGGTTCTGGAGGGACTGGGTGTTCCCGCCAAGGCGTTGCTGGCCAGGGGCACAAAAAACAGCGCGGATGGGAAACGGAGCAGCCGCACTCTGTCCGATGAGTCCACACGTGGGCGGCTGCGTTCAGTGCTCCCTGGCACGGGGACCCCAAGCCGTAAGCCGGACACCACGTTCCCAAAGCCAGGAGGGTCATGACATGTGCGTGCGGTGTCCAAAGGCCAAACCAAGGTTGCGGTCCCTGCCAAGTAGGCAGTGATTCACACCTGGGGAAGCGATGTGATTGGCCTTCTTCTATTCAAATAATGTAAGCATAAGGGACAGAGAACGCCAGTGCTTGCGCTTGACAAATCTCTGGGCATTTTGCCAAGGGCCGAGCTCGGCTCCCCACCCCCAGCCCTGCCCCCCACGTGACAAGGCCCCATCGGCCCCCAAGTCCATCTGAGCTCACACTCACGCAACAGGCAAGCCTCCTTCCAAACGAGTACCCTTTCCAAAGCCCAAGTGGCCACTCCCCCACCATGGGGCTGGGACAGAGATGACCGTAGACCTCAAGCCGCTATGGGGACTTGGGTCACAAGGTGCCGCAATGCCCGGGTGCCCCCTGTGCCTCAGTTTCCCCATGTGGGAAATGACTCCATATTGGCAATGTGAGGCATCGAATATCTGAGACTTGGGCAGCGTCTCGTTGCCAAGTCAGGGCACTGCCAGCCGGGCCCAAATTCAAGGCGACGGCCGAGGCTTGAGGCACCACGGCCCCAGTGGTCAGCGGGGGGTCAGCGGGGGGTCAGCGGGGCAGTCAGCGGGGCCGCCATAAGATGGTGGGGCCGGTGGGGGGTTTCAGAGGCAGCTCTTCCCCTCACACTCCGATGCCGCGGAGAGAGCCCAGGGCTGCAGGTGGGGAAGGGCGTGCCTGCGTCTCCGATGGAGGTGACCTCTGGGGCTCTCCTGCTTGCTGCCCAGGTCGGACGTCCCTCTGCTGGCCCATCTCCTGCGCCACACCCACCATTCCCTTCTCACCCCCTGAAGCTCCCTCGTCCTCACAAAAGCAGCAGGGCCACTTATGCGCCGTCCTGTTTTTCTGGACACCATGACCAGGATGGGACAGGACTCGTGAACCCACACGTGAGATCACACTAAGATCCTAAAGGCTTTGCGCTTCTCCAGAGCGGCTGCTGTCTCATGCACACCCGGCCTGGTGTGCCCGCCCCACCCAGTGTGCCCATCCTGCCCAGTGAGTGTCCCCCCCGTGTGCCTGCCCTGCGTGGTGAGGGCCCCCCTCCCAGTGAGTGTCCCCCGCCCGGTGTGCCTGCCCTGCCCGGTGTGCCTGCCCTCCCGGTGTGCCCTCCCACTGGGTGTGTGCCCGCCTGGTGTGCCCTCCCCACCCCACCCCACCTGGTATGAGCGCCCAGGTCAGCCGGGCTGCAGGATTCTCAGGGAGTCCAGGCAGCCGCCCCAGCCCCTGGCAACCCCTTCTCAGCAGGCTGGACCCAGAGCCTCACAGGGGCGTCCCCAGCACTTCCTGCCCCTGGGGTTCCTCTTCCCTGATTCACCTGAACCCAGACCGCACGTGGCAGACACGTTCCTGCCCAGACCCGGACGCCTCCATCTGCTTGGACCACTGGCTTCCCTCACGCTTTGACCGTCAGAACAGACAGGTGGTTTCTTTTAAACCTGGGCCACCCCGTTTTGCCCTGTAAATGCTGTTATTTTTAAAGCAACTGAATAATGTGATTTTCCTGCTTTGCTTCACGCCAGCCCTGGGCTGCGACTCTGCTGCTGCCTGCCCTTGCCCTGCCACTCCTGCAGAGGCCTCCTCCCCACCCACAACTCACAGTGGCCACATGGGCTGGGCTTCTCACCTCGGCCACCTCCTCCCATGTCACCCATGTGATGATGACGGAGGGCCCAGGGGTGCCAGGACTCAGAGCCGGAGCCTCTGCCCTAGTGCCTGGCTCTGCGTGGGAGGTGGGGTGGCCAAGCTTCAGCTGTCTTCTCAGTGGGCCTTTGACACCACTTTGTATCTTCCTATTAAAAATGTGTGCAATGCTGTAATGGAGGGGGGCCTTTCCGTCACCTTGGTGCCAGCACACACTCCACCCTCCAGGGAGGCCACAGGATCTGGTGAGGACAAGGCGCCCTCCACGGCAGCACAGCTGCCACAGCTTCCAGGGAGATCCCTGGGGGCCCACCGTGGGACCACTTGCCAAGCTGCTCCCCCTTCTCCGTCTCTTTCCTGACCTGCTTCGTCCTCTGGAACCCAGCCAGGCTGCTCTCCTCAGCAGCCTTCACACACGGGCGTGGCCATGAGGCCACTGTCCTTCCAGAGAATCCAGGGGACGGGAGGTGAGCCACTCCCGACGGGCGAAAGAGTCTTCCTGCGTGTCCCTCTGGGACCTGTGGGCCAGCTGGTGGGGAGACAACAGCCCCAGAGACCGTGAAGCCTCTGCCACGGCGGGTCTGCGTGAAGGATGTCCTTCCTGGTGGTCCACACTGCCGCAGAAAAATGACCCCCAAACTCAACGGGGTTCTGAAGGGCTTGGCTGGGTGGGTCTGGCTCAGCTGAGCAGCTGTCCCAGGCCATGGCTCTGAAGCCTCCACAGGGCTGGAGGGGCAGGTCCAAGCTCACCCCCAGTGCTGGCAGGTCGCGGCTCCTCGTGGCTGTGGGCCGGACGTCTCCTCACCATGAGGGCCTCTCCACGCAGGGCCCCGCACGCAGTGGCTGGCTTCCTTCAGGACGAGTGACCCAAGGCAGACAGAGTGACCCAGAGGGAAGCCACAGGGTCCTTCAGGCCCTGGACTCAGGAGTGGCATCCACTTGTGCTCTGGTCACATGGACACACCTGGCCCGGCATGGGAGGACGACACACAGCTTTGAGTACCTCCTTGTCTCTGGGCCGTCCCGGGCCCTCAGGCCCCAGAGATTCTGTGATTCTCCCAGCAAAATGCAGCCACTCCTCCCAAGGCCCCCAGAGTCTGCTGCCGTGTGAGGGCTCTATTGGCCCCAGGAGACTTTTCGAGGGTCCTGCACAGCTGCTGGCAGGCTTTGGTCCTTGCGGGCTGTTGTCTGGAGTCCCGTGCACCTCGGGAGATCGCTCTGTTCTCGCGTCGCCTGAGTTCCCACGGCATGGCTGCTGGCTTCACCCAAGCCCGTGACCCAGGAGACAGAGCAACCAGGAGGGAGACCTGGCATGTCCAGCCCAGTTTCGGAAGTGACCCATCTGCACTCTGCCGCATGCTGTCGGCCGCACAGACTCACCTGGGACTACGTGGAAGAAACCGCAAGGGCGTGAGTGCCAGGAAGCCAGGCTCACCAGGCAGAGCCGTTGCATGAGCAGGACACAAACCTCCGTTGTGTCAGGATCTTTCCATCCCAGGGACCACTTCTTGCCGCAGATTAGCCCTTCCCACAGACACAGAGACTGGAACCTTCATGCAGGGTGTGGCCAAAATATATTTCTACAGCATAGTTACACTGGGGAGGAAACAGACAGGGCAGGTGGAGACTGGGGGCCCTGCCAGGGGCCAGGGTCTGCGGGAATGAGGGGGCAGACCACCCCCACCGAGCCCAGATGCCAGGGAAGGAGCCTGGCCAGAAAGATCCAGAAGGACTCAGTGTCTGGCGGCCCTCGCTGCTCCCCATTCTTTGAGGCCGTTGTTCCCAGATGGGATGTCGGATGCGTCTCTGGCCCGGGCCCCTGGTGAAATGTGATGGAGGGGTGTGGATGGAGCGTGGTGGACACAGCAAGAGCCTGGCCAGGCATCCCTGGGGCAGGACAGCATCAGCCGGGGAGCGGGGTCTAGCCCCAGCCGCCTGGCACAGAGTGGCGCCCAATTCTAGAGCTTGAATGAAAGAGGGAATTCAGGAAGACGCTTACACCAGCCAGGCCCCGGGGCACTCAGGACGGTAGCATCACGGGGTGCCAAAGTCTGCAAAGGTGACAGAGGACGTGGGGCCTCGGCAGGGCTGCCTCCACTTCCCCAAGCACACGGAAGACAGGCAGGGTGGACGGGGGTGACCCGGCCTGGGACCTGGGCTGTACCTTAGACCTCAGTTCCCCTCCACATGGAAGCAGCACCAAGACCCACAAGCCCTCGCTGTGGGGACCCCCGGCCTCACCCACCACCGTCCACATGGCCCCCACACCCACGGCGTTCATCTGGGCCACAAGAAGTGTTCCTCCAGGGCACGGCCCACCCAGGCCCACCCTTGGAGCTTCCCTGGTATGGACTGGCTGGGCTGGCAGAATGGGTCAGGGTGCCAGGCAGACTCTCAGGGACTTGAAGCGAGGACAGAAAATACTCCCCAGACAAGGGCAGACACAGGAGGGAACAATGCCTGAGGACACAGGCCTGAGGCAGGCCAAGCGCTGCCACGCGTGGACTGGACGAAGGCCTGCTAGGCATGGCCTGGCTGGAAGTGAAGAACCGAGGCAGCACCTCTGGCTTGGAGGGAGCAGGTGGGAGCCCTTGCACTGGCTTCCTCTCCCCTGTTCTTATTCTTCTGGAATTAGGGAGGCTGCTGGGAGGTAGAGGAAGCACCTGCCCCAGTCCTCAGAGGACAGAATCATGCGAATGCTTAGTTACCGAGACCTCCTTCCCACCTGCACGCCGGGCCAGTGGCTCTGCCCGTGACAGCCCCGGGCCTGGCCTGTGCTCAGCACTCATCACTCTTGGGTCTTCCAGGCCATGGTGGCATTGCACGCCCTGCCCTAGGTGTGGGGTTGTTTCATGTTTCAGAAGCCGAAGGACCTGCCCTCCCTCTCATCTCAACACAGCGCCTGGCAGAGAAGCAGTTCCTCTGTCTACTCCAGGGGCTCACACGCCCCTCTGTAGCCCGAAAGTCGGCCTCGGATGTGATAAGCCAGGAAACTCCCTGGTCACCAGTGCATAAGCCCTCAGGGGCTCCAGACGCAGCAGCTGGTTCAGAATTTGTTATCCTGGACTAAAGCCTCCCCTTGCACCACCGTGGGGGTGGAAGGAGGTGGCTTGTCTGAGAAACACCAACATGGACAGGGACGTTCACTGTCACAGAGACAAGGCCTGGCCCCACCTCCCCACAGGACTCCCTCCCCAGTGCCTGGTCTGACGGCAGAACCAGGCAACACCCAGTTCCGCTCCCCTCACCCTTGCCTTCAGAAGCAACAGATAACGGCAAACCCTTGCGTGCAGCGACCACATGAAGACCGCAGCTGCGCGGGCTGTAGTTTCTTACCCTCTGTCAGCACGCACGGCTCTCCAACAGATGGGCGATTTCAAGTTGCTCTGCATCTTAAATGACCCCTTGATAAAACCCCAAACGGCTTTGGATGGGTCTGTTTCCTGTATCTTAAGCACAGAAAAAACAGCCCAGATGTTTCTGATTCATTCAAGCTTTAGTTCAAGAGCACGCTCTGCCGTGGGAGTTTCTTTGAAACTGAGGAGACACACAGGCCCTTCCTCCACTCCCTCCTGCCTGGCTGAGAAAAGGGACTTGCTTGCAGCCACCTGAGAGCAAACAGCACAGGTGCATGGAAGAGGGTCCCGCAGAGCCCTGGGGAGCCCGGCTGGGGACTCTGGGAAGCGGACGGCATCCACACGTGTCCACGCATTCATCGTTGGTACGAGATCCAACTCCCTACCTCCCGGGGGTGCAGAACGCAGGGTCCAGGGAGACGGCAGCCACCTTGGGGAGGATTCGGCCTTGTGAGATAGCAAGGTCCTTCCCTCAGTGGTCGTGGCCTCCCCAGAGTCCTACACCCCTCTGCTCTGCCCCCAAAGCCTGCACCCCCTTTAGAGGCCCCCTGAGCATGGAGACGGGTCCGTGTACCTGAGATCTGCAGGCACACAAATGTATCTGCAATGCTGCCTCGGTCAGCTGTGTCACATGGTTCTGCGGCTGCTCTGAAAATGGCCATTAGGTGGGAGTTTTTCTTTCCTTTTTCCTCTCCCCTTCTCTGTTATTGATTTAGAGACTTCATGCAGAAATTGAATAGGAGGAAGGGGGTGACAGTCCTCTGAGACCTGAAATCTCAGCCACGCCACGAGTGGCCGAGGGCCCAGGTCTGGTGACCAATGGTGAGAAGGAGTCATCTCTCAGAACGAGGCCCAGACAGTGCCGGGAACCAGGGGGTCCCACCAGGCACAGGCAGAACCAGCACGGTGCCTCCCCAGAGTCCGGTGACCTGAGGAGCTGCCAGGACGGCCAGACCCCAGTGAGTCAGTGACCACCAGGACGGCCAGGCACTCTCAGCAGCAGAATTCAGGCTGCATTCATTTTCTCCAAGGAGTGCAGTGTGGGTTCGGACAGTTTGAGCTCAAGCATTAGGGCTCTGTGGAGCAGGATCACAGCTAGTTATTGGGAAATCACCAAAAATGCATCGATACACAATTCTAGGTTCCAAACAAGAAGAGAAAGGACACTTTCGCTTTTAAAAGAAGGAAGATACAAAGCCTGGCAATGAACAGAAGTTTACAGAACAGAAAAATATGGGGTTAAAAACAGCCATTGGAGTCTTCCCAATTCTCATTCAGAGAGGGTGGCATGAAAGCCAACAGAAATCGATGTTGATAGGAAACAAGTGTCATCAGAGAAGGTAAGGGCATTCGCAGAGGGAATAATATTATTTGTGAACTGTCATGGCATGGCCGTTTTTAAACTTATCTTCACAGCATCTCTCCTCATAAGCAAGAGCATGAAGAGCACGGAGAATGTCTGTTTGGTGGCCGACAGCCATCACGGGGTCTCTACGTGCCGGCCAGTCCTCACCTCGTTTGCACGCGTTTATGAACTTAGCCCTCCCTCCGCACCATGAAGGGGCCCTTATCGTCCCGTTTCACAGGTGTGGAGACAGAGGCTCGAGGGGAGAAACAGCCCTGGCGGGCGAAGGCAGAGCTGAGCTTCCGAGAAGGGCCTCCTGTGTTCAGAAATTCCAAAGGAGAAGTAGAAGTTGTCCTGTGGGCAGGAGGGGAGGGAGAAACTCCCAGATGACAGGTGCGAGCCGCGGCCTCGTGCTGACATCTAGAACCGGATGATGGGAGCGAACCGCGGCCTCGTGCTGACGTGTAGAGTGGGAGGGACCCTGGCATCCAGGGGCTTCTTTCTTGGGGAAACACCAAGTATAGAAAGTCAACCATCGTTGTCTCTCACGTAGGATTAACTGTTGCTTTTCAGCTTTTTTACACTTATTTTTTGTTAAGCTATGTCACTACACTTTTTTTTCTGAAATAACGTTAGACTTATGGAAGAGTTGCCAAGATCGTCCAGGAGTCCCCGCCCCCTTCAGGCAGCTTCCTCCCGTGTCAGCACCTTGCATACCCGACCTTGACCACAAGGATTGAGGCTAAGAATTAACACGGGGCAATTAACTACACAGTAGCTTGATTCAGATTCCTCCAGTTTCTGGTAACATCCACCTCCTGCTTTAGAAACAACACTGAGTTCCATGAGCACGCAGGTGTCATCTCGCTGTAGGCTCCAGCCCACGGCAGGCCCCGTGTTTCCTTGCCTCCCATGGCCTTGCCACTTGGAAGAGCACTGGCTGGGTGTTTTGAAGAACAGCCCTCAGTTTGAGTTTGCTATTTTATCATGTCTGGATCGAAGTTATGTGTCTGTGCCAAGAAACTGGCAGAAGCCCCATACCCTGCTCAGCGTCCGCAGTAGTGACTCACGGGCCCTATGCTTTGCCTCATTATGGGTTGTTTTGGCCCTGGTCACCTGGTTCTGGTGGGATCTGCTGGCTTCCCCCACTGTAACGTTACTATTCTTCATTTGTAATTTATTTATTTGTATTTACTTATTTTGAGATGGGGTCTCTCTCTGTCCCTCAGGCTGGAGTGCGGTCGTGCAATTTTAGCTCACGGCAACCTCTACCTCCCGGGCTCAAGCAATCCACTCGCTCAGCCTCCCAAGTAGCTGGGACTACAGGTGTGTGCCACTGCGCCCAGGTAATTTTTGTATTTTTTTAGAGACAGGATTTCACCGTGTTGCCCAAGCTTCTCTCAAACTCCTGAGCTCAGATGATCTACCTGCCTTGGCCTCTCAGGGAAGATACTTTGAGACTACAAGAGTATCCTATTTCTCCTCAAAGTCTTTTCTGCTAATTTTAGCATGGGTTGGTGGGTTTTGTCTGCAACAATTACTACTGTGGTGTTCTGAGATGATTTGTTTCCTCACTACTCTGCTGGAATTCCTCTGAAGGAAGGACCGCCCTCCCCTCACTGATTTATTCAATCACTCGTGTGCCTTCATGTGGACTTGTGCATATTTATGCTTTGGATGATCATCCCACACTGTCATTATTTACTTAGTTGCTAAAATTTACCCAGCTCTGGCCACTGGGCTTTTCCAGGCGGGCCCTTGGGACCCTCCCATCCTTCGGGAGCACTTTCTCGCTTTCCAGCATAACCCCAGGCTGCCCCGGTTTTTCCCCCAGCCCTGGAATCCATCATTTCTCCAAGGAACCCTGCTCTTTTTACTGGAGAATGAGCTTTAGAGACCAAGGTCAGGGCACTAACTGTGCTCATTGCTGCTGGGGTGTCGCTGAGCAAAGAGAAATGTGAATAGCAAATTAGCCTATAATTATTAATAATTATTTATTGATGGGTAAATAAAGGAATGAATGAAGGAGGAATTATTCAAAATACTCAAAAGATGGATGTTGAGTACGACACTTCCTCCTTGTAAGAAATAATTTAAATGTAAATGAACACGTATCTAACTTACAGCAGGGGCTATGCCTCTTGGTGTTTTCCTGTGTGTACATCGCTGTGACACATGAAAAACGGAGAGACACCCAGAGGCAATGAGAAATGCTGAACGACGCAAAGCAAAACAAAAGCAAACATTTAAAACAAACTTCTAAGTTTACAAGAAAGAAAGAACAGACTTCGAAAAAATACCCACCTGTCGATAAAATGAGATAAATTGACCATAGATGAACCTGCTCATCAACCAGTCTGGGATCCATATTTACATTATTTCTGTGATGCCAGAACTACCAGGTAAAAAGACAAACAAACAGAAACGGTCCCAGGCTGGTGACAAGCCAAGACTGCCTAAACCAGGGCCACCTGCTCTGAAGGGGGACTCCCCCACCTGCCTCCTGAGATTCCCACGGTCAGAGTTCCCCCAAAGACGATCCTACAGTCCTAGTGACGAAACACCCAGGGAAGCCAGCCCCAGGAGTGAGAGCTGCCAGAGGCCGCCTGTGCCCAGACACGAGCCCCAGAGTTAATCTATAGTGACCATCTTTAAAGTTATCAACTGTAGAAGAAGGGTTCAAAATCAAAGGAAAACATGGGACACCATGAAAAATACGAAGAGTTTTAAAAGAATAAAATAAAGCCTCTAAAAATGAAGTGTAGAGCTATTGAAATTTCTTTTTTTCTTTGAGTGGCTGAAGGGGGTAGTTCCCTTTCTCTGTGGGTTTTCAGCAGTTTCCCTGTGATTTTCAATAGGAAAAGCAACAGATTCAGCATAGCTGAAAGATTTCCCCTACAAAATAGCCCACAATGTCCACACAGAGAGTGAAGGAGGTGCGGACAAATGGGAGATGAAGACACACAGAGGAGAGAATGAAAAGCTTCCACTGGTTGTTAACAGGATTCACAGGGGAACAGGAAATCAAATGTTACGGGCTGGCAATAATAGAACAAGACAGATAAACTCACATCCAGACACATTGCAATGAAACCATAAAACACAGAAGACTGAGATCTTTAAAGCAAAAAACAATTGCTTTAAGCCACGTTAACTACAAAGGGGCATTTGAACGATGGAGGCTTCCCAAGAGCAGAAGCAGGACAGAGACGCAAAGTCCCTTCCACACAGTGGGGGAATGGCAGTCAGCCTCAAATTCGACACCCGGTTTGTGGGGTGAGAGGTTTTTCTCATTATCTTGATTATGATAATGGCTTCATGGGTTTATATCTATATTTCAAAACCTACCAAATTGTAGCCTTTCAATATAATCATTTTTGTATGCCAGTTGTTCCTGCATAAGGCTATAAAAAAAAAAAAAAGAAGAAGAAGAAAAGAAAGACAAACCCTAACAGACAGGCTTCACAGCGGATTAGACACAATTGAAGAGGAGACTGGGAAGCCAGACCATGAGGCAGTGGAAAATATCCAGACAGAAGAACAGAGAGAAAAACCTAAACCCTAAAATAAAATCCAACGATTTAAAAGATGGAAGACGTGTTGGAAACAACTAGCAGCAGCGAAGTGTTTGTGGCATCCTGGAAAGAGGGCCAGGAAGCGTAGCCATCCCTGAGCCAGATAAGAGCAGAGAGAACAGCGTAGACAAGTCACAGGAGAACTGCTGGGAACCACAGGCCAGGGGAAATATCCCTAAGGCATTCAAAGAAAAGAAATGCCATTTTATAAGGAGCAGTAAAATAATGGAATCCAGGAGAGAATGGACCTCCATCCTCCTGACGCGAAGAAAACACAATTGCCAAGCCAGGCTTCCCTGCCCAAGACAAACAGGCTCCACGAGTGAAGGTGAAGCAGACATTCCAGATTAAAAAAGAAAACAAAAAACAGAAAAAACTCTTTGGCAAGATCCTGTGCTGAAGGAGACGCGATATGAAGTTACTCAGGCAGAGGAAATGTATCACAGATGGAAGCAAGAAAGTGCCAGATGGACTGCAAAGCGCAGGAGGACAAATGCACCACAAACCCGCACGCTGGCGAGAGCTCCAAAGCAACTCTGCGTCAGAGTCCAAGTGAGTAGAACAAGACAGACAAACTCACATCCAGACACATTGTAGTGAAACCACAAAACACGGAAGACTGAGATCTTTCAAGCAAAAAAACACAATTGTTTTAAGGCACATTAACTACAAAGGGGTGTTTGGACTGATGGGGGCTCCCCAAGAGCAGAAATGGGGCAGTTAAAGCACGACAGCCACCAAAGCACGAAAGGGGCTCTGCACATCGGGCACCACGAGCTCAACTGCGTGAGCCGGGCTCTGTGAAGGAGGCGCTAAGCTGTGTTTGACTGAAGAGTTCATGGAGGGAAACTGGAATACGTAAAACACGACAAGGTTTATTTCTACTTAGTAAAGTCAGAAGATCAATTTAAATACAAATATATTAGGAATTGCACTAAATACTCTCGTTAAGAGGTAAACATCTCCAAGGTCAGGTTGGACTTGAAACAAAACAAAAACCTATGCATGGCTTTTGAGAGATATGTCTTAAATATAGGTATATTAAAGGTGAAAAGTAAGAAGGTAGAAAAAGACGTGCTATCCAAATTCCAGTCAAAGGGAAGCTGGCACAGCTGCACCACTGTCCAAGCTGACGTTAGGGCAAGAGGCACTCATGGTGATGTGGGACTGGTCCCCTAGGAAGGTGTAGCAATTTCCAAGCTGTGTGCACCCAATCACATAGCCTTATTATAGGTTGTAAAATTCAACAGAATCCACAGTCGTTGTGGGAGTTTTAAGCACAGCATTCTCAGTAACTGTTAAACCTGCTAAGAAATCGCCAAAAGATACTGATTTGTAAAACATCATTTACATAATCATCAAATACAAGGCCCTGTACAGAATGCATTAAACAAAATGCTCATGTGCACACAGAACATTTAAACTAAATGACAACAAACTGGTCACGAAGCCAGATGACATTGTAGGATTAAAACCATTTAGGATATTTTCTCTGATCCCAATGCAATAATGGAAACCTAATTTTTAAAAACCATAAAAAAATCAGTGTTTGAAAATTAAACAGTGACCTTCTAAATAATTCAAGGGTTAAAAAATAAATCGCAAGAGAAATTAAAGCATATTTGAATGAAACAATAAGAATATGACAAATTAAAACTTGAGAGATGTAGTGATTTTATAGCCTTAAATAAATATTTAGGGGAAAAAAAAGGACTCAAAAATAGTGACCTATTATCCATCTTAAGAAATTAGATTGGCCAGGCACAGTGGCTCATGCCTGTAATCCCAGCACTTTGGGAGACCGAGACGGGCAGATCACGAGGTCAGGAGATCGAGACCATCCTGGCTAACATGGTGAAACCCCGTCTCTACTAAACACACAAAAAATTAGCCAGGCGTGGTGGCAGGTGCCTGTAGTCCCAGCTACTCGGGAGGCTGAGGCAGGAGAATGGCGTGAACCCAGGAGGCAGAGCTTGCAGTGAGCGGAGATCACGTCACTGCACTCCAGCCTGGGCGACAGAACGAGACTCCATCTCAAAAAAAAAAAAAGAAATTAGATTAAAAAGGCAAAGAAGGCAGTAGAAAGGAAATAATAAAGATAAGAACAGAAGCTAATAAAATAAAGGAGACACAATAGAACATCTTAAAAGATGATTCTTTGAAAAGAACAAAAACACTAATAAAATCTTGCCAAAAGTAATAAAAGAAAAAGAGAAAAGACATGAAGTATTAATATTAAAAATAAAAAGAGAGATGTTACTGTATATTCTGAGGATACTTAAAAATAATGAGCTTATTTTGAAATAATGTGCCATTATATTTGACAATATAGAGGAAATGAATGAATTCCAAATAAACACAGTTTTTCAAAACTGATGCAAGAATAAAAGAAGACTCGAAGAAATTAGAGAAGACACAAACAAGTGGAAAAACATGCCATACTCATGGATAGGAAGAATCAATATCATTAAAATGGCCATACTGCTCAAAGCAATTTACAGATTCAGTGCTATTCCCATCAAACTACCAACAACATTCTTCACAGAACTAGAAAAAAAATTATTTTAAAATTTATATGGAACCAAAAAAAGAGCCCGAATAGTCAAGGCAATCCTAAGCAAAAAGAACACAGCTGGAGGCAACACGTTACCTGACTTTAAACTATGCTACAAGGCTACAGTAACCAAAACAGCATGGTACCGATCCAAAAACAGGCACACAGACCAATGGAACATAAGGGAGAGCCCAGAAATAAGACTACACATCTAAGACCATCTGATCTTCAACAAAGCTGACAAAAACAAGCATCGGGGAAAAGATTCGCTATTCAATGAATGAATGTGGGATAACTAGCTAGCCATGTGCAGAAGATTGAAGCTGGACCCCTTCCTTACGCCATACACAAAAATCAACTCAAGATGGATTAAAGACTTAAATGTAAAACCCAAAACTATAAAAACCCGGAAGACAACCTAGGCAATACCATCCTGGACATAGGAAAGGGCAAAGATTTCATGACAAAGGCACCAAAGGCAATCACAACAAAAGCAAAAGTTTGCAAGTGGGATCTAATTAAACTTGGTAGTTCTGCATAGCAAAAGGAAATACAGCAGAATAAACAACCAACAGAATGGGAGAAAATATTTGCAAACTTTGCACCCGACAAAGATCTAAGATCCAGCATCTATAAGAAACTTTAACAAATTTACAAGAGAAAAACAAACAATCACATTAAAAAGTGAGCAAAGGACATGAACAGATACTTTTCAAAAGAAGACATACAGCCATAAAAAAGAATGAGTTCATGTCCTTTGCAGGGACATGGATGAAGCTGGAAGCCATCATCCTCAGCAAACTAACACAGGAACAGAAAGCCAAACACCACATGTTCTCACTCATAAGAGGGAGTTGAACAATGAGAACACATGGACACAGGGAGGGGAACATCATACAGTGGGGCCTGTCTGGGGGTGGGGGTCAAGGGGAGGGAGAGCATTAGGACAAATACCTAATGCATGCAGGGGTTAAAACCTAGATGATGTGTTGATCGGTGCAGCAAACCACCATGGCACATGTATAACTCTATAACAAACCTGCATGTTCTGCACATGTATCCCAGAACTTAGAGTAAAATTAAAAAAAAAAAGAAGACATACATGCAGCCACAAGCATAGGAAAAAAAGCTCAATGTCACTGATCATTAGAGAAATGCAAATCAAAACCACAGTGAGAAACCATCTCACACCAGTCAGAATGGCTATGATTAAAAAGTTAAAAAATAACAGATTCTGGTGAGGTTGTGGAGAAAAGGGAATGCTTATACATTGTCGGTGAGAGTAAAAATGAGTTCAACCATTGTGGAAAGCAGTATGGCAATTCTTCAAAGAGCTAAAAGCAGAAATACCATTTGACCCAGCAATCCCATTACTGGGTATATGCCCAGAGGCATATAAATCATTCTACTGTAAAGACACATGCACACGAATGTTCACTGCAGCACCATTCGCAATAGCAAAGACATGGAATTAACCTAAATGCCCATCAATGACAGATTGGATAAAGAAAATGTGGTACATATACACCATGGAATACTATGCAGCCATAAAGAAGAATAAGATCATGTCTTTCAAGAGAACATGGATGGAGCTGGAGGCCATTATCCTTAGCAAACTAATGCAAGAACAGAAAACCAAATACTGCATATATTCACTTATAAGTGGGAACTAAGTGATGAGAACACATGGACACAGAGAATGGAACAACAGACACTGGGATCTACCTGAGGGGGGAGGTGGGAGGAGGGAGAGGAGCAGAAAAGATAACTATCAGTCATCTTTTGGACTTGATGCCTGAGTGATGAAATACTCTGTACAACAGCCCCCTGTGACACGTGTTTATCTGTGTAACAAACCTGCACGTGTACCCCCAAACCTAAAATCAAAGTTAAAAAATAAAATATAAAGATTATTTCATGGTGTTCTAGCACCTTGGAAAAAAAGAATAAAAGAATAAATCTGAATAGATTCCTTTAAGAAATGGAATCTGGGCTGGGCGTGGTGGCTCACGCCCATAATCCCAGCACTTTGAGAGGCCGAGGTGGGTGGATCATGAGGTCAGGAGATCAACACCATTCTAGCCAACATGGTGAAACCCTGTCTCTACTAAAAATACAAAAAAATTAGCTGAGTGTGGTGGTGCATATCTGTAGTCCCAGCTACTCAGGAGGCTGAGGCTGGAGAATTGCTTGAACCTGGGACGCAGAGGTTACAGTGAGCCAAGATCGTGCCACTGCACTCCAGCCTGGGGACACAGCAAGACTCCATCTAAAAAAAAAGAAAAGAAAAGAAATGGAATCTGTAATTTAAAATTTTACCACAAAGAAAACTCTAGACCAAAGTGGTTTTACTAGTGAATTCTTCTAAACATTTAGGAAGTAACACCAAACTTGTAGAGTGCTTCCACAGAACAGAAGCAGGAAATATTTCACAAATAATTCTGTGAGGCTCGCATACCTCCATGTCCAACAACTAGACAAATTACAAGAAAAAATATTATAGCTCAATCACTCTCGTGGACATGAATGCAAAAATCCTCAACAAAATATTAGCAAACTGAAGTCAGATTTACATAAAAGGCATAATATATAATAACCAAGACATATTTTTCTAGAAATTCAAGGTTGGCAATTTAATATATTAATAGACTAGAGGGGAAAAATCATATAGTCATTTCAACTGATGATTTTTAAAAAGCATTTAATACAAGGCAACACCACTCATGAAAAATATGTTAAGCAAACTAGAAATAGAACGTTACTGCCTTAATTTGATAAAAAGCACCTACAAAGCCCTGCAGCAGGTGCGATGGGAAGACACAGAGCGCTTTCCCTGAGATGGGTCGGCTATCACCTAGTCCACCCAGCAGGGTGCTGGGGTCATGGCCAGTGCTGACAGGTAAGAAAAAGAGAAAAAGAAGTAGCACAAAATAAAACTAGCACTTGTTGAAAACACAACCGTGCCAGTAGAAAATCCAAATGAATCTATGGATCCTCAGAATTAATACATTTAGCAAGGTTATTGAGTACAAGGTCAACATACAAGCTGTATTTTTACAGGTGAGCAGAAGCAAACAGAAAGTGTTTTAAAATGTAAGGTTTTATAAATGGCAGTGAACCCATGAAAATACTCTGAGCCTCACTCATCAAGAGGGAAACTCAATCAAAACCACAATGAGATGCAACCTCATGCCCATTAGAAGGCAAGAAATAATAATAATAATAATAATAATAATACCTGTTGGGGAGGAGGTAGAGAAACTGGAACCTCGTGTACATTTCCTGGGAATGTCAAATGGTGCAGCTTCTGTGAAAAGCAGTATGGCAGCTCCTCAAAAAATTACGAATAGAATTGCCATATGATGCAGCAAGTTTGCTTTGGGTCTGTACCCAAACTAATTGAAGGAAGGGTCTAGAACAGAACTTCCACACCCATGTTAATAGCAACAGTACTTGCAATAGCCAAAAGGTGGATGCAACCCCAGTGTCCACCAATGGATGAATGGGTACATGCAACGTGATCTATTCACACAATGGACCATCACTCGGCCCTTCTCCATCAATGGAAGAAAGGGTACATGCATCATGGTCTATTCACACAATGGACCATCACTCAGCCCTTCTCCATCAATGGAAGAACGGGTACGCGCATCGTGGTCTATTCACACAATGGACCGTAACTCAGCCCTTCTCCATCAGTGGAAAAATGGGTACATGCATCATGTTCTATTTACACAATGGACCATCACTCAGCCCTTCTCCATCAATGGAAGAATGGGTATGTGCATCGTGGTCTATTCACACAATGGACCATCGCTCAGCCCTTCTCCATCAATGGATGAATGGGTACGCGCATCTTGGTCTATTCACACAATGGACCGTCGCTCAGCCCTTCTCCATCCATGGAAGAATGAGTATGCATAACGTGGTCTATTCACACAATGGAATGTCACTCAGCCCTTCTCCATCAATGGAAGAATGGGTACATGCAACATGGTCTATTCACACAATGGAACATTGCTCAGCCCTTCTCTATCCATGGATGAATGGGTACATGCATCGTGGCCTATTCACAAAATGGAATATTGCTCAGCCCTTCTCCATCAGTGGAAGAATGGGTACACGCATCATGTTCTATTAACACAATGGACCATCACTCAGCCCTTCTCCATCAATGGAAGAATGGGTACGTGCAACATGGTCTATTCACACAATGGAACATTGCTCAGCCCTTCTCTATCCATGGATGAATGGGTACATGCATCGTGGTCTATTCACACAATGGACTGTTGCTCAGCCCTTCTCCATCAGTGGAAGAATGGGTACGTGCATCATGGTCTATTCACACAACGGAACGTCGCTCAGCCCTTCTCCATCCATGGACGAATGGGTACGCGCACTGTGGTCTATTCACACAACGGAACGTCGCTCAGCCCTTCTCCATCCATGGACGAATGGGTACGCGCACTGTGGTCTATTCACACAACGGAACGTCGCTCAGCCCTTCTCCATCCATGGACGAATGGGTACGCGCACTGTGGTCTATTCACACAACGGAACGTCGCTCAGCCCTTCTCCATCCATGGACGAATGGGTACGCGCACTGTGGTCTATTCACACAATGGAACGTCGCTCAGCCCTTCTCCATCCATGGACGAATGGGTACGCGCACTGTGGTCTATTCACACAATGGAACGTCGCTCAGCCCTTAACAGGAAGGAGATTCTGACACAGGCTACCACATGAACAAACCCTGAGGACATGATACTGAGTAAAATGGGTTAGTCACAAAACTACAAATTCTGCATGATTTCACTTACAGACGGTCCCTGGGGTTGTCAAATCCACAGAGACAGAAGGTAGAATAGTGGGTGCCAGGGTCTGGGGGAGGTGGATGGGGAGTTAGCATTTATGGTGACAGAGCTCCAGTTTTGCAAAATGAAAATGTTCTAGAGATGGTTGTTGGTGATGGTGGCATGGAATAATAATGCCACTGAACTGTGTACTTAAAAGTGATTCAGATGGTAAATTTTATGTTTATGTATATTTTACCAAAATTTAAAAAATGGGAAAATATCACATTTTCAGCTGCATAAAATGCTATGGTAAATCTAGCTAAACTTTCCTCTACACAGAAAATGACAAGGTCTGATTGACGGCCATAGGCTATTCAAGGAACAGGGTTTCTGGGGGCAGCAAGCCAGGGGCCCAGGAGCTGGGTCCGTTTGAATTCTCCTTTGAAAGGAGGGCCAGGAGAGAGCTGCCCCAGAGGTCCCTCAGCAGGGCTGGAGTGCATTCCCACAGAGCAGGATGGAGCTGAGGCAGTGGCCCCTCCTCCGGGGCCTGGTGGGTGGTTCCCAGGTTCTGGGACCTCCTTACATCGGGCAGCGCCTTTCAGCATGGGAAGCTGGAGGCACTGGGAGATGGTAGGCTGGGGGTTCTGGGCAGCTGTGCCGCGCGGGCCTGGACTGCTGGGTCCTCGGGAGGCTTTCGCCCTGCAAGGACATGTGGGCTGTGTGGCTGGAGAAAGAGGACTAGGGCCCAGGGCGTGAAGCGGCCTTGGATGTGGCTCAGGGGTTCCATGGCCCCACCGTTGCCTGCTCTCCACAGAGGCCCCACTGCCCACCCCACACTCCTGGTTCCACCGGGGACTCACTCCGTCCACACATATCCTCAGCGTGGGCACTGGTCCCTTGTCCAGGACCAGATGCTGAGCCCACCCTCCAGCTGGGGCTCTTGTGACCCCAGTGAAGCCCACGGAGCCACTCCCTGCAGTGAAACCTGAAGCACATCTCGATGACACCGACGTCACTGACCGGGAAAGGCCAGCTCCAGAACATACCATGCGTGAAGGAGCCACCATGGGCCAGGGTGGTGGCTCTGTGGACACAGGCCCTGGGCTGAGGCCACCCTCTTCTGTGGGGGTCAGCACGGGGACCGGCCCTTCCCTCTTGGACCTGGTGGACCCTGTGGCACGTGGGGTGGCATCGGCTGCCTGGGCACAGCTCTCAGCGGGAGGGCCAGGTCCCAGGAAATGAGGCAGGGGCTGCCAGGCCCCCACAGGCCACCTCACCTGCAGCCCCTCTTTCTGGCCCTCTGCACGCAGGGAAGTGGTGGTCAGAGAGGGGCACACGGGCGGGCTGGCAGCCGCCCTGTCCCCATGCCCCCACTCCAGACTTTCCCCTTCCCATCCTTCCCAGAGGACCCAAGGGAGGACCACGCCTTTTTAAATTATTTTTAATTTTTTGGATACATAACAGTTGTACATATTTATGAGGTATGTGTGCTATAGTGATGCGTGCACGTAACACCTAACGATCAGACCAGGGAAACTGGGCTACCCATCACCTCGAGTGCTGATCATTCCTTTCTGTCAGGAACATCCCAAATCCTCTCTTCTAGCTATTTTGAAATAAACGATAAAGTATTAACTATAGTCACCCTACAGTACCACCAAACAGCAGGTCCTAGTTCTTCAGCCTGGCAGCATGCCTGCAGCCCTTCATCTCCCCCTTCCCTTCCCAGCGTCCGTGGCCACCAATCTACTCCATGAGACCCACTCTCAGCTCCCGCAGGAGGGAGGCACGGGGCGTTCATCTTTCTGCGCCTGGCTTCGTTCCAGTTCCATCCACGCTGCCGCGAACGGCAGGATTTTGCTCTTTTCAGCTGAAGAGTACCCCATGGTGTCCACGCACCTCGTTTTCTCTGTCCACACATCTGCTGATGGACAGATGCCCAGGCTGATTCTGCATCTTGGCTATCGAGATTAGGCTGCAGTAAACCCAGCGGCACAGACATCCCTCCACAAATTTCTTTCCTTTGGATGGGTGCCCGGCAGATTTCTGGGCCCTGTGGGAGCTTGGTCTTTAGTTTTCTGAGGAGCCTCCACACCGTCACCTCCCTGCCAAAGGTGCTCATGGGTTCCCCTTTCTCCACACCCCGGCCAGCACATTTTCTGTTTTTTTTAAATCGCTTTATTAAAGTTTGTAAAACTGGGTTTAGAAGCAGTTCTTTAAGAAAACCTCTGAACACTATGACTGTTTCCCTGTAAGCTGAAGGCGTGGGTCGCTGTTTTGGGTGGAAATAGGTGGGGCTGGCTCATGCTCTGGGGAGGAGGGATTTGAAGACACAGCTTATGGAAGGTTCCTGTGGGTCTCCTTAGGGAAATGGGGAATGTCCATGTTCCCACCCCCAAGAGACACAGTCTGGAAGAAGACAGGAAACAGACAGATTGGCTACAATCCGCAATGTGGGCTCCAGGCCCTTGTGAGCTGAGAGGAGGTGAGAAGAGGGGAAGGGAAGACAGAGAGGAGCTGCGGGCACGTGGGCGGGATGACGCCTGCACTGAGGAAGGCCAGAACCCCAGACAACGACATCTTTTTGGGTTCTGCTGTGACTCCCTACAGGAACCCCAGACCTCCAGGAAGCCCAGTGACACGGCGGCCTTCACTGTCCCCCGACAGCCAGGTGTCCACGAACCCTCATCTGGTGGCCTTTGTGACAAAGGAAAGTGGGCTGGCTGTGAAATAACAGCAAATGGATAGCAAGTGTCAGAAGAACTGTATTCCCACACCCATGCACACACACACACACACACACACGGAGACACACGCACACACACACACGCACACACATGCACCCGCAAACACACGCATGCACATGCGCACACATGTACACGTGCACACAGAGACACACACACATGCAAACACACACACACACGCACACGCAGGAACTCCAACCTCCCCTTCCCACTTTGTCAAAAGCGAGCTGGATGAGAAGCCTGGGAGGTTTGAGTTCTGTCTCCATGACCATAAGTCTGCAGCCACACAATTGTGTGATGGGTTGTGTGATCTTCCTGACAAGGAACCAGTTGAAGGATGCTGACTGGGAAGCCGTGCACGCGACCGGCCGTCAGGATGTGCCCGAGGTAGGAGCAGCCCTTCCGGGTTGACTGGGGCTGGAGACGCCCAGCTCGCCCCGCCCTGGCAAAGCCCAACACTCCTCTGGCCTGACTTCGTAATGACAGGGGATTGGGGTGCACAGCCAGCAGGTGCCCCCACATTGCAGGGAGGATTCAAAGCAAAACCACTTCAGTTTGCTTCCAGGAAGGGGTGAGCGAGTCGACTCCAGGCTGTCAAGGGCAGCAGCTGTGGCTGGGACCCTGGATGGTGCTGGTCCTCCTGCGGTGGAAGCAATCCAGGAGATGCTGGGTGCAGTGCAGGGCCACCGCACAGGGAGGTGGGCAGAGGCGGGCAGAGGTGGGCAAAGGTGGACAGGGCCCCACCCTTTTCTCCCTCCTTTCTTTGCTTTTCTCCTTCTGAGCTTCCTGATCATTTACAGCAGGAACTGTCTTCCTGATGACCTCACTCCCACCCCAGTGCCTGGTATACAGTGGGCGCTCAATAAATGTTGGTGGAGTGAATGGTCACTGGCAAGGGCAGAGGCCATAAAGAGGAGAGATTTCGGGCCTCAGCCAAGAGCTCCTGGCCACCGTGGGGCCTCCTCGCTCACCGCACAGGTCCTCCCACCCAACCTGGGCAAGGGATTGTGGTGTGAGTGTGGACGAGGCCTGGGCATCCTGAGACTTCTCAAGTTCCCATTTCCTCAGCTGGCACAGAGAAGCCAACTCTGTGAGGGCCCCAGGGCTCAGTATTCACCTTCTGAACTTGGGGGAAGAAAAACCAGTCCAGGTTACATCCAAGGAGCACTCGTTGAGACACTTGGTCTGGGAGGACAGTGCTAATCAAAGCCTCACGTCCCTGGCAGTGCAACTCCACAACTGCTCAGCCCCACACAGACACAACATGTGGGCGGGTGATTCGGTTTTTGCGGAATTGACTTTGTGTGTGGATGTCATGGAGACACTTCCTGGCGGGCGCCGAGAGAAAGGGGCATTGTTCTTCCCGCCGGAGAAAGGAGGGCACTGGGGGAGCCTTGGGCAGTCCCCTCTGTGGCCAGAGAAAGAGGCTGGGAGGCGTCCCGGGGGCCTCTGAGGCTGGGCGATTTGGGGTGCCAGAGACCGCTAAAGCAGCGGCCCACTGCCCAATTTATGTGTGCGCTAAATCACGACCATGATTTCTGCGTGTTTTCTAGAATAGTAGCCAGTCACAAAACACAGGACATGGTCTCATAACGTTCCAGATTCTAAACATTTACAATCAATCTCTATGCTTTTTAACAAATATCTCAAAATCAGACTCATCTTTTCAACATATTTTTAGTGTTCTGGTTTCCGTTTCTGTTTAGGCACATTTGTCACGGCAAAGCCTGGAGCTGCACTTATCAGAAACGTCTAAAAATTCAGAAGCTGATTGCTTTTAAAAGTAGCAGAACTAAAACAAAAACCTAAACACTAGGTTGTTACATTTTGGGAGGTGTCTCCATGTGGACTCCTAAATTATTGTCTGAGGTCTGCTTACTCCAAGAGGCATTTCTCTTTTCAGAAAATTAAAAACATTAAGTACTCCATCCGGACACAAAGCGTCTCCATATGACAGAGTTTTGTTACTGTGGGGAGAGGACAAAGCACCAGCCACACCCCTCATTCCACAGCCTTTCCCAACCCTCCCCTCGAGATGAAACACTGGCCATCTGCAGCGCTTCACCTCTGAGCTGGAAAGAAGCTTGTTTCTTTTGCTTTGATGAGGTTCTGCTGGTTTTGGCGGGACTTTGAAGTTTATTTATTGTCATTAAATTGCATTAATTATTTTTGAAGTTTATACTTTTGTTCACAACTCTTAAGACTTTGTGAAGTGCATAAAATAAGCGTAAATTCAAAAAATTCCAAGAAATGGATCCAACAGTTACTTTTAATTGGCAGCAGAATATGGCCCCCAATTTATTACAAACTTACATGCAATGGTTTAGAACTAATTTTAACTTCCCCTTGAAGTTGGAATTCAAAACCTCACTGGTGGCTTGACATGGTATTAATCAAGGAGAATGTTTGTTTCATAATTTGAAACAAGAACCTGGATCTTTTATGAGGTCCAACATTATTTCCATATGAGGGGGCAGAGTGGGAAGAAGGCAGCTGGAACAGACGCCAGGGCCCAGCCAGGATCTGGGGCCCTCTTGATCTCCCTCATTATCGGAGCTCCTTCTCCCAGGGCCAGCCAGGGGCGCCACACAGCGCAGCCTTTTGCCTGGGGTCAGAGAAAGCTTATGGGCCAGGGCAACAACAAAACCACTTACCACCGCCAGATCGCATTCCCCCCAGCAGAGACCCCAGCCTGCTTCAGCCCCACCCCGAGCAGAGACCCCAAGACCCCGGCCTGCCTCAGTCCACCTGTCCAGAGACCCCTGCCTGCCTCAGCCCCACCCCGAGCAGAGACCCCAAGACCCCGGCCTGCCTCAGTCCACCTGTCCAGAGACCCCTGCCTGCCTCAGCCCCACCCCGAGCAGAGACCCCAAGACCTCGGCCTGCCTCAGTCCACCTGTCCAGAGACTCCTGCCTGCCTCAGCCCCACCCCGAGCAGAGACCCCAAGACCCCGGCCTGCCTCAGTCCACCTGTCCAGAGACCCCTGCCTGCCTCAGCCCCACCTCGAGCAGAGACCCCAAGACCTCGGCCTGCCTCAGTCCACCTGTCCAGAGACTCCTGCCTGCCTCAGCCCCACCCCGAGCAGAGACCCCAAGACCTCGGCCTGCCTCAGTCCACCTGTCCAGAGACCCCAGCCTGCCTCAGCCCCACCCCAAGCACAGATCCCAAGACCTCGGCCTGCCTCAGTCCACCTGTCCAGAGACCCCAGCCTGCCTCAGCCCCACCCCAAGCACAGATCCCAAGATCCCTGCCTGCATCAGCCCTACCAGTCCAGAGCCCCCGGCCTGCTTCAGCCCACCCGTCCCCTTCACTGCATTGGTCTCCATTCCTTTCTCCACAGCTTCCCAGCACTCCTGTGCCAGGGCCTTTCCCCAGCTCCAGGCCCAGCTGCAAGTGAGGTCCAGGCCTCCCTCGGCCCGTGCCATGGAGAGAGGCAGTAACCTGGCGAGGATGCCCGGGTGTGGAGGAGGGACCTGGGCTGGGGCTGTGTTGTGGGGAGGGGCCGGGGATGCCCCCTAGCGGACTGGGATGGTGTCTCTGATGCAGAGATGTTGGGGGAGGTGGTCGCAGAGGTAGAGGGAGGGTAGAGGGAGCTGGAAACGGGGAGGGGAAAGGCCCCTCGCACTGGGTGCCCGCCCTGCAAGTGTTGTGCTGGCCAGGATGAGAAGCTGTGGCCACTCAGCAGCCCTGGAGCAGGCCATCGGGGAATCTCCAGGGAGGGGCTGGCAGGCAGAGGCCCAGAGGCAGGACCTGCAGCTCGAGTTGAATGGGCAGCAGGGCCACAAAGACGCCAAGGCCGGGGCACTGTGGGACCCCTGCCCGCAAGGAAGGGGGGCGCCATGTGGGCTGCGCGGGGCTGGGTTTTGCTGTTTTGGCCCATGCTTTCCCTGTGCCTCTGCCTGTTCAGAGCCCCTGGCGCCCTGGAGGAAGGTCTGGGGGCAGCAGGGGGACCTGGATGGCTGGGGGTGGAGTGGGAGGGGAAGGTGGGGTCCAGGGTTTTCCTCCTAGTCCAGGGAGTTGGCCGCGGGTTTGGAGGACAGAGCCCTGACAGGGACGTGAGGCATTGGCTGTGAGCTCGAGGGGACGTACTCATGGGCGCCAGGGCAGAGACAGAGGAGGCTCAGAATTGGAGTCTGGGGCCTCTGGGAGGGGAGCTGGCTGGTGAAGTGGTCCAGGGTGAGGGCGGGGGCATGGCAGCAAGCAGAAGGACCCCTTTCCACTGACCCACGCCGCTCGTCCACAGCAGAGGCTCGGACCCCATTCCACGTGGGAGGTGGAACATGCTGGGGGGGACAGCAGCCCAAGTGGGGACAGAGGGGGGTCCAGCAGCCTTGCCCCACCCCACCCCCCACCGGATCCCAGGGGTCCAGCAGTCCCCTTGCCTCTGACCAGATCGCTGGGTCCAGCAGCCCATCATCTGCATCACAGGGGCAATGTGTGGTTTTTAGGTTTTGGTGTGTGTGGTGTGTCTGTGTGGTGTGTGTGTGTGTGTGGTGTGTGTTTGTGTGTCTGTGTGTGTGGTGTGTGTGTAGTGTGTGTTTGTGGTGTGTGTGTGGTGTGTGTGTGTCTGTGGTGTGTGTGTGGTGTGTCTGTGTGGTGTGTGTTTGTGTGTCTGTGTGAGTGTGGTGTGTGTGTGGTGTGTTTGTGTCTGTGTGGTGTGTGTGATGTGTCTGTGTGGTGTGTGTGTGGTGTGTGTGTGTGTGTGTCTGTGTGGTGTGTGTGTAGTGTGTGTGGTGTGTGTGTGTGTGGTGTGTGTTTGTGTGTCTATGTGTGTGTAGTGTGTGGTGTGTATGTGTCTGTGTGTTTGTCTATGCACATTTCTTTGGTCCTGGCCTTTTTTAATGATGGCAACAAACTTTACGAGAGTTTAGTCTTCATCTTTCTTTCTTTCTTTTCATATCTCTTGCAGCTTTTCCTGGATTTGTTTTTCTTTTCATTTTGAGGTTTTCTCCATAAATGTTTTCATTGTGGGTTTTGTTGGCAAGTCTTCTGAAGGCTTATGAGACTATTTTTATTATACCCTCAAAATACTTCTTTCTTTCAACTATTGTATTTTTTTACAGCCATTATTTCCACTTTGTTCTTTTTTCAGGACATTTTTCTTTTTCACACCGCTAACATCTTTTCTTATCATGTTAAATATGAGCATCCTACTCATGTTAAGTCATGTGTCTATTCTAACACACCTGCTTCAGATGTCTGTCATACACCTTCCAGTTTGTGGCTTTTTCTTTTGTGATATTTAAATTGCTTGGGCGTTTAGTTCCCTTCACCCAAGAGCTCACCTTCCTCTACAAGTGGGTTTAATCACCTCTGGAGGAAGATACATCCTCCACAACTTCTATTTTCATGCATAGCATCCAAAATACAAACTTCTGGCTATGCCAAAGACCACAAGGCCAATCACCAAGAGACAAAAAGGAAATATAAACAGAACTGAATAGGAGCAGATGTTGGACTTACCAAATATGATTTTAAATTAACTTTAGTTAAAATCACATGACAATATGAACAATACTACAGGATAACTGAAGTCTTTTGTTTTTTGAAAATCAAATGGAAATACTAGAACTAAGAACTGTATTAACTGAAAGTACTTAAAAGATGGGGTTAGCAACTGATTGAACATCAGAATAAAGATCAGTGAACCAGAAGCTAGGTAGGTAGAACACATAAAGAATAATGCAATCAAAACTAAAAGGAAAAAAGTAGAAAAAAGGGCGTGACAACGTATGAGACATGATGCAAATGCATGACATGTATGGACTGGAGTCCCAGAAGAAGAAGAGAGAGAATGAGGGAGAAGAATATTTAAAGAAACACTGGTTAAGACATTCCCAAAATCAATGAAAGACATCAGACCACATATCTATGAAGCTCTGCAAACATGAAGCAAAATGAATGCAAAGAAAACCACGCCTGGGCATCTTACAGTCAAAAATAAAAAGGAAGAGAAAAATTGTGACAGTAAATAGGCTGATGTTTTACTTCTCAACAGAAAATAATGGAAGCTGAAAGACAACTGAATGATGTATTTTTAAATTCTGGGGTTAAAAATAACAGCTCACCTAGAATCTTATATCCAGTTAAAATATTTTTATGAAAATAAACATGAACTGAAGATGTATTCAGATGAAAAGTTTGAGGGAATTTATCACCACTAATCTTCACTAAAATAAATGTAAAGGAACTTTTTCAGGCCAAAGGCAAATTATCCAAAAATATCTTGTTTTCAAACACAAGAAAATAGGAGAAAATTTGAAAATCAATAGAAAAGGTAAACTTGTGGGCAAACCCACTGAAAACAATAAAAATAATGATATATTGTAGAATTAAATATGCATACAATTAGGATACAGAAAAATGATGCAAAAGCCAGGATAGGAAAATGAGGTTAAAGAATTATAACGTGCTTGCATCCAGGAGCAAGTGTGCTAAGTCTGATACATCACCAATGCAGGTGAGGAGTCATTAAGAGAATGATTTAAAATGCACATGACTAAAAGCTTAGTGGAGAAAAATAAGAAAAAGTATTAACTCATCAAAAACTAACAGGAAAAGATGAAAACCAGCTAATGAGGTCACAATGAAGAAAACTGTAATGGGGTAAATCTAAGCACAGAAGTATCGTTAATTAATGTAGTCATATAAATTACACAAATACTCCAACTAAAAGACAAAGATTGTCATGCTGGATTATAAAAATAAAACAAAACAAATGATATGTTCCTTTAGATGGTACTCGGTAGTGCAGGTGCCTAAAGGCAGAAGGATAGTGCCGAGACCAGCTCGGTCGGGGAGACCCTAACCCAGTGGCGCTAGAGGAATTAAAGACGCACACACAGAAATACAGAGGTGTGAAGTGGGAAATAGGGGTCGCACAGCCTTCAGAGCTGAGAGCCCCGAAACAGAGATTTACCCACATATTTATTAACAGCAAATCAGTCATTAGGATTGTTTCTATAGATATTAAATTAACTAAAAGTATCCCTTATGGGAAACGAAGGGATGGGACGAATTAAAAGAATAGGTTGGGCTGGTTAACTGCAGGAGGAGCATATCCTCAAGGCACAGATCGCTCATGCTATTGTTTGTGGCTTAAGAATGCCTTTAAGCGGTTTTCCACCCTGGGCGGGCCAGGTGTTCCTTGCCCTCATTCCCGTAAACCCACAACCTTCTAGTGTGGGCGTTATGGCCATTATGAACATGTCACAGTGCTGCAGAGATTTTGTTTATGGCCAGTTTTGGGGCCAGTTTATGACCAGATTTTGGGGGGCCTGCTCCCAACAGATAGGAAAGGTGTCTCATGCAAACAGAAAACCAGCAGAATGTTTGGGAAAAATGATCAACAAATTTGACTTGGTCAGCATGGACAGAGCCCCGTGCATGAGGACTGACTTCAGCCTATGAATTTCTCCAAGTAGACAAGGAACATTACCAAAACTAATGGCCCATTGGATCATTAAAGAGTCCCCCCAAAATTGGTGGTGTTGAAAACATACAGAACATAGTTTCTGACCTGGATTCCATCCAAGCCATGAGGGGTTTTATGCCCTGGGCTTAGATTATGGTGCATCAGGGTAGGCTTCCACTCTTTAGCACAGAGCTCGGTGTTCCAAAGGCCACGAGGAGTTTTAGATCCTGGACCCCGGACATGTTCCAAGACTCTTTTACATTATGTCAGACATGCAAGCCCTGCCTCAGCTTCTCCCAACACTCAGCTTTTCTCCCAACATTAACTATATCAAAAATGAAAATGGAGACATCACTAAAGATCCCACAGATACTAAGTTAATAATAAAAGAATATGCTGAACAATTTATGCCAATAAATTTGACAATTTAGAAAAATTGAACAAACTCTGAAAAACACAACTTGCCAAAACTGATGCAAGAAAAATTTATGAGTCCTGAACAATCTTATTTAAAATGTTCCCACAGAGAAAACTTCAGGTCCAGTTGGCTCCACCAGCAAACCATTCTTCCAAACGTTTGTGGGAGAAAAAACACCAATCTTACACAAACTCTTCCAGAGAAGAGAAAAAATGATTAATGCTTTGCAACTTTATTTAAAAGACTAGCCTGACTTTGTGATTAAAATGTGATGAGATCATTGCAAGAAAGAAACATTACAACAATCTCTGACATGTGCATGGACCAAGTATCCTCTAAAAATGAATGAATTGCTGATAAATGAATTCAGTGAAGTCTCAGGTTACAAAATCAATGTACACAAATCAGTAGCACCGCTATACACCAACAATGACCAAGCTGAGAATCAAATCAAGAACCCGAGCTCTTTTACAATAGCTGCAAAAAGTAAAATAAAATAACTAGAAATAACTTGACCAAGAGGTGAAATATCTCTACAAGGAGACCTAGCAAACACTGCTGAAAGAAATTGTATATGACACAAACCAACGGAAATACATCCCATGATCATGGATTGGAAGAATCAATATTGTGAAAGTGACCACACTACCCAAAGCAATCTACAGATTCAATGCAATTCCTATGAAGATACCAACATCGCTTTTCAAAGAATTGGGAAAACAATCCTAAATACCATGCTGTTTTGGTTACCATAGCCTTGTAAGATAATTTGAAGTCAGGTAATGTGATTCCTCCAGCTTTGTTCTTTTTGCTTAGGATTACTTTGGCTATTCAGGCATTTTTTTATTCTATGAATTTTAGGGAGGGAGGGGAAGGAGGGAAGGAGGAAGGGAAGGAAGGAAAGAAGGAAGGAAGGAAGAAAGGGAGGGAGGAAAGAAAGAGAGAGGGAGAGAAAGAAAAGAAAGAGAAAAGAAAAAGAAAGAGATGGAAGGATGGAAGGAAGGAAGGAAAGAAAGGCAGAAAGATAGGAAAGAAAAAAAGAAAGGAAGAGAGAAAGAGAGAAAGAAAGAGAGAAAGAGAGAAAGAAAGAAAGAGAAAGAAAGGGAAAGAAATCATTCCAGTCAAAAGCCCCGTGTTAGAGATCAGCCGGTGGTTTCTGCTTACCTGAACTATAACCATGTACACTGAGATGGACTTTGGTTTGCTTGAGTTGAAACCCAAGGCGCTGGGGTCATCTCATTCTAATGATCTCCCAATTATTTTAACCTGTGTGTGTGTTTACTATGTGCACACACACAAGCACAACTAAGAACTCAAATTCAGAATAAAGAAATTCTACAAATCAATAAAAGACAAAAACCCAATTTTTGAAAACGCAAAGACAGTATCCAAATTGCCAATAAGCATATACAACCGTGCTCAACTTCAACGATTGCGGGAGCAACGAGTATCAAAAACACAATAAAATACCAATATACACCCGACAAAATGGCTAAAATTTACAGCTGACAATTGCAAGTGGTGGCAAGGGTGTGGGGCAACTGGAACTCCCATAGACTGTTGGAGAGTGTGAGTTGGCACAGCCACTCTGAAAAGCTGTTAAGCCCTGTTTGATAAAGCTGAGCATGTGCATACTCTATAACCCAGCACTTCAAATCCAGTGTATGTTCCACATCTGTACAAGAATTCCATCTGCCACAAAGTACACATGAGGCTGTTTGTGACACCCTTACTCACAACAGGTAAAAACTACTGTGATTAACAGAACGGATAATAAACTGCGTTCACATAATGGAATACTATAAGGCCGCTTACATGAATGAAACAGTGCTGTGTTCAACAGCATGGGTGAGTTTCACACTTATATGAAGTTCAAGAAGAGCTGAAGGTAATCTGTGTGTTAGAAGAGGGGTTGTGGAGCCTTATGGGGTGGAGGTTTCTGGGGGCTGGGATTGTTCTATGTCCTGGTCTTGGAGGTCTCGATGCTGTAACAATTCACCATAATTTTCTTATTCATATTATACTTCAAAAAATTGCCTAAAAACAATAAAAGGGTTAGGAAACTAAATAAATCAAATTTAATTTAAAAATAAATTCCTGGCTGGGCGCAGTGGCTCACACCTGTAATCCCAGCACTTTGGGAGGCCAAGGTGGGTGGATCACGAGGTCAGGAGATTGCGACCATCCTGGCTAACATGGTGAAACCCGTCTCTACTAAAAATATAAAAAATCAGCCAGGTGCAGTGGCTCACACCTGTAATCCCAGCACTTTGGGAGGCCAAGGTAGGTGGATCATGAGGTCAGGAGTTCAAGACCAATCTGGCCAAT
The DNA here is from genome assembly GCF_000001405.40 of Homo sapiens. Taxonomy (NCBI): domain Eukaryota; kingdom Metazoa; phylum Chordata; class Mammalia; order Primates; family Hominidae; genus Homo; species Homo sapiens. The sequence goes on from NC_000005.10 coordinate 989,294, forward strand.
GTGGTGAAATCCCGTCTCTACTAAAAAATACAAAAATTAGCCAGGCATGGTAGTGGGCACCTGTAATTCCACCTACTTGGGAGGCTGAGGCAGGAAGAATTGCTTGAACCTGGGAGGCAGAAGTTGCAATGAGCTGAGATCACGCCACTGTACTCCAGCTTAGGCAACACAGAGAGACTCCATCTCAGAAAAAAAAAAAAATACAAAAAATACAAAAAATTAGCCGGGCATGGTGGCAGATGCCTGTAATTCCAGCTACTTGGGAAGCTGAGGCAGGAGAATTGCTTGAACCAGGGAGGCGGAGGTTGCAGTGAGCTGAGATTGCACCACTGCACTCCAGCCTGGGTGACAGAGTGAGACTCCGTCTCAATAAATAAATAAATAAATTCCCACATTGATTCTTTTGCGGGAAAAAGCAATAAAATGTGTGACCAGGCAAACAGACTAATGGAATAAAAGAAAGTGCCAAAAAGGGCCCCCTTCAATGGGAACCCTGATATGACAGGACCATCATCTATGGAACCCCACTGTGATGAATGTGGGCCCCGCATCCCTGGAGAAGGGGTACCAGGACCAGCATGGGGGGTGAGAGCTTCCAAAAATGCCCGCCAACTGCCTTCCTTCTTCACCAGGCCAGGCGAGTGCTCAAAGCACTTTTCCTGCAGGAACCGAGACGCGAGCTCCTTTAACAGCCACCAGCGAGTCCCACATCACCCTCCCCCTCTACCCGACATCCCTTTTCATTCTCAGGGGAAGCACCCTGGCCCCTCTTTGGCCTGGGCCCCCTGGGATGGGCTGCCTGGCGCAGCTGCATCCTGTAGGAGTCAGTGGGCGGCTGGGGCTCCGTGTCTTCCTGGGACTTCTATTGAAGGCATTTTGAGGAGGTTGGAAGATAAGTGTCTAGTTAGGCATTAGAGAGAAGTCTCCCTTCACAGTGGCAAAGTTAGGCTGTGTGTCTTTTCCTGTCTTGGGAGTAGCCGCTCTTGCCCCAGCTGCGGATGCTGGGTGTGAGCAAGGCTTTCAGGCTGGCCATGGGCTCCTTCCAGGCTTGAGCTGTGTCCCCTGAAGCCAGGGGGAGCCATTGACCTGCGGCCTCCCAGAGCAGGGGCACGAGGTCTGTCGCTGGACTTTCCAAGTCGACTTCCTTCTTTTGTCCTGCCAATTTTCTAAAGAAGAAAGCTGCCTTTTCTCTGGAGGCTGGCAGGAGCCATCTGGGAGAATGAAATACAGCCTCTTCCTCTTTGTCTTTAACTTCCCTTCAAAGCTGAGCGAGAAAAAAAAGATGACTTGGTCTGGGGTCCTTGGTGGCATCAAGCCCCCAGCACCCCTCCTGTCAAAGCAAAGAATATTACCAAGGGTAAAAAAGCGACATTTCATAAAGAGGCAATTTATCAAGATGACATAGCAGTCCTAATTATTTGTGCCCGTAATTACAAAGCTTCAAAATACTTGAAACAAAATTGATAGAATTGCAAGGAGAAATTTTTAAAATCACAATTACAGTAAGAGATTTCAACATCACTCTCTCAATAATTGAAAAAAGAGCAAGCAGACAAAGCAGCAAGAAAGAACATTGTGTAGTCCCAGCTACTCGGGAGGCTGAGGCAAGAGAATGGCATGAACCCAGGAGGCGGAGCTTGCAGTGAGCCGAGATCGCGCCACTGCACTCCAGCCCGGGCAACAGAGCGAGACTCCGTCTCAAAAAAATAAAAAAAATAAAGAACATTGGACAACATCGATCAGCACGATCTGACTGATGCCTACAGAACCCTCCACCCAACCACAGAGGAACTCATGTTCTTCTTTTTTTGAGACGGAGTCTCGCTCTGTCGCCCAGGCTGGAGTGCAGTGGCACCATCTCGGCTCACTGCAAGCTCTGCCTCCTGGGTTCAAGTGATTCTCCTGCCTCAGCCTCCCAAGTAGCTGGGACTACAGGTGCCCGCCACCACATCCAACTAATTTTTTTTGTATTTTTTAGTAGAGACAGGGTTTCACAGTTTTAGCCAGGACGGTCTCGATCTCCTGACCTCATGATCCGTCCGCCTCAGCCTCCCAAAGTGCTGGGATTACAGGCGTGAGCCACCACGCCCGGCCAATTTTTAGGTTTATGAGTGGCTGTCCCTGGAGCTCAGCTATGCTTGGGAAGCTGAGCCTCCCAGTCACAGGGGGCAGGTGCAGACAGGCTTGTACCAGAGGAGGTCGGCTGTCACATCCTGTCCCCACCACTGCCCACAAGCTGTGGGGCCAGGCCTGGGGACTTAGCACACCTGGCCCACCAGCCATGGCCCACAGCCCATGGTGAGCTCAGGGAGGTGGGTGAGACAGATGGAGCTGGCCTGTGTGGCTTGGCCCTGGGAGGCCTCTGTTTCCTCCCTCAGTGCCACCCCCAACCCCAGGAGGGGTAGGGACCAGTGGGCAGACGCCGAGCCCCTGGGTGCTGGAGCAGAGGAGACTGGCGATGAGGACCTGCATGCCCATCACACCCTCTGATGATCAGAAAGAAACCAATGCAATCCCTTCCCCGGCTCTCAGCCCTTCCAGGACTTCTCACCAGTGCAGAATTCCACCGTACACCTCATCTCCATCCTGGCCCAGGGTTAGCCCTGAAGATCAGGGGGCCTGGCCCAGATACTTCCTGCTCCCCACAGTGATTTTATGGGACTGAGCCAAGAGGATGCCCTGGCAGGGGGCTTCTGGAACCTGGTGGCCTTCATCTGCACCGCCTCTCTCTGCAGGCTCCCAGGCAGCATCAGGGTCTGTCTGGCCCAAGGGGAGGTGGAGTGCCCAGGACCTTGGTACATGGGCAAGTAAGGACTGAGATGTGTGGACTGCAGACCAAGCCCATCTTCCAGGGAGAGCAAAGAGAGCGGCACTGTGCCCACCCGGGCGACCCCTCCTGCACAGGTCCCATCAGAAATGGCATGGCTCCACCCCCAGCCTCTGCGATAAAGAAATCGAGATGACCCTAAGTTGTGCAAGGTCAGGCATCCCTCAGTGGCACAGGAACAGAACCACGGGTCTGTCCTGTTGTGCTTTTTTTTTTTTTTTTTAAAATAAAAGTGGTGGTTTTTAACCCCTTCGATCCAGAGCTCTTCTGTCTCGGTTGTGGTCCCACAGAACATTCTCTGTCTCCTACTCCTCAGTGAGACTGAAGGAACGGCTGCCAAGGAGCAGAAAGGCAGCTCTGGGGGCTGAACCCTGTGTGCAGCTGAGAGGCCGTGAGGCCTGGGATGTCCGGCAGGGTTGGGAAATAATGAGGAATAACTGGCAACTAGAATCCCAGGAGAGGGGCTTATCTTTAATGAAGTTCCTGGAAGTTATAAGCATTAAAATTAAAGAGGCAATTTCTGCTGGGCGAAAACTTTTTAGCACCAAGTGTCCATGGGCTTGCGGGAGAGAAGCCCAGGACAGAAACCCCCAGGGCAGCAGAGCAAGGCTCTTTTGTCCATCACTGCCGAGCAGCTGGGAGCCCCCTGTACTCACTGGGGAGAAAAAGCAGGTGGCCAGGGCAACAGGCAAGGGAGGGAGGGCTTGTGTAGAAGGGGAGTTGATTTTTTTTTAAGTGCATTCCCTCTTGGGACATATCTATGGACACTTGGAAAACCCAGGAAAGAGAACAGGTCACTTCCATTCCACAGTGCAGCATGGTTATTAAGCACTTACTGTGTGCCCTGAGTAACACGGGGTCCCTGCTCTCGGGAACGGTGTGACATGCTCGGCAACTCTGAGTTACCAGGGAGCGGGAGGGGTTCTGAAGTTCCCAGGCTCTGAGGACCGACTGTTGATGGAAGGCCTGGGCCACATCAGGTGTTTGCCCTGAGGACCCTTGTCGAGTCCCGGGACACCATGAAGGAGAATCCTGGATTTGGGGTCTGTTGTTCAGAAGAAAATGATCCCAGGTCGGCCGGGCGCGGTGGCTCACGCCTGTAATCCCAGCACTTTGGGAGGCCGAGGCGGGGGGATCACGAGGTCAGGAGATCGAGACCATCCTGGCTAACATGGTGAAACCCCGTCTCTACTAAAAATACAAAAAATTAGCCGGGCGTGGTGGTGGGCGCCTGTAGTCCCAGCTACTCAGGAGACTGAGGCAGGAGAATGGCGTGAACCCAGAAGGTGGAGCTTGCAGTGAGCTGAGATCGCACCACTGCACTCCAGCCTAGTGACAGAGCGAGACTCCGTCTCAAAAAAAAAAAAAAAAAGAAAATGACCCCAGATTGTGAGGCCCGGCTGAGCAGCCGTGAGCAGCTGGATGGGCACAGAGCCACCTCCTACTCCTCACCCAGGCTGTTCCCGAGGAAACCATTTCTGGGGTGACTGCAGAGAGGACAGCCCACCCTCTGCTCTTAGAGAAACAGCAGGGAGGAGAAGGCTGGAGTTCAACCTCCACCCCCACTCCCTGACTGTCAGCCAGGATGATGGAATCTGTGGTCATTTCCAGGAGAGCTTGTGCAAGCAGGAAGTAGCCAGACAGCAGCAGCGACCTCTTTAAACCCATTTTTTCAGACTTGGTTGATAGAGAGTATCGGAGTCGAGCTAGCCCCACCTCTCAGTCTGTCGCTCTCAAGTTGCCCAATGTGGAAGAGATATGGGGTCTGGAGGAGGAACGAGTGACACAGGTTCTGCAGGGCCAGTGGGTCAGCGGTGGGACGGGAATGACAGCCAGGACCCAGCATGCACTGCCCCCTCACAGGGCTTTTTCACAAAGGCTGAACTCTGCCTGCAAATTGCACAGAGACCCTTACACGGCAAGAAACTTTTATAAATGGGAGGTACCTGCAGGCTCCAGGGGAGGAGGGGAGAGAGGAGAGGAAAGGAGGGAAGAGAGATAGGAGAGTAGGGGAGAGAGGACAGAGAGACCAGGGGAGAAAGGAGGGAGGGGAAGGGAGAATGAAGGGGAGAGAGGAGGGGAGGGGAGCAGGGAGTACCTGGGAGGGCTAATGCCCATTCTCATCCAGGAGCGAGGAAGGACCAGCTCCCAGGCTGGCCTTCTGTTAGGATAGATCCTGCTCCATAAGAGGCCATGGAAGCAGGACCTGCCACAGAATTTCCAGGACCCAGGGAAAGATGTCCATGTAGGACCCCTTGTTCAAAAGTTAAGAATTTCAAGACAGCAACAGCAGAGCATTAAACCAAGCTCAGGGCCCAGGAAGTGGGGCGTGTTACATGCAGAGGGCAATGGAGCCCTTGAAAATGCAAAAGGCATCTATCCCCGTGCACAGGCTCTGTGTGTGCTTGTGTGAACTTGTATATGGGTACATGTGCTGTGTGCATGCATGTGAACGTGTGTGTGCATGTTTGGAGGGCAGGTATGCAGAGAAGTGTCATCAGGTACAACTCTCCTCTACTTCAGTGGACCCTGGGCTCACCCATGGTGAGGGCCCCCCACATAGAGCGCTTCCACATCTCAGCCAGCTGGGAGCCCACAGTGTCCATGCCCAGGCCCCATGCAGTGTTCAGAGTCCATGCAGAGTGCTGCCCATTGGGTGGGCCTGAGGCTCCAGGAAACAGACATGACAGCCCATGGGCAGGTGGCCTTCTGGTCAACAGCCATGAGGAGGCCTCAAGAGAAAGCTGCCTGGCAACCTCTTTCATCTGGGACAACTGGTCTGGCCCAACTGAGAAACAGCCTGGACTTCAGGCTGCCTCCTGCCAGTGGCTCCGTGGGTACCAGAGGCCAGGGGTGCTCCATCCTTTTTCCTGGGAGGGGTGAGTTGGGCCAGCCAGCCTCACTGTGGCCGCCTGGTGGGGCTGCAGGCCTGCCCCTTCCACCTCCCCACAGCCTTCTGGAGGGAAACACTAAGAAGAAGGCCGCTTCCTACACCATGTCCCACTGGCCTGGGGGACTTCAAACCCGGAAGCTAGTGTGGCCACAATCTCCTTTTGCAGCCCAAGAGTTGGAGACTGGTTTCTAAGGAGACAGTCAGTGCCTGGGTTGGTGGCAGGTGGGCTGTCTGCAGGAGGAAACCTCAGTGGGCCTGGGCCTGCCTGCAGGAGGGCATTGTTGGGAAGGCTACGGAAGACTCTCAGAGCCTACATCTCCATTCAGGGGCAACTCCATCCACCCTCATCGCCCCCTCTCCACCTGGCTGTCCTTACCTCCAGCCGGACACCAAGCCAGCTCTGCTGCAGGTGCAAAGGGGCCACCTGCCCCAGCCCAGCTTCCACATGTGAATGTCCTGTGCTCTAGACAGCCAGGACCTGCTGCCACCTGCTTGCTGGGGCGGTGAGCACCCTCAGGCATACCTGTTCATCACCCACAGATGCCCAGCCCTGTGCTTACCCCACAGCACATGCACACAATGCCCCCTGGATGCCACAAATCGTTTCTAGCAGCAAATGAGTCAGAAGGGAATGGACCCAAAGTCTAGACCCCACTCCACCCCCATCCTGCTGAGGTTGTGAGCTCCAGGGGAGCAGAGGCAGCTAAGGACACGGGCCATGGCTGGTCCCTGGCAACCTTGTAGCACCACCTGGTGACCCAGCAGTGAGCAGGGTGCTTGAAACACCACTGGGCAGGTATCACTCACACCTACACCGTGGAGCAGCCCATTCCAATGGCAAAGATTCCCGATTACACTATTAAATAAGAAAAGAATGTACTTTTTTTCTTTTACTACATAGAGATGTTAAGCTTCTATAAATCAAAAAACAGGGCCAGGCATGGTGGCTCATGCCTGTAATCCCAGCATGTTGGGAGGCCAAGGTGGGTGGATCACCTGAGGTCGAGAGTTCAAGACCAGGCTGGCCAACATGGTGAAACCCTATCTCTACTCAAAACACAAAAAATTAGCCGGGCGTGGTGGCATGTGCCTGTAGTCCCAGCTGCTTGGGAGGCTGAGAGAGGAGAATGGCTTGAACTCAGGAGGCAGAGGTTGCAGTGAGCCGAGACTGCGCCACTGCACTCCAGCCTGCACAACAGAGCGAGACTCCCATCACACACACACACAAAAAAAATCAAAAACCAGATAAATGTAATAGCAAACTGGGTGAATGTTTGCAGCAAAATTACAGAGAAAACATATCCTTCACAGAGGAAAAGCTCTTACTAATCAAGAAAACAACACCATAATGGAAAGAGAAATATAACTGTAGACATTCAACGTAGATGTCAACCTTGCCCATGACCAAGGAAACAAACACTGAAACCATCATGAGACTTTGTTTTTCAGTTTGCTACAGTTTGGAAAGGAAACGAGCTTGCCCCTGTGTGGCTGGTGGGCATGTGGGCATGTGGGCTGGCAACAGCTTTCTGAGCGGCTGCACCTCTAAGAACAAAAGCAGTTCCATCCTCTTCCAGGGAAGAGGAATGTTTCAGGAATCACTTAGAAACATAAACAGGAATTTGTGAAGGAGGCCACCCAATACAATGTTACCTGCAATGGCAAACTAAAAGCAATGTAGCTGCTTGATGGGAAGAAATGGTGAAACCCATGTCCCTACATTTGTACCTTCAAGGACCAGGCAGAAGGGTAAAGTGCACTTTTAAAGAATATTTGAACATTGAGAAATAAAAATACAATCCCAAGACCTCCAACTGACTAAATGAACCCCTTCTTGGCCAAGGGGACTCCAGAGAAACCTTAAACACTGGGTTCCAAGCCATGAAGGGATGAAATGCCAGACAGACCTCATTATGCCCCCTCCCTCACTAACCGCTGCCATTGAGTTTCTTTCCTAAGGGTAAACAGAAAGCCCTTTTGAAAGATTTGCCAGACTCCCCACCCCTCGTGTAGTTTTGACACAACAACCAGCCAGCATTCCTTCCTGATAACAGATCCTGACTGTGGACTGGTTCTAGCTGGTGTAGAGGCTGCACACAGGATGCCTCTGTGTCCTTCATTTCACCTTTTGACCTACAGAGCCTCATTTCAATGCACTTAAATGTGAAGTCTCCACCCCAAAGTGAACACAGGACACATGTAACACACATGTGAGCTCACTGTGCATGCGTGCCCCTCACCCTTGTAGAGTACTCACAGTGCCTCCTGTAGCCTCTCAGCCACCACGGTCAGCACATTCCTGTCTCATCCTCCCCACCCTCAAAGTGCCTGCTTCCGGTTTAGGGTGGAGGCCACACCTCCCAGCCTGTGGATGGTTACTTGCAGGCTGCAACTCTTTAGAGAAATAAAGCTCTCCCTTCCATGTTTATGAATCTCATGAATCTTCAGTTGACAACATATAAAGAAATGAGCATGAAATGATTTTCAGTAAAATAAGTAGGAAACAAAACTGCAGATAATTAGGTGATTATCTTGGGAGATGGGAATCTGTGGGGGGGGGAGGGAATTTTTATTTTTCTCTTCACATTTTTCCACATTTTTCTAATTTTTTTACAATGATCATACAGCACTTTCATAACAAAAAATAATAAACATTTTATTTCACAAAACTATAACCTGGAAAAAGTGATAAATGTCTATAAGTGAATATTCCATAGCGGTAAGAATGGATGAGGCATTTTTATCCACAAGGCAGATCTTCAGAACATGAGGCACTGCTACTGGTACTGGGCATGGCTTTGGCTGCTCTCCCAGTGGGGGTCTGAGGTGGCCCTGGGCCATCTGCCCTCACCTGGCTCTGGGGCAACAGGGGCAGGGGTGGGAGAGGCATCAGGTCTGGGAAAAGGCACAGTCCACGGGCTCCACTGGATCAAGGCAGTGCCCTCCACTCCATCGGGCCTGAGTGGAGATGGCCTCACTGGCTTAGCTCTGCCCAAGCAAATCCACCCTCGTGTTGCCTCCAAGGCATCCGCCAGGTCCTCACCTCACCCCCTGCCCCAATTACTTATGTTCTTCTTTTTATCAGAAAAACATTCGATGTGGCCATATTTTCAATAATAGCTTGAGTCAGTCTCACTTGGTTGTGATAACTCAGAAGACTGGTGATCAGAGAGAAAGAGGAAAAGGGGGACGGGGGAGAAGGGGAAGAGTGAGGGACGGGGGAGGGAGGGAAGAGGGAGGGAGGGAGAGAAGAGCAGGACGGTGGGAGGAGGTTTCTTGGCATGCTTCCTGCTGGTTCAGACCCAGTCCAAGTTTCCTGAACCCATGTTCTGGAATGTCTGGCGCTGCCACAAGATGAGGAGGAGACCCAGCCACAGGCGTGAGGACATGGGTGCATCCTCCTCATGGCCGACCCGAGTTCCCACCAGGCACAGGACTTCGTTAACAGAAGCAGCTTCTCAGGCAAATCACACAGCACCCCCAGCCCCTGCTGAAGTGCCTCCTCCTCTCCAGCTCACCCAAGGAGCCGGAGCTTTGGCTGCACTGGTGCTGGGGGCGGCTTCACCCCGTGAGGGTGCCACTCCATGGGCCACTGGGAGGTTGTTGTGCAGTCCTGGCCAGTTTACAGAACAGAGATCCAAACTTTCACCTAATATATAAGACAGGAACCATTTTCATTTGACCAGAGAGGGCCTCAGGGGGATCCTGGCCCTCAGCTCCCAGGAAGAGGTCCTCTCCCCGCAGCATCCATGGGAAGTGCCTTCAGTTGCTCCAGTTCTTCACCCCTCTCTGTATCTGCCCTATGTCTGCAGCTTGGCAGGGTGTTTGCTGCTTACATTTTGAGACTCTCGGAAACAAACTGTGCCTTCTAAACACACAGTGGAATCTGACACCAATGATGCAGTCCAGAATGCTTTCTTCCCCTGGTGACAAACTTTCCGAGTATCTTACATTAGTTTAGTGGGGCCTTCCAGCAGCTGTCCCAACTCAGAGACAGACCTGCAGGCCCATGGGCCAAGACAGAGCCCTTCCCCACCAACCTTGACCTTGGATGAAAAGCATCATCCCTGTTTGCTGGAAGTGTGTAGTAGGATGACGGATGTGTTGGCAGAGCCAGGCCCATGCTGTCCAGGGAGGCATCAATGCTTTGCGGTGTCCAGACAGTTTACAAGGCCCAAGAATGCTGCTCCCTTGGTGAGGCAACCACCTCGTGCTAAAAATCCCCTGACAAGTCACCAAGACTTGAAGGGAGGAGGCTCTCTGGAGCATGAGCCAACTCTCCCAGATGCTAACTTGGATGGCTGTGAACCCAGTCCTGCCTCAGCCATGGGCACCCCCTTCGTCGGAATCCAAGTACATTGCTGCCACCTGTGTCCATGGTTGCAGAGACTCAAGACACCACCCACAGGAGAGAGTTGCAGGAATGCCTGGCCTCACTACCCAGGGTGGGGAGCCGGATGTCCAAGGCAGGGAGGACTGGCTCTCACATTCTGCAGAAAAGACTATTTGTGTCCACCTGGGGCCATGTGTGGGGCGGTGGGGTCAGGGATGCCTCACTGCAATTCACTATTCTGGCAGTGGGGTGGGAAGAGCCTCTTTTAGTAACTCCCAAAACTGCCACTGAAGAGGGGATCCTGGACATATCCACCCTGACCCTCTGAGGTGAGAAAAGAAACTATAACACAAGGACTGCTGCAGTTGCTCTCTAAGCAATAGGCTTGGCCCAGCAGGCACTGTTTAGGCAGCCCAGCAGGCTCCCCTGTTGCCAGGAGAATCCCAGAGACCCACTGGGACCCTCCAGCACCCAGCTATACCAGCTCCACTCCACAGCTCACCCAAGATGGACATGAGGACTTCAGATCGTGATGTCCAGTTTTAACTAAACTAACTCCCCAAAAACTGGACACGTGACTTCACGAGGCTTTTGCCGAGGAGCCCTGGGCTGCAGGGAACATTAATGGGGTAGGTGCACCCAGGCAAGGATGTGGGCAGACCCTCCAGCCTCTTGTGGTCTGGGTGTGCCTTGGGAAATGGCCAGCAGGATTCTTCTTGGAGGCAAGCTGGAGATTTTTAGGTCCTGGGTTAGAGGGAGAACTATGCGATTCCTCTGAGAGACCTGGGGATGGAGGGACTGGACCCTTCCAGCCACCTGTGCTGAGCCCATCTGCTGCCTCCTAAGGGGCTCCTAAGGGGCAATGGGTGGAAGTCTCCTGGGCTATGCCCTGAGCAGACACCATCCTTTTTGCTCCTTGGCAAAGATGCCTCTCAGGATCAAAGACCTGGTGGCCTGGTCCCTCCAGGAGGAATGGGAGGGCCAGCTTCCTTCCCTGACAGCTATGGGAAGATGGAACCCAGTCCAGGCCTTGAGTGCAGTTCCCTGACCCTCATGGTAAGCGCCGTGCCTGGTCCCCTCATCTCTCTCAGGGAAGAAGTGATAAACACCATTGGGTTTCCGTGACTCAGGCACAGTGACTTATACATCCTTGTCACAACCTGGGCTGTAAATGCTGCCCCACACGTTCCCAGCATGAGTGAGCGCTGCCTTTCTTTAGGAGATGGAGGCACGGCCGCCTCCAGGGGTCCTGCTGCCTGTGGGCGCCCATCAGGATAGAACTCACAATCTGCCCACCACTGCCTGCCATGTGGTCCCTCAATATCCCCAGGCCTCCTCCCACCAAGTACCCTCAGGCTTCTGTGCCTGCTGCAATCTCATCGTACAGACATCCATGATGTGGTGAAGACTTGAAGAAAAAGATGTTAAATGAGGGGTTCCTTCCTCAAGGTAGAAAGCCCCTTTTGTGGGCTGAGAATTGAAGACTGAGGACTGGGTTCGTTCCCTGAGTCCACGTCCGCTGCTGCAAGGAAAATGTGCAGTACACCCCCAACCCAATCTGCCTGGCATCTACACCTGTGCACCGGGCAGGGGAAGGAGTGGGTCCTTGTTGCTGGGACCCCAGGGAGTCCCCAGCGGTGGATGAGGTGGGCCATGGAAAGGGACTCCCCCCACCACAAGAGCTGCACAACCTGTTGAAGGGGCCGAGGCCTCCATCTTAAAGATAAGCGGCTTTAGGCTGGGCTCAGTGGCTGACGCCTGTAATCCCAGCACTTTGGGAGGCTGAGGTGGGCGGATCACTTGAGGTCAGGAGTTCAAGACCAGCCTGGCCAACATGGTGAAACCCTGTCTCTACTAAAAATAGAAAAAAAATTAGACGGGCGTGGTGGTGGGTGCCTGTCATCCAAGCTACTCGGGAGGCTGAGGCAGGAGAATCGCTCAAACCCAGGAGGCAGAGGTTGCAGTGAGCTGAGATCATGTCACTGCACTCCAGCCTGGGTGAGAGACTGAGACTCTCTCAAAAATAAATAAATAAATAAACAAATAAAAGATTTATTTATTTAGCTTTGTGAGCCCAGGGCTGGGGACTGTCCTGGGCAGCTATGAGGTGGTAGACCCAGCTGGCCTGCTGTCCCTGGGAACTTGGGACTTGGGCAGGTAATAGCAGCATGTCTCAGCACTGCCCCAGGAGCTGGGGATCCTGGGTAGAGGAATGGACAGGGGAACCCTCCTTCCTTCTCGGGGCTGATTGGCACACACAAAGCGCCTTCCATATGCACGCAGCCCCATGGACGGGGCAGGAGGCAGGGCAGTCAGGGGCAGTGGCAGGTGTCCTGGCAGGAGGGAGGACGCATCCCTGGTGAGAACCATCAGGAGAGAGTCTGGCATTGCATGACCAGGCTGGAGAAGGGGAAGCCCGCGGGACCAGGCCACAGAGGGGCATCTTGTGGCCTACCAGATGGCGGAGACTTCCCTCAGGGAGTATTCCCTGCACACTCACTGACAACACCCACGAAGGCATGCAGATTCTTCCAGAAGCAGCTGAAAGCCACACATGGAAGACTGCAGTGCAGTGGAGAAGCAGTTCTCTGGGTTTCTCAGGGGCAGGCAAAGAGGTGTGTGAGCCCCCTGGGCTGTGGACAGCAGGACACCTAACGGCCCTCGAGCCTCTGCAGAAGCATCAGTCACCATGCCCAACGATCGCATCCCCTGTCCCCAGACAAGGCCTGCGTGGGAAACAGATGTCCACAGAAATCCCTGAGCCGAGGTCGCTTTGTGATCTTTTCTGATTTCCCAGTGAAATTTCACCACAAACCACACATTTGGAACATGGCTGCTGCAGCTCAGGCAGAAGCAGGCCTCAGTGGTCGGGTGCAGAAGCTGTGGGAGTTTCCGTGTCTCAGGCCAGTTCCGGCCTGGGGACCCAAGGCCGACCGCACGTTGAGTTGAGCGGAGGATGAACCTGAGCCCCTTCACCTGGAAGTGAGAGCAGCAACTCACTGCTGATTCACACTTTCATTTCCAGCCAGGAGAGACTTTCCTCCAAGCCAGAGCTGATAAGATACAAAGACTAAGACTAAAACTCCCCAGGTTGGGATAAGATAAATATCACCAAATTACAGCAAGTGTTTAGGTGGAGAGGACCTCAGTGATCATAATTGATGCCCACACATGTTTCTTGGCATCTGGGCTTCCTTCACTGCTCACTCAGATTCCTGGGTTATTTTAAAAATCACGGCCAGGCGTGGTGGCTCACGCCCGTAATCCCAGCACTTTGGGAGGCTGAGCACTTTGGCAGGCCGAGACGGGGGTGGGGGGAGGAATCACTGGAGGTCAGGAGTTCGAGACCAGCCTGGGCAACATGGCAAAACCCCATCTCTACTAAAAACAAAAATTAACCAGGCGTGGTGGTATGCATCTCTAATCCCAGCTACTCGGGAGGCTGAGGCAGGAGAATCACTTGAACCCGGGAGGTGGAGGTTGCAGTGAGCTGAGATCACGCCACTGCACTCCAGCCTGAGCAACACAGTGAGACTCCGTCTCCAAAAAAAAAAAAAAAAAAAAAAAAAAATCACGCATACGGGACTCCTGGAAGGCAGCTTCTCACCGTCACTGCCGTCTGCCCTGCTACATGTGACGGCTGTGTTTCACATGTTCACCGGTGTGTACGCCCGGGTGTGCTTCGAACTGAGAAGCCAGGAGCCCAGGGCTTCTCTGCTGCCCACGAATCATGCCTTCTACTTGCCCTCGCTGCCCAGCTTGCAAGGCCCTTTTACTGAACTTACTTTGATTGCAATAAAAACCAGTAAAACCCAAAAAACAAGTGCATACAAAAGTATGCCCAGAACACCTTTGGAAAACCATTTTCTGACTTGGGTGGGTTTTTTCCTTCTAGGTCTCTAATCACAAATTGCCTGAAAGATTTGCACAAATATTTACCTGAAACTGGAAGAGGTGTTTCCTCAACCATGAATCGTGGCCAGTTGTGGGTCCCTTTGAGGCAATTTCCCTGGAGAAGTGCATGGTTATTAAATTTAATAGTCGGTGCAGATGATTCATCTTTTGAAGGCGCTCAGAATGATGGCTGAGGATAAATGTAGAATTAGCCTTCTAAGTATCCAGTGGTCTGGCAACGTTCCAAGTATGCCAGGAAACAGGTAGGCGTGCTTCAGATCCACCTCCCTTTCAATAGTTTTAACAGTCCATGTACCAGAGGTGATATCACAACCAACCTGTAATTCAGAATAAGCCTCGTGTGGCAACATGGTTGGGGGGGGTGCGGGGAGCAGGCGAAATGCAAGGCACTTGGGTGTGGCAGCCACGTGAACTTCTTGTTCATGCCTAAGAAGGCATGTTCATGCCAAAGCGTGTGTCTGCAGGGAAACCCGGTGCACTTGGGAGGCACAGCCAAGGCTTCAGGGGTCAGCATGGCTGGCGGACGCTGCACAGCCAAGGAGAGGTGGACTCAAACAAGGGCGGCCTCGGGGGCGGTGTGCAGGCGACACCCAGGGGATCTTGTGCACTTAAAAACGTAGGGATCCATTTGCAAAGCGAAGAGCACGCAAGGGGAGCACACATCCAGACCCGGAGTCGCCATCCTCCCTCGTGGGGCCAATCCGCCAGGGCCAACGCGGCATGGGCAGGGAGGGGAAATGTCCCGGCAGGCTCCGTGTGACGCGTCACAGTAGCGTTTTGTCCGATGTCAGGCAGTGCTTTTCTTAGACGTCCCCAGGGCTCCGGTGGAGACCAACCCGTGTGTGAATTTCAGTCTTGCCGGCTACTTCGGGTCGCGAGGCTCACGGCTTTGCTCGCACTATGGGGAAAAAGCCGGGCACTGAAGGGGACGTGGGTGTGTGTGTGTGTGTGTGTGTGTGTGTGTGTGTGTGTGTGCCGGCTCCGCGCATGCGCCTATTTCAACTCCAGCCACAGCCTGGGGCCAAGACAGTGTCTTCAAAAGAGGCCCCTGACCCCGGGGTCAGAGTTGGCTACACCATGCCTTCCAGGCACGCCACACCGTGAGGTCACACCGCGGACGCCCCTCACACAGGGGACGCCCCTCACACAGCGGATGCCCCTCATGCCACGGAGGCCTCCGCACACAGGGACGCCCCTCACTCCGCGGACGCCTCTCACACAGGGACGCCCCTCACACAGGGACGCCCCTCACGCCGCGGACACCCCCTCACACAGCGGACATGCCTCGACGCCCCTTCACATGGCGGACGCCCCCTCACACGGCGGACCCCGACCTCGCCGCTTTCTAAACGGGAGGGGAGGAGCCGTGGCCACCGTGACAACCACAAAACAGGATGAGCCCCGCCTCCCAGAACGCGGAGTCGCGGTGGAAGAGGGTGACGCCGCCGAGAGTTCACGAGCGTGTCCCAAGCCGAGTGAGGAGCGCGCGGGGGCGCTCTTGCTCCCAAGGCCGCACGAGCGCCAAGGCCTCGCGGGGAGAATAGCCACGGGGGGAGACGGGGCCCGCGCTGCCCCCACGAACGCTGTTGGTGGGGACCCCACGGCTGCGCCCGCTGAGGTGGAGGGGCCGGGAGGACAGAGCCCCGCGCCCGCCGCCGCCCGCTTCTGACCCTGCCGGTCCCGGGCTGGGGCAGAGAAGGGCGGGCGCGGGCGGCCGTGCCGGGAGCGGAGGCGGACGCCGGCCGGGTCTCCCCGGGTCTCCCCGCTGGGCGTCCTGCGGCCGCACCTCCTCCTCCATCCGGAGACCAGGCCCCTGCCCCGCCCGCGGCTGAGGAGATAAGGAGAGGCTGATTTGAAAAGCTGCGAGGACGCGCATTTTAACCTCCAGGGACGGCTTGAGCCCCGCCCTGCCTTTCGAAAGTGCTGGGAACGGATTTTATCAGCAGGCGAAACTGTCCTCAAAGCTCCGTGGCCCAGCAAAAGGCAGGGCGGGGACGCCCATGGCCCCCGGGCCGGCCCCCTACGGGCTCAGCCTCCGAGTCCCCGGACTGGACGGCGCGGGCGTCGGGGGTCCAGGCTGCTCCGGCCGCCCCGCTGTGAGCCCGAGCTGCGCTGCAGCCGCTGGTCACGTATGGGGGTCCCCCGCGTCCTTTCCTCCAGGCCGGCAGTGGGCTGGGGCCGCAAGTGTCCCCGCGTACACTGGCCGTCCCCCAGGGACAAGGACAGTTGCCCTGAAAAGCTGCGGCTCCCGCCAGAAGGTCCCAGCTCGGGCTGCCCCGGGCAGACGCAGAGCGAAAGGCGAGGCAGGACGGGCCTGAGGAACCTGGAAGTCCCTGCAGGGCCCCTGGAAGAGGCAGGCAGGGGGCTGCCCCACAGACGGGCCCAGGAGAGGACACGCCGGGCTGGCATCACGTGAGGAGAGCGTCCAGCAAACCACACTGGTCCCGAGGCCTCCACGAAAAGTAGATGGGCATCTCGCGGCAGCCACCACTGAGGCAGCACCGGGAAAGCATGGTGGGTGCCCACTGGCCCCGCAGAGGGCAAAGGCATGCACACGCCAGAAGGGAACGTCAAGGGGAGCAAAGAGAACCCCTTCCTCCTGGAATGGCTGAGGGGACCAGGCCGCTCTGTGATGCAGACATCTCAAGGGGCTCTCCCTTGCACTACCCCATGTGGACTTTAACTCCCAATTTGGAAAGTAATGATGTCATCTTCTGTGGTCTCAGGGTCCTAGTGAGTGTGTGAGGATAATAGTGTTACATGTTATGCAAAGGGATTGTGAACTGGCATGGGGGTCAGGTTTGCAGGGCCTGGAGCTGGTGACTCCAGCTCTAGAACAACCCCAGGCCGGCTCTGCCCTACCCAGGAGAGATGGTCATAGGGGAAAGAGTCCAGTGGGCATTGGAGGCGTAGGGGCCACTTAGGGTTGCCCTTTGAGCTGACAGTGGGGTACAGATTCAGCTCTGCAGTGCCCCTAACCCCCACTGCGGATCCACCCGGGGGAATGCCCTGAGGACACGCGAGGTGAGGGTCAGGCGTGTCCTGCTGGGTGGGAACTCCGGACCCTCTGGGAAGGAATGGGTGAATCGGCTGCTCTCACTCTCCAGCTCCCACTCAGAGGAGCCCTGGGGGATCCCATTCCTCTACCTCAGAGGACTCCCAGGACACTGTCTGAGCCCAGTGGGAGGAGGACACACAGCCCTGATCTGCCAGTCAGTGGGGCTGAGGGTCAAGCTGTGCGCCTTGTGTGCTGGCGGCGTCCCGCCTGGGATGGATGGAGATGGTCTGTACTTTCATGGGTGAATTGTAGGGCCCCTGAATTGTATGTATCTCAATAAAGCTGCTAAAGAATAAATGTAAAACCTTTGCCTAGTAACTCAGGTTCACTGGAGTGCATGGGGAGTTTCTGCTGTTTGGACTCTGCATGTGCCTAGTTCCAAGTGACAAGGTGGGTGCGAGGGCACGGCAGCCAGTGCAGGCCCAGCCTCATGGGCTCCTCCAGCTTGGGCACCCTGTAGGGTGTGGGGTTGGTGCCATGGCCCGCCCCCACCCCCCACCTCCACCTGTCCTCCCAGGACACTTCCTCCCCCAGACCTCCTGACATCTGCATTTAGCAAGGACCAGAGCTCAGTCAGCAGAGGAGTGAAACACAATGGCCCTTCCCCACCTGGCTGGGGCACCTCAGCCAACCTCCCCCAGTGGGACCTTCTCGGGGTCTTGGGAGGAGGGCCCATGCATGTGTGAGGCAAGGCTCCCAGCCACACAGGGGACACGAGCCCACCAGCAGATCTTCACCCAGGGTGGCTCATCGGTCCTCATGTAAGGGCAGGATTTAGAGGCACGGGAAGGGCTGCAATCCTCAGGCTGTGCTACTTTGCATAACATGTAACACTATCATCCTCACACACTCACTAGGACCCTGAGACCACAGAAGATGGCATTGTTACCTTCCAAATTGGGAGTTAAAGTCCACTTGGGGTAGCGCAAGGGAGAGAGGAGGGGCCGAAAGAGCCTGGGAGGGTGGCCCTGGCCCTGAATCTGGACGCCTGGACGCTATACACAAGGGCGCTCTGAGCCCATCGCAGGCACGGCCTGGCCGGGTGCAACCCTGCTACCAGGTGCCAGAGCTGTCTGCCTGCAGGAAGTGGCCCCTCCACTAGGGTTCTTCAGAGGATGGTGGGAATGGCTCGCAGGCAAGACTACTCCCAGGAGGGTCCGTGTGCCCTTGTTCATGTGCTCGCCCACAGCTCATGTATCTGCGGACAGCCAGCAGGGGAGGCTGCTGGGGTGGGGGGCGGGCCTCTGGTTTAACTTTCCGTTTTGCCACTGAGCAGCCTAGGCCTCTGTAAAATCGTGTGATGGCGGCATCTGCCCCGAGGATGGTCTGAGAATGGGAGGCAGTAATTGGAGTGAAAGGGCTTGGCTGGACGTCAGCTCCAGAGGTGCAAGTCAGCACTGGGCAGCCGCGGAGCTGCGCTGCTCAGCTGTGAGACAGGGCTCCAGCCAGGGGAGTGGGAACAGAGAGACCGGGTGGGACCTGGGCCAGCTTAGCGGAGGCCTGGCAGGGCCGGAGCTGGGCAGGTGAGGGGTCCCGCACCGCCAGCCTCGGAGCTCCAACTCCAGGGACGGGAGCTGCCCTGGCAGAAGGTGGGGTCACCCACTGAGGTTGGAGACGTGGGCGTGGCAACAGCCCGTGGGGAAAATGCTGAGCTAGCTCTTGAAAGGCTGGGGAGATACAATGTATCAATGCAACAGGGCGTGGCAGGGAGGAGAGTCATGGGTAGGGAAGGGAGAAATGTCCCAGAAACAGGAGCAAGTTAGGGTTCCAGGAGGAAGTGAGGGAAGAAGGTTCCTCTGAAGGTAAATAAGGAAGAGAGCCCTGAGGTACCCAGCAGGGTAGGAGGCAGAGAGGGGGTCCAGTGAAGGGTACTGAGGGACGGGTCTCCAGAGCCAGCTGGAGGAGCTTGAGATGAGGCCAGGGAGGTAGCAGCTGAAGCCACTGAGTTGGACACGTGGAGGAGGCAGCGCAGGTGGCCAGGCTTGGGGCTCCTGGGAGGCTCCAACACCCTCAAGGCACAGGTCGGAGGAGACCCTGCTCAAACCAAGGACAAAGTGAGGGGGTGCAGGGCCCTTCCAGCCGGGGCCGGGGGGGGCCAACGCTGGTTCTTCATCAATTTGGAGCGCCAGGAGAGGGCGGGGATCTAGTCCTGCCGGATACCACCCCCCTTTGGGCTGCCCACACCCCCACCCCCTCTCCAGCAGCCAAGGGAGGCGGGTCCTCCCTTTCAAAGGGAGGTGCCCTCAGGCTCCTCTGGAATTGGGGATCCCTTGACCCAGGACGGCCTGGTGAGGGGTCGGAGCTGACTCCCGCCAGGCTCCGCTGCAGCACCTGACCGCCCCCACAGGTGGCCGGGCCGGGTCCTCATCGCTGGTGGGGCTCCAGGCTGGGAACGGGGGTCGAGGCCGATGCGCTGCGGGCAGCGGCCGCCGGGGGCGCTGCGGGGGCCGCGGTTAAAGCCCCGGCGCGGGCGCACGCGCTCAGAGGGAGCCGGGCCGCCGTCGCTGCCGCCGCTGTCCCCGCGCCCTGCGCCCGGTGGCCCCCCACCTCCGCCCCGCGGCCGTACCTGGCGCCCCCTGGCTCCCCCGGCCCCCGCGCGGCGTGGAGCCATCTTCCCTCACCTCCTACCGGCACCCTAGCTTGCTCCCGGCCCATGCGGCCCCCGCGGGCTCCCGGCCCCGGCTTCAGAACTCAGCCCTGCACCTGAGCGCGGGGCCCGGCGGGGCGTGGCGGCGGCGATGGGGAAACTGCAGTCGAAGCACGGTGAGCCGCGGGCCGGTAGGGCGGGAGGGCGGGCGGGCGGGCGTGGGGCCGCCTCTCACTGTCGTTTTCCTCTCCCCGCGTCCCGCCGTGCCGCAGCCGCCGCCGCCCGCAAGCGGAGAGAGAGCCCGGAAGGTGAGCGGGCGAGCCGACGGGCGGGGCGGGGGGCGGCGACCCGGCCCGGGACCCTCAGAGCTAGGAGCCCGCGCGCGTCCTGCCCTGGAGCCAGCAGTGGGGGGACGGGGCCGCGGGTCTCCAGGAGCGCGCGGGACCCCCACGCCTGCCCCTGCGCGGTCTCCAGGCGATGGGGACACAGCGAAGGCGCAGCGCCCGCGGGGCTCACGGCGCGTCTCTTTCCCTCCTCGGTGCGGGTTTCCCGCGCGTCCGCCCCCGGACCGCAGGGGACAGCTTCGTGGCGTCCGCGTACGCGAGCGGCCGCAAAGGCGCGGAGGAAGCGGAGCGGCGCGCGCGGGACAAGCAGGTAGGCGGCGGGGCGGAGGCTGGGGTCGCGCTGCGCACCCGCCCGGGGGCGGGGAGCGGTGTCAGAGCTGTTCCTGGTGCCCGCCCGCGGACAGGCGAGACGTGGGCCGCCATGGCCGCACGAGTGACCGGGGGCCAGGAGAGCCAGTCTCTCCCCAGCCTCCACGACGTCTGGGGCTCCCGTGGGGCGAGCCCTTGCTAGTGTCCCATGCTGAGTGGCGGGTAGGGGAATCGGAATTCCTTGTCCTAGGCTGGGAGCCGTGTGGGGGCTCCATGTTTCGGGCTGGAGGAGCTGGGCGAGTGGGAGGGGCTGGACCTAGACGTCCCGGGCTGGGGGTCCCGGGGAGCGGGAATGCAGTACCCCGGCTGGATGAGCTGGAGGAGTTGGAGGAGGGGTGGGAGCTACAGACCTGGGGCATCACTGGTCATAGCCTCAGTGCTCAATCAGCAAACATGGCCAGAGTCAGAGGCCTCGGTGCCTCCCATCTCTGGGAGGGGTGACCACAGGCCTGCTAGAGGCTCAGGAGACAGAGGGACATCTGCACAGCTGTGGCAAGGCTGCAGAGACTGCAAGGCTGGCTCAAGAGCCAGGCGGCCCTGAGGGTGGGTGAGGAAGGTGCTATGTCCAGGAGCAGAGAACTGTCCAGGTCTGGGGCCCTGGAAGGGCCTGGGGTAAATTAGACCTGCATGTTTGCTGAGCGTGAGAAAGCTAACATTTGATGGTCATCAGTGTCAGTGTGAACTGTATCGGTGCAGACAGCCCCACCAGGTGGCCAGGCCCACACTTGCCCCTTGCTTCCTCCCCCACTGTCCCCAGAGGTCCCCAGACACAGAACATGCCGGGTCACGCAATCAGTTTCCTTTTTGGAAAGACATTGTTCTGGCAGTTGATTAAAAAAAGTTCTGGGTGTGTTTGGAGACATTTTCTGCAGCTCTGTCTTGAGAAGGGGCTTAGGTCTGCTTGGAAATTAACATGCAATAGAGTTAGGATTGGTGCTTCCTGAGAGTGACCATCTAACGCCTGTGATGGTGGGAAGCACGCTGTAAGGTACAGTAAGTTGGGTGGTCCTGTGAGCCTCTATCCGGGACAGGGAGACCAGGGTGAGGTCATCCAGGGAGCTGTCCCCGCCCCAATCTGGCTCTCTCTGCCAGTTACATTTGCACAGGGGCTTGCTGGTGAGTGGATGGTGCCACTTAGCAGCCAGGTGCTCCTGGTATGATTAGTCAGTGATGTGAGCACCTGGGGTGGGCGGGCGTTCACCTCTCTCGTGGTCAGGGCTTTGGCCGGCCCCTGTCCATTGGCCCACTGGCCTGGAGCCTTCTCCCTGGGAGGCGCTGCACCATGAACCTTAAAATCCCTGAGCCAGCGCCCTCACCATGAAGTGCAGCTCCCAGGGCCATGGGGCAAGGCCAGTGCGCTCTGGAAAATGCAGGTGCTCCTCATGTGACTACGATGTCAGCGTGAGGGCTGCTCGTGGGCGTTTAGACCTGCCACTCTACACTGGGACATTTTCTTTAGAGAATAGCTTGGGAATTGGGGCTTGCTTGGATTGTTACCTTCTAATTTTGCCATCATTTCATGAAAGAAAACTCCTTTCTAAGTTAAAATGAACAAACTCAGAATCAAAGGCTGTCCTGTGAATTAAATACATTTCAGCTTTCAGACAAAAGTGCTGCCTTTCTGTATTTTCCGCCTCTGGCCATGACTCCTCCCACCTGGCATGGAGACCCCAGGGCCCAGGTGCGCCCTCACCTGGCCAAGTGCCCTCCCTGCCACATTGCTGTTCCTCTCACCTGGCAGCTGTTCCCCCTGCGACAGATCCTACTGACGTCCAGGAGAGTCGCAGGCCACCACAGCGAAGTGTCCCTCTGGCTCTCACCTTCTTCTTTTGTGTTGTCCAGAGCCTCGCCCATCGTCCTTGTCCTCCCAGGTGGTATCCACTGAGGAGGGCCAGTCCTGGGTCACCCAGGGCACCCCTTGTGATGCCTGGCTGGGGCCAGCGAGGGGACTCACTCCTTCCCTTCTCCAAAGTCCACCTCCTGGTTCCGTGCGAGGCATCCTGGGTGCCACAGAACGGTGGCAGAGAACCCTGTGGAGATTGGGCGCACTAAGAGCCAAGACCTCCGACCTACCCTCTCTCCCCAGCCCCCAAAATAACACAAATGAGATTGGCTATTATTAATTCCCTGTGAGCAATGCTGGCTCCTGCCTCTGTACGTGTCTGAAAACACCAACAGCAGCACTTTCCCAGACAGGTGTGTCTCTGCACCCCCGACGTGGCTCTCCCTGGCGACTCTGCGGAGCGCCACACTTTGCTTTTGGCGGGACCCGCACGGCTTCATCACCGAGTGTCCCTGAAGGGCTAGGGCCATGGGATCACTGGTGACGGTGCCGTGAAGGTCTGGAGAGTGGATTGTGAGGGATCCGGAGTCCCTGGGGATGTGCGTGGGTGAGGAGTGGTGCCATGGTGGCAGTGCACTTGTGTGGCTGTTTTTCCAAGTGGTAGTGACTGCAGGGAGGATGGCTTCAGGCCTGGGAACAGGCTGCCCCTGCACACTCACCCTCACCATCTGGTCTGCGAGACTAGCTTTAATTTCTACAGCGCTCCCTGAGGCTGGCGGAAAATGGTTCTGAAGACAAGAGTCACTGTTAACTGGAATGTTGTTGTGAATGGAGCACAGGCTTCCATGAAGTAGTGCTGAGGAAGGGTGCGCTGGGGCTAACTCCAGAGGCAGCATTGTAGCGAACACTCGTGACAGACCAGCCAGTGCGTGGAGGAGGCCGTGGCCCTGGCCTGCACGGGGGGCTCTTGCCCACATCTGCAGGAGGCAGCAGGCACGGCTCTGAGTGGCCCGTCTAGGGCAGGTCCCAGCTTACAGGAGGCACTCGCCAGTCCCATCCCCATGCCACGGCCCTTCTGAGTGTGCCAACATGGTACATGTTTCCTGGAAGGGAGCCAGGAGGACCACAGTCGTAAGACCTGCTGGCTCTGTCCAGGGCTGAGCTCCAGGCCAGGGCCCAGGCCTTCACCTGCACTGGCCTCTGGCTTCCAGCAGCAAACTCCATCTGCCCTCAGCATGGCCTTGCTCACGGGAACTGGGCTCAGCCCCACTACATGGCTTGACGCCTTCCGACTGGAACCAGCCACAGTGCCCCAGAGGCTCATATGCCTGCAGCTGGCCTTCCCCCAGAGGCAGGGGTGGGGCTGCCCCTTCCCTGCCCCTTCCCTGCCCCTCCTGGCCACCCAGGAGCCAGCGCTCACCTGTCCTCTGTGGGTCCAGAGAGCTGGATGTGGCAGTGGGATGCCCAGTTCTTGGTCAGTGGGAGCAGTTTCTTGTAGAAGATCCTGGAAAATTCTTCATGGCTTCAAGCACAGTCTGGACGCTACCGCATCAACACAGAGATGCAGGGTGGGGGCAAGATACACATTTGCAGGAGAGACTCGGGCCAGTGCACGTGCGCCCAGAGACAAGGCAGTGTGGACCATACTCTGCTTGGTGCTCGGCCACGTGCCACACAGAAGGAGAGGTTGTGGGTGCCCAGTCCACCCAGCTCTGCATTTGGGGGTGCAAGCCACTCCAAGATGTCCAGGAGAATGGCAGCTTCCAAAGGGAGCAGGGGTGCCTGGGGATGCCTCCAGCACAGACTCTGAGGGCCAACCTTCTGTCTTCTGTGACTCATGTTCCGGGACCCTGTGTCCTCATGGAGCTGAGGCCCATGTGGGGCTTTGTGTCAGAGCCGGCGGCAGCTGCAGTGTGTCATGGCTGCCCTTTGCTTTCTTTTTGGTGCCCTCTGTGTGCCTGGCCCTTGGATACAGGCAGCCGTGTTCCTACCCTGGGATGTGGCCCAGCCATGTGGCGAGGCCAGCACAGACATGCACAGAGGCTCAGGCACAGAGGGAACCGAAGGGAGTTGCCAGGCCACCTGGTCATCCCCCCTTGTGGGAGGCGTCGAGGTCACCTCTGGGCATGACACCTGATGCCCAGCACCTGAGAGCCATAGGACGGGTTGGATACCATGTATGTAGTTTCTGTGCCAGCCTGGGCCTTGGGCCCACTGAGGGCTGTGTGTGCGCCCAAGCTCTCCACCAAGCCGCAGGCATCCCCTGTCCTGCAGCAGGGGCTCTGGGGTGCTGACTGGGAGAGCGTGCTGACTGGGAGAGGCTGCTGCCGGTGCCTGGCCATGAGGTTGGGCCAGTGGATCTGTGTTGCCCATGGTGGAGGCCGGAGGCTGGCCAGTGGCGTGGTCCTGCCCGCTCGGGTCACTGTACCTGGACAGTGCAGATGTGCATTCTCAGTGTCGGCCCCTGTGTCTGTGAAGTGCATCCTGAGAAGCCCTGCACATGGACCAGGCAGGTGTCTGGATGGAGGCCCTGGAGCACAGAGCGTCCCTGCCACAGGGCCTTGGGCTAGAGTTGGGGGTTTCACAGACGAGGCCATCTGGGGCAGCTGTCACCCCTGGACTTCCAAAACAGCTTCCTGAAGCTAAAACTGCCCATTTTGCTGCTGAATGAGCTGAAGTTTTAGATTTCTGCAGGTGAAAGAAGACAGGTGGCTGCACCCTGTTCTCCTCAGTGGGCTGAACCACCATGGGAAGCCTGGTGCTGCTCCGTCCTCCTTCCTTCCTACTTGTGGCTGAGTAATTTGAATTCCTTTGAGGTTTTCATCTTGTTTTGGCTAAAGAGCTTACATCTTTCCTTTTCTTAAAAAACCCAGGCTGGTTTGCAATCCTCGGAAACCAATCATCAGCCCTGCAGCTTTGGGCCGCCGTATGCCTGCATTAGGGTGTTGGGGGTCCATCAGACGCACACGCGACTCCTGGGAGCCGCGGGAACTGTGGCTGGTGCCGGCCAAGGCAGTTGTGCCAGAAAGGGCAGGGCCGTCTCGAGTACCCATCCACGAGTGCCCTTCGGTGCCCTGGGCCCCTGCTGTGCATGCCTCCCGTGTGAGCAGCAAGGTGATGGTGAGATTGGAAATGCAGTTTCATCTGCCTTGTAGGAGTGGCTGGCTCTCCTTTGCCCCTGGGTGGGCACCGCTTGTTCAGAGCTGGCAGTAAGTCCATGGCCACCCCAGGTCCAGGCCCCGACTGGGGGAAACACACACCTTGCCACTGTCCTGTCTAGGCTAGGGTTGGGGGTTCGGCTCTTTCTATTTCTCAGGAAGCCAGGAGTCTGGGCCAAGGGCTCCTGTCCTCCACCCCCGCTTTGCGGCCAAGGGATACCCACTTGGTCAGCCCCGACAGAGGCTGTGAATGAAGTCCTAGTCAAAGACCATAGTTGGGAGCCACCATATGGCCGTGTTACGTGTGGCCCCCTCGCCAGCACCAGGTTTCTGTCATCCCATCGTTAGCAGAGGCGGCTTGCATGGTGGCTTGACAGCCTCTGGACCCGGCTTCGGACCCGGTGCTGCCACTCACAGCCTGGCCACATCCCTCGTGCCTGGGCCACCTGCTTCCCCTTGTGGTCCTGTGAGGAAAGACAAAAGGGACAGCTCCACGCTCCATAAGGCCAGGCAGCGAGGGCCACCTGGAGAGCAGCCAGGTGTGGCCGGGCCCCTTCCTGGCCTTTTGCCCCAAGTGCCGGGGTGCTGCAAGCCAGAGGGGTGCGTGAGTCCGTGAGCTTGTGCCAAGATGCTGTGGGCCTGATTCGTACTGCACAGTCATCTGAGCTGTCAGCAAGCTCTCACTGGTTGGCAGTGCCCACAGCCTCCCTGGCGTGGCCAGGTGTGGTGGGAGCAGAGGCCAGTGGGTGGGAGTGGGGTCCACCGTCCTTCCTGTAGAGAGGAAGCCTCTGGCCTCCTGGCTGCTGTTCTTGAGTTGGCAAAGCCACACTTTACGGAAGCGGTAGTTCTTGAAGCCAGACACACCTGAATTTGGAGTTGCCCAGCCTACCCCAGAATTTGTAGACAGCTACCTGCCAGATCACTGGGTCCCTGGAGCTCTGAAGGCTGAGCCCTATGTCCTTCCTGCAGGGCTCTCAGACAGATGCCTGCATCAGAAACTCCCTGGGTTATGACGAAAGGCCTATGACACCCCTAGGGAGTTGGGGAAGCCTCAGGAGCATCAGGAAGCAGGAGGAAGCAGGAGCCACTGCTGGGGTGAGGTCAGCATTTAGAGGCGGTCCTGCCCGCACATGCTGCCGCCAGCATTTCAGGGTGGGCTGCTCCCAGCAGGACTGCAGATCGGCCTGTCCATGTGTGGAACCCGAGGGGGCCTGTGCTGCGTCCTGGGGCATTCATGCTGGAGGGTTCCTGTGGCTCCGTCCTCTCACAGGTCTTACCAGCCGTGGCCCCTCTCCTGTTGGACTTGCCTTCCTGAACATGGGGAGGGGTCCCGAGCCCAGGACCCCTAATCAGTTCCAAGGGCTCCAGAGCTTTCAGTCTCTGCCACCTTCTGAGCCGTCGTCTGTCACAGATCATGACCGTCAGCTGTCCCTGGAGGTGCGGAAGGAGCCCTTCCTGTGGGGCTGCTGGGTTAACGCCGGAACCATGGGGAGCAGAAGGCGCGGTGTGTGAGAGGGGTCTGCCCAGGTAGCAGGATCCCCCCCCACACCGGACACTTCCCCAGCGTGGGGCGGAGCTCGTGGTGCTGGCCTGGAGGGACACACGGTGCTGACCTGGCTGCCGCCTCTGGACTGCGAAGCCTGGACCTGCTGGGACAGGAGCCTTGCAGAGACCCCGATCCGCTCTCACGGCGAGCTGCACCCATGCTGGCTGATGGGAGCTTTAATCTGCTTTCATGTTGGCAAATACTTGGCAGGGCACCCTTTGGCAGCCTTTCACGCTGGCGTGAAACAAATTGGGTCTGTTCGATCCTGTCCTGCGCAGAGCTGGAATTCACTGGTGGTGATGGCCAGCCCTTGGCAGCTGGAGGGGGAGGGTTTGTTTTCCTTTTGTTCTGCAGAATTTTCCAAGGAAATCGTAAATAGTTTTGCGCACCAAAATCAGAGAAGCTAAAAAGCACGAAATATTGTAATACAAACATTCAAATTGGAGATTATTTTAATGGTAAGTGTCTTGGCGGATTTAGACTGAGAGCCTTGCCAGAGGCCGATGGAAACGGGGGTCCCTCCTTGCTGTCTCCAGTGAGGTTCTCCGTGAGGCACTCACGTCGGTAGCTGGCAGGACCCTCCAGGGCTCCCACCTGCCCTTAAGGCCGTGGTCCTGCGTGGATGTACTTCCAGGACGAGGCCTCTCACATCCGCTAAGGGGGACGTGACAAGAGCTACAGCAGCTGTTTTTGGATAACAGAGCCTACCCCATCCTCCTTTCCACAAAGGATAACAGAGCCGACCTCATCCTCGTTTCCCCAAAGGATAACAGAGCCGACCCCATCCTCCTTTCCACAAAGGATAACAGAGCTGACCTCACCCTCCTTCCCACAAAGGATAACAGAGCAGACCCCATCCTCCTTCCCACAAAGGATAACAGAGCCGACCCCATCCTCCTTCCCACAAAGGATAACAGAGCCAACCTCATCCTCGTCCTTCCCACAAAGGATAACAGAGCCGACCTCATCCTCGTTCCCACAAAGGATAGCAGAGCCGACCCTATCCTACTTCTCACCAGGACGTGCCTGGACATGGTGCAAAGCTGCTGCCCCTGGTGGCCTCCCTGCTGCCCCGGGGACGTGGGTAGCTTGGCTCTCTGTGGCTGGCGTCTGGGCCTCAGCGTCCTGGGGTCCTCAGAGGGACCCCATGTCCCTCTGCCCACCATCACCGCCTGCTCTCTTGGCTGCCCAGGTGCACCCAGCTCAACTGTCCCGAGGGCGTGCCAGGCCAGTGGCCAGGTCCGTGTGCCCTGCACCCTTCAGGGCAGCCACTCATGTCTGAGACCAGCCAGCCCCAGACAGAGCTGGAGCAGGGGCCATTTCAGTGGCCCTGATTTTGCTCCTGAGGGCTGTGGTGTAACACGAAAGAACGTTGCTGTAGGCTTCCAGCCGTGGGATTCCAGGGCTGTCTTTGCCTTGTGCTGCTGGACAGAGCAGGACCTGCACCTCTGTTTGTCACAGGCTTGTCCTGGGCACCGCCTCAAAAGGAGGAAACAAAAACAGAAGGGCTGAGTCCCGGAGCCAGGACCCCAAACCAGAAGTCCCTCCCAGAGCCCACAGCCCCCCACCACGGGGCCGCCCTGCAGCCCCAGGGCCTGAGCTGCTTTCTGGATGCTGGGAGAACCGGACAGTGGCTGCTGGAAGGCAGGCCTGGAGGGC
The DNA here is from genome assembly GCF_000001405.40 of Homo sapiens. Classification (NCBI taxonomy): domain Eukaryota; kingdom Metazoa; phylum Chordata; class Mammalia; order Primates; family Hominidae; genus Homo; species Homo sapiens. The sequence continues at coordinate 1,017,766 of NC_000005.10, forward strand.
TCTGGGTGCTGGGGTGCGGGTGAGGCCGGGCATGGGTGCAGGCCTGTGGTGCTGGGGTGTGAGAGATGCTGGGCTGGAGTGTGGGAGAGGCCAGGCAGGGGTACAGGGCCCGTGGTGCTGGGGTGTGAGAGAGGCCGAGCTGGGGTGCAGGGCCTGTGGTGCTGGGGTGTGGGACAGGCCAGGCAGGGGCGGGGGCTGCCACTTGATGTGGGTGTCAGGACAGTGTGTGGTGAGGAGGCATGGAGGAAGCGTGGCCCCCCAGAGGCTTCCAGGCTGGGCAGCCACTGCAAAGGCCCTGAGGCAGGAGTAGGCCTGGAGGACGGGACGGTAGCAGGCAGGGGCTGCGAGAGACACAGCGGAGGAAGAAGAATGGCGGCCCCCACCCATCTCCCTCTGCCAGAAGGAGCCACGGGCACAGCCTACAGATGTGCACTGGTCTCTGTGCTGTGGGAGGCCAGACCTGGTGTCTGTGAGGAGCACCACAGCTGCAGACCTGCCGGATGACCCTCGGGTGACACTTTGGGGTGGAAGACCCCACCCACCCTGCAAGCCATGTTCCTCGGGCTCCGAGCCCCATCCTCACATCTGTGGAGCAGGTGGGACCACTAGCAGGGGCTTCTGGCCCTTCCTCTCCTCCCATTGATTTGTTGAAAGCGATTTAGGTTTTCTGTAAAACAAAGCGGACATGGGCCTGGGGAAGGTGCTTGCGGGTATTTCATGAGCTTTTCTAGGCCTGAGACATGTTTTAGGTGGCAGCGGGCTCACGTGTGTTGGGGGGAGAGACTGGTCACAGTCAGGGCGACTCAGGGGCTTGTGCTCAGATGGTGACGCCCAGCCCCCTTGTCCCCAGGGTGACAGGGAGAGGTGGCAAGAACTGGCAGCTGCCCACAGGCTGAGCCGAGCCCAGCAGAAAGGCCCAAGGCCGGAGCACAGAGGTGGCCTGGATGCTTCTGGCCGGTGGTCAGGACCCTGCCAGGCCTTGCTTGGAGGCATCTTGTGTATGAGGGGAGCCCTGCCCATGCCAACCACCTAGCTGTGCCCAGGGGAAGCCGCCCCAGAGGCCCATTCTCGGGGTCTGTTTGCCTGTCGTGGGGAGAGAGTGTCACAAGCTGGGCCCACAGGGAGGAACATCCTTGGCCTCCGAAAGGGCAGAGAGCACCATCCCTGCTTTGGGGCATCTAGGGGAGCAGCAGGTGGGGACGTCACGCCTCTGTCCACAGCCCAGTCTGGGAGACTCAGAGCCCTGTTGGTGAGTCCTGGGTCAAAGGGCATAGCGACCAGGCCAGAGCGTCACCTTCCCGCTATCCCTGTGGCGGGGCTGTGATTGCCTCTAGCTCTAGTGACCGGGGCGGTGGTCCTGGCTGCCTGCACCTCCCCTGCCAATTATACCCACTATAGGCACCCCTGTGCCAGCTGCTCCTCTTTTGCGGTTGGAGTGACCCCAAGACGTGCTGTAAGGGTGTCTTTGTGTGCGGCTCAGAGCTCATCCCGAGAACCCTGCAGCCTCCAGGCCTTGGATCCGGTGCCCTTCCTGAGACGAGATTGTGTGTCCCGTAACAAAGATGCGCGTGGTCTTCTCTGAACAATTTTTACCTCTCACGCGGGGGTTCTCACCGCTCTCCCCTGAGAGTGGGCTGTGGCTTGTGTGGACGGCAGCCGCCAGGCATAGCCCCTGCCCCCTAGAGCCCTCTGCAGCCTCGGCCAATAGCAAAGCCGCAGGTGGCCACTGGGCCCTCCTTTCATCTCGTGGAGCCTCTCGCCAGCCACAGCAGGGCCCTCGTGGAGGTTCTGAGATTGTCGCGTGCAGGGCATGCGACGGGGGTGCTTTAGAGAAAGAAAAGGCCTTGATTACTTGTTTGAGTAGCTCAGTCCCCAGGGTCTGGAGCTGTAATCAAATATAAGCCCCTCAACCAGCATTTTCCGCTGTTTCTCTTTGGTAAGGACATCGACGTTGCATGTTCACATATGGTGTCTTCCAAATTAGAAAAAAGAAAACCCTGAAACGCGGCAGGGTTCTTTCCAGCTTTGGAATTAATCTTCCTTTGAAATAGGAAACATGAGGCTTTAATATGAATGAAAGAAAACAAAAACGTCCGGTGGGTTTTTCCCGGGGAAGAATTCAGATAGAAGAGAAGTGGATTCGGGTCTGCTTTCAATCCCAGTGGAATTCAGCCTCCTCTGAGTGGGGCGGTTGAGGGTGCAGCAGTTCGGAAGTTCAGGGCCCGAGTCGTGGTTTTATTTTGTGTGTTCTGCGCTCTGGATGGTAAGCTGAGGGTGGCAGCTGAATTTGGAAGGTTTTCCTTTTTCTGTGACATTGGGGATCGTTAGCTCTGAAGACAAAGACAGTAGCAGGCGTGACTGGGAGAAGAAAATTAGACCTGCAGATGAGTTGTGAAATGGTTGTCTAACATTCAGTGTCAGCACTTCAGGATGCTGAGAGTTGAAGGCAGGGAATAAAGTTTCGGCAGAGTTTATGATCACGCCTCTATTATCTGGGCAGGGGCGCACACACGTATATGTAGGTGTATGTATGATGTGTTCACATATGTGAGTACACACGTGTATACATACATGTATAGAGGTTACACACACATGTACGTAGGTCTGTATTTAATACCTGAGCTGAAGACATTTCATTTCAAGACACCTGCTCTCCACCCCCACCCCCTAGTCACCCTGCTCAGCCTCAGCCACACCTAGCTGACGATGGAGACTCTGGGAGGGCTGTGGGTTCCCATTCCTGAGCCAAGGTGTGGGCCCAGTGGCGCTCACAGCTTCCCCCTCCCATCCGCGTCGGTTAATGCGGGTAAAGTGCTCCCTGAGTCCCTCTCTCCAAGCGTGGGGAGAGGGAAGCTCGGCTGCCTGGTCAAAAAGCCAGGTCTTGCTGACCACGTGTTGCTTGTCTTTTTTTTTTTTTTTTTTTTTCTGCATGTGTTTTACGTTGGGGTTTATTTCATGGGCAGGGCAGCCCTGGGCCTGTCCCTGTAACTCATCTCTTCACTTCCACTTGTAAGGATGCCCCGTGGGTTGGGCTGGGTGCCCCTTTACCCCTTGGTGTGGTCAGTCGTCCCCTTAGGCTGAGCGTCCACCCTCGTGGCAGGGGTGGGCACTGCAGAGACCCTCCCTGGGCTTAGGGCGTTTACTGGGTGAGGGGGCGGATGCCAACACAAAAGCCCTGTAGTGAGGGAGTGAGGGGCGTGGGTAGTGTGGCACCTCCACGTTTTCCCATTTAAACAATCCAGATGATGAAAAGCTGCTGTGAGGCAGGATGAAGAGGGAGACAGAAACATTTCTATTTTCTGGTCTTATAGGAAGTTAAGTCGCAGCAGAACTCTGGCTTGTGAGGACATCTGAGTATTTTAGGAGACCTTTTGACCCCAAAGTTACTGCTTTTCTAGGTATAAATTTCACATGTGGTTATTAAAAGATCTCTCAAACCCAGAAGAACCGATGGGCAAAATCTGCAAATGCCTCTCAGATATGGAGGCTCCGTCTGAATGTATCTAGGGCTTATGTGGGAAGCCCGGCTCCCCTGCCCGGTCCCCCCGGCCCCCCACCTCCCAGCCCCTTTGCTCCTCCCGCTGACCCGGCCCCCCGCCCCTCCACCCACCCACCCACCCACCCACCCGTCCCAACCCCTGCCCCCGACCCAGCCCCCCCCAGCCCCTCCCCACAGGGCCTCAGTCTCATAGTACTTAAATCTTTCACTTTAGAACCAGAAGTTCAGAATAGCAAGCACAGCCTGGAAGGAACTGGCGCACAGTGTTGCTGTAGCCTTTCTGGGCCCCAGCTGCACATGTGTCGGAATTATTAAGCCCGTAAAACTACATTGTCACATCTGAAACTGTTTAGCCATTGAAACCGAGACTTTGACTTCAAAGCCGGCTGCGGGGTTTCCAGACAGGCGCGCTGGCGGATCACCTTGAAGTCAAATTCCATCCTATGGCGGCCGGCAGAAGTGGGCCCCCGGCACCTCCTTGTAAGAAAACACTCTCTTCCGCAGACGCCGGTGGCAGGTTCCCCCCTCCCATGGTGACATTTTGGAGAGGCTTCTTTGCATCTGAGCTCCCAGCAGGGATAAGGCGGATGGGGTGGTGGTCTTTGCATTTAAAGAGCCTTGGAAACCACTGCTCCCCACCAGGCCCCAGGCCCTCTGCCTGCTGCTCCGGGCCCCTCCCCCAGGGCCGCCTGCAGCCTGCTGCGACCAACCCCTGGCCTCCTTCCCTGTTTCCTGCTGGCCTCATTTTCCACCTTGTCTCATAAGGTGCCCTCCCACCCTCCCCCTACCGCCAGTCGAAACGGGGTCCTTGCTGTCCTTCAGCCCCAGAGCCTGCACCCTTGACCTTGCTGGCCCCTGTCCACCAGTAGCCAGTGGCGCTGTCCCTGTCCCTGCTCTTCCCACCTGCTGTGGGTGTCCCAACCCATTGTCCCTGCTCTTCCCACCCGCTGTGGGTGTCCCAGCCCTTTGTCCCTGCTCTTCCCACCCGCTGTGGGCGTCTCAGCCCATTGTCCCTGCTCTTCCCACCCGCTGTGGGTGTCCCAGCCCTTTGTCCCTGCTCTTCCCACCCGCTGTGGGTGTCTCAGCCCATTGTCCCTGCTCTTCCCACCCGCTGTGGGTGTCCCAGCCCGTTGTCCCTGCTCTTCCCACCCGCTGTGGGCGTCTCAGCCCATTGTCCCTGCTCTTCCCACCCGCTGTGGGTGTCCCAGCCCTTTGTCCCTGCTCTTCCCACCCGCTAGTGGGTGTCCCAGCCCTTTGTCCCTGCTCTTCCCACCCGCTGTGGGCGTCTCAGCCCGTTGTCCCTGCTCTTCCCACCCGCTGTGGGCGTCCCAGCCCTTTGTCCCTGCTCTTCCCACCCGCTGTGGGCGTCCCAGCCCTTTGTCCCTGCTCTTCCCACCCGCTGTGGGCGTCTCAGCCCGTTGTCCCTGCTCTTCCCACCCGCTAGTGGGTGTCCCAGCCCTTTGTCCCTGCTCTTCCCACCCTCTGTGGGTGTCCCAGCCCTTTGTCCCTGCTCTTCCCACCCGCTAGTGGGTGTCCCAGCCCTTTGTCCCTGCTCTTCCCACCCGCTGTGGGCGTCTCAGCCCGTTGTCCCTGCTCTTCCCACCCGCTAGTGGGTGTCCCAGCCCTTTGTCCCTGCTCTTCCCACCCTCTGTGGGTGTCCCAGCCCGTTGTCCCTGCTCTTCCCACCTGCTGTGGGCGTCTCAGCCCGTTGTCCCTGCTCTTCCCACCCTCTGTGGGCGTCCCAGCCCGTTGTCCCTGCTCTTCCCACCCTCTGTGGGCGTCCCAGCCCATTGTCCCTGCTCTTCCCACCCTCTGTGGGCGTCTCAGCCCGTTGTCCCTGCTCTTCCCACCCTCTGTGGGCGTCTCAGCCCGTTGTCCCTGCTCTTCCCACCCGCTGTGGGCATCCCAGCCCATTGTCCCTGCTCTTCCCACCCTCTGTGGGCGTCTCAGCCCATTGTCCCTGCTCTTCCCACCCGCTGTGGGCGTCCCAGCCCGTTGTCCCTGCTCTTCCCACCCGCTGTGGGCGTCCCAGCCCGTTGTCCCTGCTCTTCCCACCCTCTGTGGGCGTCTCAGCCCATTGTCCCTGCTCTTCCCACCCGCTGTGGGCGTCCCAGCCCATTGTCCCTGCTCTTCCCACCCGCTGTGGGCGTCCCAGCCCATTGTCCCTGCTCTTCCCACCCTCTGTGGGCGTCTCAGCCCGTTGTCCCTGCTCTTCCCACCCGCTGTGGGCGTCTCAGCCCGTTGTCTCTGCTCTTCCCACCCTCTGTGGGCGTCTCAGCCCGTTGTCCCTGCTCTTCCCACCCGCTGTGGGCGTCCCAGCCCATTGTCCCTGCTCTTCCCACCCTCTGTGGGCGTCTCAGCCCATTGTCCCTGCTCTTCCCACCCTCTGTGGGCGTCTCAGCCCATTGTCCCTGCTCTTCCCACCCTCTGTGGGCGTCTCAGCCCATTGCCCCTGCTCTTCCCACCCTCTGTGGGCGTCTCAGCCCATTGTCCCTGCTCTTCCCACTCTCTGTGGGCGTCCCAGCCCATTGTCCCTGCTCTTCCCACCCGCTGTGGGCGTCCCAGCCCATTGTCCCTGCTCTTCCCACCCGCTGTGGGCGTCCCAGCCCATTGTCCCTGCTCTTCCCACTCTCTGTGGGCGTCCCAGCCCATTGTCCCTGCTCTTCCCACTCTCTGTGGGCGTCCCAGCCCATTGTCCCTGCTCTTCCCACCCGCTGTGGGTGTCCCAGCCCTTTGTCCCTGCTCTTCCCACCCGCTGTGGGCGTCCCAGCCCGTTGTCCCTGCTCTTCCCACCCTCTGTGGGCGTCTCAGCCCATTGTCCCTGCTCTTCCCACCCGCTGTGGGCGTCCCAGCCCATTGTCCCTGCTCTTCCCACCCTCTGTGGGCGTCTCAGCCCATTGTCCCTGCTCTTCCCACTCTCTGTGGGCGTCCCAGCCCATTGTCCCTGCTCTTCCCACCCTCTGTGGGCGTCTCAGCCCATTGTCCCTGCTCTTCCCACCCTCTGTGGGCGTCTCAGCCCGTTGTCCCTGCTCTTCCCACCCGCTGTGGGCGTCCCAGCCCGTTGTCCCTGCTCTTCCCACCCTCTGTGGGCGTCTCAGCCCATTGTCCCTGCTCTTCCCACCCGCTGTGGGCGTCCCAGCCCGTTGTCCCTGCTCTTCCCACCCTCTGTGGGCGTCTCAGCCCATTGTCCCTGCTCTTCCCACCCGCTGTGGGCGTCCCAGCCCATTGTCCCTGCTCTTCCCACCCTCTGTGGGCGTCCCAGCCCATTGTCCCTGCTCTTCCCACCCGCTGTGGGCGTCTCAGCCCATTGTCCCTGCTCTTCCCACTCTCTGTGGGCATCCCAGCCCATTGTCCCTGCTCTTCCCACCCGCTGTGGGCGTCCCAGCCCTTTGTCCCTGCTCTTCCCACCCGCTGTGGGCGTCCCAGCCCATTGTCCCTGCTCTTCCCACCCTCTGTGGGCGTCTCAGCCCATTGTCCCTGCTCTTCCCACCCTCTGTGGGCGTCTCAGCCCGTTGTCCCTGCTCTTCCCACCCGCTGTGGGCGTCCCAGCCCTTTGTCCCTGCTCTTCCCACTCTCTGTGGGCGTCTCAGCCCGTTGTCCCTGCTCTTCCCACCCGCTGTGGGCGTCCCAGCCCTTTGTCCCTGCTCTTCCCACTCTCTGTGGGCGTCTCAGCCCATTGTCCCTGCTCTTCCCACCCTCTGTGGGCGTCTCAGCCCGTTGTCCCTGCTCTTCCCACCCGCTGTGGGCGTCTCAGCCCGTTGTCCCTGCTCTTCCCACCCTCTGTGGGTGTCCCAGCCCGTTGTCCCTGCTCTTCCCACCCGCTGTGGGCGTCTCAGCCCGTTGTCCCTGCTCTTCCCACCCGCTGTGGGCGTCCCAGCCCTTTGTCCCTGCTCTTCCCACTCTCTGTGGGCGTCTCAGCCCGTTGTCCCTGCTCTTCCCACCCTCTGTGGGCGTCTCAGCCCGTTGTCCCTGCTCTTCCCACCCGCTGTGGGCGTCTCAGCCCGTTGTCCCTGCTCTTCCCACCCGCTGTGGGCGTCTCAGCCCGTTGTCCCTGCTCTTCCCACCCGCTGTGGGCGTCTCAGCCCGTTGTCCCTGCTCTTCCCACCCGCTGTGGGCGTCTCAGCCCGTTGTCCCTGCTCTTCCCACCCGCTGTGGGCGTCTCAGCCCGTTGTCCCTGCTCTTCCCACCCGCTGTGGGCGTCTCAGCCCGTTGTCCCTGCTCTTCCCACCCGCTGTGGGCGTCTCAGCCCGTTGTCCCTGCTCTTCCCACTCTCTGTGGGCGTCCCAGCCCGTTGTCCCTGCTCTTCCCACCCTCTGTGGGCGTCTCAGCCCGTTGTCCCTGCTCTTCCCACCCTCTGTGGGCGTCCCAGCCCGTTGTCCCTGCTCTTCCCACCCTCTGTGGGTGTCTCAGCCCATTGTCCCTGCTCTTCCCACCCTCTGTGGGCGTCCCAGCCCATTGTCCCTGCTCTTCCCACCCGCTGTGGGCGTCTCAGCCCATTGTCCCTGCTCTTCCCACCCTCTGTGGGTGCCCCAGCCCATTGTCCCTGCTCTTCCCACCCGCTAGTGGGCATCTCAGCCCGTTGTCCCTGCTCTTCCCACCCGCTGTGGGCGTCCCAGCCCGTTGTCCCTGCTCTTCCCACCCTCTGTGGGCGTCCCAGCCCATTGTCCCTGCTCTTCCCACCCGCTGTGGGCGTCTCAGCCCATTGTCCCTGCTCTTCCCACCCGCTAGTGGGCGTCTCAGCCCATTGTCCCTGCTCTTCCCACCCTCTGTGGGCGTCCCAGCCCATTGTCCCTGCTCTTCCCACCCGCTGTGGGCGTCTCAGCCCATTGTCCCTGCTCTTCCCACCCTCTGTGGGTGCCCCAGCCCATTGTCCCTGCTCTTCCCACCCGCTGTGGGCGTCCCAGCCCTTTGTCCCTGCTCTTCCCACCCTCTGTGGGCGTCTCAGCCCATTGTCCCTGCTCTTCCCACCTGCTAGTGGGCGTCTCAGCCCATTGTCCCTGCTCTTCCCACCCGCTGTGGGCGTCCCAGCCCTTTGTCCCTGCTCTTCCCACCCGCTGTGGGCGTCTCGGTCCATTGTCCCTGCTCTTCCCACCCTCTGTGGGCGTCTCGGCCCATTGTCCCTGCTCTTCCCACCCGCTGTGGGCGTCCCAGCCCTTTTTCCCTGCTCTTCCCACCCTCTGTGGGCGTCTCAGCCCATTGTCCCTGCTCTTCCCATCTGCTGTGGGCGTCTCAGCCCATTGTCCCTGCTCTTCCCACCCGCTGTGGGTGTCCCAGCCCATTGTCCCTGCTCTTCCCACCCTCTGTGGGTGTCCCAGCCCATTGTCCCTGCTCTTCCCACCCACTGTGGGTGTCCCAGCCCTTTGGGTTCCTTGGGATCCAGACATCACCCTCAGCCTTTTCCTGAGAGGCCCAGCTCCAGCCCGTGTGCCATATCCCAAAGCTCCCCTCCCTGAGCCACCTGCCAGGCACTCACTTCATTCTACCACGTCCAGCATCCTCCCAGCCCCCGAGGCAGGAGGTCACTGCTGGCCTGGACGTGGCCTTGGTCCTGCCCAGCCGCATCCCAGGTGCCTCCCGAGTGCCCTGAGGTGGCGGTGGCTGCAGCCTAAGCTTGGCAGGCGCCTACCTTGCTCCTCACCACTTGGCATCCTGCCTGAGCCCCACAAACTGGCCCTCGATGCCACGACAGCCCCGTAATTCTGGCAGCCTTGGGCCTGGCAGCCCAGTTTGTAGGATTAGCCCTGCAGAACAGGGTGGCCACAGGGGTGGTGACAATGACCACAGGACATGGGCCAGGCTGTCACCCCGGCCCTTCTTTCCAGCTCCTGGGGGCCCCCTGGGCACAGCTCGAGAGCCACTGCTTGACCTGCCAAGGACAGGGAGGTGCACCAAGGCCATTTCCCCAGTGGCAGAAACTTCGAGCCAGGGGCTCCACCCAACAGGGCCGTCCCCACCACAGTGCAAGGTGGCCAAGGCGCTGGGGAGCCAGAGTGCAGCCTGGGAGGTGCCTATGGATCTAGGGGTGCCAGGTGCTGCTGGTGGCGATGAAAGCTGTAGGAGAGGCCCGTCCTGTGTCAGGCGGTGTAGGAGCTGTGCCTTCTGGATAACGTCCCAGACTTGGGGTTCCACACCCACTCCAGAGGGACCCGGGAGCCCCGAGGTCTGGAAAATGCTGCCCGACACGCCCACCCAGTTCTCTGAAGCCTTCCTCTCTGTCTCTCTCCTCCCTCCCCGCTCCCTCTCCTCTGCCTCGGCTCCCATCACCTCCACCCTCCCAACTCGTGGGGAGACGTTGGGCTCCAGGGGATGCTCCCAGCCTGGCCTCCTGGACACGCTGTGGCCTTTGCCTGTTGATCGGGGTTGGTATTTCTAGAACCCTAGACCAGGGTTTAGGTCATGTCCCAGAGGGCCGTGACTTCACTGTGGACACCCGTGTGTTTCCCACCGGGCGTTCCACCAGAGCTGTGGCCAACAGCTGCCCTCACGAGGCCCAGGAGGGGACAGCGCCTCCTTGCATTTGCGAGACCTGGGAAAGGTGCCTGGCCGTGCCCACCTGTCCACTGGGAAGAGGACATCGCCCGCTCCAGGTGGCTCCCAGAGGTGCCTGCACCGGCACTTCCAGGTTGAAGGCCACCAGGATGATACCTGTGTTGCAGCTGCCTGGCGCCTCTGCAGGGGTTCCGACAGACGGGGTGGCTCTGGGGGGCAGTGGTGCTCCAGCTGCTGGGCGCTGCCGAGCGCTGGCACGTGGGGAACACACTCCTTTTGACTTTTCCAAGGAAGCTGGGGGTTGAGGTTTTGTGAGCGTCTCTCCGTGCCTGGCCGCCTGTGGAGGCTGTGGTTTGCATCTTACCGTCTGGGCTGGGACCAGGACGGGGGCTGGGTGCTGGGAGGACGAAGCGCTCAGCCCGGTGCCTGTGGCGGGGATCAGATGTCCTCACTGTCGTGGCGGGGACGTGGACGGTGGCCTCGGGGTGGTTGGCTCACAGACCAGGGTGGCCTTCCTGAGCATCCCGTAGGGCCGTGGGACCTGAAGCAAAGGCTACCTGTTGTTGACGCCGTGTGACAGACGCCTGCTGCTCATGCAGCTGCGAGGCTATGGGTTCTGGTCCCGGAGGCCTCCGTGGGTTGGGGTCAGACCCTCCTCCCAAATCTGAGGTGATGCTGAGTGAGGGAGTGGGGTTGAGCTGCTCAGGCAGATGCGGCTGCTTTCCTTATGGGATGAGGCCCCACGGGGCAGGCCCACGGTCGGGTTCCTGTCCTCCCAGGGGCCAGGAGAGCCCCCGGCATCACAGGAGGATGCCATGGGCGGGAGGGGACAACGGGCATGGGGAGGTCTGCAGGCCAGCCGTGGGGTCCCTGCTGACCTGGAGGGTTCTCAGGGATGCAGAGCAGTGGGACAGGCTAGAGGAGGCGCCTAGGCACCCCAAACCGGAAGTGCAGCTGGGACAGGAAGGGGGGCGGAACAGGTTGGGGGATCACAGGAGGGTCTCGCTAGGGACAGGGCCAGAGGGATTGAGGGGGAGGGTTGGGCCCTCGGGAGGGAGTGAGGGTAGGGTGGGTCCTCAGGAGGGCGAGGCCAGGTGGGGGCTGCATCTCAGGGAGGGGCGCCCGCCCTGGGAAGCTGAGGCTTTGGTGGGTGCCGGGGCACATTGGGCCAGGCCTGCTGGGATCCTGTGTGCGGACTTGGCCTCTCAGAAGGTCTTCCCAGTGGGGAGGGGCTGCACATCTGGCCAGCGGCCCGGGGGCAGGTTTTATAAGTTGCAATTAAAGCTCTTGGCCTTCTAGTTAACCGAGGCAGCGTAGATTAAAGGGCAGTTTTATGCAACCAGGACGGATCTGATGAAATCACCAGCCACAGAGATTGGAGTGGCTTTGACTGTAGATGCTCATTTTTTCCCGTTTGATCCTCCCTGCATCTCAGAGGTAGCTGTTGACCTGGGTCTTAGAAAAAACACTGTGCGTTCGAGCGCTGAGAATTCTAGGGAATAAGGGGATATTTTTTCAATGTGGTTTTCCTCTGTGTTAGGAACTCAGTCATGGGCTGGTTGGTGTAGTATTGGCTGGTTGATACAGCGTTGGCTGGTTGGTGCAGCGTTGGCTACATGGTGTAGTTTTGGTTGGTTATTACAGTTTTTATTGGTTATTGTAGCTTGGCTGGTTGGTGTAGCGCGCGGAGCGTTTCCAGACATCAAACCACGGGTCTGTGCAGATTCTGTCTTGAACAGCTGCGCCCCTCCTTCTGTCACCCTGTGCATTTACACTCCTGTCTGTAACCAGTGAAATCCCCCACAAGTGCGCTCAGAATTTTTAGAAACACGGCACGGGCTGCGTTTACATTTTCACTGTATTAGCTTTATGCGTGGAGTGCGTGATGTGCTGTTTCTCACTTGACATGTTCAGCAAATCGTGGGAAACACTTAAAAATCCTTAAAAAATACTCCACCCCGTCCAACCCGTCGCCCGCTGCCTGTCCTCAGGAGCCACCGCACCTCCGGCTCCTCTGAGTTCTGGCACTTTCCAGGAAGCCACTGCTGCTGCCCCTCATCTGGGCAGCGATGTGGCCTCCATGAGTGACCTCAGTTAAGGCTCTTTAGCAAGGAGTGCTGTACGCGCTGGCCCTCAGGCCCCAGGGCACCTCACTGCTATCTGTAAGGAGGCTCAGGGCACCCAGCACCATGCAGGAGGCCTGAGCTCTGCCTGCTGGTCTGATGGGAGGTGAACTGGGTGCCTGAGGGGGGATTGTGGTGCGGGGGGGGGGGTACTGAGAACCCTGGGGGCTTCACCACACAGGTCCCCTGCACCCTCCCCACATCCCAGAGGAGAAGGTCTGGGCTGGAGCTCCCAAGGGTAGACAGGGATGCCTCGGGGCACCCACCTCAGCATTTAGGGTCACCTTCCCCTCCCTACCAGCCCTCCACAGTGGCAGTGCCTGCGTCCCTCAGCCTGGGCATTGGTGGTCTTGGCTGCCCCCCTCCACAGTGACAGTGCCTGCGTCCCTCAGCCTGGGCATTGGTGGCCTTGGCCCCCCTCCGCAGTGGCAGTGCCTGCATCCCTCAGCCTGGGCATTGGTGGCCTTGGCTGCCCTTATGACACCATTTCTGTCGGCAGCCACCTCCAAGCACCTGCACGAGTCCACCTGAGGGGCTGTAGAGCTCCTAGTATCTGGTCCATCCCACGAGGATTCTGTGCCCATGGGGGCTGCAACTCTGGGGCTCTGGGCACTGCTCTGCACTCCATGGAAGCCCACGACTGCAGCCTCACCCATTATTCTGATTTTGAAATAAATAAATAAATAACTACAGCCTGGGTTTTAGAGATGATTTGGTTTTATGCCAGCGTCCACCTGGACAGAGCTTTTCCCTCACAGCGGTGCCTCCCTGCTGTGTGGATGTACAAAGGCCTCGCCGGGCTGGGCTCATGGGGCCCCTCAGGCTGCAGCAGCCAGTCCCGGAATGTCGGGACTGCAGCCCCCAGGAGGGAGGCCTACTTTTTAATAATCAGCTGTTTTGTTTCTTATTAAAATGAGGGCAAGCTCTCCTGCCTCCCGCTGGGAGCTGCCCACCCTGCCTTGGCACCGCCCTGGGCGGCCAGCAGGAGACCTCAGCTCTGGGGGGCCCTTGGCTCAGCCACAAGGGGGGCTGGGGGCCTGGGTCTCACTCAACAATATTCAGCCTCGGCAGCGCCACCTTAGTGCCCATGTGTGGGTGGGGGTCTGGTCCCTCTCTCCCCACCCAAGTTCTGGGGTGGCAGCTGGCCAGCCTGGAACCTTCCACCATACCCTGTTTGGACCCTGGCCAGTGACCACGGTGGCAGGAGGCGCTTGGGGGGGTCCAGGTGCCCTCGAGGGTGACCCTGCTCAGCCTCCTGCCTGGGCCAGACTCCAGGAACCCCAGGGACCCCGGCAGGGCAGACAGCCCCATAGGAGGTCAGAAGAGATGAGGGGCACATGACCCCTGGTCAGGAGGAAAGGATGAAGCCGTGGGGACTGTGAGGGCAGTCCCAGCTGGGCAGCCCTGGGGTCCTGTGTCCACCCACGGAGACACCAACTCGGCACCAAAGTCATCTCCAGGGTCAGGCTCTGGCCGTCCAGGTGGACGGGACTGAGCTCTGTGCTGTATCTCCTTGTGGGCTTTCCACGGCTTTCCAGGGACCTGGAATCAGAAGCAGAAACACAGCTGCCCATCCCTCCCGCCCGCCTGCCCGAGAGCTGCCTGCTCTCAGGAAATGCTCCAGGGCGGTGTGTGCTGGGCCGAGGGGCTCCGCACCTCCACCACTGCGCAAGGCCCCTGCCCTGACCACAGGTCTGTCTCCTTCTCTGTGTCCTGAAGGCTGCAGATTATTCATGAGAACCATGTGAGCTTCGGCTCAGCTGAAACACCGCTGGGATGTGTTTGAAGTTTTTCCCCATTTTCCGTAACTGGTCTCGGCCGGCAGCCCTATAAGAGGCATGTTGGGGTCCTGGGCAGCCATGCGGGCAGCGGCTGGAGTCCTCGTGTCAGGCTCCAGTGGGCAGTGCTGGGAGCAGGCCCCAGAGCAAAGGGGCAGTGTGTCTCCTCTTGCATTTAGGGTAATCCAGCATGGGGGCCCTGGCCAAGGGGATCCCCAGGGCAGCACTGACTGAAGGGGTCATTCCAGGCAGCTGCATCTTCTACCTGGAAATGCTTTGGGGAACCTGACAACACAGGAATGTCTGTGTGTTTTGCTTCCTAAAATCTGAGGCTGAGTGGGGCACGAAGGGTTGGTGTTTCTGGACCCAGAGATTGAGACGCCCCAGGAGGCCTGAGGCGAGTGTCAGGCTCCAGTCCAGCCGCCCAGAGCTCCTGCCCATCTCCCCCGCCTGCCCACTGAGCTATGTGGCCACTGACTGCCCCGTTCTTCCTGCAGGAGCTGCCCAATGGGGACCCCAAGGAGGGGCCTTTCCGGGAGGACCAGTGTCCCCTACAGGGTGAGTGCAGCTCCCGCAGCCCTCCCTCCCCAAACTCACAGACTTCATCCCGTACCAAGGCAACGCCGAAAACCACCCTTAAAACAACCCCGTGTGCGGAGCGAGGGCACTTCCCAGGCTTAGACGCACTTTGTTCTTAAAAAGCCTTGGCAGCACAACTCACAGGGTCCTCGCTGGACTGGCAGCTGCGATCTGGCAGCAGAGACCAAAAAGGCCTGTCCCATGGGCAGAGCCCTAAGCGTTACCTTTATGTGTTTGGAGTCTCTGTGAGCCTGTGTTTGTGGATGGGGGTGGCTCTGTATAAAGGGGACCTGTGAATTTTCAAGTTAGCCCTGGGCTGGAGGATGTGTGAGATGCTGGCCCAGCCTAAGTCACTGCCACGCGTGTATGCCTCAGTGGCACCAGTCCTACCTGTGGCGCGTGGCAGGTCAGCACTTGGCTTACCTGTGGGTCTGTGGGAGGGTGCTGGGAGGCCAGCAAGCAGGGCCACCTTCGGATGGCTGCTGAAGCCAAGAGAGGCACCCACACCCCCTCAGTGGGAAGGCAGGCCCAGAGCATCGTCCCAGCTCAGGCTCGACGTGCACCTGTCTGCAGGTGCTGAGCCCGGACAGTCCCACACTCCTATCCTGGGGACGCAGCTTGCAAGTGCTGGAGAATAACGGAATAATTGTGCTCCAGAAACCAGAGGACTGTTCATCCATCCTGCCCAGAGGCTGCGGGGAGGGGGCCGCCTGTTGACACACTCAGTGCACAGGTGGCCTGTGTGGCCTGTGGGCTCAGTGCTAGGATTCTGGAGTGGAGGGCCGGAGGGACTGTGTCTATGGGGAGGGGGCCCAATGATGACACAGGGAGCATCTCCTGGAGGCCCAGGCTATGTTCCCCTATCTGTGCTCCTCGGAGTCTGCTGCACCCCCAGCTCTGAGGTGGTGGTTGCAGTTGGGGGCCACCGTGGGCTGGTGAGAGGAGGGCACACCCGGCTGTGGCTGGCCGGGATAGGGCCTCCCTCCCCTCCGCAGGGGTCCCAAGATCGGGCTCTCAGCTCAGGCCCGTCTGGACAGGATCATGGTGTGGTGAGGGGAGAGCAGCGAGGGTCCCCAATGGCGGGCCACATCCTCCATGTGCCCTCTGCCAGCCCCTTCGCCTCCTCTTGTCCCCCTAGTGGCACTCCCCGCTGAGAAAGCTGAGGGCCGCGAGCACCCGGGACAACTCCTCAGCGCAGATGACGGAGAGAGGGCAGCAAACCGCGAGGGCCCGCGAGGACCGGGCGGGCAGCGCCTCAACATTGACGTGGGTCTCTCTCCGGCCTCACTTGCGGGAACACGTCCCTGGGGCCGGGGGCTCAGGGACAGGCATGTGTTGCCCTAAACTGGGCATCTGTGGACACGGCGTAGTTCACTCAGTCTTCCCCACAGTTCACCCCGTTTAAGGCATTGAAGCAGAACTTGAATGTGCAAGCCAAAGTCAGCAGGAGCCAGAGAGTGCAGGATGTTGCTGTGAATTTGGCCAAAACTGACTGGTCTGGCATCAAATAACTTGAGCCGCATTCCCAGCCTTGGTGCCCTTGGCACTACAGGAGTAATGCCAAAGCTGACTTGACGGACAGCCCGACTCTCTGCCCGCTGGAGGCAGGGCACAGGGCTTCCGTTTCCCGGGAGGGCTCAGGGAGGACTGGGGTCTCCGTGTCCAGTCAAGATTTCTGGAATTGACAACACTTGACGGCCAGTGTGTCCTCTTCTCCTTCTGGGTGACGTGGAGTGCTTGCATGAGCTGAGATAGGTGTCACTGTGGGGGAACCGAATCACAGGGCACAAAGCTGGGTCCCCCCAAGAAGGGCTGGAGCTGGGCAAGAAGGGGTCTGCTGGTTCAGGGCTTGAGCTCCAGCCACGCTGCCCTCTAGGCTCCGCCTTTCCTAGCTGGCATGAGGGACCCCTGGGAAAGGCCCCAGAAGATCCTTCCCCCTGTGGAGTTGGGCGTGTTGGCGTGGGTAGGAGGCGAGGTCCCGGCCCCCACGTCCCCCCACAGGCACTCCAGTGCGATGTCTCGGTGGAGGAGGACGACCGCCAGGAGTGGACGTTCACGCTCTATGACTTTGACAACTGCGGGAAGGTCACCAGGGAGGTAGGTGAGCTTGTGTTTGCGTCAGGTCCACAGTAGTAGACAGACGGGGCAGACAGACTGTGCTGGCCTCGCGATACCTCAGGGGGCAGGAGGGGACCTGCCTGCTGCGAGGTCCTCATGCCAGCTGGGCTTGCGTCTCCCCAGGGCCCAGTTCACGTGTGTTTCTGGGCCGAGCCTGCGCCGCCCATTTCTGCGGCTGTGCTTCCCACACTGCAAGGCTGCCCTCAGGGCACTGGAGGCGCTCACAGGGCCACCTGGGCAGACCCAGGCTGCTCCGAGAAGATGCCTGTGTTGGTTCCTGTGGTCTGTTGGTGGATGCAAGGATGGCATAGGAAGGGGCGGGGGCTGGATGTGTTTTCTGGCAGGGAGGGCGGGTGGTGTCCCCTGGGGTCTGCTCTGTCAGTGAAACTGATGCCGGGCCCCAGGACATGTCCAGCCTCATGCACACCATCTATGAGGTCGTGGATGCCTCGGTCAACCACTCCTCGGGCAGCAGCAAGACCCTCCGTGTGAAGCTAACCGTCAGCCCTGAGCCCTCCAGCAAGAGGAAGGAGGGTCCTCCTGCTGGCCAGGGTGAGTGAGGCCTGGGCACACACAGAGGACCCTACCCAACATTGGCAGGGGCCTAAGCTGTGTGCGCGGGACAGGGAGGGACAAGTGAGTGGATGGAGGAGTGAGTGGGTGAATGGATGGGTGAGTGAGTGAATGAGTAAGTGGGTGAGTGAGTGAGAGAGTAAGTGGGTGAGTAAGCAGATTAATGAATGAATGAACAAGTGAGTGAGTTAATGAATGAGTGAACAAGTGAGTTAATGAATGAATGAGTTAATGAATGAGTGAGTGTTAATGAATGAGTGAGTTAATGAGTGAACGAGTGAGTTAATGAATGAGTGAACGAGTGAGTTAATGAATGAGTGAACAAGTGAGTGAGTTAATGAATGAGTGAACCAGTGAGTTAATGAATGAATGAATGAGTGAGTGAGTTAATGAATGAGTGAATGAATGAGTGAATGCTGAATGAAGGAGGGAGGGAGTGAGTAATGGCAGGACCCCCCTTTCAGACCGGGAGCCCACCCGTTGCAGGATGGAGGGTGAACTGGCAGAGGAGCCAAGGGTGGCTGACAGGAGGTTGTCTGCACACGTCAGGTGAGGGCTGGGGTGCCAGGGTGGGGCTGTGCCTTAGGCGGGGGCACCCTGGCCACACCCCTGCTTCCCGCAGGCCACAGGCCACAGGCCACACACCATCCTCTAGGTCAGACCTGCAGGGGGCACCTGGTCCAGCAGCTCTGTGGGGCATGGGCCCTTCCAGCATCTGGCACCCTGGCTGAGCTGGGCCCCCAAGTCTGTCTGAGCAGAGGGCTTTGAGGGGCAGCAGCCACAGCGGCCTTGACACCCTCAGTCTGGACTTGCTGTGGCTCACTGTGGCTCCCTGTGGCTCCACTCAGCAGCTTTGGGGGCAACAGGGCTGGGGGTGGCTGGGGCAGTGGCTGAGGGTGGCTGGGGCAGTGGTTGGGGGTGGCTGGGGCAATGGCTAAGGGTGGCTGGGGTAGTGGCTGGGGATGGCTCAGGCAGTGGCTGAGGCAGTGGCTGGGGGTGGCTGGGTGGCTGGGGTGTGGCTGGCGCAGTGGCTACAGTGGTCCCAGAGTGGTGATCAGGTGCCACTACAGCATGAGCCACTCCCTAGAGCACCTGCGGCTCTGGTGCCTGGGAGGGAGTTCACAGGGTTCTGGGGGTCGGCTGTGACCTTGTTTCTCTGGACGGCACTTGACTGTCTGTGCCCAGGCGTCCACTCTCCTTCCTGCTCTGCGAGGAGGTGGGTGCTGGTCAGGATGCACCCCGGACCCCTGCCGCCTGCTGTAGGCACCCCGTCATCAGGGGTGCGCCACCCAGTCTGTGCGGGGGTCAGGCCCTTCTCTGTGCTCCAAGCAGGAGGCCCAGTACTGACCCCCAGCCCTGCTCGGAGCGGGGGCCCTACTGCGTGGACGAGAACACGGAGCGCAGAAACCACTACCTGGACCTCGCCGGGATTGAGAACTACACGTCCAGATTCGGCCCTGGTAGGTCCTGGAGGCCACCCTGGGCGTGAGGCCCTGGCTGTGGGTGCCCATCGAAGGTCTTGATTCCCACAGCCCTGAGTGCAGGGGGCCCCTCCCTGCCCTGCCCCGCCCCCCCCCAACCCCCCCCACCCCACCCCACCCAGGACGGCACCCAGGTCCTTCCACAGCTACCTGTTGGTCATGGCTGCCTCCTGGCTACCTGTTGGTGCCGCCTGAAAGCAAGGCGGGCGTCCCGTCCAGGTGTGTGTATGTGGCGGATGCGGGGGTGCCTGGTTCAAAGTGAGATGGAAGACATTGGGTTTGCATTCAGGGAAACCCTGCCTTGGGGTGAGAAGTCAGTATTTTAGGGTGGAATCACCGGCTCAGTCAGCAGAGGGGGTCGTCCAGTAGTGTGGATGGCCGGCAGTGTGGACAACAGGCAGTGTGGACGGCAGGGCAGGCAGTGTGGACAACAGACAGTGTCGACAGCAGGCAGTGTGGATGGCAGGCAGGCAGTGTGGATGGCGGGCAGTGTGGATGGCAGCCAGGCAGTGTGGACGGCGGGCAGTGTGGATGGCAGGCGGGCAGTGTGGACGGCGGGCAGTGTGGACAGCGAGCAGTGTGGATGGCAGGCAGGCAGTGTGGATGGCGGGCAATGTGGATGGCAGGCAGGCAGTGTGGACGGCGGGCAGTGTGGATGGCAGCCAGGCAGTGTGGACAGCAGGCAGTGTGGATGGCAGGCAAGCAGGTGGATGGCAGGCAGCATAGATAGCTGGCAGCCTGCCCAGCACACGTTTATTTCCGACTAGCAGCACCCCTATGTGGCCTGCATGGAGATTCTTGTACCAAAGCCCAGGCCACTCCCCAAGGGCTGGGGCCAAGTCTCTCTCATAACCCCGGCTTCAGGAGTCCCCAGGGGCAGGAGGGGTGGAGCTGGATCAGGGTCATGGGGGCTCAGTGCGCTGTGTGCTGACCCTGCCCTCCTTGGCCGCGCTCTGCACAGGAGCTGCACCCTACAGGGCTCGCACTGCACGTTGTGAAGGTGGCAGTCCTGAGTCCTTCTCAAATCTATTTTGTAATGAGGGTTTAGGGGATGCGAATCCTGGGGGCGCCCTCCCTGATATAACCTGGCTTTCTGCCACGGCGCCCCAAGCAGGGTCTCAGCTGTGCGAGAAGAGAAGCTCCGCTCCCAGGACACACAGTGGGGACAAGGCTAGAGGAGTCGGCCTTTGCAGGGAGCTGTGGAGCCAGGCAGGTCACCCACAGTGGCCAGGCCCCTTCCCTTCAGGGCTGGTGGCCGTCTGACTGCAGACTTGGCTAACAGACTGGCCTCAGGTGGGACCCCTGGCGCAGCTCTTCCAGTGGGCCCTGGGCCGTTTCTGAGGAGATGGGAACCTGAGCCTGCACTCCCAGGGCCTCACACTCTGACCTGTGTCCGCAGGGTCCCCTCCTGTGCAAGCAAAGCAGGAGCCCCAGGGCAGGGCCTCGCACCTCCAGGCCCGGTCCCGCTCCCAGGAGCCAGATACACATGCCGTACACCACCGCAGGTCACAGGTGCTGGTGGAACACGTCGTGCCAGCCTCGGAGCCTGCTGCCCGGGCCCTGGACACGCAGCCCCGGCCGAAGGGGCCGGAGAAGCAGTTCCTCAAGTCCCCCAAGGGCTCCGGGAAGCCGCCTGGGGTGCCAGCCAGCAGCAAGTCCGGGAAAGCCTTCAGCTACTACCTGCCGGCCGTCCTGCCGCCCCAGGCCCCTCAGGACGGCCACCACCTCCCGCAGCCCCCACCGCCACCCTACGGCCACAAGCGGTACCGCCAAAAGGGCAGGGAGGGCCACTCGCCACTCAAGGCCCCACACGCTCAGCCTGCCACAGTGGAGCACGAGGTGGTGCGGGACCTGCCGCCCACGCCAGCAGGAGAGGGCTACGCGGTGCCAGTGATCCAGCGGCACGAGCACCACCACCACCACGAGCACCACCACCACCACCACCACCACCACTTCCACCCGTCCTAGCGCCACTGCCAAGCACACCTCGCTCCCAGCACACCACAGCCCGCGACCTCAGGGCAGGGAGCAGAGCAGCTGCCGGCTGTGTGCCCATGGGGAGCCCAGCCCCCACCCCCCACCTCCGACAGCAAACAGCAACTGACTGCAGGTGCTGGCATGATGGAGGTGGTGCACCTTGGACACGTGGACAAGGCCCAGGCGCCCTCTGCTCTTCTGCCCTCGATGCCACATGGCGGTGAACACATCTGAAGCCACTATGTTTCCTGGCTCTAAGGCTCGTCTGTGTAACCCATAAAACCTGCTTTGATTCCAAAATGAGGCCCTGGAGTGCGCAAGGAGTGCCCGGATGCTTGGGGTGGGTGTTCCTCCCGGGGCTTCAAGGGGTGACTGCTGTAGGCTGTCCCAGTGCGAGGCCGGGAGCGAATGGAAAAGCTGAGGCTTTGCCTGGCTTGTGCATCATGAAGTGAGAGGGGACAGGGCCGGTGGGGGGAAGCAGCTTGTGCTTAGCAGGGAGCATCCGCGGCTCCCCGCAGGAGGCCAAGCAGCAGAAGGCAGCAGTGCTAGAAAGAGAAGTGCCAGAGTAGGGAGTGCAGACCAGTGAGGAGGGGCCACAGGGCACAGGGGGAGCCCACACCAGTGAGGAGGGGCCACAGGGCAGCATGCGGCAGTGGAGGTAGCCCCTGGTCCCGGAGCCACAGCAGCTCAGGTGCATGCAGGACACAGTCAAGGCGGGGAGGGGCAGGGCAACAGATGCTGGGGAGAGGGAGAGGCTCGCGCTGGGTGCGGCTCAGAACACGGGGACTTGCACATTCACGGTCCCAACACTCACGGGGCGACTTCTGTGACATGTCAGCTTTGGAGAAAGGTGTGTCCTGCAAGGGTCAGGAGACGGTTGCAGGCCAGAAGGACGTCCCAGTGACGTTTCGGAGTCTTGCAGCCTGCAGGGGTCCATGTGGTTACCCGGAACAGGAACCGTGGGGGTGCTTTCCGGGACCCAGGGGGCCCGTGCCAATGTTTCTGAGTCTTGGAGCCTGCAGGGGTCCACGTGTTTACCCTGAACAGGAACATGCGGGTGTTTTCCGGAATCTGGCGAGGCCGCGCGGCAGTTTTGCATTTACATTCCTTGTTTTGTTTTTAAGGATAAAGCGGTGCTGGGTGGGGTCTGTGGGAGGGGTTTGAGCCATGGCGGAAGATCCCTGGTGAATGGCTTGGATGTTTGTCGCCTCCGAGTCTCATGCTGAGACGTGATCCGTGGTGCTGGGTGGGGTCTGTGGGAGGGGTTTGAGCCATGGCGGAAGATCCCTGGTGAATGGCTTGGATGTTTGTCGCCTCCGAGTCTCATGCTGAGACGTGATCCGTGGTGCTGGGTGGGGTCTGTGGGAGGGGTTTGAGCCATGGCGGAAGATCCCTGGTGAATGGCTTGGATGTTTGTTGCCTCCAAGTCTCATGCTGAGACGTGATCCGCAGTGCTGGGTGGGGTCTGTGGGAGGGGTTTGAGTCATGAGGACAGATCCCTGGTGAATATGGCTTGGCGCCCTTGCCGTGGTGATGAGTGAGCTCTCATTCGGTGTTTGTGGGAGATCTGGTTCTTTAGAGCAAGGGCCACAACCCCCAGGCTGTGGACTGCTACTGGTTTGTGGCCTGTTAGGAACGGGCCTCACAGCATGGGGTGGGCGGTGGTGAGTGAGCATGAGTGCCTGAGCCCCGCCTCCTGTTAGATCAGAGGCGGGATTAGATCCTGATGGGTGCTCGAACCCTGTTGTGAACTGCGCATACGAGGGATCTAGGTTGTGTGTTCCTTATGAGAATCTAATGCCTGATGATCGGAAGTGGAAGTTTCATTCTGAAACCATCCCCACACCCCGTCCGTGGAAAACTTGTCTTCCACAAAACCAGTCCCTGGTGGCAAAAAGGTTGGGGACTGCTGGTTTAAAGGAACTGGCACCTCCCCCTCTCTCTCTTGCTCTGACCATGTGACATGCCTGCCCCTCCTTTGCCTCCTGTGTTGAGTGGAAGCTTCCTGAGGTCTCCCCAGAAGCTGAGCAGATGCGGGCACCATGCTTGTACAGCCTGCAGAACGGGGAGCCACATAAACCTCTTTTCTTTATAAATACCCCAGTGCCAGGTATTCTTTTATAGCAATGCCAAACAGACTAACACAGGAACCTCCCCCCCGTCAAAAACCCTACAAAAAACACATATGCACAAAAAGTGAGCCAGTGCTGAATGGTCTCGTTCATTAAACACCCACATGTAAAGATCAGTGTGTCTTGTCAGTTACGCTGCAGCAGCTTGGCCTGGGGCCAAGGGCGAATTGTGTGTGTGAAGCTGTTGGGTACCATGTCCAGCAGGCCTGGCACATGGTGGATGGGAAGGGACACAGCACAGGATGGCATCAGGTCCCTCTCTGGCTCCCGGGCCACACCTGTCGGGGGACATGGGTGCCACCAAAAGGAAGGCCGTGCTGTGCTGCAGGCAAGATGGAGGCAGAGGCTCCTCGGAGGACTCCCGGCACACAGCCTGCTCCTGGGGCAGCTCTACCTGCCGTTTGGCCCAGTCTTCCCACCATGCTGGCACCAGAAAGGCTTCACTGCAGGAGACCGGGTGACAAAGGTGACACACAGACAGAGGCCTGGGTCACAGAAACCAAGAGCCTTGTTCTTTCTTGTGTGAGTGTAGACTTTGACTACCAGATGATCTTGTCGCTGGACCAGCCTGTATCTGAATGAGTGGGAGTGACTTGGTGTAAATTAGTGAGTGAATGGGTGAAGGATGAGTGGGTGAATTAGGGAATGAATGAGTGAACGGGTGAATAAATGAATGGAACGGTGACTGAGTGAGTGAATGACAGTGGTGAGTGAGGGCTGAGGGGTAAATGAGTACATGAGTAGGCGAATGAATGCATGACAGTGAGTGGGTTAGTGTGTAAATGAGTGTGTGAATGAGTGAACGGGTGAATGAACAATGAGTGAGTGACAGTGATGAGTGAGGGCTGAGGGGTAAATGAGTACATGAGTAGGCGAATGAATGGGTGGGTGACAGTGGGTGAGCTGTGAATGAATGGGTGCTTAAGGAGTGAGTGAATGATGAGTGGGTGAATGGGTGAGTCAGGGAACGGGTGGATGAGCAGGTAAGTGAATTAGTATGCAGATGACTGGGTGAACGAGTTGGTGAGTGAGGGAACCAGTGAGTGAGTGGGTTAGTGTGTGAATGAGTGGGTTAGTGTGTGAATGAGTGGGTGTGTGAACGAGTGGGTCAGTGTGTGAATGGGTGTGTGAACAAATGGGTTTGTGTGAATGGGTGTGTGAACGAGTGGGTGTGAATGAGTGAATGGGTGTGTGAAGGAGTGGGTTAGTATGTGAATGGGTGAACGAGTGGGTTAGTGTGTGAATGAGGGAGTTTGTGAATGAGGGAGTTAGTGTGTGAATGGGTGTATGAACGACTGGGTTTGTGAATGGGTGTGTGAACGAATGGGTTAGTGTGTGAATGGGTGAGTTTGTGAAAGAGGGAGTGTGTGGATGTGTGAATGAGTGGGTTAGTGTGTGAATGAGTGGGTGTGTGAATGGGTGGTGTGTGAATGAGTGGGTTAGTGCATGAATGAGTCGGGTTATTGTGTGAATGAGTTTGTGAATGGGTTAGTGCGTGAATGAGTGGGTGGGTTAGTGTGAATGAGTGGGTGTGTGAACGAGTGGGTGAGTTAGCGTGTGAATGGGTTAGTGTGTGAGGGGGTTAGTGTGTGAATGGGTGTGTGAATGAGTGGGTTAGTGTGTGAACGAGTGGGCTAGTGTGTGAACGAGTGGGTGAGTTTGTGAATCAGTGGGCGAGTTAGTGTGTGAATGGGTGAATTCGTGTGTGAATGTGTGTGAACGAGTGGGTGACTTAGTGTGTAAATGACTGGGTGTGTGAGCGAGTGGGTGTTAGGGTGTGAGTGGGTTAGTGTGTGAATGGGTGAGTTAGTGTGTGAATGAGTTAGTGTGTGAATGAATCAGTGGGTTAGTGTGTGAATGAGTGAGTGAATGGGTGGGTTAGTGTGTGTGTGAAGGGGTTAGTGTGTGAACGAGTGGGCGAGTTAGTGTGTCAATGAGTGGGTGTGAATGAGTGCGTGTGTGAATGAGTGGGTGAGTTAGTGTGTGAATGAGTGGCTGTGAACGAGTGGGTGAGTTTGTGAATGAATGGGTGAGATCGTGTGTGAATGGGTTAGTGTGTGAATGAGTGGGTGGGTTAGTGTGTGAATGAATGGGTAGATTAGTGTGTGAATGAGTGGGTGGGTTAGTGTGTGAATGAGTGAGTTAGTGAATGGGTGGGTTAGTGTGTGAGTGAGTGCATGAATGGGTGAGTTAGTGTGTGAACGAGTGGGCGAGTTAGTATGTGAATGAGTGGGTTAGTGTGTGAAGGAGTGGATGTGTGAACAAGTGGGTGAGTTAAGTGTGTGAATGAGTGGGTGTGTGAACGAGTGGGTGTGTGAATGAATGGGTGAGTTCGTGTGTGAATGAGTGGGTGTGTGAATGAGGGGTTTGTGAATGAGTGGGTGAGTTTGTGAACGAGTGGGCGAGTTAGTGGGTGAATGTGTGAATGAGTGGATGAGTTAGTGTGTGAACGAGTGGGTTAGTGTGAATGAGTGGGTGAGTTAGTGTGCAAATGAGTGGGTGAGTGTGAATGGGTGTGTGAACGAGTGGGTTAGTGTGAATGGGTGAGGTAGTGTGTGAATGAGTGGGTTAGTGTGAATGAGTGGGTGTGTAAATGAGTTTGTGAATGAGTGGGCAGGTTAGTGTGTGAATGAATAGGTGAGTGTATGAACGGGTTAGTGTGTGAATGAGTGTGTGAATGAGTGGGTTAGTGAAAGAGTGGGCAAGTTAGTGTGTGAATGAGTGGGCGAGTTAGTGTGTGAATGAGTAGGTGAGTGTGTGGGTGTGTGAATGAGTGGGTGAGTTTGTGAATGAATGGGTTTGTGAATGGGTGGGTTAGTGTGTGAATGAGTGGGTTAGTGTGTGAATAAGTTGGGTTGTGTGAATGAGTGTGTGAATAAGTGGGTGGGTTAGTGTATGAATGAGTGAGTGTGTGAATGGGTGAGTTTGTGAACGAGTGGGCAAGTTAGTGTGTGAACGAGTGGGCAAGTTAGTGTGTGAACGAGTGGGCGAGTTAGTGTGAATGAGTGGGCGAGTTACTGTATGAATGAGTGGGCGAGTTAGTGTGTGAATGAGTAGGTGTGTGAATGAGTGGGTGTGTGAACGAGTGGGTGAGTTTGTGAATGAATGGGTTAGTTTGTGAATGAGTGGGTGGGTTAGTGTGTGAATGAGTGGGTTAGTGTGTGAATAAGTTGGGTTGTGTGAATGAGTTAGTGTGTGAATAAGTGGGTGGGTTAGTGTATGAATGAATGGGTGAGTTTGTGAACGAGTGGGCAAGTTAGTGTGTGAGTGGGCGAGTTAGTGTGTGAAGCAGTGGGCAAGTTTGTGAATGAGTGGGTGAGTTACTGTGTGAATGAGTGGGCATGTGAATGAGTCGATGAGTTAGTGTGTGAATGGGTGTGTGAACGAGTGGCTGAGTTAGTGTGTGAATGGGTTAGTGTGTGAATGAGGGATTTTGTGAATGGGTGTGTGAACGAGTGGGTGAGTTAGTGTGTGAATGAGTGGGTGTGTGAATGAGTGGGTGAGTTGGTGTGTGAAAGAGTGGGTTAGTGCATGAATGGGTGGGTTAGTGTGTGAATGGGTTGTGAACGAGTGGGTGAGTTAGTGTGTGAATGAGTGGGTGACTGTGTGAATGAATGGGTTAGTGTGTGAATGAGTGGGTGAGTTAGTGTGTGAACGAGTGGGCGAGTTTGTGAATGAGTGGGGGAGTTAGTGTGTGAATGAGTGGGTGAGTTAGTGTGTGAATGGGTGTGTGAATGAGTGGGCTAGTGTGTGAATGAGTGGGTGTGTGAACGAGTGGGTGAGTTAGTGTGTGAATGAATGGGTTAGTGTGTGAATGGGTTAGTGTGAGTGAGTCAGTGGGTTAGTGTATGAATGAATGAGTGGGTGGGTTAGTGTGTGAGTGGGTTAGTGTGAAAGAGTGGGCGAGTTAGTGTGTCAATGAGTGGGCGAGTTTGAATGTGTGTGAACAAGTGGGTGAGTTAGTGTGTGAATGAGTGGGTTAGTGTGTGAATGAGTGGGTGTGTGAACGAGTGGGTGAGTTACTGTGAATGAATGGGTGGGTTAGTGTGTAAATGAATGGGTGAGTTAGTGTGTGAGTGGGTTAGTGTGTGAATGAGTCAGTGGGTTAGTGTGTGAATGGGTGGGTTAGTGTGTGAATGAGTGAGTTCGTGTGTGAATGGGTGAGTTAGTGTGTGAATGAGTGGGTGAGTTAGTGTGTGAATGAGAGGGTGTGTGAACGAGTGGGTTAGTGTGTAAATGAGTGGGTGTGTGAACGAGTGGGTGAGTTGGTGTGTGAAAGAGTGGGTTAGTGCATGAATGGGTGGGTTAGTGTGTGAATGGGTTGTGAACGAGTGGGTGAGTTAGTGTGTGAATGAGTGGGTGAGTGTGTGAATGAATGGGTTAGTGTGTGAATGAGTAGGTGAGTTAGTGTGTGAATGAGAGGGTGTGTGAACGAGTGGGTGAGTTGGTGTGTAAATGAGTGGGTGTGTGAACGAGTGGGTTAGTGTGTGAATGAGTGGGTGAGTTAGTGTGAATGAATGGGTGTGTGTGTGAATGAGTGGGTTAGTGTGTGAATGAGTCGGGTTAGTGTGTGAATGAGTGTGAATGAGTTAGTGTGTGAATGAGTGGGTGAGTTAGTGTGTGAACGTGTGGGCAAGTTAGTGTGTGAGTGGGCGAGTTAGTGTGTTAATGAATAGGTGAGTTTGTGAATGAGTGGGTGTGTGAACGAGTGGGTGAGTTAGTGTGTGAATGAATGGGTTAGTGTGTGAGTGGGTGGGTTAGTGTGTGAATGGGTGGGTTAGTGTGTGAATGGATGAGTTAGTGTGTGAATGAGTGGGTTAGTGTGTGAATGAGTCGGGTTAGTGTGTGAATGACTGGGTGGGTTAGTGTATGAATGAGTGTGTGAATGGGTGAGTTAGTGTGTGAACGAGTGGGCGAGTTAGTGTGTGAATGGGTGAGTTAGTGTGTGAATGAGTGGCTGAACGACTGTGAATGGGTGTGTGAACGAGTGGGTTAGTGTGTGAATGAATGGGTGAGTTCGTGTGTGAATGAGTGGGTAAGTGTGTGAATGAGTCGGGTTAGTGTGTGAATGTATGAATGAGTGGGTGGGTCAATGTGTGAATGAGTTAGTGTGAATGAGTGGGTGAGTTAGTGTGTGAACGAGTGGGTGAGTTTGTGTGAATGAGTGGGCGAGTTAGTGTGTGAATGGGTCAGTGTTTTGGTGTGTGAACGAGTGGGTGAGTTAGTGTGTGAATGAGTGGGTTAGTGTGTGAATGAGGGAGTTAGTGTGTGAGTGGGTTTGTGAACGAGTGGGTTAGTATGTGAATGAGTGGGTGAGTTAGTGCATGACTGAGTGGGTGAGTTGGTGTGTGAATGAGTGGGTTAGTGCATGAATGGGTGGGTTATTGTGTGGATGAGTGTGAATGGGTGTGTGAACGAGTGGGTTAGTGTGTGAATGAGTGGGTTAGTGTGTGAGAGTGTGTGAGGGTGTGTGAATGAGGGGGTTAGTGTGAACGAGTGGGCGAGTTTGTGAATGAGTGGGCGAGTTAGTGTGTGAATGAGTGGGTGTGTGAATGAGTGGATGTTATTGTGTGAATGAGTGGGTGTGTGAACGAGTGGGTTAGTGTGTGAATGAGTGGGTGAGTTAGCGTGTGAATGAGGGATTTAGTGTGTGGGTGTGTGAACGAGTGGGCGAGTTAGTGTGTGAATGAGTGGGTTAGTGTGTGAATGGGTGTGTGAGTGGGTTAGTGTGTGTATGGGTGTGTGAACGAGTGGGTTAGTGTGTGAATGAATGGGTTAGTGTGTGAATGAGTCAGTGGGTTAGTGTATGAATGTGTGTGAGTGGGTGGGTTAGTGTGTGAATGAGTGGGTGAGTTAGTGTGTCAATGAGTGGGTGAGTTTGTGAATGAGTGTGTGTGAACAACTGGGTGAGTGTGTGAATGAGTGGGTGAGTGTGTGAATGAGTGGGTTAGTGTGTGAATGAGTGGGTTTGTGAATGAGCCGGTGGGTTAGTGTGTGAATGAGTTAGTGTGTGAATGAGTGGGTGGGTTAGTGTGTGAATGAGTTAATGTGTGAATGAGTGGGTGAGTTACTTTGTGAACGAGTGGGCGAGTTAGTGTGTGAATGGGTTAGTGTGTGAATGAGTGGGTGTGTGAAGGAGTGGGTGAGTTACTATGTGAATGAATGGGTGAGTTAGCGTGTGAATGGGTGGGTTAGTTTGTGAATGAATGGGTGAGTTAGTGTGTGAGTTGGTTAGTGTGTGAATGAGTCGGTGGGTTAGTGTGTGAATGAGTTCGTGTGTGAATGGGTGAGTTAGTGTGAATGAATGGGCGAGTTAGTGTGTGAATGAGTGGGTTAGTGTGTGAATGAGCGGGTATGTGAACGAGTGGGTTAGTGTGTAAATGAGTGGGTGTGTGAATGAGTGGGTGTTTGTGTGAATGAATGGGAGAGTTAGTGTGTGAATGGGTGAGTTAGTGTGTGAATGAGCGGGTGTGTGAACAAGTGGGTTAGTGTGTAAATGAGTGGGTGTGTGAATGAGTGGGTTAGTGTGTGAATGAGTGGGTTAGTGTGTGAATGAGTGGGTTAGTGTGTGAATGAGTGGGTTAGTGTGCAAATGAATGGGTGAGTTTGTGAATGGGTTAGTGTATGAATGAGTCGGTTTAGTGTGTGAATGAGTGTGTGAATGAGTAGGTAAGTTAGTGCGTGAACGAGTGGGTGAGTTAGTGTGTGAATGAGTCGGTGAGTTAGTGTGTGAATGAATGGGTTAGTGTGTGAATGAGTGGGTGGGTTAGTGTGTGAATGGATGAGTTAGTGTGTGAATGAGTGGGTTAGTGTGTGAATGAGTCGGTGGGTTAGTGTGTGAATGAGTGGGTGGGTTAGTGTATGAATGTGTGAATGGGTGAGTGTGTGAATGGGCAAGTTAGTGTGTGAATGGGTTAGTGTGTGAATGGTCGAACGAGTGTGTGTGTGAATGGTTGTGTGAACGAGTGGGTTAGTGTGTGAATGGGTGAGTTCGTGTGTGAATGTGGGTGTGTGTCGGGTTAGTGTGTGAATGTGTGAATGAGTGGGTGGGTCAATGTGTGAATGAGTTAGTGTGAATAAGTGGGTTAGTGTGTGAACGAGTAGGCGAGTTAGTGTGTGAATGGGTTAGTGTGTGAATGGGTCAGTGTGTGAGTGGATGTGTGAACGAGTGGGTGAGTTTGTGAATAGGTGTGTGAATGAGTGGGTTAGTGTGTGAATGGAGTTTGTGGGTGTGTGAACGAGTGGGTTAGTGTGTGTTAGTGTGTGAATGGGTGAGTTGGTGTGTGAATGAGTGGGTTAGTGTGTGAATGAGTGGGTGGGTTATTGTGTGAATGAGTGAGTGGGTTAGTGTGTGAGGGAGTTAGTGTGTGAGTGGGTGTGTGAACGAGTGGGTTAGTATGTGAATGAGTGGGTTAGTGTGTGACTGGGTGAGTTGGTGTGTGAATGGGTTAGTGCATGAATGGGTGGGTTATTGTGTGGATGAGTGTGTGAATGGGTGTGTGAACGAGTGGGTTAGTGTGTGAATGGGTTAGTGTGAGTGTGTTAGTGTGTGAATGAGGGTGTGTGAATGAGGGGGTGTGTGAACGAATGGGCGAGTTTGTGAATGGGTGTGTGAATGAGTGGATGAGTTGTGTGAATGGGTGTGTGAACGAGTGGGTGAGTGTGTGAATGAGTGGGTTAGTGTGTGAATGAGGGATTTAGTGTGAGTGGGTGTGTGAACGAGTGGGTTTGTGAATGAGCGGGTGTGTGTGAATGAGTGGGTGAGTTGGTGTGTGAATGAGTGGGTTAGTGCGTGAATGAGTGGGTGGGTTAGTGTGTGAATGAGTGGGTGTGTGAACGAGTGGGCGAGTTTGTGAATGGGTGTGTGAACGAGTGGGTTAGTGTGTGAATGGGTTAGTGAATGGGCTAGTGTGTGTCAGTGGGTTAATGTGTGAATGAGTTGGTGAATGTGTGAACGAGTGGGCGTTAGTGTGTGAATGAGGGTGTGTGAACGAGTGGGTGGGTTAGTGAATGAGTGTGCGAATGAGTGGGTAAGTGTGTGAATGAGTGGGTGAGTTAGTGTATGAGTGGGCAAGTTAGTGTGTGAATGGGTGGGTGAGTTGAGTGGGTGTGTGAACAAGTGGGTTAGTGTGTGAATGAGTGGGTTAGTGTGTGAGTGGATTAGTGTGTGAATGAGTGGGTGGGTTTGTGAATGAGTGGGTTAGTGTGTGAACGAGTGGGCAAGTTAGTGTGTGAATGAGTGGGCGAGTTAGCGTGTGAATGGGCGAGTTAAGTGTGTGAATGAGTGGGTGACTGCTCTAGCCGAGTTCTTGCTCCTTGGGAAGCACCGGCCAAGGCTAGGAAGCAGCCTGGTTTTTGGGGTCCCAGGGAAGGGGACACCTAGGGGTTTCTGGCTGGGCCCTGGTCCCAGATGTGTAGGCATCAGTGGGTCTCCAAACCTCCCTGCTGGAATTTGTGAGCATCTGGCCCTCAGGACAGTAGGCCCACCCCAGCCGGCCGCTCCCGTGCTCTGAGTCCCGGGTGTGGATGCCTGGGTGCAGCCAGCACTCACCCCTCGGGGGTCCGAGGACGACGCTGCTCTCACGGTCACTCTCCTGTGACCCGAGAGCCAGAGCAGGACCCGCCACCCTCCTGTGCCGTGTCCCTTCCTGTCCACCATGTGTCAGGCCCACTGGACACGGTGCCCGGCAGCTTCACACACACAATTCGCCCTTCGTCGTGCACGAGGCAGTGTTCCAGCATGTTCAGTCACATAAGCTTCACCACAGCCATTTCGGAACATTTTCACCCAAAAAGAAATCCATACCCTGTAAGCAGCCTCCCCCCATCCCCCATCTCCCCCCATTCCCCTTGACCCACCCCCAGCACCCGCCAGTGCACCCCCTGCCTCTGTGCCTGGCCCACTCTGGCATTTCGTGTTAAGTGCAGTCCCACAGCGTGAGACCCTTTGTGTCTAGCTTCCTCCCGAGCGTGAGGCTTCCAAGCTTGGCTCCTGGTTCTAGCTGAGAGGCCTGCAGCAGGCACGGCCCACATGGACTCAGCATGTTCTCGGGCTGCATCCATTTTGGCTGCTGTGAACTTGCGTGCACCCGTTCCTGAGGCTGTGCCACACACCAGGAGTGGACCTGCCGGGGAAGGGGCGGCTCTGTCTCTCACACTTTCAGGAACCACAGGCCCTTCCCGTGCAGCTACAACCCTGCAAGAGGGGTCCGATTCCGCACGTCCTCCCCGCGATTCTCTGGTTTTGGCTGTGACCATCACAGGTGTGAGTTGGCATCTCACGAGTTAGAACACGCTGTCCCCACTCATGGCGGACTCTCTGGTGCCTCCATCCTTATATAAATTAAATTATAAATCGAATGGCCGGGCATGGTGGCTCATACCTGTAATCCCAGCACTTTAGGAGGCTGAGGCAGGCAGATCACTTGAGGTCAGTTCGAGACCAGCCTGGCCAACATGGTGAAACCCCATCTCTACTAAAATACAAAAATTAGCTGGGCGTGGTGGTACACGCCTGTGATCCCAGCTATTCGGGAGGCTGAGGCAGGAAAATAGCTTGAACCTGGGAGGCGGAGGTTGCAGTGAGCTGAGGTGACGCCACTGCATTCCAGCCTAGGCAACAGAGACTGTCTCAGAAATACAGAGATTGGGTCACTTCAACACACAGCACTAGGAAGTTTGGGGTAAGGTCATTTCCAAGCCGATGACATGATTTGGAAGCCCTCGTCCAATTCATATGGTCACTCTTCAGCCACCTGAGTTGGCTGTGGCTGGTCAGCCCTGACGCTCCTGCTAGAAAAGGGGCGGCCAGTACATTTTCTCCAGCTGTCTTTCATGCTGAATGAGACTCAAGAGATTCTTCAACGTACTCAGATTTCATAGGATTTTATTTTTCTACTAACACAGACAGACAGGGAAACCTACAAAAGGAAACGGAGTCAATTGTAAATGGCTGTAGTTACTGGTTACACGGAGTTGACAACACAAAGGATGCCTGGTGCTTGCGTGCAGAGGCTGCAGCCCAGGGCGGGGGCAGAGCTGAGCCCTCAGGAGGTGGTTTCGTGTGCAGAACTGAGCGGCCCTCAGAAGCAGGGCTGTTTTCCAGCCACCAACCAACGTTCAGAGCCAGCACCATGTGGCCGCTGTGCCTCTAGCCTGCTCTCCTCCAGGTGCAGGGGACACAGGACCTGCCGGCCCCATCCAGACATGGAGGAGCGTTTTGCTGCTTAACTCATGCTTAGCCAAGGCAGGCAGAGGCTGTGGGAACTGCTGAGCCCCGCTGTGATGTCTGGGACACGCTCTGGGCAGCAGCCGTCACTCTACAGCAATGCCAGCCCTAGTCTGGCTCCTCAGAAACATCTGGGGGCACAAGTGCAGCCTCTGCCCCGATTTGAACTTTGTTGATGGGGCTGATTCCCTTGGGAGACCATGCAAGCCAGACGTAGCCCAAGGCCTGGCCATCTGGGGCCTCTAGTATATAGAAGCAACCTCTTTATGGACAACCTTGTTACCACGTAACTCCCTGGGGTGTTTAAATAAATAAATATGCCACATAGAAAGGGAGGCCCAAGTCGGTGCCACTGCCCGCAGCCTGCAAATGTGACCACAACCTACAAAGCAGAAACTCACAGCCAGCCGAAGTGCAAAGTGTTGGGCCCTTGAAAGCTATCTCTTCAGTGCCACCGCCGCCTCCATGCAAGGCACAGGCCATGGCAGGGGACGCCCGGGACTCAGCCAGACAGACCTGACACCAGGCGCCACTGCTGCCTGAGGACCTCCCACGTCGGGTCCGTGTCCTCCTTCCCTGGAGCACCGGGGTGGGGATGGCACGTGTGAGCCAGCTCAGAGGCTGAACTGTGTGCCGTGCTCCTGGGGTGGGGTGGGGTGGGGAGGGCAGTCCTGGCTGTCGTGGGCTGTCGGGGGAACTCACTGTTCACTCTGCGCGCGTGTGCCCCTGGGTTTCAGTGCATTTGCCTGCGTGAGGCACTGATCGCACCTGTGGCTGTGGGCTGGGCCCTGTCAGTGCTTATGAAAAGAAGTGGCTGGTTTTCTAAAGGTGGATGGAGACTCGGACAGCTGCAAACACAGCCCGGCATGGCAGAGCCACAGCTGGGGGCCCCTTCCCGGAGCGTAGGCCCTGATGAACTGAACGTGTTCACCACACACCCGACAGATGATCCACCACGTTCTGGAAAAGCCGAGTTCCCTTTCCAGATGGCCCTGGCCCACGCCTCAGCTCATGAAATGTGGACCTGCCGAGCCCAGAGGCTCCCACACGAGGGTGACACGGGCATGGACAGAGTCCTCCAGCTTCAGTGCCTTGAGGTACAGAAACACAAAGACAGTCAAGGAACAGAGTGACTCGGAGGTGACCGGGGCCCTGAGCGGAGCCATGGCCAGGGCTGACGTTTCACCTTCATCATCAGGGACAGCTTCAGCTCCGGGTGCTCTTCCAAGAATGTTCTGGATGGGGTAGAAATGCAACCTAACCACTGGGTAAATCCAGCCAAGGAAAAGAACTTCCAGAAACCAAGGCAAGGGCTCACTGGCTTCTTGTGACCTGCGAGAAGATCTGGCCACGTCCAGGTCACTCCGGTAGCAGCGTCTGCCCTCAGATGCAAGGAAATCGTCCAGCCACGCCCTGATTTGCTGAGCCTGTTAAGGCTGAACAGGAGAGCCCTAGGTGACGGGCCTAGAAACTTCCGTAGGAAGCCCCATGGGCAGCTTGGGCGGCATCACTGGGGGACAGGTGTGTCTGCCGTCTGTTTCCCTGGGCCAAGCCCAGGCCCAGGCTGCCCACGCCGTCCTCCGTGCCTGTCCCAGAGTGCCGTGATGCTGTTGGGCATTAGGAGTAGATGGTGATCACCTCCCGGCCGCCACCCCTGACCAGGAGGACTCTGTTCAGCCCCTCGGTCAGGACTTCAAGAAACTCCATGTCTGTGGTCAACAGAGTTAAGGCCACAGCTGATCTTACCTGAGCGTGTGTAGCTGAAATCGTGATAGGAGTGAGGTTTATCCTCTCCTGGTTAGCTAAGATTTGGTTTGAGAAACCCAGAGCCAAGGTGAAAAGAGAGGTGGGGATTAGAGAGACCCCCCAGGCGGGGAGGAGCAGGGCAGGGGAGAGAGGGGCCAGTGCTCGGGAAAGAGAGGGAGCACCGTGGCCACAGGGAGGACGAGCAGAGACAGCGACACAGCCCACGGTGCTGACCCCACCCGACAGGGAACCCCAGCCACGGGACTGGGTCCTCACCAGCCTACAGGGGACCTGGGCCACGGATTCCGATCAGGACGCATGGAGGACATGCCCTCACTGGCCCCAGTTCTTGGTGCCAACCTGGCAGGGATGTGCCAGGCGTCACCCTGTCTGTGCCAATACGCCCAGATGCACTGCGGAGTTCTCCTTCCAAAGCACAAATTCCCAAAGCTGCGACCAATTGTGGCCTTAAAGCCGAGAGCTGGGCTCCTCACCTCCCACCGTTGTCGGCGCAGGGTGGGGCTGAGCCCCAGCGGAGGTCCCAGAATGCACAGCTGCTGTGGGGATGCATGACAGGGAGCCTCCCAGCCCCAGGGCAGCCCTGAGCACCTGGGGACAGTGGGGCTGGTACTGTAGGCGGGCCCTCCCTCCCCCACACCAATGCCAGGGCTGGCCCCAACTCTGGCCCGGTCACCACTGGGCTCAGAGCCCCACTGCATCCCGGTCGTAGCTCCCAGAGCCTGGGGCTGAAGGAGAGGCGGGAAGCCAGCCTCACTCCCAGCACCCACAAACCCAGGTCTTAGCGAGAAGCCACCAGGGGGTGCCCGCACGCTCAGCAGGCACACTGCAAGAAAGGATACAGTTCTCGTCTCCCTGCCGGTTTTTGGGAGGACCTGGCATGTTGAGCAGGACCAGCTGCGCATCCTGGGACTTGTTGAGGACGACGCCATTGAGCTTCACAGCCGTGTGCATCCGCCTGACGTTGGACTGGTCCCTGCAGGGGAGGTGGGCACGGTCAGCGGGCGGCGGGTGCACCCCACGCTCCGGACACGAGGCTGAGCTGAGCCCTGATGAGCTGCATTCACACGTGTTGGAAAGGGCTGTGTGAGTCAGGATCAGGCGGATTCTCTGACCCTGAAGGATGCAGAAGTGGCGGCTCCGAGCGAAAGGCGCTGACTGCAGCCAGGGCGGGCGTTCAGCAGCGGGATGCTTTGGCCTCCAGGGACCTAGAACTCAGCCCACTAAGGCTGCCAAGCTTCTAAGGGCTACAGTCACACAACACAAACCGCAAGCGCTTTCCTAACTACATCTACATCTGCAAAGCAGGCAGAACAGTGGAAGCCGTCTGGGTGGCCCATGTGCCTGACGCCTTCAAGGCTGACACGCTTCTCTTGACATCTACATCATCGCCCCTAAACCCCACGTCAGACACTGCCAAACACAGACCCGTCAGGCTGGGCACACATGGCCTCCTCTCCGAGGGTCCTGATACAACTGGGTCCAAGGGGCCGGAAGCTCAGGAAGGAAAGGCCCAGAGTCCCCCACACCGGCCTGTGCAGCCGTTGCTGCTGAAGCTCCCAGGCCTGACAAGGACAGGGTATGCCGAGGACTCAGCTGGAGGCACAGGCCCTCAGTGGCCACTACTGGGTCCCCTCCTACGGCCCACCCTGCCCCTGTCTGGCCAAGGGCTAAAGGACAAGCACTTCCACCGTGTGGCCGTCCAGCCCCCGCCTTCCGTCCTCACAACGCAGCTCTGCTCCACGACCCTCCCTGTCTGCTCTCTGAAGCTGCTGTGGCCGGTCCATGTCTCAAAGCGTCCCTGGCGGCCTGGGCCCGGCCACAGCCCCACAGGAGGCTCCCCAACCAAGTAGGTTTGGGGACACTGCAGAATCATGCTGTGAGGTGCTCAGGCCCTTGCGGGACAGAGCTTATCTCCCTCCTCTACCCCACGGTCCCCTCCTAGGCAGGCCCCTAAACTGCAGCAGAACTGGCGTTCCAGGAGGCCACCTGGGGAAACGCTGGGCGGAGGGGAGCACTTGCGTTTCTGTGTTGGAAAAACCCGGCCCGTGTGTGGACTTGAAAGTCGGAGCGGGTCTCAGGCCAGCTGCAGCCGTGCGGTCGTGACTGTGGCCCCCTGGGGGAGGTCACCAGCGCCCTGGACGCAGAGGGGCGGCGGCGGACAGACAGAGGCCGCCCATGCAGGGTCATGGAGAGGCCCCACGGACGCTATCCAGGCTCACGCCCTTTGATCCGCTTGACGCTTAAGCCACATAAACGTGATCATAACCACCAATTTCCAGGAGGAACACAGGGAGAGACCTTCTATCTTCTCTCCAGCCTGGTCTAATTACAGATGGGGTCTCTGTCCACAGCACAGTCAAGGGGCTTTCGTGCCAGGAACTTGGAACTTTGAATTCGACTTCTGGATAGACCACAATTACCAGTGTGTTTGGGGACAAAGAGCAGCTCCAGGAAGTGAAAGCAGGCCAGGAGCACAGGGGGGTCGGAGTGGGCAGCGTGTCCACAGCCAGTGAGTGCTGGGGTGAGGCGGAGACCTGGCCCTTGGCTACTGGTGGAGTATGCCGGCCGCCACAGCAAGGAGGACCAGTGCAGACACAGGCACAGACACGCACACTAATGTGTATACGCACACACACATACATGCAGACACACTGATGTGTACACACACAGGCATAGTCACACTAATACACAAGTGCATACACTATCATGTACAAACAGGCATGCAGTCACAATGTGCAAATGCGTGCAGACACACTAACATGTAAGACATGCATAGTATGTGCACACAGACATGCACACTAACGTACGTGGACGTGCACACAGGCAGGTACACGTCCACCGGCAGGTGCGCTGACAGGTACATGCGAGCACGCACACAAACAGACATCCGTTAAGTGTGCTCCCGGGGACGTCACAGTAAGCCACGCACATCTCACGCCCGCACTGCCCAGAAGAGGTCAGGGCCGACCTCCAGATCTTCGGAGGGCTTCTCCCAGCCCAACCCCGAGAAACTGCTGGGCCAAGAGAGTCAATGCCATCCCAGACGCACGCCACACATGAATACAAAGCCCACGCGTTGTCCATTCTGGCCCACCTTCTCCTGACCCTACAGGCCTGTGGGGACCTGCCCCCGCCCCGACCAAGGGGAGGCAAGCCCCGGCGCTGGGAGGAGGCACAGGTGCCACTGAGGGTCCCCGAGTGTGTGTGCCTGTGCATGTGTGTGTCAAACCCTACTCCTGGGTCTACGTCGTTCTTCGGCTTTAATTAACACGCTATTCTGAAGGCACTTTCAGATTTACAGAACGGAGCAGGAAGTACAGGGATTCCCTGCACGCCTCGCACATAGCTGCACAGTTTCTTGAGTCTGATTAATTCAGGTTTCGGGGTTAAAGATAAAAAGGGAAGGGAAGTGTGGCCACTCAGCCAAGGCGTTCCTCACTCAGGCACCAGGCACTGCCTGCCCACAAGGAAAACATGGCCCAGGCGGTTACTGGCGGGGGCAGGCAGGGGACAGAGACGGCATCGAGGACTCCCAGGGAGCACCCTGGGGGTCCGTCCAGGGTACACCCTCCCACCTGCCCCGGAGCTCAGACGCAGGTAGCTCCTGCCGAGGGTCCGACCACACAGAGAACTGATCTGCACCCCTCTCCGCCTGGAGGCTGGACAGCTTTAACATGGAAGGCATTCCAGGTGGGAACGCGACTCAGCTAGCGCCTGACCCAGAAGGACGTGGATGGACTCACTGACGGGCCCTGCGAGGCGCACGCCTCCCCTCCACTCCGGAGCGGCTCGGACACCTCCCAGGTCTCAGTTCCTGGGCCTCACTTAGGAAGAGGCTTCAGGCGTGTGCTGGAGCCACCGTGAACAGAGGGGAGCGAAGGCAACAGGAAACTGACGTGGGAGCCGCAGCAGCTCTGGGTGAGCTCTGGCTGTACGCGGACGCACACAAGCCACCGTGCACGGGGCAGGCACAGGCCTAGAACACGCGCACAGACACACGCAGGCCACACACACACAGGCATGCAGGGCAACCGGGCCCGGAAGGCGACCTGGTTGTAGCGAGTGGACTTACAGGTTTCCCCATTCTCTATGCAGGAGAAAAAAACAAGAGTGTGTTACTGACTTCAGGAGAGAGCACCAGGCTGTTCCAGATCGCATGGCTGCCCAGGAGGACGCCGCCTCATCCCACCCCACAGGGCCCAGGAGCCCCCAGCCCTTCCTGAGAACCTGGCTTTAGGGTCTGGCTCTGACCCCGGGTGAGAGGTGTCTCTTGCGCTCTCATCTGGAACTCAGAGGCTGCGTCTGCAGAACCAAACCCACACCCGCAAGGACCCTGTACAGCCCTGGTGTTCGCAGCCCAAGGCCACAGGTGGGAGCCTTGGCGTAGGGCAGGCCCTAAGGCCCGACAGCAGCCTGAACTACCCACAGGGTGAAGGCCAGGAATTCTGTGCCCAGCGGCACAAGCCTCCTCGCCTCCATGGAACAGACCCATCTGCCTGCTGCAGTGAGGCTTGCCTGAGTAAAGCAGGCCTGGCCGCAGGGCTGACTTCAGGGCTGGCCCAGGTACCAGGAGGACTGCTCGTCACCCAGCTGTGGGGTTAACATCAGGACCCACCCTAGGTCCTACAAGGACCCCTCAGCGCTTGGCACTAGAAGGACCCCTCAGCGCTTGGCACTAGAAGGACCCCTCAGCACTTGGCACCCAGGTCTTACAAGGACTCCCGGCCTTGGCACTAGAAGGATCCCTCAGCGCCCGGCCACAGGGCTGAACTCAGGGCCCGGCCTTGGCACCAAAAGGACCCCTCAGTGCCCACTCAGGCGGCTCCCTGTTCTCTAACGGGCCCACTGGCCTGCAGGGTTGCCCCGAAGCTCTTCAGTGGTCAGGGAAGGGACTCTGTCCTCACTGCCGGGCCAGCACTGCCAGGATCTGTTCCCCCCAGGCCACACGCACGGACACTCACGGCTTCATGCTGAAGAGGTCTTTGAAACCAGATAGGCTGGTGTCTCTGCTCCTGTACTTCTCAGCGATCAGCTTCTCCCTGGTCCAGGTCATCTGCACCTTGTCTGGCGTAGGCGGCGCTTGGGTCCTGGCTGCCGCCGCGGTGTGGGACGCGGTGTTCCTGTCGTGGATCAGCTGGGCCTGGCGGGCCCGGGACTTGGTGAGACCAGCCGGTCTCAAAACTCCTCTGGGCGAGAGCGACCCGGGATGCCAGGCCGGAGGTGAGGGCAGCTCACAGAACCTGAAGGGCCCTGTGTGCCTGACCCGGGACCCAGCCTGGCGTCCCACACTGGTCCTGCGCCGCCCCCGTGACTGCCTCCCTCCTCCCAGGCTTCCCGACCAAACGCTCACCCCCTCACCTTCCCGCCCTGGCCCTGAACTGGAAAGGCCCCATGACCCCGTACTGACAGGAGGTGACACGTGCTGGCAGAGTCTCCCCCTCACCTGACGGGGCTCCACACACGTGTTCACCCCAGACCACCTGCTCGCCCACACGACCAGCACGCAGGCGTCCCCGTCTCAGGGAGGCTTGGGGCAGGTGGGGCCGTACCAGCATCCAGGCCCTGTCCCCGGGGAAGCAGGCTGTGTCTGACCAGCCAGGGGACGTTTGGGGGCCGGCCAGGCTGGCAGGGGCCCTGTGGGGCACCGCTGGGGCCAATGACAGGGCCGGCCCCCTGTGCGTCACTTCTGACAATCCGAGGAAAATGAAAACACCGTCCACGCCCCTAGCTGTAGGCGCCGAAGGGGAAGTGGCGCCCTCACCGCGAGATCGCACCAATGGCGCAGCCCCTGGTGGTTAAACACCCTCCACTGGGTTCTCATTCCTCCCTGCACCCTTCACGCCCTCCATGCTGTCGTGGCCAGCCTGACAGGTAGGCCAATGGGAGCTCCCAGACACGGGTGCCACCTTGGAAGTGGTATTTATGCACACACTGGAATGGCCACCTCTCCCACTGTGGCTGGAGCCCCGCCTGA
Organism: Homo sapiens; assembly: GCF_000001405.40. NCBI lineage: Eukaryota > Metazoa > Chordata > Mammalia > Primates > Hominidae > Homo > Homo sapiens. The sequence goes on from NC_000005.10 coordinate 1,058,484, forward strand.
GTTTGTGACGCAGCCCGGGGAGCCACTCGTCCCAGGGGCATCAGGAGTTTGTGAGCCCCGGGGTGATTTTAAAAAGCCAAAGGTCCAGAGTGATTTCACTGGACCAGGTTCTTCTTCCCTGGATAAAACTGTTTAACTTGGATGTCGGTCCTTCCCGAAAGGGAAGAGATTGGCACAGATGGGGGAGGGCCTGGGGCTGCCTCCCTCTCTGGACACAGACAGTGGGCCCCAGGCCTCTACTCATTGTGGCGCCCGGCCCAGCCTAAATTTCCCATGGCCTTGAACGTGAAACCAGAGCCCAAGGGCTGCCCGCTCTCGGCAGAGCCAGCGCCGCCCACCTGGCCCGAGGGCCACCGTGTAAGTCACTAGAGGGTGTCCACCCAGCGTCTGCACAGCAGCTCATCCAAACCCTTCTGCAGAGCGGTGACACCTCCAACCCCCACCTGGCCCAGGAGGGGCCCTTCGAGCTCGAGCTTGCTGTTCCCGCTCCCGGTCCCTCCTCGGTCAGCATTTGCTGACTCTCCACACTGAACTTCCCATGAAGCCATGGGTGGATTCTTGTTCCTAGCTGGACCCGGGCTGAACCCTTGTGACGCCAGGGCGACCCTGCCGGATCTCAGGGACCTGGCCTGGACAGAAAACAGAGGATGTGGGTCCTCCCAGACACTCCCGGCTGCCCGGACCCCCGTGGAAGGGGTCTCTGTCCACGGACAAGCTGGGCGGCCCCCCGTGTCCTGCATCTGTGCCCACCCTGACCTGCCCGGGGTCTGGGAGTGGACAGGACCGCAGCTCCACACGCCTTTCTCTGTTGGGGGAGAGCAGCAGTCGCTGCTTAGTGATTCCGGCTGTCAGCACATATGGCCCCACACGCAGACCCGTGTACTGCAGGTTCCTGCTGAGGCCAAGGCCCCAGGGCAGGCAAATCCCCTGCCCCTGCCTCCGCCGTCACTGCAGTCTCAGAAAACCAACACCTGCACCTGGTCTGCAGACACACGTGTGTGATACCAGCCTGGTGGGACCCACGAAGACCCCATGAGGCCGTGACCTCACAGAGCTGAGCATCCCGCTACCAGGTGACCCCCGTGCTGTCCTCCAGTGCGAAGTGACCACAAAGACACCTGCCCTTGGGGTCTCACAGTGGCCATGGGGCCCAGGCCAGTATAACTCAGGTGGATACACCCAGACGTCCTCAGCAGCCTACAGTTACCCACGGAGCCAAAGCCGCTGCAGCCAGGCGGCCAGCTTCCACGCACGGAGGCTGCACAGGTCTGTGTCGGGGGGTGGGGGGTGGGGGGGTTGGCAACTCCCCTCCAGCTCGCTTCCCTCCCTCCCTGCACACTCACTCTCCCCTCCCACTTGGTCTTAGGACAGAAATCTGTGCATGCTGCGGGGAAGGGCACTGAGGGGCTCCACGGTTTCAGGCTGTGAGACAAAGCAGCCATCGTAAGCAGCTGTGGGCACTCATCCGGCTCAGAAGCCGCTGACCCTGTCAGAGGGCACTGCCCTTGGGGAGGGTCCCCATGTCTCCTGCCTGCACGCTGCTCGGTTAGAAAAGCTAAGTTCAAAGGTCTCGGCCCTCGTCCCTTCCTGCACATGAGCATGCATCTGGCAGGCTGCCGTTCCTCTAACCAGGCACCCGCACGCCCAGGCTCCGATGAGCTCTGGCTTTGACGCCACTCCTGTGCTCCTGCAGGGCCTCTGCCACCTCCACGCAGGCTGGGGGCTGAGCCTGCGACGCAGTACCTGAGGCATGCTCTCTGGAGGACCCTCGTGGGCTGCAGGAGGGTCCCAGAAAAGACTCGGCGAAGTCGGCTATACTTCTCAGAAAGCCTGGTGTCTGTGGCCACGGCCCCCACGTACCTCTCGCTCCTGCTCGTTCTTGGACAGCTGCATCTGCTTCAGCATCTGCGACCTCTGCTCCATCATTAGTGTCCTCTCGTAGGTGAAAGCAGATATGTCGTTTTCAACCTAGAAAGTTCCCAAGCACGTAGTAAGCCCGGTGTGCACAGAACCACGGATGGCTCCAACACCAGCCCGGTACCCAGAGACCGAGCCGCCCTGAGCGGTGGGAAAGGCCACGCGTCCCGGGCCCCACAGGCCCCCTCTGGCTCTCAGGCCCCCCGCCCAGTGGCCAGGAAGGTGTGAGCGCACGATGGGCAGTCACGCCGCACACACGCTCTGCTCATGTCCCTCCCCGGGACCCTCCGACCGGGCACAAGGGCAGCTGTGAGGGCAAGGCCACAGCCACAAACCAACCTGGCACACACGGCTCAGGGCGAGGCACTGCCCCATGGGGCTGCATGATCCACGCTCACAGGTGTCATTGTCTATGCTCAGGGGGGCTTGGCACCATGGGAAACCCACCCAGAACACATGGAGAAGCCACAGCACAACCTCAGCGCCCGCCATGCAGGACCCTGGGTCTCACCCATTGCACCCACCGTGCGGGACCCCTGCGCCTCACCCGGAACATCCACAGTGTGGGACTGCTGCGTCTCACCCACTGCACCTGCCGTGCAGGATCCCTGAGTCTCACCCGCCGCACCCGCCGTGCGGGATCCCTGAGTCTCACCCGCCGCACCCGCCGCACCTGCCGCATCCGCCATGCGGAACCCCTGCGTCTCACCCACCGCACCCGCCGTGCGGGACCCCTGCGTCTCACCCGCCGCACCCGCCGTGCGGGACCCCTGCGTCTCACCCACCGCACCCGCCGTGCGGGATCCCTGCGTCTCACCCACCGCACCCGCCGTACCTGCCGCATCCGCCATGCGGAACCCCTGCGTCTCACCCACCGCACCTGCCGTGCAGGATCCCTGAGTCTCACCCGCCGCACCCGCCGTGCGGGATCCCTGAGTCTCACCCGCCGCACCCGCCGTGCGGGATCCCTGAGTCTCACCCGCCGCACCCGCCGTACCTGCCGCATCCGCCATGCGGGACCCCTGCGTCTCACCCACCGCACCCGCCGTGCGGGATCCCTGAGTCTCACCCGCCGCACCCGCCGTGCGGGATCCCTGAGTCTCACCCGCCGCACCCGCCGCACCTGCCGCATCCGCCATGCGGGACCCCTGCGTCTCACCCACCGCACCCGCCGTGCGGGATCCCTGTGTCTCACCCGCCGCACCCGGCTCATGGGAGTTGGGAGCAGCTGTGCCTGTTAAGCACCAGTATTTAAAACAGCACACCAGATCAGGTGCGGTGGCTCACACCTGTCATCCCAACACTTTGGGAGGCCGAGGCGGGTGGATCACCTGAGGTCAGAAGTTCGAGACCAGCCTGGCCATCATGGTGAAACCCCATTGCTACTAAAAATACAAAGAAAAAAAAAAAAATTAGCCAGGTATGGTGACGTGTACCTGTAGTCCCAGCTACTCAGGAGGCTGAGGCAGGAGAATTGCCTGAACCCAGGAGGTGGAGGTTCCAGCCTTGGGGACAGAGCGAGACTCTGTCTCAAAACTTTTTTTAAAAAAATAAACAGCATGCCAGACTGAATGGCAGCGACCCAGACGCCCCTCTCCAGCCAGGTGGCACTTGTCCCTGCGGCCAGGGCTACGGAGGGGTGGGCAGCCCCAGCCCTGCCAGAGACATGGCTGGGAGCATGGGGGGTGCTGGGAGCTCCAGGTTCCCGGACTTCAGAGCTAACAACCCCTGCTCAGGAGCTGGGGAGCTGCTTCTGGCACCACGGAGGGGCTGGGGGTGCGGCTGGGGCCATGGGCTCACTTTGCCTGTTTCCTCTGGGCCCCAGTGGCCGCCCCACCTGGCCCCCTGGCAGGGCTGGTTCTCCCAGGCAGCATTTTGTTACTATTTTACTAAGCGGTTTTATGACTTGGAAATAACGTTATTCATACGACTATTAGCACCAATAATAACCCCTACAACCTTGAACCCGCAAAGCCTCGTCCAAACAAGACAAACTCCAGCCATCGTCCCCGAAGACACAGCCACATGGAAACTAAGCCCAGTGTACAAAACTGGGCAGAAAACCATCCAGCGTCACGCAGGCCTGCAGCCCTCGGCCTAGGAAAGGTCCTGCAGGGCAAGAGGAAGAACAACCCCACAGGACAACTGAGTTCCACGGGAACTGACACAGAAACACAGAAGGTTGTCGGTGAGGCACGAAGCCGTGCCTGGCCTCACTCACAGCCCGACACAAACCAGGAGCAGGTGCTCGGGGCCTCTGCCATACCCAGGGCTGGGGGGCTGGGGGGCTGGGGGACTGAGGGACTGGGGGACTGGGGGGCTGCGGGGCTGGAGAGACCGCACCTCCCAGGCTGCTGCAGGGGCACAGGTGGCTTCCTGGGGGACAGCGTGACAGTCTCTATCCAGCTTTATGTCTTCCCAGCACCCACCTCCAGGAGTCCAGGCCCCTGAGGACCTGCAAAACCATGCGCTGGGGTCACGGGAGCCGGAAGAAACCAGGACTTTGCGGGTTCTGACTTCAAGACCAGTGTTGTCGGCGTGATCCAAGTGGGGTCAGAACCCACAAAGTCCCGGGACCGCCAGCAGGACCGGAGGGGAAGGCACAGCCGTGGATCCGGGTGGGCTGGTAGCGAGCAGGCATGGTTCCATCCAGCACAAGGGGCCCACCAGATCCCCAGGATCCAGAGCTCCATGCTTGGGGGCCGGGGGCAAGCGCTCCAATGCCAGGCCTCCGCCCATCAACCCCGTCCTCTCCAGGCGTGAAGGACGGGACGAGTCTCTGTCCAGGCCCTGCCTATAGCTGACCGAGGGCCTGTCTGTCCCACGTGACAGCTGCAGCCTGGCCTCACTGACCAGTGCCCCTCTCCCCGGGTCCCGACTGCTGATGTGTGGTTTCCAGCCGTGGGAAGGTGAGCCCATCTGGGGAGAGCACCCAAAACGGGAGGTGCTCAGAGGTGCACCCACCATGGCAACACCACTGAGGTGTGAGGTCCTGGACGGGGTCCCGGGCCGAGGAGGACACGGGACCATGGAGGACACGGAGATGCTGATGCCGGCTCTAGGGCAACACCCACACCCGTGTTACACGAGGTGTCCACAAGCAACACACGGGGCTCTGTGCTTTCTGTGATGTCCTGGCGATTCCAAAACCAAGCCTCCTTGACCACCCCGCAAGGCCTGGCAGCCCCCGCCACAATCGCCACCACCTTCTCCTCCCCACCTCCACCTCCACCTCCTGATCTCCCCCTCCACCCCCACCTCACGAGGCCACAGCCCTCCCGATCTCCACTTCCCCCTCCACCCCCACCTCACGAGGCCACAGCCCTCCCGATCTCCACTTCCCCCTCCACCCCCACCTCACGAGGCCCACAGCCCTCCCGGGCCGCCCCCCACCTCCTCCCCACCTCCCCCCGGCCTCCTCCCCTCAAGCCCTCGGGACTCACCATCTCCACCACCTCCACCTCGGCGCTGATGCGCAAGTGGTACAAGAACATCTGCAGGTCCTTCTTCATCTGGATGCTGTTGTCGTCCACCTGGGCCACGGTGAAGATACGCATCCGGCACTTCCTCCACACCTGCAGACAGGGAGGGCATGGCTGTGGGGCCTCAGAGGAGCCCGTCCCGGCCCGCAGCACGTGGGGTGGCCGTGCTCCGGCTGGCGTGTCCCCGTCGCACGCCCCACCTTGTGCTGGCGCAGCAGGAAGGGCAGCAGCATGAGCATGCCGCCGTCGTGCACGATCCACCACACGTCGATGTGGCCCCCGCCGAAGCGCTCCTGGTTTTGCGGAAACGAGTCGACGTTCTTGGCCACCAGCAGAGCCTGGTGCGCGGCGGTGGTGTCGCGGACGGTGTCTGCGGAGAGAGGCGGCCGTCCGCAGGTCATCTGAGGCCAGGGTGCGGAAGGGGCCTCCCCGGGGACTCACAGCCAGTGCAGGGGCGGGCACGGCGAGGCGAGGGGGGTCCCCACAAAGCCCCCACCCTCACTCCGTCAGCTCCTCCAAGGACCAGCCAGAGACTCACAGCAGAGTTCAGCTGCTGGTCATGTGTCCAGGGAATCCCCCAGCCCCTGCGGGGCTCTGGGAGAAGGGGAGGGAGTGCCTGGACACTTTCAGATGGCCGCTCCCAGGGCCAGGGCCTTCGACAGCCTCAGAGCACACACCCTCGGGTCGGTGGCCTCAAGGCCCATCGGGACCTGACAGCGCACAGGCCTGGGGACGTTGAGGGGACAGCGAGGAGACAGAGGGGACGGCGAGGAGACAGTGAAGGGATAGCGAGGAGACGGTGAAGGGACAGTGAGGGGACGGTGAGGGGACAGCGAGGAGACGGTGAAGGGACAGCGAGGGGACGGCGAGGAGACGGTGAAGGGACAGCAAGGGGACGGTGAGGGGACAGCGAGGAGACGGCGAGGGGACAGTGAGGGAACGGCGAGGGGACGGCGAAGCGACGGCGAGGAGACGGCGAGGGGACAGCGAGGGGACGGCGAGGAGATGGTGAGGGGACCGCGAGGGGACGGCGAGGAGATGGTGAGGGGACAGTGAGGGGACGGCGAAGAGATGGTGAGGGGACGGTTAGGGGACAGCGAGGGGATGGCAAAGGGATGCAGAGGAGACTGAGGGGACACGGGACAGTGAGGGGACAGCGAGGGGAGGCAGAGGGGGACAGTGAGGGGACAGCAAGGGGACACTGAGGAGACACACAGGGGACAGTGAGGGGACGGCGAGGGGATGCAGAGGGGACACCAAGGGGACAGTGGGGACGAAAAGGGGACAGTGAGAGGACAGCGAGGGGACACTGAGGAGACACACAGGGGACAGCGAGGGGACACTGAGAGGACACAGAGGGGACGGTGAGGGGATGCCGAAGGGCCGCCAGCCATGCCTACCCACAAAGTTCTTCCAGGAGAAGGGGTTGTCCTCCTGCTTCCAGGATGCGGGCCAGGCCATGAGCACCGTGTTGTGCTTCAGGCCGCCCAGGCCGGCCGACTGGATCAGGTGGGACATGCCATCCCGCAGGCTGGACGAGACCACCAGCTGGCAGAAGCCCTTGGTCTTCTCTGTGCTCATTAGGGACCGTATGTTCTGCGGGAGACAGGACAGGTTGGTGCTACAGCAGGAATGGGGTGCACAGACCCACGCCCACCACCCACGGTGGCCAGGGCACCCGCACCACCTCCCCTGTGGACCCAGCAGGAGGGAAGGCCCGAAGGCTCAACGGTGTGCTGCGGTGCTCCCGGCCGCTGTGTGTGTATGTGTGTATGTGCGTGCTCACACACTGGGGAGAGAGACACAGAGCAGGTGTGACTGATGCCACGTGCAGGGGATGTGGAGGGCTGCTCTGGGGACACAACGCCAGGCAGTTCTCTGAGGCGATCCACAACATCCCAGACCCACCCCCAGTTCACTCGGACGCTCTGGGCCAGGTTCATCCACCTGGTGCATCAGAAACACCCGAAAATGGGCCAAATTAGCAGCTCTTCAAAGGGAGGCCGTGGGGTCCAGGATGCAGCACCCTAACAGCAACGGCGGGGGGCGGGGGTGGGGGACTGCCGTGTGGTCTCCTCCCGGGGTTGGAGGGGGTCACTGCTGTGTGCAGTCTCTTCCCAGGGGTGTCTGATGAGGCTGCACCACGGAACGGCTTGACTCCATGGGGTTTGCACGTGCGTGGCCGAGGACCTGCCACGCACTAAAGCCATGCATGTGTGGACGCAGGCCTCCCACCCTCTGACCTTCAGGCCCTGGAACCCCAGGGCCTGCCCTGCTGGGTCTCAGCCTTGTGTGGTACCAGTGGCCCCTTCCCACCTGATTCTCCCTTTTGGAGCAAACATGCCTCTCCTGGCTTGTCCCCTGCTGCGTTCTGGGATAACCACCTCCTCACTTGCACATCTACAGACACAGCAGTTTTGTCCAGGATGGACCAGACCCCACATTTCACTGGCTTCTGGTTTGGATGCTTAGAGGATGAGATTTGGGAGCTCCGAGCAATGAGATTTACATGAGAGTTGGGACTCAGAGCTGGTCTGTGCAGGCCTGAGACTTCAGGAGACACTGAGATGGGGTGAACATACTGTACATGTGTGGCAGATATGAATTTTAGGGCCGAGAGCTCAATTGCAGTGGGTTGAATAGTGCCCCCAAAAAAGAGGATACCCGCATCCCAGCCCCAGGAACCTGAGAATGCAACCTTATTTGGAAAACCTGTCTTTATGGATGTATTGAAGAACCCTGTAATTAGGTTATGATGTTGAGAGAGCATCCTGGGTCAGAGGTGGGCCCTGAAGCCACTGACAAGTGACCTTACAGGATGAAGGCAGGAAGAGCTCTCAGACTGGGAGGAAGAGACTGCGTGGAGGCACAGGCGCCCAGGGTCGCCCGGGGGCCCAGGAGCTGGAGGAGGCAGGAGGATCCTCCCGGGAGACTCTGGAGGCAGCGTGGCCTGCGGTCTCCTTCATCTCAGACTCCTGGGCTCCAGAACTAGGAGAGAACAGACGCCCTTTGCTGTGAGCCGTGTGGTCTGTGTCCCATCACAGCAGCCCCGGGCCACTCAGGGATCAGAGCCACCACCTGCCTCCTTTGCCGAGATTCCAGCAGCCCCTACGTCAGCCTGACTGGTATCCTCACCCCCTACCCTGGCTCACACCTAGAGCTCCACCAGCCCTTCACACACAAAACAACATCCAATGTTCTCCCACGGCCCCACTCCTCCTCAGGCACCCCTCGTCCTTACCCTGCTCTCCAGACACCTCCACCTTCTGCCCAGCTGCCCGGGCGCAAGACGGGACAGGGTGCAGGGCCAGCAGATATGCTCCTCTTTGAGACTTTTGTTTAGGTCAGGAAAGGCCTGAACACGTTACCCCCAAGGGGCACCAGCCAGCAAGCGGAGGCAGGGGCCCCAGAGAGGCAGAGACCGGCTGGAGGCGGACGCTGCGGGGTGGACACAGCCGTCTCTGGGCAGGAAGGCACAGGGAAGCACCCGCATCGGGCGTCATGTGGGAAGAAGGCAGGAAGTGTGGCTATTTCAGCAAAGGCCACACAGCAGCCCCTTTATGCGGCTGCTTCTCATCCCCACGAGACCCCTCTGCAGGGCAATTCAGGTTCTCTGTTCTTGTGCCCCGATCTGGCCGGAGAACGGAGCCCAGGGAAACGGCTGTTCAGGATCAGCCAAGTTTGGATGCAGCCACTGGAGGGGCCCTGAGGGCCTCCAAGTGCTGGAGCCACGTCACGGGGCCACTTCCTACATGACTGGCTGCTGTGCTCACCCCCACGTGCTGGCTCCGAGGAGTCGGAGCTGGGGATCTCAACTCTCTTCTGGCCTCACTGTTGGGAAAACCACCTTGCAGGACTGCAGGGTTTCAGGAGGACGCGGCACTGCCCTGGCCTGGCAGGAACTCAACACTGTGTGGGGAGACCCTGTTATCACAAGTCAGCACCGTGTCGGGGACCCTGTTATCACAAGTCAGCACCGTGTCGGGGACCCTGTTATCACAAGTCAGCACCGTGTCGGGGACCCTGTTATCACAAGTCCCCGCACCTGCCCGGCGCAGCAGTCGCAGAGGCCTCCGTGCAGACAGACCTCAACCCGGAGGACAACTTTACGAGCGGGGAGCAAGAACACCAGGGCCTTAGGACCCCTTTTATGCCAATCAGTGCCACACAGAACAGAGCACAAGGGCGCGCATGAGCCTCCCTGGCGACTGCATGAGTCACGAAGCTGCACGCTTCTTAGAGAAATGTCCATGCTTTACAGCCTTGCCCAGACAGGCTGCCGTGGCTCACACCTGTAATCCCAGCACTTTGGGAGGCCGAAGCAGACGAATCACTTGAGCTCAGGAGTTCGAGACCAGACTGGCCAATGTGGCGAAACCCCGTCTCTACTAAAAATACAAAAATGAGCCGGGCGTGGTGGTGGGCACCTGTAATCCCAGCTACTGGGAGGCTGAGGCAGGAGAACTGCTTCAACTCGGGAGGTGGAGGTTGCAGTGAGCTGAGACGGCGCCACTGCACTGCAGCCTGGGCAACAGAGGGAGACTCTGTCTCAAAAAATAAATAAAAATTAAAAAACAAATAAATAAAAAAGATTTGCCCAGATTTCTCTAATTTCACACTAACATAGCCACGATGGAGGAGAATACGGCTCCCCAGGGCAGTGCAGCCCCAAAGGCAGCCAAGGGAAGGCGGGGCCTGCGGCTGGCTCCAGCCCTCGCAACCAATGCAGCTAAGTCACAGCCAAAGGCTCGCTGAGAGCAGCGGGGGCAGGGTGCGCTCGTCCTCCCGTCCGCAAGAGCGGGCTCCTGTCTGAGGCTGCCCCAGACCCCCCAGCCGAAGGGCTGTCGGACGGAGAGGATCTGCCTGTGAGCTCCGTTAACGTGAGAGTATAAGTGAGCGCAGCTCTTCCCATGGCCGTGAAGACTGTGGCAGAGCGTGGCAGGGGGTCCCGTCATCCCCCAGTCACTGCAATCCCTGCCCTGTCCCTCGTGCGCACAGACGCGCCCTCACACACCTCCAGGGAGGCCAGGCAGTGCCAGGATTCTTAGAATCCACGCCAGCAGGGCAGTTCCAACTCCGGGATTCCTCCTAAGAGCATTCCAGCATGGGATAAGGAACACGGAAAGGGACATATGGGGACCAGGACCGTGAACATCCCCCCGAAAACCACGATACCTAAATCCACGGGTTCACAGTCAATAGCAGCTAACGCCTGAACCCGTGGTGAGCCATGACGCCGCCGTCAGGGAAAGGGAAGGCCCAGAGCATCTCCTGTCTTCCCTGGGAAGGCGAACCTGTGCAACAGCCTGAGAAGGTGGCCATCCACGTGGCCAACGTGGCGGGAGCGGCGGGGGCCATTTTTTACCTCCATGGGATCCTGGCCCTAGGCCACACCACCTGAGGCTGCTACCATCCACGTGCCCACAGCCCTCTTGAGCAGGGTTCCCACCCCTAGGCTGACCGGCCCAGACCTGGACGGGCCTCAGTGCGGCTGTGGTTGTGCAGAGAAACGGACCGGGGAGGCGGTGGGGGGCGGCTGCAGATGCCTGGACACACCCACAAGGTCCCAGTGGGGGCCTGGCAGCAGGGAGCTGGCTCCCAACCCACAGCAAGGACAGAGGGGGCACCCGCATGGGAGGGACCTCGGACACACACCACTGCAACAGGCACGTGGTATAGGCCCCACAGACTCCCACACACATGAGGGGGAAGGAGGAGGCTCGAGGCGCCCACGGCAGCCAGCCCTGCCTGGGAATGAGGTGCCCTTGGCATGAAAATCACGCAGGTGGGCACTCAAAAGCTCCCTGCTTTAGCAAGAAATACAGAAGTAACTCCAGGTGACGTGACGTGACGTGACGTGATGGGACCCCACAGGCTTTCATCGTGTCATCATTCCGTTTCTGGATAGTGTGAAGCTTCCCATAAGAAGTTTGAAAATCAGAGAAATGAAGACACAAAGTCTCAGACCCCGATGTCCTGGGGCAGCCGACTGCAGCAGCAGGGCTCAGAGCTGGCACCAGCATGCTACACGCCCGGGGCACTCACCCGTCCCTCCCCACAAAGCTCTGAGTGGGCAGAAATTCAGCAGCACACGGCATCACACTTAACGCAGCCCCCAGTGAGCCCCCAGCACACGGGCATCACACTTATGCAGCCCCCAGTGAGCCCCCAGTGAGCCCCCAGCACACGGGCATCACACTTATGCAGCCCCCAGTGAGCCCCCAGCACACGGGCATCACACTTATGCAGCCCCCAGTGAGCCCCCAGCACACGGGCATCACACTTATGCAGCCCCCAGTGAGCCCCCAGTGAGCCCCCAGCACACGGGCATCACACTTATGCAGCCCCCAGTGAGCCCCCAGCACACGGGCATCACACTTATGCAGCCCCCAGTGAGCCCCCAGCACACGGCATCACACTTATGCAGCCCCAGTGAGCCCCCAGCACACGGGCATCACACTTATGCAGCCCCCAGTGAGCCCCCAGCACACGGCATCACACTTATGCAGCCCCAGTGAGCCCCCAGCACACGGGCATCACACTTATGCAGCCCCAGTGAGCCCCCAGCACACGGGCATCACACTTATGCAGCCCCAGTGAGCCCCCAGCACACGGGCATCACACTTATGCAGCCCCCAGTGAGCCCCCAGTGAGCCCCCAGCACACGGCATCACACTTATGCAGCCCCCAGTGAGCCCCCAGCACACGGGCATCACACTTATGCAGCCCCCAGTGAGCCCCCAGCACACGGGCATCACACTTATGCAGCCCCAGTGAGCCCCCAGCACACGGCATCACACTTATGCAGCCCCAGTGAGCCCCCAGCACACGGCATCACACTTATGCAGCCCCCAGTGAGCCCCCAGCACACGGGCATCACACTTATGCAGCCCCCAGTGAGCCCCCAGTGAGCCCCCAGCACACGGCATCACACTTATGCAGCCCCCAGTGAGCCCCCAGCACACGGTATCACACTTATGCAGCCCCCAGTGAGCCCCCAGCACACGGGCATCACACTTATGCAGCCCCCAGTGAGCCCCCAGCACACGGGTATCACACTTATGCAGCCCCCAGTGAGCCCCCAGCACACGGGTATCACACTTATGCAGCCCCCAGTGAGCCCCCAGCACACGGGCATCACACTTATGCAGCCCCAGTGAGCCCCCAGCACACGGGCATCACACTTATGCAGCCCCAGTGAGCCCCCAGCACACGGCATCACACTTATGCAGCCCCAGTGAGCCCCCAGCACACGGCATCACACTTATGCAGCCCCCAGTGAGCCCCCAGCACACGGGCATCACACTTATGCAGCCCCAGTGAGCCCCCAGCACACGGCATCACACTTATGCAGCCCCCAGTGAGCCCCCAGCACACGGTATCACACTTATGCAGCCCCCAGTGAGCCCCCAGTGAGCCCCCAGCACACGGTATCACACTTATGCAGCCCCCAGTGAGCCCCCAGCACACGGCATCACACTTATGCAGCCCCCAGTGAGCCCCCAGCACACGGCATCACACTTATGCAGCCCCCAGTGAGCCCCCAGCACACGGGCATCACACTTATGCAGCCCCAGTGAGCCCCCAGCACACGGGCATCACACTTATGCAGCCCCCAGTGAGCCCCCAGCACACGGCATCACACTTATGCAGCCCCAGTGAGCCCCCAGCACACGGCATCACACTTATGCAGCCCCCAGTGAGCCCCCAGCACACGGGCATCACACTTATGCAGCCCCCAGTGAGCCCCCAGCACACGGGCATCACACTTATGCAGCCCCCAGTGAGCCCCCAGCACACGGGCATCACACTTATGCAGCCCCAGTGAGCCCCCAGCACACGGGCATCACACTTATGCAGCCCCCAGTGAGCCCCCAGCACACGGCATCACACTTATGCAGCCCCAGTGAGCCCCCAGCACACGGCATCACACTTATGCAGCCCCCAGTGAGCCCCCAGCACACGGGCATCACACTTATGCAGCCCCCAGTGAGCCCCCAGCACACGGGCATCACACTTATGCAGCCCCCAGTGAGCCCCCAGCACACGGGCATCACACTTATGCAGCCCCCAGTGAGCCCCCAGCACACGGGCATCACACTTATGCAGCCCCAGTGAGCCCCCAGCACACGGTATCACACTTATGCAGCCCCCAGTGAGCCCCCAGTGAGCCCCCAGCACACGGGCATCACACTTATGCAGCCCCCAGTGAGCCCCCAGCACACGGGCATCACACTTATGCAGCCCCCAGTGAGCCCCCAGTGAGCCCCCAGCACACGGCATCACACTTATGCAGCCCCCAGTGAGCCCCCAGCACACGGGCATCACACTTATGCAGCCCCCAGTGAGCCCCCAGTGAGCCCCCAGCACACGGGCATCACACTTATGCAGCCCCAGTGAGCCCCCAGCACACGGGCATCACACTTATGCAGCCCCCAGTGAGCCCCCAGTGAGCCCCCAGCACACTGGCATCACACTTATGCAGCCCCCAGTGAGCCCCCAGCACACGGCATCACACTTATGCAGCCCCCAGTGAGCCCCCAGCACACGGGCATCACACTTATGCAGCCCCCAGTGAGCCCCCAGTGAGCCCCCAGCACACGGGCATCACACTTATGCAGCCCCCAGTGAGCCCCCAGTGAGCCCCCAGCACACGGGCATCACACTTATGCAGCCCCAGTGAGCCCCCAGCACACGGCATCACACTTATGCAGCCCCCAGTGAGCCCCCAGTGAGCCCCCAGCACACGGGCATCACACTTATGCAGCCCCCAGTGAGCCCCCAGTGAGCCCCCAGCACACTGGCATCACACTTATGCAGCCCCCAGTGAGCCCCCAGCACACGGTATCACACTTATGCAGCCCCCAGTGAGCCCCCAGTGAGCCCCCAGCACACGGGCATCACACTTATGCAGCCCCCAGTGAGCCCCCAGCACACGGTATCACACTTATGCAGCCCCCAGTGAGCCCCCAGTGAGCCCCCAGCACACGGGCATCACACTTATGCAGCCCCCAGTGAGCCCCCAGCACACGGGCATCACACTTATGCAGCCCCCAGTGAGCCCCCAGTGAGCCCCCAGCACACGGGCATCACACTTATGCAGCCCCCAGTGAGCCCCCAGCACACGGGCATCACACTTATGCAGCCCCCAGTGAGCCCCCAGCACACGGGCATCACACTTATGCAGCCCCCAGTGAGCCCCCAGTGAGCCCCCAGCACACGGGCATCACACTTATGCAGCCCCCAGTGAGCCCCCAGCACACGGGCATCACACTTATGCAGCCCCCAGTGAGCCCCCAGTGAGCCCCCAGCACACGGGCATCACACTTATGCAGCCCCCAGTGAGCCCCCAGCACACGGGCATCACACTTATGCAGCCCCCAGTGAGCCCCCAGCACACGGGCATCACACTTATGCAGCCCCCAGTGAGCCTGAACAGCGGGAGACTGAGCTTGCAGCAGAACCATGATTACGGCTCTGGACGGGGCTCACCCATGGCGGGAGGAGGCGGTCCCAGGGTTCGCCCTTGGAAAGCTAATGGCCCTCACACCTCCCAAGCTTCCCGGGGTGCGGCTGGTGCTCCCAGGCCTTAGCGCGCTGCTCTGAGCTCAAAGCCACCGCCACGGCTAAAACACAGCAGCGCCACGCACAGCACCGTGTTGACACGCTGCGATGAGGACATGCCAGGGCACGTTTCCTGTGCAGCTGGGGTGGGAAAGAGGCCTGGCCCCCAGACCCCGCCCGGCCCACCTCCTCGGCCCGCTGAGCCTCCATGTGCTTGTCCAGGTACGTCCCCTCCAGCACCGAGCCCACGATGGTCAGGCCCTTGCCGGCCTTCAGCTGCGACGTGAAGGACAGCAGGCGGGGGTGCTTCACGGCCTGCTCCGCGTCCAGGTTCAGCATCACCAGCACCTGGGGCCTGCAGCCAGGGTGGGGCGGCTGTTACCACGGCAACGCTTACCAGGGCACGGCCCATCAACAGGCAGGGCAGATGGGACGGGCGGGGCACACGACACAGGTGGGACGGGAGATACATGACAGGCGGGACAGGGGACAAAAGGGGCAGGTGACAGATGGGATGGGGAAACGTGACACACGTGGGGTAAGTTGAACAGGTGACAGGTGAGACAGGCCACAGAAGCCAGGTGGGACAGGCAGGGCCGATGGACAGGTGGGCACTAGCCAGGCAGGACAGGAGAACAGGTAGGTTAGACAGGTGGGACAGGTGACATGCTAGACAGGTGAGACAATGGCCCAGGACACACACCTGAAGCCCCCACCGAGGCCCTGAGGGGACAATGGCCCGGGGCACACCCGAGGCCCCCGCCGAGGCCCCTGAGGGGACAATG
This sequence comes from Homo sapiens, assembly GCF_000001405.40. NCBI lineage: Eukaryota > Metazoa > Chordata > Mammalia > Primates > Hominidae > Homo > Homo sapiens. The sequence continues at coordinate 1,074,232 of NC_000005.10, forward strand.
GCCCGGGGCACACACCTGAGGCCCCCGCCGAGGCCCTGAGGGGCAGAGGCTTCCCAAAGATGGCCTTTGCTTCAGCAGGAGCCACCCTCTCCCACCCCAAGCCCAGGGCTGTGCTGGCAGAGGGGCCGGCTCCCCACACCCCCACCCTGCAGCAGGGACACCCCCGGCCCCCAGCTGCGCCATCCGCTCTGCACCAGGCAGTGTTCACACCCCAGACCTTGCCTGAGCGGCTGAAGGTGAGAGGCCCCTGAGACTCAAAGGTCCCCACTCAAAGGCCGACCTCAGAAACAGCTCTTCTGTGCGTCTGAGGACCACGGGGCATGGGCGGTGCTCACCTCCAGTTCTTGGTGTGGGGGGGACCGTGCTCCACGCGCAGCAGGGCGTAGCGGGCGGCGTTCAGGGATAGGCCACGGATGCCATCGCCCCACTCCTTCTCGGCCCTGTGGGAAAGGAAGTCGGGGTTTGTCCAGCCGCGTACCTGGAGGCTCCTCTCCCACCTGGGAAAGGGGACTTCTGGGGGCAGGTGAGTTGGGGCAAACAGGACCCCCAGGAAAAGTCCCTGGATGAGGAGGGAGGCCTCCATGCCCACCCTTGCCCTGAAGGGAGCCCGTCCTAGGAGCCACCGGGTCAGAGGGTGCTGTGGCTGTGGAGGGAACGAGGTCTACGTCCAGCATGCGTGAGGTGCCTTCCTCACAGGACGGGGGACAGGAGGCCCATGACAGGGAAGTGGCTGGACCCCGGGCACGAGGCGGGTGCAGGTGGAGGGAGGGTGGGTGCTGGGGCACGGGGAAGGACGCCTGTGGCTGCCGAGTGAGTACAGACACAACCTGGGGACACCTCGCGAGACACGTAGCAGGAATAGTCAGCCGTGGGCTCACCGCCTGCTGAGGACGGCACGAGACAGAGCTCCAGGCTGGAGACCCTGTCCACAAGTGCAGGCACCTCGGCCTGGCTGGAAGTGGGAGGGAAACCCCAGCTTTCACAACACAGCCCACCTGGACGTGCTCCCAGCTGCCCCTGTGAGGGCACACGACGCTCAAGCCCCAGGGAGGCCCCTCCAGGGAGCTGCCCCAGGCATAGCATGAGAGGGGCCCGCCCTCCCGTGCGCCGGGTCTGTAAGGGGGGCTGACAGCGCTTACCCGCGGTACTCGATGTACTTGTAGATGCAGCCAGCGATGAGCATGGCGGACAGCGCGTAGTACCAGGAGCAGATGAACATCAGCGCCAGGCACAGGCTCATACCCAGAAAGGACAGGGTCCTGGGGGCGGGGCAAGTGGCTCGGGGCGGCCCAACGCCATGCAGCCCCCACACCTCAGCCACCACCACACGGACACTGCCCCTCCCTCAGTAAAACTCTCTGTTAACACTAGGAAAACAGTCACTGACGCCTGACGACCATGGCTGTACTCAACCACCTCTGAGGGGTGACGTGGCTCCCTGGGCCCCTGTGGGAGCTGTCACTCCAAAACCCAGTACATAGCTCCAGCTCCCAGCGTGCACACAGCACCTCGGCTGTGCATGCAACAAGGGGCTGAAGCGTCCACCCAGCGCCTGATTCCTGGGGAGGGGAGTTAAGAAGACCCACAGCCCTGATGGGCTACGCCCCAAGCCTGGGAAGGCTGGGCTGACCACGGGAGGTACAAGGCACATGCAGACACCTGGGCATCCTCGTAACCAGAGGCCTTCCTCAGGTGCAGTCTCATCAGCTGCGCAGGGGCTTACTCCGCAAAGGAACAGTCAAGGACGCGCTGGGGTCTTCAGGCCCAGAGCAGCTGGCCTTGTAGAGGCACCCAGTGTCCCAGCCTGTGGGGCTCCTGACGCCTGTGCTGAGCGGCCTCACCAGTGGCAGAGGCACCCAGTGTCCCAGCCTGTGGGGCTCCTCACGCCCGTGCTGAGTGGCCTCACCAGTGGTAGAACTTGAAGCGTGGACGCCAGTTGGGGGTACGTAGCAGGGTCTGCACGGCGCAGGCCAGGTTCACGAACAGGTAGCACATGAGGAAGAACCTGCAGGGACGGCCGGCCACTGATACGGGCCCACTGGGCCCCCCTGAGCCCCCAGTCACTGCCACCTGGGAGACCACCCTTGTCACTGTCCCTCCCACCTGCGCCTTGTCTCCCCATGTCTGTCTCTGCACGTGAGCTGACTCAGACTGATTCCGAATCAGGCCCCCTCAGGTTCCAGCCATCCTGTGACCACCTGGTCCATCAAGAGATGGGCCATCGTCCCTTCCCCAGCAGCCGTCTGTCCAGCCACACTGTCCCTGGCTGACCCCAGCGGGCGGCTGCCTGGAGGCCTGTGTACTTGTCTTCCCCGGCGCAACTCCCTTCCCGGCAGGATCCTGACTGCCCACAGCTGGCCATGCCTGTCTACTGCTTGTCCTGAGCAGGACCTCCCATCCACACTGCCCCACGCTCCAGGCCCATACACCCATCCCCAGGTCCCCGTCCTGTGGGGGCTCACATGGAGAGGATCGGGGCCACGCTGTCCAGAGAGGCGATGAGGATGCCAGTCTCGCAGATGAGGACTGTCAGCAGCAGCGCCCACGTGGGCTCCCCGTTGGCCTTCCCGTGGCCAAACACCTGCAGGGAGAAGGGCAGGAAGATGGGGCAGATGACACCACCCTTTTAGGAGAGAAGCTGCAGGCTGGTCAGGTCTAGCCCAGATGAATCTTAAAGACACAGACCAGCAGAAACGCCTTTCACAGTAGGTCCCCGGGACATCACGCGGCTGGCCTGGGAAGAAGCCCTGACAAAGGGCTGCAGCCCAGGAGGCTTCAGAGCTGTGCCTACGCCCGGCTTGCCTGCAACCTGTGTGGCCCCAGCCTGCCCCCCCGCCTCAGTTTCCCCGACCACACAACACAGGACCAGCGTCTCCAGGGCACTCGCGGTTCCCCAGACCCTGTGGTGACCTTTCTCATCAGGCCACCCTCACCTCCCAGAAGCTGAGGCCCACGGGGCCTGTGTGCCTGTCCCCTTCCTGGACACCATGCCCTAGGCCCGGCTGGGACTGAAGATGCAACCACACAAAGGCCCTGCGGGTCGGCACCCTGCCGAGGGACCAGCGACGGGCAAGGATGGCTCTGCCATCCACGACCTTCCCACAGCTGCCCCTGGGCCCAGGTAGCAGGAGGAGCCACAATCGGCAGCTCTGGGCACAGCACACGGACAGGACCCATGCGGGCGTCCGTGCAATCCTCAGAGCAGCCACACACACTGGCTGCAGGTGGCTGGTGACGCCACCTCCCACGGGCTGAAGAGCTCAGCCACACAGAGAAAGATGTGGCAGGCAGGCAGAGGGCTTCTGACCAGACAACAGACCAGGCACCTCTGGACACGTGGCTGTGGGCCCTCACAGCCGCTCCTGACACACCCGGGGCCGAGCTCGGAGGGACCTGCAGGCAGGAGGGCTAGAATTGCCTCTGCCCACCACCCACCTCCCACCACTCCCATGCTCTGTGCAGTGGCCAGGGGCAGAATGACCACCATGGGGTCCAAGCCGCGGGCATGCGTCCCACACACGGCACTGTGAGGATCCCGCAGGGGAGGAGAGCCCCCGACCCTGACCTTCCAGGGTCCCCCCGACGAGGGTGCGGGACTCACCTGCAGGAAGGGGACGATGCCGTCACGGGCAATGGCCTGCAGTAGGCGCGGTGCCCCCGTGAGGCTCTGCAGGCCGGCACCGCAGGTGGAGAAGAAGGAGCCGATGACGATGACCCAGGGGGAGGGCCAGGCCAGCATGCCGATGACCAGGTTCCCCTGCAGGGCCTCCCCGAACCTGCAGGCAGGCGGGCAGGCGGGCGGGCGGCTTTCAGAAGTGAGCCTGAGTCAGACAAAATGTCTTCTCCCACCCAGAGCGAGGGGCCCAGTGCAGTGGGGGCGACTCCTTGGAAAGCTGAGGCCCGGCCTCCAGTCCCCGTTGGCTGAAACCTCCACCAGGCTCTGCCCAGCATGGCCAGAATGCTCTGGAGGGTCTTCAGCGGGGGAGGGGGTCCTGCTCACCTCAGGGTCGCTCTTGGGAGCAGGGAAGACCCAGCCTGGCATCAGCTTCAGTCAGGGACCACCCAGGACCCCCGGGGCCTTGGGGCTGCCAGACACGCACACCCCATGAGGATGCAGGGTCAGTGATGACCTGCCTGGGACCCCACTACTTCTCCACTTGCCAGCAGGGCTGAGGGATCTCCCAGGGCCAAGCCTCACCCGTCCACACCCCTGTGGCCTCCCCAGGAAGGGCCTGCGCCCCCAGCCGCATCAGGGCTTGGAGTTGGCTCTGAACGGTTCCCCAGGCCCTAGGCTCCAGCGGAAGAGACGACACATCAGACCAAGGGATCCCAACCCTGGGACCAGGACGCCTTCAGCTCTGCACGCGGACATGAAGTCCTAGGGCGATGTAATTTCAAAGCCGAATTCATCCTCAGGAAAACCCTTGAAGACTACAGGCTTTGCACGAAAACTGCAGGTGGAAACGTACTTATCTCGTAAGACCACGCCTTCAATGCAGGCCCCAAACAGCACAATGCAGGAGAGATCCACAGCCCTCGTCAAGGAAAGGCAGGTCCGTGGGTGCAGGGTCCTCAGGTACGGGGGGTGGGGTGGGGTGGGGTGGGGTGGGTGGGGAGATGCACTGGCCAGCGGGCCGCAGGATCCAGGTGGGCGGGGACCGTTCTGCATCCCATCCCATCCCGGGCACGTCCTGTCCCCCGTGTCCTCAGCGCACCCTCCTGGGGCTCTGTCCAGCGCCACAGAACGGGGCCCTGGGGTGGTGGACACACACCTGGCCTGGTGCTTGACCGCCAGGGATTGGCAGGGGACCATGCTGAGGGGACAATGCTCGGCTGGAAAGAGGCAGCCTTGGGATTGAGAAGCCAGAGGCCCCGCGGGCCCAGCCTGCCGGCGGCACACCCCACACACCGCTGCGCATCACTGTCCACACGCGGCAGGGTGACTGCTTCTGTTTTCTCTACGATCGCATCACACAGTGGTGAAGAAGCCAGGGTCCTGACAGCAGCCCTTGCCCCGTCTCCCAGGGAGGATGACGTGGTGAGAGCACAGCCTAACCTGGGAAGTCACATGCTGGTGGCCGAGGGTATGATGCTGAGCCGGGGAGGGCATGGGGGCCTCCCCCCAGGCAGAGGCTGGAACCCTCGCCTGCACCCCTCCAAGGATACAGATGAAAGACGTCGTCACTATGGCCAGGATGGTCCCCGTGGGGATGGACTTCTGTGCATCCTTGAGGTCCCCGGACCGGTTTGAACCCGCCATGATACCTGTGAACATGGAAAATGCTGCAAAGACCCATCTGAGGAGTCAGTGCCATGTGATGGCAGCCCCTGCCCAGAAAGCTGGAAAGGCGGTCTCTGGGGAGACCCCGAGCGTGAGCTGCAGCCGAGGCTGCAGTCCAAGCTCCGCCAGCCCACGCTGCAATACTGCGGCTGAGGGGATGCGGGCCCAGGCACGCGGATGAGCACCCACGTCTACTGCTCCCCTGGATCCGAGGACGAGAACCGACCCCGTCACTGACCCCCACGCCCCCCACACCCAGGGCTTCTCTGGAGCCTGTGTTAATCCCATGGCCAAGGGTCAGCCCAGAGACGGTGCTGAGCAATGGCTCACAGGCCCCCAGGACCTAAGGACTTTGGGAATGAGATCCTAGAACGACTCAGCCCAGCCAGCCAGGCCAGCAGACGCTGCGACCCCTCCCGCTGTGGCACCACCTTGCTCTAGGGAGCCACGGCCGGGGATGTTTCCACACAATCGGCTCCTACAAAGCTCTGGGAAGCCGGGTCGGTGGGGGCCACTTCACGCCTGGCTCGGTCCCATCCAAGGCGCAGCCTGAAGCACCCATTGCTCGGGGTGGCCTGGGAGGCAGCAGAGCCCACAATCCAGTGCCGCGGAGACACCCGGAGCCACGCAGAGGCTCTGCCCCCACGCCCTCCACCCGCGGCTCAGAGACACCCGGAGCCACGCAGAGGCTCTACCCCCACGCCCTCCACCCGCGGCGCGGAGACACCAGGAGCCACGCAGAGGCTCTGCCCCCACGCCCTCCACCCACGGCGCGGAGACACCAGGAGCCACGCAGAGGCTCTGCCCCCACGCCCTCCACCCACGGCGCGGAGCGCACTCAGACGGACGGGGGAGGCTGGAGCGGAGGTACAGGGAGAGGACCCCCGGCAGATCACCCCCTCCATAGCAAGACGGGCCCACCTTCAGTGGAGGCAAGGGAAACACGAGAAGCCAGCGCTGTGGCCAGGCCCTGCAGCTGACCCTGGGCTCCAGGGCTTTCGGATGTGCTGAGATGAAGTCCGGGAGCAGACGTGGGAGGGACCAGAAGGGACCAGAAGGGCAGCTGCAGGCTGCACAAGCAGCCAGCGCCTGTCAGGGGCGTCCCGACAAGAAGGCCGAGTGGAGACAGCCGGGGGCGTGTGTGTGCGACTCGAAGAGCACGGGGCCTGGCCCCACCCCCTGGGGAACAACCAAGGGCCCCACCCACCGCCGGAACAAGGCCCACTGTTTGAGGAGGACACAGAGGGCCGAGGTCCCCGGCCTCTGAGCTCACACTGAGGCCACTCCTAGGTGTCTCCTAACAGCCTGCCAGGTGTTCCCAGCAACCCTACAACAGCTTCTCCTGACACAGGGCTGCCTGGGAGAGCAGCAGACAGGCTTCTCACAAATCCATCAGGACGCAGGGCAGAGACCTCAGCCACTTCCCCTGAGCCAAACAGGCAAGATAAGCAGGGGCAGGAAGGAACACACTACAGAGAGAGAGACAGAGAGAGAGACAGACAGACAGACAGAGAGAGAGAGAGGGAGGGAGGGAAGAAGAGGGAGACAGAGAGAGAGAGAGAGACAGACAGAGAGAGAGGGAAAAGGGTAGGGGGAGAGAGAAAGAGTGCCGGAGGAGAGAATGACAGAGACAGAGAAATGGACAAAGACAAAGGAAGAGAAAGAAGGAAGCCAGGCGTGGTGGCTCAAGACGTCTGTAATCCCAGCACTTTGGGAGGCTGAGGATGGCTTGAGCTCAGGAGTTTGAGACCAGCCTGAGCAACGTGGGGAGACCCCCGTCTACAAAAAATACAGACATTAACCGGGCGTGGTACCGTGTGCCTGGGGTCCCGGCTGCCCCCCTCTACAAAAAATACAGATATTAGCCGGGCGTGGTACTGGGTGCCTGGGGTCCCAGCTGCTTGGGAGACTCAGGTGGGAGGAATATTTGTGTCTAGGAGTTGAGGCTGCAGTGAGCCGTGATCACACCACTGCCCTCCAGCCTGGGTGACAGAGCAAGACCTTGCCTCAAAAAAGAGAGGGAGAGAAAGAAAGAGAAGGGGAAGCCTGGAGCAGCGGGCTCACCGGTCACGGAAGGGAAGTAGATGCCAACCAGCAGGGTGAAGGAGGCCGCGATGTCGGTGAGCACGTAGGGCAGTGCGCTGGCACGGCTCTCCTCTGCCACGGGCACCGAGGGCACACCTTTCTTCTCCACAAACGCCCCCGCGTGCGCGTACGTACTCCACAGGTTCTCTGCCGGGCAAGGAAGATCCCATGGGTTTCTGGCACCTTCTGTGCAGTGCCCCCGCCATGGGGCCGCCCACTCCCCGGCAGGTGCCACTGGTGGCCGGAGGGGAAGGGTCACAGCTTGTGCGCCGCAAGCAGGCTCCAATTCAAACACGCTTTCGAGATGGTACCTCTGGGAAAGCTGCCTGTCTGCGTCTACGGAGGGAAGGTCAGCACTAAAGAGAAGCCTCATGTGGGGAACAACATACTCCTGGAAAGCCTGGGCTTCCCGTCTCGGGTTCTGGAAAGTCCAGGCTTCCCGTCTCGGGTTCTGGAAAGCCTGGGCTTCCCATCTTGGGTTCTGGAAAGCCTGGGCTTCCTCTCTAGGGTTCTGGAAAGTCCGGGCTTCCCCGTCTCGGGTTCTGGGGAAGTCCGGGCTTCCCGTCTCAGGTTCTGGAAAGTCCGGGCTTCCCGTCTCGGGTTCTGGAAAGTCCGGGCTTCCTCTCTAGGGTTCTGGAAAGCCTGGGCTTCCTCTCTAGGGTTCTGGAAAGTCCGGGCTTCCCCGTCTCGGGTTCTGGAAAGCCTGGGCTTCCTCTCTAGGGTTCTGGAAAGTCCGGGCTTCCCGTCTCGGGTTCTGGAAAGTCCAGGCTTCCCGTCTCGGGTTCTGGAAAGTCCAGGCTTCCCGTCTCGGGTTCTGGAAAGCCTGGGCTTCCCATCTTGGGTTCTGGAAAGCCTGGGCTTCCTCTCTAGGGTTCTGGAAAGTCCGGGCTTCCCCGTCTCGGGTTCTGGGGAAGTCCGGGCTTCCCGTCTCAGGTTCTGGAAAGTCCGGGCTTCCTGTCTCGGGTTCTGGAAAGTCCGGGCTTCCTCTCTAGGGTTCTGGAAAGCCTGGGCTTCCTCTCTAGGGTTCTGGAAAGTCCGGGCTTCCCCGTCTCGGGTTCTGGAAAGCCTGGGCTTCCTCTCTAGGGTTCTGGAAAGTCCGGGCTTCCCATCTCGGGTTCTGGAAAGCCTGGGCTTCCCATCTCAGGTTCTGGAAAGTCCAGGCTTCCCGTCTTGGGTTCTGGAAAGCCTGGGCTTCCCGTCTCAGGTTCTGGAAAGTCCAGGCTTCCCGTCTTGGGTTCTGGAAAGCCTGGGCTTCCCGTCTCGGGTTCTGGAAAGTCCAGGCTTCCCGTCTCGGGTTCTGGAAAGCCTGGGCTTCCCGTCTCGGGTTCTGGAAAGCCTGGGCTTCCCGTCTCGGGTTCTGGAAAGCCTGGGCTTCCTCTCTAGGGTTCTGGAAAGTCCGGGCTTCCCATCTCAGGTTCTGGAAAGCCTGGGCTTCCCGTCTCAGGTTCTGGAAAGTCCAGGCTTCCCGTCTTGGGTTCTGGAAAGCCTGGGCTTCCTCTCTAGGGTTCTGGAAAGTCCGGGCTTCCCCATCTCGGGTTCTGGGAAGTCCAGGCTTCCCGTCTCGGGTTCTGGAAAGTCCGGGCTTCCTCTCTAGGGTTCTGGAAAGCCTGGGCTTCCTCTCTAGGGCTCTGGAAAGCCTGGGCTTCCTGTCTTGGGTTCTGGAAAGCCTGGGCTTCCCGTCTCGGGTTCTGGAAAGTCCGGGCTTCCCGTCTCGGGTTCTGGAGCAGGTCTCGTGTACCCTGCCAGGGGTCCTTTTCCCTCAACCCCCTGGGGCAGGTCCGAGGCAGCCTCTCATCAGAGAAGGATACACAGAGGGGGAAGTTACCGCCCAGCTACCACTCCCTTCTTAACACAGCAAGTTCCCCATACATGCTGCCAGGAGGTCATGAAAATAAATCCATAGCATTAAGACCAGCTTGCTGACCATGACGGAGGCTGTCTCCCTGCCACACCGTGTTTGGCTTCTATGGCTCTGCCAGGGGTGTGTACAGGGACCCCCAGGCTCATCAGCAGCAGCTGGGAAGGGGCTCGGCCAGGCAGGAGGAATTGGGGCCCTGAGAGTGACTCTAAGGCGAGAGCAGCCACCAGGGCCAGCGCCTGCTGCCCCCGCCACCCCCCAGCTCCAGCTGCAGCCCTGTGAGCCTCACCCAGGAAGACACCACTGGCCGCGCCCGGGATGCCCTGGATTTCGGTGACGTTGTTCTGGATGAAGTACTCGTCACAGGCGGCGCTGGGCTGGGAGCCGTTGCAGAAGAGGCCCCAGAGCGCGGAGGTGGCTGAGTTGTTGTGGATGCCGTAGGCCTTGACGCAGGCATCGAAGCTGCGCCGTGACAGCGTGCGGTTCCCCAGGAGGCAGACCCTGGGCGGGACAGGGAGGCACGGCACGTGTGCTGCCACCGAAGTGGCTTTTACTGCCCCACCCAGCTCCCCCAACGGGCACCCATGGTGTCGCCCGCGAGTGGCTCCTGGCACCCTGCACCTCCCAAGACAGGAAGGCCACAGATCACGCCAGGGACCGGGCCCAGGCCAGGCTGCAGCAGGAATGCAAGGGCCAGGGATCACACTGGGGACCGGGGACTGGGGACCAGGGACCGGGGACCAGGCCAGGCTGCAGCAGGAACGCTGTACTGTACAGCCGTCCCCTCATCCATGGTTCGGCCACCCGTGGTCCAAACGTGCTAAATGAAGCGTTCTAGACGTAAACAATTCACACGTTTTCCACCGCGCGGTGCCGAGTAGTGAGGTGGAACCCAGCAACCTCCCCCCGCGCCAGCACAGCCACGCTGCAGCCGCTCCCTCCCCGAGGCCCTCGGCGGCGTCCTGGCCGGGTCAGCTGTCACAATCTCAGTGTCTGAGTTCAAGCCACCCTCGTGCCACGTGCCAACGGCCAAGAGCACAGGAGTGCCGCCCCCGACGTATAAGCCAGGCCTGTACGTGGAAAACAGTCTACACAGGGCCGTAGCGTCAAGCATCGGCAGGGGGTCTCAGGACGGGTCCCCGAGGGGGAGGGCAGCTGTGCTTCCCTAAAACGGGCTTGTGGGGTTGCAGCTGTTCTGCCTCCCTCTGTTTTGAGGCCTCTATGAGGCTGTTCCTTCAGGGGCTCCCTCCACGCAGAGACGGCAAAACCGCGGGAGCCTCAAGGGGCTTGGCTGCTGGCCCTTTCTGGACCTGCTCCCTGCGGGCTCTGGTGGCCACTCCCATGTTCCAGGACCCTGGGCCGCCTCCCAGCTGCTCCTCCAAAAGGACAAGAAAAGAGCCCCTCCAAGCACCTCTGGGAGGGAGAAGACACCCAGGCCCCAGCAGCAGCCAGGGCCACACCCATGACGCTCACTGCACCTGACCGTGCTCAGGGCCACCGGCCACCCCTGAAACCTGCCAGACCCCTCACCAGCCCTCCTGCCACTGAGGAGGGTCTTCATGCTCAGACCCGGCCACGAGGGTACCTCGGCCCACCTCACCGTTGGGTTTCCTGTAATCCCCAGAACGAGCCCACGGGGGTTCCCGCCACGGTCACACCCAGCCCACCCCTTGCGGGGAGCTCGGCGTCAAGGATGATGGACGAGAGGCGGGCAGAGCCCATGGGACCTGGCCCCAGCCCCACACCCACCCACGGCTCAGAGGCCCCGAGACTCACGGGATGTCCGGGGGGTCGAAGGCAGACTTGATGACGCCGGCATAGATGGCCAGGATGGACAGCACGACGCAGGCCAGGAAGACCAGCGCCAGCTTGTTGACATACTTGACGCCCACGAAGACCACCAGGGCCATGAGCACGAGCGTGCACGTGCCGTACACACGCATGTTGTGCAGCATGGCGGCCGCCTCGCCACCTGCAGCCTCCGCCTGGAAGATGGCCGCACCCGGGGAGATGTACGTCTGTGGGAACAAGGCCGGTCGGGAGGCCGTCCCCGGACACAACTCCCCAGTGCCCGTCCCTCCCGCAAGCCCCCAGCGCCACACAGGGGCCTCCTCCCAACAGGTGCCGGGGCCATCGGGACGCATCCGTGCTGGACGGAGCCCGCGGGGGTCAGCGCACAGGCAAGGGACGGAGCCCGCGGGGGTCAGCGCACAGGCGAGGGACGGAGCCCGCGGGGGTCAGCGCACAGGCGAGGGACGGAGCCCGCGGGGGTCAGCGCACAGGCCATGGACAGCCAGGGGCCTGAACGTTTCCCAGGAACCACCCGGGAGCCTTAGAGTAAAGCAACTTCAGGACCCGGGGCATCCGCATGTCCGCACTCAAAAGAAACACCTTCTGCTAAGAGGAATGTGACTGCTGCCCAGAGAGCTCGGCCCACCCCGGCTGGACGTCCTGGACACACACAGGGTCTGACCACGCCGGCGGGGGGCAACCTCTGTTCTGCCCAGATTCAAGGGAAGGGACGGAGACGTGAGACAGTGCTGCTCAGCTCCCTCAAGACCAGGACAGGACTGGGGTGCAGCAGGCATGGAGGGCATGGCACCCACCCCCACCAAAGGGGATCCTGGGAGTGCGGCAGCCACGGCACCCGGGGCAGGTGGAAAGATGGAGGGACATGGCCAGGGGACTCGGGTTGGGACGGGTGTGGGTGCGACCCCACTGAAAGGTTTCAGAACCTTCTTGGCCATGTGGCTCTCTTCAGGAACCCAGGAGGCCAGGAACCAGGTCTGGCAGCAGAGGGAGGGGCAGAAAGACTGGGGACAGGGGCTCAGGTGAGCGTCTCTGAAGCCCTGCAGGGACAGCGGGTTTCAGAACCTCAGCAGGAAGGACAGCACCCGTCGGCCAGAGAAGGGCGGTTCCCGTCCCCACGAGGACCAAGGAACTCAGGCCACAGCTCTCAGCTGTGCTCAGGTGATGTGGGACATGCTTTGAGCATGCCTGTTTTGAGAAGGTGATGACATCACCTGGTTGTACATTGCTGGGCTCTGGGACCCTCGGCCAAGTGCCCAGATCAGGCAGAGAAGAGGCTGGGATCCTGGCAAAAGGTTCTTCTAAGCCGAGTTCCAGCCCTGCTCCTAAAACAGCTCCGACTGCAGGACTGCACCTACGCGGGGCTCAGATCTACAGTCCAGATGTCTACCCAGCTCATGCCAGGCACGCCTCACGGAGGGCAGCAATGGTGCTCAAGGGGGACACAGGTCGCTGCTGAGTGGACGCTGCCCAGTGGCTTCCGCCATGGCCAGAGCCCAGGAGAGCCCAGGGGCAGCCAGGGCAGTGGGGTCAGGATGGCTCAGTGTGCTGTGTGTGCCACAGAGTGGGTCAGGCAGGGCCCCTTGGCATCCTGCCACAGACTGTGGGGTGGGAACCCTTCCAAAGCAGCACACTTACCAGAAAAATCTCGATGGTCCCCAAAATATACATGGCCCCTGCAAACGTCGTGCCCAGGTAGAAGCAGAGGCCGACAGCGCCTCCAAACTCGGGTCCCAGCGAGCGCGATATCATGTAGTAGGACCCGCCAGCTGCGGAGACAAAGGCGGCAGCCGCGGGTCAGGGGCGCACTTGGACTCGGACCCGAGGTGCGGTCTGCGCTGCCATTCACGGGCAAAGGAGGGCCTGTCTCTGCGAAGGCAGCGTGTAGACCCTCGTCCACCCGCAAAGCAGCACATGGAGACGCTTCCACGGTGAACTCTCCCCTCCCGAGGCTCGGCACACGTTCCACACCAAGAGCACGCGCTCTCATGGACATGAGGACCAGGTGAGATCAGGGATAAGGCTCTCTGGGGAGCAGGAGGCCCCAGCAGGTCCCAGAAAAAGTCCCGCGTACATCAGTGGCAGCCCCAGCCCCCACTTCCACTAAGTTTTGCTTATGAAAAAGGCAAAAGAGAAACTAGGATGTTCAGGAGTCGTCTCGTGTACTGTGAACCACGCACGCTATCACTGGCGGGAAAGCCGGGCGCAACCCCAGGGCTGCCTGGAGAACACAGCTCTCCCTGCTCTGAGCAGTGCGTGTGGCATGTGGAAGGGGTCCTAATGGACGCGGCCATCGTGAAGCAGAGACTGGTCCCTTGGCTGCGGAGGGAGACCCCTGGTGAAGGCCCTCGTGCTCTCCTGAGGCCGGGGAAGTCCGCTGAGCACCAAGCGATGCCCCCGTGGGGATGGGGACCAGCTGCGTGAGGACCTGGTGCTGAGCAAGCCCAGCCGTTAACACGCGCAGCACACATGCACTCAGAAGCAGACGTGGCAGCGTCTCCGTTCACTAGTTATTTCGTATCGTAATTCGTTTATTACTAATTAACAGTATCATCTCAGTTTACTAGTTATTACGTATTGTAATTAACTTATTACTAATTAATATCATCTCGGTTCACTAGTTATTTAGTTATTATGTATTGTAATTAACTTATTACTAATTAACAAGGTCAGGGCAGTGTTTTGTCTTCACCTTCCCTCGTGAGATACAGGTTCCAAGAACTCAGCCTATGGCACACGCTGGGCTACAGGAGCCACTGGAATCGCCCGTGCCTCCCCCTCCCCAGCCCGCTGCCTGGTGGGCACTGCCTACCCTGGCAAGAGACGGTCACCACGCAGCAAAATGGGGAAGAAAACCAAACAGCCGTGACCTCACGGCTCAAACGCCAGAGGAGCCAGTGGAGAACACGCAGAAGGCCCGGCTGAGACCCCCAGGCAGCCCCCGGCCCGGCCTCGCCAAGCGGCCTCCTCGCGGTTGCCGTGCGGCAAAACACAGACTCCTCTAACAGGACTCAGGGCCGCGGCTGGCGGGCACCCCTTACCTGGGACCACACCGTTGGTAGCGATCGCACTCATGGAAATGGCGGTCAGCATTGTCTGCAAAAAGACAGGCAGCCATCTGAGGAGAGTTTTCCAACAGCCTGCCGGCATCGCAACACTCCCAAGTCAGGGTCTATGACCCGGCTCCCGCCGAATGCCAGCCCCCAACTCCAGGGCTCTCCATCTCAATGGAGTGGCTAGGAAACAGGACCTGGAGGCTCCCGGGCACCAGGCATGCGTGTCCTGGTTCCCACCCCTTCCCCTATGACAGCGACCCCTGAAAGTGCCCAAGGTCCTTCCAAACTGGAGGTGATGTCATCAAAACACAGGGTGTCCCTTCCCTTGGAAGCCTCAGCCCCCGGGTGCCGCCCCATGACACCCACCACTGGCTGAGATGCCTGTCCGCAGACACGGGTAAATGAGGTGCCAGCACGCCAGTCAACACGCCAGCACTAACCCCGGACAGTGTGGCATCTCATCCCCGCAGCTGCCCGGCTCTCGTGGAGGAGACGGCGCTGAACGACGTCTACACGGGCGTCTGGGGAGGGCCCTACTGTCCGGCTGCCACCGCCCGAAGGCACAACCACAGCGGCCAGGGGAGACGGCATCTGGGGAGAGCCCTACTGTCCAGCTGCCACCGCCCGAAGGCACAGCCACACCTGGCCGGGGGAGACTCACACATGTGCAGCACATGGCCACGATGAGGAAGGACTCCAGGACACCAGCCACCCCCACGATCCACGTCAGGCGCAGGAAGAGGATGACGCCCAGGATGTTCTGCAGGCACGGCAGGTAGACGCCGATGAAGGTGCCCATGCGCGGAGCCTGCGACAGAGCATAGCGTGTCCCAGGGGCTCGTACCCCACACCCAGAGGGAGCCCCCTCCCCAGGCTGCACTCAGGCCCTGGGCAGGCAAAGCGGCCGTGGGGGCAGGAGGGGGCAGGAGTCCTTCCCAGAACAGATGGAGGTTCAGAGAGAGGCCCAGGACAGGACCCCTGACCATCCCGGAATGAGGGCTTAGGGGAGGGGAGCAGAACCACATGGTTGGCAGAGAACCAAGATGCAGCTGCTCCGCTGTGCCTCCCCGACGGAGGGAAACCTGTTACACTGGAAAAGTTATGGAAAAAACAAGAGGGAGAACGAGAGGGCCCCCGGCTCCGTTCCCTGGATGGCTCAGGGCCTGAGATCTGACACCCTGGGAGAGCCTGAGACTTCAGGAATGGAAGCAGAGCCAGCGGAGGGATGAGACGGCTGCTGCCCATAAAGCTAAAAAAAAAAAAAAAAAAAATCCACAGCTCAGCGTCGGCCCTGGGCAGAAACTGACACATCTTAACCGGGCACGGAGGTCACCACGAGATAACAGCAAAGGTTCAGATATCCACGTGGGGGCCACCCCGCCTGCCCCAGCACGGAGCAGGCAGCCTGCTTCAGACACCTGTGCCAGAGAGGGGGACACACCCTGTGCCCTGAGAAAACCCACATGGGCAAGGGTCAGCAGCACAGCCAGGAGCAGGCCAGCGCCTGCCAGGCAGCTCCCCAGCTCCACTCGGGACGGGCCAGGCTGGGGTAGAAGTTTCAGCTCCATCCCCACTGCCTGCTCAGCCCCACTCCCGCCATGAGCAGAGGCACGTGGCTCAGACCTGGAGGACGGCTGGTGCCAGCACAAGGTGACGTTTTAACAGGAAAACGTCTCAAGGTCAATACGGAAAAGGGGGAAGGTTTTATTTGAAGACACTTCCTGTGAACAGTGGCCACAATGTGGATCAGAACAGGCCCCGTGCGGGGCTTCGATCCTGGGGTTCACACAGCCCAGGCCTGGGGAGGATGGGAACAGGGGACCAGGTGAGGGGCAGCTCCCAGGGAGAGCACGCTGAACACCACATCACAAAAGCAAACAGGGTGGCTTCTGGGGTCACCGTGCCGGAACGCCTCCCACAGACTGGCCAAGGCTGGGGCCAGGGCAGGGCTCTAGGGCTCCACCAACTTTAGGACCCTGGGAAAAATAATGTAAGAGCAGCTCGGAGCGTGGGAAGCCCTGGATCTGAGAGCCTGGGGGATTCACTTGGTTCCCTGAGCCCTAGGTGGGAAGCAACAGGGGAGCGACTTGCTTCTGACGGGGGCCCTGGAGAGGAGAGGGTGACGGGGCTGGGGGCCGCTGCTGGGCCCTCCAAATCTGGGTATGCTTTGTTCTTGGTGCAAACGAGAGAAGCGGTGGCGGATGGTGGAGAACCGGCTTTGGGACATTCTCATTGGATAAAACTGAGAGCCCAGGGCAGAGGTGACAGCAAGGCTCCAGGGACAATTGTTGCTGTGACTTCCCAGCGAGGCTTCAGCTAACGCAGGAGCCGACAGGCAGAGCTCCAGGCAGAGACGCGGTCCACACAGGGGCCCCTGCCCTCCAGGCTCAGCCTCAAATCCCGCAGCCCCGTGACAGGCGAGTCAGAAGCTGGTTCTCGGCCAAAGGCGGGGGATCCTGACTCCTCACGGAAGGGCATGGCCGGCCTTGGCCTCTTGGTTCGCGCCTAAAGGCAACTTTTAAGGCTCAACCTGACCCAATTTCAGGCGCGGGAGGCTGGAGATGCCTGGGCCCTTGAAAAGGCTCCTCAATGGGAGCAGGTCTGCTGGGGATGAGCCTCTGAGCCTGGCAAAGAGGACCAGGGGCGGCCCCTGCCCTTCCACCCCAGGGGCCGAGCCACGGTCCCCTAAGGGAGCCGAAGGAGTCACTGCCAACTGAAACCCGCCACCGTCAAACAACAGGCCTGCTGGGGTCACGGGCCCTGGTCCCTCCACGACTGAAACGCAGGCAGCATCAGCCTGGGGTACCTGCATATTGTCCCTGAGGGACAGAGGCCTGAGAGCCACCAGCCTGGGGGTAGGGTTGCCAGGGAGGGCCAGGGAGAGCCTTCCAGGTGGGAACCTCCTGGGCCCTGGCCCACAGTGTGCCATGAACAAACACACCTGCCTGGACGTTTCAGTCATGTCTCAGTACCAAGTAGGGTGAGAGAAGCTGGGGTGTGCTCTCTATGGGCACCTCATGGCAGGCTGGGCTCCATCAGGCAGAGGGGTTGGAGCTGGATGTCCAGGCCAGTGGTGCCTGAGCCCAGCCGAGCTGGAGCTAAAGCCTGTTCCCGGAGCACTCGGACCAGGCCCGTGGGAAGACACCTGCTCCCTGGAGAAAGCCAACATCTCCCTAGGACACAAACTCCAGCACACAGGCGGACAGACAGGGAAGGCCTGTGGCTCCTGAGTTTTGGTGCCAGAGTACCAGCCTGAGCCCATGAGGCCTCAAGGTAGTGCCCAGCATGCGTGAAACCCCAGAAAGGTGCTGAGTGCTGAGCCCGGCAATACCCAGTTCCACAGCGTCCACGTGCGGAAAGGTACTGAGTGCTGAGCCCGGCACACCACCACCCAATTCCGCGGCGTCCACGTGCGGCACGGCAATACCCAGTTCCGCAGCGTCCACGTGCAGAAAGGTGCTGAGTGCTGAGCCCGGCAATGCCCAGTTCCACACCATCCACGTGCAGAAAGGTGCTGAGTGCTGAGCCTGGCAACACCCAATTCCGCAGCGTCCACGTGCAGCAGTGATGGTCCCACCCCAAGGGCTGGCCGAGCTACAGACAGGGGGGGCGGCCACAAGCTCCCCGAGCCGGGAAGGACCCAGCAGGGGAACCAGAAAGAGGTCCAGAGATGCAGCTTCTGAAGAGGCCACTACCCTGTCCTGGGACAACAGCCAGGGCTGAGGGCCCTCATCAGGCCAGGCCCCACCCCAAGGTGGTCTCACGGTCACGTCCCTCGTCTCCGGTTACTTCAACCCCAGATTGAGGCTTCTCAAAAACAAAACCAAATGTCTTCAAGTATTTTGGAAATGCAGTATTAATTCCGCTGTGTTTACAGTAAAAGGAAGGAAAGAGACATCTTGAGCGGCCTGACTTCCCGACTGCTGTGTGGGACCCAGGTCAGCAGAACACTGGACGCTGGCAGGAGGCACTCAGGGGTGGCGTCGACGCAAAGCGCAGAGCCCAGGCTGGGAGGATGCAGGGGAGGGCAAGGAGCCGGCCGACGGACGCCCCACTTGGTGGAGGTCACACGCAGCAGGGGGGCCCACCCTCCCTGGACCTGGGGGCGCCTGGCTCAGCACCTCCTTCCTTCCTGCTCACTGGCCTCTACCTGGCACTACAAAACCCTCCCTTCTGAGAAGATAGGGATCTCCTGATGGTATTTTTAGAGTTAGAAAGTTAAGGAAAATAATAGGGGAATTTAAAAATCACCCTAAAAAGCCAACGTATGCCCTTAGCTGTCTGCCGAAGGAGGGGGGCACAGGCTCGGGGCTGACTCGGGAAATGACAATTTTGTGTCAAGACTGGGGGAGGCCGTCGCCCGGCTTCAGAGCAGGGCCTGCGCTGCTTGGTTTCTTCCGGTGGATTATTTTTTTTTGTTTTTTGTATCTTATTCTAGAGCAACACAGACATATTTGAAAGAAGATTTAAAAAGCAGAGGGAGTTGAGAAGAAACTGAGCCACCCGCCGCACCCCCACAGCGAGGACCTAAGATCTCCCCCAACACGGGTCCAGGGTCTTTCTCGCCTGTGAGCGTCACCTCAGGGCCTCAGGCCTCAGGGTGGCTCTCAGGCAACCCGTCTGTACAGGACGGCAGAACCCTCCCGAGGATGCTCAAGGGGTTTCCACACCTCGTCACCCACAGAAACCACTCAAGGGAAACCTTTCCCCACTGCACCCCCCTCGTTTCCTAGGACGGATTCCTGGAAACAAATCCTCAGGGAATAAAACTGCAGGGAAAATGCTACCAGGCTAAGTGTCCTGGACAGGAAATGAAAAGGAGGGCGGCCCCTGGGAGCACCGAGGCCACAGCACCCTCTGGAAGGGGCCACGTCCCGGCCTCTCGGCACCATTCAGACTCCTCTCCACAGCAGGGGATGGGGCCGCTCCCGCAGAACGAACAAAACACCCCAAGTTCATTTCTCGACAGGGAACCCGGCCACCCAGATGCATGGGGGTGTCACGCTTCCCCGGACGGTGGAGAGGGAAGAGGCCTGGACAGGAGCTGCAGGGCAGGCACCATCGAGCCCTCCCAGGAAGAAAGGGCTGGACGTGGCCATGATACCAGAGCTCAGGGCAGCTCTTCTGACAAGCAACTGCCTTGCCGGCGTGATCTAACCCTGCCGGGACACACGGGGCGGGGACTGGGCGGGCACGGGCAGGGTGGCAGTACCTTGGCCTCCCGCCGCCGGCTCTCCTCGTCCTCCTCGTGCTCCACCACGCCCTGGCTCAGGTTGGTGTAGTTGGCCAGCTTGTTGAGCAGCGAGGACACCATGGGGTTACTGTCCATCTCCTCCTGCGCGGCGTGGACATGGTCACAGGCGGCCCGCACCTCGCCGTGGGCCCCCCGACCTCCCTCCCCGTGTTCAGGGTGTGGAGCTCAGGCCCTCCCCGGGTCCTCAGCCCCTGGGTCTGAAGCAAGCCAGAGAGGCCTGGACACCTGTGTGGCAGGTCTGAGTCCGAGGCCAGGGCTCCAGGCCTCACTGAGTGGGGCCACCCACCCATGGCAGGGACCCCAGGGTGTCCAGCACTCAGCAGCTCAGAGGGGTTCCCGTGGGGCCGGAGCACCCTAGATCCAGGAAGGAGCCCAGAAGGCACCAGCCGAGGAGCACGTCCCAGCTCAAGTGCGGGACTGGGCCCCCGCCACAGCCTTCAGGACAGGGAGGCCCCAGTTCCTTCCACGTGGTGTCCAGTCCTGTGGGAGGCCCCGGCCTGGGGGCCCCCAGGGGCTCCTTTACTTTTCCACATCAAAGCAACGGCCCTGGCACCTTCTTCTTCTAAAAAGTAAAGTTACCTCGAAAAGTGCCATGTTCTTCCCTTCAAAGAAGCTCTCTTGTTCCACCTCGACATTGTTGAGGAATGGGCTGTTTTCTCTTGGATTTCCATCTCCTAGTGAGGGAAAAACAATTCAGAGTCAGCTTAGAAGGAACTAAAAGCAAGCACAGAAGGCCAACTACAGATCTTGCACGGAGGGCTCTGGTCCCCACCAGCTGTCACCTCTAAACCATGGCTAAGGGTGATACTTCTCACACACTCTCCTTCCTTCCACACATCTGTGTTCCAAAGAAAGGGGCATTTCCCAGGGTGCACGCTAGTCCCAGGACACATGCTAGCCCCAATGCGCAAGCTATCCCCAGAACACAAGCTATCCCTAGGACACAAGCTATCCCCAGAACACACGCTAGCTCCAGGGCATACGCTATCCCCCACACACATCATCATTGAAGACAAAGCCCCTGAAAGCCTCGGCAAGTGAGCTGTTCAGCCCAGGGCAAGGGTACCTCCCTCTGGCGTTGAAAATCTCTCATTCAGCCAAATGTGGGCAAAATTCTCACTCTTAAAAGTCGGGGTGGCACCTCCTAGCCTTGCTGCTTAATCCGCCATTTCGGAGGGACACAGAGGACTTCCCACTGTTCCCTGTTGAGGACGCCGCCCACAGGCTCTCTAGGTAAATGAGCCCCTCCTGAGTCTTTCAGGAAGGCTGGGCCGGCGACCCCTCCATGGGGCTGAGCCCAGGCTTCGAACCAGGGGGTAATCCTAGCAGCTGCCCGAGAGCATGAGCAAGGGAATTGGTGGGGAGGAGGACTTGAGGCTCCCTGGCAGGTTGAGGCCCGATGGCCCATGTGACGGTGTTAGAAGATAGGGTCGGTAGGAGGTGGGGGCGGTAGGAGGCGGGGGGCCGGTAGGAGGCGGGGCCGGTAGGAGGTGGGGCCCGTAGGAGGTGGTGAGGTGTGGAAGGGGATGAAAGTCCCTACCCCCAGGCCTCAGCAGCAGAGCTGTCGCCCTCCCACCCTCCATGGGAGGACACGGCAGGGAACCTAGGGCCCTCGCCAGACCCCAAACCTGCCCAGGCCTTGGTCTAAGACTTTCAGCCTCAAGAACTCTGAGAAGTTTCTGTGTTCATGAATCACCTGACCTGGGGGACTGTCACAGCAACACAAGGAACTCGGCACAGGCCACTGCAGAGACCACAGCCTGCCCGGGACCCCTGAGCAGCCCATGGTCAGAACAGGGTCTGCAAATGCACATGCCCCAGCCAGGCACGGTGAGGAGCTGAAGGGCATCAAACCATAGCCACCCACGCACCCCAGGGCCCTCAGGGCCCTCTGCCCCATGTGCTGCACACCAGCTCCCCAGACTGGGAACGACCAAGCCGGGACCCTTCCTAGGGGTGCTCGGCCCATCCTTGCCCAGTCCACCCTAGCCCTGCACAGAATGGTGTGGGACCCTGAGGGTGCAGAAGAAACGGTCAAGGCAGGATGCGAGGTGGCCGGAGGAGGGCAGGCCAAGACCTCATCACTGCACCAAACAACCCCAGCTGGGAGGGTGGGCATTCTCTATGGGACATTTCAGATGTGCCAGAGCCCACTGGCGGCCACCCTGGCTGGCTGACAGGCACCAGCCGCAGGAGTGGTGGGTTCCAGCCGTGCCAGCAAAGAGGGCATCGCCGTCTGGGGGCAGGCGGGCAGCACGTGCTCCCAGTAGGGTGCCTGGGGCGGAAAGCACAGCCTTCAGGGTGTGCAGGTCCTTGGTGCGACCATGAGTGACTGCAGATGCCTAGACCATGGGGCACACCACAGAGAGGCCAGTGCCACGGAGCAGCGGCCCCACCCCTCAAAAACGTCAGGGAGACAACTCAGAGGAAGCTCCAGGTGACAGAGACGGTCAAATGCACGCACAACCTCAGACTTCTTTTTCTAGAGACCGTGATTGGGCCAGTTGGTGAGATCTGAAAAAGATCTCTCGTGTGTGATCATTAACTCCCTGATTCTGGTGACTGCACTGCAGAGATTCTGAAAGAAACGTGCTTGCTTTTAGGAAATACGCCTGTGAGAGGCACCACGTCAGCTGCTTACTCCCAACAGTTCAGAAACAAACGTGGGAGTGAAAGACGGAGACCTGGGGCAGGGCAGGAGGCAGGAGGGACACAGCCAACATGGCAGGAGGTTGGCATTTGGGCAACGGAGGCCAAGGGCAGATGGGCGTTCTCCACACTGGTCTTGCAACCTTTCTGAAATCTAAAATTACATGGAAATCAGGTTAAAAGAAAAATTACACATACTTTCAACTAAGAAAATATGTCTAAATGTCTTTCCCATCAATTATAGGTGTCTTTCCAAGATGAGTCCCATCCAGGGCCCTTCCCCACTCCTCTTCAATGGTTTCAGTGGATTCCTGCTCAGGCCCTTTTTCTGGACACAACGGCCAACTGTTTACAGAGAGATCAGTGGTGACTGGCGACACTTTCTGGAGTCAATGGAAGATGAAGGACCAGGAGCCTGGTGCAGCTATTCTTAGAGGGAGGGAGGGAAGGAAGAAAGGAGGGAGGGGGGAAGGGAGGGAAGGAAGGAGGGAGGAAGGAAAGGAGGGAGGGGGGAAGGGAGGGAAGGAAGGAGGGAGGAAGGAAAGGAGGGAGGGGGGGAGGGAGGGAAGGAAGGAGGGAGGGAAGGAAGGAGGGAAGGGAGGGAAGGAAGGAGGGAGGGAGGGAAGGAGGGAGGGAGGGATGAAGGGAGGGAGGGAGGGAAGGAAGAAAGGAGGGAGGGAGGAAGGGAGGGAAGGAAGGAGGGAGGGAGGGAGAGACCCGAGGGTTTCGGGTTCTCCCTCCCACGCAGCCAACCCCACAGACAACCTTGGACAAAGTCACAGCTGCTTGGGCTCAAGTTTCTCTTCCCCGCAGGAAGGGTGCGTGGCTCCGGAGGCTCAGCCCTGCCTGCCCTTCTCCACCAGGAGTGCAGCTTGGGGCTCCGCTGCCCGGCCTACATCCCTTCTGGAAAGCACAGGTTTACTGGTGGTTGAGGTCTTAGCATGTAACTATGTCTGCGTTCAGCAAGCAACCACTGTTTATCTGAACTCCTACGAACTGTACAAGTAGGAAAAACGTGTACACAGCAAGCACATTCGCTCAAACCAAGGGGACCAACATCCTTCCCGTCGCCTCCAACACTCCCAGCAGAAGCAACCCCTGCTCACCGCAGCGTCTCCTCTGCGCAGCCCACTTGGGAAGATGGCAACGCCTATCAGGCCCCAAGAACACCCCGAAAAACACACACACAAGCTCCCCACAGGCAACCTATGCAGTTGGAAAAAAGCACTAGAAACAACTTGCTCAAGTTGGATTAATATCGAGAAATTCATTAAACTTAGAAAACATAACGATGTAACCACCACAGGGTCACACCCGAGATCCCTGCGTCTGACTGTGCAGGGCTGTGCGCCAGCGGCCTCACGACAAAGCCCTGCGTGTGGGGCCAGCGAGGCACGACTCTGTCCTTCTGCTGCTTATTAAAGTAACACAGACGATGAGTCCAGAACGCGAGGACGCACAGAAAAGGGGGACGGAATACAGAAAAGCAGGGTGTGGCTGGTCCTCCCAGGTGGGGACTGCACTGAACATGTGAGCGTGTGTTCAGCCACCAGCATGTTGTCACCAAAAGCAGCCTCAGAGCATGATTACAACCTTCAAGCCTTTAAAGAGAACGCATCTCCCCTCACTTTCTTGAGAAGAGTGTCGCTTGGTCTCTACGGAGGCCACAGCAAGCGTGCTCTCAGCAGGATGGAAGTGCCCACTTGGGAGTGCCCACAAACGTTTCTATCTGGTTAAAACAGCCAGGTCAGACCTGAACCAAGAGTGCGTCCCGGGGACGTCATGGGCTCAATGCCATCCCAGTCAAGAGACCCTTCGTTAAAAATCCAATGCCCTCTCTAACCTTCTGCACACCCAGCCGCCCCCTCCAACCCTCTGCACACCCAGCCCCCCTCTAACCCTCTGCAAGCCCAGCCCCCACAACCCTCTGCAAGCCCAGCCCCCCTCTAACCCTCTGCACGCCCAGCCCCCCTCTAACCCTCTGCACACCCAGCCCCCCTCTAACCCTCTGCACACCCAGCCCCCCTCTAACCCTCTGCACGCCCAGGCCCCCACAACCCTCTGCAAGCCCAGCCCCCCTCTAACCCTCTGCTCACCCAGCCCCCCTCTAACCCTCTGCACACCCAGCCCCCTTCTAACCCTCTGCTCACCCAGCCCCCTTCTAACCCTCTGCTCACCCAGCCCCCTTCTAACCCTCTGCATGCCCAGGCCCCCCTCTAACCCTCTGCACACCCAGCCCCCTTCTAACCCTCTGCTCACCCAGCCCCCTTCTAACCCTCTGCACACCCAGGCCCCCCTCTAACCCTCTGCACACCCAGCCCCCCTCTAACCCTCTGCTCACCAAGCCCCCTTCTAACCCTCTGCACACCCAGCCCCCCTCTAACCCTCTGCTCACCCAGCCCCCTTCTAACCCTCTGCTCACCCAGCCCCCTTCTAACCCTCTGCACACCCAGGCCCCCCTCTAACCCTCTGCACACCCAGCCCCCCTCTAACCCTCTGCTCACCCAGCCCCCCTCTAACCCTCTGCACACCCAGCCCCCCTCTAACCCTCTGCTCACCCAGCCACCCTCTAACCCTCTGCTCACCCAGCCGCGTCCCTTGCGCTCCCTGGCCTGGACTTGGACATCGGCAGTCCTGGCTGCTGTGAAGGGCAGTGAGTTTTCCTCTGGCCGAGCCCTGCCTGTGTTTTGGGGATAGAGCCACTCGCCTGGGATAGCACCTCCTCCCTTGTCATTCTGCACATTCATGATGACCGGAAGGCTGAGAGGACAAACGGACACAGGGGAAAGCCTGGGCGTGCGGTGCAGGAAGGTGAGATGGGCAGGGTCCTTGCCAGGTGGCCCACAGTGTCTAACCCTCAGGGCAGGTCCCGGTGGTGCCCCTGCCCAGGCGCCATGCACCAGTGGCCTCTGCCAAGCAGGGTGAAGCGGGGGCGAGGGATGGCCCAACAACCCAGATCAGGTCTCCCCAGCCAAACCCCACCCCATGGGCCAAAGAGCAGCACCCAGATACCACGTGCCCTGAGGCAGGAGCAGGGTACAGACATCAACCTAACCCGGACCCGGTCCACCTCCTCCGGTGGACGGCAGAACCCAACCCGGTCCACCTCCTCTGGGGCACAGACATCAACCCAGCCCCGACCCAGTCCACCTCCTCCGGGGGACAGCAGGGCCCGACCCGGTCCACCTCCTCTGGGGCACGGACATCAACCCAGCCCCGACCCAGTCCACCTCCTCCGGGGGACGGCAGGGCCCGACCCAGTCCACCTCCTCCGGGGGACGGCAGGCATCCTCAGCGGGTCAGAGGATTGATCCCAGTTCCGGCCAG
Source organism: Homo sapiens (assembly GCF_000001405.40). Classification (NCBI taxonomy): domain Eukaryota; kingdom Metazoa; phylum Chordata; class Mammalia; order Primates; family Hominidae; genus Homo; species Homo sapiens. The sequence continues at coordinate 1,099,551 of NC_000005.10, forward strand.
GACACAGAATGAGCCATGGTACCGACCTCCACAAAACTCGCCTCCCCTCCCTCCTCCCGAAGACGAACCCGTTTCTGACTTATCTCCACATTTAAGGGCTGAAATGCTGAACTCACCTCACAGAAGCCCTGTAAAGGCCGGCTCCTTTCACATTGTACATCACAGCCGTGGCCTGCCCACCACAGCTTAGAAAGGCTGACTCGGGAATCTCAGTTTGCGCCAAGCTCATGGTCTCCCCAAAACCAAGTGCAGCAAAACTCGGGACACCTTAAAACCAGCGATAGGAACGGCCCCTTCACAACCACCACGGTCCCCTCCGGCGGGTGTACGGGGCAGGAGTGCGCAGGGGAATTCCGGGGTCCCCCAGGCCTGGCCCGCCCCACTTCGCAACCTGAGGGCGCATGACCGTTACTGTTATCACTGAAAAAAGCGACTCATAAGGCTTTAAAAGGAGGCTACTTCAGCCAGTAGCATCCAGGGCGAGAAGAAGAAGGCATGGCATTTCAACCCTCTCCTCCTACCCGGCCGGGCTGGGCTCCCACACGCCTCGGAAGAGAAGAGCGAGGCAGCCGCTCAGGAATTTCCCCTTAAAGGAGACTCAGGCGGGTGTCTGCAAATAGCTCACGAAGCCCGTGAATCATCCACGAATGTCCCTCACCCTCGGGCGGCACCGGGACGGCAGGGGCTGGTACCCTCCGCGCCGCCTGATGAGGCTTGTACGGTGCTCCATTCTGCAGACACGCCGTCGGAATTAAAAATCCACAGGACCCGGCCAGAGTCACTGGGAAAGAAGCCCATGTAAAGGCCGCCTGGCCCCTGGGCCACCCGCAGCCGCCTGTCATCTATCTTTCCACAGCCTTTCAAAGGCTCGATGGTCTCGCAGCAGCCCCCAGGTGCCCTGGGTTACTCCACAGCACAGCAGGCCCCAAAGGCAAGCCCATCTGCGGATCCGACAGTGGGAACCAAAACCAAACGAGGCTCCAGAAGCCTGGCTGGGGCGGGAAAGGAAGGTGAGCTGCGCTCGTGGGTAACAGAGGAGGAAGACGGCGCCCTCGGGGAGACCGCGCCAAGTGCTGTTGACGCGTGTGCCCAGACGCCGCATGCAGGGAGGGCGCCTGTCCTCTGGGGTCTTCCTCCCCGAAACACTCAGCTGCAGGCTAACCACGAGAGAAAACACCAGACACCTCCCAACTGAGGGGCATTCTCTAAAAAGGACCAGGACTCCCCAAAACTGCCACAGTCGTCAAAAAAAGAAAGTCCGAGAAACCGTCACAGCCAAGAGGAGCCCGAGGCAGCGTGGGAACTTGGTGTCTGTCACGTTGGATCCCGGATGTGTCCTGGGACAGAAAAGCACACCCGGGAAGAGGCAGTGAAACATGAGCCTGCAGGGATGTGGCTCTGCATGGTGACCACCCACCAGGAGCCCTCGACGAGCTGAGCCCCGCACCCATGGCCAGCTCCCCCACAGCTGTGTGCGCTGCCCTCCTGCTCCGTCCATCCCAACATCTTCCCAGCTCTGGGAACAGCCCCGGCCTCGGCCCGCCTCGTACCTGGGAACAGCCTGTTTCAGCGCCCTCTCCCCAGAGGCCCCTCCTCGCTCACCTGCCCCGAGCGGCCCTAAGCAGCTGGCACTGGGTGGACTGCCCTGCCCACCTGCACTGGGACAGGGCCTTGGTCACTGTCACCGGTGCCCGTCCCTCCAGGTTTAAAGCAGTTCCAGCAGCAGCTCTGCTCACAGCTTGTCTGGTGCCTTCATGAACCCCATGCACCAGGCTGACCTATCCCCAGGGGCCAGGGTCTCAACAGAACCTGCCCCAAGCAGACGTGCCCGGGACTGACAGCGTCTGGCCAGCAGGCCCGACCTGGGTCCAGGCCCCAGAACCACAGCCTCTGGTGGGTCCCTGAGACCTTGGAGGAGCCCTCCCAATAGCCAGCAAAGGCCGACAGCCGCTGGTGGAGAACCAGCAACACCAGGCTGACCAATGCTGCCCTCCTCCTCAGCCATGAAGGCGGCGAGGTCAAGCCCTGGCCTGAAGAACTGGCCACAAGTCAGTTTTTTCTCGTCTTATTTTTTCTACCTCTTCATTTTATTATAAAAACGACCCCAGGTAAGCAAGTGGGCAGACACCCTGTGCAGCCCTATGGGTGCTAGCTGTCCACGCACAGATCCGCCCCACACAGCCCTGGTCTGATGCATGTCATGGCACACAGTGGCCACCACTGCCCCGACCCCCCTCCACCCCCCGACACTAAGCAGCCTTGTGGCCCTCCGGAGCCGCTTTGCTGAGTTTTCTCTGGCTGCAGCCGCCTGGGCAAGAGAACGTCTATCTGCTGAGCATTAACAAAGGCCTGCCCCTGCTCACCGGACCTACCAAGAGCCTCCCACCACTTCCCCAGCTCCCTCCCTGCCAAGCCCCCCAGCCACAGAGGCAACCTCCGGTCTGTTTTTCACTCTAGGTTAGTTTTCCAGACACCTTATCAACAAAGTGAATGCAGACCCTGTGGTCAGTAAGCAGATCCTGATGGGCTGGGCCCTTGGGGAACAGCCTCCTGGGCTTGTCCAACCAGGCTGTGTCCCCACCCCGAGAGGGAAGGAGGCGGCTGCAGGTGGAAGGGCAAAGACCAGACACACGAGTGTCCCGGCCAGAGGAGGGGCAGCCCCTCCAGCCAGAGAGGCAGTGAGAGTGTGTGTGTCAGATCCCTGACCCATCCCGATCCAGGCCTGGGAAGTGCGTTCATGGGTAGTTTCTGCAGGGAGAAGCTGGCTCACCTCCCTAATCGGCCCTAATCCCCTCTGAGATCACAATGCCTCCATCAGCCTCCCTATCTCCAGGCACAACCTCCTCCCTTTCTCAGTGGCTCATCCCTCCCCCTCTTCCTCCCGCGTTTTGGGATTTTACAGCCATTCTCCGCAAAGGGCTCTAGGAACGTCCTCTTAGACTCAGCCTCAGCCGGAAGCAGCTGACAGGCAGGAGGGGCTGTGAAGCTGAAGCCAGGTCCGACAGCCTCCGCCCCTTCCTGCCCTCCAGCGTGGGTGGTCCGTCCAGCTACCCAGCCCTGCAGAGCAGTGGCGGGTGGCACCGGACCTGTGCACACAGAGAGGCGCCGGGCCTGGGGCAGGGGACAAGCAAGTCCAGGCTTCCCGGCTCCCTGCACTCGAGGAGGTTCTCAGGCCTGGCTCTGTGTGTCCCCTGGGTCCAGCAGGCCACCCTCCCCTGGAGCCACAGGGGACTCACAGCAGAATGAGTCCCACCTGGTGACCCAGTGGCATCAGCTCACGTGGCCTCTGGGGACAGCCCGAGACTGAATGGACCCAGGAGCACCCCCCACCCAACCCCACTGCCTGGAGGCTGAGTTCCCTGTGAAGGCGCGAGGACCCAGGAACACTCCCAACCCCACTGCCTGGAGGCTGGGCTCCCTGTGAAGGTGCCGGGCACTGAAATAAAGTGTGTTTAGGTTCCAGGATCCGAACGCCAGCTGACGACCCCTGGCCCTTGCCCTCCCTCTGCCCCTCACAGTTTGTGCTGTGTGGGCCCCTAAAATCTAGAAACTGAGGCTCTCAAGGGGCACAGGATGAGAACGGCCCAGTGTTCAGGCTGGGACACGGGGGGCTTCAGGCAAGCTCTCAGGCTTCCAGCACAAGTTTCTGGCTAAAGCAGCGCTGCCTTCTGAGGGAAAAACAGGCCCTTCATCACCCATTCCCGAAGTGACCTCATCCCAACAGTCTGTGCAGACACCACCGCCAGTATCCTGTAAACCAGGAGAGCGCCGGGAGATCCCAGCTCACCGTCAGAGGCACTGGAAGCAAGGAAGCCTGGCTGGAAGGTCCTGGCAAGCTATGGCCAGACACACATGAACACACGCCACAGAAAATATACACTCACATGCACAGAGACATGCATGTGTACACATGCACAGACAGGCACTTCCACGTGCACACGCAAACTTGCTCACACGGAAGACACTCTCCATACCCATACTCACACGCTTCCCCCCTCATTCATACACACAACACTCACCTCGCAAACCTGCACACGCACCTGTCCTCACATGTGCATACCCATACCCGCAGTCACATACACACACCAACACCCGCACATACACGTGTACACACACACATACCTGCAGCACACACATCTGCACAAAGTCCCAGGGGCTACAGCCCCCAGACTGCACGACCCACGGGGCGGGGTGCCCAGGACACAGGCATGCACTGGGACTACAGCCCTTCCATCTAAAGGACACGCCTGCTCGCGGGAAGGTGGCCTCGGGTGAACTCACTTCCCGAACCCTCTGTCACGTGGCTGTTTGCTGGTCCTGGTCCAGCCTCCTCCCTCAGCAGCCAGAGTGACGTCTGAGCCATGGAGGGGCCGTGGGGTCCCCTAGTTCCAGAGACTCGGGGCCCAGGCAGCCTGCAGGAGCAGAGATGAAGGAAGGCGGGAGAGGCAGGGCCCCCAGCGCACCTGCCAGGCCCTCCCAGGGCGGCTCCTGTTACAGGCTGCCTCTGGGCTGCGGTCGGGGACCCTTGGCGGCATGGAGGGGACCCAGGAGGGGCCTGGCCTGGCGCACTTCCCTCCTCCGATTTCCACTCCACTCAATCCCTCCCCAGTGACTGCCCAGGGCGTCTCTGAGCCTCCCTGAAAGCCCAGGCCCGACCCGCTGGCGCCAGAGGTCTGCAGACAGAGCCAAGGAGATGAGAGGTCACAGCCACCGCCACCCTCGTGACAGGCTGGCTCCTGCCAAGGGAAACTGAGGCACAGAGCAAATGTTCAAGGATCACTTTAACAACCTCCTCCCGGCTGCACGTCTGCAAGGTGGACATCCCCTGTGCACGGGACTTAAATGGACAGGAACGCTGGGAGGGCCAGCGGGGCTACCCCACCATGAGGACAGCTCCAGGCCATGGCAGACACACAAACCAGGCATGCCAACCAAGCACACGGGCATGCTGCGTGCGGCTATCCATGGCCAGCCTTGGGCTCAGGTCCCAGCCCCCAAACTTCCCAGAGCCACTGTAACCACTACAGTGGATGGCAATCTGACTCCAGGGGTCAACACAGGCCTGGGCGGGGCCCACTCTCATCCCGGACCCCAGGACCACTCCCCACAGAGCCGAGGCCCACCGGGGGGTGCGTGTGGGGTGCGTGTGGGGTGCTGCCCAAGAAAACCCCAGAACGCAGGAAACAAACCACCCCAGGTCCACACGTGATTCAGAAGCAGCACTCTCCTCCCCACAACTGTTTCCTCAAAAAGACACCGCCCAAGGGGAGAGCGGAAACAGGCACGGGCTGGCAGGATGGGGGCCCACGTCACAGCCCAGGGCCGCAAGCACCACTCGGACCCCGAGACCCCTGCAACGGCAGCACACGCCCCTCCCCGCAGGGGTGAGGTCCTGCAGTCACCCACCAGCCAAAAGGGACCCTCCCCGCAGGGGTGAGGTCCTGCAGTCACCCACCAGTCAAAAGGACCCTCCCCGAAGGAATGAGGTCCTGCAGTCACCCACCAGCCAAAGAGGAGCCTCCCCGCAGGGATGAGGTCCTGCAGTCACCCACCAGCCAAAGGGGACCCTCCCCGCAGGGATGAGGTCCTGCAGTCACCCACCAGTCAAAAGGACCCTCCCCGCAGGGATGAGGTCCTGCAGTCACCCACCAGCCAAAGGGGACCCTCCCCGCAGGGATGAGGTCCTGCAGTCACCCACCAGCCAAAGGGAACCCTCCCCGCAGGGGTTAGGTCCTGCAGTCACCCACCAGTCAAAAGGACCCTCCCCGCAGGGATGAGGTCCTGCAGTCACCCACCAGCCAAAGGGGACCCTCCCTGCAGGGATGAGGTCCTGCAGTCGCCCACCAGCCAAAAGGACCCTCCCCACAGGGATGAGGTCCTGCAGTCACCCACCAGCCAAAGGGGACCCTGCCGTGGGCCTGCCCCCCGGCACTCCCGGCCAGAGGCTCCAGGACCCTTGGGGAGTCAGCGGCCACAAACAGGGGAAGAGGCAGGGCCTGGACAGCATGGCCAGCCAGGCAGCTCATCGTTCAGGAGCTCATCGTTCAGGCTGCTGCGCTGAAGCCAGAGGTTTATCTGCACAGAACAGGCCTCTGCCCCCAAAAGGGAGTTTCCCCTTTCTTCATAAAGGAAAGGTATTAACCCTTTGTGCTCTGCCCTTGTCCCTGGGCAGCACTTCCCCAGCATCTGAGAAGGAAGGCCAAAGGAGACCAGCCCCCCATGTCAGTTACCAGGAGGGCCCCCAGCCAGCTGCTCACCAGGCCCCAGACACCCCCAGCCCAGCCCACTGCCCTGAAGACCAGCTGGTCCACTCCTGAATGCCGTCCACGCCCAGCCCCACTGGGCTCCACGGGGTTCCCATGCCCCACAGTGGGAGGGGGAGGTCTACCCCTCAAGGCCCTGGCGGGCCTCACACTCCCCAGCACCCAGGGACTCCTGCCCCACCCACCACACGGCCGTCACAAAATGACTCTGGGATCCACCCTCAGAAACACTCAGCTGATGGAGCCGGTTGAAATCAAAAGCACCCAGCCAGGAACTGTGGTTAATACTTAACGTCAAACATCAAACTTTGCCCTCCAGACCTCGGTCTAAGGCACAGCTTAGAAAATTCATATTCTGGCCAGATATGGTGGCTCACTCCTGTAATCCCAGCACTCCGGGAGGCCGAAGTGGGCAGACCACTAGAGGCCAGGAGTTCAAAACCAGCTTGGCCAACATGGCAAAACCCCATCTGCACTATAAATATAAAACTTAGCCAGGCGCGGTGGTGCGTGCCTGTGGTCCCCGCTACTCGGGAGGCTGAGGCACGAGAATCGCTTGAACCTGGGAGGCAGAGGTTGCAGTGAGCTGAGTCTGTGCCACTGCACTCCAGCCTGGGTGACAGAGTGAACTCTGTCTCAAAAAAAAAAAAAAAAAAAAAAAGAAAATTCATATTCCAACAGGGATGGTAACAGGAGAGCCCTCCGGGCAGCCAGCTGGCCTCACAGACGCCATCCATCCCTGGGGTGTCGGCTCCACTCGTGCCCTTCACAGCTGGGGGGTCACCCTGGGCTGACCTCCACTCCCAGTGCTGTGCCCAGCGGTGCCACGTCGGGATGTGTCTGCAGTGCCCAAGGACAGCAGCCCTGGGAAGGCTCCCTGGTCCAAGGTATGAAAGGAAAACAGGATCTCGGGACCCAAACACACTAAGCCACAGGCAAGAGTCAGGCTGGGAACCGGGTCACGCAAGCTGCCTTCCATTTTCTTCCTGTGTAGAAAGCTGCAGGCCTCCCTCATATTTTAGGACCCACAGGATCCTTACACTAAAGCAGTTGTGATGAAACTCACACTGACGGTGGAAATGACAGCTCATCCTCACGGGTGTGGGACCAAGGACAGAACCAGGAGTTGCTGCTCTGCTCGCCGGAGGCAAACGCACACCTCACTGCTTCGCCCACCCTGTACTGACTGTGTCGAAGGTAAATGTGCAGAGTCACTAAGCGTGAGCCGTGAGGGGTTCTTCCTTTACCCCCATGTGTAACACACGGGTTCAGTGAACGCTGATCAAACGCTGCCTGCCTCTTATCTGCCCTCCCTCTTCTTTCTCTTTCTTTCTTCCCCTAATACTCACGCTTTACTCTCTGAATATTCAAGTTCTCAGCCTTCTTTGAGAAGAAAAGCCGGACCACAGGAGTTCCCCGTGGTTCTGTGTTAGGCGTAGCCTTAACCTCGGCAAATAAACCTCTCAAGTGATTGAGGCCCACCTGGGTCGCTTTCTGTGCTTTACAAAGGCCACCCATCCCCCATGCAGGAGCCTGGGCCATCTGGGAATCCCTGGGTCAGGTCCAGGGAGCTGTGTAGGACGTGGCCCCACGTCCAAAGGGCAGAGGCCCTGACAGAGGTGGCCTCACTCCACGGCCCACTCACTGCCGGGCATGAGGGGAGGACAGCCCCCAACTCACCCTCAGGGTCCCTCAGGTGCCTCTGCTTGACTCCAGCCACCACCTGGCAAGGTCTCCGACATTCACCGATCCCCAGCAAACCTGTGTGACTTCGGCCCCGACCAGCCGCCCTGCACCCAGGCCTGAGCACCTGGCCCTCCCCTTGGCACCACCTTCCCGACAGCCATCCAGACCACGGGAGAGGCACTGAGAAAGCCACGCACTCTAAGAAGGGGATCTGGTGTCCAACGCTAGACAGAAAACCACCGTGGAATCCGTTTGGCCTCGCCCACTCAGAGAAGCCTGGGGAGCTTTGCAGAAGAGGAAACCATGAACCTGAGTCCACGAGGCAAAGGTCTCCTCATATGATCAGAGGCCCAGGAGCAGGTTCAGACCTGAACACGAGGCCACACCAGGAGAGGGAGCCCCTCACCACTCACTGATGGGCCTAGACCAGGGGGAGGGAACGGATACCCAACACCCAACACCGCGTGACCCTCTGCTGTGGAGGAAGCCCCAGCCCCTCTCTACCTGCCACAGCATACAAACACACACATACACACACACACGTGAGCATGCCCACAGCACACAGCTGTGCAAGAGCACAGTACACATGTATGCACACGTGTGTACATATATGTGCACATATACACAGTGCAAGCACATGGCTCACACGTGGATACACCTGCACGCTCACAAGGCACATAGGTGCCCGCACACATGGACCCGGCCAGCTGACCTAAAGCACCATGCTTTACCGCATGCCTGCTAAGGAGAGCCTCTTGCCGGGAGACAGCCTGGGAGTATGTCAGGCGCAGGAGGAAGCACAGGCCCCGGCCTGGATGCCCAGCAGCCACGGCGTTCCTGTGTATCTTGTTTCCTTTGGTTTTAAAAAGGGAACTCGATACACAAAATGCATGTCTTGTAGCCTCCCTGCCTGCTCACCACATACCCATGACCTTCCGTTCCCGCAACGCAGTGCCCAGCTGCTGCAGGGGCTCCCGGGCACAGCCGCGGGGTCAACAGCCTGCCTGTCCCTCCTGCTCCGACTGCCTCCCATGTCCGTGTCGGGAACGCCCTCCTGAAATCTGGGCACAACGAGAGCTCTCTGTCCCTACTCGGCAGGACAGAACCTGGACGCTCTGTGTGTGGTCCCCCTATCTAATGCGTGATCCCCCAAGTCCCTGCATCCCCAAAGGGGACCCCAGATCAGCACGACCGGCGTGCACCGTCTCGCCATTCCCAAGGGCAGTGCAGAGCATGGCACCCAGCACCCGACAGGCGAGGACGGCCCAGGACAAAGCGGCAGCTCTAGCTGTCCTCAGATTTTGGGAGGGGGCTCCCAACACGGACACGGTAGGTAGTTGGAGCAGGAGGGACGGGCAGGCCACTGACCACGCAACCGGGCCTCTGTCAGCGGCCAGGGGCAGAGGGAGGCAGGACCGCCCCTGGACAACCGACACGAGCTCAGCCACAGTGGAAAATCTCAGAAACGGAACCCAAAGAGGGAAGTGGCGCCCAAGCCAGGAAGAAGCTCCCGGCAAACCTGGGAGAGCCCCAGCTGAGGGTGGGAGACCTGGGGGTACAAGGCAGGACCCACCCTCTCCCAGCCCAGGGAGCCCCAGACGAGTGGAAGTCCCTCCTAGACAGTGGGTGGCCAGGGCCTGTGGGACCTTGACAGAGGCTCTGCACGCTGCACCTTCCAGACAGGCCGGGGCACTGGCCAGCCCTCCTTTCCCACCCCTCCCAGGGTCTCCGAGGCCTCTGGACGCACCCCTACAACCTGGGAAGGAGTGAGTCTACCCTGATGTGGTCACGGAGGAAGGGTGGGCTCCCCCAAGTCAGTTACAAAACCCACTCTACCCTGAAGTCGGACGAGACGCAGCCGGCCCCCAGCAGTGTCCTCCCACCTCCTACTCTCAAAAAACCACCCCACTGAGAAACTGAGGGTTAACACGTCCTTCTCATTTCAAGACGAGGTATTTCACATAAGAATAAAAGCTCCGTCCCAAGAAGTGCTGAGGGCACAGTGCCCATCCCCGGGACAGGACGCCTCCCGCAGAGGCTCCACCAGAAGCAGCAGGGAAGCTGCAGGGGTCGGGGACAGAAGGCCCCTGGAGCCAGGCTGGGCAGACGCGGCCTTGCTGGGCTCTGGGTCGAGCCAGGCAGCCCGGGCAGCAGCATCTACCCCTCTTTCCCCAGAACCCCCCAACCCAGGCTGGGGACACCAAGGCCCCTGCTCCTCAAGTTGGGGTGGCTCAGGACGCCCTCTCCACGCCCACCTGGCAGTGCCTAGGATCAGCCCACCAGGCCCCCCAAACTTGCTTCGCCGTCACCCAGGCGCCAGCCCAGAAGCTCCAGTACCTCCACAGACCGTTCAGGGGAACGGCAATGGAGTCAGGAAGAGCTTGGGTGCTGGTAACTCTGTGGCCGGACAGTTTTGGACCTGGCCTGTGACCTTGTGGTGTGGACCCCACACAGAAGGCCTTTGGGAGGGGCTCCGGCTTCTGCAGGACCCCCGCCCCCAACCACCACCAAAAAGCAAAGCCTGTGCCTCCTTCCCCAGGCTCCGTGCCCATCACGGGACTCCTCGCCGCACCTCTGTGGGCTGAAGATCAGGATGTGATCAAGTGGATTCCGAAGGGCAGCTGCGTGCCCGTTACAGCCTGGCAGTGGCTGGGCACCGGGCCCTTTCTGTGGAAGTAGGAAGCGGGTCCAGCACAAAAGCGCCAGGTGCAAGTTCTCTGCCAGTTCGGAGAAATCTCCCAAGTTCAGCTCACACCACAGGGCCACCCTCAAAAGTGTCCAGAAGCCCACACCTGGCCCATGCCCTCCCGTTCTCAATTTCATGAAGGCCAGGGAGCCTCCTGACACGCCCGTAGCAGGACCTGAGTGCGCGGGCAGCGACATGGGCAGCGCTCAGCCAGGGCCACTTCCTGCTGGGCAGACACAGGCCCAGGGCACTGCTCAACAGCCTTGAGAGTAGAAGAGACAAGAAAACGAACAAGCACAAAATTCTCTCTGGCTTAAAAGCAAATGACACTTACAGTCTAAAGACAAAAGTGAACCTGATCAGCCTTGAGAAGGGGCCGGCCAGACAAGAAGAGGCTCCTTCTGAGTGCGTTCCGGGGGCGTTGCTACAAAGCTCACACAGAAAGACCACGCCAGGGCCCACACTCCTTGGTGCTTCCTGCCTCCACGGTGGTGACTGGAGAGAAGGGGCTTGGACTCACGGACCCTGCTTAGTTAGCACTTCACCTGGTGTTGAGCCTGGCGCCCCGCCTGACCACTTCCAAGATCTGGGCTGGCCTCTGTGCAGAGGAAGCTGAGACCACTCTTCGCCCGCCACGGGGACCCTGATGACGCACCCCAGGCCACCAGGCCACTGCCTTCACGGTGGGTCCCCACCCGTGTCTCCGGGTTCCTAAACTGCCTGGAGGGGATGTCTGGCCTTTCCTGCCCGGGATGGTGGGTTAGGAAGGATCTGGGGTCTGGCACCGGACTTGTCCCTGGACAGACCTCACCTTCCTTCCACTGCCAGGGAGCAGGGAGGCTGCCACCCACTGCATGAGACCCGGGCACATGCGGGCACTGCCAGCACGCGGGGTGGGGGCTGGACTGAGTCCGGACACCTTCTCAGAGACTCCGGATGGAAGGGCCTAAGAGCCTCCGGTTTCTAGAGGGGGCTGAGATCCGGGGAGTAACTGGGATTTGGAGCCAGGATGGAGGGAACAGGGCTGGGGGATTCTCTCCCCAGCCCCGTCCCCACCCCCTAGAGAAAGTGAAAGTGCTAGAAACCTCCAGATTCCCGGAACGGGGGACGGGAACACGGAGGACGCGGCCTGAGCAAGGCCCCGGTGGCTGCCCCCTCCCCAGCCAGGGCGCAGTCCTTCCTGTTCCGCCTCTGGGGGGTGGGCGGCTCCTCCAGGGTCAGGCGGGGGCAGGACGGGCCGGCCCGGGCTAGTGTTACCGGACGGCCGCGGCGCAGGGGAAGGGAGAGCGCGGGGGACGCAGGACGCCCCGGCTCCCGAACCGCCCGGGTCTCCACCGCCACCCCTGTCCCACTAGGGACCACCCAGGGGCCCGGGCTCCCTCCGGAGGCGCGCTCCAGCCCCTCCCCGTTTCCATGGCTACCAGCAGCGGCGTCCACACCTCTGCCCCCGGTCCCACCCGAGCTGACCGTACCGGGAGCCCTGGCAGGGCCCCTCGCCCCCTAGCGCTGCCACTAACGTGGGGTGGGGGCCCTCGTGGGGGACCGAGAACAGGCGGTGGGGGCGCGGGAAGGGGCGCCTCCTGTACCCCCGGCCCCGCCGCCCGCCTCCGCTCCCGGATGCCGGGCCCAGACCCGCGCTCGGGGCGCTCGGCCTTTGTCCGGCCAGGTGCGGCCGCGCTCACCCGGGCTGGGGCGCTCGGGCTCGGGGCCCTCGGGGGTGCCCGGAGCCTCCGTCCGCTCGGCAGTCTCGTCCCCGCCGCCGTCGGCGTGAGCCTCCACGGGCACCACGGTGAAGTTGGTGGGCATGGCCGCCTGCAGCCGACAGTCCCCGTCCCGGCCCGGCCCGCGCTGCGCCGCTCCCGCCGACGCCACGGGACTTGGAGGCAGGGGCGGGGTCCGACCGAGCCGCCCCGCCCCGCCCGGGCCACGTGACTTCACCTGCTTGCCCCGCGGCCCCACGAAAAGTTGGCCCGCGGCGACTTCCTGCAGGGACCCCAACCCAGGCTGCGTCTGTCTGACCGCCGCGACCCGGGACGCGGGGCTTTCGCTGCCTGCGCTCCCGACCATCGCAGAGCCCGCGAATCCCCGCTCAGTCTCCTGCACCCCCTCCTGCTCCAGCCCCCTGCCCCTCCTGCTGGAACTCCCCGCCCTCCCCGCCCTCCCCGGCCCCCTCCCCGCCTCCCCTCTTGTCCCCTTCCCCGACCCCCCACTCCTGCTCCAGCCCCCTGCCCCTCCTGCACGCCCTTCTGCTGGAACCCCTCACCCCTCCTGCACCCCCCCACCCTTCCTGCACCCCCTCCTGCTGGGCCCCCCTGCCCCTATGAACCCCCTCCTGCTGGAACCCCTGCCCTTTCTGCACCCCCTCCTGCTGGGCCCCTCCTCCTTCTGCGCCCCCTCCCGCACCCCCTCCTGTTTGCCCCCCATTTCCTGCTCCAGCCCCCTACCCCTCCTTCTTCCCCCTCCTGTTCCCCCCTGCCATCCTCCAGCACCCACCTCCCACACAGTCCGCCCACCCACTCCAGGCTGTCAACACCCGCTCAGACCCTGGGCTCCTAGCCTGGCTCCTGGCTAGCCCAACCTGGCTGCAAAGGCAACTCCAGTGGAAGGAGCCTTGGATAGCCTGGGGGTGGGGTACTCCGGAGCTTGGTCCAGCTCCAGTTTAGGGACCTAACCCAGTAGAGGGAGTCCCCCCCCCCACCCATGACAAATACCACCCACGAAGACCCCAGTCTCCTCCACACCTGCCCCAGGAGTGCCCCGCGGCCCCTGCCCTAGAACCCTCCCTTCCCTCCTTGGGAAATGTTCCAGAAGCTCACAGGGTGATGCAGGGAAGGTGGAGTTCCAGAACCCACCAGGCAGACACCAGGATACCACCGGCCAGCACCTGGCACATTTCTCAACAAATGACTCATGAAAAACGGAACAATCAGATGTCCGTCAATGGGGAATTGGGCTAAAATGCTATGGCACACAGGTGCAATGAGTCAGCCTTTATTCCTAATCACCCACAACTGCTGTACGACAACAAAGCAGAAACACAGGTGGTGTGGGCAAACACGGCCACAGCCTCTTGTCACGTGGAAAATGGGTATGGCCTGGCCATGTTTTAGCCGCTTGCCTGTCTAATCCTAAAAGGCAGCTGGAGGGGAGTGATGGCCTCCGGGCTGTGGGATCACCGGGCTCTGTGGGTTCAAGGAACGCAAGCCCAACCTCTCCAGCCATTTCCAGTAAAGCCAGTCATGCCCTGGGGTGGCCTAGGGTTCTACCCCTTTGCCCCATGGACTCTTCTGGGCAGAAGCTGTAGGCCTGGGACCCTCCTGGAACGTCGCCCATCCAGCACCAGCCCTTGCAGAGGTGGGGGTTCCTCTGGCCTGGGTGTCTGGAGCTGTGCCTGCTCCACACTCTCACCCCACCTCCCACCAAAGGGAGCTCAGGGCTGTGGATGGTGCTAGGTCAGCTGCCTCCCTGGGTCAGTGGGTTGGAAGGTAGGAAACCATCACCTCCCCAGAAGATAAAATAGTTCCCAGGCATCCTTATGAGGAGGGCTGGCTTTGCTAAAAAGATCCAGGGGGTGGGAACAGAAGTGCCCAATGGGGTCAATTATAGGGTTCACACTTAGGGTGCTGGGTAAACCCTCTCCTCAGTCACCCCAGCAGGGGCTTCTGTACATTCAACCCTGGTTGCCACCCAGCGCTATTCCCGAGGGTTGGACAGAGCTCAGGGTGGGCACGAGGCCTTCCCAAGTGATGCCAGCAGGAGCAACAGATGTGCAGGGCTCCCGTCGCACATCCAAGCTCTGCTTCACACCCCAGGACCCCAGGGCCGGCTGCCCGCCATGTGCTGGCTGTGGACCTTCAGAGGAGCTGGTTTGGAGGGTCTGTGGCCAGGGCCAGCTCCCGGACTCAGGACTCATCAGCTTCATTTTACAGAGGAGGAAACTGAGGCCCAGGAGTTTAGGGTCCTGTGGCAGCTCCGAGGGTGGTCTTCTCTGTGATTACAAAATCTTGACTAGGACCAGGGGCCATGGCTGAAGCACCTGGGTGGGTGCCCAGCCCTGCCAGGCAGAAGGCAGGTGGCTTCTCTTGTTTAAATCTTAGATCTTACTTGTGGGAGACCTCGGGTGGGGGGTGAGGTCTGCTGCCTTTTGCATTCTAATCAGGTGAGTCACGACAGGGATCAGCACCCTGTAAGCACCTGCGGGTCAAGACAGAGACCCTTGCCGGAGCCCAGAAGCCGCTGCAGGCCCCTCCCATCCCATCAGTAGCCCATCCCTAGGGGTCTGGTGGCCCCTCCCTTCGCTCTGTGGGTTTCCGTGTCCACGTATATCCTCCCACACGGCAGCCTGGGGTTAAATGTGCGTTGTGTGACTTTCAGTGCTCTCTTCCTACCCACCTCCATCCCTCTGTCCTTTTCTGTACCCGGCACCTGTTGTAGGAAGTGGCCCTCGGACACGTGGAGGTACCCGAGGCCTGGGTTGGAGCTGCATCTTTCGGTGCAGGCCTCTGCGTCTCCTGGAAGTGGGCACCTGGAGCCAGGGGACTGCTGGGATCCGGGTCCAGTCCCCTGGCAAGGCCGGGGGCTCGCAGAGGGAGCCACGCACTGTCTGGTGGTAGCTCCTCCGTCCGCAGTCGTTGGTGCTTGATGTCTGAATCGACAGATTCATGGAGCAAAATGGTGATTTTCCAGTGCGTGGTGGCTTCGTCATGAATTCACTGGAGGGAGAGGCTCATCTTGTCCGTCTGGCCATCTGGATAATGGTGCCCACAGGAAAGGCAGGGCAAGGGTGCCTCTCCCTCATTTGTCAGTTTCCACAACGGTGAATTGGTTCCCGACAATCTCCCAAGTATATTTGTACATCGCTGATGAAACACATTGGTGGGTCTCAGTCGATCACCATTAGTGCCCTTTCCAAGCATCGGTGTCCAGCTTTGCCCAGGGGGCCTCTTCAAATGCAATCTCGCATCCTTATGATGTGAGCCTGGTCATCTGCGATGGCCTCTTGGCCGTGTGCAGGGCACAGCCAGGGGAACCCTGGGATTTAGTGCGAAAGTGTAGCCGATGGTGGTTACATTCTGTGTGTAGATTCTCGAAACAGTCCCTGCTGCCTGCCACCCTGGGGTGGAGTTTCTAATGGATTAGGACGGACACCCAATGCCAGCTTCCAAGCCAGGAGGCCGCTCGTGCCCACGGCTTGGAATCAGGGCTGTGGCCTGGGAGGGCTCTCACCAGACGCAGGCTGCCTCCAGGTATCTGTGTGCCTCTGCCCACGGAGCTTCTCCCCAGGTCCGCGGGTCCCCCCAGTCCACTTCTGCTTTCCTGTTAGGGTGGGGGGCTCATCTCCTGGTGCGCCATCTGCATCCTTCTGGGCTGGGAACCTGCTGTCGGGTATCAGGCAGGGCGCACCTCCAGGGCTGAAGGATGCAGGTGGGGCTGGCAGGCAGAGTGTCCGTGGAGAGCTCCGTGTCCAGGGAAGGGGACACCTGGAGGAGGCCGGCCCTGGAGGCCCCACACTCCTTCTCACCAGAAAGCCACCCGCCTTCTGCCTGGCAGGGCCGGGCACCCACCCAGGTTCTTGCCTGTTGGCCCAGCACCCATGGTGAGTGGGGGAGAGAGCGAATAGGGCAGAGCAGAAGAGAGAGGGGAGGAAGGAGAATCGGGGGAAGGGGGAGGGAAAGGAAAGAGGTGGGAAGGGAGGAGAGGGAAGGGAGGCCCCAGTTACCCAAGGCTAAAGTGATTTTTAAAAAACAAACCTTTTTTTTTTTAAGCGTGGTGAGCCTCTCCTGGCAGGGTGGGGTATGTGGACATCAGTGGAGGAAGCAGAGTCTCCGGCCACCTGTGGGACCCACACTCTCCCTGCCCAGGAGTCCCACCAGGGCCGAGAATTCTGCCCATGGCCAGGGTGGCCCTAAAGCCCCACATCCGCCACCACCTGTGGGGGCTCGAAGGGAGCTGTGGTAGGCAGGGATGACAGAAGACCCCAGCCACAGCCCCAGGCCCATGGCTGCATCTCCCCTGAAGAAGCAGCCCTGTCCCAAGGGTTCTGCAAACAATGCCAGGCTCTTCCCAGGCAGGCACCGCAAGCTGCCCCCCGCCCCGATCCCTGGCTTGCCCAGGGCGGGGCCTCTGGGCCTGGTGGATGGTGGGCCTGGCCTGGCGCTGGGGAGCCTGTCTGCACAGTGGCCAGGTACGTGGGGTTCTGAGCCTCCCCCGGGTCCTGTGCCTGCTGGGCAGGGGTACATCCCATGGAGCTGAATCTGGGAATAGAAGGGGCCTCCCCTCCCACAGAGCTCGTCTCAGACCATCTGTGTCTGAGACTGTAAGTGACGCCAACAGAAGGTCAAGCTTGAGCGACAAAGCTCTCAGTCCTGTAATTCACGGACACTGAGTCTTCGCTCAAGTTCCCTCTGGAAGATTCCGTGGATGAGTCCGACACACTCTTCCCCTCACTCAGGAGGCTCCAGGATTTTTAGACCACGTGTGTGGCTTTCCTTCTCTCAAAGTGTAACTCACATAATGTTACTCAGAATCTCACACGGACGCCCGTGAGTTGCAGACACAGGGAAGGTTCGCATCTCCTCTGAAGTCCAAGCTGCCCAGAAGCCCACCCACCCCCCGCCAGCTCTCGTTCCTGCTCCACAGGTGACTTCTTTCCCGTGAAGCTTGGGCAAATGTTTGCTGTCGGCTCAGGGGGAAAGGCCATGCCAGGGTCCAGATGGGCTCAAAACCTCCCAACCTGGCAGACACGCAGCCCTTCAGAAATGGAAGCAGAGCCCAGGACACGATGTGGCCAATCCTCTCTCAGACGTCATAAAGAGCTGGGTTTGGAAGACGAGGCCAACCCTCATGGATGCCGCCCCCGACCCCAGCAACACCATGAGATCAGGGATTTGCTGGCTCTGTCTCAGAGCCGCGGAGGGTCCTGCTCAAACCCCAGAGCCGTGGGGATGGGCTGGGGGGCTGGTGGGGAGCGTACTGCGAGGGGCCACTGAGCAGGCTGGGGTGAGCTGGGCCTGGCCTGCGGGGGTGGGGGTGCAGCCTTCGCTGGGGAGGCAGCCAGGGAAGGGGTTCCTACCAGCCCGAGATGGAGCAACGAAGCAACTAGTGAAGCCAAGTTTGCAAAATTATCACCGTTGGTGGAAGGGTTCCGACCTGACTCCATCTTGGTTCTGACCTCCAAGCTGTCCTTGTTCCTTCCTGGGCGTAGGCTGAACTAACTTTGGGAGGAACTTAGTTTATAGTTAAAATAAACCTCCTTCTTGCCTGAGGGCTAGACTGCCTTTGTAGGATTAACAAATTAGCCACAAGATTAAAGAAATTGTGGTTTAGGAGTCATGCAGCTGGAGGCTACAAGATTCTGACCCTCCCTAAACTGCTCCTAAAATCCATGCTTGAGATGTTTTGCGGATCCTTGTTGCGCTAGATGGATCAGCTGGCACCACTCAGACCAATAGACTGGCTCATCTGATCTTGTGACCCCCACCAGGAACAGACTCCGCACAAAAGGACAGCTTCAATTCCCTATGAGTTCATCTCTGACCTGACCAATCAGCACTCCTGGCTCACTGGCTTCCTCACCCACTAAGCTGTCCTTAAAAACTGATCCCTGCCGGGCGCGGTAGCTCACGCCTGTAGTCCCAGCACTTTAGAAGGCTGAGGTGGGTGGATCACGAGGTCAGGAGATCGAGACCATCCTGGCTAACACGGTGAAACCCCGTCTCTACTAAAAATACACACAAAAACATTAGCCGGTCATGGTGGCAGGTGCCTGAAGTCCCAGCTACTCGGGAGGCTGAGGCAGGAGAATGGCGTGAACCCGGGAGGCGGAGCTTGCAGTGAGCTGAGAGCACGCCACTGCACTCCAGCCTGGGGGATAGAGTGAGACTCTGTCTCAAAAAAAGAAAAAAAGAACTGATCCCAAATGTGTGGGGAGACTGATTTCAGTAATAATAAAACTCCGGTCTCCCACACAGCCAGCTCTGCGTGAATCCCTCTTTCCCTATTGCGATTCCCCTGATTTGAGTGACAGTAAAACTCCGGTCTCCTGCACAGCCAGCTCTGCGTGAGTCATTCTTTCTCCCCTGTAATTCCCCTGTCTTGATCCATCAGCTCTGTCTGGGCAGCAGGCAAGGTGAACCCATTGGGCGGTTACATGAGGGGGAGTCCATGGGCCTCAGCCCCTTGAACAGAGAGATAAGAAGATCCCACACTGGGAAACGTTTCAGTGCAATCTGAGAACATCGTGGGCAGGCCTGGCAGCCATCCAGACCCGGCAGAAGAGTCTTCCTGGCAGCAGCGCCAGGGATTCTCCAAAAACAGGTGTGACCCAGACTCGCGCCCTCGCCAGACACAGATGAGCTGTTGGCCAAATGCGAAGGCCGCCAAAGCCGTCCTTGGGCGTGAAAGGTCTTGGGAAGTTTCCCCTTTCTAGACCGGGGGATGCCTCTTGCCAGGAAATTCGAATGAGTCCAGGAGGAAGGAGAAAGCCTGGACCTGACGTAGGCCTCAGAGAGCCTGGTCTCACCCATTTCTAATGGAACCCATTAAAAATCAGACAGTGTGGGGGACCCAGACAACAGTAAACAGCTGTGCTCATAACATCAAATGTGCTGGCCCCGCAGCCTTGCAGGTACCAAGGTTGTTTCTGGTGGCTTCTTCCAAGGCTGTGGGAGGTGTGGGCGTGTCTCGCTGAACTTCTGGGCCGGCTGGCGGGAGAGGCAGAGCTGGCGCTGACATCAGCCTCCCGGCGGGAGGGGCTCACAACCCACACTGAGCACCCAGAGCCAGACCTCCCCAGAGGAATGTTCTGGGGGAGAGGGAGGGGCACAGACGACTGCTCCCGAAAGGAGGGCCCTGCCTCGTTTTGTGGCCCCGCATCTGGTGTGCTCACCCTCAGTCTGCAGCAGCTCGAAGCCCTCCTGATGAGAGCCGACACAGGCAGGGGCCAGAGTCGCTTTTGCAGCGCTGGAAGGCTGAGTTCTGCCATCAGCTTTGCATTTTACAGCTTTCTGCTGGGATCAGAGAAGCACCTGCACAACCTCCCCTGCGTTTTCTAAACATTCAGCTGGGAACCTGGACTGCAAAGCCCGGCCTCAGTTACCGCCACTTTTTCCCAGAGCCCTTTTGGGGTGAGTTTTCTGGACTTGCTCATCAGGGCCAGCACTCGTTAAAGGTGAGGACCCCGTGATCCCACCCCGCACAGCAGTACCCAGACACCCGCTAGGGCCCCAGCTCCCAGGGGACGCCGCAGGCACGCACACATCCCTGCCCGGGTGACGCCGAGGTTACACAAGCCCTTTGGAAAGCTCTGGTGCTGCCTTGGCTGCACCATGACCCCCTCCAGCTGTGTGCGGCCGGCTCGCCGCCCATGGTGCTGTGGTCCTGGTTGGGCGGTGAGGTTCAGCCCTGACCGTCGGGCAGCGACCGTTTCAGGAAGCACGGGAACAACGGACTTTGAGCCACCTTCCTCTCCCCAGCACCCTTTCAGCCACCCCGTGCCAGGCTCCCCACCCACACAGCCCCATCCCAGGCACGCGGTGGCTCTGGAGGGCTGCATGTCAGGGTGCAGACCAGAACACGCCCGATTCCTTCCAGGCAATGGACAAATGGGGTCCACCGGCGCTGTCCTGTGATGGGCAGGCTGGGGGGCGGTGCCCAGCTTTGGGCCCTGTAGCCTCAGGCCTCCCCTCAGGCCACCTGCCCCCTGTGGCTGCTTCTGCCTCCCCGCAAAAATCCAGTCTGAGCTGGCTGAAGGCGCACAGGTGTCACCATGGCCCAGGCAGCTGGGACCCCCCCATAGGTCAACAGCCTGTCATTGGGGTCACTCAAGGGCCTTTCTGCCCAGCTGGCAGGGCCTGACCAGGTCCCCTGAATTTCACCCCCAGAGTGCAGTGGATCCCCCTGGGGCTGAGGGGACCCTCCACGGCCCCAAAGCCAGAGAGCACAGATTGACACTCAGAATCATGGCTGCAGACCCTGCCACAGCCCCAAACATGCTCTTCATAAGAGAAAGGCTGACAAAGTGGTCTTCACTAAAATGACACACTTCTCTTTCTCAGAAGACGCTCTCAAGGGCAGGGGAGCAAGCCCGGGTGCAGCTGGGTGGGCACCTGCCGTCCACAGGGCCCCCCCACCGGCAGTGTCCGGATCACACGAAGACGGCTTACAGACCAGCAAGGAAACGCTGAACCCGGAGGACAAGAGGGCAAAGACTTGAACTAACATGGAGGAGCACGTGGAGATGCCACCTCGCCGGGGGACGCGCGCCGTCGGCAGTGTGCCGGGGACACCACGGTGTGCTGGCCAGATGCTCACAGCCGCTGTACCTCCCCACACAACTGGAGGTCCGTGGAATGCACGGCCACTGTGGAAAACTCCAGACACGCCTCCATCACCACCCAGAAACCCCACTCTCAACAGAAACACACAGACACTAAGCAAAAGACACACAAAGGCCTTCCTGGGAGCCCAGACTGGACACAGCCCACATTCCCATCAGCAGGGCAGTGGGCGACGGGCCACAGATGGCGTGTCCCTTCAGGGAGTGTCTACCACACACGCCAGGGATGATCTCGCACGTGGGCTGCAGGGCAGGAGGAGGTCGGCATGATGCTGTCTACGTGAAGCTCAAGGGCAGGCAGGACTCACCCTGGGGTGCACACCAGCACAGACGGCAGTCCCTGTGCAGCAGAGACGGCTTCCAGGGCTTGGAACGGCCACGCTTCGACGCGAAGGGCTCCTGGGCCTGCCCGAGCTCGGAGCTCACCCGGCAAAGATTTAAGATGTGTGCTGCTCCCTGGGTGCCAGCTGCACCTCACTCAGAGGAAATAAGAGTGGCTCAGAGCATGTGCTGCACGGTAGACTCGGTGCATCCTGACCTTGACACTGAGTCCACCCAACCCTCCTGCTGCCCGCCACCGTTCCCCAAGCTGCCTCCTGCACGTCCCCGCATCCCTCATCTTGCAGGCAGTGGGACAGCTGGGCTGTTTCTGTCACATTCTCTGTGAAGAAGAGTCCAGGCCAGCAAATATTTATCACCAAGTGTCTGGCCAGTGTGGTCCCCAGACACAGCTGTCTCCGTCCCAAGGCCTGGACTTTACACGTGGAGTTCCCTGTGTCGGTCCCCAGACAGCAGTGGTGCCACCTGGCAGGGGTTTGGCCTGTGGAGGGCTGTGCCCCTGAGGCCCACGGGAAAGCTCATGGACTTGCTGGGGGGCAGGGCCGACATCAGCGCCCGTGTGCGGATCCCCCTGCAGCCGAGTCCCAAGCAGGATCGTCACCCTCACATTCCTCTCCGGTGGAATGCTGCTGAGAGGTCCTTTAAGCATATGGCCTCAAGTAATCGTGGAAAGAGAAGGCAGCGGCATTGGTGGGCACAGGAAGGATCCATGCCACTTTGTGGGACCCAGAGAGGCAGTGTGACCTCAAGGGCTTACAGCCAGTGAGTGGCAGGCAGGGACAAGGGGGAGTTCCAGAAGCCTTAGGACATTCCTTGTCCCATGGATGACTGGAAGGACCCTTCCCAGATGGGAATCCCCTGCCCGCCCCAGCCATGCCCAGCACTGAGGGGTGAACCCTGGAAGCACCCATGGGTCAGCCCCGGAGCCGCGCAGTTTCTCCTAGGAAGGGGTAACTGTGCCCCAGACTCAGGAGGGGCTGTCCTGTCTTCCTGCAGGCCTTGGAGGCCACTGTCCCTGATGGGGTTGTGCAAGTGTGGGGGGCATGAGAGGGGGCCCCTTCATCAGCTCAGCGCCCACCCTAGGCCTGCTTCATGCCAGGCACACACTGCGCTGCAGGCACGAAGCGGGGATGGGTTCCCTGAGGCGGGGCTCTGCCTACTCCCAGACCCTTGTGGAGGCCCTGTCTCCCAGCCTCTCTGCCTTGTGCCCCGGGCCCACGGCAACGCAGCCCCCATTCCAGAGAGCCAGACCCTCCAGCTCTCAAGGGAACAGCAGGGAAGACAGGGATGGTGTGGGGGGACACTGTCCTTGGGAACTTTCCCTGCCCCCACCGCCTGCCCTTGCGCATGGGCCTCCCTAGAAACGTGTCACCCCAACCCTTGAGAAACCAGAACCCCCGGCAGGGCTGTGCGAGGCGGGGTGGGATTTTGGGGGTGTCAGAATCTCACCAGAATCCGGGCAGTGGGGGGATGAAAATTCTGGCTGCCCAGCACAGCCCCCGCCACTGCGCTTGGCACCTCAAGGGGCCTGGGTTCTCAACACCAGCTCAGATAACTGGTAAAAATGTTTGTTAGTTTTAACTTTGCTTTTTCCTTTTTCTAAAAAAATCCATTTTATTTAATTGTAGTAAAATAATACATAAAATTGCCATTTTCACCATCTTTAAGTGTCCGACGGACGAACCGCATTCCCACAGCTGTGCGTCCACCTTCACCACCGGTCTCCAGAGTCCTCCCAAACTGAAGGCCTCTCCCCAGCCTGGCACCTGCCATTCTGCGTTCGGTCTCTACAGATCTGGGAACTCCAGGGACCTCCCAGGAGAGGATCAGACAGGGCCCCGCGGCATGACGTCCACACAGCTCCTTGGTGCTGTAGCCCGTGCCAGCATCTCTTTCATTTTCTCGGCTGTCGAGTGTCCACTGTCTGGACGGGCACGTTTTGTTCACCCACTCATGTGCTGATGGACACGAGGGTTGCTATTCCCCCTATGTAGTGATGGGTAACAACTTCAAAGGTATGTATCTAAGTAAAAATGAAAATGTGTAAAATGTGTGAAGCGCCCCACGTGCGCACGCACAAGCCCTCTGGGAGGAGCTGGGGGCGTCGCCCTGGCTGCCTGGGGGCGCGGGGCCTGACCTTCTGCCTACGCTCCTCTGTCCTGTTACCTGGGGTGGCTACGCCAGCATCATCTGGCCAAAAATACCTCCTAATCGTTCTGGCTGAGCCGCTGCCACTGCCACTGCCCAAGATAAGCAGGGCACGCTCGGGCTCCCGGCAGTGATTTCTGTCCTATTTTTACACTTGGCTCAGATAAGGTCTCGGGTGGCCTGTGCCCAAGGTCACTCTGTGGGGCCCCAGGGAGGCAGTGGCTTGCCCTGGGTCCACATTCCCTCTGGGGAAGTGGGTTCTGGGAGCCGCATAGAGAGGCATGCTGGGCGTGCAGAGCAGGAGTGGTCGCAGGGACCCCGGCTCCGAGGAGGGGAGGGGGCCACTCCTGGGCCCTTGAACCCTTGGGTCCCAGCACCTGCAAGCACAGCCCTGCCAGGTAACACCACCAACTCCTGGAGGCGCACTAGAGCTCACATCTAGGGTTCCTGGCAAAAGAACCCCCAGATAAATGAGTTAAGCTGTCTAGCCTCCTCCCTGCCAAAGACCCCCAGATAAATGAATAAAGCTGCCCAGCCTGGCCCCGCCGGCCCACTGAGGGGTAGCAGCTCAGCAAGGCAATGAGGCCGGCCAGAGACCGCCGCACAGAAGTGGGCGTTCCCCGCTGAGGGGCCGGGGGCCGCGGTCAGCTTCTCTGAGTGTCCTGGTCTTGGAGGACACACGTCACGTGTGTTGGCCAAGGAGCCGGGATCGGGGCCTCCATCAAACAGTGTTGCAAACTGGTAGGGCATATCCTGAAGGTTTAAGCTTCAAATTTTGCTTGGCAAACTGAACCCAAATCCACCTCTCTTTCTTGACTTTCTTCGTTTGTTTCATTAAGAGAAGAGAGAAGAGGAAACATGTTTGAGTAACAGTTTCTGAGATAACTCTCTTGGTCTAATTGCCTCATTGAAACCTTAAATATTTGGCTTGCATCACGAGGTCAGGCCAATACGCTACTAAATTCATCGCTCTCAGTGGAGAATGACTTATCTGTGCAAATACCACAAGTCATCAATTTCTATTTTCTCAGGGTGATAAGTTAAAAATACATTTAAAAAATAAGCTTTGATTGCTTTTGAAGGACAGCAACCTCCATGGACCTCGCAATGCAAAACCCACAGCTGACAGCAGGTCAATCTGCTCCAACAACTAGCAACAGCTAGATTCGTCCTCAGGGACCCACTTCACAGGCCAGAGATCTTCAGCATAGAGATCAGCGCCCACAAGCCAAGAGAAAAGTCTTTCAAAGACCACCTAATCCCTCACTGTTTTCGAGGAGAAAAGGAATGCACATTTAAAAAACAAAAACCAAAAAGATTTGCAGCTCCAGCGCCTGGTCATGAGGAAGTAGCTGCGTGCAGTGGTCAAAGAAAACACAGAGGACAGAAGACCATGGGAGGGTGCTTCCAAAGTACAGAGAAACAGCTGCAGCCTCGACCTCTGCGCCAGCAAACACTGTCTTCAAAAATGAAGGCAAAATCAAGACATTTCCAGACCAACGAAAACTGTGAGGATTTATCCCAAGTGGAAGGAAAATGGTTCCTGATGGAAACACCGAAATCCAGAGCTCAGAGAACACGGACTGGCGGGGCAGGCGGCAGAGCCTTGCGGCGCTGGACACATTGAACACTCAGCGCCCAGCACAGGGGAGGGAGGCCCTGGAGTCCCTGATCGCAGCAGACCTGGACCATCAAGGGCATCTGTGCAGGGCAGACACTGGGGCGACGACCGTGAGAACAGCAGAACACACAGCTAGCAAGCGAACACAGGGAGAAAACGGAGTAATAAAAAAAGTGTTTAATCCAAAATAATCAAAAGAAAAGACACCAGTGCTTGCACTAACCGGAGCGAGGCGGCCGGCCAGACCTCAAATCTCACACCCTGATGACGCCCCGCTTCAGCAAAATCCAGAGAACTGGAGGAGAAACAGACACTACTCCAGGGAACAGCTAGAGATTTCAAGACACCTCGCCCCATAACTGGTAAAACAAATCACTGGAGAGAAAGAAGATTTGAACAACCCATAAGCAAGACTGACCTAATTAATGGTCAGCTATGTGGAAATGCACCCAGCCACTGCCCGGCCCCTACTCCACACCACAGGGTTGAGAGAGGAGCTCTGACAGCTGGGAATGGAGCACAGAGCAGCTGTGGAAAGATAATGGAAAATCCCCCGGGGCCTGGGAACTGCAGCACATGGAGAAACCCACGTGCTGAAGAGTGAGCCGTGATCGGAATGAGATAATGTTTTAAACGAAAGTGTGTGTGTGTGTGTGTGTGTGTGTGAATTCTTTTTAATTCTAAGACTTTCATACAGAAACATCACTTCATGGGTAAAAGCAAGTAAAGTCAAACGGCACACTTTTTAAGTTTATTTTAGTATTTTTATGCTGAATAGTGCATAATAATGGTATTTTAGTATTTTCATTGAATCTGCAGGCGTGTCAACATGTTAGAAATTGTACTGCGGAAAATGTCACTGCTCTCCAAACTCCAAAACAGTGGTTTTGGAAAGTTTATCTAGGGTGGGAGACTATTCTAATTTATTTATAACTTTGACTAATTGGATCCCAATTACTTTGTATAAATGGTAAAATTTGAAATATATCAAACATGGTTAAAATGTCTACCTGGGCCGGGCACAGTGGCTCATGCCTGTAATCCCAGCATTTTGGGAGGCCGAGGCGAGCAGATCACCTGAGGCCAGGAGTTTGAGATCAGCCTGGCCCACATGGTGAAACCCCATCTCTACTAAATATACACAAATTAGCCAGGCATGGTGGCATGTGCCTGTAATCCCAGCTACTCAGGAGACTGAGACAGGAGAATCACTTGAACCTGGGAGGCGGAAGTTGCAGGGAGCTGAGATCACATCACTGCACTCTAGCCTGACAACAGTGCCAGGCCCTGCCTCAAAAAAAAAAAAAAAAAAAAGTCTGTCTGCTTGCATTGTTATATCTTCATTAATTTAATTGTTAATGTTTCCAAAAAGTCACTCATGTTATTAAGCTAATTCTTAGCAATATACACATAGTATATTTACACAATATTAACCCATGAATTCATCTATTCTTTTTATTTTATTTTATTATTTTTTGAGACAGAGTCCCACTCCAGGCTGGATGCAGTGGTATGATCTCAGCTCACTGCAGCCTCCACCTCCCAGGTTCAAGTGATTCTCGTGTCTCAGCCTCCCAAGTAGCTGACAGCTGGGATTACAGGCATGGGCCACCATGCCCGGCTAATTTTCTATATTTTTAGTAGAGACAGGGTTTCACCATGTTGGCCAGGCTGGTCTTGAACTCCTGGCCTCAGGTAATCTGATCGCCTCGGCCTCCCAAAGTGCTGGGATTACAGGCGTGAGCCACTGCACCCAGCCCCTACCTATTCTTTTTAATGTTTAATATAATTGAGATGTTACTCACTTTTTAAAACATTTTAAATTGTTTAGTTTTTTTCTTCTGATTTGTTTTTGGTTTTTGTTTTGTGTTTTAAGTTTCAGAGGTACATATTCACGTTTATTACACAAGTAAATTTGTGTCATGGGGTTTGTTGTACAGATTATTTCATTACTCAGGTATTAAACCTAGTACCCATTAGTTATCTTTCCTGATCCTTCCCCTCCTCCCACTCTCTGCCCTCAAGTGGGCCCCAGGCTGTGTTGTTTCCCTCTATGTGTCCATGCGTTCTCATCGTTTAGCTCCCACTTATAAGTGAGAACATGCTGTATTTAGTTTTCTGTCGAACTAAATTATAATGAAAATACAACCTATCGAAACCATAAGATGCAGCTGAAACCGTGCTTAAGGGACGAGTCACCACTGTAGATCCTGCAAAAGTATAAAGGTAGTGGAGTGGGTTGAGCTGGGCTTCCCCAGAAGGATATGTTGAAGTTCTAACACAGGTACCTGTGAATGTCCTGACTGGGAGGTGGCTCCTTGCAGTTGGGACCACATCATGAAGATGAGGTCATCCTGGAGTAGGGTGTGGGCTCTCAATCCAATGACTGATGTCTTTTTTTTTTTAGACGAAGTCTTGCTTTGTTGCCAGGCTGAAGTGCAGTGGCGCAATCTCGGCTCACTGCAACCTCCACCGCCCAGGTTCAAGTGATTCTCCTGCCTCAGCCTCCCAAGTAGCTGGGACTACAGGCACACGCCACCACGCCCAGCTAATTTTTGTATTTTTAGTAGAGACGGGGTTTCACTGTGTTGACCAGGATAGTCTCGATCTCTTGACTTCGTGATCCACCTGCCTTGGCCTCCCAAAGTGCTGGGATTACAGGCGTGAGCCACCACGCCTGGCCGACTGATGTCCTTATATGGACAGCTTTGAGGCCACAGAGGAGAGGCAAAAGGCAAGGGCCACAGAGATGGAGGCAGAGGCTGAGGCGATGGGGCCACAGACCCAGGGATGCCTGGAGCCGCAGAAGTTGGAAGGGGCAGGAAGGAGCCTCTTTTAGAGCCTCCGGAGGGCGTGCAGCCCTGCCCACACCTGGACTTCAGATTTCCTTTCTCCACCACTGAGAAGGCAGATCTGTGAAGCCACAGTGTGTGGTGATCACAGCAGTCCGAGGAAACTGATGGATATACAAATACCACAGATAACTCTGTGATAACGATCTTGTAAATGGAGATAAAATAGACACATTCTCCAAAATCCATACAAAAAGAAACAGAAGCTCTGAATAGTACTATGTCTCATGAAGAAATTAAATCCTTGATTTAACTTTGCCCCCCTCCTGCACATAAAACCTTCAGGGCCACACAGACTCACTGGTAAACTTTTCCAAACACTGAAGGAAGAAATAATACCAGTTACATTGAAGTCTTTCAGAGAATTTTAAAAAAGAAGTAATTTTGCACATCTCCTGTTATCAAATTAGCACTTGTCATCAAGGAAGGGAAGATAAAGCACGAGGAGATGCCCACACCCCAGGAAAGTGTCCCAAGAGTGGCTCAGATTCTCCAGGGCTGCGACGTCCTGGTTTTCATCTGGGGGTGGTGACAGGCGCGTGATCTCTGGTTATTCCAGAAGCAGTGAATGTAGGATGTGTGTCATTTAGCTTCTCACGCCATGCACTGGGGCAAGTTCACTGAGGAAACAGATCTCATCCTTAAGGCAGGCTGGGAGTGGGCGTGGCTGGGAGGTGGGTGCCTGAGGAACACTCTCGCCCCTTCCCCTGCACCTGTGGTCTCAACCTGGCGGGAAGTCCGCTCCAGCTCCTGTGGGACCAGGGTTGCTGGATCCAAGTTGCCAGGTAAACTCCCGCTGATCTGCAGCACAAGAGCCAAATCCCAGGACGAGCTCTCACGGAGCAGTCAGGCCCAGTGGAAACTGGTGGCCTCGCTCCAGGAAATGAAGCCAGACTCAGACAAACAAAAGCCACCAGCAATGCATGGAGGCAGGATGGGACATCTCACGCGGACCCAGTGACCCTGGAGCATGCCTGGGTACAGATGGAGCCCCCAACAGGGGTTTCCTTCCTCATGTGGTTGATGGAAGGTTCTAGAATTCATCTTCTCATAGGGAGGAAAAGTGCTGCCCAGCCCCCAACACTCTGAGACCTCTGGGGCTCAGTAAATATTTGATAAACAACAGGCTCAGCAGGTGCGGTGGCTAGTGAGACTGGTACAGACCAGGTGGCCCATGGGTATTGGGTCTGCCCTGTGACCACCAGTCCTGACAGGCTGCAGCGGAGCATGTGTGCACGTGTGTGCATGTATGTGTGCGTGTGTGTGTGCATGCGTGCACACCAATGGGAGTGGCCCCAAGTGCCTGCCTGGTCTCTACACGGCTTCCAGCCTTTTCCTAGAATGGATCACATGTTTGCATACACACATATGTGCACACACATGCAGAAACCAGACCCACTCCCACCATCCACCCACACAAGCTGGACCCTCAGTCACGCGGCTCCCTGCCACGTGCTCCATCCCCATGTGCGTCCAACACACCTGCCAGCTCTGCTTTCAGCTTTCCCTGATGGCCAAGCATACCCCGCTGCCCCTGCAAGGCTTGGGAGCACTCCTGGGATCCCCTGCAAGGCTTGGGAGCACCCCTGGGATCCCAAGTCTGATGGCCTCTAGAAGTCCCTCTCCTCAAACCTCGGTCACAGCTGCTGCCTAGGGCCTGCCAGGCCAGGGGGACAGCCACGTCTCTCCTAGACACACGAGGACACCCCTCCAAGAGGCCTCCCTCAGCCAGCCGCCACTGCTGCCGGCCCCTCTGTGCATCCCCAAGGGCTGAGCTGTTGCAGGGTACAACGCCTCCTGGCTCCAAGTGAAAGTCGGAGGTGGGCAGGACGTTCAGGTAACACCCCCACCTCCGAAGTCCAGTCTCACAGAGCCTTAGCAGCCACCCAAGGCAAGGAGGTGGCCATGGGCCACCAGGAGTGTCCCGAGCATCCCAGGCCCACAAGGGCCAGAGAAAGTTCCGGGCTTCCCCTAGCGTAAGGGACAGAACCAGGCGCCCTCCCCTCCTGGCCCCCTCAGCTTTCCTGTGACGCCCAGGACCAGGACCAGGACCAGGGAAACCACAGCGTCCCAGGCGACAGGGTGGAGGGCGGCTCCAGGAGCCCAGCTGGGGCATCGGCCAACCCCCGAGAGACACACTTGCTCAGGCATCCCTGGCAAGGTTTCCAAAGCCCTCACGCGGATGAACACGGGAACACCTGGGGCACCCACTGTTTCACGGAAAAAGTCACAGGGGTCACCCTGATGGGATGTAATTTCTGGATATGATTAAACAGGAAGAAAAGATCCCGGCTGAGATTACCGTTCAGAAGCACCTTGGAGCCGGGCTCTCGACACTGCTGACCCGAAACCTGGTGATTCAAGAGGAAAAGAACGCCCTGCTGCCGTCAGAGCTGGAAACTGCACAGCCCATTGTGTCCTGGGCGTGAAGCCATCACCTGACTCCCAGGTGAGGAGCCAGAGGGTCAGGGGTCAGAGCTCAAGGGACGCCCTGGCCAGCTGGGGCAGTCAAAGCTACCTCTGCTTCTTCCCCTGAAAGAGGAAGTTTAGATACCCAAGAAGTTTTGATATCTCCTCCACGACTTTACTTCTGGATGTGGTTCAGAAAAATCTGCGGAAAATCACCCAGAATTGCACCCGTTTGGTTTACAGGAGTATTAGCTGTGGGGGCCCCTTTTCCACCACCCCCATCAAGCAGCCTCCCGGGCAGCCCAGGACCCTCCAGAATCTTCCAGAAGCCGCACCACTCGCTTCAGTCGTAACCTGCAGGACCCCACCGGGCGAGGCTGGCTGGGAGGAGGCACTCTCAGGACAAGGGACCTGGGCAGGCACCTCCTGTCTCCGCTCAACACCCAGCGAGGACAGGAGGACCCAGGGTGCACCTGCATCTGCGTCTGGGCAGAGGAGCAAAGACCTGGCCTTCCCAGAGCTTGAGCTGTGGGAGGAAGAGAGGCTGAATGAAAGCCCCGCCCCCACCCCACCCCAGGAGAGGCCACCTGGGGCCTCCCACAGCCCTGCCCACGGCTGCACACGCGTGTCCCCTCACCTCCTTAGCCAGGGCGGCTGCCCGCGCAGGTCCCCTCACCTCCTTAGCCAGGGCGGCTGCCCGCGCAGGTCCCCTCACCTCCTTAGCCAGGGTGGGGGCAGCAGGGAGGGAGGGCGTGCTGCATTCTTCCCTGGGCCTGCAGGTGCACCTGTGCCTGCCCAGAGGGAGCAGCGGGAGCTTCCAGCAGACACACCTGGACAGGTGCACAGAGCTCCTGCCAGGGAAACCCAGCACAGACGCAGGTGGGCGGGTGGTGGGAGGGTGGCAGAAGCGGAAAGAGGAGGAGGCTGAGCTCAGCACAGCCCATGCAGTCTCCTTCCGGCCAAGGGGAGCGGCTGGGCCAGTCTGAGCCGGGAGGCAGCTCAGGGAGTAAGCCCTGGGGACAACATTGGAGTAGCACAGGGTTCCCTGACAGAACCTCACGTCGGAGGGTGGTCTGAGGGCTGCTGGGGGCCCACCTAGGAGATGGGGTCCCAGGACACAGAACAGGGAGGGGGTGGTGTTTCCAGGGTGAGGCCTGGGGGAGGGTAGCAAGGCCTGGACTAGGAGATGGAGGCCTAATCAAAGCAAAACAGAGACTCAGAGCTCAGCGCCTGTATTCGCAGGGACACACAGGGACTCACAGGGACGTCCCGGATCGCTAGGGGACTCACGGGGACACGTGGGGACACGCTCGGACTCACGGGGACTTGCAGGGGCCCATGGGGATGTGCAGGGACACCGTCCCTCCCGGCCGTCCTGCTCCTTGCCAAGAGTCACCCAGAGGCTGGGGCCTGGCACCACTTGCAGACAGGGGCATTCCTGGGCCCCTCCTTTTGGCACCTCAGCCTCAGCAGCTGCTGAAGGGTGTGGGGGAGGGAGCCGGTATTGGTGCAACAGGCAGATGGTTCCAGAAACTCAGGATTCTACACAATCCTAGCACCTGAGGCACAGTCCTGCACGGCCGCCACGCTGTCGGAAGCAGGCACCGGCCCTGGTGGTCAACACAAGCCCTGAGGACCTCCCAGAGGGCATGCTCCGGGCAACCTGCCAGGACCACCTCTCCTGCCTGGTGTTGGGGGCCTCACCTGACCTCTCCGGGTCCCTAACCAGGCGCTAGGGCTGCCTCCCTTGGGGCCCCCAGAATCCACCCTGGAACGGCTGCTGGGACTGAGACCCTGAGTCAGGCCAATCCCCAGAGCCTTGCCTAGCCATGGCTTGTCTGGGGTGGGTTCCCAGATCCTCGTCCAGGACACGGGAAAGGGGCTCCTTTTGTGGCCTGTGCTGTGGAAGGGCTCAGTAAGCAAGGTGATCCTCCTGGGAGGTAGGGCAATGCCTGCCAGGAGCAGCTTCCCAGGTGGGGCCCAGCGCCCTGGCTGTGTACACGGCAAAGCTCACTGCCCCTGGTTCTGTCAGGGGCGTTTGAACCAGAGTGACTCCATCTTGAACAGGGGCTGGGTCTGATGAGGCTGAGGCCTGCTGCGCTGCATTCCCAGGAGCTTAGGGATTCTCAGTCACAAGGTGAGACGGGACGACCGCGCAAGAGGCAGGTCGTTAAAACCTTATTAATAAAACAAGTTGTGGTCAGGAAGCCATCCAATACCCAGTACCCACCAAAACCAAGGCGGCATGAAAGTGACCTCTGGTTGTCCTCACTGCTCATTACACGCTAATTCGAATGCATTAGCATCTAAGAGACACTCCTACCAGCACGGTGGCAGTTTACAGAGGCCACGGCAACGTCGGGAAGCTACCCTCTATGGCCTAAAAAGGGGAGGAGCCCACAGTTCTGGGAATTTTGCACCCCTTTCCTGGAAAATTCATGAAAAATCCACCCCTTGTTCAGCGCATAATGAAGAAGTAACAGTAAGTGTCCTTGGTCGGGGAGCCATTCTTCATCCCTTCACTTTCTTAATAAACTTACTTTCACTTTATACTCTATGGACTCACCTCCAATTCTTTCTTGTGTGAGGTCCAAGAACCTTCTCTTGGGGGTCGTCTGGATTGGGGCCCCTTTCTGGTAACAGTTCTTTTTTCTTTTCTTTTTTGAACTAACACCCGGGCTGTTTTCTGTCCCTTCCCTTCCAGGGGGCCCTGACTCATGAAGAACCCTTGCCTGCCTTCTGGACCATTCCAGGGCCAGCTTTCCCCCTCAGCTTCCTGAGATCATCCTAATGTCCCCAGAACATCTCCTTGGCGTGCTCCGGCCCCTCCTAAGAGGCGTGTGCCCAGCTTGCTTCCCTCTGGAGCCTTGGGGCCAGCACCGCCTCCCAAGAACTGCACTGCAGTGTCCATGGCCAAAGGACCTGGTAGGGCTGCCGGATAAGACACGGGCACTCGGCCCAGCACAAATTTCAGATAAATGATGAATTTTATTTTGATGTAGTGTGACCCAAATATTGCTTCTACTAAGAATTTATTTTTGAGACAGTCTCGCTCTGTCATCTAGGCTGGGGTGCAGGGGCGTGATCTTGGATCTTGGCTCACTGCAACCTCTGCCTCCTGGGTTCAAGTGATTCTCCTGCCTCAACCTCCCAAGTAGCTGGGATTACAGGCGTGCGTCACCACACACAGCTAATTTTTGTATTTTTGGTAGACGGAGTTTCACCATGTTGGCCAGGCTGGTCTCGAACTCCCAACTTCAAGTGATCTGCCAGGCTTGGCTTCCCAAAGTGCTGAGATTACAGACATGAGCCACCGCACCCAGCTGCTTCTACTAAGAATTATTTGTGTTAGTTTGAAACAAATTTAACCAGGCGCCCTGCGCTGGGCTAATGGCTGGGAGTCGCACATGTGGGCAAGAGCTCCCCCCAACCCCCCGACCTCCTCAGGATCTTCAGACCCCAGCTTGAATCCCGTCAGCCCCACCTCCTCCAGGAGTGGAGGATTTTCAAATGCACACAGCTCCCTGGAAACCCTGCCCTGCTGGTCCTGGGGGAGAGGGCTGGGTGAGGTGGGGGCAGAGCCATGAGGTGCCTGTTCTTTCCGTCGACAGGACTTAAGGCAAGAGATGCGAGGGGGACCCCACACAGTGCTGTCTGGGGTTGACTGTGGGTGGAGAGAACAATCCCAAATACTGGTAGGCCGCTGTGGCTGCTGCTGACGCTGACGCTTGCTGGCCGGCATGCTTGCTGGGTGTCATCCCAAAGCACTGTCAGAGACGGGAGGCTGGACGTGCGCCCCTCGGTGAGAACTTCCTCTATGTGTGGAGTTTCGGGGTATGAACATCTGCTGCTGAATCTCAGAGGCTGAGGTTGGGGGCAGCTCAGGAACCCCCTGGGGTTCTCAGACCCTGTAAATAGCTTTCCCAGTAATCCCAGGGGAGCCAAGTTATTTCCCTGACCAACCGAGGCAGCAACACCAGAGAGGGTTGTGTGGAGCTGCAGCTGGAGGTGGGGGTGGGCTCTTGTTCTAACCGCTGCATGGCCTTCCTCCCTGAACTTTCCAGCACGTACACCATGGAGAGAGGGAGCTTGATTGTGCCCACAAGCCTGCTCAGCCCAGCTAGTCTCCCTGGCCCACCACAGACCCACCCCAGACAGCCAGAGCCTAGTACAAGCCCAGCCTCCCCTTTAAAAGCCTCCCGGCTGATTCTCATGTTGTGAGAGAACTGGGTGGCTCTCCCAGCTCCAGCTCTGCAATTCTGGGACAGCTACGTGTTTCTAGTGAGTTAAAAAACTTGGCTGGGCGCGGTGGCTCATGCCTGTAATCCCAGCACTTTTGGAGGCCAAGGTGGGCGGATCACCTGAGGTCAGGAGTTCGAGACCAGCCTGGCCAACATGATGAAACCCCGTCTCTACTAAAAATACAAAAATCAGCCGGGTGTGGTGGCACACATCTATAATCCCAGCTACTGGAGAGGCTGAGGCAGGAGAATCACTTGAACCCGGGAGGCAGAGGTTATAGTGAGCTGAGATCATGCCATTTCACTTCAGCCTGGGCAATAAGAGCAAAATTCTGTTTAAAAAAAAAAAATTTGAACACCCATGAAGACGGCTACTATCAAAACAGGAGAAAATGAATGCTGTAAGAATGTGAAAATACGGGGCCCTTGTCTTCTACCGGTGGGAGTGTAAATTGGTACAGTCCATACGGAAACAGAACGGCAGTTCCTGAAAAAGTTAATAGAATGACCCTCTGACCCAGCAATTTCACTTCTGCACGTGCTATAAAGAACTGAAAGCAGGGACTCGAACAGATATTTGCACACCCGTGATTAGAGCAGCACTACCCACAACAGCCAGGTGGCAGAATCAGCCCGAGAGGTGGTGAGCAGATAAAGCCATGAACAAAACAAGTCGGTCCACACAGCGGGATGTTGTTCCACCTTAAAAAAGAAGGGCACGGCCAGGCGCGGTGGCTCATCCCTGTAACCCCAGCACTTTGGGAGGCTGAGATGGGCAGATTACCAGGAGTTCGAGACCAGCCTGGCCAACATGGTGAAACCCCGTCTCTACCAAAAATACAAAAATTACCTGGGTATGGTGGCGGGGGCCTGTAATCCCAGCTACTCGGGAGGCTGAGGCAGGAGAATCGCTTGAACCCGGGAGGCAGAGGCTGCAGTGAGCCGAGATCTCACCACTGCACCCCAGCCTGGGCGACAGGGCAAGACTCCATCTCAAACAAAAGACATTCACCTTCCTGAGCCTCGGTTTGCTCATCTGTAAGATGGGGATGAGTAGATGGAAAATGAAAGGAGAAACATCTGGAAAGACTGTGGGGCCAGCCAGAACCTTCCTAGTAAGGAAATTGAAAGGTGCATTTGCAGCTGAGCCTGTGAGATTTTGACTAAACAGGCAGAGGGAGTTCCCAGGACCCAGGAAGTCAACCACACACAACCACCATGCTCCGTTTTCCAGGGCCTTGGACAAATGCCTCAACACTAGGCCCGTTTCCAGGGCCTTGGACAAATGCCTCAACACTAGCCATTCTCGCTCCAGCCCAGGTGCAGTCAACTGTGGGTGATGTCACCTGCGGCCCTCGTCCCCAGCCCTGCTGCCCCGGGATCCAGGGTGGCCATGGAGATACATGATGCTGGTCCCAGGGTTGAAGTCGCCACAGGGGTACAAAGACAGCTCCAAAACAAGTCTAGGGCGGTGCTTACCCCTAGTGCCATTTCTGTAAGTGTGAACATGTGCAAAGTGATGCCACACGCAGCTTCAGGTGCGTGCATGAGTGGTGACAGTGTGACGATATTCCTGGAAAGACAAACATCCCATTCAGGGTTTACTGAAGGCTCAGCTTAAGTCCCTCGCCCTGGTAAGGGCAGGAACACACCAGGTCTCTTGCAGAGGAGTGCAGTTTCACAGCTGGTGGGTTTTCCAAAAATATCTTCAAGAGTTTGACAAACAGTGCCAGCTTGGACTGCACCATCCCCACATCCAAAACGCACTCCCCGTTTCCCTCAACCTCCCTGCTCATCCTGTAAGTTTCCCACAGAAATGGTGGCCTCGTCGGCCCTGCGGGGTGCAGGGGTAAGCAGCACACCATCTCCAGGCCTGGCTCGGGTCCAGAGGACACGGATGCACATTGCCCCTTGATTCATGCTGAGATTCCCATGTTTAAGCAAACAGCTGCTGATGAGAAGGTTCAGAGGCCATGGAAGAGGAGACTGCGGAGAGGCCACAGGAGGAGGGAGAATCGTGGCCGTCTCTGCTCCTGCAGGCACTGCTGTGCGGCTTTGTCCTCCCAAGGAACCATCCGTGCAATAGAGGGAAACACTCCACTGTCCCTCCAACCCAGCTCCGAGAAATCACGACTCCTCCTGACACCCACCAAGACATGAGACACGACTGACACACAGACATGTGCACACACCCCAACACCAGGACACGCAGGCACACACGTGCTCAGACACCAACACCAGGACACGCAGACACACGTGTGCTCAGACACCAACACCAGGACACGCAGGCACACGTGTGCTCAGACACCAACACCAGGACACGCAGGCACACGTGTGCTCAGACACCAACACCAGGACACGCAGGCACACACGTGGTCAGACACCAACACCAGTACACGCAGGCACACGTGTGCTCAGACACCAACACCAGGACACGCAGGCACACATATGCTCAGACACCACCAGGACACGCAGACACACGTGTGCTCAGACACCAACACCAGGACACGCAGGCACACATGTGCTCAGACACCAACACCAGGACACGCAGGCACACACGTGCTCAGACACCAACACCAGGACACGCAGGCACACGTGTGCTCAGACACCAACACCAGGACACGCAGGCACACGTGTGCTCAGACACCAACACCAGGACACGCAGGCACACACGTGCTCAGACACCAACACCAGGACACGCAGGCACACATATGCTCAAACAGCAGGACACGCAGGCACACATATGCTCAAACAGCAGGACACGCAGGCACACATGTGCTCAGACACCAACACCAGGACACACAGACGTGCACACATACCACCAGGACACACACACATGTACTCACACACCACCAGGACACACATGTGCACACACACCAACAGCAGGACACACACACGTGCTCACACACTCCAACACCAGGACAC
The DNA here is from genome assembly GCF_000001405.40 of Homo sapiens. Lineage (NCBI taxonomy): Eukaryota > Metazoa > Chordata > Mammalia > Primates > Hominidae > Homo > Homo sapiens. Next base: position 1,137,057 of record NC_000005.10, read on the forward strand.
ACATGCAGACACACGTGTGTCTACAGCCAGTGTTTCCCAGCCCAGAGCTGGCTGCACAGAGCCACACCCAGCCACAGTGAGGCCGCTGCAGTCCCGGGTTTTCACCCCCTCAAGCTCACCCTGCCCCTACTCCAAGGATTCATGCCCCCATCACAGGCGGGGCCACCTGTGCCCTCTTCCCAGAGCACTCGAGGCCAGGCACGATCCGGAGCCACTTCCTGCGTAGCCCCCTCCATCTGTGCCCCGAGAAACCAAGGACTCCGAAGGACAAGGATCAGACCACGAATGACAAAGAACCTTGGCCCAGAGAGCCAGGACTCCATCCCTGACTGCCTGCCTCCCCACCTTGTTTCCTTACAGCTCAGCACCTGCCAGGGACGTCAAATACACCGCACCCAGCCCCAGGGGGTCCCCACTGCTAGAAGACCACCTTCAGCTCCAGCTACACCTTCCCTTCCCGTTGTCCACACCTTCCCCCTCCTCCTCAACCTGCCTGGACGTCCAGACCCCCCGAGCAGGCACTGAATGACCCCGTTCCCCTCCGGGTGGTCCCCACTCATGTCCATGGCCTCATCCTGGACTTGGCAAACAGGGCCCGCCCCAGGACTTCGCACGGCTGTCCTTGGGCCACACATCTGGGCGATTCGGGGCCGGGGCTCCTCTTCCTGGACATGGCCTCTGCAGGTCAGGCCCTCCCTGCTCGCCCAGGTGCGTCATCAGAACCCTTGGTCTGGCTGGCGGAGAAGACAGCACAAGCGCCTGGATCTGCCCCTCCCCCGGCACCAGCTCCCCGGGGCCTGGCGCACTGTGAGGAGAATCATGGATGTCGGCGCCAGCGCTGTGGAAGACACCCTAAGGGGGTCCAGTGAGCTGTGGCAGAAGGAGCAGTCTCTCTTGCCGGGCTGGTTCCTGGGCTCCTGGTTCCTGAGTGACCCTGGAGCAGGGATAGCCGCCGGCACCCGCCCCTCCTCTTCTCAGAAGTGGTCACGCTGTGTCCAGAGTTGGTTCCTTCCAGTGGGTTCTTGGTTTATGCTGACTTCAAGAATGAAGTCCCAGATCTTTGCAGTGTTACAGCTCTTAAACGTGGCACGGACCCAAAGAGTGAGCAGCAGCAAGATTTATTGCAAAAGGGGAAAAGCGGAAAAAAACACAAACCTTCCACATCATTGAAATGAACCCCAGGGCACCACCCACTGCCGGCGGGGTGGGGCAGGGCAGGGCGGCTTTTATTCCCTTATTTGACCCCACCCACATCCTGCTGATTGGTCCATTTTACAGAACACTGATTGGTTCATTTTACAGAGTGCTGATTGCTCCATTTTTACAGAGTGCTGATTGGTGCATTTACAAACCTTTAGCTACACACAGAGCTGCTCATTGGTGTGTTTACAATCCTTTAGCTAGACAGAAAAGTTCTACAAGTCCCCACCCTACCCAGAGGCCCAGCGGGCTTCACCTCTCAACCTCATAGGGCCTCCTCCTCTGTGTGCCTCTCTCCTCGTCTGTTTCTGATTTGCCAGTGGGCTTAGAGCCCGCTCACATAAACTGGGGCGACTTCAGCTGGAGATCTTTACCCCACATGCAAAGATTCTTTTCCAAATAAGGTCATATTCTCGGGTTCCAGGAATCAGGACATAGATGTAGCTCTTTGGAGGCCACCGTTTAGTTTACTACAAACCTTGAAACCAAAACAGGATCAAGGTCCAAACTTAGAAGGACTTGGGCTCCAGAGAGAGGCCCAGGAAGCTAAGCCCCACTGCCCGACACAGCCCTGTGTGCACAGTGGGAGCCCCAGGGTGTCTGTTCAACTGCAACACACAGCTTTCTACCAGGTCCTTAACACATGCTGGGTCCTAACATGTGCCCTGAGGTGAGCCGGGGATACTCGACTCCAGGGCACTGGCCAGAAGCCTTGGACCTGCACCCACCACCCAGGCCTCTGAAAGGAGAGCAAGCTGAAGTCTTGACTTTGAAACAGCTGCAGGGGTCGCCCCTCACCCAAGCTTGGGGTGGGGGGGGGGCTCTGGGCGGCAGCAGGTGCACTTTGGGAGCCTCCGATGGTCCCCACAGCTGGGCTCCCTCCTCATCCCCATGGGCGTAGCCCACCAGGTGGCTGCTGAGTCCTCATGGTCCGTAGGCAAGAGGAAGGGGGAAAGTGTGAGCCCTTGGCCTCCACGGCAGCCGGCTGGGATCCTGGCGGGGGACCCTCGCTGGTAACAGCATCTCCCCAGGACGTGCGGCCCCAGTGCCTGCACCCAAGCCCAGCCCTGGTGGGGAGCAGCCCCTGGAAGGCAGGAACCACTCCAGGCAAATGCAGCTGGTGCTCAGCTACATCCTCACGAGGGCCCTGGGCCCCAAACCAAGAGGCGGCTCAGCCTGACAGATGCGGTTCTGGGAGCTGGGGCGGTTGACACTGCCTGGGCCTTGCCGGCTTGGCCTTCTCTGAGGGGTGGTGTCCACACAGCAGCAATGGTGCCACATGCCGGAACCTGGAACCGAGGTTGCCTCGAGAACTGTTTGGGCAGTGGCCCTAGCGGGTGTGGGTGCCGGGAAACAGGAGGCAGAGTGGCCCCCATGTTCCTCTGTAGGCGTCCGCACAGCCTGCCTTCCCCGAGTGCACACGGCGAGCTTGCTTGACCCTGGGGTGGCCACGGCCCACTTTTGTGACCCACGTCCCTCCTCCCGGCAGGCCCCGTGTCTTTGGGGAAGGTGAGTAATTCTGAATCTGGTTCCCGAGCCCCACTTCCCAGTCTAGGGCCACTACGTCCCCACGGTTCTGGGACACTTGCTGAGACAAAGGCAGATTTTGTGAGTCAAAAGGGACTTTCCACATCTCCAAACGGCGTTTCCGGATGCATGGGCCTCAGGGCTCTGATCCCAAGAAGTGCCAAGAAGACCTCTGTGGTCACAGATGCGGACCAGGCCGGGACATGCTGGAAGGTGTCAGGACACGCCCGGCCTGCACCTCTGTCTCCCAGAGCATCCCAGGTCTCAGGGCATCAAACGCTCCGAGGTCGGTGACCAGGCACCACCGCCTTGGCCTCAACCAGCACCCCAGAGGCGCCGTCCTGCCCTCAGAAGGCCCCCCAGAAACGCTGTTTCCCATCGCTGGCTGGCTGTCTCGTACCAGCCGCTGCAGCCCCGGCCCACCTGCATGCAGGGAGCAGGGCCCCATGGGAACCCAGGCAGATCCCCCTCCTGAGAAAGGTGGCCCTGCCCCAGCCAGCACATCCCAGGCGATGAGGCATGTGATCCCCATGGCCCCTCGGGTGAATCCTGACCGCCAATCTGCACACACAGCCACACCTGCGTCTCCATCTCCCTCGGTTCTGTTCCCCCCCACCGGGTCTGGAAGACACTGGTAAGCAGGGGAGGAGGAAACAGGTGCAGCTCCAGCGAGGCGGTGCTCCCTGCTGGTGAGTGGGTGCCCCCTGCTGGTGAGGGGGGGTGCTCCCTGCTGGCTTCCCCTCCCCACAGCTGTCCCTGGAGGGAGGCGTCATTCTGTAAACAGGGAGATGGGGTTCAGGACGGTGCCAGCATGCCCAGCAATCCCGGAGTTCCCCGTGCTCAGGAACTCGCACCGCTGGCTCCACGCTCTCTACTCCAGTGGGACAAGAAAGCTCTGCTCACCAGGCAACGAGAGGCGCAAGGGCGGAGCCCAGGGCCCCGGGGAGGGCTCAGGTGGCTGGCGGAGGGGGTGCAGGGAAGGGAGATTCACCCAGGAGGGCCATTGACAAGCACTGGCTGGGGAGGGATGTGGTCACTGCACCGGCATGACAGCTCGGAGTAGCTTCTAGGTGACCACGCCATGGGAGAATGTTCTGAGGGGAACCCCTTGGGAGGCTCAGCATGAGGCAGAGCCGTTGGGGGCTGCAGCCAAGGTGGGCAAGCTGGGCCTGGGCCAGTTCAGAGCAGCCAGGCTGAGGGGGAGGGTGGACACGGGACGTTTATACCAATACGCTCGGGCCGCTGTGGAAATGAGTGCAGCCAGGCTGTGCACACCACAGACACGTCTCGAAGCCTCGGGCCTGAAGTCCCAGGTCAGTGTGTGGCTGGGCTGCTCCCCTGAGCTGTAGGCGGGCACCGGTTCCGGCCTCTTCTTGGCTTGCAGGCCCCAGCTTCTCCCTGTGTCTCTGTATCGTCCCTGCTCTGTGAGTGTCTATTTCTGTGTCCAAATTCCCCCTTTTAATAAGGACACCCGTTATATTGAATTAGGATGCACCCCTGTGAGCTGTCACTTGATGACCTCTGCAAACAGCTCCCTCCCAATACCATCACATTCTCAAGTGCTAGGCAGTAGGACCCCCAGTCCTCTCCCAGTCCTAATGGAGAGATGTCACTGAGCCTGTAACTTGGCTGTCCCAGCCGTCCCTGCTGCCACGGGCACCACAGCCGCCATGGGCACCAGAGCCGCCACGGGCACCACAGCTGTCCCTGCCTCCCTCTCTGTGCTCTCCCCTGGCTTGTTTTCTGTATCTCCTGGGATGGAGGCTCCCTGGGGACTGTCTTCCCCACTGTGTCCTCAGCACCCAGACCTCACTGGGACAGCAGCCACTAAGCTTGTGTGGTCACTGAAGTTTATATTTAAGTTAAAATTTTTTTTAAAAAATGAAGAATCCAGGTCCTCAGCCACAGCAGCTACAGCTCAAGTGCCGATAGCCACATGTGGCCGGTGGCTGCTGCATAGGACAGCGTGGACAAGGAATAACTCCGTTGGTGCAGAGAGGCCACTGGACACTCAGGCAGAGACAAGAGGGTTCGCCGGGACAGATCAACAGATGAACAAATTCAGAACAAAATGCTTAGTGAGGGAGAAGTGAACTTTCATTTTGCCCAAGTCACCATTATCATGGGTGCTGCTGGCAGGATCAGACCTGGTCATGTGGAGTCTGAAGTGCTCCCAGCCACCAACTGTGGCTGTTGCTTAGAGATACCCCTCTTCCCTGCAGCCCTGCAGGACTTCCCGGGGCTTCCTGGCCTCCACCTTTGCTTCTGGTGCTAGAGGCGGGGCAGGTGGCGTCAGGGTGGCCACTCCCCTCCCCAGAGCTGCACTGGGCCGCAGTCAGTTCACCCGGCCACCCCTGGCAGCATCTCTGGGCCCCAGACAGGGCCCCTCCATACAGAGCCCAGACGCTCCACAGGGCAGGGGCAGCCCAGCCCTATAAGCCCTGGTGCCCCCATAATCAGGAGGAAGAAAACCTCCCCCGTCTCCTGTCCCCTCTCTCCCCTCTCCCCTCCCCCCTCGCCCCTCCCGTCTCCCCTCTCCCCTCTCTCCTCTCCCCTCTCCCCTCTTCCCTCTCCCCTCTCCCCTCCACCCTCTCCTGTCTCCCCTCTCCCTTCTCCCCTTTCCCCTCTCCCCTCCTCACTCTCTCATCTTCGCTGTCCCCTCCCCTCTCTGCCCTCCACTCCCCCCTCCCCTCCCCCTCCCCTTTCCCCTCCCCACTCCCCTCTCTCCCCTCTCCCCTCTCTTCCCTGTTCTCTGCTTCTCTGTGTGTGTCTCTCTCTCTGTCTCTCTTTCTGTCTCTGTCCATCTGTCTCTGTCTGTTTTTCTGTCTCTGTGTCTCTGTCTCTCGCTGTCTCTGTCTGGCTGTCTCTGTCTCCCTGTCTCTCTGTCTCTGTCTCTGTGTCTCTCTCTGTCCCCCTCCCCTCTTCCTGAGCCACTGCCCAGAACTCCAGGCAGGAGGTGCTCACGGCCCTCCCCACATCTTCCCCCTAGAATACCCGTGACCATCAGCTGCCCCCCCCATACACACCCCTCCCCTCCAATCCCAAACTCACTCAGAGCCCCTGTTCTTTGGGCAACGTGCTCAGAACTCAGGGGAGGTAAGGGGGAGTAGGTCAGCAGAAGAGGAAATGGACTTTCCTGGCCCATTCTCCATCCTGGGAGGGCACTGGGCCCTGGGCCCCAGGCCCCGGGCCCCGGTATTCATGGTAACGGGGGCTGAGAGGCGGCCAAAGAAGGCTTGTTCCCGTGCCGGGCACCACAGAGCTTACGGCTCCATCTGTGACACGGGCCTTCCTTCCCTGAGGGCCCCAACACAGCCTCCTGGGCAACATGCCCCTCCATCCGCAGGGTCAGAAGCCGCAGCTCAAGGATCACCTGCGGAAGGTGGCATTTCCCAAGACCGGAGCTTCCCGACATCCCGCCACCTCCCGCAGCGCTGGTGCCAGTCCTGTCGGATAAGGGGCAAGTGTAAGACCGGCCTCATCAGCTCCAGCAATTGTAACAAAGCGCCATGGGCGGGGGCTTCAACACTAGAAATTGTTCCCTCGCAGCCTGGGGGCTGGAAGTCCCAGACCAAGGGGCTGCTGGGCGGTTTCTCCCAAGGCCTATTCATGGCCCGCAGACGGTGGCTTCTCCTGTGTCCTCCCACGGCCGCTCCTCTGCACACACGCATCCCTGGTGTCGCTTTCTCTTCTTACAAGGACACGTCCTATTGGGTCAGGGCCTTCCTCACAACCTCATTTAACCTTAAGTCCCTCCCTCAAGGTCCTAGCTCCAGATACAGTCCCGTTGGGGCTGGGCCTCAGCTGCGAATCTGGGGGCACGACTCAGTCGGCAGCTGTCTGTGTCCTGCATGCGCCTCCACTGACCTTCCCAGGGTTCTCCCTGTGTCCTGGTGCTGCTTCTTCACCCAGAGCGCTGCCACCCACTGCTGAGCTTCAGACATGTGACCTGCCCAGTCCCCTCTGCAAGCCCTGCACCTTCCTCAGTACCAACCAGCAAACCCGTGGCTGCACCGGGGCCAGCAGACACTCTCGGGCAGAGTGCTGGGCACCCTGGCCTCCTGGGCACCCTGGCGCTTGGCACCCTGGCCTCCTGGGCACCCTGGCGCTGGGAAACCTGGCCTCCTGGGCACCCTGGCGCTGGGAAACCTGGCCTCCTGGGCACCCTGGCGCTGGGAAACCTGGCCTCTTGGGCACCCTGCCCTCCTACCCCTGGCTGGCTCGGGCGGCTGTCACCAGTGTGTTCTAAGACTGCAGCCCAGAACCAAGAAATAGGGAGGGGGCGAACAGCCCTGCAGGGAGGGGCACACCCGCCAACCTCAGAGAGGGGACCTGGACGCACCCACCACCCTCAGGGAGAGGACGTGGACGCACCCACCAACCTCAGGGAGGGGACCTGGACGCACCCGCCAACCTCAGGGAGGGGAAGTTGGCCGGCGCAGCGCCGGGTGGCGGGAGAGGATGGTGTCTGGGGCTTACGCCATGCCCAAGCTCCCACAAGGCAGGGGCCCACGTCCCGGGCTCCACGCCAGGGCCTTGCTCTGCCAGGGCAGCTCAGGGCAGCTCCGACAAGGAGTGGCCCCTTTGAACGAGATCCTGGAGAGTCAGGGTTTTCACTCCAGCTTTAAACCAGTTGCTCCCAGGCCGCCGCCACTGCCCCCACCCACCTGTTCTTGGTCCCAGCATCATCATGACAATTTGGGGGCAGGAATTCAACTGTGGAACGGGAGGAGCCCTCAGCTCCGGGTCACGCTGGGTGGAGGGCACGGTGAGGTCACGCTGGGTCATGGTGAGCTGGTGAGGCAGGCAGCCTGGTGGGCACCCGCCTTGAAAATGACCCCTCAAACCAGCGGACCGCACCACACTTTACAATTGAGTACAGCTATTTATCCATTAACACCTGTACCACTTCCAGACCAACAGATCACCAGGCTGCAGTGGGGACATGTGAGAAAATTACAGGCAAGGAAGCAAAGACTAGAACCAGGTGTGTCTCTGAGTTCCAGCCCTGCTGAAATGCCCGTCTGAATAAACAGGGGCCACTGCCATCCCGGCTGCGCATGCACAGGCCTCCGAGCGGCAGAAAGCAGGGATGACACCAATGTGGCTTTAAACCAGTGTTCAATTCCCATGGCTGATTCGGAACGTCCTGAGGCAAAACGTGAAGTTTACTGCATCCGAGGAAGGAAGTGCAGCACCCACAGCAGCAGCCAGCACCACTGGACCAACCGGGCCGGGGCTGGGGAAGGAGCATGTGCTGTCGGCACGGCCAGGCCGGGCCTGGAGGGCTGGAGAGAGCCTGCGTGGGACAGCAGCTGGAGGCCGCAGGGGGCCCAGGGATCACCCCTTCTTCAAAGGGAACCTGGCCGAGAACTCGGCCCTCACACTTGGGTGTGGGGTCTCTGGAGACAGGACAGTGAGTGGCCACAAGGGCCAGGCAGGGGCCGCTGCCAGTGGGCCTGGAAGACCAGCGAGGGCTCATGTCCATCACACGGTCTGTGCAGTAAATGATGGCCGGTTCCGCAGACCCCCTCCCTGTGGGGACACAGCTGCTGGGGTGGTCACCCCTCCCCCTAATTCCCAGCTGAGGTGCCCCTGCAGAAGCCCCGAGTGCCCAGCGGGGTAATTGCGGCCAGGTGCTTGCTCTTGGAGCACTGAGGAGCCATCGGAGGCTGCAGGCTGCCTAGCGGCCAGGCTTGCTGCCCCTTCCTGGAATCTGCCCACAGGAAGTCAGAGGCTGCCAGCCCCTTCACTGACCTTTCCAGGACCAGCCAGGAAGGGCTCACAAAGGATGTTATTTGAAACAGGAAGGTCCCTGGACAAAAATATCTCTTCCAAGAGGCCTGAAAGAGCACCTTGCAGAGAGTAATTTAGATTAAACAGGACCCCCTCCCTGGAGAGCCTGCCTAGGTGTGAATTGATTTAATCAAACTGGCCTCCTCTCAGAAAACTAGAGGCCAGGATCAAGCGCCTCTGTCCTCTGCAGAAGGAAGGGGCTGGGGGTGCGGGAGGGTTTAGTTTATCTCTAGGCCCCTACTGTCTGCTTGCATTTTCTTTTTGGTATTTTTTGTATTGTGATAAAATACACATAACATTTTACCATTTTTACCATTTTTGGGTGAGCAGTTCAGTGGCATTAAATGCAGTCACAATGCTGTAAAACCATCACCGCCATCCTTCTCCAGAACTTCCTTTGCAAAACTGCAGCTCTGCACCCATTAAACTGACTCCCATTCCCCTCCCCCAGCCCCTGGCAGTCCCCGTTCTGCCTCCGTCTCCCAGAATTTGACAACTCCAGGCTCTGCCTGCAACTGTTATTCTGCAGGATTGACCTTTCTGTGTCTGGCTGCCCCATCCCTCCTCATTCCCAAAGGCTCTCCCTGGAACCTGCTCCCAGCAGGAGGGGCCATTCCCTGGTCACCCACCTTCTTGAGGCTCCTCTGGGAGAGTCTCCAGGTCTGTGATGAGACCTCAGGGACCTGCCAGCAGGTGGGCTTTTGGAGTGGAGTTGTGGGAGCCCAGATGCTGGTGACCCCTGGAGGTGACCACCTGGGCCAGTGACCACGGACCTCCAGGCCTGGGTCCCTCTGACCTGGCCGTGGAATGAAGCCTGGGGTGCCTGCATGTGGGTGGGAGCAGTGGTGGCCTGCTGAGAGGTGTTCAAAGCCATCTCTGCAGTGTAAACAAAAAATAAAATTCTAAGGCTCCTCCCCGACCGTCTGGATGGACCCCTCCTCTGGGCCAGGACACCCCAACGTTAACCAGAAAGACTGCTTCAGGCCACGACGGGAAGCGGTGGTCGGCCATGCCTCATGCCGCCCTCCTCCCTTTCGGAATTTAGGAAAAGCCGACCAGCAGTAACATCAACACAGACCTTAAGTCTGGTAAGAAACACCATACAATCTCTTCTCTCTGGAGCCTGCTACCTGGAGGCTTCACCTGCATGATGAAACCTTGGCCTCCACAGCCCCTTACCCTAACCCAGACAATCCTTTCTATTGATAGTAACTCCCAAACAATTGCCAATCAGAACATTTTTAAATCTACCTATGACCTGGAAGCCCCACTTGGAGCTGTCCCGCCTTTCTGGACCTGACCAATGTATATCTTAAATGTCTCATGCCCGCCTGAACTAAGGCCCAGCTGCACCCGCCCACCTCCCGAGGGCCGTGTCACTGCACAGTCACTCTGTGTGGCTCAGAATCAATCTCTTCAAATATTTCACAGACTTTCGCTCTTTTCATCGACAGGCTTATTTCGTTCACACAATGTCCTCAGCCTCCATCCATGTGGCAGTGTGTGTCTGAATTTCCTTTCTTTTGTAAACTAAAAACAAAATCCAAAGTCCCACAGACAAATGAACGGAACACCCCTCTTGGACAAGGGGACCCAGGGCAACAGGAAACACTAAATTCCCACGGTGACAGAAGGGAGGAGGGACTCTCCTCATCACGGCCCACCCCGCCACCCCCCCCGCCCCCGCCTTTAGGAGTTCAGGTGCAGCTGACCCACACTAACTCCAAAATAGTTATCCAAAGACGGCAGAACAGACTCTGTGGCGGTAAGACCCCAAATCCAGCCTGACCCTGGTATAGAGACCCACCGAGAGTCCCTCCGACCCGGAGAGACCCGCCGAGGGTCCCACACCCGGAGAGACCCGCCAGGAGTCCCCACACATTTGAAGGCCCTGCCTGCCCTCTGTCCTCTCGGGGCCGCCTCCTGGAGGCTTCTACGTCACCAGCACCTTGGTCTCCACAGCCCCTCAGCTGAAGCCAAGTGATTCTTTCCACCCACTGCAAGCCTTCACGTCTTCAGCTTAACTCTTTCACCCAAATACTAATCAGAAAACATTTAAATCTCTCTGCTCCCCTTCAAGATGTCCCTCATTTCCCACCGAATCAATGTATACTTTCCATGTACTGATTTATGCCTTTGCCTGTAACTTCTTTATTTAATTAAATTAATTAATTACTTTTTTGAGACAGGGTCTCACTCTGTCACCCAGGCTGAGAGTAGTATCTCAATCACAGCTCATTGTGGCCTTGACCTCCCGGACTGGAGCCTCAGCTTCCCAAGCAGGTGGGACCGTGGGTGTGCACCACCACGCCTGGCTAATTTTTAGAAAATTTTTTGTAGAGACGGGATCTTGCTATGTTGCCCAGGGTGGTCTTGAACTCCTGTAGGGAAACAATTCCCCCACCTCAGCCTCCCAAAGAGCTGGGATTATGCCTCGCCTGGCTTTGCCTGTAACTTCTGTCTCCCTGAAATGTATACAACCAAACTGTAACTGCCTCAGGCACAGGCTCTCAGGCCCTCCTGAAGCTGTTTTCTGGGCCATGGTCACTCACATTGGCTCAGAATAAACCTCTTTAAATATTTTACAGAGTTTGCTTTTTTTTGTTGATACTTTTTTCTTTCTTTCTTTTTTTTTTTTTTTTTTTGAGATGGCGTCTCGCTCTGTCACCCAGGCTGGAGTGCAGTGGTGCGATCTCCACTCACTGCAAGCTCCGCCTCCCAGGTTCACACCATTCTCCTGCCTCAGCCTCCCTACTAGCTGGGACTACAGGCGCCCACCACCACGCCCGGCTAATTTTTTGTATTTTAGTAGAGACGGGGTTTCACCATGTTAGCCAGGATGGTCTCTATCTCCTGACCTTGTGATCCACCTGCTTTGGCCTCCCAGAGTGCTGGTATTACAGGCGTGAGCCACCGCACCTGGCCTTTGTTGATACTTTTTAAGGCTAAATAATATTCCACTACATGTACTATCAAAATGTTATACAAAATTATAACAAATTTAGCTGTAGATTGAATTGGCCTTTATTCTCGATTCACGAATGGGGCAGCCTCAGTCGAGGAATGAGAGCTCCCCCTGGGCAATGGCCAACAGTGGGTTTTGTAAAGTGGGTACAGGGACACGGAACAGAAGAAAGGCTGACGGTTGACATCGGGTTCCCTCAGGTTCCTTGTTGTAAGGGTTAAAGCAGAGGGACTTCCTTTGTACACTGACCAGGTAGACTGCAGTCTCCTGTTTTCAGAAAAAACTGGTCAGCTTTGGGATCTATCTGCTTCCTTAAAGTTTCAGTTTGATGATGCCATTTAGCCTTCAGGCCAAACCAAAATGGAGTGATGTATTGGGGCCTGGTGTAGGAGCTCCATTCAAAACAACAGCTGCCCATAATTTTTGTTTAAAAGTACATGTCACATTTTATGAATCCGTTCATCCACCCACGGACAACTGGGTTGCTTCCACCTGTGTCTACCGTGAATGATGCTCCCAGGAACATGGATGTGCAAATGTCTCTCTGAGCCCCTACACCCAGAAGGGGGACTGTGGATCCTACGATGCCGCACCCAGAAGGGGGACTGTGGATCCTATGATGCTACCGTGTGAGCTTCTGACATCTGTTTTCCAGCCATGCCACTTTACATTCCCACAAGCAGCGCACAAGGGTCCCCACTTGTAACATCCTCACCAACACGGTATTGTCCATTCTAAAAATAAGAGCCTGGCCAGGCGCGGCGGCTCACACCTGTAATCCCAGCACTTTGGGAGGCCAAGGTGGGCAGATCACTTGAGGTCAGGAGTTCGAGACCAGCCTGGCCAACATGGCGAAACCGCATCTCTACTAAAAATATAAAAATTAGCCAGGCGTGGTGGCAGGTGCCTGTAATCCCAGCTACTCTGGAGGCTGAGGCAAGATAATCACTTGAACCCGGGAGGTGGAGGTTGTAGTGAGCCGAGATGGTGCCACTGCACTGCGGCCTGGGCAACAGAGAAAAACTCCCTCTCAAAAACAAATAAATTAAAAAAAATAAAAATAAGAGCCATTCAAATAGTTGTGAAGTGGTGTCTTCACAATTATTAGTGTTGATTTGCATTTCTCTAGTGATTAGGGATGTGAAGCATCTCTCCATGTGCTTATTATCATTTGTGTATCTTTTTGAAGAAATGGCTATTCAAGCCGGGTGCGGTGGTTCACATCTGTTATCCCAGCACTTTGGGAGGCCAAGGTGGGCGGATCACCTGATGTCAGGAGTTTGAGACCAGCCTGGCCAACATGGTGAAACTCCGTCTCTACTCACAATACAAAAAATTAGCTGGGCATGGTGGTGCACGCCTGCAATTCCAGTTACTCGGGAGGCTGAGGCAGGAGAATCGCTTGAATCTGGGAGGTGGAGGTTGCGGTGAGCTGAGATCGTGCCATTGCACTCCAGCCTGGGCAACGAGAGCGAAACTCCACCTCAAAGAAAAAAACAACAACAATAAAAACAGAGAAATAGCTATTTAAGCCCTTTTCCCATTTTTAAAAGGGTGTATTTGTTTGCTGTTGCTGTTGAGTTGTAGGAGTTCTTGGCATCCTCTGGGTATGAACCCCTCATCAGCTCTATGATTTGCAAATGCTCTCTCCCATCCCGGGAGCTGTTCTTCTACTCTGTGTGTGTCCTCTGATGTGTGTTTGCATTTTTTTTAGTCTGTGCTTGTAGTTTCCTCTGCCCCTCCCCCGACCCCGATAGAGCCATGCAGGAGCCGACATCCATGCACACACACCTGCCCCCTAACCCCATCCCTCATTTTCAGGGCACAGGCCTCGACCAGAGGAACAGAGGAGGCACCTGGGTGGAGCCCTGCACCAAGGCCCAAAGGCCCAGCCCACAGTGAGGACCCCAACTCATGCCACAAGCAGCTGAGCTGCAGGATCTCTTCCGAATATTCAAGTCTTTATTTAAAGAAAATTCTGGTGTATACATGGAGCTGGTGTCTCAAAACCCAGGTCCCCTCCAGTGGAAAAAGAAGCCAAATTAAACACTAAATAGCAAAGAACAGAAAGGATGGACATGCGTTCAAGCATTTTCTTTTAAAGCCAAAATTAAAATCACTGAGTCGAGACTTCTTTAAGAGCAAAGTGACAAAACGCAAGCTTGTCCTGCTCCACAGATAACTAGAGGCAGCTCATGGATGAACACGACGGCCGAGCTCCATGAAATATTTAAGCAAAAAGAAAACAGAGCCTGCCCCGTGGGGCTGGCAGGTTTTCAGACACCAGAACCAGTGGCCTCCGCCTGGGATCTGCACACCACGTTTCTGAGTGGCCCAGGAGGGCACGCAGAAGCAGCCTGGTGGTCTGATTTTCCCAACAAGGAGAGCATGCAGCCAGCTGAGGACATGGGATTTTCCTGAGGCTTTCCCCCATCAGAAGGCAAAGGCTGAGGGGGCAGCCCACTCTCCTGTGGTCCACGGATGGGGAGGGCGGCCTTGGGAGCTGGACGGAGATGGCGGGGCCAGAGCCTCACTGCTGTGCCAGCAGGGTCTGGGCCCATGGGTGGTACCCAAGGATCCTCCTGTTCCAGATCCCCGGGATCCCAGCTCACAAAGCTCAGGCTTGCAAAGGCGCCTTCTACCATGAGCGTTGCTTCCCAGCCAGAGCAGTTTCCAAGGCTCAGGCAACGAACTCTTCACCTTCTCCTTAAGCGGCAAAAACCCAACACGCTCCACAGAGATGCAGACATCCACTCACACACAGAGACACACAAAGAAACCTCAGCCTGGCCTCGGCACACATCTCATTGAAGATGTCAGTGGGCGCCGTTGCTAAGCTGGCGTCTGCAGGGGCCCGGCCTCTGCCAGCCCCAGCACTAGGGGAGGGTTCCTTTGGCCTCCCAGAGTGTTCTGGGCTGCACACAACCCTCCAGGTATAATTATGAGCGTCTGTAGGGCTCTGATGGCCCCACCAGCCATAACAACAGCTGCAGGGAACAAAAGGCCCAACCCTCTAATCAGGGACTCAGAACTGGTCTCTGTCCCAGTGCCAGGGGTGAAAACCACCAGAACCAACCGGTGCCAGAAGGGTCCGACAGGCTGAGGGACCCTGAGTTCCAGCCTGCCCATCCTCTAGAGCAGGCTCAGTGCAGCCCGGGAGGCGGGGGGCAGGGGGTGGGTGGTGAGGGGCGCACAGCTTGTGCTCCCCCTCAGCTGTGGCCTTGAGCCACTTGGACCTCCCTGAACGTCCTGTCCTCTGGGCAGCCTCCTGCACACGGCTCTCCTTGCAGGCTGGGAACCTACCTTTCCTCATCCCTTCCGGGTCTGGGGGCACGCCAGGTGACGAATCCTGCCATGTCCTGATAGCTGGATCTGGGACCCCGCTGAAACCGTCCCACAGAGGAAGCTACATGGGGGCTGTCATCGGCATCCCTTCACTGGGAAAGAGGGTGCAGTCACATTCACCTTCTGGAGCCTCTGGAACCATCTGTGAAATGGTCCTATCAATGCCGAGCTGGACCTTCCCACAGGGCCAGGGGGCTCTGCCATTGCCTGGTGCTCCCTGTCTCCCCTCCCCTCCCCTCTCCTTTGCTTTGTGAAATGGCCAGCCCCATCACCTCCCAGCTGGACCCTCCCACAGGACTAGGAGGCTGTGCGATCGTCTGGTGTTCCCCAGCTCATCTCCCCTCTGCCCTGCACACCCGGCCACCCACCCTTGTGCCCACGGAAGATGCCACAGTGTGCAGGGGGCAGTCATGCCTGCAAGGCTGACTCTGCGGCCGGCCACCAACTGAGTGTAGAAGCCACAGGCTGCTCCCTGCTGAGCAGGAAGTGGCACCACCCTCCTTGATGCAAAAACATAGCCGGAAAGCCCCTGTCAGACCTGCCTGTGCCCGTGGGCTCACCCAGCAGGACCGAGGGGGATGCTGGCACAGGGCGAGAGTCCCAATGGCATGTTTACATCCTGTGGCAGAGAGAAGGGACCCATCCCCTAGAGAAGGGAGACCTCCCTGGTAAGGGAGATCCCCCAAGCTAGAGAAGGGAGTCCCCCAAGCTAGAGAAGGGAGACCCCCAAGCTAGAGAACGGAGACCCCCAAGCTAGAGAAGGGCGACTCCCTTACAGAACGGAGACGCCCCCCGGACCATGCACTGCCTCAGCACCGACACACCCCAGCCATTCTCAGCAAAGTCAACTGAGTACAAAGTCGGTGTGGATTCCTGCATTGAAAACTGAGGGATGACCGACACGGGGGAGGCCTGCGGGGATTACTGACTTATCCCTGGGGCCTGTGAGCAGAGAGGAGCTGTCTCTGGAGGATTAGAAAGTTCATCTGATCACCAGGCCACACATCTGCAAGGGAAGGTCAGCCCAGGACAAATGGCCCGCCTGGCATGCAATTCCTGTGGCGCCCAACGCATGCCAATAAAATGTTTGTTTGCTTTTTTAAACTTGGTTTACATTGTCTTAATGGCACTGTTAAATAATAGGTCTTCTGTTCATATGTAGCGGGCACGACACAAAATCATTCAGCTGATGGTTGGCTGGAGCCATCCTCCTCCAACCCCCACAGGACTGGAGCCCAGCTGTCCACGGCAGCCAGGCAGCCGCATGGCCGTGGGCACAGGGTCTCTACCCCCGGGTGCTGACGTGGGAGGAGGGACGGGCTTGCCCAGTCCCTGGGCGGTCCAGCCCAGCCTCCAAGCACCCACCCCAAAGAGGAGATGAGGTGGGTGGGGGAATGCTAGGCCTGAACGGGGTCTCCCACCTGCTCCATCCAGGATTAAGGCAACACCTCCCTCCATGCCCACATGAATGTGCAAACATTCACAGCCTGAAGCAGGAAGGACAGATGAGTTCAGACCTTCACCTGCCCCCACACGCTTTCCTCAGGGGCCTCTGGGGGGGTCCATGGGCCAGTGTGCTGGGCACCCGGAGGAGAGGCCAAGGCTCCCTAGAAAGGAGAATGAGGCGTGGAGGAGACCAGTAGGGTCGGCCCGACTCAGGACCCTGTCCATGCCTGGGGTGCTGGCCCTGGCACTACAGAGCCAAGGAACAGCCCATGGGGAAGCCCCTGTTGCCACAAGCCGTGTTGTCAAACCATTTCCCCCGGAACAAACAAGGCCTGAGGACGCCCGAGAACCCTGCAGCCCTGACTTGGCGCTCTAGTTCACACTAACCGGCGACCTGCAGAATCACCAGCTCCTTTGTTGGCCTCCACAGAGAAAATCAAGAGGAACGTGCACCCTGGTGAGCAGGCTGACTTCAGAACTAGAGAGAAAACTTTGTGTGCATCTGGGGAGTGCCACACAGCAGCTGTTTGAAGACAGGGTCTTCCTTTAGGGAGGAGACCACAGCATCCTGTATCAGACATTGCAGGGCATGACCCTGGAGTCCAAGAAATGACTCCAGGCTCAGGAGAAGGACAGGGCTGGACCCGAGAGCCACAGCTGCCACCTAGAAGGGCAGGTGTCTCGTCCATCTCATCTCCACACGCATGTGTTCCCAACCCTAACCCTAACCGAGAATAACAAGTGTCCCATCCTTTTCATCTCCACACGCATGTGTTCCTGACGCTAACCCTAACCCACAGGAACAAGTGTCCCGTCCACCTCATCTCCACAGGCTTGTGTCCCTAACCCTAACCCTAACCCCTAACCCCTAATCCCAACCCTAACCCTAACCTTGTCTCCAAAGCGTGTGTGTCCACAACCTATCTAGGGCACTGAGCCGAATCCAACTGAGACACAGACCACAGCTCCCACCACACCCCTGTACCAATCCATGCAGTCCTGGACAACTGGTGTCCGCAACACACACACACACACACACACACACACACACACACAGAGACACATACAATGCACCACACACATCTAGACACAGACACACACTACACATAATATAGACACACACACCTCATATGCCATACACACACATATACACACATCACACTATAGACATATACACATACCACACAGCACACACATAGACACACACACGGACACACACAGGCGTGGACACTCACATGGCTCCCGGCAGTGCTGCAGGAGGTCAGCACAGAGACGTGCTGAGGAGCCTGAGATGCTCGCTCCTCTGGGCCATCGCGTGTAAAGGCTGCCCTCGCTGTGGACTCTCACATGTGTGACATACATGAACAGGCGAAACGGACACGCACGGCCCCCACACACGTGAGCTGGGTCCCCCAGGGCCCGTCGGAGCCCTTCTGCCTGGGACCTGCCTCATCCCCGGCCCCTCACAGGGCAAGACATCGCAGTAACCGCAGGTCTTCAGAGCAGCCTACCCTGGCCATGCCAGGCGGGAACAGCAGATGGACCCTCGGGGCACCCAGGTCCCACGAGAGAGTGACAGCTCAGGGACATCTGTCCTCGGGGCCCACGAGCTTTAAGCCCAAGCCAGGGTCCAGGCCTGGTGGCCTCTGTGTGGCCAAGGCTGGCGGGGGGCACTCCATGGTCCCAGGCAGGGCCCTCCTCAGCCCACTGGAAGCGGGCTTGGCTCTGGGTCCTCTGCCTCCCCCCGCCCCCGCCCCGCCCTCCCAGGCCCCTCGCCCACCTCAGGCTTCGGGACCCCCGTGTGAGCAGCGAGTGGTCAGGAGGACACGGTTCTGCTCCCCGCAGGGACGAACCCCCACTGCTTCCCAGATCTGCCGGGCCAGACCCCTGCCACCCTCCCGCGCTATAAATCATCAGATCACAGCCCCGCCCAAGGCCTCAGGGACCCGCCGTGGTCCCGAGAGAGGCAGCCCTGGACGAGAACAGGGCCCCTTTTCTGCCTGGTCCCCGCCCTCCCCGCGAAGTGACCCCGTCTGGACTCTGCAGCCGCGGGAACAGCGAGGTCAGAGGGCGCCCCGGGAGCTGTCGGCCCATCCCCGCGGCCCCTGCCCCGGCTCGGTGTCACCTGCAGGCCCCGGACAGGGCGGGATCCCCGCAGGGAACTGCCCCAGGTCCCCGGAGCGCGCGGCGGGCGGCAGGGGCGGGGCTCCGCTGGGCTGGGGGGACCCCAGGCAGGGACCGACCCCCGGGCTGACCGGGAGCCCCACCCCCGCCGGCCCGCCAGGCCGCCGCCGCCCACCTGCGCCCCTCGAGGGGACCGGCACCTGCGCGCACCTACCGTAGCGGCCGGGCTCGCGGCAGTAGAGCAGAATGGGAAGCGGGTCCTCGTCAGGCGGCTCGGGCGCGGCTGCGGGGTCCAGGCCGGGGTCGGGGGCCCGGCGGGGGCTCGGGGTGGGGCGCTGGCTGTCGCCTTCCTTGGCCCCGGGCCCCGCACCCCCCGCCGCGGGGGTCACCACGAAGCGCTGGGACATGGTGTCCGCGACGGCTGCGGGGAGCGGGGACCTGAGCGCGGGGAGGGCGGGGCCGGCGGGGCGGGCGCGGGAGGCCGGGAGGAAGGGAGGGAGGCCGGGGGGGAGAGAGGGACCGAGCGCACCGCCGGGGATGGGGCCGCGCGGCGCGGGGAGGGGCCGGGAGGGCGAGGCGGACTCCGGCTGACACCTCGGCAGCGGTCCCTGCCCGCGGGGGGACCACGGCCTCGGCCCCCGAAGAACGAAGAGCGGCCTCGGCTCTCGCTGCGTGACCTTGGAGACGCCCCAGCCGGGCGACCGGGTCAGCGCGCGGTGCAGAAGCCTGAGGGGAGGAACAGACCTCGCTCTGCGCCGCCTGGAACCGACGACGACCAACCCTGGCAGCAACGCTGCAGCCCGCGGTCTCTGGCGACGCCCACCGAGGGCCGGGACCAGGGGGCCGGTGAGGGTGGAGGTCTCGCTGGCCTTTGGGTCCGTGGGGAGGGGCGCCCTGATCTGGGGCCTCCACCTCCCCCATCCCCAGACTCCAGCCCTTGGCCAAGCAGGGTTCAGCCGTGCCTGCGTGCGAGGCAGAGGCCTCCTCCTGGGACTTCCACCTGGGGAGAAAGGCCTCCGGGGCAGCCAGGGTGGAAGGCGGAGGCCAGCCTGGCTGCGGAGGCGCTGGGAGCCGCGGACCCTAGAAGTCTTGGGAGACCCCGCCTGCTCTTCAGGGGTTCCTGCAACCACCGCAGCTGCACAAATTCTGCAACTGGCTCTTTCCTCCCCTCTAATGATGCTGTTGCCACCACCTTGCGTGGAAGTATTGAGCACTTTACAATATGTATTCACAGATTCAATAAATATTTATGAATGCTAACCTGTGCCGGGCCCTGCAGGTGACAGAAGGGAACCCCTGCCTCCGTGAAGTGTAGGTTCTAGAGGGAGGCAAGGGTAAGAGCTCTGAGGTGTGGGGAGGGCCTCAGGTGACATCTAGACAGTGACTTACAGGGAGCAAGTGGTCAGCTGTGCTGCCTCCAGTCATACTCTGCCCTCGTCGTCCACGGTGGCTGCTGCTGGTCCAGCCATCACATCTGAATCCCAGCAGTAGAGTGAGGAAACGGGAAAGGTAGCTAGCCACTCCTTCGCAGAGCACAGCCTAGGAAGCCTAGGAGTGCACATAGCACCTTCGCTTATCCTGTTAGCCAGAACTTAGTCCTGTGGCCACACCTTCGTGTGCAGAAGGCTGAGAAACACGCCTCACCCATGTCTGTGGTGCTATGGATAAGAAATCACCAGAGGCTGGGTCTCAAGGGCACAGCTAACACCAGTGGAAAGACCAGGGAGGATGAGAACTCCTTTCTTCAGCACATCCTCTCACCATCGCCCCACCTCCACTCATGTGGCACCGGCAGGCATGCCTGCTCACACCTGCCCACACTGGCTCACACCTGCTGACATCTGTCCACAGCTGTTCCAGCCCACTCACACCTACTCACCCCTGTGCCACCTGCCCACACCTGTTCCCATCTGCTCACACCTGCCCACACTGGCTCATACCTGCACACATATGTCCACACCTGTTCCAGCCTGCTCACATCTACTCACACCTGTTCCCACCTGCCCACACTGGCTCACACCTGCTCACATCTGTCCACACCTGTTCCAGCCTGCTCACACCTACTCACCCCTGTGCCACCTGCCCACGCTGGCTCACACCTGCACACATCTGTCCACACCTGTTCCAGCCTGCTCACATCTACTCACACCTGTTCCCACCTGCCCACACCTGTTCCCATCTGCTCACACCTGCCCACACTGGCTCACACCTTCACACATCTGTCCACACCTGTTCCAGCCTGCCCACACCTACTCACTCCTGTGCCACCTGCCCACACCTGCTCACACCTGTTCTCATCTGCTCACACCTGCCCACACTGGCTCACACCTGCACACATCTGTCCACACCTGTTCCAGCCTGCTCACATCTACTCACACCTGTTCCCACCTGCCCACACCTGCCCACACTGGCTCACACCTGCTGACATCTGTCCACACCTCTTCCCACCTGCTCAACCTTCTCACACCTGTTCCCACCTCCCCACACCTTTTTCCAAGATGAACTTTTGAATCATTTTTGGACGTTCCCCCCAAATACATTTCTGATTTGGTTGAAAAGTCACTAAATGTATAAATAAATTTGCTGAGAACTGACATCTTTATGGTGTCAAATATTTTCACCCAGGTCCTGCACATTTTTTCCATTAATTTATGTGTGTGTATTCACATTCTTGTCACTACTGGACTGACATGTAAAAACAGGATGAAACACCTTTGGCTGTTGTGTGTTTCTTTTGTAATCTTCTACCTTGCAGAACTCTAAATCCTATTATTCAAATACATTTCCAGTTCAACCTCTCGCATTTTGCAAGGAATTTTTGTTCTGTTTTGTTTTGTTTTGGAGACTGAGTCTTGCTCAGTCACCCAGGCTGGAGTGCAGTGGTGCGATTTTGGCTCACTGCAACCTCCAACTCCCAGGTTCAAGCAATTCTGCTGCCTCAGCCTCCCGAGTAGCTGAGATTACAGGTGCGAACCACGCCCGGCTAATTTTTGTATTTTAGTAGAGATGGGGTTTTGCCATGGTGGCCAGGCTTGTCTCGAACTCCTGACCTCAAGTGATCTGCCCACCTCGGCCTCCCAAAGTGCTGGGGTTACAGGCGTGAGCCACCGCACCCGGCGTGCAAGGAATTTTTTTAACCTGTAAGTAATGATATCGTTGTCCTTTTTTGTCATTTTTACCTCTTCTGTTTTCTTTTCACCCCTTTGTTCTTGTTTTGGAATTTCCTAGAAATTCCAGGGCGATATCCAGGGCTGTGTTGCTGGTGGAACTGAGTGTGTGGCCTGGACCCAAGTGAGGGTGGTTCTGGTGTCTCCGGGAAGCACTGTGCCGCCTGGGGAGTTGAAGTGCTGCCTCTTGCTCTACCCCATGAGGCCGACCCTGGACGCCTCCCCTGAGACCCGGAGGCGGCTTGGGACGGACTTGAGGAGGAAGGAGGTCCCACAACTCAGATCCTCTCACCTCCCGGCCTTCCGCCTCCCCTGTTCAGGCTCCTCAAGTGAGAGCTCCTCCGGACTCCTGCCCCAAAGGCAGCCTGTCCCCAGCTTTCATTTCCAAATGCCCCAATATCTGCCATTCAGCCACACCCTCTGCCCACCCTGTCCCTGGGTTTGAGGCTGCCAGAAATTTGGGAGGCCCTGGAGCCCCTTAGAAGCCTCTAGCCATGCTGAGTCAGCCTGAACGATGGGGCTCACTGCGGCCACTGCCCACCTTGGCCTCCCGTGGACAGTGGCTGCATGTGTCCCGGGAGGACTGTGGTGAATGCCTCCCGAAGACAGGACTGGAGACACAGGAGGCCCAACGGGCTCTGATCGTCTGACGCCTCCGCAGGAGAGAAAGGTTGTAAGAATCCAGGTTCTTTTATGAAATGCTAAAGACAGAAAAATGCCGCCTGGCTCCCGTAAGTTCTCCACGTTGAGCAGTGGATGGGAAGAAGGACAAGGGCTGTGGACGCCGAGTGGCTGAGGACAGGGGAGAGGTGCACCGGCCACGCGCGTCCCTCAGTGGGGAGATGGCTGCAGACATCAGGAGGCTGAGCACAGGCTAACCGCTGTTCCTGCTTTATCCTCCTCTCCAGGTCTTAAATTCTGCTTCTATCACTTTCTTGTTTCAAGACGGTTTTTCCTCCCATCTTGATCTGAGTACTCCTTCATGCTTTTTGTTTATCTTGCTAAATGGAGAAAACAGTGAAGCTTATACAGTTTCCCCTGAAAACAGCCTTGGCCTCTTGGTGTCATTGTTTTCCACTGTTTGTAATGACAACTTTAATCTCTTTGACTAACAACCTACTTATAGCCCCTAATTTTTTCAGTTGTCAGTTTGCAAAATTGAGGTCTGATCTGCAAACAGTAAGACTCGCCACTTTTCCTGCAAGTTCTGTGGGGGACTGACTGCAAGGGCCAGGAGGGTGGTCTGGCCCCATGCAGGCACCTCCGCCTTCATTCTGCAGCCAGGTCAGAGGGACTCAGGGGTCACCTCCAGGGGTCACCCGCACCTGGGCTCCCATGACTTCACTCCCACCTGCTGTCAGATCCCTGGGGTCTCACCACAGACCTGGAGGCCCTCCTGGGGGAGCCTCAACAAGGTAGGTGACCAGGGAACGGGAGAGCCTTTGGGAGTGAGGAGTGATGGAAGTGCAGTGGGGAGCAGAGACAGAGACAGAGAAAGAGAGGGAGAGAGAGACACAGAGAGGGAGGGAGAGAGACAGGGAGAGTGATAGAGACAGAGAAAGATGGAGACAGAGAGAGGGAGGGACAGAGAGAGGGAGGGAGAAAAACAGACAGAGAGAAGACACAGGATGAGTGATAGAGACAGAAAGACAGAGACAGAGAGAGGGAGGGAGAGACAGAGAGAGACAGGAAGGGAGAGAGAGAGAGAGAGACAGAGATGGGTGGAGGCAAGGGGCAGGAGAGAGGATGTTAACCCTTTCTCCCCACCATTTACTGAACTGTACGTTGGACGATGGGACGCCTCCTCCCCCTACCCCGTGACGGGGTCCTGGAGGGGCAGACTTTGGAGAGGAGCTGCTGAAGGGTGGTGGGAGAGCAGGCAGGGTGCCACCACAGCGCCACAGCGACACTGCTGCTGGGGGCTGGGTTCCATTCCCTCTGCCTCGAGATCATGGGGGGTACTTGGATTATTGTTCAGCAAACACCTGCTCTCTTCCCCCTCCACCCCTCCGAGGACACAAGCATGCTCTGCTCTGGATCAACAGTGGATCAATAATGGATTTCAAGCAGGCTGGGCTTGGCCTCTGCTGTCACTGTAAGAAACACACCCCAGGGGCCAGGCGCGATGGCTCACGCCTGTAATCCCAGCACTTTGGGAGGCCGAGGCGGGCGGATCACAAGGTCAGGAGATCGAGACCATCCTGGCTAAAACAGTGAAACCCCGCCTCTACCAAAAATACAAAAAATTAGCCGGGCGTGGTGGCGGGCACCTGTAGTCCCAGCTACTCAGGAGGCTGAGCCAGGAGAATGGCGTGAACCCAGGAGGCAGAGCTTGCAGTGAGCCGAGATTGCGCCACTGCACTCCAGCCTGGGTGACAGAGCGAGACTCCGTCTCAAAAAAAAAAGAAGAAAAGAAAAGAAACACATCCCAGGTAAGGCTGCCGGCCCCTGGAGGGTGAGAGACCTGGAGAGAGGTCTCAGCCCAGAGCACGGCCCAGAAGGGCCGATAAGCCTAGACCAGCTGGCCCTGACAGTGAGCAGGGATAAGTAACTGCAGCTCGACTTGTTACGCAGTGTTACTGACCCAACAGCAGACTGATGCACTTGTCCTGCACCCCCTTGCCGAGGTAAATCCTCCCAGGGCCTCAGCCTCCTCACATCCGAAGTTGGGAGAACAATGGTGCCTCCGCCCCAGGACGGGCTCAAGGTTGAGATGACTCAGCGCAGGGGAATTCTCTGCACACCCTGTCCTCTGTGAATGCTGCTCTTGTTCCTGACTTCCAGGACCAGGCGAAGGTGGCCCAGCTCCCTCCCCGCAGCCTGTTCCATGGCCCACGGTGCTGGGCGTGAGACTGCTCCCTGGTTCTGTGGGCTGGGCCCTCCCTCTGGGCAGGTTCTGTGGTGGGAGAGACAACAGGCTCGCTTTGTAACTCCAGCTGCCAGGTGCACACCCACTGTGTCCTCCAGCCCAGGCGCTTCCTGAAACTCCCCCTTGGTGCTCTGCAGCTTGTTTGCAAAGGTGCTACTTCGCCTGCTGAAATAAAGTGTCCCATTCAGCTCTCTACTCCCGCGTGGTCTGTTGGTCCACGATTTGCCCTTTGTGAGCAGCTAGCTCAGTGGCGTTTCCTGGAGACAAAGGCCCAGGGTTGAGGGTGCCGTGGAGACAGCGCTACCTAAGGAAAGGCGCAGCTACAGGGCACAGCCCCTTGCTGGGGGCGGCCGCCGCAGGGCCGGGCATCTGCCGACCCTCAGCCAGGTCTGGGATCACCCTCACCAGGGCCAGGCCAGTGGGGGACCTGCGGCAGACCTATAGGAGTAGGAGCTGCTCCAGGGCCCCAGCCGTTGCCCGTCCACGGAGGTCACGTTCAGGCTAAGCTGGGCAGCCCGGCCTTGTGTTGCTGGCCCCCAGCCGAGGGAGGAGCTACGGGAGGGGTTGGGGTGAGGCTGTGGCTGGGATGTGCAGTGCCCAGCGACGGAGGGTGCTGGACATGTGCCCGGCTACTGGACAGCAGCCAGGGAGCAAGTCACAACAGAAGCCGAGGGGGAGGATCCTGCATCCCCACTGCTCCAGAAGGTGCATCCAGCTGGGGCGCCCTCACCGTGCGGACACAGGGGCTCCCAGCTTTCTGTGCACGCAAGGCCACAGCAGGAGCTTCCCGGGGTCTGCAGATGACCCAAAGCAGAGTTCATTTTCTTCCAGTACCCTCTCTGCTTCTAGAACCTTCCTCCAGCCCCATTCCAGCGCTCACTCTGGCCGAGACCCCTGCCCACTCACTGGTTGGTGGCCGGCCAGCCGCCCACCCCACGTCAGCAAAGCCAGCTGCCCGTGGCCCGAGGATGTGTCCTCGCCATGTTCCTACGGCCAGTCCTCCTGAGGCCACCGTGACCCCGAGGGGTCCCGTGACGGGACAGGCAGCTGACCCAGCACTGGCCACGCGGCCACCCACTGGAACAGGATGAGAGGAAGCTCCCGGGCAGCAGAAACCAAGCCACCCTCCCCTAGTCACCCCTGCATTTGTCATGTGCCTCCTGCATCTGAGGATGCCCTTCGAGGCCCTGGGGGTGGGGGGTGGGTGTGTCCTCTCTCAGACTAAGGAATCCGTGTCTAAGGTGCGGCTGCCCTTGGGATTTTGCAGGGTGGGTGACGTGCAAAGGGTGGGTGATGTGCACAGGGTTGGGCCTAGGGTAGAATTTGGGCTCTAGGGGACTCTGAACAGAGCGGAAACGTAACATCCAGACGTTCAGGGGCCTGGCTTTTGGGTGCAGCCTCCACCTGGCAGCAGGTTCTGTTCAGGGACAGGGGCTGAGAGCTGGCGCCTGCCCCAGCCTAGTGAGGATGCCAACGAAGGCAACTTCTGCTTTTCTTGAGGAAGAAACTTGGCTTTTGACTGGCCGGATTCAATGATTTTTCTTCCCTCCGAAACATTCCCTCCTGTCACTAGACTCTTTTCTTTTTGATATCTGTTTCTTTCTTTCTTTAACAATGAGCTCAGCACAAGGGGTGTGTTTGCCACCTGTCAGGAGGCAGCTAAGGGCTTATTGTAAGAACTTCTTTTCTTCCCATGGCAGCACTGGGGGAGAGGCCATGGCTGTCCCCATTTTATAGAGGAGCAAACCAAGGGCCACAGCCGTCGGTCACCTTGCTAGGAAGAAGAGGAGGGGAATTTAGGCCCAGCAAGCCGGTGAGCGGCTGGAGCTGTCAGCTTGGTGCTGGGCTGGGCGCCAGGAAGGCCTTGAGTGCTGGAGGGGCTCTCGGTGGCCTCAGAGTGTCTCTATAACCTCCCATTCCCACTCCTGTGCTCTGCAGTAAGCTCTGGGGCTCCCCACTGGGAGGGTGGCTGTGCTCCTGCCCCTTGGGGACTTCCTGGGGGCAGAGGTCTGAGCCATCTCCAGGGCCGGCCCCTGCAGCGCTCAGTTTAGGTGCGATACAAGGGTCTGGCTAGCCAGGTGTGGGGGCCGGTCACGGGCTGAGGGTTGAGGGAACCGTAACATTTCTGGACGCGTTTTTCTGTGGAGCAGGCAAGGTGGTCTGGTCAGGGTGGTGGTCTCCCCTGGGCCGTGGCAGGGGTATGGGGACACTGAACCACAGTCGTGGGGTCCACGGCCCAGTTCCAGTAGCCAATCAGGGGCACATGGTCCTGGTTCTTACCTTGGCTCATTGAGCAGCTGTGCCCAGTGCTGTGGGGTCAGGGGTGACATCCCAGATGGGTCTCCTGGATTTGGGCTGAAAGATCAGTCTTGGGGTACCCCCAGGGTCAGGGTGCTCAGAAACCCCCATGGTGGGCCTGGCCTGCCTTCCTGGCCTGCAGCCCTGCCTGATGCCAAAAGGTCACTGGGCCAGTCCTTGCCCACGGGCCCCTCCCCACGGTGAGACCTGCCCCACTTGAAACTTGCAAACATGGAAACTTGGCGATCTGACCCATGGCCTGGCCCAGCACTGCGACCTGATCCTGCGGCCCTGTGGGCCCCGGGCTCCCCATCGAGGTTGGGTTTCTAGGCTGCCTCAGCCTGTTCCAGCGAGAGGCGCTCGGGGTACGCTGGCCCAAGCCCCGCTGAGGTGCCTCCCAAGGAGGAGCCTGTGACCCTCAAGTGCAGGGGGTTGCAGATGCCCGTGAGCTCTGTCTCCCTCGTGAGTGGCCTGGGCACTGCTGCACGCGGGTGGTGGGGGCTGTGGCCCACCAAGGATTCAGCCTGGTAAGCGGCAGTGGGTGGGAAGGATGGTGTGGGCTCACTTGAGGGTCATGGGAGTCCGAAAGACTGGGGGACAGACTCAGGCCCGGGGAAGTCACATCCACAGGGACATCAGGTGCCCCCCTTGGGCCACCAGGACCAGACACATAGCACCCTGGACTCTCATCTCACAGTGTGGATCTGTGCACACACAAACATAGACACAGATGCACACAGATAAACACACACAGAGATATACACAGAAATACACACAGACATGCAGATACACAGAGACACAGATGGAGACACACAAATATGGAGACACACACAGATACACACAGAAATAGACACAGATACACACAGACATACACAGACACACAGATATGGAGACACACACACCGACACACACACAGAAATACCGACACACACAGCCAGCTGCTCCACCTTTGTGACCCCACCACCTCCTCCAGGGGCCCACCCTGATTGACTGAGAAGCTTTTGCTCCTAATTTGCTGAAATGAAGCCACCAGCGCTGGGGGGAGTGTGGCCCCGTGTCCCTTGAGCTCCCCGTGTCCCTTGCGCTCCCCGTGCTGGCCTCAGAGACCACATGTTCTAGCTGCATGAACAGCCAGCACACGGATAAATCCGTCTCCAGAGGGTACTTTTCGTGCAGAGCCAGTCGGCTGGGCCCTTTTTCTCCCTGCAGGACACCCTGTGTCTCTGTGGGAGGAGGGCAGTGATGCGGAGTGGGGAGTCCTCCTCAATCAGATAACATTGTGTCTCCCAGACGAGAGGCCCATGAAGGTCAGGGAGGGCACAGGGCTCTCGGAGGGAGTGTCTGGGGCCAATGTCACAACCTCTGCTTCACGCCCTTTCCAGACACAAGCGCAGACACTGAGCAAGGAGGAAGGAAGCTGAGACTCTGCGGGCCCGGGGACTGGCAGGAGCTCTTGTCCATGAGTTGAAGCTGTAGCACCAGGGTGGGGACAAGCCGGGCCCATGGTTTCCAGGGCCTCTGTCCTCCGTCCACCTGAGAGTTGTGCCTTGAGACAGGAGGCACTGGGCAGCCAGCACAGCCGCACTTTGAACAGCCATGCAGAAGCCTCCACCCAGGCAGCCCCTCCTCCCAGGCTGGCCGCACCATCCTTCTGATGAAGAAAAACCAGGTTCAGCCCTCTCTTATCGGGACACAAAATAAGGGCCCTGGCGCACCAGAGCAGGGTCATCCCCCTAGGGTGCAAGGAGGTGTTTTGGCCTCTAAGGACACAAAGAGCTGAGTGGAAAGACCAGCCCCTTCTAAGGGGGCGCGTAGAGGTGGATGTAAAGGGCCCCGCCCAGAGCTGGAAAAATGCTGGCCCCAGGCCACATCCTGGAGACTGAGGCTGCGCCTACTGGGAGACCAGGAGCCTTTACCTTTGCAAGGAGCTCCTGGGTGGTCCCAGTGAGTAACGCCCTGAGAGGTTACACCCATATCTCTCAGGAGTCAGGCTCCTGCCTCTGTGTGGAGCATAGTTCACAGAGACTGGTGCATGGGACACAGGCCACTCAGGGACAGTAGGGTAGATCCAGCTCCAGGGCCTGAGGAACAAATCACCTACTCATTCATTCACTCATTCTTTCATTCACTCATGAACCCATCCATCCAGTAATCCACCCACCCATCTCCCCATCCATCCATCCATCCATCCATCCACCCACCCATCTATCCATCCATCCATCCACCCACTCACCCACCCATCTGTCCATCCATCCATCCATCCATCCACCCACTCACCCACCCACTCATCTGTCCATCCATCCATCCATCCATCCATCCATCCAATCATACATCCATCCTTCCATCCACCCATCCTTTCACCCACCCTTTTATCTACCCACCAACCCACCCATCTATCCATCCATCCATCCATCCACCTAACCATCTATCCATCCTTGCACCCACTCATCTACCCATCCATCCATCTATCCACCTACTCACCCACCCACTCATCTATCCATTCATCCATCCACCCACCCACCCATCCTTTCACCCACCCTTCTATCTATCCACTTACCCACCCATCTATCCATCCATCCATCCATCCACCCATCCATCCATCTGCCCATCCACTCACCCACCTATCCATCCATTCATCCATCCATCCATCCACCCACCATTCATCCATCCATCCATCCACCTATCCACCCACCCACCCATCTATCCATCCATCCATCTATCCATCATTCCATTCACCCATAAATCCATCCATCCACCCACTCATCTGTCCATCCATCCATCCATCCATCCACCCACTCTTCAGATAGAAATCTATCCACCTACCCACCCATCTATCCATCCATCCATCCATCCATCCATCCACCCACCCAACCACCCACCTATCTACTCATCCATCCACCCATCCATCTACCCACCTATCCATCTATTCATCCATCCACCCATTCATCCATCTACCCATCCACCAATCCATCCATTCATGGTACGGGGATGTGCAGAGAATGAGATACCTTATGTGGCTGGGGACACAAAGGGAAACCTCCCAAGGTAGCAGTCCTGAGACGTCTGCCATCAGGAGGGAAGTGAGAGGCACTGAAGGGGTGTGTAGGGAACCCAGGGAAGGTCAGTCGTGGGGTGGGCAGTGCAGGGAGAAGAAGCATGGGGGAAGCACCTGCCCATCAGGTTGATGCCAGGGGTTCAGAGCAGTTAAGAAGAGCCAGGGCCGGGCGCGGTGGCTCACGCCTGTAATCCCAGCACTTTGGGAGGCCGAGGCGGGCGGATCACGAGGTCAGGAGATCGAGACCATCCTGGCTAACAAGGTGAAACCCCGTCTCTACTAAAAATACAAAAAATTAGCCGGGCGTGGTAGCGGGCGCCTGTAGTCCCAGCTACTCGGGAGGCTGAGGCAGGAGAATGGCGTGAACCCGGGAGGCGGAGCTTGCAGTGAGCTGAGATCGCGCCACTGCACTCCAGCCTGGGCGACAGAGCGAGACTCCGTCTCAAAAAAAAAAAAAAAAAAAGAAGAGCCAGAAGGTGTTCAGGCAGAGGGACCCCCAGGCTACCAGCGTCAGGAAATAAATGACACAGATTTGCAGAGAGAGGCCGTGGTCAGTCCTGCCTCCAGCTTCCTGGCCAGCCCTGCCTGCCCAGACATCTGAGTCAAAGTAGCCTCTGTCTTCTGTTGTTATTTTCAACATGTGTGCCTGCCACTTACGGTCCAGAAGGTGATGATGACAAGCACTGAAATAACCTTCTTGATCCAGGTGCTTCCTTTCTCCACAAAGGCCTCCCTCAACCTAGAAGGCTCCGTGGCTCTTTATGGCCAAGCAAAACCCTGAGTGGTTTCAGGGCTCTTGGTAGCTCCTGCCCACTCCACACACACATAATCTTAGTCCCATCCTCCCTGCTACAAATTCCTGCAAGTTTCGTACTCAGGAAATGCAGCTGGGGATGGGCACATCTGGGTACCAGGTGCTTTCAGAAGAAGCAGGTGTGGTCAGGGTGCAACTTATGGCAAAAACAGAACTTTCGGTCAAAAATGTCCTGTGCATGGTGACTGAGCACCACCTTGCGGACAAACTGCCAGTGAGCCGAGCCCTCCGGGACAGATGCTGGCAGTGGGGGAGGTGGACTCCGTGTAGACAGCTGCGTCCACCTGCATCAACACCACCCCAGAAAGCTCGGTCCTGGCCTTGCTGTTGGCCCTCGCCCAGGGGTAATATTGGCCTGGCCATCTCTGTCCCAGGCATGCTTTGCCTGCTCCAGAACCCCACAGGACAGGGCCCCCGGCTTCCCGTCTCCTCGCCCACCGTGCTCCTGACATTGCGTCCACAGCTCCGTCCACAGCCCCTGCCCCTGGTGCTGAGCAGCACTCCATGGCACAGATGTGCCACAGCTGCCAGTCACGCTCCTGAGCCTGGACTCTGTGTCATCTCCAGTTTGGCGCAATTACAATATTGAAACACAGCGGCCACGAACCTTCCTGTGCCTGCATGTGGGCAGATGTCTGCGTCCATTTCTCTCTGGTAAACACCAGGGGGAGCCGCTGGGTCACAGAGTAGAAGGATGTTGCATTTCCTGAAAAAGTGCCACACTCTTCCAAATGCCTGTGCCCTTTCCCACGCGTGGGGCCCCTGCCCATTTCGTAAGGCAGATCCGCCTCCATGCCGCACTGCCTCCTCCGTATTTTTGGCATTCGGTTGCTGAAATAGAACAACAGCCATCTCTGCTCAGCACTGTCCATTCTAGGAACCTGCAAGCATTTCATATACATGATGCTATTTTGGCAGAATCCTTAAAAACACAAGTGTTACTACGATGGACAGATGAGTAAACTGAGGCATAGAGCAAGAGATAACTTGCCTGTTTCTGCTTGTTGGTGTTGAGCTCAGTTGCCCCAACCCCCATCAGGCTGGCCCTGACACAGAGGCCTTGGTCTCCCTCAAAAACCATGATTCTCAAGGTCATAAAGATCCCAACACACGCCCCATCACAGGACCCCACCGCACAACTTCCTGAAATGACCACCCCCCAGCCACCGCCCAGAGGCCCCGTGTGCAGCCCTGACCACCAGGCCGGCCCACTTACAACACACAGGATCTATTTCTAGGGACCCAGGGCCTTAGGCTGTTGCGTCAGCCCAGAGATGGTGCGTGGCGAAGCTCCCAGTGCAATGAGAAATTGTGGTCTTGATTTGTATCCAACCAGACGTTTAATATCCGAGACCGTGCCCTGTGGTATGATGGTTGGCGGCAGGCGCTCTGGAGCCTAGTTGGCTTGAGGCCTAACTGCTGCTCTGGCAACGGTGCCCAATTTTCTCAAAAGTGCGATCGTCCGTAACGATAGCACCAGGGTGGTAGCTGTGAGGTTTGAGAGTCCCAGCACCTACTGGGACTAGAGAGCCCCAAACACCCAACGATGACTAAGACTCCTGAAGTCTGCGGGTGCCTGGAAACGGCGTGAGGGACGCCTGGGCCCTGGACAGAGCTGCCTCCTCCTGCCCGTCTTGCCTTGCCGCCTCCCCGCACACTACCAACATCCCCAGCTCCAGGGCCCAGGTGGATCCACGGGTTCCCCACACGGCCAGCTCTCCGGTGTCCTGGGGTTGGTTCAGTGATGCAAGCATCACCCCGTTGGGATCTGTCATGTCTGGGATTTCCAGGAGGGATCACGAGATTAGAAACGTGGCCGAGGCCTGGTGCTTCGTGGACGAGAGCTGTGGGAATCGCATTAGGGTCTGGGGAGGTCAGGGCGGCCCCTTGTGCCCCAACCCCCAGAGGACCCTCTGGTTCCTGGAGGCAAGCCCGCCATGCTCATGTATGACTCTGGAGACCAACCACGCTGGCGCAGGGGTGGTGCAACTCAGGAGGCGAGAGCCTCACTGATGAGGAAAATGTCACCCTAATGAGGAAAGTGCCATGTACCTGGGTAAGGTGGTGTCTGCTGGAGACTGGAGACTGCGCCTCCCAGCCCAAGCCTGCCGAGCACGGGGGCTCCTGGGGGGCATGGCAGGGCATCAGCCCCAATGAGGACAGGACAGCCAGGGTCTGAACCCTAAAGGCTACAGCAGGGAAGGAGGGGAGGAGGGAAGGAGGGCCGGGGGCTGGCCATGACCGGTGTGAGACATGGCCTTGGTGTCTGTCCCCCGCCAACAGACCAAGTCGGGTCACAAAAGGGCCTCCGTTTCAGGACAGCTGGCTCAGAAGGAGAACAGAGCACAGAGCCTTTGGTGAGGGAGCAGGGCCTGAGACAAGGCCGGCCCTCCTGTCCTGGACGTCTCGTGTCCCTCAGCTCATAGCCCTGTCCACTAAAAAAGGAGTCAAGCTTTTAAATAAGGGAAGTTCATCTTATTTGGAAGTTTTTCTGAGCACTGCAGCCCGGGAGGGGTCTTTCAGAGGCACATGGTCAGGCTGCTGCGGAACAGTCCCAGCTCCTGGCACAGCTCTGGTGATGCAGCTCGAAATGTGCACAGAAGTCACGGAAGAGCAGAGTCACACGGAGCTGCAGTGGGTTACAGAGAACGTCTGGATTATAGACGCAGAAGTCACGGAAGAGCAGAGTCACACGGAGCTGCAGTGGGTTACAGAGAACGTCTGGATTATAGACGCAGAAGTCACGGAAGAGCAGAGTCACACGGAGCTGCAGTGGGTTACAGAGAACGTCTGGATTATAGACGCAGAAGTCACGGAAGAGCAGAGTCACACGGAGCTGCAGTGGGTTACAGAGAACGTCTGGATTATAGATGCAGAAGTCACGGAAGAGCAGAGTCACACGGAGCTGCAGTGGGTTACAGAGAACGTCTGGATTATAGACGCAGAAGTCACGGAAGAGCAGAGTCACACGGAGCTGCAGTGGGTTACAGAGAACGTCTGGATTATAGACGCAGAAGTCACGGAAGAGCAGGGTCACACGGAGCTGCACGTGGGTTACAGAGAACGTCTGGATTATAGACGCAGAAGTCACGGAAGAGCAGAGTCACACGGAGCTGCGTGTGGGTTACAGAGAACGTCTGGATTATAGAGAACGTCTGGTTACGGAGAAAGCCTGGATTGTACTGAATGTCCGATTACAGAGAATGTCTGGTTGTAGAGAACGTCTGGATTACAGAGAATATCTGGATTAAAAAGAACATCCAGGGCCGGGTGCGGTGGCTCACGTCTGTCATCCCAGCACTTTGGGAGGCCGAGGTGGGCGGATCACCTGAGGTCAGGAGTTTGAGAGCAGTCTGACCAACATGAAGAAACCCCGTCTCTACTAAAAATACAAAATTAGCTAAGCATGGTGGTGCATGCCTGTAATCTCAGCTACTAGGGAGGTTGAAGCAGGAGAATCGCTTGAACCTGGGAGGTGGAGGTTGCAGGGAGCCAAGATCTCACCATTGCACTCCAGCCTGGGCAAAAAGAGTGCAACTGTCTCAAAAAAAAAAAAAAATCTGGATTATAGAAAACATCTGGTTACAGAGAATGTCTGGATTATACAGAATGTCTGGTTAGAGAGAATATCTGGTTGCAAAGAACATCTGGATTATAGAGAAGGTTACAGAGGACAACTGGTTATAGAGAAAGTCCAATTACAGAGAACTTCAGTTTACACAGAACATCTGGATTACAGAGAACGTCCAGATTATACAGAATGGTTACAGAGAATGTCTGGTTACAGATCCCAGAGGCATAATTACCAACCCTGCCAGACCTTATCTCGTGCAGGACACAGCAAGGACGTGAGTCACGTACCGTCTTTAAGGAATGGAGTGGCTCAGGCAGGAGTCGGGGTGACGCATTGTCAGTTCATTGTGTCTTCAGAGCATCTTTCCAGCAAGCGGCAGTCATCACAGTCGGGTTGAGAAATGAGGCTGCAAGTGGCAGTGGGCACACACGGCTCCTCGTGCTGCTCCTTTGCCTCACAGCCCCCTTGTTCTTGGTCCTACAGCATCTTCCTGCATCGTCCACCCTCCACCCTGCTGCCTGTCCCCATCCTTGGTTGAAGTGGATGCCCAGATCCCACGAGTCTAAATATTCAGTTTTAAATCTCAGGACAAACTGTCACATAAAGTCAGCTCTGGGCCGTCACAGTGACCCACAAGGCCAGGATCCAGGTAGAATCTTGGCTCTCCGCATTCAGAATGGGATCTCTGGCCCAGGCCTCAGGGGGACAAGCTGCCCCCTCCACCCAAGCCCTGAAGGCTCCAGGACGCGCACCCTCAGTCCTCACACTGTCATGGGTGTGTAACCTGCCCCAGCACTGTCCAGCAAAGAGGGAGACCCAGCAAAGTGGGAAATGGGAAGGTGGCCTCCTCTGCCCCACCCCATCCCCCAGCAGCCTGGGGAGATCAGGAACACGGCGCTGCCCACAGAGGACCCTCCTGGCCCACCGTCCCCTCGTGGCGGGTATCTGCCCTGTGGGCTCGTGAGCTCTGACTTGACTATGGGCGGTGTGGGGGTGTCCACAAGGCTGTGCGTGGAGGCATGAGCCACCTGGGTGACCCCACCACAGGGACGGAAGCCAGCAGCATGGCTGGGGTGGGAACACTGCCTGGCTGGTACCCTGATTCCCCACCTGGATCTGGGGAGTTGGGCCTCTCTGGGGAGGCTTCCCTGACCAAGTGCCATGGGATCCCGGGATGCAAGGAACTTCCCGTCACCCTATAATGGCCAGTAGGTCCGGGGCTCCTCGCAAGCCCTCCCCTGGCCGAGGCCCCCTTCCGGTCCAGGATTCTGCAGAGTGACCAAGACCCGGGAGAGTCAGTCCGGAGTAGAAACCACCATACGGGCCCGGCCTGGTGGCTCACGCCTGTAATCCTAGCACTTTGGGAGGCCGAGGTGAGTGGGTTGCCCAAGCTCAGGAATTCGAGACCAGCCTGGGCAACGCGGTGAAACCTCGACTCTACTAAAATACAAATTAGCTGGGCATGGCAGCGTGCACCTGTAATCCCAGTTACTCCGGAGACTGAGGCAGGACAATTGCTTGAACTCGGCACGTCCGGAACTGGTTCCTTCCGGTGGGTTCTTAATCTCACTGACTTCAAGAATGAAGCCACAGACCCTCGGGTGAGTGTTGCAGTTCTTTGTGTCCGGAGTTCCTTCCGGTGGGTTCCTGGTCTCGCTGACTTCAGGAGTGAAGCCACAGACCTTCACAGGGAGTGTTACAGCTCTTACAGGTGGCGCGTTTGGAGTTGTTGGTTCCTCCCAGTGGGTTCGTGGTCTCGCTGGCTTCAAGAATGAAGCTGCAGACCTCTGCGGGGAGTGTTATAGCTCATAAAGGCAGTGAGGCCCCAAAGAGCAAGCGGCAACAAGATCTATTGCAAAGAGCAAAACAACAAAGCCACCAGGGTACCGAGAAGGACCCAAACGGTTTGCCACTGCCGGCTCGGCTACCAGCTTTTTATTCCTTTATTTGACCCCGCCCACATCCTGCTGACTGGTCCATTTTACAGAGTGCTGATTGGTCCATTTTACAGAGTGCTGATTGGCCCATTTTTACAGAGTGCTGATTGGTACGTTTACAAACTTTAGCTAGACACAGCACTGATTGGTGCATTTACAAATCTTTAGCTAGACAGAAAAGTTCTCCAAGTCCCCACTAGACCCAGGAAGTCCAGCTGGCTTCACCTCTCACCGGGAGGCAGAGATTGCAGTGAGCCGAGATCGCACCATTGCACTCCAGCCTGGTCGACAGAGCGAGACTCCATCTCAAAAAAATAAAAGAAAGAAAGAAACGGCCGTGTGGGGTGGATGGTCGTCAGGGTCCGCACTGCAGAGACCCTGGGAGCTCCTGTGCCTGGTGGGCAGAGAGTGCCCACCATGGTGAAGGGGCCTGCATCTGGCCTGACCAAGGACCAGGCCAGCTGATCGCTGCTCAGTGGACTTGGTGTGGACAGAGGGTAGGGAGGCTCCACAGGCCCTGGCCGCAGGCACCTCTGGGAAAGCATATCCACATCATCTTCCACCGTGAGGCGGGTGGCGACCAGAATGCAGTCAGTGTCTTGTATAAAACCCAGCGCGATGCCTGTGTTGCTGCCCCATGTCCCCAGCGGGGAGAAATCGCTGGGTCTGAGTACTTGAGGATGCAATTCAGACTGTCAGGAGGGGAGCGCCCCACCCAGCCCGAGGGGCCTCGTCCCACCCGTGCCCAGGGACACACGTGGACGCAGGTGGGGCTGAGCCGCCCCTGGGGTACCGTGGGCACTGGGGCACTGCTGGTGCCATCTCCCACCTCAGGCCCCTCCAAGGGGTGTCCCTGGGCTGCTTCCCCTCCCTCTGCTGGGGGGCTGCCCTCTCCCTGAAGCACCCCCAGTCCCTCCCCAGCAGACTGATGCCGAGACTGAGGCAGAGGCTGAAAGTCATTTCCAAAAGGTCCTCGGTGACACTGGAACTCGTTCTGCTTGTTAAAAATTTCAAACCGGAACGAGACTTTGGAGCTTATTTTGTCCAAGCCTTTTATTTTTCAAAGGAGGCAACTGCACTGAGAGCGTTAGACTCAAGGTGCCTGGCACTGACTCAGGCTCCAGGGCACCCCCTCCCCGGGATGCCCCACACGAAGCACCCGTCCCTAGAAGGTGGCCCCAGGTTCGTGGTCCCATCTTCAACCCCAGGGTTTACTGTCTCTATATTCTCTGCCGTGAAGTCTAAGGGCAGCTCAAATTTCATAAACGGAGAAACAGTCCTATTTGTCGATTCTCAACTGCCTTTATCTCCAGAGATCCCGTGAGAGCAGGGATTTGTGGAATGACTCACTGTGTAGCGGCGTCTTCTGGCGGTGGACGAGGCCGGGCGCACGATTTTCCCCGTGGGTGAGAGTGCCCTCTGCTGGTCCATCCAGACACCGCTGTCAACAAAGTTTCCTGAGGAATGGTCACCTGGCTCAGCTGGGGGAACCGGACTCCCCATTCTATCCCATTCCGTGCCCCACCCAGAGTCTTAAGCTAGACCAAAGCTGATTTTTCTCCCACACTAAGAATATGCCCGGGGCTGGTATAGGGCACCAGGTGTCGGGAATGCAGGCTCTGTGAGTCTCGCCAAGTCACTGAGTTACCATTGCAGCACAGGCTTCCTCCTGATGGCCCAAGGTGGCTGCTCAGGCTCCAGCCCTCACATGTGCCTTCCAGGCAGCCAGAAGGAGACATGAGGAGGGGAAGGGCCTGTCCCTTCCTTTAAGAAAACTCCTGGAGGTTGTATTCACACTTTTGCTCACCTGTCATTGACCTAAACATTTTCCTGTGGCCACGCCTGGCTCCAAGGAAGCTGGGGAGCCAGGGGGTCTAGGAACAGTGAGAGATGCTCATGTTGACAAAGAATGTGCCCGCCAGCCACAGAGCAGCTCCGCCCGGTCCTACACTCACCCTGCATGCAGCTCCATCGCTTCTCTCAGTGCTGGCGGCTCCAGAGCTTCTGGAGCTGCAGGATGCTTGGAAAGAACATAGACTCAAGGAAAGTGGCGCCTGGAGCCTGCAGCCACTGGTGAGATGGGTGGAAGCAGCCCTCAGAGGCCGATCCCTCCCTCACACCATCAGGATAGTCTGTTAGCCTCGCCAGGCCCCAGCTTTCTTGTCCATGGAGTGGGGTTACTAACAGTTCCCACCTCAGAGGCTGGGATTCATAGAGTCTGGGTTTTAGGGGAGGCTGGGATCAGAGAAGCTGGGATCGGGAGGCTGGGAGTGGGGGTCCTGGGATGGAGGAGGCTGGGATTAGGAGGCTGGGATTGGGGAGGCTGGGATTGGGAGGCTGGGATAGAGGAGGCTGGGATTGAGGGCACCTGGGTTCCCTCTGGTCTCTGCCTTCTCCCTGGCTGCCTGGTTGGTCCCAAGGCCACACTCAGATTTGGAAGGTGATCTGTGTCTCATCCAGGCGTCCACTGTGGCTTCACGTTTCTGTCAGTCATATGCACTAGGCTGCACCTCACCTTGTTAAGTAGAGATTTTAACATTCACCCCCTGAACATGAAATCAGCATGTGGACTAAACTCAGAAAGATTTCCCGAGGCAAAATCGTGTCTTTAGTGGGCCATTTAGTGTGGGATCTACTTAAACTATCACTGGAATACATGGTGGATGTCAAGGAAGGCCCTGGCCCAACCCTGCTGCTGCTGAGGGAGGGGGCGGGGGTAAGGCCTGGTAGGGGGGCGGGAAGCACCTCTGGGTTCTGTACCTGGAGTGCCCACCCTGAATCACCCACCTTCACGCACCGTCTCTGTGGCTGTGGAAACATCCGGCACAATGAGCACGGGGCGACTGTGAGACAGGGCCTTAGAAAGGGCGCGGTCTCTGGACTTGGAGTGAATGTCTGCACCCTTGGGTGTCAGACGCCCCAGTGGCTCTCAGTATCGACTGGAGGCTCTACAGAGAAGTGCAGTTGTGTCTGCTCTGTGGTACTCGCTGGTGACGATGAGTTACTGAGCTGTGACCATCGACACCGACTCCCACTCTCAACAGGGCTGAACACCTGCAGCGACTCCGTGGTCCTGCGAAGGTGCTTATGGCCACGCTGGGGCTTGGTCGACTCCTCCTGGGCTCTGGCATCACTGAAATAGTGTCAGGGACCTCGATCTCGGGCCTCCAGCCTCCAGAACGGTGGGGAAGCAATGTCAGTCACTCATCCAGGCTGTGGCATTTTGTTACAGCGGCCCAAGCAGACCAATGCACCCCCTCGCCCTGTGGGTGGTAGTGACGGGAATCCATCACTCCAGCGGGTCGCCTCATGGCCAGAGGCATGGCAGGCTGGAGAGGCCGACTGCGGTCGGAGGGACCTGCTGTGTTCTCCTGGAGGAAGAATGAAGCCTTGAAGTCAGCAGAGCCCAAAGCTGCGGGGTCGGGGGCGCAGGGAGCGCTTTGCACGTGGGTCGCTGAGAGCGAGAGCATTGCTCACCGCCACTCCCGGGACCTGTGCAGAACGAGCGGCCCCAGCCCCGGCTCTGGCCCCAGCGTTGACTGAGAACCATCGCCCTGCACCTGAGGCAGGAGAACAGGGAATGGGGTCACCGAGGGCTAAGGCAGAAGCCGGAGGGCAGCAGGTGCCACCGGTTCCTGGCTGGATTGGGCGGCACACAGGCCGCAGCCTCCTTCCTGGGAAAACAAGACAGGAGTCTCCACCTCAGCCTCTGATTGGCCGCAGGCCAGTCTTCATAGGATGCAGCCAATCAGAGACCTGGAAAGGGCACCTGGGGGTGTTACCAAATTCTTTTAGCCCAATACAAACCCTAATGGGGGCTCCGGAGCACTTGCTGGAGTCCCGTCCCCCCTTGTGGAGTGCATGTTCACTGCAAAGGATCTGCGCTTTCATTACTCTGTTATTTGTCGTTTTGTGAGTTTTGCTCAATTCTTTGTTCAACATGCCAGGAACATGGACTCACAGTCAGGACCTCCCTTCCGGTAGCACACCCAGTAGGGCCTCCAGCCCACCCACAGCGTGGCTCCCACCGCCCCCGGGGTTGCCCACGGCGGGGATCCCACCACCCCTCGGGCCGCCCATGGCAGGGCTCCCACTGCCCACCAGCGCCAAGCCCTTCTGCTCAGGTCGCCTGCTCCTGAGTGGCGGGGACACGGCTCTGGGATCCTATGGCCACAGATCCGTTCCTCACCCCTTTGCTGTAAAATGCGTTTCTTGGTCAGGAACATCGTGTGGGAAATTATAACATCTGAATAAGGCGTTCGGAAAGACTGTGGGCGACAGTGCTGAAGACAGCCCTGGAGTAAGGGATGGTGACAAGTCCCAGACAAGCACCCACCCCAGAGAGAATAGCTCTGCTCTCCCCACCGTAGAAAAGCCCAGTTTTGGCCGGGCGCGGTGGCTCATGTCTGTAATCCCAGCACTTTGAGAAGGCCAAGGCGGGCAGATCACGAGGTCAGGAGTTCGAGACAGCCTGACCAACATGGTGAAACCCTGTCTCTACTAAAAATACAAAAATTAGCCGGGCGTGGTGGCTGGCACCTGTAATCCCAGCTACTCAGGAGGCTGAGGCAGGAGAATCACTTGAACCCGGGAGGTGGATGTTGCAGTGAGCCGAGATCCTGCCATTGTACTCCAGCCTGGGTGACAGAGCGAGACTCTGTCTCAAAAAAAAAAAGAAAAAGAAGAGCCCAGTTTCCATTGGCCGCCACCGTGGCTGCGCCCTGCAGTGACGCTGTGACCAGAGCCACCTCCATGAGAGAAAACGCTTGCTGGGGAGCCCTCGTGTTCTCCCCAGTGCCACTGTGGCCACCCATCCCCAAGCTCTCGCAGGAAGGATGGGGCAGCTGGGAAGGCAGCATATTGTCCATTCTCACATGGAGAGCCCCAGTGCCCGGGATGGTCCTCAGTGAGCATTCACAGGGCGCGGCGTCCTCCAGCCGTGAGCATTGGATAGGCTGATGTACACCTCTGCCCCGACCACCCTGCCACGCCTTTCCACGGGTGCTCCTCCCTCCTTGATGGTCTCGTCAAACAGCGGCCGTCCACGAGTCAGCGTGCATCCATGCCTCTGGCCGTCTCTCCTCCAGTGGAGGCGAGCAACTCACTTAGTGTGGACATCCTGCCTCCCAGGGCATGTCCCTTCCCCAGCACCTTCAGGACCACCCGTGCCTGGGATGTGGGCCCACAAGCTGCCGCAGCCACACAAAAGCCACCCAGACACCGAGGGGCAAGTAGCACCAGTGCATTGGCAGCCTGCAGCTCACCTGCTGAGCGGGTCAGGATGTGACACGGGCGGTCACTGGAAGGCAGAGGGGCCCCCCAGCCTTGAGCCTCCTTCGCGGTAAGTGGTGCAGGGGCAGCCATTTCTCTTTCACTTCTCACTGTCTCCAGAACAGGAGAAATATCCGGAGCTCAGGCCTGTGTGTGTTTGTGAGGCCAGAGGTCAGTGAAGCCTCACAAACTCAGGATGTGCTCCTCCTAACCCTCATGTCTCCTCCTCTTCCTCCTCCTCACCCGTCCCCTCCTCGTTCCTCCCACTGGGATATCAGAGTCAGAGAGCTACAGGGGTAGAAGGGATGTGGGGGTCACACGGGCGTCCGCTCGAGCCCTGCCTGGGCGCTGGAGGAGGGCCTGGCCATGTTTTCTTTCCTAGAAACTCTCATTTGATCCTCCGAAGGGAGAGAAGGGACGGGAAGGAACAGAGGCCTTGGGTGTCGGCCTAATTCAGTCCCAAGGCCACCCCCACCTGCCATCCTTGGGGCCACTGGTGACTCCACATTGCAGAGCAGCTGCTGGCTGAGGCTGGGCTTGGCGGTGCTCACGTGCCTGGGGTGTGAAAGCTGCACGCAGCCCTCATCTGGCCAGGTCCCCGGCTCCGACTCACACCGTGCTTGGCCAGTGTTTAACTCACACAGCGTGATGCTCTCCACTTCATGCCTGGGGACGGACGTCACTCCTATTCCATGTCTTGTCTTTCCACAGGACTCACGTACGGACTCACATGGCTTTGTGTGCAAAAGACGACTACACGGTCGTAAACGAGGCGGCCCACCCCAGCTCTCCCTCAGGTGAGGCTCAGCTGGGGGCAGACCAGGCCAGCCACGTCCTGCAGGGCGAGAGGCACCCGGCCCGCTGGAGTCCCACGCAGCCCTGACATGCCCAGGACCCTGCTCACCCCACACCCTCGCTCGGGCACCCACCCCCTGCCTGCAGTGGGGGCTTTCCCTGGGGCCTCAAGACTGCAGGAGAGGCAGGCGGGGCCTGTGGGGTTGTGTTTCTTCTCTCCAGAGTTCCTGAGTCCGGAGCACATAGGCAGAAGGAGCTGCTCCCCATGTTCCCAGGGCTGCTCCTGCAGGGGCTCAGGAGTGGGGACCGGGGGGTTTTGTCAGAGCAAGTCCCCAGGGGCCAGGCCCAGTCATCTCGCTCCAGGCAGCCTGGGCCTGGGGCCCTGACCACTTGCCCCGCACGACTCAGGGCCCCCTCCGCACCTGGACACGGGCCCCACAGGCCACGCTCAGGCCACCCCAGGGTCAGGAACACAAGGCTACGCTGGGAAGTGCCAGCGTCTCGCACATAGAATTGGTGTTGCTTCTCTCTTCTCAATATCCACCCCGAATACCCCATTTTCCACATTTCCTATATTAAACTGTATTATTTTGTAGTTAGAAAAAAGTTTTATTTCTAAAGATGGCAGCTTCTGTCTCTGTACCCGTGGAGTTAGAATCAGGAAGAGAATGTGGCTCCCGTCGCGTGGCACCTGTGGTCAGGGTGGGGGCACCCAGCTATAAGCCACATCATTCGTGTTCAGTCCCTGTCAGTTTCATGAGAAGTGGCAGCCGAGAGGGCAGCCCGGGAGGTGCCACCCGAGCTGACGGTGACACCACGGTGATGCCTGGCTGAGCTCAGGGCGGCAGCACACCCCTCCTCGGGACCGCCTGTGTGGGTGTCCCCTGTAAGGTGGCATTGCCTGGGCCCCCGCCAGGCCACAGTTTTCCAAAGACTCCAGGGCTTGGCTGCTGCATCCAGCTGCAAAGAGGCCTGCTGGGAAAAGAGCTGATGCCACAGGGAAGAAACGCGACCCCCACGGGCCCTGCTGGCCTCTCCAAGGCCCCGACCACTGGACGCAGAGGAAGCCGGCCTTGCGTCAGGGTGAGATGGATGGAGACGGCCACGGGCAGTGCTGCCCCCAGCGGGGCGCGCCTCACCCTGGACTGTGGGGTCCTCTCCACAGGCAGCGCTGCCCCCAGCGGGGCGCGCCTCACCCTGGACTGTGGGGTCCTCTCCAGAGCCGCCCATCTGGTCCTGAGACTTGGCCCAAGGCTTTGGGTCCACAGCCTGGCTCTAAGGAAAGCCTGTGCCAGGCCTTGGGGAACCCATTGCCGAGCAGTCACAGAAAGCTCCCGGGGTCCCCGGGGCCCATCTCAGTGAAGCCTGAGGCGGGGGATGGGGGTGGGGAGCAGGGCCCTTCCCGCTGGAGCCTGGAGCCTGTGCCTCTGGGTCCCCTGTGGGGTGGGGGCCTCATAGCCATGCTCCCAGGGTGGGATGCAGCGCCCTCCCCGCTGGAGCCTGGAGCCTGTGCCTCTGAGGCCCCTGTGGGGTGGGGGCCTCACAGCCATGCATCCAGGTGCCTGGTTCTTCCCCCATGGAGCTTGTCATAGGTACGGCTGGTGTGCCAGAGTCTGAGGCCCTCTGTCCCGAGAGCCGTCGTTCTCCAGGCTCTAGGTACCAGACCTCCATCTGTGACTCCCCCAGGCGCCCACACTTTCCTGGCTCTCCTCCGCCCCCGACCCCATCTGCTGGGGCCCTGGCAGCCCTTCCACGTCTGCTCCTCCTTCCTCCTCCCCACAGAAGCCCTAGGGATGGTCCCAAAGCCAGGCCGAGTGTGTGACACCGTCTCCAGCTCCCACGTGCTCAGGGTCGGGGCGGGCTCAGCGGGGTGTCTGGCTGCTGCCTCTCACCCCTTCCCTCCTTCGGAAACACGGCACTGGGCCTGACATCCACCATACGGGACAGTGGCTGGGCTTCTCTGGCCAGACCGAGGGGCCGCCCCTGCTGGCACTACGGGAGGTCACCCTGCAACACCCCGGATGCAGGGAGGATGCCCCCAAAGGAGCCCCCTTCTCCTTCTGAGGCTTCTGAGGAGCCCGGGGCTCAGCGCAGCTATAACCCCTTAGAATCCCCCGCTCCTCGGAGCCCCTGCCACCTCCCCGGGCTTTTCCCAAACACTGCCTGCTCATGGTGGGCTCTGGGACCTTCTGGAAAAGAGGTAGCCCTTGTCTTTTCAGTGCTTCAGAGGCCGTGCTAGTTCTTTGCCAACACACGGGCAGGAAGAGTTGAGTGGCGTCCAAGGGCCGGAAAAGCCGAGCCCCTCCCCAGTCCTGGCCTTGAAGGCTGCTCTGTTCCTGAGCTGGGCACAGAAGCTGCAGTGACTCAGGGTCCACCGTGGGGTCGGGCCTCACCCTGGGCCCAGGTGAGCCAGAAGGGACAGCGCTTTGAGGGCTGACCTCACGCAGGTCCCCGGGCCAGGGAGAGGCCGCACCTGCGCCTGGGTGGTGGAGGGGAAGGGAGGAGGGGCTGCTCCCACTCTGAGCAGGCTCTGGAGGAGGATCAGGACAGGCCCTAAGGCGCTGTTTCTCCCCCACCCCATGGCCTTGGGAGAGGGTCTGCCCCACTCCCTCTTCTCTCCCATGACCTCTGACCCTCAGCCCCTCCTTCCTTTGG
The DNA here is from genome assembly GCF_000001405.40 of Homo sapiens. Taxonomy (NCBI): domain Eukaryota; kingdom Metazoa; phylum Chordata; class Mammalia; order Primates; family Hominidae; genus Homo; species Homo sapiens. Next base: position 1,181,895 of record NC_000005.10, read on the forward strand.
GCCATGCTGGCTAGTAGGCTCCTCCCATGTCCACAGCGGTGGCTCCGCGCTGCCCCTTGGACTTCCCCGAAGTGACCCTGACCCCTGGACCTTGGCCACCCCTCCCAGGCCACACCCCGACCTGGTCCCTCCAAGTGTCCACCAAACCCTGGAAGGGAAACACTGCACGCCTGTGCCCTGGGGGCCGGGGTCTGCCCAGAATGCCTTCTCTTCCTTGCTCCTTTCACTAAATGTTCTTTTCTTTTCTTTTTATTTATTTATTTATTTATTTTTGAGACAGAGTCTCGCTGTGTCGCCAGGCTGGAGTGCAGTGGCGCAATCTCAGCTCACTGCAACCTCCGCCTCCTGGGTCCAAGTGATTCTCCTGCCTCAGCCTCCCTAAGAGGAGCTGGGACTACAGGCGTGCGCCACCACATGCAGCTAGCTTTTGTGTCTTTAGTAGAGACGGGGTTTCACCATGTTGGCCAGGATGGTCTCGATCTCTTGACCTTGTGATCCACCCGCCTCAGCCCCCGAAAGTGCTGGGATTACAGGTGTGAGCCACTGCGCCTGGCCTGAATGTTCTTTTCAGGACCACTCAGGCCTCCAGCCCCAGGCGCCCAAGAGGTTTACCTGTTTCCCACCCAGGAGCCCCCACCCTGCGTGTCCTCTGACAGCTGTGGGGACCTCACTTCAAACGGGCTTCAAGGGAGGCCCCAGCACTGTGTCTTACCTCAGGCTGAGGTCTTACCTCAGCCTCAGGTCTTACCTCAGCCTCCCTCCCGGCCCGTCCATCTCAGGTCCCCTCAGCGCCCCCGGCAGATGTGCCTGAGAACCTTGCTGAAGGGGTGCCAGGGTCGGGGACTCCGGGACTCACAGCCAGAAGAACTCTCCCTGCACCCCGCTGCCCCGAGGAAGGGCGTCCAAGCCCTGCCTCTCCCAAGGCCCACCTCTCAGGGGCAGCGGATCGGAATGGGGCACCCACCCGGGGAGGCCCTGTGCTCCCGATTAGATTATCAACACCACACAGTTCACCTTTGCTCGGCTGCGCTGCTGTTGGTTGAGGAAAAGCAAAGAGGAGTTACATTTTAACATTTGTGATAGCGCAGCTAGCAGCTCGCAGCTCCTGCAGACAGCTGCTGGGGGGAGGGTGCCCAGGGAGTCCACGCTGGCTCCAATAAACCCGGCTCCCAGAGACGTGTGTCCTGTCGCCAGGCCTGCTCGCCCCAGAGAGGCTGTGGGGCACAGTGAGAAACGTCTCCGGCGTGATTGCTATTGGTGAACTGTGAGTTTCGTTCACCTGCTAAAAATGTTCCCCCAAACAATGTTTCCTTGGAAGCACTTCCATTTCAAAATACAGCTGCAAAGTGCCTTGCTTGGCCCGTGAAGGTCAATGAGCCCGCAGAAGGGGCAGAGACAAAAGGGTTTTTAATAACGCTCCTTGCTGTCAGCAGCAGCACAGGCTCTGTAGACAAGTCAGGCTTTGTTCCCGGCAGTCCGCTGTCATTACATGGGGCAGCTCCATAAAGATACCAAGGCCAGCTCTGAGGCCAGGGTGCAGACTCCAGATGCACAGATGCTGGGCCGGGGATGCCCCTCACCTGGACAGGAGGACAAAATCCCCAGGAGCCCTGGACGGGGGTGGGGCAGGAATGGGGTAAACCACATGCAGCATCCAGCACCCGGCACCCGGCACCCAGAACCCAGCACCCGGCACTGTGCTCAGTAAGGCCTGGAGGACACCAGGGCCGGCCCCAGGGAAGAGGGGGAGAGCAGGTGGCTCCGTGGTCAGGGCTGGGCAGAGGCAGGAAGGGGCAGGGCCAGCGGCCTTTGGGTAACAGCGAAGCTCCTCCTTGCTTGGTTTTCAAGCTCTGAGACCCCTCAGGGGCTGCTGCAGGGGGTGAGGGAGGGGCAAGAAGGGGCATGAGGGGGAAATAGGAGACGTAAGGGGAGCTCACTTCTCCCCCAACCCTTTCCAGGGCAGCAGACCCCCTCTGGCCAGCGGTGTGTGCTCCACCTCCACCTAAGGCTTCCAGTCTGGGCTGCTAAATGGGGAGCCCCTGTCCCCACCCCGGGCGCAGCCCCAGGCTCCCGATAGGCTGGCAAGGCTGGAGAGCCATGGGCAGGCCCAGCCAGGGCCACCAAGGGTTCTGCACATCAGGGCGTGGAGATGATGAAGGGCTGGGTGCACACGGCCCTGGGGTGGGGCAGGAGGAGCACCCAGGGTCTGGGGGAAGGGGCCTGGATGGGTGGGACACGGGCATCCTAGCCGTGGGCAGAAACCTGGAGGCCCCAGAGAGCAGACTCACCTGGGGACGAGAGCTGCCTGAGTACCCCGCACGGGTGCAGGTGCTAGGCAGGCAGAGCTCCTGGAATGTTCCACAGAGGCGGACCCCGCTCTGCCCAGGTTCTCTTTGCAGGTGCTCAACAGGGTCACAGGTGCTTCTTGGAAAACCACAGGCCACTGAGAAGACACCTCCCCAGTTGACGGTTAATCACAAACCATTGGTTAGAAACCATTTTACAGGATTCTAGAGGTGCTTGGAGAAGGAGCTCAGGGATAACCCAGGTGCTGCGGGGTCGGGTCAGGCTGTGGCCTTGGACGCCCCTTCTGTCCCATCCACAAACTCAACTTGGCGCCTCTTGGGGCTGAGACTGGCACCCGAGCCTCCCCTGCAGTGGAGGCCCCTGTACGCCCTGGGGTCAGGTGGACGGAGGTGAGGACCACTCCCCCTCACCGGGACCCACGGACACTGTGCCCACATCCCAGGACCTTTCTTCTGGGCCATGGAGGCCAGGGGTGGCTGAGCTGCTAGTCTGAGGACCTGGGTTCATTTACTGACCAGGCCCCTAGCGGATGCTTGGGCCCCCAGCTGGAAGATGGGGCTGGTCCTGCCTGGGGAGGCTCCTCTGGGAGAGGCCATTGGGAGGGCTTTATCCTGGATGGGGCTGGGAGGTGAGCAGGGCCATTGGACTGGGCTGGGTTGTGGGAAGGAGACCTGGGGTCTGGTGCCCCTTGGCCTCCACCCTGAGTGGTCTCTTTGTCCCCAGGACTCAGTTTCCTCATCTGTAGAATGAGGGCTGACCCAGCCCACCCTTTGTCACCCGGTACCTGGAGTGCCTGGAGGGTCTGTGGAAGGAGCTCCTCCCCCAACTCCCAGAGGGAGTATTGGCACATACATGTGATACGTGTGTGCATATGCACACATGTCAGGATGGAGTTGGCACATATGTGTGATATGTGTGTGCATCTGCACACATGTGATGGAGCTGGCACATGTGTAACACGCTTGTGCATCTTTACACATCTGCACACATGTCAGGATGGAACTGGCACATATGTGTAACATGTGTGTGCACCTGCACACGTGTCATGATGAACTTTACACATGTGTGATGTGTGTGCATCTGCACACGTGTCGTGATGGAGCTGGCACATGTGTAACATGCTTGTGCATCTTTACACATCTGCACACATCAGGATGGAGCTGGCACATATGTGTAATATGCGTGTGCATCTGCACAAGTGTCAGAATGGAACTGGCACATATGTGTGATATGCGTGTACATATGCACACATGCGTCAGGATGGAAAATGCTGAATTGGCTGTTTCTCGCCCCCATGGATGGTGAAATGAGGACACTTCTCCTCTCCGTGTTTGTTCTGCATTTTCCAAATATGTTACAAAACTGTATTTTATAATCACAAAAGTTACAAAAACACACATTTACACTATGGTTATTTCTCTGACAATAACTACAATAACTAGGGGTGTCCCTTCACTTTTCCCAGCTGTGCACCATAGAGCAGAAGGGTTCCATGGATGGGACCAGGGCTTCCGTGCAGGACTCTGGCCCCCAGGCCTCCAGGCCACAAGCTTCAAGCTGGCTGCTTCCAGGCCCAGGGCTTCTGGCCGGGCAGCCTCCCTGGATGTCGTCCACTCAGGGCAGCCAGGGCCCCATCTGACACACTCTGTGGAGAGGAGGTCACAGCCCCTCTCTGTGCTTCCGCTGCCACCCGCTGATCTCAGCTGTTATCTTGACACAGAGGAAAGTCAAACTGCAGCCTGTCCCAGCTTATCTCTGGGTTATTTCCGCAAAGATCCACGTTTGGGTAAGCACTGGCTCTCCTGATAACCTAGCAGTAAACACAGCCAGGAATGTGATGCCCATAGGAGAGGCACAGTGCCAGTGCAAGGCCAGCGTCCCCTGGCTGGCAGGTGCCCAGAGCGCCACACGCACAGGTGTCCTGGGAATTCCCACCCAGGGACCAGAGCATCTGGGGCACGGCCCCTCCTGGGAATGCAGTGGCCCCAGCATGGAGCACCCATGAGTGCCGTGGGTGCCAGGGACAGGACCATGGGGACTGGCCCCCTCTCTCCCCTTCTGTCCTTTCTCTTCTCCTCTTCCCTCCTTCTCTGTCTCTATCTCTCTCTGCCTCTCTGTCTCTGTTTCTCTCTGCCTCTCTGTGTCCCTGTCTCTCTGTCTCTGTTTCTCTCTGCCTCTCTGTCTGTCTCCCTGTCTCTCTGCCTCTGTGTCTTGCTGTCTGTCTCCCCTGCCCCCCGGCCTCCTGCCCTGGTGGGTGGACACTCTGCTTCCCCTTCCCTGGAAAGCAAAGGTAGAGACAAGGGCAGGGGTGAAGGTGACCAGGAGGAATGTCGGAGGTGGAGCTGACCCTGCGGATTTAGCTCCAGGCCTTGGGGAGGTGGGAGGCCTCAGGGTCTCGTGACTTAGGAAGCTGCTGCTCAATAACTTGGGCCTTACAAACTCGGCTCCTCCATGAAAACAAACCACCCCGTTCAGAACAAAGGTTACTGATCCGTGATCACGAGGCCCCCCATGGCTGCCCTCTTGGCTGCTGCCCAATGCCGGGTGCTGAGGGATGTGAGAGGCACCACCAATGAGCCATCAGCATCCCTGGCACCTTTCTCTGGCTGGGCATGGGGGGCGTCCATGCTTTCAGGATGTCTCTGCCCTGTCCTGGTGGCTGCCCCAGGATGTGGGCACCCCCACCCCCTCCTGCTTTTCTCTCCTGGGCCCAGCCCGGCCTCACACTCATCTTGCTGCACCTGGAAGTTTCCAGAAGGGATGGAATCAGGGCCTTGGGCCTCCTCAGGAGAGACCTGTACTTCGCTGTGATAGCTCCAGCCACACCTCAGGTTTGACCGCCATGCTCCAGCTGGCAGCTCCTCCAGGGCAGATGCAGGAGCCCTGTGGCCCCGCTGGGGTGACGTGGGCCTTGGGGATGAGCCTCCACTGATAATTCTCAGGCAGGGATGGGTGGGAGGGCTGTGGAGTCCAGGACGCAGCAGGTCCAGTCCTTGTTGGGGCGCTTGACCCTGTGCTGGGGACGGCAGCCCCGCCTTGGCTGGCTGTGAGCAGATGGTGGGGGTGGCACAGGAGGACCAAGCCTGGCTTCCTGCTGCTTCCATCTCCTGAAAAGGCTCAGAGGCTATGAAAGGGCGGTGCCTCCGAGGTGGGCCCCCTCCCCACCACCCTACCCAATGGGAGGTCATTCTTCCTCCCTGCAGGGGAGCGAGGACCTGAGCGATGATTCCCACGTGTGTGTCTCCTGAGGGCTTGGTCCCTGTGAGATGCCCCAGGGCCCCGAAAAGCCAAGGCCAGGGCACGCTGGGACCCCTGCTGGCCTGGTGGCTTCCAAATGCTGCCCTTCAGTGAGGGCCCGGCTGAGCAGCCAGGTCATTACCAGTCTGCTGTGCCTGAGAAGTCCTCTGCAGACCTGAGGGTCCACCCACCACACTGGGCTGAAGGCACAGCCGGAGGCCTCTGTTGCTCAGCACTGAGAGGTCCTGGCTGGGAGCTGAGGCCTCTGCCAGCAGGCTGGGTGGGGGCTGGGGGTGGCACAGTGGCTGGGAGGAGGCGGCCGTCCCCCAGGAGAGAAAGAAGCCAGAAAGCATGTCCAAATGCAGTGCTGGGCCTGTGTGGGGCTGGGGCGGCTGCGGCCGGTCCTCGGTGTGCCTGGCCCCTGGCCGTCCATCCTGGCCACGTGGGTACCTCTGACCATGCTTTCAGGCTCTCCTCCTCAAGCCTTGAGGGTGCTGTGCCTCCTTGTCCCCTTGAAGGAGCAGGTGCTTGGATGTTGGAATGGCTTTGGCCGGCAGACTGTGGGCAGGGGTGGCCCATACTGGGTCCCCAGCTCTCCCCCGCCAGCTTCAGCAGCTGTGGACTCTGCAGGTGCTCTGGAGGTGCAGCTGCCTGGAGGATCCCTGGCCCATAGAACATTGTCATGGACAGTTGGGGGATGTTTGTTCCTGCAGCGTAGCCTCTCTTGTGCCGGCTAAAATGTCGTCTCTTCCAGATGATTTGAAAGATGGGGCATCTTATGTGGGAAACATCTAAAGCTGAAAGCCTGCCCCATTTCAATAAAATCCGAGAGGCAAAAACACGAAATTGATTAAGGGTCAAATCCCCTTTACAAAGGATTCCGGAAGCTCTTTGGTATATTTCAGCTGTATGTTGTTAAGCTTATGAAATTAGTGAAGGTTTTAAATAAATAATATTACCTACTGTGAGTGAAAGTTCAGTGAGTAGAAGATCCGTAATTCCTGCTGGCGGAAGCATAACTCAGCTTTTTATGGAGAATTTTGTGATGTACGTGTCTACCTGGAAGATAAGGGCAGCCTGTGGCCTTATAATTCCCATCACAGCAATCCACCCCAAGGACACCGTTGGAAATGTGGATTAAGTCATATGGGCAAGGAACATAGATTATAAAACTCTAAGTCTATTTGTGGTGAACTGAAGCCAGTGTTGTAAAAATTATGCATGATGGACAGATTGGGATTATTCCAGGATGGTAAAATTGGTTTAATATTTAACAATCAAACCGTGGGCCAGGTGCGGTGGCTTGTGCCTGTAATCCCAGCCCTTTGGGAGACCAAGGCGGGTGGATCACCTGAAGTTAGGATTTCGAGACCAGCCTGGCCAACATGGTGAAACCCTGTCTCTACTAACAATACAAAAATTAGCCGGGTGTGGTGGCACGCGCCCATAATCCCAGCTACTCAGGAGGCTGAGGCAGGAGAATCGCTTGAACCCAGGAGGCGGAGATTGCACTGAGCCAAGATTACGCCACTGCACTCCAGCCTGGGCAACAGAGGGAGACTCCATCTCAAAAAACAAACAAACAAACAAACAAAATACTGTGTAATCACCTCATGAAGATAATGAAGAATGAAGAGGAACAATGTCTCCTCAAAAATGTAGGAGATAATTTTATGAAGTTTATCACCATTCATGATAAAAAGCAGAACATCAAGGAGGGTTGAGGGCAATGGGAATTTCTTTTTCGGGATGAGCACGTTCCAGCGTCGATTGCAGTGACAGTTGCAGGATGACGTGAGTTCCCTGAAAGCCACTGGATCATGGGCTTGAAGCGAGTGGATTCTACGGTGTGAGAATCAATAAAGCTCATGAAAAAATTAAAAGAAACTCTTAGTAAACTGAGAACAGAAGGAGGAGCCTTGAATCTGAAATGAGCTTGTACAAAAGTCTCCACCATACTAGGTGACTCCAGGGGTGACCTGCTGATGGCTTCCCACAGGCAGGTCAAGGCCAGGAGGCCGCCATGGGGACCCCACCCAGCACTGTGCTGGACACAACGCGGCAAGACAAGAAACACAGAAGAAGCAAAGGTGACAGAGTGGGGGAGGAGAAATAAAGCCGGCACCTGCAGTTGGCATAATTTTGTATTAAGATATCTTAAAAGGGCCGGGCGCTGTGGCTCACGCCTGTAATCCCTGCACTTTGGGAGGCTGAGGTGGGCAGATCACGAAGTCAGGAGATCGAGACCAGCCTGGCTAACATAGTGAAACCCCATCTTTACTAAAAACACAAAAAATTAGCTGGCTGTGGGGGCAGGTGCCTGTAATCCCAGCCACTCGGCAGACTGAGACACGACAATTGCTTGAACCCGGGAGGCAGAGGTTGCGCTGAGCTGAGATCGCACCACTGCACTCCAGCCTGGGCAACAACAGCGAAACTCTGACTCAAAAAAAAAAAAAGATATCTCTAAAAATCAATGGGTAAAATATTAGAAAAAGATTTTGATGTAAGGTCAATATACAAAAAGTAATTGCACTGTTATTGTCAAACCTAGAGAGTGGTTACAGAGAGACTAAAAGAAACTATTTGTGGCTGGGCTGAGGCTGGCATATCACGAAGTCAGGAGTTCGAGACCAGCCTGGCTATCATAGTGAAACCCCATCTTTACTAAAAATACAAAACATTAGCCGAGTGTGGTGGCGGGTGCCTGTAATCACAGCTCTTCAGGAGGCTGAGGCAGGAGAATCGCCTGAACCCAGGAGGCGGAGGTTGAAGTGAGCCGAGATCACGCCACTGCACTCCAGCCCAGGTGACAGTGCGAGACTCCATCTCAAAAAAAAAAAAGAAACTATTTCCTTGGGAACAGGCATTGTGAGGGGAGCAGGCAAACGCGGTCAGGAGGGCTTTAAAGGGAAAATGAAGAGGGTCGCACATGTTGTTGTGGAACAATTCCCCTTGGTGACAGCATCAACAATGAGGGTGGCGTCAGTCCAAGGTTGGACGGGCAGTGAGTGGGCCGATGTCCGCGAAGAAGCATTTTGTGCAAGGTTGTGGGTTTGCAGTCTTTTTTGTGGTTCTTCTTGTCAGGCATTCAGGCGGGAGACCCCTCCCTTCAGAGCCTTCCCAGGCTCCGGTTTCAGTGGGTTCAATCCATGGGACCCTGTTTCAAATCTGACAGCTCTCACATGACGTCCACCAGGCAGGCAGGTTAGGAGACGGACATTTAAAAACAACACCATTTACAACAGAGTCAAAAGATAAATAACTGGGAATAAATCTAATGAAAGATCTTCAGGACTTCTACACAAAACTATGAAACGTTAACAAAGAAAGCCTAAATTAATGGAGAGATACACGGTGTTCATGGTTTGAAAACCTTAACACTGTAAAGATTTCCACTTCAACTGATTTACAGATCTACAGAGTCAATTAAATGCATTTCCATTAAAATCCCAGCTGCCTTTTTTCTGCAGAAAGTGACAAGGTTGCTATAAAATGTATGTTGCTAAGAAAAACAAAGTGGAAGGACTTTACCACCAGACACCAAGGATTATTGGAAGGCAACAGGGAATACGATGGTGTATTATTGGTGCAAAGTAGACAAGAAGACCAATGAACAAAAGAGGAAGTGCAGAAGTCGATCGAACAGGCCTGGACATGGGTGGGAGGCAGGGGCAGCCTGCAGAGGCAGGAGGTGGAAGAGGAAGCTCCAGGGCCTGAAGGCGGGCAGAGGTGCACATAAACAGCAGACGATTGGTCGACTTACACTTGACAGCTTCTGTACATCAAAACATGTCATGAGGGGAGGAAAGGCTGAGGAGCAGGGGAGATGTCATGGGGGGAGGAAAGGCTGAGGAGTAGGGGAGATGTCATGGGGGGAGGAAAGGCTGAGGAGTAGGGGAGATGTCATGGGGGGAGGAAAGGCTGAGGAGTAGGGGAGATGTCATGGGGGGAGGAAAGGCTGAGGAGTAGGGGAGATGTCATGAGGGGAGGAAAGGCTGAGGAGCAGGGGAGATGTCATGGGGGGAGGAAAGGCTGAGGAGTAGGGGAGACGTCATGGGGGGAGGAAAGGCCGAGGAGTGGGGGAGACGTCATGAGGGGAGGAAAGGCTGAGGAGTGGGGGAGACGTCATGAGGGGGAAAGGCTGAGGAGTGGGGGAGACGTCATGAGGGGAGGAAAGGCTGAGGTGGGGGGAGACGTCATGAGGGGAGGAAAGGCCGAGGAGTTGGGGAGACGTCATGAAGGGAGGAAAGGCCGAGGAGTTGGGGAGACGTCATGAGGGGAGGAAAGGCCGAGGAGTGGGGGAGATGTCATGAAGGGAGGAAAGGCCGAGGAGTGGGGAAGATGTCATGAGGGGAGGAAAGGCCGAGGAGTGGGGGAGACGTCATGGGGGGAGGAAAGGCTGAGGAGTGGGGGAGACGTCATGGGGGGAGGAAAGGCCGAGGAGTTGGGGAGACGTCATGAGGGGAGGAAAGGCCGAGGAGTGGGGAAGATGTCATGAGGGGAGGAAAGGCCGAGGAGTGGGGGAGACGTCATGAGGGGAGGAAAGGCTGAGGAGTAGGGGTAGACGTCATGAGGGGAGGAAAGGCTGAGGAGTAGGGGCGGATGTCATGAGGGGAGGAAAGGCTGAGGAGTGGGGGAGATGTCATGAGGGGAGGAAAGGCTGAGGAGTAGGGGGAGATGTCATGAGGGGAGGAAAGGCTGAGGAGTAGGGGAAGATGTCATGAAGGGAGGAAAGGCTGAGGAGTGGGGGAGATGTCATGAGGGGAGGAAAGGCTGAGGAGTAGAGGAGATGTTATGAGGGGAGGAAAGGCTGAGGAATGGGGGAGATGTCATGGGGGGAGATGTCATGGGGGGAGGAAAGGCTGAGGAGTGGGGGAGATGTCATGAGGGGAGGAAAGGCTGAGGAGTGGGGGAGATGTCATGGGGGGAGATGTCATGGGGGGAGGAAAGGCTGAGGAGTAGAGGAGATGTTATGAGGGGAGGAAAGGCTGAGGAATGGGGGAGATGTCATGGGGGGAGATGTCATGGGGGGAGGAAAGGCTGAGGAGTGGGGGAGATGTCATGGAAAAGGAGGAAAGGCTGAGGAGTCGGGGAGATGTCATCGGGGGAGGAAAGGCTGAGGAGTGGGGGAGATGTCATGGAAAGGGAGGAAAGGCTGAGGAGTCGGGGAGATGCCATGAGGGGAAGAAAGGCTGAGGAGTGGGTGAGATGTCATGGGGGGAGGAAAGGCTGAGGAGTGGGGGAGATGTCATGAGGGCTGGATCGGCTCTGAGTGGGGGAGATGTCATGGGGGGAAAGGCTGAGGAGTGGGGGAGATGTCGTGAGGGGAGAAAAGGCTGAGGAGTGGGGGAGATATCATGAGAGGTGGAACGGCTCTGAGTGGGGGAGATGTCGTGGGGGAAAGGCTGAGGAGTGGGGGAGATGTCGTGGGGGGAGGAAAGGCTGTGAGTAGGGGGAGACGTCATGGGGGGGGAAGGCTGAGGAGTCGGGGAGATGTCATAGGGGGAGGAAAGTCTGAGGAGTGGGGGAGATGTCATGAGGGGAGGAAAGGCTGAGGAGTGGGTGAGATGTCGTGGGGGGAGAAAAGGCTGTGAGCAGGGGGAGATGTCGTGGAGGGAAGGAGAGGCAGTGAGTAGGGGGAGATGTCGTGGAGGGGAGGGACAGGCCGTGAGCAGGGGGCGATATCATGGAGGGGAAGGACAGGCCATGAGTTGTGGGAGATGTCGTGGAGGGGAAGGACAGGCCGTGAGTCAGAGATGTCGTGGAGGGGAAGGACAGGCTTTGAGTCGGGGGAGATGTCACGGAGAGGAGGGACAGGCCGTGAGTTGAGGGAGATGTCACGGTGGGGGAGGAAAGGCTGTGAGTAGGGGCAGATGTTTCAGGAACAGGACATTTTGGAATATGTTGAGAGTCCCGAAATCCCCATGAAGAAGTCAGCATCAGTAGCGTACGGCATGTGGACAGGCATTCCTTGGGGCAGCCGATGGCCCGTGAAAGCCATAGATGATGTCCAGCATCCCTGGCCACCAGGAAAACCAGAATTCAAAGCATGGAGATCCTGTGGCTGAATGGTGGAAAGGCTGGACGCCAGGGCTGGGTGTGGGTGGAGGGGCAGGGCCAGGGTGACCAGCTGGACTGTTCATGGAAATCACCTGCCTGCACCTTTCCGGCCGGACACACTCGCCCCAGGAGGCAGCATCTCCCCTCGTGGGCGCTTACCTCGGAGAACTCCGGGCATGAATGTGCGAAAGGCAGGAACAGACGTCCACGGCGGCTTTCATCCTCATGGCGCAAACGGGACCCCTACCGTCAGCAATGGAGCCGTGAAGGAGCTGCAGCCGTGGACCTGGAGCAGGCACAGCGAGCCAGGGTGCGAGGCCCGGACAGCTCTGAGCGGAACAGCGAGCCACCTGCAGCGTCCAGCTCGAGACAGTGGCTCCTTTCTGGAAGTGGGATGGGGCTGAGGGAGCCGGGCTGCTGGGGTTCTGGAACATTGCGTTTCCTGCTCTGGGCAGGGGTTTGTTCCGCGGATGTGCCGCTTCCTGAAAGTTCATCCACCTGGAGAAAGACGCAGGTGCAGCTCGTCCACCCCAGCAAGGCTTCTTGGGGAAAATGAAAGCCAAGGCTGCCGTGAATTTCCATAATCAACGAGGGTGCCGCTGGTGCAGAGGGCTTTCGATGTCACACTCCGGATGGTATTTGAAAGAAAAATTAAATAAAAATTCAAACCTAACAATCTAAACATTTAATAAACAGAAACTCCTCATGAGATTATGTTTATTTTTTAATTTTTTAAACTTATTTTAAGTTCAGGGCCGCATGTGCAGGATGTACAGGTTTGTTACAGAGGTTAATGTGTGTCATGGGGGTTTGCGTACAGATTATTTCATCACCCGGGTATTAAGCCTAGTACCCATTAATTATTTTTCCTGACCCTCTCCCTCCTCCCACCGCCCACCCTCTGACAGGCCCAGTGTCTTATATTCCCTTCTATCTGCCCAGGTGTTCTCAGCATTTAACTCCTGTTTATAAGTGAGACGTGCAGTATTTGGTTTTCTGTTCCTGTATGAGTTTGCTAAAGGTAATGGCCTCCAGCTCCATCCGTGTTCCTGCAAAGGACATGATCTGGTTCCTTTTTATGGCTGTATAGTATTCCATGGTGCACATGTGCCACATTTTCTTTATCCAGTCTACCGACGATGGGCATGTAGGTTGATTCCATGTCTTTGCTGTTGTGACTAGTGCTGTGAGGGACATAGTATGCAGACGAGACATGATGTTTAGTAAATATCATGCACAGAGTTGAATCTCACATCATGAGTGAGTGTATCACACACAGATATTTATAAACTACAGGACAGGGAGAAAACCATTGACAGCGTTTTCCTCCAGGAGGTATTGAAAATGCTCCAATTTCCTTTGCTGAGCTTGTAATAACTTGCTTTTGCAATAAGATATTTCCGTAGACACAAAGGCACACTGTTTCCGACTGCGGACCCCAAGGACCCTCCTCAGGTCTGTGTGGGCAAGGTGTATGGAAACCTGTTCTGCAAAGACCCACAACAATGACCCCCTCCATGTGCTCATCACGGACAAAGGTAACTTTTCACTACGTGCCCCAGGTGGCCTCTCTGGCCTCAAGGGAGGACATCTTTCTGGCCACCCTGGCCTTTCTGATGAGTCTCAAATGCAACCCGGAACAGGCAGAAGCCCGGGGTAGTTCACCTGCCCCCAAGCTGCCCCAGATTTCAGAAGGGAGCTTCACTCCCTGACCCCCATCAGCAAGATGGTAGGGGTCTCCTGCAGTACCTGGAGCTGGGAAGGGAGGGGCAGAGGTGGTGGGGACGAACCTGCCCTGGGGATATCTCTGGGGCCCCAAGGCTGCAGGGCGTCAGATATTGAGGAGGGCTCATAAGGCATCAGGCAGGTTCTGGGGGCTCAGGGCTCACCAGTAAACAGAGGCAACAAAGATTCCTACCTGGTCCCTCTTATGTCCAAGTGGGGAAGAGAGAGCATGAGCCCTTAGCCCAACAGCTAAACAAACTGGACAGCCTGTTGGAGGAGATCCTGCTATGCAAAGGAAAGGCAAGGAGAAGTGCAGTCCCACTGCGTGGCCCATGCTTCGCCTGTGCGGACCAAGCTGAATTCCTGGGAAGCAGCCCTCAGCCAGCAGCAGGTGCAGGCCAGGCCTGTGGGAGGACCCTGCAGGGTCAGAGGCCGTGCACAGGGCAGGTAGGACCCTGCTGGCCCTCAGGGATCATTGCCTTTGCTCTAATGAACACTGAAGGTTTCTGAGCGAGAGGGACTTGGTGACCACCTGGGGAGTGCAGAGGCCCTGAGAACTGCTTCCCTGGCCCCTGCCCCACCTTGGAGCCCAGAAGAGGACACCTCATCTTTCCCTGCCTCTGAGGAATGACGATCACAGACAGTCACCTCCCACCCCCTGGGGACACAGTTGATGGCCATTACAGACAGTCACCTCCCATGTCCCGGGCACGCAGTCGACAGCCATCACAGACAGTCACCTCCCACCTCCCAGGCACGCAGTCGACGGCCATCACAGATGGCCACTTCCCACCTCCTGGGCATGCAGTCGACGGCCATCACAGCCGGTCACCTCCCACCTCCCGGGCACGCAGTCGACGGCCATCGCCGACGGTCACCTCCCACCTCCCGGGCACGCAGTCGACGGCCATCACAGTCACCTCCCACCTCCCAGGCACGCAGTCGATGGCCTCTGAGACCACAGCAGCATCACAGAGGCCTCATGCTGGTGACCCGGCCTCAGGCTCTGCAGCAGGAAATGAGGTCCATGGTCCTTGGCTTGCCTGGTCCCTCCTCCCAGCCGGCAATGGGCAGGGCTGGCCAGGGCTGTGAGGGTTTTGGGAAGCTCAGGCGGTGGTGGCGCTGAGACCCTCCCAAGGGCTCCCCATTCCTCAGAGGCAGGGACAGATGAGATGCTCTCTTCTGCAGGAAGAAAGCTCCAGTGCAGGATCAGAACCAAAGTGGCCCCTCGAGGCCCTGTTGTGGGAGCTGCTGCAGGCGTCAGGCACTGGTCTTCCATCAGTCATAGCTATTTCTAGATATTTTCTCAGGGAACAAGCATGGAGTACTTACCTAGGTACGAGGCAGTTGAGTACTCTGGGGGTTGAGTACTGTGGCAGTTAGATACATTGGGAGTTAGGTATTTTGGGAGTTGGGTACTATGAGAATTGAGTACTATGGGAGTTAGGTACATGGGAGTTAGGCATTATGAGGGTTAGGTACTGTGGGAGTTGGGTACTGTGGGAGTTGGGTACTGTGGGTGTTTGGTACTATTGTAGTTGAGTACTGTAGGAGTTGGGTGCTGTGGGGGTTGGGTACTGTGGGAGTTGGCTACTATTGTATTTGGCTACTGTGGGATTTGGGTACTGCAGGAGTTGGGTACTGTGGGAGTTGGGTACTATTGTATTTGGGTGCTGCAGGATTTGGGTACTGTGGGAGTTGAGTACTATAGTAGTTTGGTACTGTGGGAATTGGGTACTGTGGGAGTTGGGGACTGTAGGAGTTGGGTACTGTGGCAGTTGGGTACTGCGGGAGTTGGGTACTGCAGGAGTTGGGTACTGTAGGGGTTGGGTACTATTGTAGTTGGGTCCTGTGGGAGTTGGGTTCTGTGGGAGTTGGGTACTGTGGGAGTTGGGGACTGTGGGAGTTGGGTACTGTGGGAGTTGGGTACTGCAGGGGTTGGGTACTGTGGAGGTTGGGTATTGTGGGAGTTGGGTCCTGCGGGAGTTGGGTACTGCGGGAGTTGGGTACGGCAAGGGTTGGGTACTGTGGGGGTTGGATACTGTGGGAGTTGGGTACTGTGGGAGTTGGGTACTGCAGGGGTTAGGTACTGTGGGGATTGGATACTATGGGAGTTGGGTACTGTGGCAGTTGGGTACTGCAGGGGTTGGGTACTGTGGGGGTTGGATACTGTGGGAGTTGTGTTCTGTGGCAGTTGAGTAGTTGGGAGTTGGGTATTGTGGCATTTGTGTACTGTGGGAGTTGTGCACTGTGAGAGTTGGGTACTGTGGGAGTGGGGTACTATGGCAGTTGGGTACTGCAGGGGTTGGGTACTGTGGGGGTTGGATACTGTGGGAGTTGTGTTCTGTGGCAGTTGAGTAGTTGGGAGTTGGGTATTGTGGCATTTGTGTACTGTGGGAGTTGTGCACTGTGAGAGTTGGGTACTGTGGGAGTGGGGTACTATGGGAGTTGGGTACTGCAGGGGTTGGGTACTGCGGGGGTTGGGTACTGAGGGGGTTGGGTACTGCGGGGATTGGGTACTGAGGGGGTTGGGTACTGTGGGAGTTGGGTACCGTGGGGGTTGGATACTGTGGGAGTTGGGTTCTGTGGGAGTTGTGTACTGCAGGAGTTCGGTACTGTGAGAGTTGGGTACTACGCTTTGTTTTACATATACGAATGCTGGGCCTGAGGGCACTAAGAACTATGGGGCCAGTGGCCCAGCAAATGTGGTCCAAGTTGGTTTTGGTTGCTACCCCGCAACCTGGTTGCCTCTGCAGAAGTTTCTAGAGGCACTGGGGAGAGGAGGAAGCCTCAAGGCCACTGGCCCCAGGCACCCTTTAAGTTGGGCCCCAAGGCCCCTGGGAAACTCAGGTGTGTCCAGTGGGGCTTGCAAGGGGCAGGGACCCTCCACACACATCTGGGCTCATGCCTCCAATCGTCTTTGGTGTGGACTCTCCCACAAAGCTCATTCAGAAGACCTGCCCTTAACCATCCCACGCTCATTCTCCCTTGCTGGTCCTTGGGGTCCAGGAGACACGTCCTCCCCATCTGAAGACTGTCCTGTCCCCTCCGCCATTCCTGAGTCCCCACTCCAGGCCTGGGCCAGCCACTGACTCTCTCTCTCTGTCTGTCTCTGTCTCTTTGTGTCACTCTGTCTCTGTTTCTTCCCCCTCTCTGTCTCTGTCTCTTTTTCTCTCTCTGTGTCTCACTGTCTATCTTGCTCTGTCTGTGTCTTTCTCTCTCTCTCCCTGTCTTTCTCTGACTTTCTTTCTCTGACTTTCTTTCTCTGTCTCTCCCTCTCTCTCTCTATCTCTGTCTCTCTCTGTCTGTCTCTGTCTTTCTCTCTCTGTCTCTCCCTATCTCTTTCTTTGTCTCTATCTCTCCCTGTCTCTCTTTCTCTATATCTGTCTTTCTCTCTCTCTTTTTGTCTGTCTCTGTCTCTTTCTCTGTCCGTTTCTGTCTCTCTGACTCTATCTCTGTCTCTCTCTGTCTCTGTCTATCCCTGTCTCTCTTTCTCTGTCTTTCTCTCTCTGTCTCTCCCTATCTCTGTCTCTCCTTGTCTCTCTCTGTTTCTGTCTTTCTCTCTCTCTGTCTCTGTATCTCTCTGTCTCCCCCATCTCTCTCTCTCTGTCTCTGTCTTTCTCTGTCTCTATCTCTCTGTCTTTGTCTATCCCTATCTCTCTCTGTCTCTGTCTCTCTCTGTCTTTCTCTCTCTTCCTGTCTCTCTGTCTTTCTCTCTCTTCCTGTCTCTCTGTCTCTGTCTCTCTGTCTCTGTCTCCCCATCTCTCTCTTTTTCTGTCTCTGTCTCTCCATCTCTGTCTCTCCCTGTCTCTCTTTCTCTGTCTGTCTCTGTCTTTCTCTATCTCTCTGTCTCTCTCTGTCTTTCTCTCTGTGTCTCTCCTTGGCTCTCTTTCTCTGTCTTTCTCTCTCTCTCTGTCTCTCCCTCTCTCTGTCTCTGTCTCTCCCTCTCTCCTTCTCTGCCTCTATCTCTCTGTTTCTCTTTCTCTGTACTTTCTCTCTCTCTGTCTCTCCCTTTCTCTCTATCTCTGTCTCTCCTTGTCTCTCTTCCTCTGTCTGTCTCTGTCTTTCTCTCTCTCTGGCTCTCCCTGTCTCTTTCTTTGTCTCTTTCTCTGTCTCTATCTCTCTGTTTCTCTCTGTCTCTGTCTATGTCTGTCTCTCTCTTTATCTCTGTCTCTCCCTGTCTCTGTGTCTCTGTCTCTCCCTCTCTCTTTCTCTGTCTTTCTCTTTCTCTCTGTCTCTGTCTCCCCATCTCTCTTTTTCCCTGTTTCTGTCTCTGTGTCTTTCTCTCTCTGTCTCCATCTCTCTCTGTCTCTCTGTCTCTGTCTTTGTCTCTCTCTCTGTCTCTGTCTCTCCCTCTCTCTGTCCCTGTCTTTCTCTGTCTGTCTTTCTCTCTGTCTCTCTCTTTTTTCTCTGTCTCTCTCTCTCTCCCTGTCTCTCTTTGTCTGTCTCTCCCTGTCTCTGTCTCTGCCTTTCTCTCTCTGTCTTTCCCTCTCTCTGTCTCTGTTCCTGTTTCTCTTTCTCTGTCTCTGTCTCTCCTCGTCTCTGTCTCTACCTCTCTCTGTCTTTGTCCCTGTCTCTGTTTCTGTCTTTGTGCCTGTCTCTCTTTCTCTGTCTCTCCTTGTTTCTGTCTCTCCCTGTCTCTCTTTCTCTGTCTCTGTCTTTCTCTCTCTGTCTTCCCAAGTCCCCACCCTTCCCTCCAATCTGCGCTGTGCTCGGAAGCCAGGAGTCCTTAAATGCAAACGTGATCTCTTCCTTCTGGCCTCCCTTTCTGAGTTCCTGTGTCCTAGGGGCAAAGGTCAGGCGCCTAAACTCGCTCATCTCTGAGTGACGCCCCCAGCGCCTTCATCTCCATTACTCAGCGAATGTCGATGAGCCCTGTGCAGGGTGGAGGTGGGGGCGGGGGCGGCTCTGGGTCCTTATCGCCCAGCGGTGCAGACTGAGATAAAGGAACCAGGAGGCTAGGGAGAAAGTCCCATGCCTGCCGGGAAGGCCCCGGCTATGGAAGGAGCCATGTGGGCAGTGGGGGCAGGGGGCCAGCGAGGGCCCCCAGGGAGGTGAGCCCAGAGGCTGAAGGAGGCAACGGGAGGAAGGCCTGGGGAGGCGCAGGGTGTGGCACCGTCCCTGGCCTCAGGAAGGCTGGTCCGGGATTCCAGAGCTTGAGGTCTCCTAGATGGGAGAGACGTGAGGGGAGGCCCAAGTGGGGGCCCAAACGGGCAGCGCCCGACAGAGGATGGCCTCCAACTCCCTGTGCGGAAAACCAGGAGAGAATCCCACTCTGGCTTTGGAGACACAACCCCCAGGATCCTCTCCTGAACTCCCCGCAACGTTCCTCCTGCCCCTCCTGGACCCCGTGGTCAGCCCTGTGGCTTCCCTGCACGGCCTCTTTGCTGGGGAGCAGGAACACCATCTCCTTCGCTGTCCCATGCCCGGCACAGGACTGCCCCCCACAAAGTGCTCCACAGAAGGACAGAAACCGTGCAGTCACCGGGAAGGTGGGGATCTGGGGTGGCTGCAGGTTCCATGACACAGGACCCTCCATCCCCCGTGACCCCAGAGGGCCCTTGGGGACGAGGCTGCCCTAGAGGGTGGCTCTGGGTCCTGAACCTATGGCCGGGAGCTGAACTCCTCCTGCTCGATGTTCTCCAGCTCAGCCAGGGATGGGATCCGGGCATCCAGGCTGGGGTTGGGCAGCGTGAGCTGTTCATTATGAAGTTCATTACGAACCCCAGAATGAAACTGTGGCCCAGGGGGCACAGCCACGGGAACCCCACTCTCAGGTTGATTCAGGCCACATCCCAAGGAGCCGTGGTTCCGTGGGGACTGGTGGGAAGCCGGGCCCCCGAGCAGCCGTCTAGAGCCCAGAGCCAGGCTGGAGGGGTCCAGGGCCTCGCTGTGCTTGGTGTGAGCAGACCAAGAGCTGCCCCAGGGCCCCTGCTCCCGCTGAGTTCCCTCTCCCTGGACTGGGGTGGGGGCCGGGGATGCCTGTGCTCCAGGGAGCTGTGGAGAGGCCCACCCGGCGTCCTGCAGGTGGGGGTGTGCGGCAGCCAGGGGCTCCCAGACCGGGGCAGAGCCAGCATCCTGTTTGCCTTGGTTCTTTCTCCCCGGGGTGCACCGGCGTTTGTACGCATTTGTGTGTGCGTTTGTGCAGGGGGAGGGGTGGCCAGCGCCCACGGAGCAGCCTCCGGTTGCCCGAAGGCAGTGGGTGGCTCTGCTGGCCCCGGGGCCGGGCGTCTCTGCAGATAAGGCATTAACAGTCCCTCCGCAGACGCACCCTGCAGATCTGCTGACGACTGGCTCCGTTCTGCCCAGGTGCCTGGGGCGAGGTGCCAAAGGTTCTCTATAAAGTGCCCGGCTCCCGGCCCACGGCCACTCGCCCTCCAGCTTCTGCCCTGCCTGCTGTGTGCGGAGCCGTCCAGCGACCACCATGGTGAGGCTCGTGCTGCCCAACCCCGGCCTAGACGCCCGGATCCCGTCCCTGGCTGAGCTGGAGACCATCGAGCAGGAGGAGGCCAGCTCCCGGCCGAAGTGGGACAACAAGGCGCAGTACATGCTCACCTGCCTGGGCTTCTGCGTGGGCCTCGGCAACGTGTGGCGCTTCCCCTACCTGTGTCAGAGCCACGGAGGAGGTAGGCTGGCCGGGCGGGGCTGCGGGCGAGGCCGTGGCCAGGGAAGCACAGACACACGCAGAGGCCCTGGGCAGACATCCTCCCCGGACCCTCGGCTCCCCAAGCACGGAGGGGAGAGGAGAAGCCGCAGGGTGTGGGGGGAGCTGGGGCCCCCACGGGCCCCCGTGCCCGGTTCCTAGGCTGCTGGTGAGGAGATGGGCCTGGCCGGCACGACCCCAAGACTTCGTGTGGGGCTCCAGGGAGGGCCCTGTGTTCCAGACTGGCAGTCCTGGAACGTTCTGGCCTGAGGGTGGGGCCGGGGGAAGGGTGTTTCTCCCGGTACAGCCCCTCCTCGGAGGACGCGGGGCTGGGCCCTCCTGGGCATCACCTCTCGTCCCAGCCCCACAGGCGGACACCTGCCAGTGCAGGGAGCAGAGGAGGTAGCTGGGTTGGGGGCAGGTGACCCTAGAGGAGCAGAGTGGGTAGCCGGAGCCTGTGGACTCGGGCCTGGCTCTTGAGCCAGGTGCCCTCAGGCCTGGAGGCCGGGAGCCGCTGTGCCCACCCAACACACAAGCCTGACTGCTCCTCGTTCCTCTGGCTCCTGCGGCCCAGGTAGGCATGGCCGCTGCTGGCACAGAGGTGACATTTGTGTTCCTGCCCAGTGGTCCTGAGCATCTGAGAAGTGGCTCCCAGGCCTGGCAGGGGGCTGTACCTAGGACCCCCACACTTGAACTCAGCCTTGGGCTTGGCGAACCCCAAAGCTGCTGCCCTCATAAACCTGCTGCTTTCTCAGCGGAAGGTCCAGGAGGGCCGGGCACCCTTGGGAAACAGGCTTCCTGCTGCCCTGGGGCAGTTCACGGGGGGGCCGTGAAGGTCTCAGCCTCCGTTTAGAGGAGTCTGCCCTCAGGGGGCCCTGTTCCTTCTCACCATGGAGAGCTGCTGTCTCTCACGCGGGCTTTGTGATGTGAAGGTTTTTAAAGAAAAACAGAAATGGGCTTTTCCTGAATCAGTTTCGCCTCCAGCATTGTCAAGGAGTTGATCACTGCCTTGCGGGGGTGGGCGCTTCATGAGCCTCTGGTCCAGCCTGCACTTTCCACTGGAGGCAGGTCGGGGGACCTTGGCCACTCCGATACTATAGTCCCTGACAGTCCCCAAGTCTCAGCTCACCAAAGCCTCAGGGGACTTCCTGGCCACTGTCCTCGCCCCCTCCCCCAGGGCCCTATCCTGTGGGGAGGATCCCTGCGCTCACCCACACCCTGAGTTTGTTTAGCTTGGAGGAGAAACTGAGTCACAGGCTCACATCCCCACTGGGGATGGAGGGGCAGACACATGCCTCCTGGGAAGAGGAGGGGTTGGGACTGCCTGAGCCTGCCTGGGAAGTTATTTGTCTTTGCACAGAAGGGCAAGTTCTAAGATGCGGGCTTGGGCAGGAATCTGATGGGGCTCCCAGCACCTCAGATAGTCCCCGCTCTGACACCCAGAGACCAGCCGCTGTGCACGGTGGAGCCTGGGAGCGAGCAGCTTTCAAGCAGCGGGTGCTGGCGCTGCACCCTGGGCCATGCTGGGGTGGACAGGTGCGGGCAGCGGGCAGCGGGCAGCGGGTTCCGGGCAGGCAGGCCCAGGTGAGGAGGGCCGAGCAGGGCTCTGGGATGTGCTGGGTCTCAGATGGTCCCACTCCTGGGGTGGACACCAGCAGGCCCTTCTCCCCAGACCCCAGACAAGCTTCCCCTGACCTGGCCCTTCGGCTGGGCCACCAGGTCACCTGCTAGACTCTGAGGGCCACTGTCACCTGGGCCCCCATCAGCTGCGGCATCGCAGATGGCTCCACAGGGTTCTGGCAGTCGCCCCGGCCTGGAGGAACCCTGTGCCTTTTGGTCATGCTGTGGGGGCTGACCAGGACCCCACATACCAGACCACCAGCCTGAAAGAGCTGAAGCCCACACTGCAGCCAGAGGGACTCGGGCCAGAAGGGCAGGGCCCCGAGAATGGGAGACGGCTCTGCAGGCCACCGGGTTTCCCAGCAGGGCACCCGTCTCCTGGTGAATCCAATCTGGGCCGCAGCTCTGCCACAAGGGAGCTTTCAGGGAGGCAGCTGAAAGGACCCGGCGACACAGGGTCCCCTCCTATGGCTCCTGGGGGCCTCATGGGCACCAAAACAGTGGGGCAGGCTGCGTCCCTGGGAGGCCACACCCACAGACAGCGCACTCTCTCTCTGTGCATCTTAGTGAGGGCCCCAGCATGCATGCCTTGTCAGTGACACCAGATTTCCTAATTGATGCGGGTCATCGAGACCAAATCGAGGGGAAGCAGGCAGCCAGGTCCTCCTGGTTCCCTCTTGGAAGCCTCCTGAGTGTCTGGGATTGTCCTTCGAGGTTAAAAACCATTTACGCGTGCCTCCGAGTCTCCTGTGTCTTAACAGATTTTGCCCTCCTTGGAGAGCCTGTGCCAGGTGGGCAGGCTCAAGGGACACTTTCCTGAGGAAGGGCATTTCCAAACTCAGCCGCCCCACTCACCTGAGCCGTCTCAAGGGCGTGCTGCACCTGGGCATTCTCACCTGGGAAATGGGTGTGATGGCGGAGCCCCCCGAGGGTGGTGCTGGGGGCAGTGGGCAGGTGTGCAGGAACAGCAACCAAAAGCCGTGAGGCGTGGTCAGCCAGGGCTCACCCCACTCACCCCCACCTGGGAGCACCACATCCCCACGGCAGGGCCCCGCAGTGCCGGTGGCGCAGGCGGAGACGCATTCATGCCCACCTGTGTCCGTCCAGAAACCTCAGTTGCCCCGTGTGTCCCCGTCAGTGGCTGCTGATAGAGCCCACCCCACAGCTGGCCCCTCAGGGGCTGCCCCCCCAGCTCCTCTGCACAGGGCAGTGATGGTGTCCGTGAGCGAGGTGGCGTGCGGGAGCCGGAGGAGCCACCCCTTCCAGGACCATGTGGCGCCAGCACAGCTGTTTCCAGCTGTCTCTTCTTTGCTGCTCAACGCCTGGCCCCGGGGTCAGCTTTCCCCTTAGTCCATCTGCAGCTAATTCTTAGCAAAAATCCATGCAGCATTTACTTGGTGCCACAAACACCACCTGCTGGAGAGAGAAAAAAGGGGAAGCTTAGTCCCTGCGTGAGAACTGCAGCTCCCTCCTCCCCCTCTCTCCTGGTTTCCTACTTTTTCAAGGACAGACAGGAGGAACTGTTTCTGTGCCCAGTGTCTCTTTCCCTCTGGGTGCTTTCCATTTGGCCACGTCCCCACCCCATTCTCTCGGTTACCTGCTTCCACCTGAGTGAGCCAACATCTGCAGCGCCGCAGAGAGGCCTGGTTTCCAGGGACCTTTGCAACCACGTCCAGGCGCCCTGCAGGGCCCCACCAGGCAGAGCCACGCAGTGTTCCCTGGGCGCTGGCCGCCCCTTTCCTTCTCTCCTTCCTCTGCACCTCACCCCACACTAGGAAGAAGTCGCTGCGTTTAAAAGACAAATATTCATATTCTGGTGGCTTTAATTGTCAAGAATGCTTGGCTTTCCTTGAGTTTCTTGGGGCAGGACAGCCTCCTTCATTGGGAGCAACGGAGGGCCTGGCTGCCTCCGGGCTGCATTTGGGGTGGAGTGGGTGTGTGCCCCCCACCCCCAGTCCTCTCTGTTCACTGCTCCATGCTGAGCCTGAGCCCCAGGGGTTGGGGATTTGAGGGTCTCCTGCCCGGAGGAACCTTCAGAAAGGAGAGCCACCAGGAGCAAGGGCAACAACTGAGACTCTCAAAAGAGGGGACACCCTGGTGGGGTTTTCAAGGATGAGTAGGAGTTTTCTCAATGGAGATGAAGCGATAGGAAGACCCGAGCATTTAGGGTTAGGGCATAGTGGAGGGAAGGGAGAGGGTGGAGGACACTGGGGATCATGCACTTGCTTTTTCTTGGTAGTTTTGTCTGGAAGAGTTTCAAATCAAGCTCTTGGGAAAAAAAAATTGGAGGAGTGAATCTTTTCTTATTTTAACCTAATGAGCAGGCCCTGCTGGGGTCTTGGGTGTCCCTGCAGGTGAGCCTGCAGCCCCCACACCCTCCCATAGGGACCCGCTGGTGAGCATCTCCTGCACCTGGCTACCATTCCCTTCTGCCTTTCATCTCTCGATGAATCCAGCATCCCGCCAGCCCACCCTACACACCTGGCTCTGCTGCTGCCACCTGCAGCTCCTGCTTCTGAAGGAACCTGTCCCTGGAACCCCAGCTCAGAGAGAGGGGCCTGTGTGGGGATAGAGGTGCTGGGCTCCAGAGGGCCCTGCTCCACTCAACAGGCAGGCACCAAGTGGACACAGAGGGAGGGGAGAGAAAAGGCTCCGTGTTAAACTGGGAGAGGGAGCAGTGAGAGAGGCTGGCAGGGGCCAAGTGAGGAAGTCACAGCCTCCAGTACCTGGCTTCTCCCTCCCTCCCTCCTTCTCTCTCTCTCTCTCCATCGCCCTGTCTGTTTCTCTCCTCTGTCTCTCTCTGTTTCTGTCTGTGTGTGTGTCTCTCTGTCTCTTTTTCTGTGTGTCTCCATCTCCCCCTCTGTGACTCTGTCTCTGTGTGTGTGTCTCTCTCTCTCCCTGCCTCCCTCTCTGTCTCTGTCTCTCTGTGTCACTGTCTCTGTGTGTGTCTCTGTCTCTCACACATGTGCTGTGCCATCCCCTGAGGATGGTAGTTTGGGATCTGACATGGCCCTGCTGGCTAAGGAGACAGTGGCTGGGTCGGGAAGGGAGGCGATGGGGATGGAATGGAGGGAGCTCAGGGTGTAAGAGATTTGGTGGGAGAAGGACAAATGGAACACGTGTGTGGGGAAGGAGGGTGAGGGTGCCCAGCCTGGGGGGCGGGAGGATGATGGGGGCTTGGCTCTGCTGGTGGGGAGGGTGCAGGCAGGCGGGTCACGCGTCCCTCCTGAGAGGCCCCAGGGACACGCAGCGTGAGGAGGGGCTGTCGCTGGGACCCCAGTGTCATGTGAGCATCCCCACAGCCCTCCCTCTCAGGGTCAGCCACCACGGGACACAAAGGTGGCCCCCAGGAGACAGGACCCATGTCGGGATCAGGCTCACTGGGGTTTGGGACCTGCACACCCCCAGGCCCTTCAGCCACAGCTGTGTTTGGAATTCTTGCGCCGTTGCAGCTGCTGACCTCGGTCCCAAAGGCTGTCGGCTTCGCTGTGCTCACCCCGGCTGCAGCGTGGCCCTTCCGTCCAGCCTGGGGCAGGCGCGACGGGAGCTGCTTCCGCGTCCCCATAGCAGGGTGCTCGGGTTCAGGTAGGAGACGCACTGCGCGGTGCCAGGCCAGCCTCGGAAGCCGGGCGCCACGGCCTGCACTCACCTCTGCTGTTCCCTGACCCTCGTCCTTCTCCACCTTCGAGTGAAGGACCCACCGGTGTCCACGCTGCCCTGGCCGGATGGGAGCCCTGCCAAGGCTGTGTCCCTCCTCGCCCTCTGCCGAGCACCTTGGGCACCGTCATGATGCCCAGGAGTGGCTGCACCTCATCCTGTGTGTAGCCTGGGGGCCTTGTGGCTGAGCTGGGAGGCCGTACGTCCACCCGCAGAGGGAGCGGTCAGGGCAGCCCGCTTGGCCGGGCGAGTGGAGTTCATGGGCGCGGCCAGGCCCCTTCTCTGGGTGCTGGCTGCCGCTGAGCTCTGAGAGGAAGCTGACCTATGCTTTTCAGCTTTGGTTTTTTAAAAGAGACAGAATTTAAAGATGTGAGGAAATGTGAGTGTGAAATCCTTCTAAGCATCTGCGATTTTTCCTGAATCTCTTCTCCCGGTCCCAGGCTGATTCTGAGCCTCTGCGCCTGATGATGGCAGGAGCCACTCGGCTTCCTCTCAGGATCAGCACATCCCTATCTTCTATCTATTTCAAACCAACTTTCAAACAAACAACTCTCCAGTCAGTTGAAACACTAAACGTGGCCCTCGGTTTAGACCATGAGTGAGTCACCTGTCTCCTGGCTGTCAGCGCCTGGACAGTCCCACTTTCCTGCTACAGTTCTAGCCCAGACTGAATGACCACAATTTCACAAAGATTAAATAGCATCATATTTCAAAGGTGATCTTACACTGTTCCACATTAGAGAATTAGCCCCAGAATGATAGCTGAAGGTGTCCTTTTAGAGCAAAGAGGTAGCAGTGCAGAGGTGGGTAGATCCCCCATAAGACAAGACCGTTGTCACAGCAGAAGCAGAAATGTCTCAACGTGGTTCTCCTTTTTGCAATTTTTTATTATTATTGAATACATATATGTAAAATTTGCCATTTTAATCATTTTTACATGTACAATTCAGTGGTATTAAAGACATCCACAATGCCATGTAACCAGCACCTGGGCTCAGGTCCATCTTTAGAACTCTGTCTTAAGAACCAAAACGGTCCCCATTAAACCCTAATTCCCCACTGAGGCCACACACGATTGCCAGGAAACAGCCTCTCCCCACAGGCATGCCAAATCCACAGAACGTTCATTAAGCCAAGGAGGGACGTGGCAGGTGCAGCTGGCACAGGCGGGGCAGGAGTGGCACGCTGCTGTTGGAAGCCCCTGGCTGGACAGGCAAAAGCAGCTCCTCCGTGGGACTCCTGGACTGCCAGGGGGTGGGTGGGGAGGTCGATTCCCAGGCAGCGGCTGTGGTTGCATGTTGGTCAGAGCGCGTGAGGCATGGACCACACCTCCCTTAACGACAGCAACGTCCAGAGGTCCCATAGGCGACCTCAGCCTGTGTGATGGTCAGGAATGTCCAGCTGCCCAGCAGTGCTTCTAGAACGTGGAGTCAGCTCTGGCCCTGATCCCATGGACTGGCTGCTCCATCTCAGCTCTGTTCCCAAGTGGTGGGCCGGCCATAGGGGCTGCAAGGTTTGCTGTGAATGCCTGCTCCCGAGGGAGGCCTTCCTGCTCCCCCGGGAACGGCTCTCAGGCATGGTGGACTCCTCCCATTGCAGGAGCCTTCATGATCCCGTTCCTCATCCTGCTGGTCCTGGAGGGCATCCCCCTGCTGTACCTGGAGTTCGCCATCGGGCAGCGGCTGCGGCGGGGCAGCCTGGGTGTGTGGAGCTCCATCCACCCGGCCCTGAAGGGCCTAGGTGAGTGCCTCGGAGCAGTTCCACCCGGGCCCAGGGGTCGCCTCTGCTGGGAAGCCGTTCCACCCGGGCCCAGGGTTCGCCTTGCCGGCCTCGGTGCCCCTGCTCTGCCTTCCCTGTCTGTTTCTGGTGCAACAAAGGTCCCAGCTTCATCTCCTGGAGGCCTTTGGAAACTCCAGGCCACTCCTGTTCACCAGGAACCAGACAGGCCAGCAGAGGCCGCCCGAGTCCCTGGCAGCCCAGGGCCCAGGAGGGTCCAGACACTGGACAGCAGAGTGACCACTCAAGCCCTGCCCATGGCGGCGCTCAGCGAGAGCCCAGGGCCCAGGAGGGGGCACCAGCCTCCTGTGTCCACTCCCCCACACCTAGTGAGGAGGTCCCCAGCACTGACACCCCCAGACATAGTCACTCATTTATAAGCTCTGGGGCCCAGGAGCAGACCCAGTGCAGCCTCACCAAGAGGACACGGCTCATTAAGCCCTCAGAATATGGGCAGACGGTGAAAGACGGAGGAGGAAAGGGCAGGGTCCACTCCAGAGAGGAGTCTGAGTCCAGGAAGCACCTGCCCTTCGGAAGCCTGCAGGCCTGGAGCAGAGCCTACACCCTCATCCCAGCCTCTCCCTGAGTCTCCAAGGCCTCCCTCCAGGCCCAGGGCAGAGCCCACACCCTCTCGCTGAGTATCCAAGACCTCCCTCCTCCCTCTCTCTTCCTCTCTCTGTCTCTCCCTCTCTCTTCCTCTCTCTCTGTCTCTGTCATTCTCTCTTTCCCCTCCTATTCTCTCCCTTCCCCCCTCTCTCTCATCCTCCTCCTCTCTCTCTCTCCCTCTCAGTCTCTGTCTTTTTTTCTTTCCCCCTCCTATTCTCTCTGTCTCTTCCCTCTTCTCTCTCTTCCCCTATCTCCGTCTCTCCCCCTGTCTCTCTTCCCCATCTCACACTCACATATTCACAACACACATTTGGTTTTGAGTTTGAAACTTCAGTAAAGCATGTACTACATAGCACACTTTCCATCCTGCCTAGCTGTCCCCAAATAATTGAGAACATTCCCCTCTGCAGTTTCTGTTGTCTCCCCTCTCATGAGTCCTCCACAGGGAAGGCTTTCCTGAAGCCCACCCACCTGTCCTGGGCCACGGGGGCTTCCCGGTTTGGGTCAGGGCCAAGTGGGCAGTCCCCCAGCCCGTAGGCAGCAACCAGGCTACTGGTACATCAAAAGTTCTCTGCGAAGGCGGTGGCCTGGATGCACCTGCTGGAGGCTGCACTGGGCAGGTGAGACCCATGCCTGGGGCAAGCCAGGCAGGCATGTGCCAGGAAGGTGTGAGCCGGGAAGGCGTGTGCAGGGCAGGCGTGTGCCAGGAAGGTGTGAGCCTGGAAGGCGTGTACAGGCTGCACCACGGCATCAGCTGCATGATCCCGGCCTGCACTGGGTCGGCCCCTCAGATTCTGGAGTAGCCCATCCCAGCCACACCCTGTGCCAGCCCTGGGACCTCCTGCTCAGAGTGGGGATGGGTGGCCAGTGGAGGGTGTGCCTCGGCCCCAAGCCTCAGCAGCAGCCTCCCTGCAGGCCTGGCCTCCATGCTCACGTCCTTCATGGTGGGACTGTATTACAACACCATCATCTCCTGGATCATGTGGTACTTATTCAACTCCTTCCAGGAGCCTCTGCCCTGGAGCGACTGCCCGCTCAACGAGAACCAGACAGGTGAGTCCTTGCAAGCAGCCCCATCCGTCTCACCTGTGAGGCTGTTGTGTCTCTCATAGCAGGCACATGGCCTCAGGAAACTCAGGTCAGGCGTGGCAGAAACCAGAGCCCCAAGGCAACAGGGTGTCAAAAAATGACAGCACGAAAGAAAAGACCTTAAAAGTGGTGGCTCTTGTGTGGGGGGCGTGGTGGAGGATGAGACCCTTGGGAGGAAAGCGTGGGAGCCCGGGGGGGCTGTGCCTGCTCTGAGGGCCCCCGGTCACCAGCCTGGAGCCCCAGGCTGCTGGGAGGCTGCTCCCTATTCTCTAGGAAGGGACATGGTGTCAGGACTGCCGCCTCCCGCCCCATGCATCCCTGCGTTGCTCCGCACAGGTGGGTCTGTCCTGCCCATGTGGGGCCCGCATTGCCCTCCCACCCCGGCCCTTCCAGAACCCTCTTGCCCAGGGAGGGAGCGTAGGGGGCAGACCCTCTACGTGTGACATGCAATCAGCTCACGGCGATTCACACGTGGTCCTGGGGCCTGAACGGCTTGGTCACCACCGGCTTCTGGTCCGACCAGCACAGCGGGGCCAGCGGGGCTTCCCTGCATGCTGCTGCTCTGTCGGGGCCGGCAAGATGGCCCCTGGGGTTGGAATAAGACAGGTCCTCCCACGATACGTGCAACCCTCACTGCTCGCTGGGACTGTCGGGGCCCTTTCCTGCCTCCGGGGCTGTGGGGTCCTCTGGAATTAGACCACTTCCCCTTTAGAAAGGTCTCAGGATGGTTCCACAAGCCCAGAGAGGCCCACAGTGGTGACAGTGTGTGGAGTGGGCAGTTGCAGGCAAGGGCCCCAGCCCGGGAGCGCAAACACTCTGAGGCTGCCAGACTTGCACAGGGAAGAGGGAGCAGCGTGAGGCCCAGGGTGCACCTGACTGTTGGGGCTGGAGCCTTCTAACCAGTGCACCTGTGTAGGAATGTGTGCTCGTGTGCTCACAAAGGTGTGTGCATGCATGGGGTGTGCAGATGTGTGTACCAGATGTGTATGCAAGGGTACAGCTGTGCATGTGTGCTATGTGTGTGCTGTGTGTGCATGCATGTGTGTGCACGTGAGCATGTGTGCTGTGTGCATGTGCATGTGTGGGGTGTAGAGGTACAGTATCGGATATGCACGTGAGAGTACAGTCACGCTTGTGTGCTGTGTGTGTACATGCATGTGCGTGCATGTGAGCATGTGTGCCTGTGTGCATGTGTGTACTGTGTGTGTGTGCATGTGCATGTGTGGGGTGTGCAGGTGCATGGACCAGATGTGCACGCGAGAGTACAGTCACACTTGTGTGCTGTGTGTGTACATGCATGTGTGTGCATGTGAGCATGTGTGTGCATGTGAGCATGTGTGCCTGTGTGCATGTGTGTGTGTTGTGTGTCCGTGCATGTGCGTGCATGTGAGCATGTGTGCCTCTGTGCATGTGTGTGCTGTGTGTGTGTGTGCATGTGCATGTGTGGGGTGTGCAGGTGCATGGACCAGATGTGCACACGAGGGTGTAGCTGTGCATGTGTGCTGTGTGCGTGCATGCATGTGCGTGCACGTGAGCATGTGTGCCTGTGTTCATGTGCACGTGTGGGCGTGTCACTGGTGTCAAGGCCTCTGGAACGTGGCTGGCATTTCTTCCAGCTCAGGGCCTTCCATTCTCCTCCCTTGGGGGACCCGTACCCTGAGGTGTGTGAATGGCCCTCTCCCCAGGGTATGTGGACGAGTGCGCCAGGAGCTCCCCTGTGGACTACTTCTGGTACCGAGAGACGCTCAACATCTCCACGTCCATCAGCGACTCGGGCTCCATCCAGTGGTGGATGCTGCTGTGCCTGGCCTGCGCATGGAGCGTCCTGTACATGTGCACCATCCGCGGCATCGAGACCACCGGGAAGGTACTGCATGGGCCCGGCCAGGCTGCAGGTGCTCCAGAGGGCGGGTGCGGGCAGCCCTGCCTCCGGCCGGCTGCACTCTAAAACCCAGGTCTGGGGGTCCCGGGCTCTGCCTTTCCCCAGACCCCACCAAGAGAGCTGCCTTTGCCCTTAGGCTCACTGGCCTGGGCGGGAGGGGCCCTGCCTGCCCCAGGTTTCCTGAAATGACCAGACTTGGGGCTCCAGGAACTTGACGTTGGCCCACACGACACTTAGCGTTATGTAGGAGTAATACAAACTACCAGAAAGAGATAGACGATGATGATGATGATGGTGATGATGGTGATGATAAAACAGGAAAGTGGAAATGGAAGAGTAAGGCTTGATCTTCCCCTACATGGGAATCTTTGGTACGAGGTCCAGAGCGGCCATCCCTTTCTTCTGGTGGGCCGGCAGCCTGTGAGGCCCTGTCCCCGTTCCCACTCGTCCCACATGCCCCCCACCACAAGCACGGCCCCCCTCCGCACCATCCCAAATACCCAGGCTCCCGCAGGCCCTGCCCCCCATCCCCACCCATTCCACATACCCAGCCGCCCGCAGGCCCTGCCTCCCGTCCCCACCCGTCCCACATGCTCGGCCCCCCGTCGCCCTGGGCCCCCTTCCCCAGATGCCCCAACCCCTGTAGGCCTGGCCCCCCTCCGCACCATCCCACATACCCGGACTCCACAGGCCTGGCCCCCCATCCCCATCCATTCCACATGCTCTGCCCTCCGCAGGCCCCGCCCCCCACAGCCCCTGCCCCCATCCCCACCCCTCCCACATGCCCTGTCCCCCCAACAGGCCTGGCCCCCTCCCCACCCTTCCAGCATGCCTCGCCCCCCGTAGGCCTGGCCCCCATTCCCCACATGCCCCGCCCCCATATGCCCCGCCCCCACGTGCCGCCCCCACCGCATGCCTGGCCCCCCAACTTCCCGCCCATCCCACATGTCCCGCCCTCCGCAGGCCGTGTACATCACCTCCACGCTGCCCTATGTCGTCCTGACCATCTTCCTCATCCGAGGCCTGACGCTGAAGGGCGCCACCAATGGCATCGTCTTCCTCTTCACGCCCAACGTAAGTCCCCGAGGCTGCCCTGGGCCCAGACCCCGGGAGAGGCCTGGCTGCCCTGTGCCCCCGCCAGCCTCAATACCAGCTCTCACCCACGGGGACAGGCAGCCTGCTGCTCGACCAGTCCCAGGCCTGAGGAGGTCCACGGGGCCAGCGAGGGCAAGGCCTGTCCCTGGGGCCTGGGGCAGCTCCTGGGAGGGTGGCTTTGCCCCTGTGAGCCGACGGAGCCCCCACAGGGAAGGCATAGCTGCCACCCCAGGGGGCCCTGGCCTGTCCTGACCACCCCAATAGCCTCGACCCTCCCCGCCTCCCTGGGAGCACACCCTCCCAGGTCCCCATGGCCCCATCTGCACCATGAGTGGCTGAGGGTCTCCATGTGGCGCAGGTCACGGAGCTGGCCCAGCCGGACACCTGGCTGGACGCGGGCGCACAGGTCTTCTTCTCCTTCTCCCTGGCCTTCGGGGGCCTCATCTCCTTCTCCAGCTACAACTCTGTGCAGTGAGTGCGGGTGTGGTGGGCCTCAGTTTCCCTCTCAGTCCTGGGGGGATCTTGCTGGGAGGATAAAAGACAAGGTGGAAAGCACTCTGTGGCTGTGTGGCCGGGGCCTTGCTGCCCCGATGGGCCCGTTCCCTCCTGCTCGGGGTCCATGTGAGCTGAGTCTAGAGTGCAGCATGTGGAGGAGGGGCAGGTCTCCCTGTGAGGAGGGCCAGGAGCCGGGCGCCTGCAGCTTTCCCCACACCCGTCCCTCCACGAGCCTGGTGCAGACCCCTCCTGTGCTCTCCCCAGTTCCCTGCTCCACACCCACATCGCTCCCAGCCCACCCCTGGGCATCCCAGGCCCCCAGACATGTGGCGCCCCCGACGCCCTCCACGTCCCCGACCAAGGTCTGATCCTTCCACTGCCCCTTCCCCACGTACCCACTGCGCTTCCCAATGCCCCTGGGAAGGATGCATACCCTGGAGTCCCCAGCAGCGTCTGGGAGGAGCACAGCTGGTGTCAGTTAATTTCCACTAGCATTTATGAAGCACCTACTATGTGCCCGACCTGGTGCATCAGGACCTGCCCTCAGTGACCTGTGGCTCTGCAGGTTGACAAGCAAGTGCAGAAGTTGTCCTCTGTGTGGTGACCAGAATTTCAGAGCAGAAGGGGCTGGGGGTGAGGGAGGACTCCTAGGGGTCAGGGTGGCCCTCCAGGCTGTGAAGGTGCGATTGGAGTCAGACACAGGGGACCCTCAGTGCAAGGGGGCAGGGCCTGGGTAGGGAGGGTGGGGCCTAGACTGGACGGGGGCCTGGGTAGGGAGGGTGGGCCCTGGGTGTGAGGGGCGGGGCTGGGCAGGGAGGGCATAGCTGAGGCGGGGCTGGGGCTTGGCAGGTGCAGAGCCCAGGCAGGGAGGGCTGGGGTGCAGAGGGAGATGTGCTTGGAGGCACCTGCAGATGGGCTTGTGGGCAGAGAGGGTGTTGGAGGGACAGAAAGGACCCTGGAGTCATTGTGCGAGCACTGGGTGGAGCAGTGAAGCCCCACCCAGGCCTCAGGAGCTCCCCTGGGTGCTGAGGGCAGGTGCTAGGAGGACCCCTGGGCACTGCAGGCAGCTGGGGCAGGGCCAAGGCAGGATTGAGGACTCTGACTTTTTCGTGGAGTGGCTGAGGTGGAACTGAGGGTGAATTATTTTTATAACAGCTTTATTCAGATCATTTGAATACCACACAACTCCCCCATTTGGAATGCCCAGTTCAATGGTCTTAAGTACATTCACAGAGTTGTGAAGCCAGCCATCAGCACTGTCCAGTTCTAGAAGGTTCCAATCAGCAAAAGCTCCACATATGTGAGCAGCCGCTCCCCAGTGCCCTGTCCTCCTGCCCCGGGTGAGCACTGATGCGCTCTCTGCCTCTGTGGCTGTGCCTAGTCCGGACATTTCCTGCGAATGGGGTGGCCACATTGCCACAGCCCTGTGTCTGATCCTTGCATGGGGCACAACATCCTCAAGGCTCATCCCATCACAGCCGGCGTCAGAGCGCCATTCCTGTTTAGGGCTGAGCAATATTTCATGGTGTGCATGGGCTACGGTTTGTGCATATCCATCCATGGACATTTTCCACGTTTTGGCTGTCATGAGTCATGCTGACGTGAGCCTGTGTGTACGCGTTTTTGTGGACGCATGCTTTCGTTCTTCTGGGTGTGCGCCTAGGAGTGGAGTTGCTGCGTCATGCTGGCCTCTACATGCAGTCCTTCGAGGAGCTGTCAGGCTGTTTTCCACGGTGGCTGCACCACTCACGTTCCCACCAGCGTGCAGGAAGCTCCAGTTTCCCCGTATCCTCACCAACACTTGTTATTGTCTGACTTTTGTTTCTGGCCATCCCAGCAGGGGTGTGGTGAGATCTCACTGCAGTTTGATTGGCATTTCCCTGAGGCTAACAGATTCAGCTTTTGATGGAAGCATCTGGAAGGATGGTGTCAGCATCAACCGAAATGGGAAGGGTGGAGTGAGCTGGCTGGGTTGGGTCAGGGAGGTCAGGGCTTGAGTTCAAGACACACTGAGCACAGGGTGCCTTTAGGAAATGGTGAGGTCTCAGCTGCCAAGCAGCTGGACAGGACGCCTAGGGTGGAGGCTGGGGGAGAATGGATGTGATGTCTTTGGCCTGGAGCTGTCCCTAGAGGCTTGACGGAGGTTACCGCAGGCACAAGACGGGGCGGAAAGAGACCTGAGCTCTATAACCAGAGTGGTCTGGGGAGTCAGGAGCAGTCATAGCCTGGGGCAGCCCCTAAGCTGAGGCCAGGTGAGCAGGGGACCAGGTGCTGCCCTGGGGCCACCTCTGCATCCCCTGAGCCTGCTCGGAGTGGGGCAGGGGCTCCGACTGCCTCCCCGTGTCACTCAGTGGCTCAGCCTCTCACTCCTGGGGCTGGCGCTCTGGGCGGGATGCGGATGCTGCCCTGGGCTGTGTCCTGACCTGGGACCTCATCGCCAGCCGCCATGACACTGGTCTCGTCTGCAGCAACAACTGCGAGAAGGACTCGGTGATTGTGTCCATCATCAACGGCTTCACATCGGTGTATGTGGCCATCGTGGTCTACTCCGTCATTGGGTTCCGCGCCACACAGCGCTACGACGACTGCTTCAGCACGTGAGTGGCTGTCCCACCATCCTGGTGCCTTGGGCTGCGCCTCCAGGAAGCCTCCCAGCCTCCCTGGCCCCAGGTGGCCGTCAGCCTCAATCTGACCCGCAGGAACATCCTGACCCTCATCAACGGGTTCGACCTGCCTGAAGGCAACGTGACCCAGGAGAACTTTGTGGACATGCAGCAGCGGTGCAACGCCTCCGACCCCGCGGCCTACGCGCAGCTGGTGTTCCAGACCTGCGACATCAACGCCTTCCTCTCAGAGGTAGGTCCATTCCGGAGCTCGAGGCAGGGAGAGGGCACCCCTTGCTGGCACCTCAGAGTCCGGCCACCCCTGGGCCCCTGGCCTGTGGAGGACGCAGATGCTGAGCTTCAGCCGGGAGGCCCAGCTCCCACTGTCTGCTCTGCCTGGCGTCCAGGGCTCTTCGGTCTGGGGCGCTGGTGTCTGCCAGGCCACGAGATTTCACTTCCGAGGCTCCTGTTAACGCAGAGGCGTAGGCTCAGAGGCAGGAGCCGGGGAACACCACGGGCTGCCCCTCCATTCTCTCCTATCACACACACAAAACACCCCCTGGGGCCATCTGTAACACGGTGACTTCTATCGACATTGAAAGAGTTTTTGTAGCTGTTTTTGAACCTGTGAGGCCACCAGGACAGGTTTTATTTTGGACTGGCGGGCGAGGCTCAGCCACGCTGATGTCGAGGATACTCCACGTAACGAGTGTTTTTGAATACTATTTCCACAGTTAACGAAGTTTAGATGCTGTTACAATTAAAGGTCGACATTTGCTGATTTTCATTATGCAGTGTTCTTTTGGGGAGCCACCCCATATTTTGCGGGCATGAGGCACTTCAGGGCCCAGTGCTGCTTCTCCAGTGGCCACTGGGAGAAGAGCTGGGCAGAGCGAGCCATTTCCGCACCAGCTGGAGCCAGGCAGAGGGCTCCGCGGCCTCTCCCGACCCTGTGCCACCAACTGTAGGAGGCCTCCAAGTGCAGGATGCGCAGGCAGGAGGGGCCCAACAGGGCCGTCTGGTCTAAATGTCTTTTAAAAGCAACTTTAGTGAGTTATAATTATGCACCATGAAATTCGCCCACTTCCAGTGCCTTGCACAGCCATGTGCAGCACCCCCGTCCACGCCCGCAAGCTTTCCGTGTGCTGTTGCTCCCCACCCCTGGCAGCCCCAGGCACCCCCTCTGCTGCTCTGCCCACCTGCCTTTTCTAGAAACGCCACAGAAAGAAACCCCCGTGGTGTGCAATCTCATGGCAGGGCTGCCCTCGGCAGTGCCATTCCGAGAAGCACCAGAGTTGGCGCCTCCATCCTGGCGCCTCCTCCCGCCACCTCCCACCACCTCCTGCCTCCTCCCGCCTCCTCCCACCTCCTGCCCTGCACTGAAGAGCGGCGTGCCTTGTATGCACGTGCTGCTGCCTGCTTCTAATGATTTCCTTTTAAACTCTTCAGAGCCCTCCACAAGCCACGTCCTGCTGTGCAAGGGGTTCCACTCTTGCCTCTGGAACTCGCATAGTTGTGTTAAGCGGCCGTGGAGGACCCTGTCTTCAGATGGGTCCTTGAGTCCTGCCATATCCAATCCCTGAGCCAGTTCCCTGCAGGGAGCCCCACGGAGCTGGGCAGGTCCCTCAGCCTCATGGGTGGAGGTTTTTCTCCGGAGATTCCACAGCTAGGACCACTGATCGCCAGGACCGTGATGGGCCGGGGCCTGGTTCTTGGTGACGGTCTGGGACCAGACACAGGAGCAGAAGGCGTCCGGGTGGTTGCGCCTTGGTGGTTCTTACCCGAGAGCCTGTCTGTGAGCACAGCCTGCTCTAACCCGGCCGTTGGCCACCTGCCTTCCGAGCACGTCCAGGGTATGCGTTTATTAACAGGTGACTCGCGTAACACCTTGGGTACGTGGCTCAGCTGCACTGGATCAGGGCTGTGCAGGCTGTGAGATCTCAGAAGCTCCCTGTGTTGGGAGAGCCCGTCTGTGGGCGGAACGGGGCTCTGAGTGCCGCTTGGTGATGGGATCCACGTGCTGGTCCTGATGCATAGTTCGGCTTTTGAAAATACACTTTGGGCCTAAAAGACAAGATCTAGCTATTTCATGACAGCTCAGACCTGCCCGCCCCATGCTGCGTGGCTTGGCGACGCACGAGACCTCGGGCGGGGAGGAGACGGAGCCCACGGAGGGCAGAGGCCCTGGTGACTGTGTGTCATCCGTGCAGGCCGTGGAGGGCACAGGCCTGGCCTTCATCGTCTTCACCGAGGCCATCACCAAGATGCCGTTGTCCCCACTGTGGTCTGTGCTCTTCTTCATTATGCTCTTCTGCCTGGGGCTGTCATCTATGTTTGGGAACATGGAGGGCGTCGTTGTGCCCCTGCAGGACCTCAGAGTCATCCCCCCGAAGTGGCCCAAGGAGGTGCTCACAGGTACGTGTGCAGTCGGGAGGGGTCCCCATGGCAATGGTGCCACCTGTGGGATGGCAGCCCCCGGCTGTGTGAACAGCTCTGTCCCCGGCCGTGCGTGCAGCCCCCGGGCGTGTGAACAGCTCTGTCCCCGGCCGTGCGTGCAGCCCCCAGGCGTGTGAACAGCTCTGTCCCCGGCCGTGTGTGCAGCCCCCGGGCGTGTGAACAGCTCTGTCCCCGGCCGTGCGTGCAGCCGCCGGGCATGTGAGCAGCTCTGTCCCCGGCAGTGTGTGCAGCCCCCGGGTGTGTGAACAGCTCTGTCCCTGGCCATATGTGCAGCCCCCAGTTGTGTGAACAGCTCTGTCCCTGGCCGTGCGTGCAGCCCCTGGGCGTGTGAGCAGCTCTGTCCCCCGGCCTGCAGGCCTCATCTGCCTGGGGACATTCCTCATTGGCTTCATCTTCACGCTGAACTCCGGCCAGTACTGGCTCTCCCTGCTGGACAGCTATGCCGGCTCCATTCCCCTGCTCATCATCGCCTTCTGCGAGATGTTCTCTGTGGTCTACGTGTACGGTGTGGACAGGTAGGGGCCACGGTGGGGACAGGTGCCTCTAATGCAGAAAAGCCAGGTCACAGGGCGTTCCTGTGAGGGAGGACCCGGGCTGTGTTCAGGGTACGGAGGGAGAGTCTATGACTCGGGGCCTCGGCCGGCCACAGAGGCTGGTGTAGACCTGTCCTGGCGGGAGCAGAGGGCATCAGCAGGGCCCTGGCATGCCGATAATGGGAGCTTTGTGTTGCTGGGAGCCGGGAAGCCCAGTGGAGCCCAGACCTTGGCGGTGCCCACGCAGAGAGCCAGAGCTCGAGGCCACTGCAGGGCCCACGGCCGGGGATGCTCCTTGTGTGTGTGTGTGTGCAGGGGGGTGGGGAGTGCCTTATTTCCCTGATGCTCCAGGCCTTTTTAGGGCAGAGAGACTCCAGCAGTGTGGTAGAGCCTCAGACAGGGACTCTTGGTTGGAGCCACCACAACTTTAGAAATAATCAGACAAGGCCGGGCACGGTGGCTCATGACTGTCATCCCAGCACTTTGGGAGGCCAAGGTGGGCAAATCACTTGAAGTCAGCAGTTTGAGACCAGCCTGGCCAACGCGATGAAACGCCGTCTCTACTAATAATACAAAAATTAGCCAGGCATGGTGGTGCATGCCTGTAATCCCAGCTACTCGGGAGGCTGAGGCAGGAGAATCGCTTGAACCTGGGAGGTGTAGGTTGCAGTGAGGGGAGATCATACCACTGCAATCCAGCCTGGGTGACAAAATGAGGCTCCATCTCAAAAAAAAAAAAAAAAAAGAGGAAGAAAAGAAATAATTGGACAGACTCAGTTAACATTGAGCAGGCACAGCCCTGCAGGCTCCCGGCTTGGGAAAACCCCAGCAGTGGGGTTTGCAGGACGCAAGGGCAGTAAGCCCTTGCCGGGTGTGAGGTGCATGCATAACCACCTAAATGTGGAGCACGTGAGACCAGCTCCTCCTCACACGCTTCTGCGGGGACCATGGGTACCCACCTGGACACTGCAGGCCTGGGACCGGCTTGGGTGTAACCTTCTGCCTGCTCCATCCTGATTTATGCAGACGATAAACTCCTTTGCGCAGAAGAGGGTTCAGCAGAGGATGGGAATTGAGCCGTAGGGTGGGGAAGGTGTGGGGTTTTCTGACTTCAGGGTGCTGCTAAGGAAGGAGAGGCTGGGGGTGTCTGGCGGCGCTCCCTCCTCCAACCCCCCATTCTGCACCAGTGACCACCTCAGACGTGGGTGAGGGCGGGGCACCTCTGACCATGGGCAAGCCGTCGAGCACTGGCTGGTGGCATCGTAGGGCAGAGGCAGCTGCTGGCCGTGCCCACAGAGGGGTCTGCTTGAGGAGGCACCCATGACCAGGAGGGAGGGATCGGGCCCTGGCAAGGGGAGGCCGGGCACCTCGCAGCACACCATCTGTTCGGGTAGCAGAACGTACAGAAAGCTTAGCGAGTTGAAGCCCAGCTGGTAGCAGCAGTGACAGCTGTCTCTGGCCTTGGCAGGTTCAATAAGGACATCGAGTTCATGATCGGCCACAAGCCCAACATCTTCTGGCAAGTCACGTGGCGCGTGGTCAGCCCCCTGCTCATGCTGATCATCTTCCTCTTCTTCTTCGTGGTAGAGGTCAGTCAGGAGCTGACCTACAGCATCTGGGACCCTGGCTACGTAAGTGTCCAGGCAGTCGCCTGGGGTGGGGAGAGGAATGGGGAAGGGGAAAGGAGGACACTCATCCACACACATGGCGCATGCACACACAATACACACACCCACACACATGGGCACACACACTCACACTCAGGTGCAGTCCAGCCACCACCCCACGCATCTTGCTGGTTCCCCCCTCCCTGACACCAATGTGTCACACCATCCCAGGAGGGAGGTGGGTGGGCTGGGAGTTGGGAGGTAGGGGAAAGGGGAAGCTGGAGGAGCCCCAGGCCACCCTGCCTGCCCCACAGGACAGGAGGTGAGAGTCATGGGGTGAGGGGCCTTTGCCTCAAAGTGAACCCCACTGGCTCCCGGGATGCCTACTCACCCATGGGGCTCTCTCCCCAGGAGGAATTTCCCAAATCCCAGAAGATCTCCTACCCGAACTGGGTGTATGTGGTGGTGGTGATTGTGGCTGGAGTGCCCTCCCTCACCATCCCTGGCTATGCCATCTACAAGCTCATCAGGAACCACTGCCAGAAGCCAGGGGACCATCAGGGGCTGGTGAGCACACTGTCCACAGCCTCCATGAACGGGGACCTGAAGTACTGAGAAGGCCCATCCCACGGCGTGCCATACACTGGTGTCAGGGAAGGAGGAACCAGCAAGACCTGTGGGGTGGGGGCCGGGCTGCACCTGCATGTGTGTAAGCGTGAGTGTATGCTCGTGTGTGAGTGTGTGTATTGTACACGCATGTGCCATGTGTGCAGATATGTATCGTGTGTGCATGTACATGCATGGGCACTGTGTGAGTGTGCACGTGTATGCACACATATACATGTGTGTGGGTGTGTGTATTGTATGTGCATGTGCCATGTGTGCAGATGTGTCATGTTGTGTGTGTGCATGTACATGTATGGACATTGTGTGAGTGTGCAAGTGTGCATGCATATACATGTGTGCGATATTTGCTGCCCGTGTGTGTGCATGTATATATAGACATACATGCCTATGTTGTGTGTGGTGTGCATATGTGTGAACACACACGTGTATACATGCATGCACATGTGCTCGTACAATGGGTGTCCACATGCACGTGTATATGTATATCTGTGAGTGTATATACATGCATGCAATTGTGTGTATGTGTGTTCTGTGTGTGCGTTTGCAAGTATATATGCACATGTGTATATGTACATGTATGCCTGTGTGACGTGTGTATATGTGAGCATGTGTACGTGTGTGTATACGTGTGTTGTGTATATGTGTGTGTCTGTACCTGTTTGTGTATATGTGTGTGATGTGTGCTCGTGTGTGTGCATATTCAGGCAGGTGTGCATTTGTGCATGCCAGTGTGTATGTATGTGCGCATATGGACACGCATGGACACGCATATGGACACATATGGACACACATATGGACACGTGTGGATATGTGTGCGTACACGTCGCTGGGACACATGCCTGCCACTCGGGGCCCAGCTGCCCTCTGTGTTTGTCCTTGCCACAGTCACGGGGTGCATGTGCAGAGGGGAGCAGACCACTGGGGACGTGCTGTGCCCTGCACGTGCCCGGGGGAAGCGGAAGCTGCAGCTGGGGTGGGGGCAGCACCTCTATGCTTCATCTCTGTGGGTGGCAGGAGACAAAAGCACAGGGTACTATCTTGGCTCCTGGGAGCGACTCTTGCTACCCACCCCCACCCATCCCCTTCCCCTTGGTGTTGACCTTTGACCTGGGGGTTCCCAGAGCCCTGTAGCCCTCGACCCGGAGCAGCCTCTCGGAAGCCGGAGTGGGCAGTTGCTGGCGATTCTGAGAAAACTTGGCCGCATCCACCGGGGCCCTGCCTCCAGTCGGCCGCTGCCGAGTCTCTGCGTTCTGGCCGCTTCCCGGCTTAATGAATGCCAGCCATTTAATCATTGCTCCTGCCACCACAAATAGATGAGCAGTTAAATAAAACTCAACTTGGCATAATTCAAGGCAAATACCACTCTGTGCATTTTCTTAAGAGGACATGAGCTGTGTGAATTTTTAGCCAGCCTTTGGAAAAGATGGGTTACAGGGTAACTCAACCCTGGCTGCCATCCTTGGGCACTGTGTGTGTCCAGGGCACCTTGGAGGACCGTGCAGCCCCCAGAAGCTT
This sequence comes from Homo sapiens, assembly GCF_000001405.40. Lineage (NCBI taxonomy): Eukaryota > Metazoa > Chordata > Mammalia > Primates > Hominidae > Homo > Homo sapiens. The sequence continues at coordinate 1,223,432 of NC_000005.10, forward strand.
CCAGCTCCCGCACCACTCAGTGAAGCCCAGCCTGGCGCCTGCCCTGCCCCCGTCACGGGATGGGCCCCCATTGGGGTTCAACATTCCATCGCAGCCAAAGGCAGTCGGCACTTGGGACATCTGCTTCCACGGACAGGTCACCTCCGCTTTGCACGGAAGAATCTGGATGCTTACATTAAACTGGTGTTCTGAGAGTTCCTACGGACAGGTCACCTCCGCTTTGCATGGAAGAATCTGGATGCTTACATTAAACTGGTGTTCTGAGAGTTCCTACGGACAGGTCACCTCTGCTTTCCATAGAAGAATCTGGACGCTTACATTAAACTGATGTTCTGAGAATTCCTACAGGCAGGACTGAAAGCCTGGTGTGTGCCAGTATGATGTTCCACCCACAGAAACCTGGTCACAATCGTCCCTTCCAGCACCCCATCCAGCAGTGACTGCACACACTGAGTCCCCTACCAGCCCCTTTCACCCTGCTGACTGTCACTGGGCCCTGGGATGCGCAAGACTCCACAGCAGCAGAGGTGGGGGGACATATCACAGCCTCTGCCCCCGGCTGTGATGCCACCGAGGGGCTCGCCTGCTGATGGCTTCAACAGGGTCTCACCTCATCTTTTCCTGCTCTTTGGCCCTGGATCGAGAAAATTTCCATCAGTGCCCCATTAATATGCTGCCCTGTGGCATCTGCCCAGGAGGCCCTGCCAGGCGTGCACAGGTGTGCATTGGTGTACCCTGGCATGCACAGGTGTGCACTGATGTGCCCTGGCATCCATTGGTGTACCCTGGTGTGCCTGCCATAGGACCCTGGGCGGGAGCTCCCATCTCATCTACATCTCCTGATTCATGCGTTGTTTCATAGGTTTCAATGTCTCTGTAAATGTGGTAGAAATGCAGGCTTTATGGGCATAAAGTGTACATTTCTAAATAAATCCCTTCTATTGAGTATGCTCACCCTAGAAGTTACTGTTGTCCAGACGTAGAGGGATGAGTGAGCCAGTGACCTCAGACGGGATGGTGGGGACGGCAGGTCCAGCTCCTGCCTCCTCCTGGGGGGTCTGGCTTTGGGGGCTTGCTCCGAAGAGGCCATGGCCCAGGCCTGTGGCCTCACAATGGGGACCAACCAGCTCTTCTCATCTTCTTCCCTCACACTTCCTCTCACTCAAATAAGAACCTTCCAAAAATGTGTCCACCTGGGCCCCTGCCCTGGGACTCATGGATTTGGAGTTGTGGCCACACGGTTGAGGGGTGCAGTGTCCAGTGGAATGGGGCAATTGCGGGCCTGGGGGCCCTTGGCCTGTCCGTGGCGGGAGCATCTGCAAGGAGGAGCCCCAGAGTCCAGGGAGCACTGTGGGGAGCTCCTTAGAGCTGAACTCACCCGGCGTCAACTCATCAACCCTCCACCCATGGACAGGGGTGCCCCCAGCACAGGAGAGGACTCAGCCCTCTGCCCCCACGCACGGTGGGTGCCTGTCACCCTGTCCTGCCCAGCGGCCCGAGGGCAGCAGTGGGTGTGAGGGCAGCCCCCGGCCTCCCAAGAGCAGCTGAGAGGATCCCTGCGGGAATCCGGGCTTCGGGTGCATGCGATCTGATCTGAGTTGTTTCTGACAGTGACAGAGTGACAATCTATAAGTATCTCAAGATCAAATGGTTAAATAAAACATAAGAAATTTAAAACGATTAAAATATGCCTCAGTCTTGGGAATCCTGGTGTCTGCAACAAAAAAACTTGAGGCTGTCCTTGCAAACGGTCCTCATGGTGCTGGGGGTGGTGCCAGGCCCGGCGTTTGCCTGGAACACAGAGCATGCGAGAAGGAGCAGAGGACGTGGGTGCCAGGGAAGGACCCTGGCGTCAGAGCCAGGGCCTGGACCTGAGTTACCCATTAACGGCACTCCACTGGTTTTCCTTTAAAGAAATGAATAAATACAACTGCAGTGGGGCTGCTTGTGGTTTCCAAACGTCGGCAGAGGCTGGAGACGGCTCTCTAGTGCTGGGTGTGGAGTGAGGCACCACCCTTGCCCTGAAGCCTGGGGCACTCAGTCACCATGGCTCATGCCCCAGAACCGGACCCGGCCGCCTGCGACCTCGGGGATGAGAGGCCCAAGTGGGACAACAAGGCCCAGTACCTCCTGAGCTGCACTGGGTTTGCCGTGGGACTGGGGAACATTTGGCGGTTCCCATACCTGTGCCAGACCTATGGAGGAGGTAAGCACCCACCTGCGTCCTGGGGCAGACCCCTAAGCAGGGGAGGCCGTCTCCACCCTGACCTGCCAGGCGCCTGCCACGCATCCCCAGTGCTTGGGCAGAGTCACTCCTCCTGGAAACCAGGGTGCACCATTGCCCACGGCAGAGTCAGTCCCCTCAGGGCCCACCTGCAGTCTTCTGGGACCTCAGGGCAGCTTCACCACTGCCCACAGCACGGAGGATCCAGTCCCCTCGGGGTCCACTATGGTCTTCCGGGACCTCAGGGCAGCTTCCTGCCAGGCGTCAGGTTGAATGGGCCGCCCTGCCCGACACACACACCCTACAAACAGTGAGCGCTCTTCCATCTGAATGTCGTCAGTTCTTTAAAGAACACACAATCCGCTCTGGGTTTCCTCACCACAGCCTTGGTGTGTCCAGACATGTGCTCAGGTGCCCTTCTCCGAGGTTCTTTGCAGGAATTTGGGGGCCCACCCCTCGCCTCCCTGGCTTTGGTTCTCTGGGAGAGCCCTGTGGGGGGTGCCAGGATGTTCAGAACTGTCTGGGTGACTTTAGTGACCTTGGACTCACCACCCCCAGAAGTGCATTGGTGACTGAAATAGGCTCCCACGCACCTCGAGCCTCCCCTCACCCTGTGCCTGCTTCTCTTCATGCAGGGGTCACACTCTGCTCTCCATGTGGCGACACAGGATGTAGGGACAGGCATGAATCACTGCTCTCAGGGAGCCGACGTACAACATCACGCATGGACACCCAGGTCTTCCCCAGGCAACACGGGCAGGGGCTTCCCAGGCCGCAGGGTCCTCCTCAGGCCAGGCCGGGCTGCTTGGTCAGCCTGTTCCCCGGGCCCTCAGCTCCTTCCCTGAGAGCCCCGCACAACTATCCCTTGTTATAAGGTTACTCCTTTAAAGTGTTTTTCCTCCTGCTTAAGAAAAGATTCTCAACAGGCAGAAAATGCAGGAAATGCGCACAAATGGAAAAAACAAAAAGAAACACCCGTCACTGCCACCCTCGGGGCACTGGGGTCTCTTTGGGGCTTTGGGGCTGGAGAGGGTGCATTGGGCCTTGGATCTTCTCATCATGAGAGTCCCTTTGAAGGCATTTCTGAAAGCACCAAAGCCCAAGGGCAGAGGCGTCCCTGGCTCCCGGGGCCCTCGCTGCCTGTGCTGCGGCTCGATCTGCTAAGAGTCACCAGAGCATGCAAGGTTGTGGGGGCAGCAGGCTTCACGCAGAGCTGGAAATGCCGGCCAACGCTTTACCCACCAACGCCTTGTTCGCCAATGCCTTGCCCACCGATGCCTTTCCTGCTGATGCCTTGCCCAACGCCTTGCCCACCGACGCCTTGCCCACCGATGCCTTGCCCACCGATGCCTTGCCCGCCGACGCGCCCAACGCCTTGCCCGCCGACGCCTTGCCCGCCGACACCTTGCCCGCCGACCCCTTGCCCGCCGACGCCTTGCCCGCCGACGCCTTGCCCGCCGACGCCTTGCCCGTCGATGCCTTGCCCGCCGATGACTTGCCCGCCGATGCCTTGCCCGCCGATGCCTTGCCCACCGAAACCCAGTTACCATTGCTAAGCGCCTGCAGTGTACTGGAAGTGTCTGGCACTAGCCTCCCTTAAACTCAGCTGCTCCACGCTGGGGCAAAGCTGGGGAGGCCCCCACCTGGGGTGCTGCTGAGGAGGGAGAACAGCCCTGCCCGCCAGCTGCGCGGGGACTTCAGGGCTGCTCCACTCATGAACGACTCTACCATCAATCTCCTGATGCAAGCCACCGGGTTGCATGTCATGAAACATCCAAGTTTATTTAACTCACACACTTCCTAAGGGCCGTGCCATCAGCATTCTCACCCTGTGTGTGAACATGCCCTTCACTTTGTCTCGCTGTGAGGATCACTCATTGATGATTTTGAAAACAAGATATAATTAAGAAGCAGGTACTGTGTAGCTTTTAACATTTGCATATACTCATGACTACCAAAGGCGAATATTATTTGCTCTCCCATTCATAAGTATTCAACTACATAAATGTTCTCTTCAAAGCTAAGACTTGTAAAGCAACATTGTAACAGAATGTAGCAAAACGTTGCGGTAAAGATTTACAGTGATTTTCTCACACCTATGACATTTCATGGCAGCTGCTTTATTACACATTCAGCGTCTTTAAATCAAAGGAACGTAGACTCGTAAATGCCAAGCGATGGGTTCAGGCCAGCTGCCCGGGACACTCTAACACTTGCTGTGGTTTAAGGTTTCAACCCAGGAAGCTTTTATGACTAAGCTGGTGGCCCTGGGCTGGCTGTGTCCACACACGTGAGGTCACTCATCAAGCGCGCCCCCTCCCCGCTACTTCCTGCCTCCGGTGTTCAACCGACTTCTGTATCTGGTAGGTGCTGTTGAGATCTGTGGATTCTTGCACCAAAAACGACACTGTATTAATTACTATGGCTTCTTCGTTAGTCTCGACGCCTAGTAGTAGAGCAAGGCCTTTTTTTTTTATTCTTTGAACTTTTGCCAGCTGCTACTTTTCCTCTGAGCTTTACACCAGGTTGTCAATTTCCAGAAGAGATTCTTCGGCGCTCCCTTGGCCCTGTGCTGCTTTCTACACTGCCCGGGGGGAGTTTCCACCTTGACGGCCTTCACGCCTTGGAGGCAGTGCCCAGGCAGTGGGGGCTGGCACTGGAGCACCATCTGCCGTCTGCACCCTCGCGGCTCCCGGCTCGGTCTCCTTTCTGCCTTCCTGCGGGTCTCTCCATCATGACCCTGGGCGTGTCTCTGGTTGATTCTCAGCAATCCCTGGCTTTTGCCGCTGCTCTGAGCAGAGCCTGCTTCTCCTCTGCATTTGCTCAGTGGCTGCACTGCGGCCTCTGCATCTCTCAGCCTCGTGTGGTGGGGTGCAGGTTTCTCTCGATCCTGCGTGGATCGATTGTAACAGCAGCCAGCCGTTCACAGCCACCTTTCCCGTCTTCGGCAGACACCACTGCGTCCTCCATGCTTATGAACGACTGCTAAACTTCACGTAATTGTTAAAACTAGGAGCTGCAGCCTGGGCAACATGGCAAAACCCTGTCTCCATAAAAAATATAAAAATTAGCCGGGCGTGCTGGCGTCTACTTGTAGCCCTGGCTACCCAGGAGGCTGAGGTGGAAGGATGGCGTGAGCCTGGGAGGTCGAGGCTGGAGTGAGCCATGACTGTGCCACTGTACTCCAGCCTGGATGACAGAGAAAGATGCTGTCTCAAAACAAACACCCAAAAAGGAGTTGTGTAGACATTCTTACCATGTGGAATCAACGCTTCTTCTTCCTTCAAATTCGGAAAAAATGCATGGACTGACTGTCTCTTCCTGCGCATTCAACGTAAAGACTGCCCAGTGAGACCCGTGCCCACGCAGGCCGGGGAAAGTGCCCTCCGTGCTGGACTTGGGTTGGCCAACAGAGCCACCACCCCCAACCACAACACTCTGGTTGATTTTTTATCTACATTTATGCCCACGTGGCAGTCTACATACGGCTTTAATGCAGCCGCTGTACCACAGAGTCGACGTTCCTGTTTCGTGAAGATCCCAGCTGTGGCCACGATCTCGTATTCACAGAAAACCCTCTCATCTCCTCTCCCCTAAACACAGAAACCCTCAATTCACAGAAAACCCTCTCATCTCCTCTCCCCTAAACACAGAAACCCTCAATTCACAGAAAACCCTCTCATCTCCTCTCCCCTAAATACAGCAGATTCAGCTTCCCCAAATCAGTCACAGAGAGCTCACTTCTCCCCAAATCTTTCCCTTCGATGATCTTGTCAGGGTGGTCTCTGACAAACTGACCTCAGCCTGGTCACCTGAGGCCCCAGCCCAGGCTCAATGGCCCTCACCACAGAGCAAGGGTCAATGGGGCCCAGGGCACCTGCTGGCCTGGAGTCTGCAGTGCTCCCTGGACAGTGGATCCCATATCTGGAACCCGGAGCCCCTGCCCACCGCGACGTGGTGCCCACGCCACCCACATCTGTCCTCCACCCGGCCACTGTGCACCTGAGGCCTGAGTGTGGCCACGAAGCCACTACTGCGGGATGGGTGGCTGGTCACACACCAGCCTTGAGACCTCAGGTGCAGGCTGGAGGTCGGGGGGAAGAAGGCCTCCACGGTGCAGGCTGGGGGTGGGGGGAAGTGATGTTTTCACAGTGCAGGCTGAACAGGGGAAAGGTAAGAGGGGCTCTCACGGTACAGGCTGGAGATGGGGGAGGGGAGAGGGGCTCTCACAGCGCAGGCTAAAGGGAAGGGAAGGGAAGAAGGGCTCTCAGGTGCAGGCTGGAGGGGAGGGAAGAAGGGCTGTCACGGTGCAGGCTGGAGGGGAGGGAAGAAGGGCTATCATGGTGCAGGCTGGAGGTGGGGGAAGAAGAGCTCTCAGGTGCAGGCTGGAGGTGGGGGAGGGAAAAGGGGCTCTCACAGCACAGGCTGGAGGGGAGCGAAGAAGGGCTCTAACGGTACAGGCTGGAGGGGAGGGAAGAGGGGCTTTCACAGTGCAGGCTGGTCGTGGGGGAGGGAAGAGGGGCTCTCATAGCACAGGCTGGAGGTGGGGGAAGAGGGGCTCTCACGGTACAGGCTGGAGGTGGGGGAAGAGAGGCTGGCTTGGGGGTGTCCCCCCATTCACATGGGAGCCTGGCCCTGAGAAAGGCAGGTATGCTGACTCCCTGCCATGAGCTCCCTGGGGTGCCCTGGGTTTTGTTCCCTTTTGCTCCAGGCCCTGGCCACAGCTGTTCCCACCCTCCCAGGAGGCATCTTGGGGTGTCAGGTGCCTCCACCTGAGGCTGACCCCGTAGACCTCAGCTTCCCCTCTTCAATGCTTGTCTTTCTGCCGCTGTGTAAATGACACGGACAAGAGCCGTCCGGCCCCCACATGCTGGCCCTGGAGTCCTGTGCAGAAGCCAACAGGGGTGAGGGCTCACCTCCCACTCTAGGGCCTCCCTGTGCCCGTGGCAGTCGCAGAACATTCTCATGGTGACACAAACCCAGAGCAAGGCTGTGTTGATGACCTGGAAACGAGCTTCTAGAAGCCGGACCCTGCCTGGCAAAGTGGAGCTGATGGGAGATGCCAGGCGCGGAGACGCACGGCGGGGAAGAGTGTGGGCAGCCGGCACCCATGTAGGTCAGCGTCTTAGGGCAGAAGGCCTGAGGTCAGTGCCACCCCGCAGCCTGTCCCAGCACCTGTGCATGCAGGTGGGGAGGAGTCAACAGCCCTGGGCACAGACGTGGAGCTGCACAGAGACCCGAACTCGTGCACAGACGGTGACTCGCTTGGGGAACAGTGCAGCTGCCAACTCTGTGAGGCCACCAGGACTGAGACGCAGCATGCAGACACAGGGGCCTCTTCAGCAGCGTAGTGATGCCCATGGAACCAGGAGCCCGGGAGAACCAGCATCCTCCCAGCAGGTCTTGTAGGCAGCTGCTGAACTTAGAGGTCAAATTGCAGGAATCGATCATGCCCAGCTCTGCCGCTGGGGCCAGGAGGGTCTGTGGACTCCACGGGAAGCCAGCCCTGCTCGCATCCTCAGCACCAGGCCCTGGCACCTTGTCTGCCCCTTCCACTGCGGGTGCCCCAGGCAGAAGGCACGGCCATTCATCTCTACTGGGTGCTTCCACTAGCTCCAGGAAGTGGAGCCGGCCTGTTCCCCCTGCCCTGGGGCCTGTGGGGCCTTCATCCTGCCATGCCTATGGGCACCCCCATCATGGCACTGGATGGAGGTACAGAGGCCCGAGATGCCAGGAAGTGGGGGGACTGGTCCAGCCCTGATGCAGCTCTCAGAGCCTTGGTCTGAGACACCACTCTCCTGCGACATCCCCATGAGCAAAGATGGTTCCAGTTCCCAGGAGAGACCGCCAGCCGCCCCGGGTTCCTCGTGGGAACAGAGCAGCCCTCAAGCCGCCCTGGGGTCCCTGGGGGAACAGAGCAGCTCATGCCATCTGTTGCATGAAGCTCCAACAAGAGCAGCATGAAGCCGGGGAGCCAACAGGCGACCTCACACAAAAGCAGCCAGACCTCCTCCGGTGACTGGGGTGTTTAAAAAACATGCTCAGTCAGCACTTTATTTCTGCAGACTCATGAATTTTCAGAAACATCACGTTAATGAAAGGAGCTGTTTTCCCATGGGGAGGCTGATGGCAGAGGTTTTCAGTGTGATTCCGCCAGGCCCCTGCAGGCCTCCTTCCCACAGAGGCTGAGTCCCCACTGCCGGCCACAGCAGCCCCCAGGAAAAGGCAGGTGCCTCAAACAATGCTGGTCCCTCAGCAAACGCAACACAGGGGTCACGCTTAGACCCCAAGTCCTAGTCCAGGGCCGGCTGCCTCCTTTTGGGCCCCCTGCTCCCCTCCAGGGCCCTGCCCTCTTGATGAGAGGTCTCAGCAACCGAGCCAAAATCAGAGGCAGGGTTTGGCAACCCAACAGTGCCCCAAGGGTGTCTCCACCACCCAAGTGGTGCCCCCAACATTCAGGTCCCGTCTGCCCCTTGAAGACCACAGGTGGCTCCCCCTGGCCCACGCCACAGTCCCCCCCAGCCCCCGACCCTGGGCAGGTGCTGACCACCCCCTCCTCACAGGGGCCTTCCTCATCCCCTACGTCATCGCGCTGGTCTTCGAGGGGATCCCCATTTTCCACGTCGAGCTCGCCATCGGCCAGCGGCTGCGGAAGGGCAGCGTCGGCGTGTGGACGGCCATCTCCCCGTACCTCAGTGGAGTAGGTAGGCCACCGTCCTCGCTTGCCCTGACTGAGGCTGCCAGGGACAGGGCCCTCCTGGATGAGAGGTGGGGCGGGGGCGGGTCCATGCCTGTGGTACGGAAGCGGCCAGGCCAGGCCGGCGGGTGGGGTGGCAGGGAGCCCTTGGGTGTGTGTGAGAAGCAGCGGTGACTCGGGGAGAATTAGAGATGGAGAACATGTGTGCCAGGACATCCCGGAAGGACCTGGAAGCTGGTGTTGCCATTCACATGTGAGGTGTGAGGGAGGCCTGGCTTTCAGCTGCGCCCTTCAGCATGTGTTATTTTATGTTGTTATTTTGTTTTATTCTCACTGCTTCTGGGCAGAGGGAGCTGGGAAGGAGCCCCGGGGCCACCTGACATGGTCCCTGTCCACAGGGCTGGGCTGTGTCACGCTGTCCTTCCTGATCAGCCTGTACTACAACACCATCGTGGCGTGGGTGCTGTGGTACCTCCTCAACTCCTTCCAGCACCCGCTGCCCTGGAGCTCCTGCCCACCGGACCTCAACAGAACAGGTGAGCTGGGCGCCGCCTGCTGTGTGGGTCCGTGCACGGCCGAGAGAGGCATGTGCTGCAGCGTGTCCAGCATCAGAGCAGCTGCGGGTGGCGGATGCTCACCGCGGGGGGAGGGCCGGGGAACCGGTTGCTCTGTGTGCACATGCACGCGCCTCGGTCTCCCCAGGAGCACACGTGCAGTCCAGTTCTTATGACCTCCACGCTGTGCTGTGCTTCCCTGCCAGGTCCGGACCACCGAGGTCCCCTTGCAGCCATGTGCATGGCGTGGTCATGCGAGGGCACTGCTGTTGTTAGATTTAAGACGTTAGGTCGGACGCCGTGGCTCACGCTTGTCAACCCAGCACTTAGGGAGGCCGAGGTGGGCAGATCACTTGAGGTCAGGAGTTCAAGACCAGCCTGACCAATATGGTGAAACCCCATCTCTACTCAAAATACAAAAATCAGCCAGGCATGGTGGCGGGCATCTGTAATCCCAGCTAGCCAGGAGGCTGAGACAGAAGAATTGCTTGAACCCGGGAAGTGGAGGTTGCAGATAGCCGAGATCATACCACTGCACTCCAGACGGGGTGACAGAGTGAGACTCTGTATCAAAAAACAATCGAACAAACAAACAAAAAACAGACTTTGGGTCCAGACCTCAGCCAGGAGCTCCATCTGGGGAGATCCTCGAGACATGAATGACAGTTATATTTTCTTCTTTTTTTTTTTTTTTTGGGACAAGGTCTCCCTCTATTGCCCAGGCTGGAGTGCAGTGGTGCAAGCATGGCTCACTGCAACCTCCAACTCCTGGCTCAAGTGATTCTCCTACCTCCACTTCCCAAGCAGCTGGGACCACAGACAAGTGCCTCCACACTCAGCTAATTTTTTTTTTGAGACGGAGTCTTGCTCTGTCGCCCAGGCTGGAGTGCAGTGGTGCTATCTTGGCTCACTGCAAGCTCTGCCTCCCAGGTTCACGCCATTCTCCTGCCTCAGCCTCCCAAATAGCTAGGACTACAGGCGCCTGCCACCAGGCCTGGCTAATTTTTTGTATTTTTAGTAGAGACGGGGTTTCACCATGTTAGCCAGGATGGTCTCGATCTCCTGACCTCGTGATCCGCCTGCCTCGGCCTCCCAAAGTGCTGGGATTACAGGCGTGAGCCACCGCGCCCGGCCAGCACCCAGCTAATTTTATTTTTTGTAGAGACGGGGTCTCAATATGTTGCCCAGGATGATCTTGAACCCTTGGGTTCAAGCGATCCTCCTGCTTCAGCCTCCCAAAGCACTGGGATGACAGGTGTGAGCCACTGCACTCAACTGACAGTCGTATCTTTCAATGACTTGCTTAGGAAGCAACTCTGACTTTCTTTCCTTCCTGCCTTTTGCTAAAACTCACGCTGGGCTGGTGCTGGATGAGGCTGGCCTCAGGGACGAACACTGAGTCTGCACCTGGATGCCCTGGGCCAGAGCTGGGCACCCTGGGGAGGCCAAGAGCCCTGGCTGTGCCATCAGCCTCCTGGCACCTCTCTGAGGGTGGGTGGTCCTGCCAGGGTTCCTCCCAGCCACACTCCAGAAGCGGCCCCAGTACAGGCTATCTGCAGCCCGAGTTCCTGGGTGATGGTTTGTGGGTCCCAAATTCCTTCTACCTTGTCCAAGCGTTTACTTTTGGGGTCACTTAGGCCAGCCCTTTGATTTTCAGGCAGGCCGAGAGGAGTTAAGTCCTCTCTCAATGCACACGGCAGGGCCCCATAACTGCCCTTCCCACATCTGCCCCAAGCTCCACTGAAGGAAAATTTCCGAAGAAAAGGGCCCGGAGGGGCCAGCTCTGCCCATGCCCTTCCCTCAGCCAAGCGTGGGGCAGGCAGTGCCCACTCAGAGCTGGGCTGTGACAGTGCTTGATGTCAATGACTGGCAGGGCCTTAGAAGGAGACCTAGAAGAAGCCTTGGGGCCCAAGGACAGTGTGGAGGGAGGAGCCCTGTGGCATGGGCAGTGGCCCGGTCGGGATACCGGTAATCCTCAGACTTTTCCATGAGGGGCCCCCCACATTTCCCCAGTCAAGTGTCCCAGAAATGGGCTGCAGTGGGTCCTGAGAGATGTCACGGGAGCCTGCTGTTGTCAGACGCTGCCTCTGGATCCCTGCATCAGCCTGTGGCCCCGTCAAGGAGGAAGTGGGAGTCACAGGACAATCTGCCCGCCTGGCCACAGCCTCACTTTCTCCCCAAGCACTAGCCAGCCACACACTTGACACATGCAGCCGCTCTCCGTCCAGTGCTCCTGTGCCATCCTTGGGGGTCTGGGATGGTGGGTGGCAGGAGGAAGTGAGGGGACCAGCTTTACATGGTGACAGTGACGTCCAAGGGGCTGCAGGCTGCCCCGGCTCAGCAGGGCTCGTAAACCTTCGCAAAGTGGAGCTTCCCTTTGAGGTTCACTCAGCCTGTTCATTTTCACAGCCACGTCTGTTTCTCCATCTCAGCCCTGGGCCCAAAAAGAAGTGAAAGGGCACCTCAGCCCAAAAGGGCAGTGTTGTGAGCAGCCCAGGGAAATTGAGCTCAAGAGCCACATGGTGAGGGTGCCTACGCCCCACAGCCAGCCTGTGACAGGCCCCCTGGTTTCAGGGTTTGTGGAGGAGTGCCAGGGCAGCAGCGCCGTGAGCTACTTCTGGTACCGGCAGACACTGAACATCACAGCCGACATCAATGACAGTGGCTCCATCCAGTGGTGGCTGCTCATCTGCTTGGCAGCCTCCTGGGCAGTCGTGTACATGTGTGTCATCAGGGGCATTGAGACTACAGGGAAGGTGAGAGCTGGCAGGGCCTGATCCCCTCTCTTGCTTCCTCCAGCCCCCAAGACCCCTCCCCATTGACCTGTGTTCGCTTTGTGTCTACAAGCTCTTGCGAGGGGCATAAACATCTAGGATTGCAACGTCTTCTTAGGGAATTGATCCCATTATCACTGTGAAGCAACCTTTTTTATTCTGGTGATATTCTTGGCTCTGAAACTGACTTTGTTTTAAAATAGCCACTCCAGATTTCTTTGGGCTATGTTAACAGAGTGTATTTTTTCCATCCTTTTTCTTTTAAACTTTTTGTATCTTTATGTTGAAAGTGTTTTTCTTGTAGACAGCATACAATTGGATCTGGCTGTTTTAACCAATCTGACAATCTCTGCCTTTTATTTGGGGTGTTTAGAGCATTTACATTTAATGTGATTATTGATATGGTTGGGTTTAGCTCTGTCCTCAGATGTGTTTCCATGTGCCCCATCTGTTTTTTTTTATTCTTGTTTCTCTCTTTCTCTAGGTATTTTTCAGGATCCCGCTCTATCTCCTTGGTTGGTTTAGCTTTAACTCTCTCTTGTTATTCTAGTAACTGCTTTAGAGGTTACAGTCTACATCTCTAGCCTGTCATGGTCTATCATTAAGTGATCTTGGGGCATTCTATGGTCATTTAAGAATCTCATTGCATTTTATCCCATTTCCCTTCCCAGGCTTTGCGCTATTGTTGTCATACATTTTGCTTATAACATGTTATATAAACAGCAAATGCATTGTTATCAGTTTAGTTTTAAACAAGCGATTATCTTTCAAAGAGGCTTAAATAATGAGAAAAACTGTATTGATGTTCAACCATGTGGTTTCCATTGGGAGCAGCAGAAAGGACCAGTAGAACCTGAGCCTCCTGCTTGCCTGGACCCCTCAAGCAAGAAGAGTTCTTACCCTGTATTCTCTAGTGTGTGCTATCATCTCCAGTCTGGTATCACACATGTGTGGATTCTTTTCAAATGACGGTGCTCAGTCCATGCACCCTGGACCGTGCCTCCTGACCCATGGGCCACAGACACAGGACCCCAGTGCCCCATGCGCTGTGCAGTGTCTCAGGACGCCAGTGCCCCATGTCCTGTGCAGTGTCTCAGGACGCCAGTGCCCCATGCCCTGTGCAGTGTCTCAGTGTGCTGAGGTTGTCATTCCTCTTACATGGAGGGTGGGGGTCTTCATGCTTGAGAGGACTGGAATTACTGAATTAGACAAAGCAGCCAGCCAGAAATTCCAAATAATCCTATTATAAAGGCCCTTAAAAATGCATCCCAAGCTGGGCACAGTGGCTCATGCCTGTAATCCCAGCACTTTGGGAGGCTAAGGTAGGTGGATCACATGAAGTCAGGAGTTCAAGACCAGCCTCGCCAACATAGTGACACCCCGTGTCTACTAAAAATAAAAAAAAAAAAAAATTAGCCAGCCGTGGTGTTGGGAGCCTGTAATCCCAACTACTTGCGAGGCTGAGGCAGAAGAATTGCTTGAACCCGGAAGCAGAGGTTGCAGTGAGCCGAGATTGGGCCATTGCACTCCAGCCTGGGCAAGAGAGCAAGACTCTGTCTCAAAAAAAAAAAAAAAAAAAAAAATGCATCCCAGGTGATTCTGCAGTCAGTCTGTATTGGGGGAACTGAGGAGAGGAGTGAGAGAGGAGTGTCCATTTATGCTCTTCCATGTGGATGTCTAGTGTGTAGACCCTTGTCTACAGCTGATGAGAAGTGGGAAACAGCTCTATGTGGGCAGAAGGGGTACAGGGTAGGTGCAGCCAGGTGGGGGCATCGAGGTGGGAGGAAGAAGACTCTGGCCACACAGAAGGGCTGAGAACTCGAGAGTGGACAGGAGGGAGGCCGGAGAGGGGACCAAAGCAGGGAAAGGATATGGTCAGAAACGAGGGTGACCAGGAGAGAGGCAAGTGGAGGTGGGTGGCTTGGGAGAGGGAGGCCAGGGAGGGAGTTTGGCCCAGACCCCTCTTCAGGGCCCAGCCCCTTTGCTCAAAGGAGGCCTGAGTCTCCCAGACAGCCAGTGCTCCATGGGGCACAAACATGTAAACGAATGTGCATGTGACTGTCTCTGGTGAGCCCCAAACCCTCCGAGCTTGCCCTGAGCCTGCACCCCACCATCCCCCAAGGTGCACCCCCATCCGTCCTGGTCAATCCCATACCAGAGGCAGCCACTCTGACCACAAGGGCGGTGTCTGGAGCCTGCCTGCTTCTCTGAGGCTTGTGGACAGACCAGAGGCCATTTCAAGTCTCATGACTCCACCTTTTGTTTCAAGGTGATTTACTTCACAGCTTTGTTCCCTTACCTGGTCCTGACCATCTTTCTCATCAGAGGGCTGACCCTGCCAGGGGCAACAAAAGGACTCATCTACTTGTTCACTCCCAACGTAAGTGGGTCTTGGATCAAAGTTCAGGGCCTCCAGCACACACATTTCAGGGCTGTGGCCAGCAGCTCCCTCCCTCACCTGGGAGCGTGAGAGGCCAGGAGCCACTCCAGCAGCTGGGCTGCCTGGTGGTCAGGGGTGAGGTTGGCCCAGGATGGCGTGGCGGGAGGGGGGCCTTAGGAAAGAGGTCAGGTTTGGAGTGAGCCTGGGGCCTCAGGAAAGAGGTCAGGTTTGGAGTGGGCCTGGAGGACTCAGGAAAGACATCAGGTTTGGAGTGAGCCTGGGGCCTCAGGAAAGAGGTCAGGTTTGGAGTGGGCCTGGGGCCTCAGGAAAGAGGTCAGGTTTGGAGTGGGCCTGGGGCCTCAGGAAAGAGGTCAGGTTTGGAGTGAGCTTGGGGCCTCAGGAAAGAGGTCAGGTTTGGAGTGGGCCTGGAGGACTCAGGAAAGACATCAGGTTTGGAGTGAGCCAGGGGCCTCAGGAAAGAGGTCAGGTTTGGAGTGAGCTTGGGGCCTCAGGAAAGAGGTCAGGTTTGGAGTGAGCCAGGGGCCTCAGGAAAGAGGTCAGGTTTGGAGTGAGCCTGGAGGACTCAGGAAAGAGGTCAGGTTTGGAGTGGGCCTGGAGGAGGACTTCGGTCTGGGGCAGGTGGACTTTGGCACCTGTGGGACACCAAGTGGACATGGATGTGAGGGGTCAGGGGAGGAGGGACAGGGTTCTGGGAGAGGCTGGCTGGGGACTGGATGTCCCTGCTCTGGGCCCGACTCCACCAAGGGCCTTGTCCAGCTGCATGCACCCCATTGGGAAGCCACAGGAGCCAGCGCCTGCTCCAGGAGCCTGCACGGCTTCTAGAGCATTCTGTACTATCCCAGATCGCGGCACTCCCTGCCCAGCATCCCGAGGCAGTTTCCAGGGGCTGGTGTGGGAGTGGGCACCTGGGTATGGGCATGTCTGCCCGGAGTCCTAGCAAAAGACAGAGGACACCTTCCCAGGCCCCAGAAGCAGAAAAGCCAGGCTCCGTGCATGGCATCCCTGCCCTCGGGGCTTCAAATCACCCAGAACCGCCCGGTTAGAGAGGGCACAGTAAACATGCCCATGCAGGAGCTGCTCAAACCCATCTCCAGCCCCAAAAAACCTGCCAGCTACGTTCTCATGTGCGCCTGACAGCCACCGGCTCATTCGGCCACATCCCGGACAGGGGCCTGGCATTTGCCGTGTACAGAGCTGCCACTCCACACCTGCACACCTGCGTGGTCCTACCCTGTTCCTGGTGTCTGTACAGGTCACACTTGCTCACGAGTGTCCCCAAAGCCACCTTGGGAACGTTCTGGAACAGTCAGGGCCACCAGCTCATGTGGTTTGCCTGCTGAGTGAGACGCTCTCCCTGACTCATTCCAGATGCACATTCTCCAGAACCCCCGGGTGTGGCTGGACGCAGCCACCCAGATATTCTTCTCTCTGTCCCTGGCCTTCGGAGGACACATCGCTTTTGCAAGTTACAACTCGCCCAGGTAGGCAGTCGGGCTCAGCTGTCCAGCCAGGGAAGCTTTGGGGAGACGCCCGAGCACTTCCTGATCTCAGGATCACACTGTGGATCCAAGGGTGGCCTTGTGTGAACCTGAGATAAGAACCTCACGCCACAGTCTGGGCCCTCACGGCAGCTCCCAGCACGTCCGGAGCTGGCTGCAGGAAGACAGCCTGGATAATCACACCCAGGAACCAGGGTGTAACTGGGCACGATACCAATCAAAATGCACATGACACGTGGGGCCATAAAAGCCTCAATGGTCACCTGAAATAGACTCAAGGCCCGTTGGTGCCGACATGAGCAGGTGCTGCTTTTATGATATCTTAATATGCACAGATCCCTACAAAGTGCAATTCCACGGATCATAAAGTGCATAGCCCAGTGCACTGTGATGAACCTGAAACAAGCCTTATTTCCCGTGGCTGCCAGTATTTCTGCCCCCTTCGGAGGCAGGCAGTTTGCATGAGATGGGAGAGGCAGGTTGGTCCCTGGGCAGCTCTGCCCGCTGGCGGCCTTTAGGGAAGGAAGTGCCAGCTGGGACGCCAGGGAAGCTTTAAATGTTTGTGATCGACACCTTACTTCCTTGAACTCACACTGGAGCTGCACTTGTGTGCGTTTCTCCTTTGGAGATGATTTTCCAAAACATGTACATTTCAGATCCTCTATGAATGCCCTGCCTCTCAGCTCCCTGTGGGCCTAAAGGCCTTGGTGGGGGTGTGAATGGGTTTCAGACCCTTAGCAGCCTTGAGCTGGGGCTGCTGGAGTAGACTGTTGGGGGGATCTGAGGCCATTCTGAGACTCCAGGACTGGCAGCAGCAGCCCTTGGGTCAGAGAAGGGGCATCCCAGGCGGGAGAGAGGGTCAAGGAGGGAAGCCCCCTCCTCACTTCCTCCCCTGGATGAGGCCCAGTTACCTCCTGCAAAGCCTGTGATGAGCGTGCGTTTGTGCCCAGGAATGACTGCCAGAAGGATGCGGTGGTCATCGCCCTGGTCAACAGGATGACCTCCCTGTACGCGTCCATCGCTGTCTTCTCTGTCCTGGGGTTCAAAGCAACTAATGACTACGAGCACTGCCTGGACAGGTGAGCACAGGTGCCGCGCCTGGCTCTGTGGGGCACAGCCGCCAGACAGGTGCCTGCCGCACCGAGAATCCCAAGGCATGAGGAAGGGTGGCGTGGGCACATTTCATTTCTGTAGGGGTGTGGAGTGAATGGTGTCCCCAGAAGGTCACTTCCACCCAAAACTTCAGAATGTGACCTGGTTGGAAAAGGGTCTTTGCAGATGTAATTAAGTAGGATCGGTCTCTCTGGAGTAGGGTAGGCCCTAAATCCAATAACCACAGTCCTTATAAGAAGAGGAGACAGACACAGAGGAGGAGGCCACGTGAAGACAGGCAGAGGTCGCAGCGCTTGTGGCCACAGCCCAGGGATGCCTGAAGGTGCAGAAGCTGGAAGAGGCGGGAGGAGTCTCCCGTGCAGGCTCAGGAGGGGCGCGGCCTGGCCACACTGGGATTTCAGATGTCACAGTACTCCGGAACGGGAGAGGATGATTTCCCGTGGTTTTGAGGCACCATTGCTGGTCGTTTGCTGCGGTGGTCCCAGGACCTGATGCAGTTAGGTTGTCCCCTGCACAGGCAGCTGCCTCGTCAGACCCACGGCCCTCTTAGAGCACCCAACTTGCTTGTGAACTACCTTCAGGTGGGTCCTTGAGAACCCACTGGGCAGACAGCACGTCCCTGCAACATGGGGTGACTCTGACCCCACCAGGGTACATCTGGCAGTATATGGAGACATTTTTGATTGGCCACACTTGTGTGAGGGGTGTGCCTGGCATCCAGTGGGTGGAGGCCGAGGATACCTCGCAGCACCCTACAGTGTCCAGGACGGCCCCACCCAGAGAGTGACCAGCCCTGAGTGTTCCAACCCCAGCCTCCTGTGCTTGGGAGCAGGGCAGCACGTCAGCACTGCACCTGATGGCACTTTTCAACGGGGACGTCACCAAGAAAACGCACACAAAAGTGGAAAACATGGCACTCACAGGCCACAGAAGGGACAGTGTTTTACAGGATGAGCCGGGTCAGGGAGGACGGTGATTTATAGGATTTACAGGATGAGCCGGGTCAAGAAGGCAGAGCTGGGCTTTGTTCAGCCCCAGCCGGGGACGTGCATGGCGGGCAACTCTGATTTCTGCTCACTCTGAATGTCGCAAGTAACTGTAAAAGTGCGCAAATATTGACGGGGTTACAAGCACATCTCAATGAGCAGGCGGATAAGGACCAGCCGTGCGCACAACGCCCTGCGCCGTGCAGCCCAAGCTGGCCTCGTGTGCCACATGGGGCTAGAAGTGAGGGGAGCGAGGTCTCTCTCTTCAGGATTGTTCTAGGAATAGCTGGAGCCCCAAAAAGGTGTTTGCTGGTATCCATGTGTCCCGCCCTTGGCTGTCTGTGCTTGAACCTTAAGCCCTGAGGACAGAAGGAGCCTTTGGCAGTGGAGACAGAAGGGTGGGCGGGTGGGCTGAAGTCCTCCCAGCAAACCTTCAGAAGCCCAGGTCCTTGTCTGCAGGGCGGCCCCACAGGGCGAATCAGGACCCACCTTCGAAGTGAGGAAGCTGCCACCACCCCCACCCCCTTTGCACCCATGGGGGAGTGCTCCCCTTCCAAACCCAGGGGGGTAGAGAACAGCTTCTCCCCTCACCCGGCAGTGTGCATGGAGTAAACCATGCCCCTACCAGTGCCGCCCTGTCACAGCACAGACGTCCACACGATCCCAACAGGGGCAGGAGGCGTCCACACGATCCCAACAGGGGCAGGAGGCGTCCACACGATCCCAACAGGGGCAGGAGGCGTCCACACGATCCCAACAGGGGCAGGAGGCGTCCACACGATCCCAACAGGGGCAGGAGGCGTCCACACGATCCCAACAGGGGCAGGAGGCGTCCACACGATCCCAACAGGGGCAGGAGGCGTCCACACGATCCCAACAGGGGCAGGAGGGGCCCACACGATCCCAACAGGGGCAGGAGGGGCCCAGCCCTCCCAGGGATGCTGTGCTTCGCAGCACCAACCAAGGGTTTCTCTGGATGTGTTTGGGAACCAGGGCCATGAGCCCACAGTCCTCTCTGTCCCCGCAGAAACATCCTCAGCCTCATCAACGACTTTGACTTCCCAGAGCAGAGCATCTCCAGGGACGACTACCCAGCCGTCCTCATGCACCTGAACGCCACCTGGCCCAAGAGGGTGGCCCAGCTCCCCCTGAAGGCCTGCCTCCTGGAAGACTTTCTGGATAAGGTACCTGCACACCCCCTGGGGTAGCCAGGCAGGGCCGTCCACAGGAGCACCAGGGCCGCACTGGCTGTGTCCCACTGCCAAAGGCTGCAAACAATTCCCACAGACCCAGGGCCAGGGCCTGTGAACCAAGAACCCCAGTCTATCTTTGTCTCAGGTTGCCAGGCCTCCTGGAAAGCCCGAAGTCCTGGGGGCAGCTGTGTCCAGCAGACGCTGCACCCAGCAGTCTTGGGGGTTGGGCTGACCCGAGAGAGTGGGCATTGCTGGTGCCCAGACCCCAGGAGAGGGGGTGGCCAGCATGAGGGTCACAGTGCCAGGGCATGGCTGGGGTCAAGCCACACTCAGGGCCAGTGTATGCCTGGACCTAGGGGCACCAGGCAGGGGGGCACAGCCAGGAGGCAGGTGTGGGATGCATCTCAGGGTGCCTGACTCTAGGCATAAAAGGCGCTGGTTTCTAGGCCCAGCTGCCTGCTGTGGGTTATTAAAGGGGAAGGACCCTCCCCTGCAGAGTTGCGCTTGCAGCCTCGTCTCCCAGAAGGCATGGCCAGCCCTGAGCCACCTCAGCCCGACACCAGGAGGGGTGATGTGCACTCGTGTCCTCGGCCTGGGAGAGTGTGTGTCCTGCAGGCAGGCGTGTGTGTGTGGTGGAGTGTGTGTGTGCGTGGCCTGAAGCCCGGGGCTCCGTGTATTGCAGAGTGCCTCGGGCCCGGGCCTGGCCTTCGTCGTCTTCACGGAGACCGACCTCCACATGCCGGGGGCTCCTGTGTGGGCCATGCTCTTCTTCGGGATGCTGTTCACCTTGGGGCTATCGACCATGTTCGGGACCGTGGAGGCGGTCATCACACCCCTGCTGGACGTGGGGGTCCTGCCTAGATGGGTCCCCAAGGAGGCCCTGACTGGTGAGCGCACAGCTCCGCCGCCCTGGAGGACCCGTCCCCAGCATCTGACTGTCCACTCCCGCCCGCTGTCCAGACGCCCCTCCTGGATGGAGAGCGCAAGGGGCCAAGCCTGAGTTCAGGGAAAGGCTGAGCCAGGCTACTCCTTGCTGACAGCCATCAACGGAGAGCCGAGGGTCGAGGGAGGGTCAGGGCTGCCCCTCCCC
The DNA here is from genome assembly GCF_000001405.40 of Homo sapiens. Taxonomy (NCBI): domain Eukaryota; kingdom Metazoa; phylum Chordata; class Mammalia; order Primates; family Hominidae; genus Homo; species Homo sapiens. The sequence continues at coordinate 1,243,963 of NC_000005.10, forward strand.
CACGGCCCCGGAGGCCACATCCCCCATCTGGAGCAGGAAAGCAGGTCCTTCCTGCTCCTTGAGCACAATACAGGAAAGAGACTGGGGAGGGCAGGGATGGAGGGTGGGAAGCCGAGAGAAGTCTCCAGCCCAGGTGCCCTGGCCCTCCCCGCTGTCCGAGGGCAGGTCTGCCTGGCTGGCTTCCTCCTGACCCTCCCCACACCTCCACTCCCCATCCCCTTACCCCCCACACCCCTTTCCCACTGCCCCAGGGCTGGTCTGCCTGGTCTGCTTCCTCTCCGCCACCTGCTTCACGCTGCAGTCTGGGAACTACTGGCTGGAGATTTTCGACAATTTTGCCGCTTCCCCGAACCTGCTCATGTTGGCCTTTCTCGAGGTTGTGGGTGTCGTTTATGTTTATGGAATGAAACGGTGAGCTGCCGCCCCGCCGAGTGCTCCTCTGGGACCCACCAGGGTGGGACAGGGAATGGCTGCCGGGCACAGGTTCAACCCGCAGCTGCCCAGACCGCCGAGAATGTTCTGCCCTGGGGAGCTGCCGAGGCACCAGAGGGTGCAGGTTGGACCCCAGTTAGGGTCCGATCCTCGGCTTGGAGTGGGTGGACCTTCCACAGACCATGTGAAGCCTGAGCCCAGCATCTGGTGCAGGTTCTGCGATGACATTGCGTGGATGACCGGGAGGCGGCCCAGCCCCTACTGGCGGCTGACCTGGAGGGTGGTCAGTCCCCTGCTGCTGACCATCTTTGTGGCTTACATCATCCTCCTGTTCTGGAAGCCACTGAGATACAAGGCCTGGAACCCCAAATACGTAGGTCCTTCCGGTGGGAACCTGGGAAGTCCTGGGACCCCTCGGGCTTGGTCTGGCCCCTACGGTGCCATCCGGTGCCCGACGACCCATGCGGTGCACATTCACGTGCTAGTGACAAGGTGGCGTGGTCACTTCTGCCTGGCAAACTGGGAAGCCAGGGATGTGAACAGGATGGGCTTTGTGCAGCGCCCGAGTGCCCGCTGGGATCAGAAATGGCATGGGGGTGACCATGGGCAAGCGCCTGGTCAGTGGAGTGAGGACCTGAGCAGTGCCCAGAGCCCAGGGACCCCACAGGGCCCTGGAGCTCCTCCTTGGGGATGTGGCTTCATCCTCCCTGCCTGTGTCCTGCCCATGTGGCATGGGGACGGGCAGCCGGACAACGGCCCATTCCTGGTCTGTGACAAGAGAGGTTGTGCACAGACCCCTACTGCCACCCAGTGGGTCAGTTTGGCTGGAGGCCGTTTCCACACAAAAGCCTCCCGAGGAGAGATCAGAGTGCCAGCCACACTCCGAAAACGCCTCAGGGGCTCCAAGCAGCGCCAGCCCCTGACATACCATCTGAGTCCCCACTGGTGGCCGCTCAAAACCTCACCATGCCACCCCTTCTCGGGAATGTGGACGCCACTCCTCTCCAAATGTGTCTTGGAAAGTCCCTCCGTAGCAGAACACCAAGGGCAGGTGAAGGAGGAGTGACCATGTATTTTTGAAGAATTTCCACGGTACCTGCAGCCGGGTGGGTGGTGCCACCCAGTGTATAGGGGAGAAAGCTGGGGACACGGCCTCCAACGACGCCCAATGGGTTGAGGCCATGTAGCCCCTCTGGTTCCAGAACACAACACCTAGGCCTACCTCGGGGAGGCCCCAGCCCCAGGAGAAGCTCAGCCCAGGTCCCCAAACTCCTGGCCCGGAGGGGCGGTGGTGAGCGGCCACACGGCCTGGCCACTGCTCTGGCCGTGCCTTTTCCATTCCCATCCAAGTCCGGGTGGGCAGGTGGCTCTTGCCCCTTGGATTGAGGAGCACGGGGGTCAGCCTCACGGCCCAGGGTGGCCGGCGCCAGCTAATGAGGCTGTGGTCCCGCAGGAGCTGTTCCCCTCGCGTCAGGAGAAGCTCTACCCGGGCTGGGCGCGCGCCGCCTGTGTGCTGCTGTCCTTGCTGCCCGTGCTGTGGGTCCCGGTGGCCGCGCTTGCTCAGCTGCTCACCCGGCGGAGGCGGACGTGGAGGGACAGGGACGCGCGCCCAGACACGGACATGCGCCCGGACACGGACACGCGCCCAGACACGGACATGCGCCCGGACACGGACATGCGCTGAAGCCGGCCGGAGCGGGGCCTGCATGGGCGGGTCTGTGGGGGGGCTTGGCCTGATGGTGGGCGGGGCCCCGCCCACAGGGCCGACCCCAATACACCAGCGACTCAACCTTGATGCCGCTGTGTACGTGTGGTTACTGCTTTCCTGACGCCCGGGCAGCGCTGCTGCTTGGGGCCCGCCCCTAGGGAGGTCTCGCAGGGCCCCGGCATCCCTGCTGAGCCCGCGGCCTGGGCGTCCTGCAGCGGCTGAGGTCCCTGCGCTTGGCCGGGCTGGCTCAGGGATCTTCGCAGGTGCGGGGCTCCCGGTCTCACAGACTCTGAACCTAGCCTGGCTGGTCTCTGGGGAAGAGCGGCCGCCCGGGTGGCTCAGGGGGCCGCCTGCACCCCGGCTCCAGGTCCCAGGCGGGCTGTCCCCCTACAGCTCGCAGGCGGCAGGGGTACCCAGGACAGATGCTTCCTCCCGCCTGGGAGCGGGGGCCTGGGGTCTGGAGTCTGCGGTCTGGCTGACCCTTCCTGAAATTTCTGAGAAACACTGTAGGTTGCCACTTTTATTTTCCCAAACTGTCAAACTGTATTAAGGAGGTACCAAAAGGCTCCTGCTGTCCCGGGGCAGAGGGGCGACAGGCAGGAGCTCGCTCACGTGGGGCAGTCACCCGCGCCCCGGGCGCCAAGCGCACTGTGCAGCCCCCGTCCAGCCCGCCCTGCTCCAGAGTACCCCGGCTCCAGGCGCCACGCGCGTGCTTCCCTCCTCCCTCTCCCTCTGTTCCCTCCGCCCTCCTCCTCCCTCTTTCCTCCCCATCCTTTTCCCTCTCCTCCTTCCCCTGCAACAGCACCACGGAGCCAGGGATCAGGTCTCTGACTCGCCACACGGAGGGAGGCCCCGCAGGTCCTGGCTTCCTGCCGCCGGGAGGGGCCCTGTGAAGACCCAAGGCACCTGCTCCCGCTTTGGAAAAGGGCGCCTGGCCAGGCAGCACTGTCCGTGGTGCTGAAAAATCCCAGCATCAAGGCGCGGCCGCGGTGCCAAGCGTCCATTACACGCATTCTTGTTGGGAACCCGTCCTTGACCAAGGCCAGCCCAGAGTAAACAAAAGCACGTGCACCGCTACCCACCTGCAGATAAGCTGAGTGCTAAACATGCAGTTAACGCCAGTGCACCCCACCCAAGCGCATCCTGAGCCCACAGTGGGGGAAGCTGCCCACCTAAACGTGTCCTGAGCCCACGGCAGGGGAAGCTGCCCACCTAAGCGTGTCCCGAGCCCACGGCAGGGGGGGAGCTGCCCACCTAAGCGTGTCCTGAGCCCACGGCAGGGGAAGCTGCCCACCTAAGAGTGTCCCGAGCCCACGGCAGGGGAAGCTGCCCACCTAAGCGTGTCCCAAGCCCACAGCAGAGGGGTGCTGCACTTCGTCCCTCCGTCCTGCAGTTGTGATGCCCCCCACACCGGTGGTAAGGCAGGGGGACTTGAGGATGAACATGTCACAAAGCGAGTCAGTCCACTGTGAGATAAGGCTGCTGCAGAGGACAGTCTGGCATCCCCCAGTTCAGCCTCACAATCTTGCCACAACTCCATGCCTTGGGCCTAATAGCCAGCCTCTTCCATTGTAACTGACACAAACAAACTCAAACCAAATGGCCTTCACCAGCTCTCAGAACTGGCCAAGTTCAGGGTGGGCTTCAGGCCCTACTGGACCCAGGAGTTCACAGGATCCATGGGACTCTCTCCCCACACTGTTCAGCTTTTTTAAGTAGGGCGTCTCTGTGACCATTCCAAAATCCTTTTGGTTCATGATCTGGGTGAGATGCTCCCCCTTCAGAGTCTAGACACGAAATTGCAGGGAAAAGTGATTGCAGAGCCTGGAGGGTGGGGTGGAGGGAGGGGTGCTTCCCCAAAGGAAAGCCTCCAGCAGCCAAAGCAACAGCTGCGTTCCATGGTGTCACCCACTCACAGAGCCTGGAGGGTGGAGTGGAGGGAGGGGTGGTTCCCCAAAGGAAAGCCTCCAGAAGCCAAAGCAACAGCTGCGTTCCATGGTGTCACCAACTCACAGACGCAAAAGGTAGAGTAACCTGCTCAGAAGCAAACACTGCCAAGGGCGTGTGTCCCCAAAGGCAGCTCTTGGGACACCTTCCCCAACTCACCATAGGGCCTGCAAGTCCTGTCGTTGACCCGGACGAGAAAAACAGGCAGCTGTTGGCAGCAGGGGTGCTGACAAGCCACTCAGACTTATCCGAGGTTACATTTTGCGTCAATACCATACTTAGAAAATAACTAGGATGTGAGCAGGTGCCCCCTGCTCCCACCCTGGATCAGACTTTTGGGTGTAGCACATCCTAACGAGGGCTGGGGCTCTGCCCAACACTCTGTATGGGGGGAGCTAGAAGCAGCATCTATAGCCCCACCCTGAAGCTTCAGAGTCCTTGTCCAGCTGACGAAAAGGGAAGGGGTGGGGGGCTGGGACAGAGGACACAGTGGACGCTCAGCCCTCCAGAAAATGCCACACCACCCATGTGCCTGATGCAGCCATGGATAAAAGTGGGTAGAAAGGAGGAGGGACAGAGGTGGCCCAATAGGTGATGACAGGTGGACAGACGGACGCCACAAAGGGAGGCAGAGGTGGTCTGTCCCATCACATTGCCAAGGTTGTTCAGGGACAGGGGCTGAGGCCTCATGGGCTGTGGAGGTACCCGTGCACCATCGAGGGAGGGGGAGACAAGGGCCAGGCGGCGAGAGCAGAACTGGAGGGACTGACCCTGCGTGGCCACGCCCCATGCTCAACACCTTCAACTTGTCCCTCACCCTTGGGAAAAACATTCCAGGGGCGGGTGTCTCAGACTGGCCAGTGTCGGGACAGGAACAAAATGCTCCTATCACCTGACCAGAAGTGGCTGGAATAGAGGATCTGTAGCTCCACAGGGGCTCTCCCCTTCCAGGGGCCACCGTGTTGAACTGGAAATAAAGCCGGCTGCAAATGAGGCCAGCCGGCCCCAGAGATGGACACAGCTCCCATGACCATGGTGGTCACATGAGGACAGGCTGTCCCGTGAGCGGGTTCCTGGCAGAGGGTGACCCCAAGGCTGCTTTGCCAGGCACAGAGGAGTCAGGGAGCACTTGATGGGAAAACGAGGTTCAGGGCCCAGTTTTCAAAAGCCTGATGGGGCTCATCCTCAGGGGAGAGTCTGAGGTCACCAAGAACCAGGGGAGAATGCGTGAAGGACATAAGTGCAGAAGGAGAAGTGAGGCGGGAGGTCATGGAGGGCGCAGTCAGCACTGGAGCTGCCCCAGGACTCACCCACCCAGCTCCAAGGGAAGCAGCCCCTTCCAGCAAGGGTGGGCCTGGACCTGACAGAGAGGACCCCGCTGCCACGGCCAGGGAGCATGAGTCTCCCGTCCACACTGGGGGCTGGGGACTTACCACTCCAGGTGGCGAGCCCGGGGCTTCGTGCTGTGTCAGAGGAGAAAGCCAGCCAGGCCCCCTCCGGCAAGACTCGGTTCTTTCATGCCTGCATGAGGCTGAGGTGAGGCCCAGGCCTGTCGTGATGCTCGCTCTCTGGGGCCGCAGAAATGGGACCATGGAACCTGTGCATCCAGATGGCACCTTGGAGACCTGTCCGACCCTCCTGCAGGCCACAGCGGAGTGCCCAACACCAGGCTCCACAAACCTGGGTGACCTGCACTCGCCGGGGGCCCTGGTCAAAGCTGGATCCAGGGTGAAGAGGCTCCATCCCTTGCCCGTCAGTGTGAGGACTCCGCCAGCGGCCTCGGCCATTGGAGCTGGATGGGCACAGGAGCCCTGCTGCCCCAGCACACACATTTCATCATGACCCCAGGTGACCAGCACGCAGGGAGGCTGGCAGCCCCACTGTCTCTGTTCCTTTCTCCCTCTCGGCAGCAACTCCACCTGAGCTGTCCCACAGGATCCCCAGGGGTGGGCTGAGAGTCACTCTGAGAACTGTCCCTGTATTCATTTCCCTGTACTGCTATTCCATTTGCTGCTGTGACGAATCACTGCAGCTTAGTGGCTGAACACAAACGCATCATCTTACAGCTCTGGAGGCCGGAAAGCTGAAACAGGTCCCACTGGCCTGAAATCGAGGCGTGGGCAGGGCCGTGTGCCCTCAGGACCGGGGAGGATTGCTTGCTTTTCCAGCATGGAGCGGCTGCCCCCATTCCTTGGCTGGGGACCCCCTCCTCCATCTCAAAGCCAGCAGTGGCCAGTGGTCCTTCTCACGTCCCCTCTCTGACTCTCCCCTGCCTCCCTCTCTCACTTCTAGGGACCCTTGTGGCCATATCAGGCCCACCAGATAATCCAGGATGACCTTAAGATCGGCTGACTGGCAGCCGTGATTCCACCTGCAGCCTCCACCAGCCTCTGCCTTGCGGGTGACACATTCACAGGTTCCAGGAGAAGGACGTGGGCATCTTTGGGGAGGGGCTGTAATTGTGCCTGCCACAAGTGCCTGGGGCTTCTGAAACCCACCAAAGTTTGGCAAGCCCCCTGCACAGCATCCTTCCCAGGTGGGCACCTGGCACCAACATCGACGGTTACAGCAGGTGCAGGACCGGCAGGAGCGTGGGGCTGAGGCAGGAAAACAACCACTCCCTTTCAGGGGTCCTGGCTGGTGTCACCCACAGCCTCCACCCTTGCCTGCTTCTCCTCCCTTTCTGCTTTGAACTCACTCGCTCCATACACGCTTGTCTGTGGAAGGAAGCTGCTTGAGATGAAGTTCAGGCCTAAGGAAGTCCAAAGAGCTGGGGTTTTTCTTTCCCTTTAAAACTTTGTTATTTTCATTTTGCTCTGAGATTTGACAGTCTACCTAGCACCTAGCAGGCCTCCTTCTCCTTCTTTCTTCCTTCTTCCTTCTTCTTCTCTTTCCTTCTTCCTTCTTCTTCTCTTCTCCTTCTCCTTCTTTTTTTTTTTTTTTTTTTGAGACAGGGTCTCACTCTGTTGCCCAGGCTGGAGTGCGATGGTACAATCACAGCTCACTGCAGCCATGACCTCCCGGGCTCAAGCGATCCTCCCACTCAGCCTCCCGAGCAGCTGGGACTACAGATGCTGGACCCCACGCCCGGATAACTTTTTGCATTTTTTGTAGAGATGGGGTCTCCCTATGTTACCCATGCTGGTCTCAAACTCCTGGCCTCAGACAATCCTTCTGCCTCGGCTTCCCAAACTACTGGGATGACAGGTGTGGAAGCCACTGGACCTGACCTTACATAGTGGTTTTTAAAAGTGCCAGGCAAGGGCAGTGGCTCACACCTGTAATCCCAGCACTCTGGGAAGCTGAGGCCGGAGGATCACTTGAGCCTGGGGGTTTGCGGCTACAGCGAGCCATGACTGTGCCACTGCACTAACAACCTGGGTGACAGAGTAGACACCATCTCTAATAATAATAATAATAATAAATAAAAACAGACAAATAAAGTAGGTGCTTAGTGAGTTAAGCCATATCAAAGCAAATACCTTTTTTAAGGGTCTAATACTTTAGCAAAAAATATAAGTAATCCTGAGTAAAATTTCAACAAAAAACACCCGGAGAAACAGGAATCTGGAGCTTTGTAGAAGATGGATAGCTGAACAATGGCCTGACCTGTTGGTCTGTGATTCAAACCCAGGTGTGCCTGAGCAGCGGCCTCTGCTCCTGGGAGTCCCCGCCCTGTTCTGTCCAACCTCCCACTGAGGTCGTCCGCCCACGGCGCCCGGGGCCGCTCCCTTCCAGTTTGCAGGGCAAAGGCGCCCCCAGGCCGGCTGCCAAGAGCCCCTCCTTCCTCACAGCTCCTATACGGGGGCTCCAGGCACCAGAGTGCATTTACGACACAGTCTGTGGACTTGGGCCCACCATAAACACATTAGGCTCGGTCACTCAGACATTCTCTGAAGCAGCAGCAATAAATGACGCCATATCCAGTGGCCATAAGCCCCCACCCCGACACCAGGCACGTCCGGGCTGCACTCAAACCAGAAGCCCTGTCCAAGGTGCACTCAGTAGGACCCGGCCATACCATAAGGCCCCACCAGGGACCTGCTGGAAGGCTCTGGAGCCACTCACGCAGGGCCCTCGGTTTCGTGTGGCCCAAGCCAACTTCTGAGGAGGGGCTGTTTCTTCACCCCAAGACTGCGTCCCTCTGAGCCGCCCCTCCTGTTCTCTGCAATCCTTCCAGTTCCTTCTGCCTGAGGAAGGACGTATGTCCAGCTCCACTGCGAGCCTGGCACCCGCCCTGGGAGGTAAGTCTGGATGAGACTAGGAGATAAGAGGATAAGAGATGAGACTGGGAGATGGTAAGAGGATGACAGATGAGACTGGGAGATAAGAGGAAGACAGATGAGACTGGGAGATGATAAGAGGATGAGAGATGAGACTGGGAGATGATAAGAGGATGAGAGAGCATCACCAGCCCCACCCTGAAGCCTCCTGTGTCCACACCCTCCACTGCCCCACCCTACCCACCCTTCAGAGATCAGAATCCTGGTCTACTCTTAAGAGAATGGCCAGAGGCGGAATGTGACTTTCAACCTGAGTTGGGGCGTTCAGGAGGAGGAATCCTGGATTTTATACAGGATGGTGTCATGCCCCTGCCCCCCACCTCCATGAAAGCTGATGGCCCAGAGGATGTGCACCAGGGAAGCACATCCGGATCCACGGCTGCAGGTGGGAGGCAGGGGAGGAGGGGGCCCAGCCAGGCTTCCCCATCTTCCCCGCCACCCAGACCAGCCCCCCCCATCACCCCTGCCACCCCAGCTGGGGCCCCCATCATCCCTGCCACCCTGGCCAGGCCCTCCATCATCCCCGCCGCCCAAGCTGGGCCCCCAGCATCCCTGCTGCCCTTCGGGCCTGGACTTACTGTTATGTCTTCCAGGGTGGGGGCTCCCACTGTCTATCCCCTACCCTCCTTCCCCTCCTGCCTCACAGCATCAGAAACCTCCCAGGCCCAGCCAGGCCATGGGCCCGCACTGACCACAACCCCATTCACTCATAGACTTCCGTAAATGCACAGCCAGGCCATGGGCCCGCACTGACCACCACCCCGTTCACTCACAGGCTTCTGTAATTGCATACAGTGGTGTCTATGCAGTGCACATTAGGATTCAAACATGAGATTTTTTTCAAAACTGAAAAACTCATATATTCAGTATTTTACTCCCACAGCACCTCCCCCCAATTTGACCCACAGGGACCCCCATCCAGGTGCAGGGTCCTCGCCTGTGTACAGGGCACACCTTTGGTCACTCCAAATTCCCAGAGCTCCCAGGGTCCTTCTCAGGGTCTCCACCTGGATGGTGGGGGTGGAAGGCAAAGGAGGGCAGGGCGAGGGGTGAACAATGGCGAATCTGGGGATGGACTATTCCTATGTGGGGAGTGGAAGCCGGGCTCCTGGTGAGGAAAAGCTGGCCCTGGGGTGGAGCCGAGCGCCAGCCTGTGGGGAAGTGAAGACGGCAGGTGTGCTGGACACTCAGCCCTTGGCTGGACACTCGCTCAGGCCTCAGCCGGACACTCAGCCTTCAGCCGGACATGCAGGCCTCGGCCAAACACTCACTCAGGCCTCAGACTCCCAGCGGTGCGGGCCTGGGTGTGGGCCGCCCCTCCCTCCCTGGGACGTAGAGCCCGGCGTGACAGGGCTGCTGGTGTCTGCTCTCGGCCTGGCTGTGGGCGGGTGGCCATCAGTCCAGGATGGTCTTGAAGTCTGAGGGCAGTGCCGGGTTGGCTGCGGCCTCCAGGGCAGTCAGCGTCGTCCCCGGGAGCTTCCGACTCAGCTGCGTCTGGGCTGCGGGGCCAAAATCAGACTCCGTTCCAGAAGAGGCCAGAGGTGGCATCCTCCAACCCTCCTAGGACGTGTGGGTGGCCGGGCAGGCAGGGCCTGCACCTCGTGGCCCTGGCTGGTGGGAACCTCAGTGAAGGGACAGACACCCCTCCACCGGGGCGAGCAGACAGGCAGCCCAGTGACGCTGGAGCGGCGGGGCGGGGAGAGAACTTGCTCAGGACCCCAGGAGCTCAGGGCAGCAGCCAGGGAAGAGGCTGTGAGAGGACACAGGTCAGGGGTCAGAAGGCTCCCAAGCGTGGGGAGCCATCGCCCCTGAGATGGGAAGCAGGGGTTCAAGAAGTTGTGGACCCTGCCAGGCTCCGTGGCCTGGGGACACCAGCGTTTAATCACATAGGGCTGCCAGCGTGGCTCCAGGCCCCCAGGGTCAGGCCCGGGGGCGTCTGCACTTCAGCAGCATCTGAGGCTGCTCGCCCCACACAGGGCGTTCAAGGATGACCCCTGGGCAGGTGGGGCCCGCACTGGCCTCCACCCACACTTGCCTGTCCTGAGTGACCCCAGGAGTGGCACGTAGGTGACACGGTGTCGAGTCAGCTTGAGCAGGAATGCTTGGTGGCACAGCCACTGCACGGCCTCGGAGGGCAGAGGGCCGGCGGCGCCCTTGGCCCCCAGCGACATCCCTGGGGGAAAACAGAGGCTGAGGAGTCACAGGCCCAGCCCAGCTCCCCTCCCAGGAGACACCGGAAAGCTGCCCACACCCGACGGTCTGCGGGGTGGCTCCATCTCTGGCTGTCCCGACCCAAGCACCGCAGGAGTCACGACAGAAATGTTTTCTTCGGCTTCTCCAGGTGAAATTTCCACAACACAGAAAGAACAGAAAGTAGAAGCTGTTAAGCTCAGGACCGCAGGTTCGACATGGCTTGAATTTCAGACGGATCAGAAACCTCCCTGATGCTGGACAAAGTGTCCAGGGGCAGAGGACGGTGACTGGGAAGCAGAGGACGGCGCGGGGCTCTGTCGTGGTGATACGCGGCCTCTGCTCCTGAGAGGGGTGGGGTAGCCTGGGCCTGGCCTCCTCCTAAGCCCTTGGCCTGGGTTTGCACAAGGGCCCTAAGTGCCATGGACGGGAGACAGCCCAATCCCACCACAGGGCAAACAGGAGAGGCCAGGCCCCCCAAATCCCACCATGGGGCAAACAGGAGAGACCAGGCCCCCCAGCGCTTCCCCAGGCAGAGCAAGGTGGGAAGGATGGCAGCTCCCAGACAGCTCCTGTCCCTTCCATCAGGTGCTCTGCTCACCCCACGAGAGGGCGGGCAGACGAGCCTGACAGTGGTTGGGTTAAACCACTTCCTGATGCGAAAAGGGGTAAGAACTTCCTAAGCCCAGATTCACTCAGTCTCCTGACACACTAACACCAGCAGGCAGGCACTGCTGCCACTGAGGCCAGGCACCTGCACATACCTGCGTTCTTGGCTTTCAGGATGGAGTAGCAGAGGGAGGCCGTGTCAGAGATGACGCGCAGGAAAAATGTGGGGTTCTTCCAAACTTGCTGATGAAATGGGAGCTGCAGCACACATGCGTGAAACCTGAGAGGATGGCGGACAGCGTCAGAGGAAAGGCCTCCTAATCAGACGGTGCTCGTGGGTGTGGGCATGGGCCCACCGGTGCCTGTGTGCGTGCATGAATGCACATGCATGGGTTTCCTCATGGGCACAGGTGCACACACACGGATGCATGCATGCATGTCTGTGTGTGTGCTTGTGTGTGCGAGTAGCTGCGTGTCTGTGTGTGCACAGGTACACTGCGTTTCTGTGCACCATCTGTATGAACACGCATGTGGAGGCTGAAGCAGCTCCATCCTGGATGCCAGCCCCCCATGCTGGCTTCTGATTAGCCCCTGTTCCGGGAAGGCCTCTAAGGTTTCCAGTTTATCCATTGTTCCTTGTGTACCAGCAGGTACTTATCATGAATCCTGCCCTTCGTCAGACAACCTTGATGTCATCGTATATCAACGTCCTGCGCATCCCTTCTGAGCCACCCGCCCCTGTGGTGCATAAACCCTGGGTCTGGGGTGATGGTGTGAGGACCCATCATCTCATCTCACTGACACCGAGACACCGACTTGGCTTCTGTGTGTAGGTTAAGTTCCTACTAAATGTTTCTTTCCAAGAAACTGCATTTGTCAGTCTTCTTTGTTGTTGTTGAGATGGGCTCTCACTCTGTCACCCAGGCTGCAGTACAGTGGTGCAATCTCAGCTCACTGCAGCTTCCACCTCCTGGGCTCAAGTGATCCTCCCACTTCAGCCTCCCAAGTATTGGAACTACAGGCGCACACCACCATGCTCAGCTAATTTTTGTTTTTATTTTTCATAGAGATGGGGTTCTACTATGTTGCTCAGGCTGGTCTTAAACTCCTGGGCTCAAGGGATCCTCTCGCCTCGGCCTCCCAAAGTGCTGGGACTACAGGTGTGAGCCACCGCGCCAGCCCTGTCAGCCTCCATCTTTGGCCTCTCAGCTTCCTGGGACTTTGGGGCAGGTGTGCACAGACCTGGCTACCATGAAACAGCACATGTGCACATGTGCTCATATGTGCGTGTGATCAGAGCCCCCGTGTACCTGGTCTGACCCTCTGCCTGAGCCCCCCGTGTACCTCATCTCACCCAGTGCCTGAGCCCCCCATGTACCTGGCCTCACCCACTGCCTGAGCCCCCCGTGTACCTCATCTCACCCACTGCCTGAGCCCCCCATGTACCTGGTCTCACTGACTTCCTGAGCCACTTCTGGAATGACCTGAGATCACACCAGTCAAGCCAGCACCCCGGTTTCAGCCTCTCAGTAACTCTGCTGAGGTGGGATGTCTTTTCCCCATTTAGCAACAACGGAAGCCAGGCCCAGAATGTTTTTAAACAAATAAATAAGCCTAAGGTCCCGGGGTTGCCACACGGCCACGCTCCTGACCCAGGAGGGAAACACCTAGCATGGGTGAGGGGCTCTCTTCCAAAGGGAGAAATAGCCACCTGCTAGAGGTCGGGGCGTCCACCCCAAGCCCGTGTGGAGGCGCGGCCAGCACGGGCCAGGAAGGCCGAGCCCCAGCGGATTTGAATCAGACCCCGCCCCCAGCGCCACGTGGACCACCACAGCCTCGCCCACTGCAGCCTGGCTGCCGTGAAATCGGGGCCCAGCTCTCCGTTCTCCCACTCCTGCCTCGAGGGAAGGGGATTCCTGGGCCTTCCACGTGCCTGACTCTGTGTTTGGAAACGGCCCGTGGCCCATCGCATCTCGGCCTCCTCAGGGCTACCCAATCAAGCGACTACCCAAGGGTCCCCACATGGGTGGGGAAACTCAGCCGCCCTGCCCTGAGCCCAGGCCCTCTACGGGAGCTCCTCGGAGCTAGAGACCCTGGTGGGGAAATGAGGACAAGACTGAGCTGAATATGGGAGGAGCAGGTGGCAGGTCACATGGCCCTGGGAGTTTCCCAGGAGTTTTCACCTGGGAAAACTCCTCTGACCTCATCATGGCCCAAGGAGGCCCCAAGCACGCCAGCTGGACCCTGGGGTCAACCACAGTGTCAGACACCTCCAGTCCTCAGTGGCACCTGTATCCAGCACACCCCAAGGGTTTCCGGAAAGGAGTCAAGCAGCTTGCACGAGGGCCCAGGCACGCGTCAGGGAGATGCAAACGAGGGAAGATTTGAGGCAGAGAGAGAAGGCAGAGAGGAGGGCGGTCTGAGCCGGACGCACCCTGGAACTGAGACAGCCTGGTCCCAAGCCTCTGGAGCTGGTGCAAAGGCGGTAACATGCAGCTGTGGCTCTGCCCTCCCTGCCAGAGCATGAAGGCGCAAGCACTCGGGTTAAAAACCATTTTCATGGTACGACCTTGTAATGGAAAACTCTCCCGTGAGCCCTTGCTGGGTTTCCACGATAGACGACGACCTCATTTCACATCAAGTGTGCACGGTAATTCGCGCAGCCTCGGCCCTGGGTAACACAAATGCTCACACTCCTTCTCAGCCCTCATGGGGCGAGGGCTTCGGCCTCCTGGCATTCAGCTCCCAGTGGCTCGGGAGGCCTGTTGAGGTGGAGGCCCGGGCCTGTGGTGCCCGACTGCCCTTTGGTACAGCCCCGAGGCTTGTGCCACCACCTGCCCTGACTCCAGGCAGAAGCTGGCCCTGTGGCCTCCACAGATTGGCCCTTCCCTCTGTGATAAAGTTGTCGATTCTTGGCAGGGGCACCCCCTGACCAGCCAGGACAGGGAACGTTCCAGGAGCACAGCCATGCCCAGAGCACAGGTGCTGGCCGGGCTGTGTGGGGAGCCACAGCTCTGCTGCACCTTCCCGGGGGTGGGGCCAGCGACCCTCACCTGCACCCACCTCGGCCCTCTTTGCTGAGACCCCAAATCCTCCGGGCATCTGATCTCCCATCTACTGTTCAGACACCTTCCCAGCCTCCTCTGCTAAGACTCCCCATAAACATCTCTTTACCCCATGCCCCTGCTGCCCTGGGATGGCCTCCATGACGTCCCACGGCCAGTGCACAGGCACAGTGGGGACACCTGGGGCCACACCGGCTCCTACCACTACCCAGAGATGGAGAACAGGTGCTTTGCACAGAGCCACGCGAACAGAACTGTGCACAGGCAGCAGCACCACTGAAAACGTAAGACATTCCTTGCCCCTAAAACCCAGGAGTTCCAAGGTGAAGCCCCGGGTCAGAGGTGAGCAGAGCGCGGAGGGTCCCTGGAGGCTGGGCCTGCACCCCTTGGTGGCGGCTCACCTGTACGCCTGCAGCAGGAGGATCTTGTAGATGTTGGTGCACACCGTCTGGAGGCTGTTCACCTAGAGTCGCCAAGAAAGAGTGAGAAACGGTAGAAACCTCTCTGGGATTTTAAGTTTTTACTTTTTGCTTTATCATCCATTCAGATGGAACAAGAAAGAGGAACATTTTGACAAGAAACTATCCCTCTTCCCAGTGAAATCCGGCCTGGCCCTCACCCGGCAGCTGCGAACCACCCTGGGCGAGTCAAGACTCTGTGTCATCTGCCTGCCCCCGAGGCTCGGCCAAGACAGGAAGGAACCAGGAGAGGGAGTGGACGCAAATGCCCACAGAGAGGGGAGGTGGACGCAGATGCCCACAGAGAGGGGGAGTGGACGCGGATGCCCACAGGAGAGAGGGAGTGGAGTGGATGTAAATGCCCACAGGAGAGGGGGAGTGGACACAGACGCCCACAGGAGAGAGGGAATGGAGTGGATGTAAATGCCCACAGGAGAGGGGGAGTGGACACGGACGCCCACAGGAGAGAGGGAGTGGATGCAGATGCCCACAGGAGAGGGAGTGGACGCGGATGCCCACAGGAGAGGGGGAGTGGAGTGGATGCAGATGCACACAGGAGAGGGAGTGGACGTGGATGCCCACAGGAGATGGAGTGGATGCAGATGCCCACAGGAGAGGGAGTGGACGCGGATGCCCACAGGAGAGGGAGTGGACGCAGATGCCCACAGGAGAGGGAGTGGACATGGACGCCCACAGGAGAGAGGGAGCAGACGCAGATGCCCACAGGAGAGGGAGTGGATGCGGACGCCCACAGGAGGGGGGAGTGGACACGGACGCCCACAGGAGAGAGGGAGCGGACGCAGATGCCCACAGGAGAGGGAGTGGACGCGGACGCCCACAGGAGGGGGGAGTGGACACGGACGCCCACAGGAGAGAGGGAGCAGACGCAGATGCCCACAGGAGAGGGAGTGGACGCAGATGCCCACAGGAGAGGGAGTGGACATGGATGCCCACAGGAGAGGGGGAGTGGACACGGATGCCCACAGGAGAGAGGGAGTGGACGCAGATGCCCACAGGAGAGGGGGAGTGGACACGGACGCCCACAGGAGAGACGAGTGGATGCAGATGCCCACAGAAGAGGGAGTGGACGCGGATGCCCACAGGAGAGGGGGAGTGGACACAGACGCCCACAGGAGAGAGGGAGTGGATGCAGATGCCCACAGGAGAGGGAGTGGACGCGGACGCCCACAGGAGGGGGGAGTGGACACGGACAACCACAGGAGAGAGGGAGTGGACACAGATGCCCACAGGAGAGGGAGTGGATGCGGATGCCCACAGGAGAGGGGGTGTGGACGCCCACAGGAGAGGGGGAGTGGACACAGAAGCCCACAGGAGAGGGAGTGGAC